>NC_000022.11:44959564-46209564 GCF_000001405.40 Homo sapiens | reverse complement strand
TAGTAAATTTGAAGATGTAGCAATAGAAAGTGTCCAAAATGAAACACAGAAACAAGACTTAAAAAAAGAACTTAGCATTAGTGAACTGTAATGACAACTTCAAGTGGCCTAATGTATGTATAATTGGAGCTCTCAAAGGTAGACAGAGAACGACAAAAAAGTTTGAAGAAATAATGGCCTAATCTTCTGAATTTGATGAAAACAATAAGTGCACTGATCCCAGATGCTCAATGAACCTCAAGCACAAGGAGCATAAAGGAAGAAACCATCAAATGGTTCAGAATTGGTAAGAAAGAAAAAAATTTAGAAGCAGCCAGATATATAAAAAGATAAAAGATAACAAGTGGTTGGCAAGCATGTAGAGAAAAAAGAACCCATGTCCACTGTTGGTAGTATTGTGAATTAGAATAGCATTATGCAAAATAAGTATGGAGGTTCCTCAAAAAAACAAAAATAGCACTACATATGATCCAGCAATCCCACTTCTGGGTTTATATCCAAAGAGATTGGAAGCAGTATGCTGAAGAGATGTCTACACTTCCATGTTTACTGCAGCACTATACACAGTAGCCTGATGTGGAATCATCCTAAATGATCATTAATGAACGAAGAGATAAAGAAAATGTGATACACACACACACACACACGCACACACACACACACACGAATACTATTCAGCCTTAAAAAAGAAGGAAATTCCATTTGCAACAACATGGGTAAATCTGGAAGGTATTATGCTAAGTAAAAGAAGCCAGGCACAGAAAGACAAATACCATGTGATCTCATATGTGAAATCTAAAAAGGTCAAACTCATAGCAGTAGAGAGTGGAATGGTGGTTATCAGGGGCTGAGGTTGAGGGAGGGAATGGGGAGATGTTGGTCAAAAGGAAAAAAGTTTTAGTTAGACAGGAAGAATAAGATTTAGTGATCTACTACCCACTATGGTGACCATAATTAACAATGATGTATTGTGTATTTCAAAATTGCTCAAGGAATAGACTTTTTTTTTTTTTTTTTGAGATGGAGTCTTGCTCTGTTGCCCAGGCTGGAGTGCAGTAGCATGATCTTGGCTCACTGCAGCCTCTGCCTCTTGGGTTCAAGTGATTCTCCTGCCTCAGCCTCCCAAGTAGCTAGGACTATAGGCGTGTACCACCGCGCCTGGCTGATTTTTGTGTTTTTAGTAGGGACGGGGTTTCACCATGTTGGCCAGGCTAGTCTTGAACTCCTGACCTCAAGTGATCCACTCGCCTCGGCCTCCCAAAGTGCTGGGATTGGGCCTGGCCTCAAGGAGCAGCCTTTACATGTTCTCACCACACACAAAAAATGGTAAGTGTGTGAGGTGGTGGATATGTTCACTAGCTTGATTTACACATTCCACAATGTAAACATAGACCAAAACATCACATTGTGCCCCATAAAAATACAATTATTATTTGTCAATTAAAAATTAAACTAAAATTAATAAATAAAGTTAAAGCAACCAGATAAAGAGGACATATAACATGTAGAGAAACAAAAATAAGGATGACACCAAGTTTCTTTTAGAAACGATGCAAGCCAGAAGACAGTGGGGACTGGCACAGTGGCTCACACTTGTAATCCCTGTAATCCCAACACTTCGGGAGGCAGAGGTAGGAGGATTGCTTGAGGCCAGGAGTTCGAGAGGAGCCTGGTCAACATAGCGAGTCTCCACCTCTACAAAAAATTTTTAAAATTGGCTGGGCATGGTAGTATATACCTCTAGTCCTAGTTCCTCAGGAGGCTGAGGCAGGACGATTGCTTGAGACCAGGTGTTTGAGACTGCAGTGAGCTACGATGGCACTAGCACACTCCAGCCTCGGCATCAGCGCAAGACCCTGTCTCTAAAAAAAAAAAAAAAAAAAAAAATAATAATAATAATAATAATAATAATAATAATAAATTAATTAATTAAAAACAAGAAGATAGTAGGAACATCTTAAAAGCATTTAAAGAAAAAAAGTGGCCAGGCTCGGTGGCTCATGCCTGTAATCCCAGCACTTTGGGAGGCCGAGGTGGGCGGATCATGAGGTCAGGAGATTGAGACCATCCTGGCTAACATGGTGAAACCCCATCTCTACTAAAAAATACAAAAAAATTAGCCGGGTGTGGTGGTGGGTGCCTGTAATCTCAGCTACTTGGGAGGCTGGGGCAGGAGAATGGTGTGAACCTGGGAGGCGGAGCGTGCAGTGAGCCAAGATGGCACCACCGCCCTCCAGCCTGGGTGATAGAGCGAGACTCTGTCTCAAAAAAAAAAAAAAAAAAAAAATTGCCAATGTAGAATCACATACTTTTTTCTTTTTCTTTTTCTTTTTTTTTGCAGGGGGATGGAGTCTTGCTCTGTCACCCAGGCTGGTGTGCAGTGGCGTGATCTTGGCTCACTGCAACCTCTGCCTCCTGGGTTCAAGCAATTCTCCTGTCTCAGCCTCCCAAGTAGCAGGGACTATAGGCATGAGCCACCATGCCCAGCTAATTTTTGTATTTTTAGTAAAGACAGGGTTTCACCTTATTGGTCAGGCTGGTCTTGAACTCCTGACCTCAGGTGATCCACCCGCCTCGGCCTCCCAAAGTGCTCGGATTACAGGCGTGAACCACTGTGCCCGGCCCTTTGAATCACATACTTTCTAGAATGAAGGTTATATGAAGACTTTTTCAGACATACAAAAGCTAGTAATTCGTTACCAGTAGAGCCATATTATAGATAATATCACAGGAAGTCTTTCAGGCAGAAGGAAAATGATAGCAGATGGAAATCTGGATTTATACAAAGGTATATAGCACTAGAAAAGGTAATTATGTGGGTAAATGTAAAAAATTTTTCTTACTACTATCTTAAAAAGATAACCGGCTGTCTATGTAAAACAATAACATATTGTAATATTTATAATGTAGGTAAATAAATAAAATTATGTGAAACATTACCACAAATGCATGAAGGGAAAAATGAAAGTATACTGTCATAAAGTTCTTATAATATCTGTAAGATAGAATGATACCACTGGAAGGTAGACTGGGAGACATTAGAGAGATACACTATAAACCCTAAAGCAACTACTAAAATAACACCAGAAGGTGTTATAAATAATAAGCCAACAAAGGAGATAAAGTGGAATCTTAAAAATGACTCAATTAGGCTGGGTGCGGTGGCTCACGCCTATAATCCCAGCATTTTGGGAGGCCAAGGCAGGCAGATCACAAGGTCACGAGTTTGAGACCAGCCTGACCAACATAGTGAAACCCGTCTCTAGTAAAAATACACACACACACACACACACAAATTAGCCGGGCGTGGTGGTGCATGCCTCTGATCCTAGCTACTCAGGAGGATGAGGCAGGAGAATTGCTTGAACCCAGGAGGCAGAGGTTGCAGTGAGCCGAGATAGCGCCATTGCACTCCAGCCTGGAGACAGAGAGAGACTCCGTCTCAAAAAACAAAATTAAATGAAACAAAACAAAAAAGACTCAATTAATTCAACAGAAGGCATAAAAAGAGGAAAAGGGAACAAAACAAAGATGTACCAAAGAGAACAAATTGTGAGATAATAGATTTAAATCAAACCATAGTATAAAGACACAAACCAGTTAAAAGAAAAAGAATGGGAAAAGATATACCATGTTAACACCAATCAAAAGAAAGCTGCAGTGGCTACATCAATAACAGACAAAGTAGTGTTCAGAACAAATAATTTTACCACGGATTACAACAGCAATTTCATAATAATAAAAGGTTCAGTTCATCAACAGAATATAACAAGCCTGAATGTTTATGCACCTAAATGTTTTAAACAGAGTTCAAAAATATAAGGCTGGTAATTAGCCGGGCCTGGTAGCACATGCCTGTAATCCCAGCTACTAAAGAGGCTGAGGCATGAGAATTACTTGAACCTCAGAGAAGGAGGTTGCAGTGAGCTAAGATTGCACCACTGCACTCCAGCCTGGGCAACAGAGTGAGACTCTGTCTCAAAAAAAAAAAAAAAAAAAAAAAAAAAAAATATATATATATATATATATATATATATATATATATGGCTGGGCATGGTGGCTCACGCCTGTAATCCCAACACTTTGGGAGGCTGAGATGGGCAGATCACTTGAGCCCAGGAGTTTGAGACCAACCTGGGCAACATGGCGAAACCCCGTCTCTACAAATAAATACAAAAAACTTACCCGGGCATGGTGGCAGGTACCTGTAGTCTCAGCTACTTGGGAGGCTGAAGTAGGAGGATTACCTGGGCCTGGGAGGTTGAGGCTGCAGTGAGCTGAGATCATGCCACTGAACTCCAGCCTGGGCTCAGGGTGAGACCCTCTCTCAAATAAATAAATAAATGAAGTATCCATAAAAAAAGGACATTGATAAATTGGACTTCATCAAAATTAAGAACTGGTCGGGCATGATGGCTCACACCTGTAATCCCAGCACTTTGGGAGGCCGAAGTGGGAGGGTCGCTTGAGTCCAGGAGTTCAAGACCACCCCTGGCAACATAACGAGTCTCTGTATCTAAAAAAAAAAAATTAGCCAAGCATGGTGGTACACACCTGTGGTCCCAGCTACTTGGGAGGCTGAGGTCGGAGGGTTTCCTGAGCCCAAGAGGTCAAGGCTGCAGTAAGCCATGATCGCACCACTGCACTCTAGCCTGGGCAATAGATTGAGACCCTATCTCAAAAACAAAACAAAACAAACAAAACAATCTTTTTTCTTTTTTTTTTTTAAGATACTATCAGTAGAAAGAAAAGAAAGACAAACCACACACTGGGGAAAATATTTGTAGATCACATGTCTGATAAAGTATTTGTATTCAAAATATATAAATAGTGTTCAATAGTGAATAGTAGAAAAGCAACTCAATTAAAAAATGAGCAAAGGCTTTGAACAGAAATATCACCAAAGAAGATATATGGCAAATAAGCATACGAAAAGATGCTCAAAATCACCAGGGAAGTGCAAATAAAAATCACCACAGTGAGAGACCATCACACACCTACTGACATGGTTAAAATTAAAAAGACTGATCATGCCTCATGTTGATGAGGGTATGGAGGAACTGGAACTCCCCCATATACTGCCAGTGGGAATATAACATAGTATAGCATTTTCTAAGATTTTTCTGAAATGCTGGAAAAGATTTTGGCAGTTTCTTAAAAAGTTACACAAACACCTGCCATCTGTTCCAGCCGTCATACTCCTAGGTATTTATTCAAAAGAAATGAAAGCAGAGGGTTGTACAGAGACTTGTACGTGAATGTTCATAGCAGCTTTATTTGTAATAGCCATAAGCTAGAAACAACCTAAATGCTCATCAACAGGTGCGTGAATCAGCAAACTGTGCTATGTCCACATGATGGATGAAGAATGAACTATTGATGCTTGCTGCAATGCAGATGAGTCTCACAGCCATTCTGCAGAGTGAAAGAAGCCAGCCTAGAAAGAGTACGTGCTGTATGATTCCATTTATATAAAATTCTAGGAAATATAAAGCAACCTAGAATGATAGAAAGTGGATTCATGGTTTACTGGGGGAGGGAGGCAGGGAGGCACGGGGCTGGGGAAAGAGGAATTAGAAACAGCACAAGTAAACTTTAGGGGTGACAGACAGAGGCACTACTGATAGATGCAGGAGGCAGAGAAGGGGGGCGTCCCCAGAGAATCTGCAACCTGCCCCACAAGTGTTTACCTCAGGTGCTTTTGTGTAGATGAGGGAACCTGCCCAGGGTTCCCTTGTCTGGACAGGCCCGCAAGGGACGGGGACCCACCTGGGCATTGGGAGAATGGGGTGGAGCCACGGGAAGTTCTCACCTTGCGCAGCGGGAGGAGCCTGGCCTCCAGCTCATGTGTGGTGGCCTGCTAATCAGTCTGTGAGCTGGGAACTCATTGGCAGGATCCCCTCTAGCTTTGCTGAGAGTTTTTTTCTTTTTTCCTTTTCGCCCAATACTGCTCTCCTCACCCTTCAACGTGTCCACGTGCCTAATTTTTCCTGGTCATGACACAAGAACCCAGATTTAGTCGAACTAAGGAGCAAAATTTCTACATCACTATTTTGAGTGTGATGATGGTTTCACAGATGCGTGTGTGTGTACACCCAACAGATTGTACACTTTAAATACATGCAGTTTATTGTATGTCAATTATGGCAATAAAGCCGGGAAGAAAAAGCAGAGATAAAATGGTACTTTGGCCGAGTGAACCAGCCTCACCCATCCGGTCTCCTGGGTGTAAAGTTTAAAGTACTGCATTTAATATCCGGCTCTTCTGAGAGACCAGTCTACATAACTAGGAATATTACCCAAAAGATCAGATTAGGTACAAATATGAACGATCTAATTTACAAATAAGAAATAATCTTAAATGACCTCATCTCTCAGACTTCGCAGTAACAGTTCAGTAAAACCTGGAAGGGAGGAAAGAGGTTTTAACAATTGTGAGATGAGTACAAATGACCACATGTATGAATAACAGTGAGGAAATGCTGAGGGGGAAATAAGAAATGGGTTATCACCCGCTTGCCACTTTAAAGGCTGGTGGTCAAAACCAGGGATGGGTGACCAGGACGCTTCAGTGTGGTCACTTTTTGTAAGTTCCCCTTTTTTTTCTTTGTGCCATAAAGTTCCTTGGAATTGGTTCAGAACAAATTTGGAACCCTTTTTCTCCTGCCCTGAACCCTCGCTATTTATTTATTTATTTATTTAAAGACAGAGTCTCACTCTGTTGCCCAGGCTGGAGTGCAGTGGTGTGATCTTGGCTCACTGCAACCTCCGCCTCCTGGATTCAAGCGACTGTCCTGCCTCAGCCTCCTGAGTAGCCGGGATTACAGGCCAAGATCGCACCACTGCACTCCAGCCTGGGCAGCAAGAGTGAAACTCTGTCTCAAAAAATAAATAAAAAATAAAATATTTTACATTAATTGGATCATAAGAAATATGTCCTTAAGCTTAAGAGGTGCACGCCTCCACGCCCAGCTAATTTTTTTTATTTTTAGTAGAGATGAGGTTCCACCATGTTGGCCAGGTTGGTCTCGAACTCCTGACCTCAGGTGATCCACCCGCCTCGACCTCCCAAAGTGCTGGGATTACACACGTGACCACCGTGCCCGGCCTGCTTTTAATTTATTTAGATGGGAAGCACAGTTCAGTCTGTGGAATTGGGTTAAATGTGGCTTTTAATGGATTATATAGACCACAAGGCTAGTATGCAGGAAATTCTCAAGCCTTACCTCTGTCAGAATTTCCAGATGAGTTAAAAATACATTTTAGATTATAGTTCTTGACAATGACCTAAAAGACACTACTTTTAGAAAAGGACCCTAGAAGAGCAGGGTTCCCTCCTGCATGAGGACCAGGGGTCAGGAGAGAGCACAGAATAAGGGGTCCTGTGTTTAAGCTGCCAGAGGAGGCAGGAGGGGGCTGGGCAGCCCTCCTGGCCACTGCCAGGAAAGAACTTTCCAGAGCTAGAGCCACACACCCACCCACTCCCGCAGCTCACACAAATTCCATATTTCAGAACAAGCTCTAGAGTATATCTTACCCAAAGAAAAAAGTGTATCTCTGAACTCTTTTACTAGACAATGAACTATATTTTTCACCCTGGGGGTGGGGCTGCGGGAGCCTGCCTGCCTTAAAAAAGAAAGGCAAAAAAGAAAAACAAAAGCAAGATAAATCTTTTCAAATCCATAAGGAAAAGATTTTTCTAATAAATAGCACAAATAGTCATTATAGGAAAACGGTGAACCAGCATGGGGTGTGTCTGTGATGGGTGAAGAAAGGTCCCACATTGTGGGGTTAAGAGCTGGGTTCTGGGCTGGTGATCTCCAGCACGTCAGGATGTCCTGGGACCTGCCTCCTTTCCTCCTTCCTTAAATAAACATAACAACGACCTCACAAGGCTGCTCTGGGCTTAGGCAAGCCGAGGTGTGAGGTGTGTGGGCAGCCTGCAGTGCTCAGGAAACAATGCGGTCATTGTCAAGGCCATTAACCCGGGTTCACTGCAAGACAACCTACCCAGGCCACTCAAGGCGCCACCTGACACGGAGCCTTTTCCTTGCTCTCCTCCAGCCTCCCTGTCCCCTTCCCCACTGCTCTGGGGGCCATGATCTCCCTACACCTTCACTCCTTCCACAGCGCTTATCCTCTGCTTAACGCGCCAGGAGAAAGGGAGTCAAAACTTGCACCACCTGTAAAGGTCTGTCAGGGTCACTCCCAAAGCTGCTCGGTCACAAAGGCCCCCCAGAGTCCTCAGGGGCTCACTTGCCTCTTGCAATTCCTGATTGACTAAGCTGAGAACACTGCCACCTTTTACAAGGCGCGATCATGCCAGCATGCAGAGAATAGCCCTCTAGAGCAAGCTGAGAGGCGGGGTCCAGGCCCGGCTCTGTGTCTTTCTGGCTGTATGAACCGTGGCAGGTTACTTACTTTTTTTTTTTTTTTTTTTGAGACGGAATCTTGCTCTGTTGCCCAGGCATTACAGGTGTGTACCACCATGCTTGGCTAATTTTTGTATTTTCAGTAGAGATGGGGTTTCACCATGTTGACCAGGCTGGTCTTTAACTCCTGACCTCAAGTGATCCGCCCGCCTCAGCCTCCCAAAGTGCTGGGATTACAGGCATGAGCCACCACGCCCCAACTTTTTTTTGAGATGGAGTCTCACCCTGTCGCCCAAGCTAGAGTACAGTGGCATGATCTCTGCTCACTGCAACCTCTGCCTCCTGGGTTCAAGCAATTCTCCCTGCCTCAGCCTCCTGAGTAGAGTAGCTGGGATTACAGGCACCTGCCACCACTCCCAGCTAATGTTTTGTATTCTTTAGTAGAGATGGGGTTTTGCCATGTTGGCCAGACTGGTCTTGAACTCCTGACCTCGGGTGATCCGCCTGCCTCAGCCTCCCAAAGTGTTGGGATTACAGGCGTGAGCCACTGCGCCCAGCCAAGTTACTTAATTTCTCTGAGCTTATTTCTGTATAGTCACACACTGCACAGTGACATTTTGGTCAACAATAGACCATAAGTTCAACTGTGGTATCATGGTCCCATAAGATGATAATACTGTATTTTTGCTGTAACCTTTTCTACTATATGTTTTGGTATGTTTAGACGCACAAATACTTACCATTGTGTCACAGGGGCCTACGCCGTTCAGTACAGTAACACGCTGTACAGGTGCGTGCCTTGGAGCAACAGGCTGCACCGCAGAGCCTCGGTGTGCAGCAGGCTCTACCATCTGGGTTTAAGTGTACTCTATGACTTTCACACAATGATGAAATCACCTAAGGATGCATTTCTCACAACCTGTCCCTGTCATTAAGCAACATGACTGTAATACCCATGTACACACCACCCAGGTTTATCACACTGCTGAAGTCTTTTAAAAATATACAACCTAGAGAGAATTACAGTCCCCATGGGACCCCTCCCCAGTTCTCCCTCCATCTTGCTCAGGAGGTGACTGAGTCCTTAAAGCTGAGATGCCCTTTGCAATAGGTGTATGTCTGTTTCCACCAGTGATGTACTAGATTGTTTAGTGTTAAAGATTTTAATTGGGCCGGGTGCAGTGGCTCATGCCTGTGATCCCTGCACTTTGGGAGGCTGAGGCAGGCGGACCACCTGACGTCAGGAGTTTGAGACCAGCCTGGCCAACACGGTGAAACCCCATCTCTACTAAAAATACAAAAATTAGCCCGGCATGGTGACGGGTGCCTGTAATCCTAGCTACTAGGGAGGCTGAGGCAGGAGAACTGCTTGAGCTCGGAAGATGGACGTTGTAGTGGGCTGAGATCATACCACTGCACTCCAGCCTGGGCAACAAGAGCAAAACTCTGTCTCAAAAAATAAAAAATAAAAGATTTTACATTAATTGGATCATAAAAATATTCATTAAGCTTGTTTATTTTCATTCAATGTTGCTTAAAAAAATTTTTTTTTAAAGACAGGGTCTCACTGTCACCCAGGCTGGAGTGCAGTGGCAGTCATAGCTCATGGCAGCCTCGAGCTCCTGGGCTCAAGTGGTCCTCCTCCCTCAGCATCCTGAGTAGCTAGGACCACATGCATGCACCACCATGCCTGGCTAATTTTTTTTAATTTTAAATTTTTTTTGTATAGATGGGGCCTCACCATGTTGGTCAGGCTGGTCTCAAGCTCCTGACCTCAAGTGATCCACTTGCCTCGGCCTTCCAAAGTGCTGGGATTATAGGCGTGAGCCACCGCGCCTAGCCTAGTCTGTTCTTTTAAATTGCTATGAAGTATATACCACTGTATAAATGCATCCCAATTTATCTGTTTCCCTTTGACGCATGTACAGCTTGTTTCCCATCCTTCCCTCTTACCAACAGTACCTCTATGCAGACCCTTGCACACGTCTCCTCTTAAAAATGTCTAGCTGCCCCCCGCGGGCTTGCTGGGGTTAGGGTCTGTGTACTTTAGCTGTTCCCCGTGACTGAATCTCAAGCACTGTTTGATGTGTGCATGGCTTTCACAAGAGGGGGCACCGTGAGCCGTGACACGCGCCTTCCAGGGCCCAGGGGCACTGGAGGTCATGCTTTACCACGTCTGAAGCTTTCTTTGCAAAAAAGTGTGACTTCTTTTCCAGCTAAAGAGAACAGTTTTCGGCCGGGCGCGGTGGCTCACGCCTATAATCCCAGCACTTTAGGAGGCCGAGGCGGGCAGATCATGAGGTCAGGAGATGGAGACCATCCTGGCTAACACAGTGAAACCCCGTCTCTATTAAAAATACAAAAATTAGCTGGGCGTGGTGGCGGGCACCTGTAGTCCCAGCTACTCGGGAGGCTGAGGCAGGAGAATGGTGTGAACCCAGGAGGTGGAGCCTGCAGTGAGCCGAGATCGAGCCATTGCACTCCAGCCTGGGCGACAGAGCGAGACTCCGTCTCAAAAAAAAAAAAAAAAAAAAGAGAGAACAGTTTTCTTGGAGGAAGAAACATTTCTAAATAAAACTTTCTAGGAAACGGCACACTTACCCGTGATGACCGAGCCATCTGAGCCAGGACAGCTTCCTAAATACTGGTATTCCGTAAAGCCAAAGCTTCCAGAACTATCCTCGCCGATGGATTGCGAAATCTCTTGGATGTTTCCCATTTCTTGCAGGAACTCTTCAGATAACGGGCTCTCTAGATCGCCGGCCTCGAGTGGGGAGAGGGGGCAGAGTGGGCTTTCCGTGTCCACCATCGCGACCAGATGGTGCTGGTTGTGCCGCCGAGCTCCAAGCTACTGGGAGGAAAGAGGAACAATTGGTAAGACTGACGTATAACAACGTTCACTTGTTTGTTTTTATTTTTTATTATTTATTTATTTATTCTTTTTTTTTTTTTTTTGAGACAGAGTCTCAGTCTGTTGCCCAGGCTGGAGTGCAGGGGCACAATCTCGGCTCACTGCAAGCTCCGCCTCCCGGGTTCACACCATTCTCCTGCCTCAGTCTCCTGAGTAGCTGGGACTACAGGCGCCTGCCACCACGCCTGGCTAATTTTTTGTATTTTTTTTTTTTTAGTAGAGACGGGTTTCACTGTGTTAGCCAGGGTGGTCTCGATCTCCTGAGCTCGTATTCCGCTCGCCTCAGCCTCGCAAAGTGCTGCGATTACAGGAGTGAGCCACTGCGTCCGGCTGTTTGTTTTAATTTTAAATTTTAATTTTTAATTTTTTTTATTTTTGAGATAGAGTCTTGCTCTTGTCGCCCAGGCTGGAGTACAGTGGTGCGATCTCAGCTCACTGCAACCTCCACCTCCCGGGTTCAAGCAATTCTCCTGCCTCAGCCTTCTGAGTGGTTGGGATTACAGGTGCCCGCCACCACGCCCAGCTAGTTTTTTTGTATTATTAGTAGAGACGGGTTTTTACCATGCTGGCCAGGCTGGTCTCAAACTCCTGACTTCAGGTGATCCGCCCGCCTCGGCCTTCTAAAGTGCTTTGATCACAGGTGTGAGCCACTGCGCCTGGCCACTTGCTTGGTTTTAAATGCAACGTCATTTACCATCCAAGATACACCTGAATTCATCATCTACACAGGAGCACCACTGAGCCTCTCCTCCAGGCTTGTCTCTTGATCAGCACGCTGAGAAAGTGAAGAACCTTTAAACAACAAACTGTTGAAGGAGCCATAGCCCACGGGGCCAGGAATCTCTCAGTCATCACTGACTGCGCAGCTGTCGCAGCTCCGTACAATATGTTTGAGGTGCTGGGGACACAGCGGAGACAAAAACAGATCCCTGGGCCGGGCACAGTGGCTCACACCTGTAATCCCAGCACTTTGGGAGGCCGAGGCGGGCGGATCACTTGAGGTCAGGAGTTTGAGACCAGACTGGCCAACATGGCAAAACCCCATCTCTACTAAAAATACAAAAATTAGCTGGGTGTGGTGGCATGTGCCTGTAATCCCAGCTACTCAGGAGGCTGAGGCAGGAGAATCACTTGAACCTGGGAGGTGGAGGTTGCAGTGAGCCGAGATGGTGCCACCACACTCTAGCCGGGGCGACAGAGTGAGACCGTGTCTCAAAAAAAAACCAAAACCAAACCAAAACCAAAACCAAACAAAAAACAGGGTCGGGTGCAGTGGCTCATGCCTGTAATCCCAGCACTTTGGGAGGCCCAGGTGGGCAGATCACGAGGTCAGGAGTTGGAGGGCAGCTTGACCAACATGATGAAACTCTGTCTCTACTAAAAATACAAAAATTAGCTGGGCATGGTGGCAGGCACCTGTAATCCCAGCTACTCAGGAGGTTGAGGCAGGAGAACCGCTTGAACATGGGAGGCGGAGGTTGCGGTGAGCTGAGGTCGCACCACTGCACACCAGCCTGGGCGACAAAGCAAGACTCCACCTCAAAACAGCAACAACAACAACTAACAAAAATCAGATCCCTGCTCTCAGGGAGCCTCCCTTGTAACTGGGACACAGATGGTGAACAACGAAATGAATGCACGTGTGGAGTGTCCGGGGTGAGGCCAGGGAAGGCCTCACTGATTAGGGGGCAGGAGATAACCTCAGGGAATGAGGGGGCAAGCTGTGTAAATGTCTTGGGGGAGAATGTTCCAGCGAAGAGAACACCAAGTGCAAAGGCTCCAGGACTGAAACATGTTGGCACATTCCAGGAACAGGCAGCCAGTGTGGCTCAGGCTGCGGGGCGCAGGGCCAAGCCGGTGGCATGTGTGCTGGGTGTGACATCCACTTTGGTGTGCTCTCCCTGTAGCCATGAAGGCAGCTCATGTAGGGGGTCCTCGACCATGATTGTATGGTCAAGAATACTTTGTGGAGTCCAAACAAATCTAACTGGGTGAGTCCCAGACAATGGTAGGCTATTTCAACTAGCAAAGCGAACGGCATTTCCATAGGGGTATAAGTGACAAAGCAGCGGTTCTTCCTGGGTTAGTCTGTATCATGCTCTCGCTGAAACATCCTAAACCACTTCCTGAGACCTCCAGATTGAAGCCCAGTCTCCTGAACACACTGTTCCCAGCCCTTCCACATTTGTCCCTACCCGACTGTGCACTTGTCACTGTTCTTCTACCTCCTGGAAACGCAGCAGCGCTGAGAATTGCTTTCAGGATTCCACGTCTGCACCTTTGCCCAGGTGCCACCTGCCTGAACCGCCCTGCCCACCGCTGCCTTCTAGAGGCTCTGCCTCGGGTCCACCTCCCTGAACCCAGCTGAGTCATCAATCACCCAACGAGGCTGACTAGGTGACCTTTAGCTTCCAGAACTGTCTTCCTTTCTGAAAATGGTCACATGGTGCCCACGGCGCACACCACGGAGAGGCTCGGGGGTATGTGCTGCTACCAGCCACTGTCAGGGCAGCCGTCATCACATGGTGATTACGGAACGCCAGACTCTCCAGATAGAGTAAAGAATACCGTCCCAAAGCAAATATTCACCCATTAAATGCATTTGCGTAAAAATATGTTCACATTTGAGGTTTGCTTCATGTAAACAACAGCTTTTAGTGCGGTGAGGAAGGGATGTTTTGGCTTCTTCTACCAATGAAAAATAGATACATTTCATCCATTTTTGTGAAATTCACATATTATGTTTGGAATTCTGGCAATAAATCATCAAAGTTCACAGGGAAATCATCAAATAGCACACAGGGAAAAATAAGAGAACTGTTAACCTTTCATAGGGTTTAGAAGACTTTCTTTCTCTGTAACCTACTAGCATAAGTCAGGCTGGGACTCTGTACAGATTTTCTGTAGTATTTTATTCTGCATTCTGTCTGAAGGGAGATTTTTTTTCAAATGACAAGAAACATAATGGGGTAAGCATTACTTAAAATATTTTTCACTATGAACAAAAAGTTCAAAAGTTGCAGTCACTAACTAACTGTATTAACCATGAGGTTCATCCCAATAGAAAGCAAGTAGCTGGGGCCGGGCATGGTGGCTCACACCTGTAATCCCAGCACTTTGGGAGGCTGAGGCGGGCAGATCACTTAAGGTCAGGAGTTCGAAACCAGCCTGGCCAACAGGGTGAAACCCCGTCTCTACTAAAAATACAAAAATTAGCCGGGCGTGGTGGTAGGCGCCTGTAATCCCAGCTACTCAGGAGACTGAGGCAAGAGAATCGCTTGAACCCAGGAGGTGGAGGTTGCAGTGAGCTGAGATCATGCAATTGCACTCCAGCCTGGGGGACAAGAGCAAGACTTTGTCTCAAAAAAAGAAAAAAAAAAAAAAAAAAGAAAGAAAACAGGTAGCTGGGGCCAGGCGTGGTGGCTCGCACCTGTAATCCCAGCACTTTGGGAGGCTGAGGTGGGCTGATCACTTAAGGTCAGGAGTTCAAAACCAGCCTGGCCAACATGGTGAAACCCCGTCTCTACTAAAAATACAAACAAATTAGCTGGGCTTGGTGGCAGGTGCCTGTAATCCCAGCTACTCGGGAGGCTGAGGCAGGAGAATCGCTTGAACCTGGGAGGTAGAAGTTGCAATGAGCTGAGATTGCACCACTGCCCTCCAGTCTGGGTGACAAAGCGAGACTCTGTCACAAAAAAAAAAAAAAAAAAAAAGGAAAAAGCAAGTAGATGGGCAGAGACTGTGTGATGGATGGGCTGTGGCCACCTCCCTTTTTCGCCCATCGTGTTCTCAGCACTGGGGTGGAAAATGCATGTGGCCTATGCCTTTTATCCCTGCTAATATTCTCTCTTCTGGCCAGGAGCATCGACCAATAAAACAATGTTAGTTTGCTTGTCGTTATATTCAGGGAGTTTCAAAGTTTTACAATTTCATCATTTTTAGTTGCTTTTAAACAATACCAGGATTAATTTACAGAAACATTGGTCTTGCTATGAATGAAGAGCTAACCAAGATACAATCTCTATATAGAGTGAGGCAATACTGTCTTGAACTCTGGCCAGAGGGACTGGCTGTATACGGATCATTGAACAAATTGGCCCTTCCTTGCTCCCAACAAGAGCAGATAAGGAACAGTTGCCTTTGGATGCATCCCCCAGATAGACAGCAGAGGCCAAACGGGCACCTGCCCCACCCTGCACGCCCTCCCAGCATGCTCTGGTGCTGGGGCTCCCCCCACATCACTGGCGCTTCTGATCAGGAGCAGAATATCCCGGGGAAGTCCCCACCCCTTCCTATTACCCACATGACATGCCGCTGTCCAGCTAATCGAGAAGAGTGAACCAGGCTGGCCAGTTCCCGTGTCCTATGCCCCAAATGCTCTGGGGGGGATCAAGGCATAACCAACCATCCCTTTTCTCAACAACTGCAACCTCTGGTCCAGGAGGCAAGACAATGCAAACAGCACTGAATTAGATCTTCAGTTTCATAGCACAGACAGAGTCTCACAAAAGCTGAGAGGTGAGGGACAGGTGGATAGGGTGTTGGGAAAAGGTAGGGCTTCTGTTCCAGTCCCAGCAATGATGGGAGGTTCTGCATGATCCTCTCATTCCTTCCTTACCTGAGACCTTTTACATTTCTAAATTCATAATTTTCTTTCCCTTACAATTTATTTTTTTATTTTAAAAATTATTTAAAATATTTGTGGTATATACTCAGTGTATATATTTATGGGGTACATGAGATGCTTTGACATAGGCATGTAATGTGAACTAAACACGTCATGGGGAATGGGGTAGCTGTGCCCTCAAGCATTGATCCTTTCAGTTACAACAATCCAATTATACTCTTTAAGTTATTTAAAAATATACCATTAAGTTATTATTGACTATAGTCGCCCTATTATGCTATCAAACAGTGGCCAGGTGCGGTGGCTCACGCCTGTAATCTGAGCATTTGGGAGGCCAAGGCGAGTGGATCACTTGAGGTCAGGAGTTTGAGACCAGCCTGTTCAACCTGGTGAAACCCGGTCCCTACTAAAAATACAAACATTAGCCAGGTGTGGTGGCGCGTGCCCATAATCCCAGCTATTTGGGAGGCTGAGGCAGGAGGATCGCTTGAACCCAGGAGGTGGAGGTTGCAGTGAGCCGAGATCATGCCACTGCACTCCAGCCTGGGTGACAGAGTGAGACTCTGTCTCAAAACAACAACAACAACAAAACAACAAAAAACCTAGTGGGTCTTATTCATTCTTTCTAGTTTTTTGTACCTGTTAACCATCTTCACTGCCCCCAACCCCTCACCACCCTTCCCAGCCTCTGGTAACCATCCTTCTAATCTCTCTGAGTTCAAGTGATTTGATTTTTAGAGCCCACAAATAAGTGAGAACATGTGAAGTTTGTCTTTCTGTGCCTGGATTATTTCACTTAACATAATGATCTCCAGTTCCACCCATGTTGTTGTAAATGACAGGATCTCATTCTTTTTTATGGCTGAATAGTACTCCATTGTGTATATATATCACATTTCCTTTATCTATTTGTCTGGTGATGGACACTTAGGTTGCTTCCAAATCTTAGCTATTGTAAACAGTGTTGCAACAAACAAGAGTGCAGGTATCTTTTTGACATTTCCCTTCCAATTTAAATGTTAGAGCTGCATCTTGTATATCATAAGCTCAAACTACTGAGATTCAGTTTTTAGGTCTTACTAACTAAACATTTATCAATCAAAATATTCCTTTGAGAACGATGAAACAGAGTATATGAAAATTGTAGAACACTTAAAAACAGACAAATACAAGAGGAAGTAGACATCAAATTATATCACTGTTTTATGTTACCCGAGCACAGGGCAGGTGCAAACACTGGAAGGATTCCAACGGTAATTCATAACTAACACGAGGGTATTTTCTGCATCACCTGCTCTTAGATGCGTGACTGTTTGGAAGATTAGGCTAAAATGAGTTATAAATGGGAGAAGAAGCTCTTCCTTCATGAAACCCATTCACCTATAGATTCCTGCAGCATCTTGGGCCCAATTCTGGTGTAGCCCTGATTATCTGTGCTGTTGAAACTTTTTACGTGTCTGTCTCTCCTACTAGACTGTATGCTTTGTGAGGCTAGGGAACATATTCACCTAATCTTTGCATCCATACTTCTAGCACAATCCCTGCTGTGTAGCAGGTGTTCAATGTCTATTTCTTTCTTTCTCTTTTTTTTGAGATGGAGTCTCACTCTGTCACCAGGCTGGAGTACAGTGGCGTGATCTCGGCTCACCGCAACTTCCGTTTCACGGGTTCAAGTGATTCTCCTGCCTCAGCCTCCTGAGTAGCTGGGACTACGGGCGTGCGCCACCACGCCCGGCTACTTTTGTATTTTTAGTAGAGACAAGGTTTCACCATGTTGGCCAGGATGGTCTTGATCTCTTGACCTCGTGATCTGCCCGCCTCAGCCTCCCAAAGTGCTGGGATTACAGGCATGAGCCACCGCGCCTGGCCTCAATATCTATTTCTAACGATCTGCACAGAAGGAGCTCTTGGGAATTACTTACTCCAGGAGTAACCCAGTGATGGTCTGTGAGAATTCACCTCAGCTCTGTCGCCGCAGCCACAGCCTGCTGTCACCCAGAGGGCAAAGCGGCACACACAGTGTGTCCGAAGACTACAAAAATGTAATGGATATCTAGAACAGAAGTCAAAGGGACTCTGCGTGGGAAAGGTGATCTAATTTGCAGAGTGAATTTTAATCATCACAGGGACAGGAAAACAAAGCCAGCAAAAGGAAAAAAAAAAAAAAAACCATACTGAACACAATAGGGAGGAACAGATTATCAGTTCCACTCCCTTCCTCAGGAGCAACAGTTGCAGAGCTTGGGAAGCGTCCTGTGATAAAAGGAAGTGGTTTGTATTAAGAGTAAAGTAGTTTTGCCACTTGCTTGGAATAAAAGGAGACCGAAGGGAAACCCCTCCACTGTGGGCTTCTGGAGAGCAGCTGCCGTGTCTCACCCACGTGTGCACCCTTGTATTGGACATGAGGTTCTTGGACCCAGAAGGTCCTTTGCAAATATTTTCTTTTTTGTTGTTGTTTTTATAGATGCAGTCTCACTCTGTCACCCAGGCTGGAGTGCAGTTGTGCAATCTCGGCTCACTGCAACCCCACGCCTCCCGGGTTCAAGCGATTCTCGTGCCTCAGCCTCCTGAGTAGCTGGGACTACAGGCACACACCACCACGCCCGGCTAATTTTTTGTATATTTAGTAGAGATGTGGTTTCACCATGTTTGGCCAGGCTGGTTTTGAACACCTGACCTCAGGTAATCCGCCCACCTCGGCCTCCCAAAGTGCTGGGATTACAGGCATGAGCCACTGTGCCCAGCCCCCTTTGTAAATATTTTCTGAAATAATGTATTAAATAGCAGGTAGCTGAATACTGTCCCAACTATCAAAACATCTTTATATTCTATGTGATCAGACACTCAAGACAACCAACAAATGGAATTGAGCTTGAATTTTCACACTCAAAACTTTTTTATTTTTGAGACAGAGTCTCTCTCTGTCACTCAGGCTGGAGTGCAATGGCAAGATCATGGCTCACCGCAGCCTTGATCTCCCGGGCCCAGGTGATCCTCTCACCTCAGGCTCCCAAGTGGTTTGGACTACAGGCGCTGCCACCACCCCCAGCTAATTTTTGTATTTTTGTAGAGATAGGTTTCACTATGTTGCCCAGCCTGGTCTCGAACTCCTGGGCTCAAGCGATCCACGCGGCTTGGCCTCTAAGTGTTGGGATTACTGGTGTGAGCCATCATACCCAGCCTGGAACTTATATGTGATACAAAAGCCTCCAGAACAATAATTACGAACGTTAGACTTTCACTTTTTTGACTGCTTATGCTTCTGTACTACTCCCTCTAATTTACTGTATTGTAACCACTTAATATGCTTAATAATGCCACCCTACAGAAATCTATTTACATCTTTCTTTGCTAAATGATGTCTGATCCAACCTCATGGAACACTTTGAGGGTAAAGGATGGAAGTCTTCTCAAACGAGTAGTGTTGCTGGGGCAGGTGACCATCAGAAGACAGATTTTTCTCTTTCCCACCAATTCTAATTTATCACCTTGTCTTTATATTTTTTGAATATCATATTTAACATCTAGAAGTCTTTTCGCTCAATTTGTTGGGCTAAGATTTAAAATAACATTTCAGAATAAACAAACCCAGAAGCTAGAAAGCCCTCTGTACCTTCACCTAGCATCGGTTCACAGAAATAGATGAACACGGCTGGGCGCAGTCGCTCATGCCTGTAATCCCAGCACTTTGGGAGGCCGAGGTGGGCGGATCACGAGGTCAAGAGGCTGAGACCATCCTGGCCAACATGGTGAAACCCCATCTCTATTAAAAATACAAAAATTAGCTGGGCGTGGTGGCACGTGCCTGTAGTCCCTAGCTACTTGGGAGGCTGAGGCAGGAGAATCACTTGAACCTGGGAGGCGGAGGTTGCAGTGAGCTGAGACTGCGCCACTGCACTCCAGCCTGGTGACAGAGCAAGACTCTGTCTCAAAAAAAAAAAAGAAAAAAAATAGAAAGAAAGAAAAGATTAATCATTACCAGTGCCAAATGATTAACACGCTAACAAAGTCAGTTTAGAAAATGCCAATGGAAACACATTTAAAACAGAAGGAAAAGGACCAGACTATAATGGTGGTAAAGACACTCTATCTTAATGAATTTAAATCAAATACATCATAAATAGTTTGCATATCACCTACATTTAACTAGATACATCTAGATCTTGCCCAACAATACCTAAAGCATTAAACTTAAAATTTTGTAATCAAAAGAATTTGGCACATAAACAAGAGTGACAAGCCCAACATGGCACAAGAGCTGTGAGCTCCTCCACCTACCTTTATCTTCAAAGGTGCAAAAAGAATGTTCCCAGCCATTTCCAAGAAAACTCCCTACGGACTTTACACAAAGTTCACACTATATGACTTCCATTTAAAACCCAGCACTTCTTCATAATTTTCAGAAAGTTTGTAGTTATTGCTTTAAAATATCTTACCTTTGTGGATGGTGATATCAAAATAAGAGAAGAAAAGCTGCAAGTTTGGACACATTTTGTGTCCGTTGCAATCAAATTAGAGTAGGCCGAGAGGCCTGCCACAAGAATCAAAAGTCAACTGAAATGAAATTTGTATTCACCACTCAAGAGCTCTGACCTGATACAGGATGGGACGCATAGCAAGGCAGGTAAGGTTGAAGCATTTAGCAGCCAGATGACGAGGAAGCAGCCTGGGCGCAGTGGCCTGGCCAGTTACAAAACTGAAGTGACACACAACTAACGATGACATTTCAGAGCAAGAAAGGCCTAATGGGTTTTAGCAGAAATATATCAGATACACGGCAGGCAAACTTTACAGGGCTGAGGCTTGAACTCGTGGAACACATGAGTACGCACCTGAGCTAATGACTGTGCTTAACGCTGGAGACCACAGACAGGCAATCTCAGCTTTGAAGGGATCCACAGCCCCAGTGCACTGGGACAGGGGGGTGTGGCACTGGCACGGGAAGGAAAACAAGGAGAAATAATATTATTGAACATCACACGTGGGCCAGGCCCTCAATGGCAGCTGCATGTATTTTTTTTCTTTAATCTATCCACGCCAGGGCAGGGTAGGTATTATTGGTCCCATTTATAAAGAAGAAAAATGCAGAGGTTGAGAGAAGTGAGTAACTTGCCCAACTAGCAGGTGAGAGGTACAAATAAACAAATGGTTGCAAAGGCAGCATGATGAGGGCTGTTACTGGGGGAATCCTGGAGGGCCAGGGAGCCTACATACAGGAAGGGACACCCAAGATGAATCCTAAAGGCTGACTGGATATTCCATAGGAAAACCCAACAGAAAGGAGGGTAAGGGCCATTTCAAGGAAAAGGGAACAGCATATCTGCATATATGGCCCAAAACATCATTGAATAAGTGGTTGAGAATGGCTGAACAACTGGCTCCAAGAGTTGTATCAGTTACATGTTACCGTGTAACAAACTCTGAAACTTAATGGCTTATAACTACAACCATTTTATTTGTTCACAATTCTATGGGTCAGCAAATTGGGCTGAGCTCAGCCAGGTGGCTCTTC
The DNA here is from genome assembly GCF_000001405.40 of Homo sapiens. NCBI lineage: Eukaryota > Metazoa > Chordata > Mammalia > Primates > Hominidae > Homo > Homo sapiens. The sequence continues at coordinate 46,188,142 of NC_000022.11, read as the reverse complement.
TACTGGTCTGACCTGGGATAATTCACATAGCTGTGGTCATTTTGTGGCTCAGCTATGGCTGGATGGCCTCAGTCACATGCCTGGTAGCTGGTGCCAGGCTGTTCGCTAGGTATTTCTCACCATGAAGTCTTTCATCCTCACAGAGGCCACCTCAGGCTTCTCAGATGGTGGCAGCATTCCAAGAGGTTGAATGTGGAATCTGCAAAGCCTCTTAAGGTAGACCTCATTTGTAAGTTAGGCAGTGTCCTTTCTGTTACGTTCTGTGGGTCAAAGCAAGTCACAAGGCAAGCCAGATCCAAGAGGTGGGGAAATAAACTCTACCTCTTGATGGGAAGAGCCTCAAAGAACTTGTGACCATTTTTGATCTACCTCAAGGGAGAAGTGGCAAGAGGTGAGTCTGCAGAGGTAGGAGAGGCCAGCAGTGCCAATCATGGCACATTGTTAATCCCCATGTTTAGGAGTTTGGATTTCATCCTAAAACAATAAGGAGCCATGGAAGACTATTGAAGGGAAGTGTGACGTGATCAGATTTGTATCAGGATTGTCTTGATGGCAAGAAGGAATCCAGATTCAAAGGGAACAAGACTAGAAGCAGCACAACTCCTTACGGGGCTGTTGTAACTGTCCCAAGAAAAGATGGTGACAGCCCTGGGTAATGACACAAGAGGCAGGAGGACTGCGAGATAAAGAGCTGATCCTGACAACTGGCAGCTGCCTGGACCAGGGACCTGGGACAGAGTCTAGGATGAATGTATGCTCTGGCTTAAGTCACTGGGCAGAGGAGGTGGCACCCACGAAATTTGGAATATAAAGACAAGGAGGGCAGGTTTTGAGCATGGAGAGAAGGGATTACAGGCATGAGCCAATGCACCTGGCCATGAGTTCAGTTTTAAAATGGTGTTTAAGGTACCTGAGGCTTGACCTCTGTAAGCCAGGTCTCCTCTTCTGAGAAGCAATGATGATGCTTACAGTGTTCACCTCACAGGGGTTCTTAGCAGCAGCAGCAGTGCCTAGAGAGGCTGCAAGGCCAACCTCAGGGGAAGGCAGTGCTATGACCTTGAAAACTCCACCTTATACAGTAGATATCCCTTATCCATGGTTTCACTTTCCTTGGTTTTAGTTACCCCCAGTACAGTACAATAAGATATTCTGAGAGAGAGAGGAAGAGACCCTTTTGTTACAGTGTATGTTATAATTGTTCCATTTTATTATCATTGTTGTTAGTCTCCTACTGTGCCTAATTTATAAACTTTATCATAGGTATGCATATACAGGGAAAAAACATAGCATATATAGGGCTTGATACTATCTGAGGCTTCAGGTATCCACTGTGGGGGCTTGGAGTGTATCCTCTTTGGATAAGGGGGGGAGCACTGTACATTTCTTTGAACCTCAGTTTTGTTCTTTTCTTTTATTTATTTATTTTTTTTGAGACAGAGTCTCGCTCTCTCACCTAGCCTGGAGTGCAGTGGCGTGATCTCGGCTCACTGCAACCTCCGCCTCCTGTGTTCAGGCGTGAGCCACTACGCCTGGCTGAACCTCAGTTTCAATAACTGTAAATTTAGGTTAATGACAGCTACATGGCCAGGTGGTTCGAGATGTCTATAGAGTAATGGGCACATGGTGCTGCTCCTTCCTCCCTCGTTACTGGGAATCCTTGCTCCCTCGGCCCCCAGCCCACGCCTTCATCCTTGAATCATGCTCTTCTCTCTGCCCGGCTGGTCTTCCCAAACTATAACATCTACAAAGGCGGGACCACACCTTATTCAAGTGTGTTGCACAAATACACCCTTGAATAAACTGAGCTGAACCAGAAAGGGCAGAGAAAGAGGAAAATTAGATTTATGTGAGACCTTACAAGTAACCAAGACAATGTCTGAGACATGTCAAGGACTTCGCATTACTTAAATAAAATGATGCAGTGTGCTGCAAATTACTCAAGGTTGGCTGATGGCATCCGGTCTATGAATGTAAGTCTACACTGCCAATCCTGTGGTATCTAAGTTCTCAGCAAATATGCCATATTGGTTTTAAAGGAAAGAGAAAAGGCCCTTTCCCTTTAACTTTTAGGGGCCAACTCAGGGAAGTCAAAATTTGCTCAAGACCAAGAGGAACCAACCAAGTAGAAAGATAATCCCTTCTGCAATAGTCCTATATGCTGAAGGTTAGTGTGTGTGTATATATATATATATATATATATATATATATATATATATATATATATATTTTTTTTTTTTTTTTTTTTTTGGAGACGGAGTCTCACTTTGTCACCCAGGCTGTAGTGTAGTGGCGTGATCTTGGCTCACCACAACCTCTGCCTCCTGGGTTCAAGTGATTCTCCTGCCTCAGCCTCCCGAGTAGCTGGAATTACAGGCGGCTGCCACCATACCTGGCTAATTTTTGTATTTTTAGTAGAGACGGGGTTTCACCATGTTGGCCAGGCTGGTCTTGAACTCCTGACCTCAGGTGATCCACCTGCCTCAGCCTCCCAAAGTGCTGGAATTACAGATGTGAGCCACCGCGCCCAGCCAGAGGTGGTATATTTTTAAACTTCTCTCCTTGAGCTTTCTTCTTCAATTTTTAGATTAAGCCAACAGTATTGTCTTTTGCCAGAGCAGACAAGTTCTGAATGTACTTCTGCTTCTTCAAAGTCTGGTGAAAAGCAGCAGCAAAAGAGGGGAACAAGGTCAACCACAGAGTTTTAAAATGAGGGCACTCCAAGTTCAAATGGTCCTCACTCTAGAAAGTTATGAGAAATGGGAGACACTAGCATGTTCTGATGAGAGCCATGCAGAAACACTGCACTCATGAAAAAGGAAGAGTATGCTATCAAAAGGGATATTCAGAGAATAAGAACTTTTCTAGGGAATTACAAACTCAATTGCAAACCTAATAGAAGGGTTGGAAGATAAAGGGCCTGATCTCACAGAAAGTAGAGTGAAAACAGATGGAACATGGGAGAAGCAAGAGAAGTAAGAGAGGACCAGTCCAGGAGACAAAACTCAACCAAATAACAGGAGCTCCGAAGAGCAGGAAGCAAGAACATGGAGCACAGGAAACCACCAACCAGTACGTTCAGGATAACTTCTCAGAAATGATGGGCATGAATTTCCAGATTGCAAGGGCCCAGCAGGGACTCCATGGAATGGATGAATACACACACACAGATGGTCACTCACTGGGAAATTCCAGACCATGCTGGAGACAAAGAGAAGACCCTACGAGCTTTCTGAGAGGGAAAAACACGTCGCACACAAACGATCCAACAGAATACTTTTTTTGTTTTTTGAGACGGAGTCTTGCTCTGTCGCGTAGGCTGGAGTGCAGTGACACAATCTCAGCTCACTGCAACCTCCACCTCCCAGGTTAAAGCAATTCTCGTGCCTCAGCCTCCCGAATAGCTGGTACTACAGGCGTGCGCCACCACGCCTGGCTAATTTTTGTATTTTTTGTAGAGAAGAGGTTTTGCCATATTGGCCAGGCTGGTCTTGAACTTCCGACCTCAGGTAATCTCGGCCTCCCAAATTGCTGGGATTACAGGTGTGAGCCACTGTGCCTGGCCAAATAGAATACTTTTGGATTTTCCAACAGCAACATGGGAAGTGAAAGATAACAGTTGGAAACCTTCTAAATATGGGAGGAAACTGGCTTCTGACCCCATAGCCCTATATTCAGAGAAGCCCTCCATCAGGTGCAAGGGTAGCAAAGCTCCTGTTTTCCCCATTAGTGTAACTAAAAGGTAACTGTGTCTCTCTCTGAGATTCTGGACTCTGTCTCCCCATGGTACTTGGTACTTCTCTCCTATTATGGTAATTATTGGTGAACATGGTTTCTTATGATGTTTTAGAAGGTAACTCATGGCACCTTTTCTAGACATCCAACTTGCAGTGGCGTGTTGCAGGTTGCTTGTGTTTAATTTGCACTGCAATATTATTGTTTTATAAAAATGAAGTCATCATCAAATCATCATCAGCCATTTTTCAGATCCAACCCTGCAATAAATTAGAGATGTTGATAATGATAGTAGTTCCAGCTAACACTTTTTGAGCCCTTATCCTATGCCAGGCACTGTCATAAATAAGAACCTAATGTGCATTAACTCACTTCCTGGTAACAGCAACCCCATGAGGCAGGCATTATCATTATGTTTACTTTACAGATGAGGAAACTGAAGTACAGAGAGGCTACCACAACATGCGCTGGGGCACAGAACCACCGGGACCGGGGTTTGACCTCAGGCAGCAAGCCTCTAGTTTCTGCTTCTAACAACCACGTTAGAACCCTCTGTGTGGTTTACTGTGTGTCATCTCCCAGTGTGAACATTTCTCAACTTTACTTCCAACCATCAACGATCTAGACATTTGATAATTTAGCTTTTTTTGTTTTGTTTTGTTTTGTTTTGGACACAGAGTTTCCTTCTTTCACCCAGGCTGGAGTGCATGGTGCAATTACAGCTCACTGCAATATCGACCTCCCAGGCTCAAGTGATCCTCCCACCTCAGCCTCCCGGGTAACTGGGACTACAGGCACATGCCACCATGCCTGGCTAATTTTTCTATTTTTTGTATAGACAGGGTTTCGCCATGTTGCCCAGGCTGGTCTCAAACTCCTGAACTCAAGTGATCTGCCCTCCTGGGCCCCGCAAAGTGCTGGGACTACTGGCGTGAGCCATTGAGCCTGACCTGATAATCCAGATTCTGAATTACTCACAAGTTATTTTTCTTTCCCAGTTTATCTGTGTTGAGTAGATGATCCTCTTGATGAATATTACTCTCTCTTGGAGTCTTCAGTCAAGTTTAGAGATGAGGGAAAATGTAGTATTATTCTAATGTGTTTTTAAAACAAAGACTGGAAGTTTAAACTAATGACAAATTGCAATGTGAGGATTACCTGAACTCTTGCTGCTTATGCTGCTAAACGAGTGTGTGTTCAGTGGAGAATTACCCATTTACTCATTTAGCAGATGGAGTCATTTCTGTAAGCACCGCCACATTGGGGCACCCGAGTGTGGGTCCTCAGATGAGGATTTCAGAGCCAAAGCCACAGTTCTAATGCTTATTTCAAGACAACTTTTTTTCATTTAAAAGACAGCTTTATGGGCCCGGTGCTGTGGCTCATGCCTATAATCCCAACACTTTGGGAGGCCGAGGTGGGTGGATCACCTGAGGTCAGGAGTTCAAGACCAGCCTGGCAATCATGGCGAAACCCTGTCTTTACTAAAAATAGAAAAATTAGCTGGGCATGGTGGCGTATGCCTGTAGTCTCAGCTACTTGGGAGGCTGAGGCATGAGAATCGCTTGAACCCGGGAGGCGGAGGTTACAGTGCTCTGAGACGGTGCCATTGCACTCCAGCCTGGACGATGGAGCGAGACTCTGTCTCAAAAAATAAAATAAAAACAAAACAACAAAAGAAAGCTTTATGGACATGTAACTGGCATACAATAATCTGTACATATTTAAAGTGTACAAATTTGGTATTTTTTGCCGTATGTATCAACCTGTGAAACCACTATCATAGCCGAGACAGTACGCAGACCCATCATCCTCAAAGCTCTCCTGTGCCCATCTAATCTCTCCCTCTTGCCCCTCCATGCCCACTGTCACTGGTCTGCTTCCTGTCATTACAGATTAGTTTGTACTTTCTAGTTTTATACAAATAGAATCAAGCAGTATGTATTATACTTATTTTTCCTGTCTTCTTTTACTCAGCACAATTATTTCAGCATTCATCCATGTTGTTATGGGTATTCATAGGCCATTCCTTTTGATTGCAAAGTAATACTCCATTGTATGGATAACCACAGTTTGAGAATATATTCACCTATTAATGGCATCTGAATGGTTTCCAAGTCTGAGCTATTATAAATAAAGCAGCTATAGACATTCAGGACTAGACTCTGTATGGAATATATGCTTTCTTTTTTCTTGGCCAAATACTTAGGAGTGGGATTGCCAGATCTCATGGTAGGCATTGGTTTAACTTTATAAGAAACTGCTGGCTGGGCATGGTGGTTCACACCTGTAATCCCAGCACTTTGGGAGGCCAAGGCAGGCAGACTGTCTGAGGTCAGGAGTTCAAGACCAGCCTGGCCAATGTGGCAAAACCCCGTCTCTACTAAAAATAAAATTTAAAAAAATTAGCCAGGCGTGGTGGTGCACACCCGTACTCCCAGCTACTCAGGAGGCTGAGGCAGGAGAATCACTTGATCCCAGTGAAGTAGAACAGGTCTTTCCTAATTTTCCTGTGGCTTTTTCTTTCCACCTGAGGTGTCTGGTGAAGGGGGCCCTCTAACTGCCTTAGGTTCGGCTCAGGTCACTAGAGTCTTACAGTAAGTTGCCAGACAAGGCTGTAACCATTTGGGGCATGTCTAGACTGTGATCATCCAGGAATTGATGTATGGGAACTGATCTGGATGCCCAGGGTGTCCTCCAACCCCAGTCACTACCCTAAATATATGACCAATCATTTCCCTATTTATTGTACCCTCGGCTGGCCACCCGACATTAAAAGAAGGCCATTCCACTTCACACAGAACCCTCAATCTTTGGGGGGGACAACTTAATTCCATAATCTCCAGCAAAACCTTTCTTAAAATTCTTTAACATGCACCCCAGAGGAGTGGGTTTCGATGCTTTTCCTCCCATCCCGCCCTTTGTGATGCACACTCACTCTCACTTTCGTTCCAGACTGACCAGACTGGGTCCTATTACGGAAGTTTCAGGTGCTGCTTAGCTAGGAGAGTACCTTATTCCTGCCACAGCCTGCTGCAGCTGTGGGGCAGCTCCTGTCAGCTGTATGTGATGCCCTGGTTCTGGTCAATCACACACTCGCCTCAGAGCACACAGTCCGTGCTAAGAGATCTGTGTCTCCCCACATCACGGCCCTCCCGGAACCATCTCTTTCACACACCTCCCCGCTCCCAGTTCCCGATCCTTAGTCAAGGCAGGAAGCCACTCTTCCCATTTTCAGTTTCTTTCCTGACCAACTTAGTGAGCCACTCTCGTGTCCTGCATCGGCTAAGGTGTAAGTTTCATCTGAATCAGTGAGCTACTCTCACTGTCCCCAGCCCCTCTGGGTCTGGGCAACATGGCAAAACCCTGTCATCTGAATCAGTGAGCTACTCTCACCATCCCCAGCCCCTGCTGGAACCGTCCTGCAACCCCTTTATAGGTTCCGTTGTGCTGTCTAGGAAGGACACCGGGATGCAGGAGAGCCAATCTCCTTTCCGGGCTAAAGTCCTCCCATTGGCACCAAAGGTCCCAGGTCTCCCTCGACCCGGGCTCCAGTTCCACAGGCAAGGGAGACAGAAAATCTGCCATCTCCAATCCCGGACGAGCCCCCAGAAAATGTAGTGGGAAATCAGAGAACTGGAGCGATTGATGGGGTTCAGGAGGATTTATTTAAGGTGTACACTGGCTCAGTGGACTTGCATCCAGAAAGTCAGAGCACCAAACAAAGAAGGCAAGTACCTTTTACGCATCTTGAGGCAGGAAATATGTGAGGCAGGAAGCAGGCATACAGAAGTGAGAATAAAGGCCGTTATCATCTTGTGATATTCTTGTGACATGCCTTACATCTTAAGAAAAACATGTTTTGCAGCTTAAGCTTATCTGCCTTGTGAACTTGCAGCTGTGCAGGGAAAACAGGAATTTACAGAACTTACAAAATACATGGAGGCTAGATAAGATTAATGTTTCACACAAGGAAAATTAATATTCTTTCTTAACTCTAACTTCAGTGGGGGAGTGGTTACTTAAAGCCTTTCAGTCTGGGCCTAAACAGCATTTTTATTAAAGAAACTATCATTATTTCTATTATTATTACTGCTATTGTTACCTTTATTATTATTTTTCTAATTCATTGGGAGGCAGAGGTTGCAGTGAGCTGAGATCGCGCCACTGTACTCCAGCCTGGGAGAGCAAGACTCCATCTCAAAAAAAAAAAAAAGCAACTGCCAACCTGTTTTTCAATGTGTTTGTATCATTTTACCTTCCTGTCAGCAAAGATGAGAGTTCTAGTTCCTGCACATCATGGCTAATGTTTGGTATGGTCAACCTTTCTAATTTTGGCCATTCAAATGGGCATGTAGTGGTATCATACCACCACTGTGTAAGTTGTAGAACATTAGCATGGGGACTGTAGGTTTCATCTGCATTGCTCTGATGACTGATAACATTGAGAATTTTTCACATGCTTACTTGCTATTCATCTATCTTCTTTGACAATGTGTTTGTTCAGATCTCTTGCCCATTTTTAAAACTGGGTTATTTTCTTCTAGGTGAGTTTTGAGAATTTTTTCTGTCTTCCAGCTACAATACCTTTATCAGGCAAATGCTTTTCGAATATTTCTTCCCAATGTGTAACTTGTGTTTTCATTCTCCTAAAACTGTCTTTTGAACAGTAAAAGTTTCATTTTGATGAAGTTCAATTTATTGATTTTTTTCTTTCATAGATTGTGTTCTCGGTGTCATATCTATGAAATCTTTGCCTAGACCAAGGTCACAAAGATTTTTCTCCTGTGTTTTCTTCTAGAAGTTTTATAGTTTTAAATTTTACCTTCAGATCTCTGATCTATTTTGAGTTAATTTTTGTGTATGGCATGAGGCATGGGTCAAAGTTCATTTTGGGCATATGGATAACCATTGCACCAGCACCATTTATTGAAAAGACTGTCCTTTCTCTACCAAATTGCCTTTGCACCTCTGTCAAAATCCAGTTGTTTTTTTAAGTTAGAAATGAATGTGGGATTTAATCAACTGCTTTTCTGCATCTACTAAGATGATCACATGGTTTTTCTTTTTCATCCTGTTAATACGATGAGTTACATTAATTTTTGATTATCAAGCCATTTGGCATTTCCTGGGATGAATCCTACTGGTTATGATGTAATATTTGCTATACTTTGAATGTATCCCCCAAATTTCATGTGCTGGAAACTTAGTTTCCAAATTCATATGTTGATAGCATTTGAAGGTAGCCTTTGGGAGGTAATTAGGATTATAAGATCATCAGGGTGGGGCCCCCATGATAGGACTGGTGACTTTATAAGAAGAGGAAGAGAGCCCTGAGCTGACAGGCTCTTTGCCTTGCTTCATGTCACGATCCAGCAGGAAGGCCCTCACCGGATGCCAGCACCATGCTCTTGGACTCACTGGGTACATACCTGAGATTCCAATCTATCTCACTGTGTATACATCTGAGATTCTGATCTGCTTCACTGTGTACACATCTGAGATTCTGATCTATCTCACTGTGTATACACCCGAGATTCTGATCTATCTCATTGGTACACACCTGATGTTCTGATATGGTTTCTTGTCTTTATGCCCAAGATTCTGATATACCTCCCTCTCCTAACAAACACTCACATCCCTGCACTGTTCCTGGCCCTGCGTGAGTATCAGGCACCATTCCTGGCTGGCACAAGTACTGGGCACTGTTCCTTCTAATCCTCTCAGATGGTTCTTTTCCTGGCCTCAAGTAGTTTTGCTCATATGGATGCACCAAGAAGTACTTTGGTAGATCTCTGGAGTCCCTCTGTATATGGCTTGCACCTCTCATACTTTGCTTTGGATAATCTATACACCATGGTCTCCCTGGACTCTCAGCTCTATTTTGTCAACTGAGGAAGTCTGCCAAGATCTGCCTCAGTTTCCCCTCTCCCTGCACTGCAACCTGGAAACTCTCTCAAGCCACACCTCTCACCTTGTCTTACAACCATCAGTGCCCTTCACTGCCTGATGTCCAGCATCTTGAAGAACATTGTTTCATGTATTTGTATGGAGGTTTTGTTATCTCAGATGAGAAGGTAAGTCAGTCCCTGTTATTCTATCCTGGAAAATGGAGTCTGTAATTTCTATAGGCATAATAATTTGGTTACAAGGCCACAGCCAGTATATTTCTTAATTGTTTAAAACTCATGTCACCTTCTGACAGATAGAAATATTTCATGTTTTCCTTTAATATTGTTTTAAATTTCAAAGTAGATAAACTGTTAGACTACACTTTTGAAATCTACCCCCTCCTTACGAGTCCTAAAATGCCTCTTTGGGTAGGTGCCTGAGGTTCTGATATAGTTCCTTGGCTATATGCTCTAGACTGATAGACCTCCTTAGATCTATACCCCAAATTCTGCTATACCTCCCTGGGTATAAACCTGAGATCCTGATATAAATCCTTAGCTAGATACTTAAAGCCTCAAGATATGCCTTCTTGAGTATATACCTGAGACTCTGCTATACCTCTTTGGGTAAATACCCAAGATTCTGATATATCTCACTGGTTACACACCTGAGGTTCTCATCTGTCTCACTGGGTACACACCTGAGGTTCTGACCTGTCTCACTGGCTACACGCCTGAGGTTCTGACCTGTCTCAACAGGTACACGCTTGAGGTTCTGACCTGTCTCACCGGGTACACGCCTGAGGTTCTGATCTGTCTCATCGGGTACATGCCTGAGGTTCTGATCTATCTCATTGGCATACACCTGAGGTTCTGACATGGCTCCTTAGTTTATGCCCAAGATTCTGATATACCTCTCTCTCTTCACAAAAACTCAAATCCCTGCTGCAACTCAATACTGGGATGCATTCCAAAATTTAGACTACATAAGACTGTTTGAAGTTCACTTTGAATCCTGGAGGATATGATACTATCGATTTTTTTTTTTTTTTTTTTGAGATGGAGTCTTGTTCTGTTGCCCAGGCTGGAGTGCAGTGGCACGGTCTCAGCTCACTGCAACCTCTGCCTCCTGGATTCAAGCATTCTCCTGCCTCAGCCTCTGAGACTATCAAATTTTTATACCAAATATTGTCATCAGTCCTGACATAGACATAATGTTGGGATTAATTAATGCTCAATAAAATAGTAAAGGAAGAACACTAGTAGGCTATTAAACAGATTATTTTTATTTTATTTTATTTTATTTTTTGAGACAGGGTCTCACTTTGTTGCCCAGGCTGGAGTGCAGTGGCGTGATCTTGGCTCACTGCAAGCTCTGCCTCCTGTGTTCACGCCATTCTCCTGCCTCAGCCTCCTGAGTAGCTGGGACTACAGGCGCCTGCCACCATGCCCGGCTAATTTTTTTGTATTTGTAGTAGAGACAGGGTTTCACTGTGTTAGCCAGGATGGTCTCAATCTCCTAACCTCGTGATCTGCCCGCCTTGGCCCCCCAAAGTCCTGGGATTACAGGCGTGAGCCACTGCGCCCGGCCAACAGATTCTTTTTAAAAGTGCTCAAAGGATCACCTAATGATAACAGAATTCATCCACCAGGAAGACACGATGCTCCTAAACGTGTATGTACCTCTTATCTATGAAGCAGGAAGCACGTCCTCACATGACACTGAATCTGCTGGCACTTTGATCTTGAACTTCCCAGCCTCCAGAACTGTGAGAGAAAAATTTCTGTTGTTTATAAATCACCCAGTTTACGGTATTTTGTTATAGCAGCTTGAATGGACTAAGACACCATTCAACAACACTAGAATATACTTTTTTCCCTAAAAGCCCATGGAACATTCACCTAGACAGACCATGTCTTTGACCATTAAACAAACCTCAACAAATTTAAAAGAATTGAAGCCATACAGAGTATATAATCTAATAACAATGAACTTAAACTATAATAACAGAAAAACAATAAAAAGAAAGTACTGATACGGAGTCTCACTCTGTGGCCCAGGCTGGAGTGCAGTGGCATGATCTTGGCTCATTGTAACCTCCGCCTCCTGGGTTCAAGTGATTCTCCTGCCTCAGCCTCCAAAGTAGCTGGGATTGCAGGCACATGCCAGCATGCTTGGCTAATTTTTGTATTTTTAGTAGAGATGGGGTTTTGCCATGTTGGCCAGGCTGGTCTCAAACTGCTGACCTCTGGTGATCCGCCCGCCTTCGCCTCCCAAAGTGCTGAGATTACAGGCATGAGCCACTGAGCGTAGCCCTGTAATTTACATTTCTACCTATCTATCTGTCCGTCCGTCCATCCATCCATCCACCTACCTATGAATGACAGGGTCTTGCTATGTTGCCCAGGCTGGAGTACAGTGGCACAATTTCGGCTCCTTGCAACCTCTGCCTCCTAGGATCAAGCAGTCCTCCTACCTCAGCCTTCCAAGTGTTAGGATTACAGGTGTGAGCCACCGTGCCTGGCTAGAACTGTTTAAAACAAACCAGAAAACCAAGAAACCTGTACACAAATGTTCACAGCAGCTTTATTCATAATAACTCCAAGCTGGAAACAACCTAGATGTCCTCCAATGGGTGAATAGTTAAACCATGGTTCCTCCATACCATGGAAATTACTCAGCAATAAAAAGGAATAAACTGTTGATGCACCAACAAGCTGGATGAGTCTCATGAGAATTACCCTGAGTCTCAAACGGTTATATGCCATATGATTCATTATGTGACATTCTTTTTTTTTTTTTTTTAAGATGGAGTCTCGCTTTGTCACCCAGTCTGGAGTGCAGTGGTGTGATTTCAGCTCACTACAAGCTCCGTCTCCCGGGTCCACACCATTCTCCTGCCTCAGCCTCCCGAGTAGCTGGGACTACAGGCGCCCGCCACCACGCTTGGCTAATTTTTTGTATTTTTTAGTAGAGATGGGGTTTCACCATGTTAGCCAGGATGGTCTCGATCTCCTGACCTCGTGATCCGCCTGCCTCGGCCTCCCAAAGTGCTGGGATTACAGGCGTGAGCCACCGCGCCCGGCCTATGTGACATTCATAAAATGACAGAAATGGGCAACAGATTAATGACTGGCAAAATTAAAAAAGGGATGGGAAGGTAGGAGAGAAGTGGGTTTGGCTATAAAAGGCACCATGACCACTGATTGGTGATGGAAACATTATGTATCTTGATGGTATCAATGTCAGTATCCTGACTGTGATATCGTCCTCTCACTTTGCAAGATGTTACCCTTGGGGAAAACTGGAAAGAGTGCTGGGGATCTCTGTATTATTTCCTAAAACTGCACGTGAGGCCAAGGCGGGCAGATCACTTGAAGTCAGGAATCTGAGACCAGCCTGGCCAACAAGGTGAAACCCCATCTCTACTAAAAATATAAAAACGAGCCAGGTGTGGTGCACGCCTATGAACCCAGCTACTCAGGAGGCTGAGGCAGGAGAATCACTTGAATCCAGGAGACAGAGGTTGCAGTCACCTGAGATTGCACCAGTACACTCCAGCCTGGGTGACAGAATGAGACTCTGTCTCAAAAAAAAAAAAGTAAAAAAAACTACAATTATCCAAAAAATGTTTTAAGTTAATTTTTAAAAGTACTAAAAGGGAGGAAAATTAGGAGTGATTTTTTGTTTGATTGTTTTTTTGATACAGGGTCTTGCTCTGTTGCCCAGGCTAGAGTGCTTTAGTGTGATCATGGTTCACTGCAGCCTCGAACTCCCAGGCTCAAGCAATCCTCCTACCTCAGCCTCCTGAGTAGCTAGGACTACAGGCACGAACCATGATGCCTGGATAATTTTTTAAATTTTTGTAGAGACAGGGTCTCACTATGTTTCCCAGGCTGTTCTCAAACTCCTGAGCTCAGGTGATCCTCCCACCTCGGCTTCCCAAAGTGCTGGGATTACAGGAGTGAGTTACTATGTCTGGCCAACAGTGGTATTTTAAGAACAGGTGATCTGTTCTTCAGGTTTTCTGCTCTGCAGCTTTCAGAATCCAGACATGGTAAACATAGCTAGGATATATAACATAGAAACTGTCTCTTTTATTTATTTGCTTGCCTTTTAACTTTTTATTTGGAAGTACTTTCACTTATAGAAAAGTTGCACCCCCAAAACAGAGTAAAGAACATCCTAACTTTACCCATATTCACTGGTAGTTACCAACTTAACCATCTGCTTTATCATAATTTCCTTCCTTCCTTCCTTCCTTCCTTCTTTCTTTCTTTCTCTCTCTCTTTCTTTCTCCCTCTCTCTCTCTCTCTCTCTCTCTCTCTTTCTTCCTTCTTTCAAGACAGAGTCTTGCTCTGTTGCCAGGCTGCAGTGCAGTGGTGCAATCTCGGCTCACTGTAACCTCTGCCTCCTGGGTTCAAGCAATTCTCCTGCCTCAGCCTCCCGAGTAGCTGGGACTACAGACGTGCACCACCACGCCCAGCTAATTCTTTGTATTTTAGTAGAGAGGGTCTCGATCTCCTGACCTCACAATCCACCCACCTCGGCCTCCCAAAGTGCTGGGATTACAGGCATGAGCCACTGCACCTAGCCCATAATTTCTTTCTTTATAGGTATGTATGTATATATGTGTATGTGTGTGTGTATTTGAGGGTGAGTTGCATGCCTCATGGCCCTTTCTCCTAAATACTAAACTACACGTTTGCTAAGAATGGCAGTGTGCTCCTACACACCACAGAACACTTCGCTTCTGTTAATTTAACAGATACAGTTCAATCTATGATTCGTATTCAAATTTTGTTAATTGACCCAATAATGTCCTTGATAGCATTTTTCCTCCTTCAGTACTGGATGCTGTTCAGAGTCAGGTATTACATTTTATTGTCTTCTCTCTTTTAATCTGAAACATTTCCGCAGCTTTTCTTTGTCTTTTATGATACTGACATTTTTAAGGAATACCATTTCCAAGCTTTCTTCTTCCCCTTGGCAAACAGAATGTAGCAGCTGCCTTAGTACTGACTTATAGTAACTTATATTGTGACAGATATCTGCATAGAAGAATCCACAGTTAATAAGAACCTCTAACTCGAGGTATATCCCATGTCCCATCCTGAAGCTGGGTGCTTAAATAGGCTCCCAGCCTCTCTAACAACTTGTACGCCCTTCATTTTGCCAGCTTGCCAACTGGAAATGTGTCCAAGGCTTTCTTATTTGGAACTAGAGGTTCCCAGAGCTACATTCCTATTCAACACAACAAATAAAAGAAAACTAAAAACATAACTGTTTTGTAAATCCCCAAATAAGAGAGTGAAAAGAACAGCCACAACATCTACCCGATAGCATGACTTTAAGCAACTCAACATAATTCAAACATTTAGCAAACATCGGTTAACAATAAACCAAGTACCTTCTGCAAGAGCTGGTTGCAGGACAAATCCTTTTCTAAAGGGACAAAGATGAATGCAACTTAAAGTGACAAGAACACTAAGGGAGCAGAAGCAAGCCATTTAAGGGTAAAAATGGAATTTTCTGCTATAAAGTAAAGCTCTGCATAAAAATAAGACAGAACAGGAAATCTAGTAAGGGTTTATTCATAAGACCCCATGCTGAGGATTTCAAGGAGACAGTCACGTTTCTGGGTAACTGACTATGGGATTGTCCCTCATGGGGCCAAGTAACCTGTCAAAGCAACGAGGCTTCCTACTCAACAAGCCCTGTGGCCACCCTGCCAGCTGGAGGCTCTATCTGAAGCCTGGAAACAGCTGTCAACATGCCTTGAATCCAACAGGTCCCGATGTGACCTCGGTCTTTTACCTCCGCACAAAGTTACGGCTTATGGCTGTTTGGACAGTCTGGTTTGTCGATCGTTTGGTCGGAAAGTCTGTTTTTTTCTTTTTTGAGATGGGGCCTTGCTCTCTCACCGAGGCTGCAATGCAGTGGCACGATCTCAGCTCACAGCAACATCCACCTCCCAGGTTCAAGTGATTCTCCTGTCTCAGCCTCCTGAGTAGCTGGAACTATAGTCACACGCCACCATGCCTGGCTAATTTTTGCATTTTCAGTTTCACCATGTTGGCTAGGCTGGTCTCCAACTCCTGACTTCAGGTGATCCACCTACCTCGGCCTCCCAAAATGCTGGGATTACAGGCGTGAGCCACTGCCCGGCCCAATGCTGTTTTTTTTTTTTTTTTTTTTTTAATTACTTGCATTCATCCTGTGGTTTCCATCCCAGCTCATGGCATCCTGCCCAGGGTATCACTAACTCCCTCCTCACTTCCTGCCACAGCCTCTTCCCTCTCCCTTTTCTAAGGTTCTCACACACGGCTGCCAGGTTCCTCACCTGAAGGAGAACCCTGATCACCTCCTGGGGATGGGCTCTTCTCGAGCATGGCTTCCAAGTACCCAGATTCACAGGTAGGGAAACCGACCAGGGACAGGTATCACCCAAGGCGACACGGCTGCTCAGTGGCTGGGCTGGAGCTAAGGTCAAGGTCTTCCTACACCCAACGCGGTGGAGCCTTTCCCACTTAGCCACCTTGCTTGGCCGGGCCCCACCCCTTCAGGCCCCTCTGCAAACCTCAGAACCACCTATAGCTTCTGCCCGGGCCCTGCAAGCTGCCCAAGGGGGCTTTTTAGCAGCTAGATCAGAGCATATCCAGTCCCCTAAGAAGCCCTCGCTGGTCCCCATCCCATGGCCTTTCACACACAACACAAACCAGAGTCCTCACAACGGCCCCGACCTCCACGAGACTGGTCCTGCCTCTCCCCTGGGACCTCCTGACCTCTTTCTCCTCCTCCTCCTCTCCAGGACACTGCTCGAGTCACACTTCCTGGCTGTTCCTCTCATGAGCCCACCCTGCTGCCCTCCCTGTCAGGATGCTCCCATCCTGATGTCTGCTCCACCTGCTCTCACCTGCTTCCAGCCCTTCCTCAGATGCTAGGTCCTGGTCACCACCTCAGGGAAGCCAAACTGGACCAGCTTCCTGGTGCCCTCACCCCTTCTGGCACCCTTGACCCACTCACCTGTCCTGGGCTTGCTCCTCCTACTGTACCTGAAGGCGGCTAAGTCACCAGGCCAGCTGCTCCATCACTCCACTCATGACCTGTCTGTCCCTGCCAGAGGATCAGCTCTCATAGACGAGGGTGTCATGGGTTTTGTTCACTTACGTATCTTAGAACAATGCCTGGTACAGAGAAGGAGCTCAAATATCTGGTGGAGTTTGAACTAGAATGCACGAATCTTCTCTTCATGTCCCCTAGCAAGCCTTGAACTCTGGCCAAAATAGATGACTCGGCATCTGCCAGCCCCACCCCAGGCTTCCTGGACTCTGTACTTTTTTTTTTTCTTTTTTTATGAGACAGAGTCTTGCTCTGTTGCCCAGGCTGGAGTGCAGTGGCGCAGTCTTGGCTCACTGCGATCTCTGCCTCCTGGGCTCAAGCAATTCTCCTGCCTCAGCCTCCCAAGTAGCTGGGATTACAGGTACCTGCCATTGTGCCTGGCTAATTTTTGTATTTTTAGTAGAGAGAGGGTTTTGCCATGTTGACCAGGCTGGTCTCGAACTCCTGACCTCAGGTGATCTGCTGTCTCGGCCTCCCAAAGTGCTGGGATTACAGGCGTGAACCACTGCACCCAGCCCTGGCCTCTGTACTTTATCCTACTTCTTTCTGCCAGGAATGCATCCCATTCTACACATTTGGGGGGCAGTACAGATGCCTTTCCTCTCCAAAGTGCTCAGGATCCCTCCAGGGGAAGGACTTTGTCCCTCCTCTGAATCACGACAACTCTCATTGTGGGTATTGATGTATGCCTTTTCTGCTCAACTGACCTGTAACTCTTGGAGGAAGAATTCTTGTCTGTCATCTTCCTCTCCTACACCAGGCAGACGTTCAATAAAAATTTACAGAATGAGTCTGACATTGGTGCTAAATTCTGAACATTGTTCCCTGTCTTACAAAAACTCAAATCAGGACCGGTGCAGTGGCTCACACCTGTAATCCCAGCACTTTGGGAGGCTGAGACAGGCTGATCCCTTGAGTCCAGGAGTTTGAGACCAGCCTGGGTGATATGACAAAACCCCGTCCCTACAAAAAAAAAAAAAAAAAAAAAAAAAAATTAGCTGGGTGTGGTGGTACACACCTGTGGTCCCAGCTACTTAGGAGGCTGAGGTGGGTGGATCACTTGAGGCCAGGAGTGAGCCAAGATCACACCACTGCACTCCAGCCTGGGTGACAGAGTAAGACCGTGTCTCAACAAAACAAAACAAACAACTCCCACCCCCCTGCCACCAAAAACACACTTACATCATTTTAAGTAATGGACCTATGAAAAAGAGCCTGTATACAGTACAAGTATTTAAAGGACAAGACTGGTTGCAGAACAAATGTTTTTCTAAAAAAAAAAAACAAAGATGAATGCAACTTAAAGTGACAAGAATGCTAATGGAACAGAAGCCAGCTGTTTAAGAGGAAAACTGAATTTTCTTGTTAAAAAGTAAAGTTCCTGAAGTGCATCCCATGACAGCCTGGGAGGGAGTGCATTGAACAGTTTTCAGGCCATTTGAACTGTCTATAGTCAGCTCTGTAAAGTCCACATCATTCAAGTAAACGTAGTCAGGATGCCTACATGTGCTTGGTGTCAGATGTCAGTATCCCTTGTGTGACACATGAGGCTTTTCTTAAGATGACTGACACCTTCCTAATACTGAGCTGTCCCTTCCATGAACATAGTATATCCATCTATTTATTTGGGCTATATTTAAGCTCTCTTAATAACATAATCAGTTTTCTGAGTAGAGATCTTATATATCTTTTTCAGATTTATTCCTAGATATAGATACACTATAAAAGTAACTTTTAATTAATAAACTTTCTTATTTAGAGAAGTTTTGGGCTTACAGAAAAATTGAGTGGAAAGTACAGAGAGGTCTCATATACCACCTCACTCCCACCACAGTTTCCCTGTTATTAACATCTTGCATTGGTGGCCGGGCGTGATGGCTCATGCCTGTAATCCCAGCACTTTGGGAGGCCGAGGCGGGCAGATCACGACAGCAGGAGATCAAGACCATCCTGGCTAGCATGGTGAAACCCCGTCTCTACTAAAAATACAAAAAATTAGCCGGGCGTGGTGGCGGGCGCCTGTAGTCCCAGCTACTCCGGAGGCTGAAGCAGGAGATTGGCGTGAACCCGGGAGGCGGAGCTTGCAGTGAGCCGAGATTGCGCCACTGCACCCCCTCCGTCACAAAACAAACAAACAACAAACAAACATCTTGCATTGGTGAGGTACATTTGTTGCCACTGATGAGCCAATGTTGACATATTATTGCTAACTGAAGCCCACAGTTTTCATTTTCACTCTTTGTGTTGTACATTTTATGGGTATTGACAAATGCCTAATAACATGTATTCATCGTTACGGTACCATACAGAATAGTTTCACTGCCCTAAACATGCCCTGTGTTCCACCTATTCATTCCTCTTTCCCTCCCCATGAGCCCCTGGCAACCACTGGCGCATCTTTTTACTGTCTTCATAGTTTTGCCTTTCCCATAATGTGTAGCCTTGGAAGCAGACAGTATATAGCTTTTTCACTTTGAGTTCTTTCAGGTATACAATATTTTCGATAATAATGTAAGTGGTATTATTTGCCAAAATGTTTTCCAAAGTGGCTATCATTTTACATTCCCATCAGCAGTGTATGAGAGTTCTTATTCCACATTCTTACGCATACTTGGTCAGACTGCTTAATTACAGCCACTCTTGTGGGTGTGTAGTGATATCTTTCTACGAAGAGAGATGTCTATGAACTTGCATTTCCCTAGTGACTAATGAGGGAAAGGCACATGAACATCTTTTCATGTGCTTGCTTACCATCCATTCAAATGACATGCCCATTGTTGAAGAGTTAGTTCATCTTTCACCCATTTTTAATTGGGTTGTTTGACATCTTATTGAATTACAATAGTTCTTTATATAATCCATATCCAAGTCCTTTGTCAGATATATGTTTTGTAAATATTTTCTCTAAGTCTATGGCTTGACTTTTCATTTTATTAAGTGTTTTCTGATGAGTAAAAGTTTCTAATTTTGAGGATGACTAATTTATTAATTTTTTCTTTTATAGTTTATGCTTTCTTCTTTTTTTTTTTTTTTTTTTTTTTTTTTGAGATGGAGTCTCGCTCTGTTGTCCAGGCTGGAGTGCAGTGGTACGATCTTGGCTCACTGCAAGCTCCGCCTCCCAGGTTCACGCCATTCTCCTGCCTCAGCCTCCCGAGTAGCTAGGACTACAGGCGCCTACCACCACGTCCGGCTAATTTTTTGTATTTTTAGTAGAGATGGGGTTTCACCGTGTTAGCCAGGATGGTCTTCATCTCCTGCCCTTGTGATCCACCTGCTTCAGCCTCCCAAAGTGCTGGGATTACAGGCGTGAGCCACTGCGCCCGGTCGCTTTCTTCTTTAAGAGACTGAGTCTTAGTCTTACTCTGTGGCCCAGGCTGGAGTGCAGTGGCATGGTCATAATTCACTGCAAGCTTCAACTCCTGGGCTCAAGTGATCCTCCTGCCTCAGCTTCGTGAGTAGCTAGGACTACAGACATGTGCCACTGTGCCTGGCACAGGCTTTTTATTTTTTTTTTTTGGTAAAGACCCACTCTTGTTATGTTGCCCAGGCTGCTCTCGGACTCCTGGCCTCAAGCTATCCTCTCACCTCGGTCCCCCAAAGCATTGGAATGACAGGTGTAAGCCAGCATACCTGGCCTAGTTAATGCTTTTTAAATCATGTTCAAGGAATCTTTGCCAAACCCCAAATCACTAGAATTTTCTCATATGTTTTCTTCTGAAGGTTTTATAGTTTTAACTCTTTTTTTAACACACGGTCTCTCTGTCACCCAGTCTGGAGTGCAGTGGTGCAATCATGGCTCACTGCAACCTTGACCTCTCTGGGCTCAGGTGATCCTCCCACCTCAGACTACTGTGCAGCTGGGACTACAGGTGAGTGTCATCATGCTCAACTAATTTTTTCATTTTTTTGTAGAGACGGTGTTTCGCTATGTTGCCCAGGATGGTCTTGTAACTCCTGGGGCCAAGTGATCCACCCGCCTTGGCCTCTCAAAGTGCAAGATGACAGGCATGAGCCACTGTACCTGGATGGTTTTAACTCTTACAATTAGATCTATGACCCATTTCAATAATAATTATATGACATAACAGTATCATATAATATATATTACATAATATAATATGTAACATGATATATACTATTATTACATAATAGTATAATATAATGATAATAATTATGAGTTTGTAGTGCTGTGAGCTGAAGGTTGAGGTTCTTTTGCATATGGCTATCCAGTTGTTCCGGTATCATTTGTTGAAAAGATTATCTTTTCCCCACTTAAATGACTTGGCACTTTGCTGAAAATCAATTGACCATATATGTGTGGATCTATTTCTGGACTTGCTATTCTGTTCCATTCATCTAATGGTCTATTTTCATATCAATACCATACTGTCTTGATTACTGTAGCTTTATAATAATTCTTGAAATCATGTAGTCTAAGTCCTTCAACTGTGTTGTTCTTTTTCAAAGTTATTTTAGCAACTCTGGGTTCCTTGCATTTCCATATAAACTTTAGAATCAGGTTATCAAATTCTACAAGTAGGCATGCTGAGGTCTGATTCCGATTGCTTTGAATCTGTAGATCATTTTGGGAAAAGTCGCCATCCTAAGATACTGAGTCTTCTGATTCAAGAGCATGTTATAACTTGCCATTTATTTAGGTCTTTTAAAATTTCTCTCAGCAGTGTTTTGTAGATTACAGTGTACAGGCCTCGCGCATTTTATCTCTGAGCATTTCATAATTTTCATGCTTGATTACTGTTTTTTGTTTTTTTTTTTTTGAGATGGTAGTCTTGCTCTGTCACCCAGGCTAGAGTGCAGTGGCATGATCTCGGCTCACTGCAAGCTCTGCCTCCTGGGTTCAAGCAATTCTCCTGCCTCAGCCTCCCCAGTAACTGGGATTACAGGCGCCTGCCACCACATCCAGCTAATTTTTGTATTTTTAGTAGAGATGGGGTTTCACCATGTTGGCCAGGCTGGTCTCAAACTCCTGACCCCAAATGATCCACCTGCCTCAGCCTCCCAAAGTGCTGGGATTACAGGCATGAGCCACCACACCTGGCCTGATGTATCCACTTTTACAAAATGCCATGTGGGTTTATCACTGAGAGACAAAGAGTAGACAAAACCATATGCTTTGCAGTCTGTGCATGAAACTGACCGACAGATGCTCAGGGACCAATCACAGACTGACTTTGAGAGAAGTGACGCAATTGGCCAGTGATCATCATGCACATCTGTTATCTATACTGTGATTTGTAGGCTGGAGAACTGGCGGCAGAGCTTGTACTTTATACAGCACTCACAGTGTATATACCATGGGAGCTGGGATCTGATCTGTATTGTTGGGAGACCACTATAATTTAACTAAGCAGTGATAATTAATATTTTATTTTTAAAAATAGAGATGGGGTTCTATGTTGCCCAGGCCGGTCTCCAACTCCCAGACTCAAGCAATTCACCCGCCTTGGCCTCCCAAAGCGCTGGGATTACATGCATGAGCCACTGCAGCTGGCCACTGACTGAAATTTATGCATAAGGGAACTGTGCAAAGGGAGGAAAGCCTGCATTTGAAAAATTGTCCTTAAAAATAATTAGAGGCCTAGGATGAGGCTCTGTTCCTCCAGAAGGATATTCACTTGCTTCTGCCAGGCATTTGAGGTCCTTGCAATCTGAGATCACCTTAATCCAGTCTCAAGGACTGGGCGTAGCTAGAACTGGACTTCAGTCCTCGATTACGCTGATCCGTTTCCAGGTCACCTGTACTCCTGGGATGGAGCTTTTTTGGGTCCCAATCCAAAGTTTGGGATGTTTACCAGGGTCTTCCCTTCTAGCCCCTCAAAAGTGCCACTCAGGCTCTTAACTGCTTCTTTCATAAATTGGCCAACACCCCAGGGACACAATGGCCCCAAACATCAAGTTTCCATCTTCTCCAGACCATGGCCTGGCAGTTCTTCACTATCTTGTAAACTCTCCAATTCCTCCACATATGTTTAAAGATTCTGTCCACCTTTGCCAGTTAACTTCCAAACTACTGAGCCACTGTCAGAAATGCAGTTCCCTGGCTGGGCGCGGTGGCTCACACCTGTAATCCCAGCACTTTGGGAGGCCAAGGGCAGGCGGATCACCTGCGGTCAGGAGTTTGAGGCCAGCCTGGCTGACATGGCCAAATCCCATCTCTACTAAAAATACAAAAATTAGCCAGGTGTGGTGGCAGGCGCCTGTAGTCCCAGCTCCTCGGGAGGCTGATATGGGAGAATCACTTATACCCCGGAGGCAGAGGTTGCAGTGAGCCGAGATCATGGCATTGCACTCTAGCCTGGGCAACAGAGCGAAACTCTGTCTCAAATAAATAAATAAACAAATGAAAATAAATAAAAATGTAAAAAAAGAAATGGAGTTCCCCAACTTAACGTTCTCAAACCATCCCAAATTTATCAGCCCTACGTTTTGAAATAGCTACTCGTCTTATTATTTTTTTACTTCCATAGCTACAAAGAAGTAATTCTGTAATCTTCAATAAAATCCATAGACTGAATGAAATAGGAAAACAATTACATTTCTACCCTTAATGTTTTCCTCATATTCAGGCATTACCCAAATAATAACTTTCTCATTAAAACACTAATAAAATTTTCAAACAGAAAACTGTCACCTTTTAATAAGCACAAGGGTGTAGATTTAAGTGGAGAGGAAGGCTTCATTAAATACCTCCTATGCTGGGCCACCTTCTAGCAGCTGAGGGTGCAGCCATGGAGAAAACAGAGAAACACCTCTGTCGTCATGGAGCTGCCATTCTAGGGAGGGGAGACAGGTGGGAAACAGACAAATCAAGAAAGCATGTACTGGCCGGGTGCAGTGGCTCATGCCTGTAATCCCAGCACTTTGGGAGGCCGAGGCTGGCGGATCACCTGAGGTCAGGAGTTCAAGACCAGCTTGGCCAACATAGCGAAAACCTGTCTCTACTAAAAATACAAAAATTAGCAAGGCATGGTGGTGGACACCTGTAATCTCAGCTACTCAGGAGGCTGAGGCAGTAGAATGGCTTGAACCCTGGAAGCGGAGGTTGCAGTGAGCTGAGATCGTGCCATTGCACTCCAGCCTGGGCAACAAGAGTGAAACTCTGTCTCAAAAAAAAAAAAAATTACTGTATGTAAATTATATCTTAATAAACCCGACTTTATTTATTTTGAGGCAGAATCTCACTCTTGTCACCCAGGCTGGAGTGGCGCGATCTCGGCTCACTGCAGCCTCCCTAGTTCAAGGGTTTCTCCTGCCTCAGCCTCCTGAGTAGCTGGGATTACAGGCGCCCACCACCACGCCCAGGTAATTTTTTTTGTAGTTTTAGTAGAGACAAGGTTTCACCATGTTGGCCAGGCTGGTCTTGAACTCCTGACCTCATGTGATCCGCCCGCCTCAGCCTCCCAAAGTGCTGGGATTACAAGCGTGAGCCACCGCACTCGGTCAACCTGACTTTAAAAAACACCAATACAAACCCTCAAACCCACCTCCATGGCCTGGTTTCTTGGGAATTAATAGAGAGTGGGGGGTCCGTCGTGGAAGGCTGGCGGGACACATCCTTGTCACTCCCATGGGGGAAAGCAGTGTGGGCGACTTCTCCAAGGACATCAGGGAGCCAGCCCTGCTTTCACTTGATGCAGCGGGGCCCAGGAGCCCCGGGCAGGATGTGGCTGTCTCCCTCCCCACCGCCCTGGCTGGGCAAAGCATGACGTGGCTGCCCTGGAAGGCACAGACCACTCATGTCACGTCGTCCTGGGAAAGGGGCTTCGAGAAAGGCCTGCATTTGTCTAGGGAATCATCTACCTCTCATTTCTATCAAACCAAATGGAGTCAAGCTCGCCACAGCCAGGAGCCTGCTCTTCCCGCTTATGTGACTGTGGTGAAATCGTGAGCATGAGGGCTCATTTGCTTTTCAGGCTAGAACTATCAGTGACGGAGCAAAGGCTGAAGCCACAACTAAGCAGGCAGTGTATCTTCAATATAGGTCATTAGATGTATGATTAGAGTTAATAATCACCTAGGATTTAAATTCTGCTAACCTATGTGGGTCACAAGGAGTTTAACTTGAGCGCTTAATGCCTTTAAGATCATAATCAGGAGAACTAAAATGAGCTCTTGAGTTTCTTGGATAATTTGTATTCACTCTTTCCTCCCCCTGGACTTGGTTCTTTAGTGAAAGGAAATTCCGAAGTTTAAAGACAACGACATCTGGAGCCGCACATTCCGTTCACTGGCAGGTGCTGCACACACGCCCCTGCGACCTCCGTGACCCTCTGTCCCCGCTCTTTCCCCTCTGCAGGCTGCTCTCAGTTTCCCTCCGTGCCTCTCCTTGAAGCTGGGAGTCTGCCAGTTATGCGATGCAGTGGTTGGTAGTGGCAGGGAATCATGCCTGCTGTTTTCCACAGCAGGACAGTGCCTGGCACGCAGTACGTGCTCAGTAAATATTTGCTGAATAAATACATGAACTGAGGAATGAATGACTGACATATGCCCCTAATAGCTGCTCAAGTGAAGGCAGAATTCATCAAATCAGAGTGACTCAAATGCCATAGGTTATCTGAAGGACAAAACTCCTGCCTCTAGTTTGGGGGAGCAGCAAGGAAGGCTTCAGGAAGGAGGTGGCATTTAAAACTTGAGGTATCTCAACCGGTGGGTACCCGGCAGGAGCCACAGGCTCCCAGAGCCAGTCCTGAAGCACCTACCAGCAAGAGGCTCCGGGTTCAACCATGAGTGATGAGCCAAGGACTCTGGCCTCACGGGGTCTCAGGGAGAGCCACTGTCACCAAGCCATCACTTGAATAAACACTGCCTGAGTGCACGAAAGGAAAAGCACCAGGTGTTACAAGTACCTGCATCAGCATACAACCCCAGCAGGTGGTTCAGGGAGCCTTCCCTAAGAGTGAGTTTAAGCTGAGGTCTCAAAGGTAGAGGTCACAGGGGTGCGGCGGGGTATGAGGGTAAGGGAGTGTGTCTCCGGCACGCCCAGTGCACGAGAAGAACCAGAAGGGGTTTGTGTAGACAGCGTGTCGGTCAGTCCCTGGAATGTCAGGGCCATGCCCTCCTATCAACCTCTCATCCCATAAACATTGGATGGATGGGACAACATTAAGATGGGAGAGGCAATGATAAGCAAGG
Source organism: Homo sapiens (assembly GCF_000001405.40). Classification (NCBI taxonomy): domain Eukaryota; kingdom Metazoa; phylum Chordata; class Mammalia; order Primates; family Hominidae; genus Homo; species Homo sapiens. Next base: position 46,162,243 of record NC_000022.11, on the reverse strand, counting down.
AAGCACCTACCAAGCTCACACTACCTGCCAGGTGCAGCAATCCAGAGAAACCCTAGCATGCACCCCTCTTGTAGCTGAGGGAAACTGAGCCACAGGCCAGCTGAAAAATCTGTCTGCATCTGAGAGCTGCTAAGTGGTGGGTGAGGACCCTACACCTTGTCCTGCCTTTGATGTCCCCCACCCAGCCCTAGCAGGAGGCTGGCAACTGAGACCGAAAAGGGTCGCCAGGGTGAGGGGAGGGGAAAACGCAGGACAGCTCAGAATCAGACACACTGAGGGCGAGGGCCTCCGGGAGGGCCCAGGTGACATCTGGAAGGCGGGTGGGTGACAGGTTTCAAGCTCACAAAGGTGATGGTGACGTACAGGGGGCCTCGTGGAGCCAGAGGGGGTGGGGGCATCCAGAAAAGCGCAGGGACCAAACGCTAGCGCGGAAAAGGGAACGCCACTGAGGGCTCTGAGGAAGTCGCACACACACAGTCGGAAAGTCCACATCTGCTCACCTGGTCCTTTGGTGATTTAACTTCACGTGTATAAAAATGATACCTGGTGGATGGATGTGTTACACCTTAGGCTAGAATCTCATCTTTTTCTCTCTCAGAAGAAATTAATTCCTTTTCTGAGTTCTAATTTTTATTTATTTATTTATTTACTTATTATTTTTGAGATGGAGTCTCGCTGTTGCCAGGCTGGAGTGCAGTGGCACAATCTTGGTTCACTGCAGCCTCCGCCTCCCGGGTTCAAGTGATTCTCCTGCCTCAGCCTCCCGAGTAGCTGGGACTACAGCCATACCATGCCCAGCTAAATTTTGTATTTTTAGTAGAGACGGGGTTTCACCATGTTGGCCAGGCTGGTCTCGATCTCTTGACCTCGTGATCCACTCACCTGAATTCTAATTTTTAATTGTTCCTTCTTGTCTTTCAGAGGCTTCCTCCTTGAAGAGTCTACAACAGACCTGATACCATAATTGGGCACACATCCTTCTGAAATTCCTTCTAGAAAATGATTTAATCTACTAAGAAAGCCCACATTTGAATTCATTCATTCCAAAAAGAGTCTCCATCCACTTCCTAGGTTTTGAGCTCTTTTTATGAGTCCATGGAAGCTGCCGTGGTTTTCTCTGAGTCCATGGCCATATTTTCCCTCTGGGTTCTTGTTTCTTTTAAGTCTTATACCTCTATTAGTATTAAAGATCATCAGCTGTGCTTGAGTGTGGTTAAATATTCACTTTCACTTAGACTTCTGACCTAGACACTAACAGCCAACCTTGCTAGATTCATCTAAGTAAAGGGAATGCAACAGGAAAAAAAGCCAATAATTTTTGGTTTCCAGAGTGAAAGAAAAATACTGGGCTGGACATCATGAATCACACCTGTAATCCCAACACTTTGGGAGGCCAAGGCGGACAGATCACTTGAGCCCAGGAGTTTGAGACTAGCTGAACATGGCTAAACCCCATCTCTACAAAAAACACAAAATCTAGTTGGGTGTGGTGGTGTGCACCTGTAGTCCCAGCTGCTCAGGAGGCTGAGGAGGGAGGATTGCTTGAGCCAGAGAGGTGGAGGTTGCAGTGAGCTGAGATCACACCACTGCACTCCAGCCTGGTGACAGAGTGAGATCCTGTCAAGAAATAAATAAACAAACAATATTGGGCCAGGTGCGGTGGCTCACGCCTGTAATCCCAGCACTTTGGGAGGCTGCAGAGGGCGGATCATGAGGCCGGGAGTTTGAGACCAGCCTGGCCAACGTGGTGAAACCCCATCTCTACTAAAAATACAACAATTTAGCCAGGCATGGTGGCGCGTGCCTGTAGTACCAGCTATGTAGGAGGCTGAGGCAGGAGAATCGCTTGAACCCAGGAGGCAGAGATTGCAGTGAGCTGAGATCGCACCACTGCACTCCGGCCTGGGTGACAGAGCGAGACTCCATCTCAAAAACAAACAAACGAACACCAATATAGATTTCTTATATTGGCATCCTGCTAAATACTCTTCACATTCTCTGTTCCCACGTGAAGCCTGGGACTTTGAAGGCATTGCTACTGCTCTGAATTGAAAGCTTCCACTTACAGCTTTCTGCTGGAAAGATCCCCGCCAGCTGCCACCCTTAGCTGGGAATGGGAGCCTGCTCCTCTGGGTTCAGTGCACCAGCCCTGGATCCGCACTTCCCAGCCCTTCGCTGGCGGTTCAAGACTGTGGTTTTCAGGCTGCTGCAGTGGTGGTCGGCGTCTTCCAGTCACAGCTTGTGATCGGAATCTCTGTCCCTACACTACTTCTGGGTGTACACACCTTCTTCCCTGGGTCTGGAAACCTCTCTCTTGGCTTCGGAGGAATTCACTAGGCACCCACAACCCACCCTCAGTGTCATTAGTCATCACTTGTCACGCAAGTTCTTTGAACGCTGTTAGTGCCAGCTTTTTCTCTCAAGGATCCTTGGCTTCAAACACATTTAAATACCCTCTCCCCTTCATGCCTCTCATTTTCCAAAGCCTTCTTCCCAGGATAGCCCTCTCCTTTGAGTCCCACCTTCAAGATCTTCGCATAATTGAACTTAAAAAATTCCCTCTTTCAGAACACCTTGCTGAATAGACTAGACTAGGCTTCTTTTTATGATTTGAGTATTACAACAATTGAGTGCCTTCCTTTCTGGAAAAGGCTAACAAAGCGAGTTTTTCTAAGGAAAGAAGAGAATGAAAATCGCGTTCTAAACTTTTGTGCACTTCTGATTGCTTGCTTGTGAATCACAGGGAAGCCGTGCAGAGATGGGAAGCCCAACCTCCCTTGCCTGTATCTGGTGACAGGTTCTGTAACAGTTGTCAAAGTGGGGGGAAAAAAACGACAATCGTACAACTCAAGCAAAATACGCTGCTTCACAAATTGTAAAGTCCAAGGACACTGTCAACAGGTCAAATACTGCCCTGCTTGTTTCTATTACAAAAAACTTTTACATACTAAGAGATGATTCCAATTTAAAGCACATTTCTAACTTCTCTGAGCATTTTTTTCTTTAAACATCATTTGTGTTAATTTCATCCCCAATGCACAGATAGAACAGAAGCCAGGTGTGGTGGCTCATGCCTGTAATCCCAGTACTTAGGGTGGCTGAGGCGGGCAGATCACTTCAGGTCAGGAGTTTGAGACCCAGCCTGGCCAACATGGTGAAAGCCCGTCTCCACTAAAAAATACAAAAATTAGCCGGGCGTGGTGGCACATGCCTACAATCCCAGCTTCTCAGGAGGCTGAGGTAGGAGAACCACTGGAACCCCGGAGGCAGAGGTTGCAGTGAGCCGAGATCACGCCAGTGCACTCCAGCCTGGGCAGCAGAGCGAGACTCCAGCCTCAACACCCCCGACAAAAAAAAGAGACACTATCCCAGTTGTCAAGCTGCCTCATAAAATGAGCTAAAATGAGACTGCAGTCTAGAATTTATCAAATTTACTCATAATCCTAGGCAGAGGGCAATATGTTCCTCATGTTAGCAGCCCACTCAATGTTATTTTGTTCCATGTGGAAAACTGCCTGAAAATGCTTCAAAAAATTCATCCCACTTAAATATCCCTATTACCATTTCTTCCATAGATAACAGAAGAAAACTTGTTTCAGATCATCAAGATTTGCATGTCACTTGATTGGCAATCTGTATTTTACAAGCCATATTGCTGAATTATAAACACGCATTTAAATACTCATGTAAAGCTGACCACGAACTTCTTAGAAAGGGACATATCCACGTGTCAACCTCTAAATAACTGGGTCTCTTTTACTGAAACTTGGCAATTTGTCACCTTGGCGTGGTTATCACATAACTTCAGACGTATTCAGTTACAAACAAATGCAAAAAAACTTGGGGCCTCACTCTTTTTTTTTCTGAGATGTGCAGTGGTGCGATCTCAGCTCACTGCAACCTCCGACTCCTGGGTTCAAGCAATTTTCCTGCCTCAGCCTCCTGAGTAGCTGGGATTACAGGCACCTGATACCAAGCCTGGCTAATTTTTGTACATTTAGTAGAGACAGGGTTTCACCATGATGGCCAGGCTGGTCTCAAACTCCTGACCTTGTGATCTGCCCACCTCGGCCTCCCAAAGTGCTGGGATTACAGGTGTGAGCCTCCACGCCTGGCCTCGCTCACTCTTAAAAATGAAAAATGAAAAATGAAAGGGGGTGGGGGAACTTCAATATTCTGCTTTACTATAGCCTCATCTCAAACCATTCCTATGAAGCTCATAATCTTGGAAGCCATTAGTCCTTCTGTATTTGCCTTCCTAACTCTTACTATTCAAAATGATGCTCTTTCGAAAGTTGGCTTGTGGTCTATAAGTTAAAATATAAAGCAAGTAAATCTGAATAGAAATCTTCACTCCTCTTTATCTGCAAATCTCTTAAAATGGAGCAAAATAAAAGCATTCCGATGAGTCCTGCCTCCTGGAACACAGACGATATTTCATCTGAGTTTTCTCCAATTTCTCCTGGGAATATTTTAATGTGACAGTCAGAGCAGGAGAAGGACCCTCACCTTGTTAAATATCAGTGCTGCCCACCTCACTTCCCTTTCACCATACCCCTTCCCTATGAAGTCAGTTGTGTTGAATTTAAATCCATGATCTTGCAGAAAGAAAGAGGATTTTATTTAAATAGATCCTCAGGTCATCTTATAAAAATTCTATTTAATCCATAATATACCCCAAATCTAGTGATGATTATGAAGGGGACCCTTTCAGCGGCAGCCCTCACCTTCCTAACACCGCTGTAATGGGAGGTACATATTGGACATCTGGAGGAAACACCTGCTCCCTACAGAAGGAAGAAGAGCTCTCTCTCAGTCTAGGTGTGGGGGAAGCTGCAGAGGTCTGGGACAATTTCGCTGCGGTGGGATGGAGCGGGCCATCATCCGTAGGTGCCGCTGTCTGCACTCCTGTTTAGGTGCCTCCCCCTTCAGCCAGCTCCCACCTACATCTCAGTACTGTGGTGACCACACAGGCCCATCAATACATTCTTCTTGAATTAAATTCTATTAATCAGGTACTTATTCAATGAACATTTACAAGTACCTACTCAGTTTACACGGCTAGCGGGGCAGAAATAAATAAGACATCCTCTCTGCCCTCAAGGAGTTAGACTCAGCGAGGACAGTCAGACTAACAGAAACAGGGGTGCAGGCAGCACCGGGTCCTGGCTTGACGGAACTGTGTCCAGGCATGGGGAGATTCACTGGGCCTGCATTTCAGCAGATCCCTCTTCAAGATGAAGAGGCCTGGTCCAGGTATGCCATGGAGTTGGAGTAAGAGCAAACACAAGGTATAGCCCTGCCAAAACCTGAGGTCACAATCACCTTCAAAACACACAGGAGGCCGGGTGTGGTGGCTCACGCCTGTAATCCTAAGACTTTGGGAGGCTGAAGCAGGTGGATCACCTGAGGTCAGAAGTTCAAAACCAGCCTGGCCAACATGGTGAAACTCCATCTCTACTAAAAATACAAAAATTAGCTGGGCGTGGTGGCGGGTGCCTGTAGTCCCAGCTACTTAGGAGGCTGAGGTGGGAGAATTGCTTGAACCCGGGAGGCGGAGGTTGCAGTGAGCCAAGATTGTGCCACTGCACTGCAGCCTGGGTGACAGAGTGAGACTCTGTCTCAAAAACAAAAACAAACACATAGGAACCACTTGTAACAACTTTATTGTACTGGTGGAGAAATCTCACTTTTATATTCCAAAATGAAAACCAGTTTTGGTGTATAAGGGGTACGGTAGCATGTTGCTTTCTGAAAGCCTTTGAAAAATCCTAAAATGGCCACAGTGAAAACAACACAGGTATCAGACCTGGCTAAGTGAGAAAGGCAGGAGCCAGCGGTATGTCCTCCTTCTTAAGACACCTCCTGAGATGGGCAGTTTTTTAAGCTGCCACTTCGAGCTTCACAGCCCTTCAGAGAGGTGGTATGGAGAGGAACTTCATTTTCTGATGAGAAAGCAGCAGTTTAAAGAAGAGAACAAAGGTCTCCAGGCCTGGCAGGCAGCAGCTAAGGGGCTAGAATCCAAATCTCATGATTAATGACCTAATACCTTTTCCACTATATCAAGCTGCTTTGCAGATACACAGCAATATTTCCAGATTTCCAACCACTTTTACCATATGTGAGCCTCAAAACCAACGCAGCTCAGCTGCAAAGATAACCATGATAGGTTGAGACCTGGCAAGGAGTAAGTTCTTTTCTTTTCAAATGCATAAACTTTTAAGACACCGTAATATCACTATTAAAAGATGCTAATTAAATATCCTAAAAGCAAAGAATGCACACACCTCTGAGTAACGAGCAAATCCGGTCCTGTCTGGAAAATATGCCTGCATGGTGCTCCTTTCCAAAGAAGCTCAGTGCATGCAAGCGGCAGAAATACTTGGAAAAAGAAGCACATTCTTTTAAACATGGGCCGCTGGAACAGCTAAGGCTTTCTCCTATTTGATTCTTACCTTAAACCCATCTTATCACCAAGTTGAAAATGTAAATTCTGTGCCCAAGTTTCCCTAACCACATGGCCTTAAAGGTGATCTAGCTTATTCTGGGCAATTCATAAGGCTGAAATGACAGACATAGCACATTTCTACCCCATAATCAGAAACTATACCTTTTTAAAAAGTATCTACAGCTGGGCGCAGTGGCTCACACCTGTAATCCCAGCACTTTGGGAGGCCGAGGCGGGTGGATCACCTGAGATCAGGAGTTCGAGACCAGCCTGGCCAACATGGCAAAACCCCGTCTCTACTAAAAATACAAAAAATAGCCAGGTGTGGTGGTGGGCACCTGTAATCCCAGCTACTGGGGAGACTGAGGCAGGAGAATCGCTTGAACCCAGGAGGCGGAGGTTGCAGTGAGCTGAGATTGCGCCACTGCACGCCAGTCTGGGCAACAAGAGCTAAACTCCGTCTCAAAAAAAGAAAAGAAAAGAAAAATGGACTCTATGCCAGGCTACCAAAAACAAATAAAAACAGAGACTCTCAAGTTCCAAAAAAGCAGAAATTAGACAGGCCACAACCTCTAACTGCAATGTGACAAAATTAGTACAAACATTAAAGAAAAACACTGACTACTTGGAAGTAAAGACACTCATCCTATTTGCCATTAAAAATATATCCATCCACACACAGAAACCAATAGAGCAAAAAAAGAGAAGAAAAATTGGCATGTTTCAAATATATTTATAATAAGCAAATACATATTTTAATTAATGTGGTTTTTTTTTTTTTTTTTTTTTTTTTTTTTTTTTTTTTTTAAAGAAAGACCACTTATGCCGGGTGCAGTGGTTCATGGCTTAGTCCCAGCACTATGGGAGGCCGAGGCAGGAGGATGGCTTGAGCCCAGGAGTTTGAGACAGGTCTGAACAACATAGCAAGACCCCGTCTCTGCAAAAAATACAAAAATGAGTCAGGCCTGGTGGCGTGTGCCTGTGGTCCTAGCTGCTTGGGAGGCTGAGGTGGGAGGATCACCTGAGCCCAGGGAGGTCGAGGCTGCAATAGGCCGTGATCATGCAGCTGTGCTCTAGCCTAGGTGACACAGTGAGACCCTGTCTCAAAAATAAATAAATAAATAAATAAAATTAAAAACACTGCTTAAAGATGATTACATAAATATTTATTTATTTTTTGAGACCAGGTCTCACTCTGTCACCCAGGCTGGAGTGTAGTGGTGCCATCTCAGTCACTGCAACCTCCACTTCTCAGGCTCAAGGGATCCTCCCACCTCAGCCTCCCAAGTAGATGGGGCCACAGGCACACGCCACTATACCTGGCTAATTTTTGTATTTTTAGTAGATGCAGGGTTTCGCCAGGTTGCCCAGGCTGGTCTTGAAGCCCTGGGCTCAAGCAATCCATCCCCTTCGGCCTCACAAAGTGCTGAAACCATAGGCGTGAGCCACTGCGCCCAGGCTACTTAAATATTTATTTAAAAAACAGACTCTCCAAAACAGCATGCAAGAAAAAGAACACTGGCCACCAATTACTAAAGAGTAAGATGTCCCGGCAAAAATAGGTTCTTCATCTTTTACCATGATGAGGATTATCTTTAAGTTTCTTTTTTATATTCTGGTATGAAAATCAGTTTCATGGATTCATGCTTGTCTTGTTCAGCACTGCGGACAGTAGCCCACAGCAGCTACTCAGTCAATATTTATAGAATGACTGTATTAAATATATACACATAAAGAGATTGGCTAAATATTATTGTATCTAAACACAATGGGATATTATATAGACATTTCAAATGATGCAGAAATGTTTTTCACATAGGAAGATTTTTCATAACCTACTCGATAAAGCAAGTTACAAAATAGTGTATAAAGAAGACACATTTTCTCCTTCTTCTCTGTCTAGTTCTGTCTCTCTCATATACAATTTTTTTTTTTTGGAAACGGAGTCTTGCTCTGTCACCCAGGCTGGGGTGCTGTGGTGCCATCTCAGCTCACTGCAACCTCCACCTCCCGGGTTCAAGAGATTCTCCTGCTTCAGCCTCCTGAGTAGCTGGGACCATAGGCACCCGCCACCATGCCCAGCTAATTTTTGTATTTTTAGTAGAGACAGGGTTTCACCATATTGGCCAGGCTGGTCTCAAACTCCTGATCTTGTCATCTGCCCACCTCAGCCTCCCAAAGATTACAGGTGTGAGCCACCGCACCCGGCTGATACACAATTTTTAAAACTCTGTTCATAAGTTTGACAAACAGGAGCTAATGAAAACCACTGCAGTATTCGATGATTATGACACGTCTCCTACTTTACGTTTAAGATGTCGGAAAAGGGCCCGGCGCGGTGGCTCGCACCTGTAACCTCAGCCCTTTGGGAGGCCAAGGCAGGCGGTTCACCTGAGGTCAGGAGTTTGAGACCAGCCCAGCCAACATGGTGAAACCCACCTCTACTAAAAATACAAAAATTAGCCGGGTGTGGTGGTGAGTGCCTGTAATCCCAGCTACTCGGGAGGCTGAGGCAGGAGTATTGTTCGAATCCGTGAGGTGGACGTTGCGGTGAGCCAAGATCATGCCACTGCACTCCAGCCTGGGTGACAAGAGCAAAACTCTGTCACAAAAAAAAAAAAAAAAAAAAAAAGGATGTGGGAAAAGAAAGAAAAAACATTTTTTTCTAATGTCAATTAGTTAATTAATTTTATTTTATTTATTTATTTTTGAGACGGAGTCTCGCCCTGGCGCCCAGGCTGCAGTGCAGTGGCACAATCTCAGTTCACTAAAACCTTCACCTCCCAGGCTCAAGCGATTCTCCTGCCTCAGTTTCTTGAGTAGCTGGGATTACAGATGTCCGCCACCATGCCCAGGCAATATTTCTATTTTTTTGTAGAGACAAGGTTTCACCATGTTGGCCAGGCTGGTCTCGAACTCCTGGCCTCAAGCGATCTGCCCACCCCAGCTTCCAAAGTGCTGGGATTACAGGAGTGAGCCACCGCACCCAACTTGCCAATTAGTTTACTTTTGCTTCAGAGTTGCAGAGGTCATCATCAGCCCCAGTGTCCCTGGTCTCTCATGGATGGTGACCACACAAATTTGTATCATCTGGCCCGTTTCTTCAGCCTATCCCTGGCATGTTCTGGCACGGGTCTATCTCAAGAAGCCATCTGCTTAATATTCAAATCAAAATGAAAACAGCTCAGAGACAGTACACTACTCGGTACCAGTCAGTGTGGACATCCCAAGGGTCTAGTAAGCACTCACGTTTCTCAAAGTTAATGTCATCAAGTTTTAAATTATACAAAACATGCCTGCCACGAAGCAATGAAGTTCCTAGCAAAAGTCACACAATAACTCAGAACTTCAAAGTGAATCCTAGGCCAGGCACGGTGGCTCACGTCTGTAATCCCAGCACTTTGGGAGGAACAGGTGGATCATGAGGTCAGGAGTTCAAGATCAGCCTGGCCAAGATGGTGAAACCCCGCCTCTACTAAAACTACAAAAATTAGCTGGGCATGGTGGCAGGCGCCTGTAATCCCAGCTACTCGGGAGGCTGAGGCAAGAGAATCGCTTGAACCCCAGTGGCAGAGGTTGCTGTGATCTGAGATTAGGCCACTGCACTCCAGCCTGGGCGGCAGAGCGAGACTCCGTCTCAAAAAAAAAAAAAAAAAAAAAAAATGAATCCATGCACATGTATTTTACTTTCAGTCTGAAAACGTATCTAACCTTGCATCACAAAGTAATAACCCCCAGATTGCTGGTCTGTAGTGCAACAGAAGTAAACACTGAAAACACTTAAATATTTCCATCTGGAAACAGTAAATTAAACCTTCTATTTACCTGTGGTGACAGCTTCTCAGTTCTGAGCTTGTCTTGCCACAAACTGTTGAGTCCACAGAGCAGACAGGGCCCTGAGCTTCAGCCTGGCAGTAAGAAGGTGAAGGAGGAAGTGATTACGGTTGTTCTCTGGATGCCCCCCAACTCTTCACCTTGGAAGAGGAAAGTCATGCTGACCCTGCCCCGCAACGACACGGGTGTCGCAGGGTCCTTCCCAGGAAAATCCCGTGTCCTTGCCCTGACCCAGTTCCCCAAGGCACCCTTATCCCAAGGAGGCTGGGAGAGGAGGGGCCTCCCTGGTTTCCTGGCAGGGGTCGGCTGAGGCTGACGTGGGCGTGCAGCCCCGGAGGTCCCACGAAGCCCAGGCCATTGGACAACTGTGGGTTTTTCTTGGAAAGAATCCTGACACTTGGAGCACACTTCCTCTCTTTTAACTTTTAAAAAAGACTTCAGAAAAGCACAGGCGTGCAGTTGTGCCCGGTTGGGGTGCGTGAGGGGGCAGGGCCGACCCTCCTGACTTCCACTGGCACCACCCCGCGCCCCTCCAGCTTCACCCGCACCACGCGGGCCGCGCAGCCCGGGACTCCGGAAAGACCTGGGCGCCCGACCCTCAGCGGCCCCGACCGGGAGCGACGTGGCGCGGCTTCCGCAGAGAAGCCACCCGGCCCAGCGCAGCCTGTCCGGGGTCGCCCCGCCGCGTTGGGGCACAAAGTGGGAACCGTTCCTCAAAGGTGGTCGCAGCTGGAGGAACAAACACGCGCGTCTCCGTCCGACGGCAGAAGCCGGGCGCACCCACCCAGGGTCGGTCTGTCCGGGGCCCGGGTTTCCTCGCCTCGGAGATCCCTGGAGGTCTCGGAAAGCACCTTCTGAGTCGGCGACGCCCCAGCTCCGCTGCGCCGAGGAAAGGGCAAGTCCCGATGTCCCCGCCCGTGGGCCCTCCCTCCGAGGGGACAACCCGAAGACCCAGAGTCGCTGCGGTCCCCAGACCCGACCTCCGCGCAGCGCCAAACCCCAGGGACAGCCGCGGACTCGGGTTCCGGGCAGGCCCCCAGCGCTAGGAGGGAGGCCGAGCTGGGCCCCGAGATCCCTCGCAAGAGTCCTCGGTGTGTGTCCTCGCTCCTCGCCCTCAGGTCCCCAGCCGCGCACCCCGGGCCCCCGGGTCCCCGGGACCCGGAGACCCCGAGACCCCGGGCCCCGCGCATGCGCCGCCCAGCCCCTGCCCCTCCCCCGTCCGCCGCCCTCCGGGTCCCGGGACCTGGGAAGCCCGGACCGCGGACCCCCGCGCGCGTTCCCGCCCGCCCGCCCGCCCGCCCCCGGGCACCTGGGCCGCGGTCCGCCGCCTGCCGGTCCGTGGGGCGAACGCCGAAGGAGGCGGCGCCGGGCAGGGCGCTAGCGGCCGCCTCCGCCCCCGCCGCCCGCTGCCCCCGCCGCGGGGCCGCCGCGTCCACGGCCCATGCCCGGCGCCGCCTCCGCGCGTCCGTGCCAGCCGCGCCCCCGCGACACGCACCGCCCCTCGGCCCGCCCCCTGCCCCGGTCCGCGCGAGCCAGTGTCCCGAGGCCCGACCCGGAAGCCCCGCCCGCCCCGCGCGCCCTCCGGGCCCCGGGCCTCGGCCCCGGGACACACCCCCCGGAGGGCGGCGCCCGATTGGCTGCTCGCGGTGGGCGGGGCCCCGGGAGCGCTCAGCGGCTCCCACCTAGCGCCCCGCGGCCGCTGCAGCCAAGGGAAACTGAGGCCGGAGAGGTGGAGGGACCGTCCAAGGTCACCGATGGGACACCGCTGAGCGTCAGCGCCCCTCCAGCCCGGCGCACCGGGGCGGGGCTGAATTCGAGGCGGGGACGCGCGGCCGCGGGGCGGGTGGAGGTTCCCGCCGGGCGCCCGTGCCACGCTGGCGAGCCCCTCCTGCCTCCTCGATGAGCCCGGCTCTGCTACTCTGTGCGATGAGCCGGTCTAGACCCGGGACCCGGGACCGGGTGCCCTTGAGGCTCAGAAGTGCGTAGGGTGGGAGGCGGCCCGGGAGGGACCTTGTCCCTGGAACCCCAGGATGCAAAATAAGGAGAAGGGGAAGGCGAGCTGGGAGGACAAGGAAACAGGTGGCGGGAGGTGCCAGGGCGGTGTGGTGGGCGGGGGAACGAGGAGGGTGAAGGGCAACGCGGACGGGCTCGGGGAGGCGCCGCCAGCTCCGACCCCACAACCCCACCCCTCTCCAGCGGCCCAAGAGCCATGCCCGCCCCTACTTCATGCGCTGGGGGGTGAGGGGCTGACTTTGTGCCTACGCAAGGCGCTGGGACTCTGCCAGAGCAAGGAGAGGTCGCGGCCCGGTGGCCAATGGCGAGGAGTAGGAGAGCGCCCTGCAAAGCCGCTTTGTTCGGGCCGTGACGCTCGAGCTGCCGGAGCGGAATGCACAAAGCCCCTGGGTGCCGGCACATCAGGGCTCCCCTCCTCGGGAACGCAATGTGTGCTATGCCCGCTCCACTGCCTGCCCTCCGCTGCCAGCTGTGCCTGCCACTGTGCTATTTGTGGCAGCGGGCGCCCAGGAGGACCCACTCCGGAAAGCAAACCCAGATCTCATTAGGCAGGGGAACTGGAGATCAGGCGGGAACTGGCCCTTTCACAAACTTCTCTTAAACTCACCCTTGTTGATTAGCCAGGCACCTATGGTGAACTTTGCCCCACCCTCCAGACACCCACATATCCTTCCCACTGGCACACGGCAACCTCACCTTCTCTTGCACATGTTAGCCAGCAATAGCTATCATTTATGTTGTTTCAGAGTTTATAGGGTGACCTGTACACGTAATATCCTGCATATCTCGTGGGGTGTGCAGGCAGCCACATCCAAGCTTGTCATCCTGTTGTGTTTGGTGAGGGAAGCTGACCCTGGGCTGCCCACGCAGAGCTCAGGGGCTACATCCTCATGAGGACCTCCGGGCTCAAAGACATTACCTGGCATACCCATATCCCAGACTCTCAAGGACCAGGGTCCACACAGGTGTGTGACCCAGATGCACCACCCAGGTCAACCAGGTGTTGAAAGACCTAGTGAACATTCTCATGAACAAGGACAAAGGCTATGTGGGGGTGTGCAGAGTGGTCACGTACACTCAGCAGACATAGGAAAGTGATATTCTTGGGTTTTTTGGGGCTCCCAAGGTTTTAGGGAGAGAAAACTTGTTTTTCATCCATGTGTCCCAGAAATAAGCATTTTCAATCAAATGCTGTCAGCCAGTCTCCCGCAGGCGTCCTGAGGGTAGAAGCAAGTTCAGGACTCTTCTCTTGGGAGTATCCTGGCCAGAAACAGCCCCATATCCATGCTTCCCGGGGGTGGTAGGTTTCTTCTGGGAAACCACGCTCAGATGAGAGAGATGAAGCAATTTTCTGTTGGCCACGAAGACCTTGTCACACACCCAGCATGGGAGCAACTGTCACAAAGGGCACACCCTCACCCCCATTCCCAGCTCCAGGAAGTCTCTCTTTACCTTCTTCAGTGCTGATGAAATGAGGGCCACACGACAGAACAGAAACACCGCTGGCGCAGGGACTGAGTAGAAATCTGTAACTTTGAGGACAAATCAGTGCTCCTGAAAATGTCTCTGAGCACCACCTGAGTTTCCTCTCTGGCGCCTTAGTGACTACTGGGAGCATCTGGTGCATATGGATCTTAGTTCATAGCTACCATTTATGTGGTGACAATGCTGTCTCAGGTCCCTTTTTACATTTTCTGATCCGGAAGATGTTCTGAGGGTAATTATTACTGTGCCCACATTGCAAGATGGAGACTGAGGCACAGAGAAGCCCCATCTGCACTGGGTCCCCCAGGCCAGCGGCAGGGCGCAGGACGGAAGGCAGGTCTGTAAAGCCCACGTCTGCCCTGCTGAGCTGCTCTCTCCTGCAAGTGCTGACCTGCCAGCCAGCCAGAGAAGCCGAGGCTCTCCCACAGCCTCAGGGAAAGAATTGGGAAGCTGGGAATTCAGACGGGAAGGGGTTGCTGGAGGAGGCAACCTGGAGTGATAGGGCTTGGCCGCTCAGTACAGGGCAGCAGTTAGACCCTGAGTGCTGGGAGCAGGTGATGACGGTCATCTGTGTTCAGGGACCCCAGTGCTTTCCCTGACCCTGCCAGGGTGAAGCTTCTCCTATGGGCCTGGGGTCCAGGCTGGAGTCTGTTTGCCAGCCAGGGCCTGCGAAGTTTGCTGCTGGCTTGCCCTCTGCTGATGTGCAAAGCTCTCTGTCAAGGGGGAGTGTGTGCTTCCAGGGTGTCATCCGCCAGGGCAGTGGCCTCTGAGCTCCTGGAAGCGTGCCTGCAGGTCAGGTGGTGGAAGTCCACCGGGGCAGGGGCCGTGGGCTGAGAAAGGGAGGGCTCACTGGCAGCGAGCAGGCGGCTGCTTGGCGACCCAAGGCTGGACCTCGTCGGTGAGGGCCAACCATGGGCATGTCCTTAGTTGCCATCCTGGTACTGACAGCAAAACCCCATGGGTCCAAGGTAACAAAGTATTGTCATACTAGGGGACAGAATCTACAAGAGTCCCACAAGGCAGCTGTGCTTATGCTCATCTTACAGATGAGGAACGAAGGGCCAGGAATGGCAGCATGTGGCCAAGGTCCCCGGCAGGGAGTGAGAACTCTCCCGAGTCCCAGTCCATCAGCACCTGGCCCTGGGTACCCCCGGGGTTCGGTTGTCTGTTGCAGAAGCTGTCTGTTGGCTGATACGGCAGCCTCTGGCAGACTCAGGAGCCCAGGGTCAAGGATCAGATTTCCCTGGTGGCTGCTCCTGGCCCCACAGCTCCAGGGGGGTGGCAGCAGCATGTGCAGAAGCCTGTGGCAGGAGACATTCAAGGGGAGAGAGTGTGGAGATGGCACAAAGCGGGCAGAGCTGGGCAAGGCCCTGGCCAGGCAGGTCTTGCAGCCCAGTGAGGAGTTTAACTTTGGTCCTAAGGGCTGTGGGACACCTGCCATGGAGGGTTGTCAGCAGAGGCATGACTCCATCTGATTAGCACCAAGTGCTGCATGCTACATGTTAACCAGTGGTCACAGCTGAGGTGGTGGGGAGGGGCTTAAGCTGTGCACCCATTCTAGCTTTGCAGGATCTGGAAGCTTCCGCAGGTCCAGAAACTGCTGCTGTCATGACACTGTACCCTTTGAAAATTAACCAGTCCCCAGCTTTGCAGCAGGGCCCATTCGACATGGCTCAGATGTCTGTCTCTGTAGATCTTGAGAAGAACAGGGCAGCCCACCTGCAGCTGCACTGCCTCCCTTCTTTGCCCCTCCAAAGGGACAGGTGTCCACCTCGTCACACAGGATCCAGCTCCAGGGCTAGATCATGGATGTTGTTTATCCAGTCCAGGACATGGACTGGAAGCTGCAGGACCCCTCCCTGTGTCATGCTAGGTGCCGTGGGAGTCTCACTGCAAAGTGTGATGTGTAGATAGACGGATTTTCTTTCTTTACTTTTCTTTTCTTTTTTCTTCTCTTCTCTTCCCTTCCCTTCTCTTCTCTTCTCTTCTCTTCTCTTCTCTTCTCTTCTCTTCTCTTCTCTTCTCTTCTCTTCTCTTCTCTTCTCTTTTTGAGATGGAGTCTTGCTCTGCACTTATGTCCTTGCTGGAGTGCAGTGGTGAGATCTCGGCTCATTGCAACCTCCATCTCCCAGGTTCAAGTGATTCTCCTGACTCATCCTCCTGAGTAGCTGGGATTACAGGCACCTACCACCATACTCGGCTAATTTTTTGTATTTTTCATACAGACAGGGTTTCACCATGTTGACCAGGCTGGTTTCGAACTCCTGACCTCAGGTGATCCGCTCGCCTTGACCTCCTAAAGTGCTGGGATTACAGGCGTGAGCCGCTGCGCCCAACCAGATAGACATATTTGGTCCATAAAGGACAATCTGCTCTGTGTGGAGTTGGATTCTGCAATGATCTGACCCAGTGGTTGGCAGTGAGTGGCACTGCTGCGGCCAGGGAAGACTGCAAGTGCAGAGATGAGGTCTGGCATGACAGCCTGGAAACACACAAGACAGGCAAGCTTACGTGCACAGCACCGTGCCACGTGGGCACTGTCCCCCAACTTTCCCTCATGGAATGAGTGGGTGCCTGGGGTTTGGAGTTCAACAGAATTGGATTCAAATCCTCCTGTACCTTTTCCTCAAACTACAACCTCCAGCCGGTGATGCTATCCGAGCCCCCTCATCTCTAAAATGGGGCAGGGACGCCTTCCTGGATGGGTCCTGGTGTGAGTTTGAGGAGGGAGCACGGGGGTGGTGCAGGGTGGGGCCTGATGAGTGGGTCATATTTGGGACATGGTAACCACCAGCTTGAGGGCTCTGTCAAGAGTTGCCTCCTACAGGAAGCCTGCTTGGCAACCGTCCCCCTGCCAAAGCTGCCCTCTGCCTTGTGTGGCCACCACCTCCTGTGTTCCATGCGGCTCTTGTCGCATCCAGCACCATCTTTATGGCGGCCCACTGCCCGGTCCTGTCTCTCCACTCAGGACAGCCGACAGGCAGGCCTCATGCCTCGCAGACACCAGCCCCAGTGCCTACGTGTCTCCCGCCCGTGATCCCCTGTCCCACCCTATTATCTGCCTTTCACCAAAGCATCCTGCCAGCCAGGAAAGGCAATCTGAACCGGAGCCTGTGCAGCTGAGTGGAAGGGGGGCTGCCCTATTGCATTGCTCTGCTTGGGTTTCACTAAAACGTGGGATTGGGCCATGGTCCCTCATCTCCTGGAAGGGACAGGTCATGTTTGACAAAGTTTTCTGGGTCTGCAGCAAAGTGAAAAAAACAAAACAAAACAAAACAAAAAAACAAAAAACTGACATTGTGAAGAGTTTCCTATAGAACTTCAACTAGCTGATTTAAAGAAATACCTCGGGGCCAGGCGTGGTGGCTCATGCCTGTAATCCCAGCACTTTGGGAGGCCGAGGCAGGTGGACCATCTGAGGCCAGGAGTTCGAGACTAGCCTGGCCAACATGGTGAAACCCCATCTCTACTAAAAATACAAAAATTAGCTGCGCATGGTGGCACGTGCCTGTAGTCCCACCTACTCTGGGGGCTGAGGCAGGAGAATCGCTTGAACCCAGGAGGCGGAGGTTGCAGTGACTGGAGATTAGCCTGGGCGACAGAGTGAGACTCTGTCTCAAAAAAAAAGAAAAGAAAAGAAAAGAAAGAGCCTTGGGCTGGGCATGGTGGGCCTGTAATCCTAGCACCTAGGGAGGCTGAGGCAAGTGGATCACCTGAGACAGGAGTTCAAGACCAGCCTGACCAATATGGTGAAACCCGTCTCTACTAAATACAAAAAATTAACTGGGCGTGGTGGTGCATGCCTGTAATCCCAGCTACTTGAGAGGCTGAGGCAGAATTGCTTGAACCCTGGAGGCAGAGGTTGCAGTGAGCCAAGATTGCGCCATTGCACTCCAGCCTGGGCAACGAGAGTGAGAGTCCATCTCAAAAAGAAAAAAAAAAAGCAATAGCCTTTTTTTTCAGGCCAGGCATAGTGGCTCACACCTGTAATCCCAGCACTTTGGGAGGCAGAGGCGGGAGGATTGCTTGAGGCCAGGAGTTTGAGACCAGCCTGGGCAACATAATGAGACCCCGTCTCTACAAAAAGTAAAAAAAAAAAAAATTAGCCAAGCATGGTAGCACGTGCCTGTGGTCCCAGCTACTCAGGAGGCTGAGGTGTGAAGATCACTTGGGCCTGGGAGGTCAAGGCTACAACGAGCTGTGATTGCACCACTGCACTCCAGCCTGGGCAACATTGAGAGGCTCATTTCTTTTCTCAAAGAAAAACAAGACAAATATCCTTTTCCTTCCCAAGACTATATCCTTTATATTCTTTTGTTGTTGTTGAAAATACCTTTCCTTAGTGGGAATTGCTTAGATGAAGTGCTGATATTGGTTAGCTTTGACTTGGCAAAACCAAGATATTGGCAAACACCATGTTTGTCTCCAAAGCTGTTGAAAATGGCACCCATCTGTAAGAGCCCAAGGTCCAAGGGCCGACCCCTCACCCCTCAGATGTGCTTTATTTACTGATAAACATACAGCACCAAGAATTCTTGACATTTTCCCAATCTTTCCATGCCAGCTCTCTTCTCCATTTTATTAGTGATATTTATTTTCAAGTCAACACATTGGTTTGTGTTGAGACTTGCAGCGTTGGAATATAAAGTTCTATGTGAGGCCCTGATTTTGATCTTTCACAAAACCAAGGAGCAGGGTGCGGGCTACAACCTTGAGAACCTGCAGGAGCTACGCCCACACGGGCCTTGGCTGGCATGACATTGGACACCCTCCCAGGGGGGCCCCCGGCCTGGGGAAGAGCCTCCTCTCTGCCTGGGAGCCTCAAGGTGTGCAGAGGAGGGAGTTGGCTGGAGCCAGATGTGTGAAGGCAATCAGTGTTTCTCTGCAAGGTGACGGTGGCGTGGGGCAGGCAGACACAGGACCAGCATCCTGGCAGGCAGGGTTCTTGGATGGCTGGTGGGGAAGACAGGCTGGGAGACTGTCAATTCATCGTTCCCCCTCTCCAGGTGGAGGCATGAAATTAGATCAAAGCATCTTGGTGAGTATTCGTGATGAGTTGAGTTTTTAAAACAAAACCAAATAACTAGCTAGTGGGTGCTCAGTGGGTGGCAAGGACTGAGTTGGCCTTTCCAAGCATGACCCTGCTTCCCTGTCCAGCGTGCCCAGTGCTGACTTTCTCTCAGAGAACATGGTGGGCTCTGGGCTCCTGTGGAGTTTCCAGGACGTTTTCTCAGCTCTGCCTGTTCCCTGGCTCCCTGAGACTTTGGAGTGCGCTGCAGGAGGGACTGGCCATCTGCCCGGCCTGGTCTAGCTGCTGTTCACTCAGGGTTGGGTGCTCTCAGTACCTCCTCTCCCTGCTGGGCTAGGAGTCTGCCCTCACTGCCTCCTCATGCCTGGGGCAGACCTCAGTTTCCCACTAACCCCATTCTTCTAACTCCCTCTCTGTGTGCCTGCCTCCCTCATCACACCAGGAGGGGCTCCGGCAGAGGAACCCTGCCTTCCCCCATGTGTGGCCTCGGCTCCTAGTAGGCAGAATCCTTCCTGCTGCAAAATGGCTCCAGCTTCATGCTGCCCACCCTTGGAGTAAGAGTCAGCCCTGAGCCCAGGCAGGCCAGGGATGTGACTGAGAAGCATAAGCAGTGGGCACCTGGAGGGCCAGAGACGCAGGCTGAGGAGCTGGGATTGTCCTGCAGACAATGTTCTTGGGCAGCCAAGAAAGATGCTTGAGCACCGGCGGGCTCAGATGCAGGGGACCTTCCCAGTCCCCTGTCCTCACCTGCTCAGAGCCGGCAGAAGGAGCAGGAGCGGGGTCCTGAGACACTGTTCCATAAGGGACAATGGCACTGCTGCAAAGATACCACAATGGAAAGTGGTCTTGCCCTACTCGAAAGACAGTAGTTTGAGTGGGAACTCAAAAGTACCACTTGTGAGGCACAAGTCTGTCTTCTTTCTTTCCTTTTTTTTTTTTCCTGGTGCGGAGGGGAGGTTGGATCTTGCTCTGTCACCCAGGCTGGAGTACAGTGGCACAATCATGGTTCACTGCAGCCTCAAACTGCTGGGTTCACATAACCCTCCTGCCTCTGCCTCCTGAGTAGCTGGGACTACAGGTGTACACCACCATGACTGGCTAATTAAAAGTATTATTATTGGCCGGGCGCGGTGGTTCACGCCTGTAATCCCAGCACTTTGGGAGGCTGAGGCGGGCAGATCACAAGGTCAGGAGATCGACTAAAACACAGTGAAACCCCATCTGTACTAAAAATACAAAAATTAGCCAGGCGTGGTGGTGTGCACCTGTAGTCCCAGCTGCTGGGGAGGCTGAGGCAGGAGAATGGCGTGAACCCGGGAGGCGGAGCTTGCAGTGAGCCGAGATGGCACCACTGCACTCCAGCCTGGGCAACAGAGCGAGACTCCATCTCAAAAAAAATATATATATATATATATATATATATTTATTATTATTATTACTATTTGTATTATTATTTGCAGAAGGGATCTTGGTATGTTGCCCAGGGTGGTCTTGAACTTCTAGCCTCCAGTGATCCTCTCACCTTGACATCCAAAGTACTGGGATTACTGGCATGAGCCCAGTGTGTGGCCTCAAGTCCATTTTTTAAAGTATTTCGGTGGCAAGCTTATGCAGGCATGGCAAAGCAAAAGTGATCAAATCCAGTGAGGGTGCTGCTTACAGGGAGTTAACAAGTGACTCGGGTAATTATGTAAATTCTAAACTCTTAGCATCCGCCTCAGAAGGTGTTAGATTCAGGAAATGGCAAACAAAACTGAAAACAGAAAAACAACTATAGGAAAATGCCCATGTGTTTTACAAGGCAGGCTCTGCTTCAGCCGTGAAAGTGGATCAGGAGTTAATCTGTTTCTGCAGACGCATTTTATGAATAGCAAATCAGTTTCTCCCTGTTCCTCCTACATCGAGGCTGGACACACCTTTACAGGGGATCAGTGTGAAGGGAAGCTGGTGAGGCTGCCTGGGAAGCCCCCTGCCTGCGTCTCCCAGTGGACTTCTTGGGAGCGCCCCCTCCCTGCCTCTGCCCCTCAGCGCCTGAACTGTGGCCACTTGCACTCCTGTTGCCTCCCCAGTGGCTTGAACTCCAGAACTTGCCACCCTTCAGTGGAATTCCTGGAGGAGTGAGGAGCTCTGTGCTATGCTTGGCCACCGAACATGGGCCATCTCTTCTATTATGGTTTGAAATGTCCTCTAGTGTCTTGTTTGGTAATTTTCTAATAATATGGGGAGACCGCGCGGGTGTCCGCTAGCTTGTCTGCTGGTTCTTACTCATGGTGCCTTCTTCCCTTTCAGACTTGGATATCTTTGTGTGCGTCTTGGGGCCCTTTGAAGGGTGTCTGTGGGGTTTCCGTGAGGCCAAGGACAGAGGTTCCTTCTCACAAGGATAGTGTTTACTTTCACATGGACAGCCCAGACCACCTGGAACCAAGTGCACAGAAGCCCCACCATCTCCGGGCCTCCCGGGTGTGATGGGCAAGGGGTCCAAGTCCGCAGGAGCTCCGAGGCTCTTTGTGCTTGAATCCGTGAGTTTCCTTTCCTTTTTTCCTCCCACTCCTTTTAATGCTAACGAATTCCTTGTTTTGGGGCAGGGGCCAGGGTTATCTCTGCTTCAGTCTTCACCCAAGGTGAGGCCTTTCACGCTTCCAGCTTGATATGCCCCTATCAGGCTCCTCATACCTTGACCTCTGTCTACCCCTCTACTCCCTCCAAGGTCAAAGCCCAACTTGCCAGGTTGGCAAATGCTCGCAGGCACCAGTGACCCCAGCGTTCTTCTCTAGGTTCTTGGTTTCCCCCTGAAACTTGGCCTGGAGGTTTCCCACTAGCTTAGCAGCCCTTTGATGCATTTAACTTAATTTTGTTATTGTTTTATCCAAAATTCTTGCTTGTTTTCAGAGGGAAAGGGGGTCTGCCATTACTGCACAGAGAATCTGGGACAGTTATTATAACCATAGAAATTTATTTTCCATGTGCTGTCCCATCTTCTTGATGAGACAGATGTTTAACAGCTGGAGAACTGGACCCATCTTTGTCCCCATCTTGCCTAGCAACAGAAGGTGGTCACTAATCAGGGATTTTCGAGCCCGTTGCTTAAGGCCGTCGTTGACCCAAAGGATAGTGAGTCCCTGCTCCTCTTCCTGAGGAGAGGCCCAGGTGCCCAGAGGGCCCTCCTGGCTTGGCTGCCTGCAGAGTGGCTGATGAAATGTCCGCTGTGTGCACAGGGCACCCAGCCCCGCTGCTCCCCAGGCAGCCCCGCAAACAGCTGTTCCTCTGCCTGCTTCCAGCTGTGGACCTGAGACCGAGAGGCTGAGCCATCGCCCTGAGCCGCATGCAGGGGAGTGGCAGGCCCGGACCCAGTGCCCAGACCTGGCTCACGTGACCCTGCTTTTTCCACTGTGTCTGCGGCTCCCTCCCAGGCTCTGTGACCTTGGGCAGCCATGGCCGTCCTGCGCCCATTCCCAGCTGTAAAATGAGAGGCTGGGCTGGCCGATCTCAAATGTCCCCTGCCAGCCCGAGATTCTGTGTTTTGTCCTGCGGTGTGACCGTGACATGCCTCCAAAGGCAGCTGCCAGTGCTCACGAGGGAGGCCTTTTTCCTGAGTTAAGGCGGGTGGGGGGACTGGGGGTGAGTTGAGGGACTGGGAGGTGGGGGAAGCACACACACGGTCCTCCCCAGCTGTGCCCTCGTGGTGAATTACCTTCAGTCCCAGGCTCAGTGCTTTGGAAATGCTCTCAGGCCCAGCACCCAGGCCTGGAACCAGCCTCCAGGCCCCTGGCCCTCCCTTTCTCTACTGGAATCTTCCAGACCGAGGCAGGTCAGCTGAAAGTCACCGACTCTGCCTTCCACAAACTCGTAGCTGACAGACCATCCCATGTCCCCTCCCAGCCCCGTCCCAGGAGGGGAACTCGCTTTGCCTTCCCACCCTCCAGGCCGACTCACTGTCCGTCACTCTCTGGGTCCCACCCACTGTCCCACCAACTTCATTGGTCTAAAAATATGCTCTGGCATCTTGTTGGAAAGCAGCAGGAATGATGGGCCCTGCTGATAAGGTGAAGAAAGTGACCCGAGGGGGCAAACTTACAGACGGGACATACTTTGGCAAAATAACAAAACAGCGGGACCTGAAGGCTGGCTTCCCAAGCGTCCTCGAGGCCTTGTGCCAGGAAGAGGACCCTCGGGCTTAGGGAAGTGAAAACCAGGCTCAGGTCCCTCACCCAGTCCCTTCTGCCCACTTTGGGAGGGAGCCCAAGAAGTCAGCTAGGGGGGGACCTCCCAGTGGGACCTGAGTCCTGATTGGAACTTTCTCGGGGGGTTTCTTGGGGACAGGACCCCATGGAATCCTCTGTGAGTACTCAGGGCCAGGCTCAGGCCCGTAAGAAAGATGCAGGCAGCTGAGAGAGGTACCCTTTACCCTTCCCCGCCTGTTTTTTTTTTTTGTTTTTTTTTTTTTTTTGAGGCAGAGTCTCGCTCTGTCACCCAGGCTGGAGTGCAGTGGTACAATCTTGGCTCACTGCAACCTCCGCTTCCTGGGTTCAAATGATTTTCCTGCCTCAGCCTCCTGAGTAGCTGGGAGCATGCACCACCACACCCAGCTAATTTTTGTATTTTTAGTAGAGACGGGGTTTCACCATGTTGGCCAGGCTGGTCTGGATCTCCTGACCTCAAGTAATCCGCCCGCCTCAGCCTTCCAAAGTGCCAGCATTACAGGAGTGAGCCACCGTGCCCAGCCTCCTGTTCACCGCTTGTTCTGAGAGTCTGAGCTGGAATCCTGGCTCTGCTGGGGGACCTGCACGGATCACCTCACCTCTCTGCGCCTGTTTTCCATAGGAAGAAGAAGGCTACCTTCGGAAGGTCACTGTGAGGGTCAGAGGTTACGAAGGTCAACAGGGCGCATGTCAACGAGTTGTCGCCCTGGCTTTGCCCCTGCTCTGCCCACCCTGCCCTTTCATTTCTCATTTGCCCACCTGCACAGCCCACCCCCGGGCCAAGCCCTGCACTGCTGATGGCTCCGCAGGCCTGGGCAGAGACCCTGGGCCCAACACCTGGAGTCCACCATGGTCATGTCTCTTCCTCTCTCTCCAGCTCTCCACTTCCATCCCATTGCTTTGCACTTGCTTTTCCTTCTGTAGGGCAACTCCTCCCTTCACTTCTGTTTTTCCTTTAAGGATTTACTTCAGGCACCACCTCCTCCAGGAAGGCCTCCCTGATCACTCCTCCCCGTGTTGTGTTCCTCTTCCTTACTCCCTCAGCCCCAGTGCCTCTTGCTGATTTCACTTTATTATATTTGTTGACTAAGTCATCTCCCTCACTAGACTGGAAGTTTCTTGGGAATCTGGATCTCATCTGAGGTGATTAAAACAGTAACTACAGGAATGATGGAATCACCATTTAATAACCATTATAATAATAACCCATCCAGGTGGAGTCATCTAAGGATGCTAAAATTAGCGGGTGAAAATTTGAGTAATAGGATATTTACAAAGTCTCAAAGTATCGCCCAACAAGATGCTTGTTAATGACAAAAGGAAACACAGTAACTTTTCAGTGGAGAAATCTGGCCAACTCCGTATTCATCAAGTGATCAGCAGGAATGAAAGAGACATCAACAAATACCTTCTTCCTCTCATAAAGACCCTTGTGCTTACCTGGGACCCACTGAGATCACCTAAGAGAATCTTGCCATCTTCAGATGTTTCATCACATTTGCAAAGACCTTTTGCCATGAAAGGTGACATGTCTGCAGATCCTGAGGATTAGGGCGTGAACATCTTGGGGGGCACCTGGCTCTGCCACTGGCTGCCGGTGGGGCCTTGGGCAAGTCACTTCACAGCTCCGTGCCTCGGTTTCCCCATCTGTGAAGAGGGGATAATGATAGGCCTACCTCATTCGGTTGCTGAAAGGACCGCGAAGGTGACATCTGTGAGGTCCTGGGGTAGGGCCTGGCTCTTGGTCAGTGCTGCGTGGAGGTTTGTGTTCGTGTGGGCATGGGGATGAGCGCTTCTGGGAAATGGCCCAGGAGGAGGAGTCGGGGGAGGGGAGAGTGAAGTATCTGCAGAGACAGGAAACCATCCCTGTGACGGGTGATACATTTTCTGAGACTTCCAAGAGGCTGGCTGTGCTGTCCATGGGCCTGGGGCACGGTTCCCAACACCCAGCCAGGAGCTGCTCAACTCTGGCTCCTAAAAGGCAAATGTACAGCCCTGGAGGGGAAGCGGGCCTGTGCCCTGGGGCTCACGGGAGGCTCCTGGCGGGAGGGCAACGTGGCTGCCACCCCCAGGGAGATGTCCTGCTCCATCGAGCCACGGTGCAGGTGGGGACATGGAGGCCCAGAGGGGACAAGACGGCCTGGGCGCCACATTTCCCTGGCTCCTGCCTCTGGCCTGCAGCTGCTTCCACACACCTACTGCAAATGCCGGTGCTGTGGGCAGTGGCCTTGTTTCTGGAGCCTCCCATGGCCCTGGCCCATGTAGCTGAGGGACTGACCGCTTAGGCCAGTAGGCAGGACAGCTGTCCATCTGTACATCACTCCTTCTCGAGCCTGGTGCTGCCTGCGCCCACACTCAGAACACGCCTGGCACACCCTGGAGCGAGGGACAGGAGGGCAGGAAGGTGGCCTAAGGCAGCCGTGACCACACGGCCGGTGAGGGGCTGCTCTTGCTTGGATTCCACCGGTTGACAGAAAGAGGAATGGCGTGTCTGTCAGGGTCGTGCCCTCTCACGTTGCTGGGAGATCCCTGCAGTCTGCCCTTGGAATCCCAGAAACCAGAGTGAGCAAATCTGTCCGACTTTCAGCAGGGGTCTGTGTGCCGCCCAGAGATGGGAGTTGGGAGTTCCCCAAGGCCACGGCTCCACCTCCTTGCTCAGCAGAGAAAGGCAGGAGTGGGAGCAACCAGCTCCACACCAAGTACCTGGTGAAGCCTGCCTGCCACGTTGGGCCTGCCATACCTGTGTGCACAAGGGCATGTGCTTGTGTCTGTGTGTGTGTGCGCACACATACATGTGAGCAGGCACGTGTGTGCACAGGTACATGTGAGCAGGCATGTGTGTGCACATGTGTACGTGTGTGGCACCTGTGTTAGCACATGTGTATATGCATGTACAAATACGCATATGTGCTTGCACACGTCTGTGTACACACATACCTGTGTGTGCATGCATGAATGCACCCGTGTGTGTTGCATGTATATGTGAGTGAGCACCTGTGCATGTCTCTGTATATGCATATGGGTGTGTGTGCTATTTGTGTGCACACATGTACATGTCTGCGTGTGTGAGTTTCTTGTTACTCCCTCGGACAATCAGGAGCGGTGGAGGTGGAGGTGGAGACAAAGCCAGAAGTGAGAGAAGCAGATGTCCCGGGCCTGGGGCCCATCCTACACCAACTCGGCACCGGCAAAGTCAAGGTTGGCAGAGACAAGGTCGGCAGAGCCAGGAGGCGTCCCAGGACAATGGCGCCAGCACCTTTGACCTTCTCTGACAATTATTTCCCAACTTTTCCCCATGGAGGGCATCTTGCCTGTGTCTTTTGGTTTCAAGCCCGTTCTAAAAGCCAGCCTCATGTCCTTGTGGAAGCTTCATTTTCCAGTTAGCTCCCCACGGACGCATACAGGCCAGCGCTCCATGGAGCCCTTCCCCGCCGGCCAGCTTCCATCACCCACAGCTTGCCACCCTTCCCCAGGGCTCTGAGGGGACTTCTCTTAAAAGTTCAACAGGAATTCGAACGGCCGTCCATTTCCCTATCATTTGCTGCAATCAGGGAACAAAGATGATGATTGTAGCGGCTTGTGGGAAAGGGACACAAAGAATGTATTTTTTCCTTTCCTTATCCGAGCAGGGTCTCTAGGCCCATGGGCTGCCTGGGAATTCCGAAGCTGCGGGGAGGAGCTGGGGCAGGGGGTGGGGTGGTCATCCCCGCAGCACCTCCTGGGCATCCATCCTAGCCTGCATGGCCCATGCCTGGCCCATGTGCATGTGTGGGATGTACTTGGCCTCTCTTTCTCTCTTCCTGACACAAGCCTCCCTGACCTTCTCCAGGCCCCTTGCTGGCTTCAGCCTCTTCCCAGCCTGCCACCCTCCCTGGGTGCTCTCCGGATCCCCAGGCGCCAGTGTCTCCCATGCTGCCTCCAGCTGCCCCCTGCCTCCTGAGCTGCCAACTTGGGTGCCTCACAGGAATCCCCAAACTGCCCTGAAGCCTGACCTCTCTCAGTGCTCCCTGTCTTGGTGTAGGGCATCGCCTGCCAGTCAGTTATTTCTAAGCCAGAAATCTGTGCGTGGCCTAACAGCCCCTCTGCCCTCCACACCAGTGACCACCTCCTAGGAGTGGCTTCCTCAACACCTTGCCACCCTTGACACTGTCACTGTCACCTGTGCCCTGGCAGGCCGCCTGCTCCCCAAGTAGCTCCCTACTGCACTCCCCTGCCCCTCTCAGCCCTTCTTGCAAAGTGCCTCTGGGCCAGGTGCAGGGGCTCACGCCTATAATCCCAGCACTTTGGGAGGCTAAGGCAGGTGGATCACTTGAGGTCAGGAGTTCGAGACCATCCTGGCCAACATGGCAAAACCCTGTCTCTACTAAAAATACAAAAATTAGCCGGGCGTAGTGGTGCACGCCTGTAATCTCAGCTACTTGGGATGCTGAGGCAGGAGAATTGCTTGAACCCGGGAGGCGGAGGTTGCAGTGAGTGGAGATCAAGCCATTGCACTCCAGCTGGAGCGATAGAGCAAGACTCTTATCTCGAACAAAATTAAAACATGAAAATAAAAACACCTCTGACCCTGTCACTCTGTCTAAAGTGTTCTGGAGCCTTCCTGTGGCCACAGGATGAAGCCCCCAGCGTCACGTGCCTCTGGCTCATGGGGAATGACAAGGACACTGAACCTGCAGGGTTGGGCATGCCGGGAGCTCTAGGTGCAGGTCCGCTGGCCGCACCTCCGCTGAGGGTCCTGCACAGATGCGCGTCCTGGCTGCCCAGGCCTCCTGGGAGGGTTTTCTTGTTGTGCACTCATCGTTTTTGGCCCCAGACAGTCATGGAATTCAAAGTTTTCCAGACACCACAGGCCACGGAATCTTAAGAGGACAGGAGGACCGCATGTCAAGGATTACCATTGCCCTCTGCAGGAGGAGGGAGATGCAGAGCTGTCCGGGGCTGGACAGGGGCAGGTTTGCTCTGGGTGGGGGATGCGGAGGTGACCCCATCTCTGGCCCAGACCCCAGGATCACCAGGCCAGTGGTGAGTGCACTGGTTCGTGGCTTGGGCAGTTGGGGTTGGGGGTCAGGAGGCCCCTCCCAGGCATGAGGCCCGTTGCTTTCCAGGTAGAAGGGGTGGGGTGGGGAAGGCGCTGTGGGGAGAGGGGGCAGCAGGAATGTTCCAGCAGGGAGAACACCCAGACCAGACTGGAGCAATGGCCGGACCCCCATTCTCAGGTTTTGTAAGAACTTGCTCATTTAATCTCCACACTGGCCCTATGGGATGGCACCAGTGATCCCCATTCTGTGGGTGAGGAAACTGAGGCAGAGGGGTCACAGAGCTAAAACTGGTGGAGCCGGGATTTGAACCAGGGACTCAGCTCTGGAGGCTGGGCTTCTAAGCGTCATGCAGTCCTGACTTTGGGGCTTGGGGGGTTTGGGGGTCCAAGGGCGAGGCGGGACAACCACAGGGTGCCAGGGCCAGCTTTACACTGCACCACAGGGCTGGGGAGGTGCAGGTGGCTGGGAGACGGGTGTCTGGGAGGGGAGGGCAGTGACCAAGAGAGAGTGAGGAGCCCAGGATAGCTTGAGCCCCAAGTGAGAGCTGGGGCCTTTGCCCTGGAAGGAGGACTGACAGGGAGGTGTGGGGTGAAGAGGCCAGCAGGGCCCTGTGGCAGGGCCGGGGAGGGAGCTGAGCGCTGCCTGGGGCTCTGTGAGTTCCCAGCCAGCCGATGTTCCCCTGTAGCCCTCCTTGGAGCTGTGGGCTGGCACTTCAGGGGCCAATGTGACCTGTGACCCGGTGCCAGGCTGGAAAGGACCTGCTAAGTGGACGGAGGTGGCTGCAGGCTGCATCATCTGCGGGTCAAGAGGCCTTCAAAGGTGGCCCAAAGCCATCCCTCCCTGGGGGCCAGGCACTCAGACCTTCAGGCTGTGCCCAGCTGCCTTGCCAGAGCCTCAGGCCCCCCAGCATGCCAGCCATCTGCCCCTGTACCCAGCACACCCGGAAAGCTGAGGATGCCACGGGCTCCTGCTAGGATTCCATAGAGCTCACATCTCCTTCCTGGGAGTCCGCAGCCCTTCGGACCCCCAGCCCCAGCAGCCCCCACAGCCCAGGGCTGACTGCCCCAGGACGGGAGAAAACTGCGGGTTCGTGGCCCCAGGCCTGGATGCCGTGGCCTGAACAGAGGAGAGAGCTTGGTGCAAGGGTCAGGAGGCTCGGCTTCCAGCCCTGGCCGGCACTGACCATGGCGTGACCTTGGCCTGGCCTTTGGACTCTCAGGGCCACGTCGCACAGGAGTGAGGAGGCCCTTTGGCCTAGTGGCTTTAGGGACAGCTGTGCCCTTGATAATACAGCAACCCAGCCCCCTGCTGCTCCCTGGCTGTCAGTGGCCCCCCAACCCAGCTGGACCCCACTGTGCCCTCTGCCTCGGAGCACCAGCCAGCAGCCGGTACTTGGGCAACTGCCTCCATTGCAGGGCCAGGTCAGTGGTATGCAGCCCAAGGTGGCTGTCACCTCAGGACTGTGCGAGACCAAGCTCCTCCCACCCGGCCTTGTCACCTCTTCTCCTTGTGCCCAGGGACCTCCCAGCTGCTGTCAAGTGGGTGGCTACCACCATGGCGCTGGCCAGCACAGGCCAGGTACACAGAAAGCATTAACTACAAGATGAGGCCGGGTGCAGTGGCTCACGCCTCTAATCCCAGCACTTTGGGAGGCTGAGGCAGGTGGATCACTTGAGGTCAGGAGTTCAAGACCAGCCTGGCCAACATGGCGAAACCCCATCTCTACCCAAAAGACAAAAAATTGGCTGAGTGTAGTAGCACATGCCTGTAATCCCAGCTACGTGGGAGGCTGAGGTAGGAGAATCGTTTGAACCTGGCAGGCAAAGGTTGCAGTGAGCCAAGATCACCCCACTGCACTCCAACCTGGGCGACAGAGTGAGACTCTGTCTCAAAACAAACAAACAAAGAAAAAAAAAACAACTACAAGATGAGAGTCTGTGTTGGGTCTGCACAGCAGACCAGGGGCCTGAGCCCTCTCTGTGGGGTGGAGAGTGCCGGGTCCCTGCATGCTGCTTCACGGGTGACCTGATGGCTGAGAGCAGCTAGTGCTGAGGCTGTGCAGATCTCAGCGTCCAGTGGGGGGCTGCAGACCCCAGCACCCTGGGTCCGAATCCTGCTGCTCGTCCTGAGGTATGAGAGCCACAAGCACCCGGGCATGGGCACTGATGGCTCTTGGGAAACCCAGGGGCGATGAGGCTGCTCCTGGCACAACCCCTGTCCCAGTCACCCTGGCCACCCACACTCTTAGCTCCTGCCACTGCTGCCCCAGTCTGGGGCCTGTCTCCAGCCCAGCCCCCCGACCCACACTCCTGAAGGCGAGGTGCTTCTGGAAGCCTGCCCCCAACTGCGCCCCCTCTTCCCCTCCTGTGTTTCTCCCTGAGCCCAGGGTCTCATTTGTGCTGCTCGCTGCTGATCCCGGGGCCCTGCACTGAAGGCCCTGAAATAGGCCTGGGGGTCTCAGGAGGTGTCCCATAAATATGGTGGGCGTGTTCCGGACAACCTCGGTGACCTCTGTGGCCAGCTCAGTGTCTTCATTCCGTCCCCTCCCCTCATGTGCACAGGGCCCAAGTCTATCCCCAGCCTCCGCTGCCTCCCTCCCCTCTGCCTGCCTAGAGCACTTTCCCTCCTTCCATGGCCCACACTGAACGCAGGGCTCTCTCTCTGAACCCCAAACCCACCAGTGCCCCCTGCCGGACCCACCCACTTCCCTCCACCTCAGCCTTCACACATGCTGTTCCCCATGCCCGAAACACCCTTCCTGCCCTTGCTACCTGGGACCCAACTTGTAGGGAGGGGCTTCCCTGGGGCTTAGCAGGAGTGACCCCTGCCCTGTAACCTTACGGTGGCGTCAGCCCTGGCACCTGCCCAGCGCTCCCAGGAGAGGGCGCTCTCACTGCTCTTACGGCTGTTTGCCTGGATGTGGGCTAGGAGGGGGGCACCGTCTGAGCCAGGCCCATCCCCGGCGTGAATCCCTGTGCCGGGGCTGACGAGATTGGGCCTGGGAGGGTAGAGGGACTGGTCCTGGGAATGGGGCCAGAGGCCTGGCAGCACCAATCCCAGACCCAGTCTCTGCCAGAGGCAGGGGGCCGCTGAATCCACGCCCCTCATCCATCACTGGAGAGAGTTGAGGGCCGTGGGATGCAGCCCCTGCCTCATGTCCTATCCCCACCAGCTTCCTGTCCACACTGCAGGGCGCCTGCCTGGGGAAGCCCCCACCTACCAACCTGCCCTCTCTGCCCCAACCCTCGTGACCCCAATCCAGAATCCACACCCAGCCAGAAGGAACTTTCAAAAGACTCCTCTGGGCCGGGCGTGGGGCTCATGCCTGTCATCCCAGCACTTTGGGAGGCCCAGGTGAGTGGATCCCTTGAAGCCAGGAGTTCAAGACCAGCCTGTCTAATATGGTGAAACCCCAACTCTACTAAAAATAAAAAAAAATTAGCCAGGTGTGGTGGCGGACGCCTGTAGTTCCGGCTACTCGGGAGGCTGAGGCAGGAGAATCGCTTGAACCTGGGAGGCGGAGGTTGCAGTGAGCCGAGATCGCACCACTGCACTCCAGCCTGGGCGACAGAGTGAGACTCCATCTCAAAAAAGCAACAACCACAACCACCAGCACCAAAACACTCCTCTCATCTTATCACTCACCTGCTAAAACCTTCAATGACTTCCTATGGCCCTCAGGGACCCACGGGTGCCCAAGGCCCTTGGTGGCCTGCCCACCCTCCCCTGACCCCCAAGCCCCGTCCCTGGCAGGGGCTTCCTCACCTGTGGAGGCTGTGCACGCTTCTCCTCACCCCACAGCCCTGCTTCATCTCTGCTCTTTGCCCTTCAGGACTCAGGTTAGTGGTCAGGAAGCCCTCCGTGATTCTCAGGCTGGTGAGGGCACACCTCCCATGGCCCATGCATGCTCCCTGTAGGTGCCTTCACCCACATAGAATGGATTTTGGTGCCAGCCTCCCGATGAGGCCGGACGTTCCTGGTTCATGCCGGGGAGGCAAACCTCACTATGGGGATTGGGGCTGCGTGTGCAGGCAGGGTGCTGACTTAGAGTCCACGGATGTGCTCCTGCTGCTCCTCCCGCCAGCCTTGGTTTCCCCATCTGTGAAATGGGGAGCAGTCCCCCAGCACAGGGGCAGTGGGGTGTGCTGGGGAGAGTGTGGTTGTGGCTCTGTCCAGTGGTTGCCTGCAACACCCACTCTGTCACTCACCACCGCGTGACCTCCAGTTGACTTCCCCTGTCCTCTGTTTCCTGGCTGTGAAATGGGGACGACCGCAGTGGCCGAAACTCGGGACTCCGCGGATGATGTGCAGCAGACACCGTCAGAGTCAGGCTCGTGGGAGCAGCCCAGGGACCAGAGCAGTCAGGGAGCTCCCAGCCTGGCCCAGGCAGGAGGCTGGCACTGGGAGGGTCCCAGGGAGGGAGGGCCCGCCTGAGGACACAGCGGGCATGCTGTTGGCCCTTCCCTGACTGCCCACCCTTAGGAAGGTCGTTGGCCTCCTAAGCAGTCCGCCCCTCTGAGGCCTCGCAGCATGGCCAGGCCTCACTGTGTTCCCAGGCCCTGGGTCATGGCCTCGCAGCCCGGCTGTTCCTGGGAGCTGGCCCTGGCCGAACGCGGCACTCAGCCAAGCCGTATTTCCGCATTTACCACTGGAATCACAGCCCCGTAAAGCAGAGGGGCCACTTCCTCTTCCTCCTCCTCCTCCTGCAGCAAGAGAGGCACCAAGGCCACCCCTCTGCAGCTGCAGGTCACCTCGGGTGGCTGGCCGCCAGCCCTTGCCTGGGCTGAGAGCCCCTCCAGCCGCACAGGCTCTGGGTGAAGACACTGGGGGCTGGCACAGGCTTGGGGTGGACGAGCGAGTGTCAGGGATGAAAGCAGCCGCGTGGAACCTGAGGCCGTGCTGGCCTGGACTGGGCACTTCACTCCCTGTGCCTCAGTTTCCCCATCTCCTTCCCCTCTCCACTGACTATTCTGTTCACCAAAAGCCAGGTGGGCCCAGCACCACAACAAGCCCTGGCCTTGGCCCTGTCCACAGGGCTCCATCTGGTTCAACTGACTCCAGGAGAGGCCCATTGTGGGTGTGGAGACACAGGGCTGGGGTGCCAGGAGAAGGGGAGGGAGTGACTTAGGTGATCTGGGGCTAGGGAACCAAAGGAGGGGCACCCTGGGGCCTGTCCCCCATCAGCTGGAGTACTGAAGCTTTATCAAACCCCAGCCTCACTCTCCACTGTGTGGCTACTAACTCCGGCAGAGGCCCAGAGACAGTGGGGGTCTTGCCTGAGGACGCGCGGCCAAGCTGGGGTGGGCCTGCTGGTCTCTCGGCCTCAGGGCTCTGTTCACACCAGGTGACAAAGCCCACTCTGGCTGCAGGAGCTCACTGGGGAGGTTGAGCACCTGCCCTCTCGTGTGGCAGTTGGGCGCTGCCACATGGGGCTCCTGGGAGCTGGGCTAGGTGATCTGAGGCTGGGTCCTAACCCCAGCGTAGCAGGCAGTGCAGGAGCGACCAGTGGACAGACAGGAGGAGCGAGGCTTGCGCCTTCTGTGTCCTGAGACCCTGAATCTCGAGGTAGAGGCATTAGGGCCAAGCCTCCCTGCACATAGGTGGAGCCAGGACGGGAGCCCCCATCTCTCCTAGCCCACCTGCCCTGTTGCTGCCACTGGGGATGCCAGCAGGGACTAGGAGAGCAGCTGCCCATGGCTCGAAGCCTTCCAACTCGTGGGC
Source organism: Homo sapiens (assembly GCF_000001405.40). Lineage (NCBI taxonomy): Eukaryota > Metazoa > Chordata > Mammalia > Primates > Hominidae > Homo > Homo sapiens. The sequence goes on along the minus strand of NC_000022.11, from coordinate 46,128,475 downwards.
AGTGGCCCACCTGGTCAGAGGGGCGAGATGGGTGTGGGCAGTCATGTGTGGTCACAGGGGGCCACGGCCAGGCCCTCTGCAGCTGAGGGCCCCACCTCCCACACTCTGCTTTGGGTCTGGCCCCATCCACCCCTGGGGTCCCAGCTGGGGGGCAGTCTGGCCCCAGCCTGTTCTCAAGATGCTGCCCAGGGACACCTGTGGCCCAGCCGCATGTGCTCAGGAGGAGGATGGGGCTGGGGGTCAGGGCTTGGGGGCTGGGGTGTGGCGAGGTGACTGCTAGCCTGGCCTCGGGGAGGTTGGGGCAGTGCTGCAGAGGAGCTCAGCTTTAACTGAGTGGGGAAAGTGGAAGAATGAGCCGGCGGTGGGGATGGGGTGGTGGGGGAGTGCTCCAGGCAGGCGGGTGGCAGGGCCAGGGCAGGGGAGGCATGAAATGATCTGGGGTGCCTGGCAATGCCAGTGGCTGGGTGTGGCCAGGGCCTGACGGGGACAGGCAGCTGGTGACACAGGTGGGGGACCCTCAGGGAAGCAGTGAGCAGAGCCGGCAGGGCTGAGTTTCATGAGGGCACAGAAGGGGGGCCCAGTTTTCTCCCTGCTAGCCCCAGCCTGTCGGGAGAGGCTGGAGCCCAGGAGATGGAGGCAGGGCTGTTGGGCGAGGGTTGGGTGGGTGACGGTCCTTCCAGAGACGGAAGAGCAGGGCCTGGTCAGGGAGAGGCTGAGGCATGCCTGGAGGTGTCGCTTACCACAGGAAGGGACTTCAGGAGGCTCCACCAGGGGCAGGGGCTGCCTAGGTCTCGAGGTCGTGGGTGTGGGGCCGGGTAGGGCACCCTTGCCCCCATACAGCCTGGGCAGCTGCCCCTGTGCAGGCATCCAGGCAGAAAGGGCTTTTAGTCTTGTACTAGGAGTCGGCCCCAGATTTGGGGCAAGGGGTTCCTAACTTAATCCACCCTAGCTGAGGGTGTCACTTTGGGCCACCTGGCACCCTCCTGGGCCTCAGTATCCGCATCTGTCCAATGGGTGCTGTCCAGCCAGTAGTGGGGGTCACATGGGCTGACCAGGGTGAGGTCAGGGGCAGGGGCGGCAGGAATGGACAGGAAGTATCATAGTGGTCCAAAGGGGGTTCCTGGAGGAGGGGTAGGGGCTGCGAGAGGAAGGGGAGCCGTGAGGGACAGTGGCCAGGGCTGTGCTGGGGAGCCAGGACAGGGGACAGACTGCAAGGCCAGAGCAGGGGCCGGGAGGAGTGGACACTGGTCCTGGTAGACCAGGACCTGCTTCTTCCTTCAGGTGGAGGGGCCACAACCTCTTCAGCCCATCCCCCGGCCCGTGCCAGCCCATGCAGAGGGTGGGCAGCAGGAGGATACACAGAGCTCCCGCCACCTTCAGGCCTCTGCGCCTGTTGCGTCCTCCACTTGGGAAGGGCCTCTCTTTTTCTCCTCCGGGAACTCCTACTCATCCTTCAAAGCCCAGATTGAGTGTTACCTCATTTGCCTGCCTCACTTAGTGACAGATGCTCACTTGGTGTCAGCTCTGCGTTGTGCATGGGCTGGGCACAGGTGCACAAAGGAAAGAGGTTCCGGCCAGACCCACAGCGTGGCTCTCTCTGGCAGCCACATGGCAGTCGTCATCTGTGTACTTGTGGGTCTCATTGTCTGTACAGGGCTCTTCTGAGACTCACTGGTGTGTCACTCAGTGTGGTGGCACTGAGATGCCAAGGTGGGGGTGGGGGAACCTCGGGGGAGGGGCCCCTGGGCAGGGAGGAGCAGCCTGTGCCGAGCTCCAGCCTTTCCGGGCAGGTCTCTGCAAAACACTCCTGACCTTTCTCCTGGGGCGGCGGCCCAGGGCACACGACGAGGTTCTGAACTCATGGGTCACAGACACGCCTCTTGTCTGTGGGGCTGGGCTGAGCCCCACATGTGACTTGGGCGCCTGCCTTGTGGAAGGCCTTGTGCCGTCACCCCTCCAACCCAGCCTTCCATGGAGAGGTTCAGAATGGATCTCAGGGTGTGGCTGGTGACAACACACCCTGAGATCACACAGGGAGTGACAGCAGAACCAGGGGCCGGGAGCATGGCTGCGGGGCAGCAGTGAGCACCGCGGCCAGGGGTGTGTGGGCTGGTGCCACCGAGCCTCTGTCCTACCTGCTGTGAGCCTCAAGACTGGAACATTCTCCTGGCCCCTTCTGGGCCAGGGCCAGCTGCAGCCTGCCCAGCCCTTCCAGTGCCCCCAAGAGAGGACACTGAGCCTGGTGGAAGATGCTGCTCCCCGGGACAGCAGGGCGTGGGCTGTGCAGCGCCGGGACGGGCACTTGGGGAAGGTGTCCGTCTGCATGGGACGTCTTGGCTCATCTGGGAAGGGAGCATTGAGAGCTGAGAGCAGGGCCGGGGTCCAGATCATCCCAGGGCGGGTGGGGCCTGGGCTGAATGAGCCAGCCGGCCCGGCTCACAGCCACCAGGCTTCCTCTGGGCTCCTGAGCGCTCAGTGCCTTGGTTCGGCTGTGTAGAATGGGGCAGGTGTTACCAAGGTCTGGTCCAGGGCTGCCAGAGGCTGGAGGCTCTTGCGGGCTGCCTGTGGAGCCATGGCGGTCAGAGGGTGGAAGACGCCACTCTCAGGCGATACTCTGAGACAGGTGGGAGGGCACATGGCCCGCCCAGGGGTCACTGCCAGGTCCACGCTGGCCTGGCCTTGCAGTGGGTGCTGTCCCCTTCCCAACACTCTGGCCAGTGGGGCCGTAGACCTGACCCTCAGCCCCCATGCAGAGCTGAGCCCTGGTGAGGCTGTGTTCAGACGAGCTTGTCCTTGGCTCTGGGGACAGAAGGTGAATCTCCAGCCCACCAAGCCACAGGTGCCATCTTGCTTCTCCACAGCTCTAGGTTGCTCCAAGGAGCCTGCTGCATGGTGCCCGTTCCACTGGACTCCACGGTGAGCCCCAGGAGCAGCTGCCGGCTCCACCCACTGGGTGTCCCCTGTCTCTCCCACTGCCCCTCCAGTGGGAACCCTCAGTCATTGGCTCAGGGCTGAGCATTTGACCCAAAGCCCCGCCAGCCAGAGGTTACCTGGCAACTTTTGTGGGGTTGTTTGGAAAGGGGGAGAGAGAGCTTTGCACTGGTGGGAGCTAGCGGGATGGAGGAACGGCAGGCTCTACTGCCTCATGGGGACCCTGCTGAGGCTGGGGCCCGTGTGGTAGAAGCCCTGAGGGGAAGCACCCTTCGATCCAGCCACGCCTGAAGCTGTACCAATTCCTGGATTTTTATGTTATATAAACAAATAAATCCTCTTCTGGGCCTGCGCTAATTTGGTTTGGGTTTCTATCCCCTGAAACTAATGCTTCCCCACAAATTCCGTGTCTGACTCTAGGAAGGACTTGCTTCTTCAGGGGTGGGTGCTCCCTGGTGCCCACAGAGTCTGTTGCCCTCCCATCCCATCAGTATACCACATAGCAACACTCACAGGCTCCATGACAAACACACAGTCACAGAGTGTGGATTTGGGGCTTCTCACTGCTTTTCCTACTCTGGCAAACTCCTACTCATCCTGCAAAACCCAACTCAGGACTTCCGTGCCCCAGGAAGTTCTCCATGAGCTCATCCCCCTTGCCTTCCCCTCACCCCACACTGTCTGGGTCCTCCCTCCTATCCCATGCTCCCAAGGCCCTGGGCATTCCTCCCTTGACTGAACTGTTCCTGGCCCATGCCATGTGTTGAAGGAGATAAGAGTTTTGAGGGCTGCACCACCACGCTGATCGCTTGAGGCAATGGTCATTCTGTCACGGCCAGTCTGCAGTCAAGGCTGCACCGGGCCACGAGCCCCTCCGCCTCCAGCTATCCACAAGTGCCCATGATGCCAGGACTTGGGGATGTCTGGGTACAAGTACAGGGGCACAGAGGACAGCCAGTGGCCAGGAAGCCTCTGGGGCTGGTGGAGGTGAGGCTGGGTGTGCCTGTTTGTGCAAGTGTGTCGGGGCCTCGGGCGCTCCTGACGGGCATCTTCTAGGCTGTGGGACCTTGGGAAGGTTTCTCTGCCTCCCTTCACCTCAGTTTCCTCATCATTAAGTTGGGGAGGTCAGATGTCACAGTCTGTGAGGCAGCCCTGCATAACACCAGGCCTGGTGTTGGTGTGAGCAGAAGCTGGCAGGTGGGATGGGGTGACAGGATGGAAGGCCCAGGGCAGTGGCGAGCCAAGGACGGGGCCAGCAGGAGGTTGTCTGAGGCGAGGACCTCCCGGGAGCAGCGGCCAGATGCCCTGTCCTCCAGGGTGGCAGGGGAAGGCTGCAGGGAGAGGGTTGTCCCTGAGAGGGAGCCCCTCAGCGCTAGGGGAGATCAAGCTGAGGCTGTGAGCCAGGTTGGGGAGGGCTCCTGCCATCCAGTCCCTCTGGCTCCAGCAGTTTGGTGTCTCTGGCCAGTAGACCCTGTCCGGGACTGGGCCCTGCGCTGGGCAGGACAGCAGTGGCCTTGGCCTTGACCTTGACCACTTCAGGACCACCTCCCCCAGGCCCAGTGAGACGGCCCCGCCCATCACCTCCAGACAAGGCTGCCCTGGCTGGGATTCGGCCCAGGACATCAGGGTCAGAACAGAGCAGCAGAGCCCACTAGGCCCGGCCGCAACTCCCAGCCCACTCCCCTGCCTGCCATCAGGCTCCCGCTGTGCCAGCCAGCAGCCACCCTGCCCACTGCTGATGGGGCAATCTCACCCTTGGGCCACCTGCCCCTCACTGAGGCATGGGTCGGTCCAGCTGGGAGAGCTGGTGGTTCCCCTGCCCTTGGGAACCCAGCTCCCACCAGCTGCCAGGGCCTCCTGCCCACCCTCCCACAGCCGTTCCCACACCCCGGCCCTCCCTGCTGCTGTCTGCCCCTGATCTCCCCGAGACTCTCTTGAGGATGTCTCCCCGAGGTTGGAGACTTGCCCAGGGTCACCCAGCCGTCACCATGCTGGGCGCAACAGGCAACAGTGTTTACTGCCTCGCACTCCTATGGCTGGCCCAAGGGAAGGGGGGAGCAGGGAAGGCCCCTGTCTCTGGGGGACACCACGGTGTGACCTGGACTCATGTCTCTGGGTCTCGTGTCCTCATCTAGAGCACAAGGATGGGAGATTGGACCTCGGTCTCTCCTGGGATGAGATGGGATCATGTGAGTCACCTAGAGATGCCTCCTGCCACCCGGCAAGTGCCAGACCACGGGGCTTCCTCTTTGTTCCTGTCTCTTGCCATTTCATCTGCTAGGTGTGACCTCGGGCCACACGACCTTCTGCAGCCGGGCATGGGGCAGCACCCTCCGCTCTGCAGGCGGCCCTGGTGGGGATACCCTGTGTGCAGGGGCTGGCACCACCGTTGGGGCAGTGGGAGCAGAGGGCGGTGCTGACAGGAGGGGGATGTGCTGGGCCTCCTGGCCTGGCCTGTGGCCAGCCTCACCCACCCACAGAAGGGGTGGGATTATTACCTGTTTTACATATGGGGAAACTGAGGCTGGGAGAGGCAGAGGATAGCAGAGCCCAGGGCTAAGTGGAAGCGAGAACAGAGGGAGGTGGGGTGAGACCCCAGCCTGGCAGAACTCCTGCAACCCCACTGGAGGGGTGAGGGGCTGGCCTCCTACACACCCCTCCACCCACAGCCCCCAGCCGTACCCAGCTCTGTGCCCGCCCGGGGGGGATATGGCTGTCCGAGCCGGAGATGCCCCCCTGCGATGGTGGCCAGGCCGGTGCTGGAAACACTGCGCACCCACCCCACCACCTCTGTGCTCTTGACCCGAGGGCCGCTCAGCCTCGGGCCGGTGTGGGGACGGCCAGGCCTCCCGGACACTGATTCTTCAGCGGGGCGGTGTCCACGCGGCCGCCCCTTCCCAGCCCCACGTGCTTCATTGGGCACCAGGCGCCACCTGGTGGTCAAGCCAGAAGCCGCCGCTACCAGAACCGTGTGGAAAGCATCCCCAGACCCTCAATGTCCTCCTGTAAGCTTGGGGAAACTGAGGCCAGGGAGGGGTAGGAGCTCCCCAGGTCCCTCAGATAGGCAGGGCCTGGAGTAGGGGCAGAGGTCAGGGCTCCTGACGCCTGTCCAGCGCCTGCAGCTGGGCTTAAGTGACTTAGGAGATGTGGGGGCCTGGCCATGCAAGGACGGAGGACTGAGCCCAGCGCCTGAGGTTCGGTGCACCTGCCCTGGCCACGCCAAGGCCTGGGAGCCATGAGCACTGGCAAGTCCCGCCTGCTTCCCCAGCATGGGTCCCAGGGCCCATGTTCGGCAGCATCTTTGTAGGAGACAGTGGCCTCACTCTTGATAGCAAGGAAATGAGACCAGGTCTGGGGTTCACACCTAGGAGCCAGGCCCTGCCCAGGCCCAAGGCCCAGCTCGCTGGGGAAAGGGGGACCCCACAATGGCCCAGAGCTTTGCCTAGAGCGGCAGCACCAACGACCACGTGTCAGCGCCTGTCCTCGGAGCTCCCAGCCCTGAGCCAGCCTCATGGAGCAGCTCAGAGCACTGCCCAGCTCTAAGTCCTGTCCCAGGCCTGGCTGCTGTTCCCTCTGCTGCTCCTGAGCCCGCTGAGTCCCATGGGGGTAGATTGTGAGGTGTGCTCTCTGACTCTGAGGGCCCCAGGCGAGACAGTAAGAAAGCCAGGCCTCTCTTTGGAAGCCCCTAGGGCAGGGTGGGCAGGGAGGGTGGGGGTACTGGCAGCTACTGAGTCTGGTGTCGCAGGGTGGGTCTAGGTGGCTCCCCTGGCAGCAAAGGCCTGGCCTCCAGCCCTCAAGGTCAGTCCCTGGGGCACCTCACAAATGACAGGTCCTAAACCTCGCCTGCTCAGACCTCTCCCCAGCCTGGCTCCTCTGTCCCAGTGGCCATCCACCCACCCACCTAGAGAGACCTGGGCCTCCCTGCCACCCCTGCCTCTGCCCCAGCTGGTCCCCAGGTCCCAGCAATGTCACCCTTCAATAGCTTCTCAAACCTGACACCTCCAACACTCCCTGGTCATTACTGTCATCTGAGCACATCCTTTGGCCTGAGCCCTGGCAGCCACCCTCTCAGAGCTCTATACCCCCACAAACACCTCTCCCTTCATGGTGGCCAATGCAGGGTTGCCAGGCCGGGCTGCACCCCTGTGTTGGCTCCTGCACTGTGGGACAGCCACTGGTCTGACGTAAAAAGCCAGAGCTGGTACAGTCAGGCTAGCCTGGGAAACTGTGGGTAAACCAAGTCACACGGACCTGTTTCCTCCCTGCAGGCCTTGTCAGAGCCTTCAATAGGCTCACCACAGCGTGACTCCAAGAGGGCATCGTGAGCAGCAACTGTGGATCATCTGTCCAGGAAACGTGCCATCCAAGAGCATTTCCCAGGCCCTTGAGAGAGACAGCCAGCCAGCTACCTCCTCAGCCTGGGTCCCCAGGGTCCCCTGGGGGCTTCCCCCCACTGCTGGCCTGCCCTGCAGCCCCCTCTGCCACTTTCCCCATGGTGCTAGGCTCCACCCTATTCAACTTGACTGAGTCCTCACTCTAACCTGTTTGTTCATTCAGTGGGCATTTTTTTTTTGAGATGGCATCTCTCTCTGTTGCCAGGCTGGATGGAGTGCAGTGGCATGATCTCACCTCACTGCAACCTCCACATCCCGGGCTCATGTGATTCTCTTGCCTCAGCCTCCTGAGTAGCTGGGATTATAGGCGCCCGCCACCAAGCCCGGTTAATTTTTGTATTTTTAGTAGAGACGGGGTTTCACTATGTTGGCCAGGCTGGTCTTGAACTCCTGACCTCAGGTGATCCGCCCGCCTTGACCTCCCAAAGTGCTGGGATTACAGGTGTGAGCCACTGTGCCTGGCCTCAGTGGGCACTGATTGACCATCTATTGTGTGCTGGGTGCTGGACTAGGTGCTGAGAAGACACGCTTGCTGGAGCTCACAGCCTAGTGAACGGGGCACATGGGGCAGGGCTCACACAGGCAGACACAGAATGTACCAGGGAGGGCGGAGGAAGGGGAAGCGGCCTTGGCAGGCGAGACCTGACACATGACCGGCCCTGGGTGTCCACCTGCGGGCATCTGCATCAGCTCTGGGACTGTGAGGGTCAGGACAAATCAAAACCCCCTTCATAATCACGTCTGAGCACAGACCACAGCATGAACACCATCCAAGCCACAGAATGTCCAGCCTCTCCTGGCCCAGGCAGCAGGGGGACTGCAGCCACGTCAGCAATCGCAGCTCCAGCCTCGCTCTGGGCTCCCTGCCCTGGAGACAGGGCTTGTGAAGATCGCTGATCGGAGGACGATCCTGCGTCCTGAGAGCATCCAACCCAGAGCCCCGCCTCCTCAGACTCCTCCCCATCCCGCAGCACAGCCCCAAACACCCCATCACAGACACCCCCGGATCCCCAGATCCCACAGCGTGCATTCTCCCTCGTGGCAAAGGACACTGGGCCGCCTGCGTTGCCACAGGAACTCACTCCTCCGTGGGCTGAGGGCATTGGCAGCTGATGGAGAAGATCAAAGTGGGTGAGGGGAGCGGCTGGTCTCCTCCCTCACTGCCACCCACTGCCCCCTGCCTCCGCCTGCTGATGGCCTGGGGTCAGGCGCAGCCCTGTGTGTCTAGGGGAGGAGGCCAGACTGCGGGGTGCTGAGCAGGCTGGGTCTTGTCTCATCTCAGGACGTTGGTCTGCTTGGCCTGCCCTGGCTGGCATTTGCAGGGCACTTGCCTGCTGCCCCCTGGACCTCGTGGTACCCATGAGAGCCAGGTCTCCTTGTCTTCAGCCTGGATAAGGACACAGAGAGGGTAAGGGCCTCGCCCTGGGCCATGGGATTGGTTCACGGCTGGCTGCCACCTTTCTGCTGGGTGGTTTCTGCAGCCTGTGTTCCTTCTGCCACCCCGAGGCCCCTCTGTCATGTATTAGGGCTGCAGGGGGCAATCACTCGAGGGCTGGGCTTCCTGCTGTTAGCTGGCCTCTCCGGTGCCCGCACTCAGCCTGCCCCTGGCTGGGCACTGGAGGGTGCCTCCCCCCGGAGGTGACCCCAGGCCATATGAGCTCTACTGCTGGGCCTGCGGGGTGCTACCCAAAGCCTCAACTCCTCTGGCCTGGCAGGGGCGGTGGACAACCTGGCTGGGCCCTTCCTGGACTCCTGGGCTCACCATGACCTCTGTGGACACAGCTTGGCCTTCTTCACTCGGGGACCAGCCATCCCTCCCCACCCGGCACCCCGAATGCTCTGACAGGCTCTGTTAACTCCTTCCTTGACCCTGGAATGCACCTCCCGTGAGTCTGCCCAGGTGAACCCCTCCCACACTCACCCCAGGCCTAGCACCAGCCACAACTCTTCCCCTGCCCTCCCCTGCTGCCTCCCCTCCCCCTTTCTTCCTTCCTCTGGAGGCCACCCCTCCCCTGCTGCCTCCCTGGGTTTCCCCCTTCTCTTCCCTTGCTGTCCCCCAGCATCTGCCTTCAAATCCTTCCCCACCACACCCAGACCCCCCAGGCCAGCTGCTCCATAGGATATGACAACTGTATTACTTATTTATTTATTTGTTGAGACAGGGTCTCACTCTTGTCACCCAGGCTGGAGTGCAGTGGCACGATCTGGGCTCACTGCAGTCTTGACCTCCCAAGGCTCAGGTGATCCTCCCACTTCAGCCTCTCGAGTAGCTGGGACCACAGGCGTGAGCCACCAAACTCAGTTAATTTTTGTATTTTTTTGTAGAGATGGGATTTTGCCATGTTGTCCAGGCTGGTCTTGAACTCCTGGGCTCAAGCGCTGTGCCTGCCTCAGCCTCCCAGAGTGCTGGGATTACAGGTGGGAGCCACAGCGCCTGCCTGGATATGGTATCTTTACTCGGGGCCAGGACTTGTGTGGGGCTGACCCAGGAAATGGGCAGAAGCCCTGGAGGCTGAGCGGGAGGAAGGAGGGTGGATGGGCTTGGCGAGAGAGGCTGTTGGGTCTGTGATGTAGAGGGAAGGGGAGAGGGGTAGAAGAGGGGAGAGAAGAGGGGAGGGACGGGGTGAGGCCTTCTTGAGGAAGGGCTGCTCTTCTCTGTTTTATTTCCGGGGACTGCAGGAGGGCCAGTATGTCTTGCTTGCCTGTCCAGGCAGTGCTGCCTGCCTGGGGCTTGGCTGGAGACAAAGCCTGGATGCCCAGGATTTGAGAGGGGTGAAAGTTGGCATCCGGGCCCACCAAGGACAGGCCCGCCATGTTTGAACCCAGGTCAAGTCTGAGGGGGGAGCGCATTCCTTCTGGGGAGGCCGGACAGCGGTGTGCAGGTGGCTGCTTTTCTCCTGCATGAGGACCTTCAGGGACAAGGCTGGAAGCGAGGTACCTGGCAGGGCCCTGGGCCTGGCCCAGTTCCTTGGCCCCAGGGAAGGGACCCCAGAACACAACCTGTTGTCCCCTATGCCACCATTACTCTCCCAACCCCAGGCAGCCTGGAAGGCAAGACAGCCACAGATCATGGGGTGGACAGAGCTGGCCGCCCATTCCAGCTGTACCCGGCCTGCTGTGTGGCCTTGGGAAAGTCACTCTACCTCTCTGAGCCTCTGTCTCCACATTCATGAAATGGGCTGAGGATGGCGGCCCTCTGGGGACTGTCAGGAAGCAGATCAGGCCCTGGATGTCACCAATGCAGCACCAGAGGGGCCGACACACCAGCATTTACAGCAACTGTCTGGGTCCTGCTCCCAGCCCTGGGGAAGCTGCTCCCAATCAGAGAAACCAAGCTACCCATATAGACTCACAGCAGCTCTCACACTGGGCAGCCCTGAAGGCTGTGGGAGCCTTGGAAGGGTGAGGGTGGTATAGGGCACTGGCTGGCATAAGTGTGGATGCTGAACTTGGGCCACCAGGCAGGACGCATGCAGGGAGGCCAACACAAGGCACCTGGCAGCACCACCTGCCCTCAGGCTCAGCAACAGCTGGGGCCGGGGTAGGAGCTGAGTCCCTTGAGCAAGCCAGACCTGAAAGCCTTCCCCTTCCTGGTCCACCTCAGCTCCCCAGTTGTCCGATATCTGAGATGTGCGACCTGGCTGGTGCCACCTCCCTTCTTGTTCTAGAAAGAGGCTGAACTCAGAATGGGACAGTGACCAGCCATGTTCACCCAGCTGGCACAGGGATGCCCCCAGGCCTCATCAGACCTGACCCCTCCGACCCTGCCTGTTTCAGGAGGCAACGTCAGAGGAGCCCATTTCACTAAATGCCACTGTGTGGGTATGAGTCTGTGCCAGGGGCTTAGCCCTAGGGCCTGACCTCCCTCCTTGGCATCTGAGGCCCTTCACTGGGGCTCCAGCCTCCCCCCAGGCTCTGGGGAGGCTCAGCTCAGGGCTCAAACATGGCAGGCCTGTCCTTGGTGGGCCCAGATGCCAACTTTCAGGCTCAGCCACTCCGCCCGCCTCCCATGTGTGGACCTTCACTGTGCCACCTCTTCTGCCTGGGGCCACCTGAACTCCCGGCCTTCAGATAACCCAGCTCCGGAGTCTTCCCAGGCTCAGGGTGGCCTCCCTTCCTGCTGGTGGCAGTGCCTGGAGACAGATGTGGCTCTCAACTCAGCGCTGTTGGGGACGGGGGTGCTCCCTCTGGCTCACCCCCAACAGTTTTGCCAGATGCCGTTGGGGGCAGTGATGCTGACAGCTCCTTGGTGGTGAGCGGGGCGTAGGTGGGCGGGAGGCTGCCAGGCATGTCGCTGGCTCGGGACGATGGCCGGCGGTCCCGGCACGTGGCTGTGATGGGTACAGAGGCCCCCACACCTCCCCCGCAAACACACACACGCCAGGAGAGCGGGAAGCGCCCTGGGGTCCCTCCCCAGGATTGTCCTCAAACCCGAGGCTTCCACAGCCCAGAAGGGGTCACCCTATTCACAGCTTTGGCCTCGGAGGTGGGGGGGGGGTGCAGGCGGGGCTGGCCTCGGAGGTGGGGGCTGCTGCCACACGGTGTCGCTGTCGGGAAATGCACAGTCCGAAGGCGGGGGTGGCTGGCGGGCAGTGGCCCAGGCTGCCCAGGCGGGGCGGATGGTGGGGGAAGCAGGGCAGGGTGAGGGATCGCAGGCATTGAAGGAGGCACTGACCTCCCGGGGCAGGGCTCTCTATGGCTTCCCTGGCAGGGCATGTGGCCCTCCTGGGCCCTTCCTCCACAATTCACAACAAAATCACAAACCGCACCCATGACTGGGGTGGTAAGACACCCAGAACCCAGGCTGGGTTCGCGCTATATTCACCCCATCATCTACACCAGTCTATAATATACTCATTATACATTATATATTCAGTATTGGAGGGGTCATTTTCCCTTCCCGTTTTAAAAGAAATGGAAACAAGACTCTTTCTGGGCTCTCACCTCTGTGCCCCGTGCTGATGTGTGACCCAAGAAAGGCCCCCCGGCCGAGATGCTCCGTGTCTGCCACCTTGCTGGCCTTGTCCTAGCCCTGGCCCTGGATGGCGGCCCTGTCCCTCGGTGCTCAGGCTGCCGGGTTCAAGTGGTGGGCTGGCTTTGCATCCCTCCTAGGAAGGCCAAGGTCAGCGGTGGCCTACTTGAACCTTAGGGCCCAGGGGTCTCTCAAAGGGCCCACTCTGGACAGCCCAGGAGCCCCCTCGAGTCTCTCTGAGCCCTCATCTCCTCGGAGGACAGGGCCACGCCGACCTTTCTTCTGTAGGGTAAGGCTGTGCTCTGGCGGTACTGCCTGAGCTGGGAGGGGTCCGTGGCACGTGGCTCCCGCACAGCCCGGGAAGCTGGGGCCATCCTGAAGGTCCTTGGTCCCCGGCTTTCCTCCCTGGACTTTGTTCTCAAGGCAACTCATCCACATCCCTGGGCACTCTGATCTGGTATCAGCTTAAATCCTCATGGGCGCCCTGGGAGGTGGAAGCTACGGTGACCCCACTGCGAGATGGGAAACAGGTTTGGTGAGCAGAGTGACCAATCTAGGCCTGTCACCCCCAGAACTTCCACAGGCTGCCCTCATCCTATATTTTGGGCGAGTTTTGGCAACCCCATCTCTAGGGACGGCCAGTCAGCAGGGAAGGTTTTGGTCAGCTGGAGGGTAGGGAGGGAAGTGGGGTGAGCCAGGCATCACCTCCTCCAGGAAGCTGCCTCTGACTGCAGGGCTGGGTCCAGGGATCCTTAGGGTTCCCCAGCCCTTGGGCTGCTCCACTGTGATGTTGACCCCAACACATGGCCACTGTGTGTCCCTGGCAGCTCCCCGACCAGGCCTTGAGCTCTGCAGGGCCAAACCCTGCTCCAACTACACAGTATGGGGGCTGGGAGGAGAGGCTGGCTCCTCGGGACGTTCACAGTCTGTTCAGACACAGACAGGGGCTGCGGTGGCCAGAGATGGGTCTGAGCCGTGGACTGAGGGGTGGGGGAGCGGTGGTGAGCAGGAGAGTCCTGGTGGAGGTGAGCACAGGCATGAGGGAGGGGTGCTGGGAGGCAGTGCAGGCAAGGGTGTCAGCAGAGATCTGCTCCGGAGACAGAGGGGGCTGCTCTGAGACTCTGAGGCCTGGCAGTGGGAGTGGGGAGGGATGGAAATGGTGTTTAGAGGACAGAAGTGGCCAGATGTGGCTGCTGACTAATTATGGGGTGAAGAAGGGGATTTGGACAGTGCCCATGTGTCACCCACTCTGGCCCCAGAGGATGATGGGAGAAGGGACCATGGGGCACGTCACTCATCTCCAGCTGCAAACTCCTACGCAGCTGTCAAGACCCAGCTCAGATGGTCCCTGCTTTAGGAAGCCCTCCCTGCCCTTGGGCCCCTCCTCCACGTCCCTTTGCCCTTGGCCCACAGGGTGGCAGCAGCTCCGGGAGGGTAGGCAGGCCTGGGCTCTGAGGTGTTTGCCGTGCAGGACTGGCACAGATGGGTGTCAGGGTAGGGGTGCCGGTCTGCCCAGACGTGGCCATGCAGGGCTGGGGTTGCCTGCAGAACCAAGGCAGGCCAGGAGGGCACAGGGGGGAATCTGGGCCAAGATTGTGGCCTGGGTCAACAGGAGGGGCGAGGATGGGCACTTGGGTGGGGGAGGTGTGGGCCCAGCTGTATCAGCCCCTCCCCACCAGGGGCTCTCGGTGCTGGGCCAGGCATGAACAAGCCCACCCCACATGCCCAGGGCGGGATCACTGGGCCCAGCCTACGGCAGCTGCTAGACGAGGGCCTGAGGCCTCCCAGGAGAATGGGTGCACTTTTGGGATGGCAGTCTGTCAGAGGAATTACGGGTGCCCTGGAAACTGTCCTGAGGGAGGACGGAAGGACAGGCACGTCCAGACTTTGGTCAAGGCACTTAAGGCACGGAGGTGGCCTCAGGAGCCAGGACTTGGCAGTGCTCTGAGCTGCTGACCTGGGGCCTTGGTGGCTGCCCCGTGGGGACCTCTCCACCGGGCCTGGGTCCCGGTGTTCAGCCCGCCTGGCTCAAAGGCAGCACGAGAGGGCAGAGAACGGGCTGGGCCTGGGATCCTGAGCCCAGGGTACAGCACGGAGCCAACTGAGGACTCTGGAGGCACCGGGAGGCGTGAGCAGACAAGTCTCATGACCTGGAACAGCTCGTGGCCAGGGGCCTCCACACTGTCCCGCAGCAGACGCGCCCCAGAGCCCAGTCCCTGGGCTTCCAGAATGAAAGGGGCCAGTTCCAAGTTCATGGTCAGAACAGCTTTATTGAATCTAGCTCCCAGATGCCCACCCAGCTTCGGCTCAGGCCCCCTGCAGGTCACTGAGGTGGGGGGCAGCCCTCCCGTGGGGTCGTGTCACTGAGGTAGGGGGCGGCCCTCCCATGGGGTCGTGTCACTGGGCTCCTCAGGGAAGGCAGTAGGTTGTATAGTTATCTTCCGAGGGGCAACATCACTGCCCTGAAACCACACAACCTACTACCTCACCCCGCCAGGCCCGGCCTTGCACTGCGGGAGGGCCCGCCGCCCCCCGCCCAGCACCAGCCCCTGCCTGGCGGTCCTCAGTCACCAGAGCAGGAGGGCTGGGCAGGCGCAGGGCAGGAGGGACAGGGGAGATGGCACCCCAGGAAGGGGCAGCTGCTGCTGGCTGGTCTTGGGAAGTCCCTGGCTCTCTGGGCCTCAGTTTCCCCAGGTACAGAGGAGCCACTGTCTGCCTTCAGATTGTGCCATGTGGGACCCAGTGTATGCAGAGCTGTTCCTCTCACTTCCTGCTCAGGAAAGGTGCCTTGGCCTCCCTTCCTCCACAGGCAGAGGCCCTGCCACTGAGCTGGCCAGGCTGGGGCACGTGCTGGGAACCTGGGGTGATGGGCAACGCCAATACTCGCAGCCCTGTGACCTCCAAACGTCTCGGCCACCCCTGGCCCCACGGTGCCTTCTCCTGGTGCTCAGTGGAGGGTACGGCTCAGGGCCACCCATGAGCCTGGGCCTGATGGCGGGGGGAGTGTTGGGGAGTGTTGGGAGACAGAGGTCAGACAAACAGCTGCGTGGATCGCCTCTCTCAGTGCGGCTGGGGCAGAGGGTGGGGTCGGCTCAGCTCTCCTCTGCCCTCGATGCTCCACACTGCATCTCCTTCCATCCTCATTTGCCTCCATTTTACAGAGGAGGAAACTGAGACCCAGAGAGATCAGGGGCCTGTCCAAGGTCACACAGCAAGTGGCACCTAGGCCTGTCAGACTTCTCAGTGTAGGCGGCCCCTGCCCCCGACTGCTGCCAAGGCTGCCCCCAAACCTGGCCCTGCCCGCTCCCAGCCAGGGTTCCAGACGCTCTGTCCACCGCAGATATTACAGCCACTTCAGGAAAGACAGTAGATTGTATAGTTATCCCATAGCAGGGCAGAGCCCCAAACTATACAACCTACTACCTCACCCCAAAGGGCAGTCGGTCTTGGTGCCGATGGGACTCCGTGGCTTCCAGAGGCACCTCCTGGGGACGCGGGAGGAAAGAGGGCTGAGGAGAACAGGGGCTCGAGGCTCGGCAGGCCACACGCACCAAGGGCACAGGGATTCTGGCGGGCAGGCGCGGTGGGCGCAGGGGGCTGGGACGCCGAAACCCTGGGAGTGGGGACATTGTGGCCAGCACCAGCAGGGACGGGAGCCTGCAGGAAACCACCAACCAGAGAGGGACGAGGAAGAGAGAAAGGAGGAGGGAGGGAAAGCCCTGGCGGCATTTTGCGACGCTGTCACAGGCAGCCGGCTCCCTCTCATCTGGACAGGAGTGGCCATAATGTCCCCAAGGAACTCTGCACTGGAGACCCTAGGAGGAGGGCTGTCATCTGTCGAAGGCCAGCAAGACACAGGCATGCGAGTGCCCACCCTGCTCGGCCCCCTCCCTCCCCGCACAGCGCCACCAGAAGCAGCACTCGTGGCCCCCAGGCTGGCTGAGTAGCGGCTTCACGGGCGTGCCGTCTCCTCCCACTGGGCAGGCAGGCATCCCTCCCCAGGGGCCCTGGTTCTGGCCCTGCTGTGCAGGCTGGCCTGAGCTGACCGCACTGCAGGAGGTGGCGGGAAGGTTCTTTCCTTCCTTGAGGGAAGTGGCCTCTAGGGGAGAGCAGCTGGGGGGGTAGTCACAGACCCTCAGGTCCACCCAGGGTCCAGTGCCTGTCCCTGCGGGTGCTGGCACACTCAGTGCCCTAGCTTGGGACGCACAGGGCTGGGACAGAGTGTAGCATGAGGATGACACTGAGAGGGCCTCGGGGCTCCCCTAGCAGGGGAACGTGGCGAGAGACGGGCCTCCCTAAGCCCCGCCTATCCTGGGCCTGGTGCAGGGTCAGCCTCAACAAATGCTAATTGTGGCTACCACCTTCCTGGGGAAAAGCTGAGGGGGCAGATACGACTGTCAACCCCTCTTAAACAGGTGAGGAGACCGAGGCCCAGAGAGGCAACGTGACCTGGATGTCACACAGCCAAGGGGGCAGCAGAGTGAGGTCCAAATGTCCTGCTCCCTGCCAAGCTTTTTTTTTTTTTTTTTTTTTTTTTTTTGAGATGGAGTCTCACTCTGTCCCCCAGGCTGGAGTGCAGTGGCGCGATCTCGGCTCACTGCAAGCTCCGCCTCCTGGGTTCACGCCATTCTCCTGCCTCAGCCTCCCGAGTAGCTGGGACTACAGGCGCCCGCCACTACGCCCGGCTGATTTTTTGTATTTTTAGTAGACAGGGGGTTTCACCGTGTTAGCCAGGATGGTGTTGATCTCCTGACCTCGTGATCCGCCCGCCTCAGCCTCCCAAAGTGCTGGGATTACAGGCATGAGCCACTGCGCCCGGCCTGCTTCCTGCCAAGTTAAACGGCATGCTAGCTCTCAGCTCCCCATGCCCAAGTGGACTTGAAAGGTCTACCCCAGCCCTCCTTCCACAGCCCATCCTGAGCAGGCTGCCTACTCCAGGCAGGCCCCAGGCTGGGCTGGACCATTTAATCCTCACAGCCCTGGTAAGGCTGAGATCACGGATCCCACTTCATAGTGGAGAAACTGAGGCTCAGGGGGTGCTGAATCTCTAGCTCTAGGTGTCTTTGCTCTCAGAAGTTGGTCGGGGAGGGGGTCTGCTTGCTCTCTGGGCACGTGTCCTACTCCCTCCCGAGGGGCACTGGAGCAAATCCCAGGTCCTTAGCCAGCAAGGAGACCGCTGAGGCTCACACCTGGTGCCGCCCACCCAGAACTGGAGACTGAGATGCTGACTCACCCAGGAGTGGGGACCAGGAGGGCCCCGATGCAGCCCGACCCTCCTCTGTCCCAGCATCATCTCGCCTGGGGTCGCGAAGACCCCGTGTTCCCTCAAGGCCTCAGAACAAAAGCGGTATGAGAGGGTCTGGGGGTCCTGCTCCCCTGCTCCAATTCTGGGTCCCCTGGCTGGTGGGCAGGACCAAGATGTCCCTAAGGACTGTCCGGGCAGAGCCAGCCAGGGTGGGGTGAGGGCTGAAGGGACAGTGGCTGAGGGTCTCCTTGGACCCTCCCAGCTGTGGTGAGTGGCCGGAGGGGGAAGATCAAGGCCATCCCAGCTCCTCTGAGCTGAGGCTGACTCAGGCTGTCGCACACCTCATGATCAGCTCCCAGTCAGGTGGTCCACCCTGAGTGTCCCTGCGTCTGCCCCCATCTGCACCCCCGGGAGGTGCCTTGGGGGAGGCTGTGGGGTGGGTTGCACCCTAAGCACGCACTCTGGGCTCCTGACTTAATCTCTGAGACCCCCACCCCCTCAGGCTGGACTGGCCACCTGGGCTGGCTGGGTCCCCTCACACCTACTGGGTTCTGACTCATGGTCCCAGCAGGCTAAAAAGGGGGTGGGGCAGGACAGCCCAGTGGGCGGAGCTGTGAGAATCCAGGCCGGCCTCTGGGCTATGCTCTGGGCAGGTCTCATGCCCTCGTGAGCCGTGGTCTCCCCACTGAGGCAAGGGGTCAGCTGCCAGGGCCCCCGTCATCAGCCATCGGAGCTGGAGTGCAGGTGGGGACCACCATACTGATTCCAATGGCCCCAGCCTGGCCCCCACAGGTCCCCCAGGCCAGGACTTCAGCCTCCTAGAGCCTACAGTGCTCACCATGGGGGGACCCAGCCCACAGGTCGGGCTCTATAACGTGTGGCAGAGACAGAATGGGAGACAGGCCCCTAGTCCACCCTGGTCGTCACCACAAGTGCCCTCCCCCTGGGCCCCCAGCCCCACCTGGGAGAAGCAGATGTGACTCAGTTTCCCTCATTCGGCCTTTCTCGTTCTGGGCTAGACTTACCCAGGTGGCATCTTGAGTCATCCTGGGCGATGGCAGGTGGCCTCGGGGCATGAGGGCTGCACTCCAGGATGCCCGGTGGCTAGGTGACAGGAGAGGCCAGCGCAGGAGCTTCTGTCCCCAGGGAGTGCTCGAGGCAGGCTGGGCCCTGCAGACAGGCGGTGCACACAACAGAGCCCAGGGCCAGAGAGTGAGTCTTCAGGGTGTGGAGGTGAGGCTGAGCCTCTTCCACTCAGACGCCCTGCAATGAACCACGGCTCCTTCAGGCCCTGTCCAGCCTGAGGGGTGCACCACCAGGGTCAAAGATCACCATGCCCCAAGTGCACAGTGGGCAGATGAGGTGGGCCAACGGGGGGAGCTTGCTGGAAGAGTGGCGGGAAGACAAGAAGAGACATGGCTTCAGGGGAGGCCACAGCCTGGGCGAAGGTTTGGCTGTGAGACCATCAAGTCCCCACCTAAGGACCTCTGTGCCTGAGGGTGGGGCCTGGAGAGGACCGGGAGTGGCCTGGCTCTGAGATAGCCCTCCCTCCCTATCAGACCTCCCACGGCTCCTCCTACCTCCAGAGCCAGGATGGCAGGAGGCCCAGCTCACTGTGAGGAAGGCCAGCCCCAGGCAGGGGCTCCAGGTCAGCGCCACTTCTTGACCTGTTGGGTTTTAAAAACAAAAGTGACAAGTGTCAGCTCTGGAAGAGACGTGGCCTTACCCAGCTCTGAACCCCTTTGTGACCTTGGGCCTTGCCCAGCCGTCCCGCACCAGAACCGACACTCCAGCCTGGCCCGTCTCTCGCCTAGTGGCTCACCCACCCCTGTAAGGGCCTGGATGGAATGTGGAATGGCCTCCGTGGCCAGCCCTGTGTTGGACAATGCCAGGTCAGAGGGGACCAAGACCCAAGCCTGTCCTTGAGTGGTCAGTGGTCATGTCCCCCTGCTGGGAAGCCTGTGCCCTGCCAGGCTGGTGCCTGGATGCTCTAGGGCCCAGAGGAGGGCAGCAGGATGCACAGGGGGGACAGCCTGGTGCTGCTTTCCCGGGTGCCTGGCCTGTCAGCAGGTGGCTGGACTATGGAGGGAGGGGTTAAGCCCCCATTGCACCGAGGAGGATGCTGAGGGTCCAGGGGGGCTGTGGCTTCCCCTGGGACCCAGGACGAGGAAGGCTTGGGGTTCTCCCACGAGCGGAAACCCCCGGGAGGGGCCCACAGCATCCAGTCTGGGGCTGCAGGGCTTCGGCAAGGTCTTGTCCAGTGAATGAAAACTTCACCTCACGCCAGCCCATTCTGGCAGGAGTGCCCTTGCAGGGTGCGCACGGGGTGCAAAGGCCAGGGAGGTGCATCCAGGCAGGAAGGGATGTGGGTCCCCGGGGCTGAGCCCAAGACGCTGGATGGGAGCAGACATACCGTGGTTCCCTGCAGCCCTGTACCGTGTGACCTCGAGCAAGAGCAGCCCTGCTGGGGACCGGGAGAGTCACCCACCAGGCTATTGAGGGGCCTGTGGGGACACTGGGTGGGGGGTGCCCTTCCCTCCTCCTCCCTGAGCACCAGCCCTGCCCACGCTCCCAGCCAGCTAGGCCGTCTACCACTGTTGACACCCTCTCTACTGTCTCTGCCCCTCCCCAGCATGCCCGCAGCCCGGGCTCCCCCTCCAGCCTCCCAGAGCAGCAAGTGTCCCGGGCAGGCCTCTGCTCCCAGCATTGCCCTGGCCTGTCCCTCTGCCAGGCACAACCACCCTGCTTTTTCCTGCTCCTTTCCCCTGAGGGCCCTGTGTTCCCTGGTGAGTCCCAGCTCTGCCCGCAAGGCTCTAGGACTCGCATCTGGACCACCCAGGCCTGCAGTGGTCAGGGAGCCTGAATGTGGCAGTGCCCGCTCCGGGGGACTCTGAGGAGGGTGTATGGACACATTTCCTGCACACCCAACCCTGCTGTGCTCCACAGGACCAGGACACAGATGCTGTGACCTCAGCGGGCTCCACCCCCACCGCAGGAGGATCTGCACGCAATCAGGAGAACTCCAGCCGACAACCAGGGCTTTCTGGGGTGTGGGGTGGGGAAAGACTGATGTTTCAGCTTCGTGACCCACTCATGGAGCCATTTCTGAGCTGGTGGGGAGAAGGCCAGTTGCACGTGTTGTGGGGTGTGTGCGGGGGTGATCTCCAGGCCCACCTACCTGGCAGCCCTGGGGGTGAGCATGGGGCTCAGGCCTGGGGAGACAGCAGGAATCTCCCCTTTCTCAGGAGGCTTCCTGAGACAGACCAGAGAAACCCTTCGCAGCCAGCCTGGATGAGGGCTGGGAGGGCCATGCAGCGTAAACGGTGCTCCTTGAGCAGAGCTGACGGGGAGTGAGCAGTCGGCAGGCGCTCTGCCATCTGCCAGCTGCCACCTCCCGGGCGCTGCCCCGGCCCCACGGTGTCTGCCCGTGGGCAGGGTGCCCGGCAGGCCCAGGCGGGGGAGGGGCCGGGCCAGCCAGGACAGGTGTGCGGAGGCCTCGGTGGGCAGGTGGCCATTTCAGGGCCGGGCGGATGTCTGGAGCAAGTGAGGCAGACAGACGGTGTCACCCCGAAGTCACCTCGGGCTTGGCTCAGGGCCACTGGGAGCCGGACCCCCCCAAGGAGCACACCCCCGCCACCCTGATTGGGTTTCTCCCCATAAAGCGGCCAGTGTCTCTGCTCAGCAAGCCGTGCCAACAATGGATCTGGGAAAAAGACAGGGAGGGGTGGCGTCCGGGGGCTAGGACGGGAGGCGGGCCTCCTGCAAACACGGCCCAGAAAGCTAACGAGACACACACGGGGCAGCCTGCGGCTCTGGCTCGGCCGCAGCAGGGCAGGGACCAGGGCGAGGTGTGGGAAGCATGTTAAAAGGACCAAAAACCCAGCCATCAGCAGAAATATCTGATTGCAAAATTAAAAAAGAAAATCAATGCAGAAACGTCCATGATCTAAAAATATCAAACTTAAATCAAGATGGGACGGGTAAGGGTTACTGACCTCTCCTCTGGCCTCAGGCTGCAATACAGCTAGGCCGCCCACAGTCTCACGGTCCCCAACAGCATGCCATGGGGACGCCGCGGCAAAGCCACAACTGGAACTGCACTCCTCAGATCCAGGCTCCTCCCCCGGCCCTGCACACTGCACGCAGGTGGGAAGGGGGTGCCCCCAGGATGGAGCGTGGCCCGGACCCCAGGGCTGCCTTCCTTCCAGGGCTGCCTTCCTTCCAGGGCTGTCTGGGGTCCCAAGGTCCCCTCACTGGCCCTCCTGTTAGCACCCTCCCTGTCTGGCTTCCCCAAAACTGACACCCACGTGCTCCGGGTCAGGGTCTCCACCGTCGGGGGTCTGTGCCCTGTCTAGCTTCCTGCTTTCCTGTTCTCTCATAGCCACTAAGTTCTCAGTGGGGGTGGGGGGCAGGCTCAGGGAATGTCCACTCCCTGGGGCAGGGGCCAGGCCTGCTGTGGCCACATGTCCTGCACCTAGAACAGGGCCAGAGGTCCAGCAGACACCAACATTGTGGCCACAGGTGTCAGCGTGGAAGCTCACAAGAGTAACGCAGCACCCGAGACACCTGAGGGCTGGCACTGGCAGGGGAGGACCCTGCTCTGCAGACACACCTGCGTCCATGGGGCACAGCCCTGGGGGCTGCCAGGCTTGGTTCTGACCTGCTCTGTCTCCCTCAGTGATGGGCCTGGGATGGGGTAGGTTAACCCCTCTGGGCCTCAGCTGCCTCCTCCGTATGATGGGTCAGGACGCCAGCCCCCAGGGCTGTGGGGAGAATCCGGGGAAGCTGCTCTTTAATGCTCCCGGGTTACGCAAACAGGCTTGCTTGGAGTCCAAAGGGGAAAAGCAGGAATGCGGAGCCCGCTCTTCTCCTGTGGGGATCTCTGTCTGGTGTTTAATCATTAGGCATACTTTTAACCTCAAAGGCGTGTACTTATCTGAAAACATTCTTAATTCAAGCCACAGTCTGGGTCACAAGGTGGGGAGGGCAGGAAAGAATCGGGGGTGGCAGGGGGCGGTGACCAGATGCAACTACATCATTAAAAATACCCCAGCCTGAACCCCGCCCTGTGGTCACCCCACCCAGCAGCAACTCCCCACCAGAGACCAGCCCTTCTGCGGTGGGGGGCTTTTCCTGCCGGGAAGCCTGGGGCTCCCGTGTGCCCCAGGAGGATGCGGGCCTGGCCTGGCATGTGGGGCGACTCTGGTCTGGGCGGGCAGGCGGGCAGCATTCCTCCTTCCCATGCCCGGCTGGGTTTTCCCAGGGTGAAGGCAGGGCCTGGGCAAACTTCGTTTCGTGGTGACGGAATGTTCTGTCCAGGAACCACAGGGAGAGGAGTCTGGGCGGGGTGTAGGGTGGCATCCAGAGACCTTCCCAGGCCTCAAGGGTTTGGCTGGGTGCCCGGCAGGTGTCTGGGGAAGGGTCTCCTCCAGCGAGGAACTGACCCACGGCCACGTGGCGAACACAGGCCACCGTGGGGTCCACCCGGCACCACCCCATGCTGCCCAGAGGACCTGCGTCGACCCCTAGAAAAAGCACACACTCATCAAACGCCATTCTCTGCTTCACGTGGTGATTTCTCCTGCCTTCTTCTAGGAGGCACACTGCCCTCCAGGGGATCTTGTTGCAAGGATAGCAGGAACCGATGTGTGGCCAACCCCACAGGGCTCCCACAGGGCTCCCACAGGGTCCACCTGCCCCCTCCCCGCCTGGCCAGGGGCACAATTGTCCTCCACGGCCAACACCCAGCATCTCCCTGATGCTGCTCTGCAGCCACCCTGGCCCCTGGGGGTTCCTGGAGACCGTCCCTTCGGAAATGTGCCACTTGGGATCCTCTGGCTACTGGAAGGGCAGGTGCATGGGCCTGTGACGGGGCAGGAAGCAAGCTCAGAGGCTCAGGAGAGGCCGAGGGGCTCTGGTGGGGAGGGAGATGCTGTCTGGAATGGCTGAGGTTGCGGGGATGGGGCCTGCAGGAGAGTGGGGGCTGTGGAGGGGCCCAGGAGGGAACAGGTCCTCCACTCCTGTGTGTCAGAGACTTTGGCTGGCCCCAACACAGGGAAATCCTGGCCAGAGTGCGGCCCTGCCCTCTTCCTGAGGATGGCGGTGCCCCTCTCTAAGCCAGAAGTTGGGCCGGCCACTGAGAGACCCACTCCCGGCCGGGCCAGGCCAGGAGCGCGATAGGTGCAGCCGTCAAGGCCTGAAGGCGTCACCCCTGCAGAGGTGCCGGGAGCCCAGGTGGGCCCCACACCCGCCTGAGCTGCCCTCGGCCCAGGGCTCCCCCGCCAGCGAGGCTGTACTGGCCCGGCCCTGGCTCAAGGCTTCTCCGTCTGCTCAGCAGGGCTGCCTCAGGGTGGCGAGGGGCCGGCAGGGCTGGGTGAGGGGCCAGGACTCCCGGGCTGCCTTGCCAAAGGCTGGCTGGTGCCAAGCCTGGGGCAGCCACGGCCAAGGCCAGACTGGGCGGGGGCCGGCGCTGGGCTCTGTCCAGGCCGCCAAGGGCAGGCAGGCAGGCCATGGCCGCCCTCCCTCCCAGGCCTCTCCAAGGCCACGGCCACCTCAGCCACAAAATGGCGGCAGGCCGGGCGGCCATTTTGCAGAGCGCTTGGAAGACAAAGGCCGCCGCGGGTGGGAGTGGTGATGGGGCCGGGAGGAGCAGGAGCCACCGGAAAAGCAGCACAGTGCCCGCCCCGCGCACGGCCCCAGAGACAGGCAGGTGGGCCCTTCTTCTGCCTAGGCTCCCAGCAGCCGGGGCTTCTAGAGGCCTTGTCGTCCCGTCTAAGGGTCTTGCAGTGGCCCCGGGGGACTGGGGGCTGCCTGGGGCACTGATGCCCTCCCATGTTGCAGCCCAGGTGGCCTAGCCTGAGGCATGACCTCTGGGGGAGGTGGCAAGGGCCTACTGAGCCTGGGCTTCCGGATTCAAAACCTTCTTTTGCCCCCAGACCCGGGGAGGGCCGCCCCTCATTTGCCTGAGGTTGGAGTGGTCCCCAGACAGGCGGCTCGAGGGCCTGGCCTGAACTCCGGGGACCACTGTGCCATGAAGTGGCTGCCACGGGAACGCTGGGGAACCTGCTCCAGGGATCGGAGGCTGCTCCCCGCTCCACCTTCCACGGCACCCCCCCAACAGCGTGGAACTTTCGGGGCCCTGCCGACAAGGGTCGGGGGTGGGGCCCACTCGGCCCCTCCTGGAGCCCTGCCCCAGCCAAGCTCAGCACCAGCCACTTCCCAAACAAGCCCCGAGCCCCGTCCTGCTTATCTGCCTGGTGACCGTCTGTCCACTCCCCTCTTGTGTCCCCTTCTCCGGCCTCCTCTGGACAAAAGGCACGGGCCCCATTGCCCCCAACAAACACTCGCTGGATGCAGAGTAGAGCCTGGCAGGCAGCACCTCCAGATCCAACAGATGGGCGGCCCCAGGGTGCCACAGGGACGCCTTCCTGCCCCCGCCCAGCAGTGGTCTCCATGTGTCTTCACCAGATCTTATTGGGAACCCAAAGGTCCAGCAGCGAGGCTGCTCTTGGGCTGGGGGTGCAGCCACATGGCACTCCCTCCCGACCTGCACAGAGCAGAAGCCTGTGATCGTCACCAACCCCACTGCACAGACTGGGAGGCCAAGGCCCAGGGCGGCCGAGCTGTGGCTGGCAGAGGGGTGTTTGTGGGGCCGCCGGGTCAGGGGAAGATGGTACTCACACACCTGAGGACTCAGCCCAGGCCTCTGATGGGGACCGCCGATCCAGAGCCACGGGCAGGGCCTTCATCAAAAAACAAGAATGAAATTAGGGAAAAGCCTGCACAGTGTTCATGGGGTGGGGGCTGCCTGGGTGACACAGGGCAGCATCAAGGGCAGGTGCCACTGTCCCCATCACCGTGTCACCAGTTGCCCTGACGACTCTCTGGGTGTGAACGGCACAGCCACCTCGCCTGTTCCCGGGGCCTCTCCCACGTGGCTGCTCCACGGTGGGGCTAGACCAGCTGCACACCGCAGGCTCCTGGGCACATGCTCCCAGCTGGGGACCTGGCCGGTGTGAATGCTTTGCCACTGTGACACACCCACCAAAGCCCCTCACACCTGGTGACTCACTCAGTCCTCGTGACAACCTGATCAAACGCAGGAATGGAGCGGCTCTTCCTTCCCCCACAGCCACAGCCAGCGCAGGAGCAACTGTGCTCCCCATGTTTCAGGGATGAGGGAACGGGGACCCAAAGAGGTTTACCTGCCGGCGCACGGGCACTAGGAGGTCCTTCTGTGTTGGGTGAGCCCAGGAAGCCCCCATCAGGAGGCCCGTTTTCCTTTTTCAGGGACAGCCAAGGGCCTCTGACTCCCCAGTTCTCGAGGCCAGCCCAGCTGGGTGGGTGAGGTGTTTTTGGAGAAGGGCACGTCGTACCCGGGACAGCTGGAGCAGCGACACGAGGCTGCGGGATGAACTGGGAGCCTGCTCCTTCCCAGAGCTGGACATGGCAGTGCTTTCAGCTCACTACTGTGTGGGGAGCAAGGCCCCCAGCCTGGGCCATGCCTGAGGCCAGGTGCCCAACCAACCAGGCCAGGGAGGGAAGCCAGAGCTGAGGAGGCAGCAGCCTTGGCCACTGCCAGGAGCACTGGGGCTGGGGGCCTGGCCCACCCCGGCACCATCCCGGCAAGGGTCTGAGTGGCAGGGCCTGAACCCACTGCACAGCCAGACTTCGGAAGGCTCGGCCCAGACCCCAGACCTTCCCCGCCCCTGAGGGATCTGGTGGCCCCACACCTTGGCGAGACAACGTTCATGGAACCCAGAGGTGTTTCTACTGCGGGGCAGCTTGGGGCCAGGGCCCTGCTCTGCTGTATGCCAGCCTGGTGGCCAGGGCAAGCCCCGTGGGCTCTGGGAGCCTCAGGGGAGGGGCACTCAGCAGGGCCATCAGGAAGAGGGATGACTCCATGTGACTGGCTCAGGGCTTGGCCCACAGGAACTCCTAACAAATCTGAACCGAATCAAGAAGGTGTTTCACCCAGGTGAAACCTGCAACAGCAGGTGGCTGTCCTTGCACCCTGTCCCATCCCTCATCACGGTGAGGGCTCAACTTCATGCTCACTAAAGTTTCTCCCAGACAGAGAGTGCTGCTCAAAGCCAACAGGGAGGTGCCGCGTGAGGGCCATCACTCTGCATTTTGTCCATAAAGACAGCCCCGACTTACCAGGATCCAACTTAAGATTTCTCAACCCAAAGGGATATGAATTCAGTAGAAACCAACCACACTTCAGTACAGTGTTGAATAAATAACAGGAGATCTTCAACACTTTATCATGAATAGGCTTTGTGTTAGATGATTTTGCCCAACTAGAGGCTAACATAAGTGTTCTGAGCACGTTTCAGGGAGGCTGAGCTGAGATATGATGTTTGGTAGTTAGGTGTATTAAATGCTTTTTTGACTTACAATATTTTCAATTTACAGTGGGTTTCTCAGGACAAACCCCACTGCAAGTCAGGAAGCATCTGCATTTTCAGCAGGACTGAAAGATCAAATGCAGGGCCATTGTAAGGGCTTGCTTGCTTCTGTCTGGGTATAAAAAGGCATCAGGCTGGGCGCAGTGGCTCACACCTGTAATCCCAGCACTTTAGGCCAAGGCGGGCAGACCAGCTGAGGTCAGGAGCTCAAGACCAGCCTGGCCAACATGGTGAAACTCCGTCTCTACTAGAAATACAAAAATTAGCCTGGTGTGAGGCAGGCACCTGTAATCTCAGCTACTCTGGAGGCTGAGGCAGGAGAATCACTTGAACCCGGGAGGCAGAGGTTGCAGTGAGCCGAGATCGCACCACTGCACTCCAGCCTGGGAGACAGAGTGAGACTCCCGTCTCCAAAAAAATAGAAAATAAAAACATTAAAAAAAATTTAAAAAGGCGTCTGGGTATTTGACATGAGAACAAACCTCTGTCCCCTCGACCTGCATGTGGAGGCCACCTGGGGCCGCTGCTGATGCCCTTCAACCTCTCGGGAGAAGAAAAAGTGCCACTCCACCATCTGCAGAGGCTGCTGAGGTCACACTGTGGTCCCCCGGGGCCCATTCTCAGGCTGTGGATGCCAGGTCCATTAGGCAGTCTTGGAGCTGGCCGATGTGGCTTCTCAGCATGGTTCTGCCATGGGGTGCCAAGCCATCACCCGTCTCACGTCTGGGTTTCCCATGCACCCACATCTGCACCCACTCCTGAAGGACAGGGCGGCCTCTCCATCAGCCAGAACCCAGGGTACCCAGAACAGGAACGAGTCCCTTCAGAAAACCAGCCAGTGCCGGGTATCAAGGGGGCCACGCGGCCGCCGGCTCTGGTTGGGGCTGTGGCTCCTGTTATTGCCACCAAGTGTGGGTGAGGCACGGGGCTAATGCCATGGTGTGGCCAGCAGGATGCCACCTCCTGAGCGTGAGGCCCATGAGAGGTGGGCAAGGCCGAGGGACCTGCCCGGCTGAGGCTTCCCCATCCTGGGCCAAGGCCTCCAAGGGGAGCAGTTTTGAGTCAGCTAAAAAACAAACGCTGCTGAAGGAGTCCCGGTCCCCATGGACCTTCAATGGCTCCCCCAGTCCAAGCCAGCACCCCAGAGGCCCTCCACAGCCCCAGCAGCCCCCAAGGCTGCAGGCCAGAGTAGGGCCAGGCTCCTGATCCCCAGTCTCCGTCTCTGCAAGAACAGTGTGGGACGGTGGCCCTGCCTTGCTGGTGGTCCTAACGGAGGGTGTGTGACCCCTGTGGTGATTACGCCAGCATCTGGCATCTGACGAGCACTGAGTAAGCACCTTCTGTGTGCGACCAGCCTCATCTTCCACGGATCATGCATATTGGGGTGCTGGTCCCAGCCCTGGACTGTCCACTCCCCTGCAGGCCTCTTCTCCTCCACTCCAGGCCCTTTCCCACACATCCTGAGCCTCAGCAGCTGCACACGGTGCCCCCTGCCCATGATCCAGGGGACACACCCTTGCAGCCTCCCTGGACATGTCAGTCCAGGCTTGGGAGTCAGAGACTCAGGGAGGGGCACATTCCATGCTCAGTCCTGTGTGAGGGACACGCCTGTGGGGTCTGTTTCATTTGGACCCTAGAGACCAACACTGCTGCCTGTGGGATGTCAGAGGGATTACATTAGGTGGTGGCCAGCTGTGTATACAGGGAGGGCTGGGTACAGGTGGGATGAGGTCCCACGGGCAGGCCTGGGCTTATGGTGGGTGCCAGGAAAACCCCAGTTCCGTTGACCAGATCGCCTTGGCCAAGACCCACTAGGTCCCTGTCAGATGCCTGGGGTTAGCTGCTCCCCCAGGCTGGTATCCCTGTGACAGCCCCACAGTTCCAAGGGCTGCCCTGCCCTGTCCTGCCTTGTGTCTCCTCTTCCCCAGTCCCTGCCCCTCTCCTGTCCCCACGCTGTTCTCCTTCCTCTGTTACCCTTCATCCCCTTTCTCTTCTGTCCTGCCCCTCCTCCCTGATTCCCCCAGGGGCCTCCCCCTACTCCCCACCTGTGTCCCTCCCCACTCTCCGCTCGGCTGGTGGCTCAGCCCTGCGTGCAGACACAAAGGCCCCGGGGCAGCGTCTGCAGAGTCTGGCGGGCAAGGCCGACCTGTAAACACGCCGGGCCCCAGATGGCAGAGGGGTCCGGGCCAGACACCGGCTGCTCTGCTCACATGCAGCAGCCTGGGGTCCTCTCCGCACAGCCTCGGGAGGTGGGCCCGCCCCTGGCCATGGCAACGGTGGGGAGGGGAGAATGCCAGTCCTGCCCAACCCACATGGCCGCACGGATGCCCCAGGAGGCAAGAATCATCGGCGACAGTCTGCACTCGGGGGCTGGCTCGCCAGGGCGAGGGGCCTCAGGCTGGCCGCAGCCTCTGAGCAGTTCCCAGCATGACAAGCCCGCCCCCGGCCATGGCCACCAGACAGCCATGACAGACAGCAGCAGGCAGGGGACATCTTACCTGCTGAGCCCCCAGCAGGTACTGCAAATTGCCCTGTAGTCACTGGTCCCCTAGGCTGCCCCTGGCCTCCCCTCCCAGGGCCCTTGAGACAGCTGGATCCTTGCAAACAGGAGTGTCACCCAACTCAGGCAGAAGGGAGCCCAAAAAACAGGGCCAGACCTGGACCAAACCCAGCTGCTTGGAGCCCTGGTCCCTCAGTTGCAGAAAGAAAGAGGCTGGTGGCCGCAGAAAGAGGCTGGTAGGGGCAAGGAGCAGGAGGCCGGGCTAGATCCAGCTGAGCCCGTGCCAATGGGCAGCAAGCACCTGCCTGGCTCCTTGGCCCCCAGAGCTCTGGGGCTGGTGCATATACACGTGTGTGCTGTGTGTGTGTGTGTGTCCAGTTTCAGGCACGCCCGGCAGAGGGTGGAGCCAGAAGGGAGGGATGTGGGGAGCCCCAATTTTCATCAACATTCACAAACTGTACTGACCTGAGGGTGGACACAGTCCCTTGAGCTTCAGGCATCACCTGGGGAGGTGGCCAAGGGTGGAAGACCTGGAAGGAAAGAGAAACGCTGAGGAAGTCTTATGGTGGAACCCCCGGGTGTGTGGGGTGCTCTTCCCTCATCTGTTCCCTGTCAGCTCTCACCCTGCCTGCCCTGAGACCGCCATGAGACCTGGGCCCAGCTCAGGGGCTGCCCGAAGCCTTGGGTGCCCCCAGGCCACCTGGATGGTGAGGAGGCTGGGTGCGGGGCATCCCTGTCCCACTGGGCAGGGCGGCAGGTAGTGGTCACACAGTAGGCCAGGGACCCTTTGCTCTACTCCCTCACTTCTGGGCCTGGAGTGGGGTCTCTTCTACCTGTCAGGGTCAGGCTGAGCCCCTCGAGGACTCTGGGCAGGGCAGACCTGGCTGCAAGGTGGGGCCTGGGGCTGGGTTGGTGCTGGGGTTTCCCCTTCTCTGCCAAACCATCCATCTCCAGGCTGCTTGTGACTGGAGTGAGTCCTTCCCTGCCCAGGCGGGGAGTAAAGACGCAGCTACCTGGGCCGTTAGGTCCCGGAGGATCTTCCCTAGCCCACGATGGGCTCCTGATGTCTCGGGTGGTGCTCTGGGACGGGGCCACATTCTGCAAGACACAAGGAGACCAGGAAGTCAGCTCAGGAGGTCTGGTGGCTGAAGACTGGGGAGGGAGTGAAGGTGGCCTCTCCCTCCACCCCTCAGGGACCCCTCACAACTTCCTGCAGGTGGGCCCAACCCGGCGAGGCCTGAGGTTAAGAACTTTCCTGGGAGACAAAGGGCTGTGAGGACGGCCTCTGCCTTTGCCTCCGCTCCTGCCTGACACGCACGCCCAAAATCAAACCCCACCCGCTGGCTCCTGCACGCGAGCTGTGGACGTGGATGTCCTCTAGTGTCCACAGAGGAAGGGCCAGTGGGGCTTGGGGTGCTGGCTCACAGCAGAGCACCGTCTCTCCACCTCAGTGCTCAAAGAAGTCCCTGCCACCCTCGCTCAGCCCTGCCTTGGCACCCACTGTTCCCGAGGGCTGGAGTGTTCTCCCACCATCAAAGGCCCCATTCCTACCCATTATTTAGGCCACCTCCTCCAGGGAGCCCTCCTCAATCAGGGATCTCCCTAGCTCTAGCAGTAAACTGGGGGTCTCTTGAAATCAGCTCACAGATACTTGCAATGCCCATCTCTCCCCAGGCCTGGTAGCTCCATGGCATGGATCATGTCTTATGTGGCTTTGTCCCTGGGCCCAGCACATAGTGCCTGGCACCCAGGATGCTGGGAAGTGCCCCACTCATCCCCCATCACTCCTGGAATGACATCCAATATCTGGGACTTACAAGGTACAAATGGGACTTTGGTTCTTTCCGAAGAGGTGACTCAAGTGGTCACTGTGAGCCACAGAGAGAGACACCCCAAGACTGACTGCAGGAGAACATCAAGGCCCAGGAGCCGGCATTCGCCCAGGGTGACCCAGAGGCCCGCTCCTTCCCCTCCCCATCCTGCCTCAAGTCAGGCTGGCAGGCGGGCACCGCTCGCTATTGGTGAGGATTCGAGGGCAAACCCAGCCCAAGTCTGATGCCACAGCTGGGGTTCTGCTGGGCCTTAGGCCAGACTCAGGTGGGATGCTGAGCCCTGAGTGGGGGTAGGAGGAAGGTAGGGTCCAGGTCCTGAAGCGGGAGGGCGCTGCACAGCCTTGCACGGCTGCACACCTCGGGCACTGAGGCCCCCGGAGACTGTTTTCTCTCCCACACCCCCTGGAACCCTCCCCAGGCCCAGGCTTCCCAGCTCCTATGGACCCCAGGTTGCAAGAATGCTTGGCCGGCTGGGTGGCCTAGTGTGGCCATCCCAAAACCCTGTCGCCTGAGGACCGGGGCCACTCTCCTCTTTGATAGCTGAGAGTGTGAGTGGTGCTGGGTCAGGGACGGGGGTAGGGCCAGGAGTCAACCCGGTCACTGCTAACTAGCTAGGGGGGCTCCTTCTCAGCAACACTCCTGGCCTCAAGTTGGTTTCATGAGGCTTCCGAGGCTGGGGGACCTGCTGGTGGCATCCCACAGATGTGCTTGGCCACACACTGGGCAAAGCCTACAGCCAGCACCCCCACCCCGACCCTCTTCCCATCCCACAGAGGCTGTGCCATAATCAGCCCATCTCTGAAAATGGGAACAGGTCCATGGTGACAATCTCCACGCCCACTGAGGGCTGGGAGGGGTCTGGGGTCCCACAGAAGCTGCAGGTGATAGATAGCAAGGGGAGGTCGGCGCAGGCCCGCTGCTCCTGCCTCTTGGACAGAGCCTGCAGGAAGCGCTGTGCTGCATGCTGTCCTGACCCTTAGGAGGCTGCACTGAGGCCACAGAGCCCGTCATCAGGGTGGCTGGGGCGCCCTCTCCACCTCTCCCACCAGCAGCCTGGGCCAAAATAAAAGCCCCCACCCTGGGGCCCAGCGAGTCCTGATAGCCACTCTAATAACCCTGGGTCCCCCTGCCTGCCACCCACGGAGATATCCCCCTGCAGGCTGGTTAGGAAATCCCATGTGGCCCACCCTCACCTGCCACACTGGGCTGGGACCACCCCAATGCCCTCACCTGCCGCCCTGGGCTGGGACCACCCCAATGCCCTCACCTGCCACCCTGGGCTGGCTGGGACCACCCTAATGCCCTCACCTGCCGCCCTGGGCTGGCTGGGACCACCCCAATGCCCTCACCTGCCGCCCTGGGCTGGCTGGGACCACCCCAATGCCCTCACCTGCCGCCCTGGGCTGGCTGGGACCACCCCAATGCCCTCACCTGCCGCCCTGGGCTGGGACCACCCCAATGCCCTCACCTGCCGCCCTGGGCTGGCTGGGACCACCCCAATGCCCTCACCTGCCGCCCTGGGCTGGCTGGGACCACCCCAATGCCCTCACCTGCTGCCCCGGGCTGCCTGGGACCACCCCAATGCCCTCACCTGCCGCCCTGGGCTGGGACCACCCCAATGCCCTCACCTGCCGCCCTGGGCTGGCTGGGACCACCCCAATGCCCTCACCTGCCGCCCTGGGCTGGCTGGGACCACCCCAATGCCCTCACCTGCCGCCCCGGGCTGGCTGGGACCACCCCAATGCCCTCACCTGCCGCCCTGGGCTGGCTGGGACCACCCCAATGCCCTCACCTGCTGCCCTGGGCTTGGGACCACCCCAATGCCCTCACCTGCCGCCCTGGGCTGGCTGGGACCACCCCAATGCCCTCACCTGCCGCCCTGGGCTGGCTGGGACCACCCCAATGCCCTCACCTGCCGCCCTGGGCTGGCTGGGACCACCCCAATGCCCTCACCTGGAGCAGACAAGACAGGAGTTCTGGGGCCCCCCAGGAAAAGTACCACAGACTGGAGCTCCCCAGACAGCATGGGGACTGGCATGGCATGCCCCCGCTCAGGTTCACAGGGCTGCCACCAGGGCAGGCCCAGCCACGGAGGCCCACTTTTTTGTAGCTAGCCCAATTTAATGTATCTCGAACCCAGGTTAGCATCAAAAGTCTGACTTCCAGGTTACAGGAGCCAGGGGAGGGGAGGGGAGACGGGACAAGCCTGTTCCCCCAGTGGCAAGTGGAGAGAGACTGAGCAGCCTTTA
Organism: Homo sapiens; assembly: GCF_000001405.40. NCBI lineage: Eukaryota > Metazoa > Chordata > Mammalia > Primates > Hominidae > Homo > Homo sapiens. The sequence goes on along the minus strand of NC_000022.11, from coordinate 46,094,942 downwards.
GTGGGGCCCGAACCCCCCTGCGCCAGGGCAGCTGCCGAGGGCCCAGCCCCACAGGCCACCTCCCGTCTGCCCTGGATGTACCAGAGATGTGGGATTTCTGCCCTCACAAGTGAGTGGGCACCAGCTTTGGGGCAGGTGTAGCCCTGGGAGCTTCAGCTCCCCGGCTTGGAGACACAGGAGCCCCATCAAGCAGCACCAGCTCCCGCAGCCTGCCTGCCACCACTCACCCAGTGACCTCCCCTCCTCTCTGCCTGGTTTTGGTGACTGTGTTCTTGAGTTGGACAAATGCTGCATTACCTGCCTACGGAGATTTTAAAAAATCGGAAAATGCTCTCCTCCCTGGGGCTGCCTGAGCCTCCCAAGGCTGTCCCTGCTCTGAGCCCACACCCCGAGGTGTGCTTCCTTGCAGGACCCCTGTGTGGCCCCCAGGACAGGGCCAGCTTAGGCCATTTTCACAGATCGTGGCCCATCGAGGCTGGTGCTAAACCCATTAGAGTGAACACGGGGCTGGGAACAATGCCCCAGAGGCCGATCCCCAGCCCCATCCTAGCCCCTTCCCTGCCCCTGCCCACAAGCACCCCTAGGTCCATCCACAGGGTCTGTTCCCATCTCAGCTCTGCCCCTGGTCATGCTGCACAAGCTCCTTTGCCTCTCTGGGACCCAGTCTCTCTGTCTGTAAGATGGGGACAATGACACCCAACTTCTTGGATTTGCACATAGGTCAGAGACGATGTTCCTTGCCTGGGCATGGTGGGACTCAGTGGACAGCAGCACCCACTGCTAATCCCCCAGGGGGCTTCGAGTACATGGGAGAAGTCACTCCAAGCTCCAGTGCCTGGAGAAATTCCTCCCCCACCTCTTTTCATACAACTGACCGCCAGCTCTAGCCTGGGCCTGTGGCAGGAGGGGCCTGGGAGGAGGCTGCAGGGGCTGGCTGGGAGATGTGGCAATAAATGTGGCCAGCAGGACCTGAGCAGACACTTTTGGGGGCAGCCCAGGAGGCTCTGAGTGCCCTGCAGGAACCCCGATGTTGGCCAAGCTGCAGGGCCTAGGCCCGGGACCAGGACTAGCCAGGGATTCAGACTCGTCTTATCTTCAGCAGTGAACTGGTCCCTCTCCAAGGTCACATGTAGGAGAAACATCCTCCATGCACAGGTCAGTTATACCAAGGGCCCCTCAATTTACGTGTGAAGATGCTGTGGAAAGGATTGAAATCCGGCCCTCAGTAATGCTGTCGGATGTCCAAGGCCTCAAAGGAACCCCAAGCAGGCCGGGTAAAGTGGTTCATGCCTGTAATCCCAGCACTTTGGGAGGCCACGGCGGGCGTATCACCTGAGGTCGGGAGTTCCGAGACCAGCGTGGCCAACACAGTGAAACCCCATCTCTACTAAAAATATAAAAATTAGCCAGGAGTGGTGGCGCACGTCTGTAATCCCAACTACTCAGGACGCCAAGGCAGGAGAATTGCTTGAACCCGGGAGGCGGCAGTATCAGTGAGCCAAGATCACGCCACCACATTCCAGCCTGGGCGACAGGGTGAGACTCTGTCTCCAAAAAAAAAGAAACCCAAGCAGTTGGGAGAGGTCAAAACACACGGCAAAGCTGCAGGAGGTCACATCCCCGAGTTTCCCTGAGTTTGCACAAACCAGGGCCATATCCCCATCTCAGCCACTTCTCTTGGGCCAAAATGGCTCCAGTAGGGACGTCTGATGGCTACCACGGCAGCTGGTGTGTTCAGAGCACAGGGGGAGTTCAAGTCTCCAAGGACACGGCATCTAGTGGGGGAGCTGTCACCCCTGGGAGAAGCACAGGCTCTTGAGCCACACACAGGTTGCACAGAATCTTCTAGGCTCTTCAGTCTTCAAGAAGCTGGCCTCTCCTCTCCGAGCCCCAGCTTCACATCCTAAAGGCAACTATTTACACCTACTCCGTGATCTGACGCCACAGTGAAGAGAAAATGAACAGACGTGAAATTCCCAGCGGCTTGCCCGGCACACAGTAGGTGCTCACACGAGGCAGCTGGCAACGACTGCTAACCACCAAGTTGGTTCTGGAAAAGCAAGCCACGGCCAGACACGTGGCCATTCACACACCCACCGGGAGCTTCTGTTCCATTAGGGTTTGTCACAAACACTGCTGGTATCTGTAACGGCAAAACGACGGGCCACCGGTTCTAGATGAGAGAACTGAGTCCTGCTTTCTTTATAGTATTGTTTCCAGGCATCATACTCCCAGCATTCTAACCATGTGCCCGAGGCTATACAAGGATGGATTCTGCCCCAAAAGCAGCAGCAAAGTTGCTCTCATCAGCCACGCCAGATGTGGGGGAAGCTGGCCTTGTAGCACCCCTGTGCACCCCAATCTCCAGAACACCCCTTCCTTCCCCTTCAATCGGCTCTGCTCCTTTTAAATGGAGGAAATAAAATGTGCCTGGCAGATGGCCGCCCCATGACCTCCTGAGCATTTTGCAAATGTCTCTCTTTTGGGGGAGAACATGTTGCGATAATTTAGCCAGGCTAGGGTCACTCTGGCCAGATGATAAGTTTTGTAACTTAAACATTTTCTGCCCATTGCACAAGGAATGGGTGCTCATTCAACAAAGTTCTGGAAAATTGAGAGAGAGAGAACGTGGCAGCAAATACTGACAACCCTGTGCCAGGCCTGGCTCGCAGGGGCTCCCGTGTGCGTGTGGACGTGGGCCGCCTCCACCTGCCCACAGAGGCTTCTCCCATTGTGAACGGCCACACGAGAGTCCGGCAGGTCATGTTATCACAACTCCTCAATTCAAACGCCCAACCCCAGGAGCACGGCTGGTGCGTCGAGCTTTCCACATTTAAAGAGGCACTGCATGAACATCTCTGCAATAAATCTCTCCTCTGTCCTCCAGGTGGGATCCCAGGTTGAAGCCCAGGAATGTTTTTATGCCTGAGGCAGCCAATTCCACACCTGAACCCTCAGAACCCTCTAGAGATCCACTACATGTCAGAAGTGGGGGTCAGAGAGACTGTGGGAAGCTGAGGCTCAGAGCCGGGGAGGGGCTGGCCCAAGATCACACGGCCGAGTGGGACCCAGGCCCTGCTCACTGGTCAGCCGTGAGCTTCCCAAGACGCACTTGAAAGGCCTTCCCCGAGCTGCCTCGGGCCCTCTGGACAAAGATGCCAGGCCCCAGGAGGATGTGTGGCATCTACACACTTGTTCATTGCACCCGAGAAGGTGGAACGTGGAAAGACGAGGCCATGGTAGCTTCGACGGTTCCTTCCGGAGGGACCAGATGGGCCAAGGACCCAGCTGCCATGAGGTGGCCGGAGAGAAGGCCCAGCAGCGTGAGGGCTTCCTGGAGGAAGAGGGCCCAGCAGCATATGAGGGCTTCCTGGAGGAAGAGGGCCCAGCAGCATATGAGGGCTTCTTGGAGGAAGAGGGCCCAGTAGCGTGTGAGGGCTTCCTGGAAGAAGAGGGCCCAACAGTGTGTGAGGGCCTCCTGGAGGAAGAGGGCCCAGCAGCCTGTGAGGGCTTCCTGGAGGAAGAGGGCCCAGCAGCGTGTGAGGGCTTCCTGGAGGAAGAGGATGTTCATGAGCTACGATGCAGAGGAGGGACTGTGCAGGAAATCTGTAAACTGAACCTAAATTCTCTGACCTAAATTAACAGAATGCACCACCACCCACCGGTGACACCTGACGGGTCAATGGGTCCCTGCCCTCCATACCCAGCAGTCTGAGAAGAAAAGGCTCCATGACCCTTCTGGGCCACCTCTGTTTGTTAATATTCCCCAGTGAAACCCCCAAGCAGTAGCCTTGGCTTCCCTGTAGCCTGGCGCACACAGCCGTCCTTACCCCACAGCAGGCAGGATGGTCCCCCACCACGGGCTGCACCAGCCTGCCTGCTGAGTGCAAAGATGCCGTTTTTGATGACGTGTGGCTTCACAACCTCTCGGATGAGTCCTGAAGTGGAACTTACTTAGTGGAGGTGGAAAAATAAACTTGCCGGGGCAATGCCACAGCTTGGTGGCTTCTGACGTGGCACTGAGCACAGGCAGGCAGGTCATGGCTTTCTCTTCTGATTCATTCACTCATAAAATATTTCCCAGAGGAACACTTCCCTGGCCCCAGACAGGCTACTACCAGGCCCCAGGCCCCACAGCAGGGCAATGGGTGAGTGGAGAGCAAGGAGGGCTTCCAGGAGGAGGTGACACTAGGCCATAGTCTACAGAGGTCGAAGATGGGGCCACGGAGGGGGTCAGGGCTGGCTGTTGAGGGTCTCAAGAGTCCCCTGAAGGGGAGACTGGAATTCAGCCAAGAGAAGTACAGGCACCCTGAAAGGCAGGAGACAGGGCAGGATGGGCAGAGGCCTGCTTCGCGACCACAGCCACCACCATTCCACCCGCATCCCTTGTTCTAAGGAGGGACAAGGGCCTCCCCAGCCCTTCCCACCAGAGGCCACTGAACCTGGCCGTGGTAGAGAGAAAGGCCTAGGGTTTGGGCCGGTGGCCAGGCTGGCTCAGACTCCACCGTTTAGAGGGCCACGTGAGGCTCGACCTTCCAGACCTGGGCTTCCTGGCCTGTAAGACAGGGCCGGTGATCCGTCAGGGTTCTGTGAGGTGGCCCCAATGACAGATGTCAGTGCCCAGCACATGGAGGAGCTGTGTCCCGTGCTGCGTCACCTGCCCAGGGACTGCCGAGGGCCTAGACCCAGGAGATAAGGCGGAGCTCGGGTGCTGGGCCCACCTGGTGGCCTCTGTTTTCCCCATGGCGGCTCTCCAGGGTGCAGGGCACTGGGAGGGAGGGGGCAGGGAGCCGCCAGGAGCCGCCTGCCCGGCCGTAAATCACCAGCCACGCTTAATAATCATGTGGGTACTTAAGCTCCTCCGTCTTCTCTTCCCCTTTCCCTGGGGAAATTTCCTTCATTTCCTACCTTATCCCAGTCTCCCCGAATATCTAAATCAAGCCCTGGCCAGGACCGCGGCGGCCGCTCTGTGCCGACGCCCTCGGCCTACTTTCATCGGGATGGTGGGGTGGGGGGCGCAAAGGCAGGGGGTGCAAAGGCCGTGGCCACCCAGATGCGGCCACTCGAACCAAGGTTTCATTCCTTCCCAGGACAGAAAACTGAAAATGCCACCAAGCCCGCCCTTTGAGCCACAGTGACAATGTCCCCTATCACTGGGACCAGTCAGCAAAGCCAGGTTGCCTCGGGCAGGAGGCAGGGGCAGAAGCTGAGTGGGGAATTGACTCGGCCTCTTGACTGAGATGGAGGAAGAGGAAACGCCAACTCTCAGGCTACCTGGGCCACCAGGGCAGGGTGGCTGTCACCCAAGAGCCTGCCAGCAGCCCCTCCAGGTGGGCCTGACCACAGTCAGCCTGGCCCTGCTCTCCCATCATGGAGCTGGGCTCTCTGGGACGTGTGGTCTGCCTTGATCATGACAAGGATGCGGGGTGGGCGCAGTTCCGGTGCTGTCTCCTGCCATTTATCCAGCTTTGATCCCGCCTCTCGTCTCGTCTAACTCTCACCCTGACCAGGAGATCAAGGTTACTAGCCGCATTTTACAGATGAGGATACCGAGGCTGGGGGAGGCTAAGCAAGCTGCCCACCCCACTGGGCCATTCACTCCCTGCTGCCAAGAAGGTCTTCCACCTCCCGGGCTCTGTTCATCTGTGAGCTGGAAACGTGTTCCCAGGCCATCACCAGCACCCACAGGGCCCAGGGGAGGCCAACGCGCACCACCACCCCAGGCAGCAGGAGCTGGAAGGTCCCACGGGGAGAGCCATGCTGGCCACTGGCAGGCCAGGCAAAAGGCCCCAGTACCATCACCACCTCCCCGCTGAAGCCTCCCAACTCCCAAGAGCTGGAGGAGGAAGACACCACCAGGACGTAGTCTGGGCTGGGGCCACCTTGCTGCCGACCCTAACAGCCCAGCACCCCCAGGTCCAGCCCGGCGAGCTCTTCTCGTAACTCAGCCACGTGGTGGTGGAGGCACCTTCCCAGGCCTCCCTAGGCTCCCGGGGGATGAGTCGGCCAGGTTTTTAAAAGCTGGATCTCATTTTCTGCCCACATTTCTGACCTCCGGAAACCTCTTGGGGAGTTTTCCAGAGCCCTTCGGATTCCGGCGCAGGCACACTTCCTGCCTCCGCTCACTGTGTTCACAGCCAGGTCACTGGGTGCCAAGCAGATGCCAAGGCGGACCGGCGGGTATCGCTGCCCAGGCTTCTGGCTACACCTTCCATGCTGCATGTCCGTGGGCTCTGGCTGGCTCTTGGCCCCTCAAACAATCATCTCTGGTCAAATTCCATGACTCTTTCCCTAGAAAAAAAAAACCCTCTTTGAAAGCAAACAAAAATCCCAGTTCTGAGAACCCGGCAGCAACAGTGTACTGTGGCTTCATTTTCTCTTTGTCTTTCTTTCTCGGCATTGCAAGGAACTCAAGAAATAGATGGAGCTTTTCATTTTACAGATGGGTAAACTGAGACCCGGAGAGAGGAAGGGGCTTATTCAAGTGCCCACCAGTGATTCTACGGCCCAGCCAGGATGGGAGCCCAGTGCCCTGACTCAGATCCAGGGCTGAGTCCACGACACCAGGACCCAGCAGCAGCTGGCCTTCGATAAGAAAGGACAGGGGAGCAGCCACGGTGCCGGGCATCAGGCACCACCGGTGGGTGCTGGCCAGGGCGGGCGGGGCCCAGACCGCTGGGTTCCCTGGCACGGAACGGCTGGTGCTCGGTAAATGTGGGAAGAAACCCCCAGGGGAAGCCTTGAACTGCAGGGGCAGAGCTCAGGGAAAGCAGGCCGGCTCTAATGGAAACCAGTCAGCGGGCCAAATGCAGGAGGAGCCCCCCCCACCGTGGTTTCCATGGGGACGGAGCCCGGGAGGCGGAGCTCTGGCATGGCTGCTGCAGCAGATGTGGCCTGTACAGGGCCGGCACGGGGCGGTGCCTGGCAGTGGGGCCCTGGGACGTGGCAGGTCCGAGGGCTGGACGCAGGGGCCCTGCAGCTGCAGCCCTGGAGGTCAGCTGTGGGAAGGAGCGGGGGCTGCGGGGCTGCCACCTCTGGAAGGCTTCCTGGCATCCTAGGATGCTCCGGCTAACTTCTCAGCCCCGCCTGGTACTGGCCTCTGTCTGGTCTCCGTCTGGTGCCCGTGTTTGCTGAGGACATGCAGCCTGCCTCTCAGTGAGGCCGCCATGCCTGTGGGCCAGGCGCAGGCAGTGCAGGGCTTAGACCTTGGGTCTAGGGCTCCAGCCCCTCTGGCCAAGGCCCCGGTGCTCCACCAGGTCTGCTGGATCCCGTCACTCGACGGCATTCTCAGGCCTCTTCCCGTGGCCGTCCTGGGGCCTGGCACATGATGAGTTCCATAACCTCTCTGAGCCAGTGCTCTGCAGAATGAAGTGGGCTCAGAACTGCTCTGAAACACGAGAAAACCCGTGGACTCAGGGCCATGAGCGCCACAGCGCTCAGAGATGATTGGTCATCCATGAACGTGAACCATGCCGACAGATGGGGTGGGGTCTCCAGAAGGTTCTTGTGCCCCGTGACCTGATGTGGTCCCCGTCTGCCCATGCAGGGCTGGTGTCTTGTGAGCCCATCCTGGTCTGGCACACGGCATCTGGGTGTACAGTCTCATACGTTCCCACCTCTGGGCCGTAGGAACACCAAGAACGAGGATGACCACAGCTCCCTCCTTGCCACCGCCTGCTGCCACACTGCGTGCAGTCTCACACCTGCCAGCACACCAGCCTGGGCACAGAGCCCGAGAGTGGCAGGGTGCCCTGGAGCCCCATACAGCCCAAACCAGCATGCGCTGAATGCTGGCCACTCAGCCAGAGAGGACTCAGGGCCTCAGAGCCAGAGTGACCCATGACCCCAGGACAATTCCGGCTCTCCCCGGGGCAAAAGAACTCCAAGCCGACGGAATGGTCCTTCCTAGTGCTGGGTGTCTGGAGAGAACCAGACAAGGCCAGCATCCAAGAGAGGCTGAAGATCTGAAGATAAACAGGGATCCTGTGTGGTTCTGTGCAGGCACAGTCGTGGGGAGGACCTGGGTTAGGGAGAAGGCTCTGGTACCTGCTGGCCCCGTGACTCTGGGGAGATCCCTCGGCCTCTCTGAACCTTGGCCTCCTCATATAGAAAACCGTTAGCACCCACACGTCACTAGACTGGAACTTCCACCCAGACAGGGACGCTGTCTGTCCTGCTTACTCCACATTCTGGCCTGAGAACAGCACTGCTACGTGCTGGCTCCAAATGGATGTGGCAGGGAAATGGAACTGGCAGATTAAATTTAAAAATGGATGTTTATCAAAATGGATGGAAAGCACCTGGCCTGGGGTCTGGCACTTAGTATGTGCTCAACAAAGCTCAACACCCCTTGCCATGTGGGGCTGAGTCTAACATCCAACATGCACTGGCACTGCCCTGGGGGTGCCAAATGCGGCCCCCAGCTTTCTCCCCTGGACCAAGGCAGGGGATCTCCACCACCCAGGGTTCCCCGCTGCTCCTGCCCTGCTGGCCCCCGTCGCCCTGGCAGACGGAAATGCTGCAGCGGCCTCATCTTTCCCTCCACGGCTCCTGGCCGAGGCTGTGGCCGCCGTGGGCCGGCGTGGCCCCAGAGAGCCCATTTGCAAGCTGCTTCCATAGCGCAGATGCCTCGGGCAGAGCCCAGTGGGTTTGAGTCATTTGAGTCCATCACAGGAGAGACCTCACCCCTGCTGCTGGAGACCCAGTATGGAGGCCCGAGCCCCCTGCGGCTCACCCACCAGGTGCTGGGAGTCTCCACAGGTGCAGGCATTGGGCAACTTACTATCTCAAGCTGAAGGCGCCGTCTCCACGCCGCCCAGGCTTCCAAATGCGGCCACACGGACTTTGAAGGGCGTCCGCTGCAGGGTCACAGGCGCCAGTGTCTGCTCGTCTGGACCTCGAAGCACCAGGCCCAGGAGGAGTCCTCCTCTCATCGAGTTGAAAGAAGCCGCACAGGCGGGAGGCCTGGCAGGGTGGGATCCCTCCACCCACGTCTGGGCCGGAAGCGTGGGCACACCCACTCCAGGAATCCTAGGGCGGGGTCAGGCTCCCAGGAAATGGGGCCAGAGGTTCCCTTGCAGGCACTGGCGCAACCCGGCTGCCTTCCCGGTCCCCACCTCCTGTGGATTCCTTCTGGGGTTTTGCCGGAATGGCTGGCCCAGCCCACACCCTGAATCCAGCCCTCATTGAAGCTCGGAAACCCAGAGACTCATACCAGCCGATGCCAGGACCCTTCTCCAGGACCACCCGAAACTGCCACTCACCCGGTGCCACCCTGGCATCTGGGTGAGTGCTGGGTAATGCCATCCTGTTAAGGTCATGGGAAGGCAGTGGGTAGGGTTTGAAATGGGCTGAGACAGGCCCACCACAGAGCCTGGGCCTCCCGTCCCCTCTTACTAGGCCAAGGCAAGGGAAACACCAACGAACCAGGGGCTCCCCAGACCAGGATCTCATGCAGTGCCTCCAACCATCTACTGAGGCGGAGGCTGGAAGCCCCATTTTAAAGACAGAAGCTGGGACCTTGTAGTAAGAACCGTTTTTATCACGGTCTCTTTTGTCTGAAGGTGTGCTGGGCGTTACGCCGTCTCATCAAACCCCAGGCCCTGCTATGTTCCCTATTAGGAAATAAGGCCACTAAACCTCCCCGTGCCCTGGCACGCAGGTGCACGTGTGTGCATGTGGGCAGACAAACAGACCTGCCCGGGAAGGCCTGGCCAGCTGGCCGCTTCTTGGAGAAAGGCCGCTAGCACGCTGACCGGCCGACAGAGGCCTTCTGGGCCACTCCCTCCCTCGGCCCGCCTTCCCGGTCCTGTTCTGGGCCTGCCCACGCCGCCATTTCCTCTCCGGGGCCCGCAGGCCTCACTTCCACTCCTCCCAGTCTGCAAATGGCCGGCGCCCAGAACCGCCTGTCCACATAAGGAGGCAGCAGCGCGTCTGGCCAAGGCCCAGCATGCAGGCCACTCAGCCAGAGCCTCCCTCAGCAGTGCTGAGCACCTACGAGAAGCCCACGCCTGGATGCCCAGTCCACCCGCTGCCAGCTTTGGCTAGCCCTGGACTGGGGAAAACCACCCTTCTTCCCACGGGCATCCCTGGGGTGGTGGAGAGCCCATGGCACAGTCATCCCCAGGTGTGGTCTGAGGACTGTGTGGCCCACTCCGACCAATGCACCTCCAAACACCAGCTCACCTCTTTGGAAACTGCCGACCTACCAGGAACCTCACGCAATGGAGAAATAAGAGGACACCTATGCACACGTGCAAACATTACACGCACACACCTCTGCACCTCTGCGTACCAACATGCTGTCCACACCCGGGGCACCACGCACACGCGTGCCGCAACACGCGTCGGTGAATGCTATGGCAGCACATGGGCTTTGAAGGATGGCAGGGCTGGGTTCAAGCCCTGGCCCAACACTTATCAGCTGGTTGAATCTTGGGGAACCCACTTAGCCTCTCAGAGGTTCGCTGCTTCCCCTGGTGGAATGGAGGTAATGAAAATGCCCCCTTGCAGGCATAGTCTGAGCCTTAGAAATAAGGCAAGGAAGCAATAGCATTTATGGGGTGCTCACCATGAACCCAGCTTTCCATGTGTTCAGAAAGTTGACACTTACTGCCTCCATTTTACAGATAAGGAAATGAGGCCGGAGAGGTGAAATGACTTGCCCTTGATCAACACGGCCTGGAAACAAAGACGACCCCATCTGAACCGAGACCTTGGGTCCCAGAGCCGGTGCTTTTCTGAAAGCAGGAGCCCCGGTACACAGCGGGCACCTGTGAACAGCAGCAGAGAGTGCTGTTGCTACTATTACCACCATCGCCATGCCCACCGCTGCTTAGAGGCTCTGCGGCCCAGAGGCTGGGGCCTTTTCACTTTGCCTCATCTTTCAGAGCGCCCAGACCAGGGCCATATTCCTCTTGCTAAGGAGGCGGGAGTCAATAGGCTAAAAGACCAGAACTGGAAGGGATGATGTCGTTAAAACCACCAGACAGCAGAGCTGGCTCCCAAGCGGCTCTGGCAAATTTCATCAACTTTTTACTTTTCTTATGATTTGCTAACATCTCCACCAACAGGTACATCCCTTAAAATAAACAAGCCACAACAAAGCACTTCTACGAACAAATGGATGTGGCGGCTGGAGCTCGCAGGAGGCAACACAGGGGGCGCGCCCTTCCCTCCTCCCGGCCACTGCCACTGAGGCAGGAACGTGGGAACGTGGTCTCAGCCGGTGAGAAACTGCAGAGCCTGAATCCAGAATTTAGAAACACAGAGGCAAACACTTACACGTATGGGAAAAGAAAAAAGCCTCCACTGATGGCCTCATAATATGAGCATATTTGCAAAATAAACAGTTATCATCATTTGCAAATTATTGTGGCTGTAAAAACTGCTCTGCCCTCAAGGAGGCTGATACAAACCAATAAATTCTGCACTTTGTTATCTTGGTGAGATAATTTTTTTTTAAGTTTATGGCTACTCTATGTATTTTACCTGCTGAGTTTTTTTGTGGGTGGTGTTTGGATTTAAATGTATCTTTAGACCATCCTAAATATGAATCATCTGATTTTTCATAAAGGCCTCAAAACAATAGGCAACTCGACACAGAACAGAGGTTTCACACCTCCCCTATAGAGATTAGTAAGATATTAAAATTATTAAGATGTTAAAATTAAAGTCAAAAGATATTAAAAACCACACCCACGAGTTTGAATTTAAATCTTGTGTTCCACTGCTAATGCTGCAGCATAAGAGAAAAATTGGTAATTAATTAAAACATTGATGGGCCTTTGACACAGGGCATGTGGGGTCTTAAAAGATGAAGACCAAAAATTAAATTCAAGTTTAATGAAGGTGATGATCGTTCCTCTGCCGAATTTTCCAGGGGATGAGAAGATCATTGAATAAGTCTGTTTCTATACACAAATGCAACTTGTTTATTTTGACCCCAGTTCTTCGAAATTGTCGACTCCACAATTGAAATATGCTGTGTGTTCCAACAAGTACCCAGCAGCCGTAATGACAGACCAGCCCATCTGTGCTGCGAGAATGTATAATTTCAGTCTATAGTGGAATTTATATAGAAGCGATGATGTGAAAAGTGCTTTGCGTGGTACTTTCTTCAAAAAAAAAAAAAAAAAAAAACTGCCGAGAAGCACTGGGAGCCATGGAGAATGCTGAGATTTTGGCCTGATTTTTTTAAAAAGCAGAATCCACAGCATTTTACTGATTTTGAGGTGGGGGGAGGGGTCAAGTGTTAACCAAGCTAAAAAACTAAGATGATAGTTGATCACATATAACGGTCCCAGGTATCCAAGGTGTACACAGGAAAGTGTGTTATCCATACATGTTAAAAATACTAGATAAATTTAATTGCAGTGGCAATATTAATTTAGAATGAAAATGTTCCTTTATGTGAATTAATTGATTTTTCTGCTACTTGCCCCTACCCTGTACAAAAAACAAAAATGATAAATTAATAATCAGGAAATTTTACCATCTCTCATTCCAGGACTTAGAATTAAGGGTCTATTTGCCTACATTAATTATACCAAAAAAAAAATATGAGTGGCCAGCTATTAAACATGTGAATTCTTTTAAAATGCTGAACTCTCCCCACTTTTCCCCCGATCCATTCCCTATCCATCCCCTTGACTCTTTTGCCTTTGAAATGTATTACGCTCTGTTTTTTTTTTCTATTACTTTTATTTTGCCACCAGTGTTTTATTTGATGCTTGCTAAATATTTGGGTGGCATGAATCCTCCAGCTTGCAGCAGCAGAATGTGGCTGTCATAATCATGAAATGTTTTAATTATCTCTGCTATATATGCCTGTTTCTGCAGCCCCAGACCCTCCAGTATCGACTGCTGGCTCATCTACGAACAAAAGCAGCCGCCGAGAGTCCTCGTGTGAGCTTAGCTCCGTTTACAGATTTGGTGCTGTCTGCCGAGGCCGGCCGCTCAGACCGAGGCCCGCGCACGCAGGGCCCACGCGCCTCCGAACTGGGAAAACAAAGATGGATTTCCATGGGAGTTTTCCTCTCAGTGCCGTTTAGAACTTTCCGGGTCTGATTCTTCCATTTTCTATATATCAAGACCCTGGCTCCCCTCAAGGGTGGGGAACCAGGCCGCATCCGAGGACGCTTTTGTCAGCCTGCCACAGCGTGGAGGTGGACATGGGGCTGTGCTCTGCAAAGCCCACCTCTGAATCAAAAGGATCAGCACTTTTGGAGGGGCAGGGACCAACAGGGACACCCGGGCAGCCACTGAGCCCAGCTCCTGGACAGAGGTGGCAAGGCGGGGGGACTCAAAGGTCTTTGAGGGACTCCCGGCCCTGCCAGCCACGTTTCAGGCCCTGGACGACCTGGGTGTCTCCCCCAACAGCTCTGCAGGTGAGGAACTGGGGTGGGATCCAGGACACGGGCAGGCCATGAGGGCACTCAGGGCTTCCCCAAGGGTCTGTGTAGTGAACGGTGCCCACGCGCACGCCACACACAGTCTGCGGTCAGGGCGGTGACAAGACAGGCCCAGCACTTTCAGGCGGAACCCCCAAGTTGAAATAAGTGCTCAAAAACAAAGCCCAAAACAACCGAAAATATTTTTCCCCACACTGAGCTGAGGGCCAAAAGGAGCTTTCTTTCTTTTTCCTTTTTCTTTTTCTTTTTTTTCCAAAAAATAAAACGAAAGGGAGAAAGAACTAGATCCCTAAACTGTGGACATGGTAGCATTAAAGATGCCGGACAAAATAAAAGGGCCTCTGTTTCTAGATGCAAAGTCCTCCCTCCCGGGTGCCAGCCTGGCCCTGCCTGCCGATGAGTTTGCTGGGAGGAGCCGTGGATGGTCCTGGTGGTTTTCCTTTTGCCACTCCTGGCGCCGCCAAAAATTAAGACAATAATAATAATAATAATAATAATAATAATAATAATAATAATAATGAGACCCCCACACAAACTGCCACAACCAGGAAGGCAGGAGTAGGCCATGGCTATTAATACTCCCAAAGCATTTGTTCCCATTAAAATGGAAGACGCAGCTACTGTGAAATAATAAACATTCATTTTTATTGTGATTTCTAAAGCCTGTAGCTTTGGATCTTGAAAGTAAATGGGCTTGGCTTCTGCATTTTCCCTGCAGTTTTTGGCAGGGCTTCCTGCACGGAAGATGGAGGGCTCTGAAATAGAATTCTGAGTTTGGAGAACCAATTAGAGGGAGGACACGTAACAGGCACCGGGGCACAAGATGGCAGCACCCTCGGCTCGTCTTCACGACAGAAGGAAAGAAGGTGACTTACCCGAGGTGCCGGAGGATGGAGGCGTCTTCTCCAAAGCCAGGAAGTGAAAATGACGTCCCTGGGCCCAGCCGGTCACCCGGGTGGGGGAGGAGGGCAGGTCCCGCCGGCCAGCAGGCTGCCCGGTGCCAGCCCCAGCTATGGGCCCACGGGCCCCCTAGTCTCTGGCCGCCGCCGTCCCTCGGTCCAGTGGGCCCGGCTGGGCCTCGGCCACCCCGGCACAGGGGGCAGGGCTGCCAGGAGCCATGTGGTGCTGGGGGAAGGCCCCGCTGCCAGCCCCGGAGTACGAGGAAAATGCTACTTTTGTCTCCTGCTCTCATCTGGCACTGGCTGCCCGGGGAGGGGGGGCAGAGGCGGCCGCTGCAGCTCAGCCCCGCCCACCGGGAATTTTTGAAAGATGCTCGTGGGTGCGGGAGGATGGCAGACGTGGCAGTGGCGGGTGGGCTGGGCCCCCAAACCCACCACCAAAAAAGGAGGAGGCTGGCCGGGCGGGAGAGGGAGGAGGAAGCCGGCGTCTGGCCACTCAGTGGCCAGCCAGGGAGGACACGGGGAGCGGCTTGCCTGGGCCTGGCCAAGGCGCCCGCACCCCGTGGACGGACAGCGCGGCCCGGGCGCCATGCTGTGGGCGCCTGCCTGGCCGGGCTGCTCTGAAGGGCTGGGCGTCCAGGCGGCCTGGCTCGCTCCAGGGATAGAGGCCACATTGTTCCCACGCCAGGCTCAGCAGGAGGCAGCCAGCGCCCCGGCTGTTTCCCCAGGGTGAGGCCAGAGACCCCACCCTGAAAGCTGCCCTGGCTGGGGCCCTCGCAGTGAGTCCCCTTCTAATGCCTGTGGAGGCTGGCGCTGTTGTAGCCGGGAGCCCAGGCTGCAGGTTTCAATCTGGCCCTGTGTCCGACTGGCCACTTCACCATGGGCAAGCCTGCCTCAGTTTCCCCATCTACAGAAAGAAGGGGGATAATGGCTCCTCCCACTCAGGGCTGCTGGAGTGGCAGAATTAACACGTACAGAGCCCCAAGCCCCAGGCAGGCACCCAGTCAGCGCTTGACGCCGAGGGGTCCGAGAGTGGCCAGCCAGCCACGGTGGACAGGGCGCCAGGGGTGGAGTCTAGGCCAGTCACCCTCCCCTCTCAGACCCTCACATATCCTTCGTTTTCACCAAACCAAACCTTGCCACCGCCTCAGGGAAACATCCCTGTTCTCTGGCCCTACAACTGGGGTTGGCAGGCCTGGGGTTTCACTGTGGCTCTTTCATTTGGAGACAAAATATCAGACCCCGTTGCTCTCTCCTGCGGGCATCAGGCTGGGTCTGCTGGGTCACCTGTTTGTCCAGCTCTCCCCTCTCACCCTCTATGTGACCGCGAGCTGCAGCAGTGACCACTGGGGTGTCCTTGTGTGGGTGAGAAACAAGGCCAGAAGTGTGGGAAGGGGTTCCCCAGGAAGCGGTGCCACCCACCCCACGGCCGTCTGGGGGCAGGCAGGGCCAGCTCTACACCAGAGGGAATGGCGTGGAGTGACCACTGCCCAGCTCTGGGCCTAACTCCTGAGTGTATGGGACATATCAGGGCCTTTCTGTGCATAAGGACTCGAGGTAAAGGGTGGTCTGGGTGGACCGCGAGAGCCCGGTGGACTGTGAGAGCCTGCCGCCGTGGACAGGAGCTCCCTGCTGCCCGGATTCAGTTTTAACACTGTTTTACGCCTGCTCAGAGCCAGTCCTGCTGAAAGCCAAAAAAAGGGGGTGGGGGTGAGTGAGCGAGGAGGAAGCGCCCGGGAGGAGCCCTCAGTCCTGGGCTCTGGTCTCACGCACACGGCCACGTGACTGGCTCACCAGCTGATGCCAGAGACAAAGCAGGTAGGATTCCGATGCCATGCGCCCCACCAGGAACGCCGGGAATTCCATTCCAGCAGCGGCTTGGCCTGGCTGCCAAAAGCCTGGCCCTGGGAGGGGAAGGGTCCCTCATGCTCCATGGCACGGGGCCTGCCCTGCCAGCAGGCAACATCGGGAAGCCACTGAGGACGAGATGGCAACGACGGGACCCACAGGGGCATGGCAGGGGAGGCAGGGCCTGGGTTACGGTTGCAGGAGGCGATGCTCGCCCCTCACCCACAGAACTGCCTCGACCAGAAGTGGCCACTGCTGTGCCCGGCTGGCCGCCGAGGAGATAATGGCCTCCAAACCAGGCCTGCAGGCCACCGTGGGGCTCAGGACATGAGGGCAGTGGGCCTGGACCCCAGCCCGTATCAGGCCCTTCTCAGATGGAGCTGCAGGCGGTGAGGCTGGGCAACCATCGCACTGTGTGGGGCCAGAATCCCCGTCAGGCCCTTCTCCTGGCAGTGCGGGGAGGTCCCCACAGGTAACACCCATGTAGCTGCCATGCTCAGGACACGTGTGCCCGGGCAGGCCAGAACCCACACGGTGGGCAGCGGGGACTCTGGGTGATGGGTAGCCCCCATTCAATTCACGGCAGCTTCTCTTACAGTTAAAAGACACGGAAAACTGGAGCGCCGGCACCATCATTTTATTATAATTTAAAATGTAATTATAAAAGGCTGATTTGAATGTAAATATCTCTCTTAAACACATGAAAGGGGATTCTAAATTTAAGAACCCCAAATCAGCAGGTAAATATTTCAGCTAAATGCTCTTCCTGCCATCTGAAATGCCAGAATGAAGGAAAGGGCGTTCCACGGGGCGGGGGGGAAAACCGCCCTGGTTTTAGAAAGCCAGAAGCATCAGGGACGATTCCTTCTAAATCTGGAGGGAAAATTCTATCACTGCTTAAAAAATTGTTTGGCCTTTTTACCGTGTAGATCTCATGCACACGTTTAGTATCCACAACCACCAGTCTTATTTTACAACACTAACCGGTGACCCTGCGGTAACATCTCTACTCGGAAACCCTCTCGGCGCTGGCTGGACAGTGGCCCAGCCACTCTCTCCACACAGGTTCCTGGGTGGTCAGAAAGATGAGACTCCCCAGTCCAGACCCCACCAAGAAGCTTCCCATCCCTGATTTCCGTTTTACTTTCAAACTGCCTCCCACCACGCACAAAAAAGTGACTAGAAACCTGGTTTTGGGGTTTTTCTGCCCATTGTCACAAAATTTCATTCTTTTTCATGATTTCCATTATACCAATTCTACCTATAGTGTCAGAGGCTCCTGGACACCCTGAAAGAGAGCTCTCTTCTGAGTGGGCTAACGTACAGGGCTACAGGGGCCAAGCTGAGAAGCTCTGGCATTGAAAGAAAAATAAAACGTGACAGCCGATTGACGAAAAAATAAAACCTCATTTCTGAAGCCAGATATAACTGGCCAAGAAAGCTGCTTGGGTGACCCTGGTCCCCCACCTGATCAGGGCCACTCCCTCATCTGTCCTCCTTCAAGGCATCGCTGGGGTGTCCAGACAGGTCCCCGTAATGTGCCGGGTGTCCCCAGCTGATGGGCCACCTCAGCCTTCCCAACGCTCCCCGAGCACCACAGATCGCTTCACTACGGCCCCAGCACGGCCCGCTCCTCCCACATCTGCTAACGGGAGCCTGGACTCTGGCCTGGCTTCTCCGGGGCAGCTCCTCCAGCACCTCAGAGAAGGGACCAGGGGATGGCTCATGTGTAGGCCTCTTCATTCTGTCGATTCAGAAAATATTCACGGAGCCATAACTCTGGGCCACATTTGTCAGAGTTACAAAAACACCCTCTCCAGCCTGGAAGGGTGTTTGCTTGTGTGTGGCTTCACCAAGTCAGGCCAGACTCTCCCACAACCTACGGGCCACTCCCAAGTTCATCTGAGAATGGAATTTGGGGAGGAGCAGACACTGGGAAACCACAAATATTGGCCCAAATCGCCCTCTCGATGGCCTCTCCCTTAGCCCTTTGGGGACAGACCCTTCCTCTTCTGGGCTCTATTTTTCCTCACACTTCCATTTTGTGACCCAGCCGGCTAAGGCCAACTGGGCCTGGCCGACGGAGGCCCCATCCGGCCCACGATCCCAAACGTGGCCGTCTTTCTAGCACTCGCCAAGTGCAGCCCTGCGGCTTTCAAAAAAAAATCACGGAAGAAAACAAAATTAACTCGTGCAAGCTTAGCCTCCACTCGACAAAGAAAGCCAGACGTGCCCA
Source organism: Homo sapiens (assembly GCF_000001405.40). Lineage (NCBI taxonomy): Eukaryota > Metazoa > Chordata > Mammalia > Primates > Hominidae > Homo > Homo sapiens. The sequence goes on along the minus strand of NC_000022.11, from coordinate 46,076,547 downwards.
CTGAAATTGTTCAAGAACCACGGGTCAGGAGACTTTCTTTTTTCTTCTCTAAATCTCTGTCCCCAACTACATGTTTGGGGCTTGCCATTCCCGGATGCTCGAGCTCCACGGACCGTCCCAGCCCAGGGAACACTGGGCAGCCCTGAAAATAAATATTTCATATGAAAGATCCATTGTCTCTGCTTGGAGACAATTGTTGCTTTTTCTCCCTACTCAGTTCTATAACATCAGAAAGCATGACCCATGCCATTTAGAGCTCTCTCTTATTCCGACAAGATGTTTTCAGCAAGGACGATCTTGCTGGGTCTTCCTGAACAACCAGCTAGGAGGGAAAATTCTCCAAAGCAAGCATTTTGGTTAACGTACCAGGCCAAAGAACAATTAGCTCGTCAGAGTGGTGAAACCCTCCCAACAAATCACCATCTGCATTTCCAGCGAGGACGCTGGTGGCTGGTGTGGCTGCTCTGGGCCCCTGCATCAGGACGTCCTGCCCCCTTCTTTCCTGCCCCTGAAGTGGGGGGGGGGGCAAAGGTCAGATCCAGAGCCAGCACCCAGGCATGCTTTCCGTCCTGTCCCTGGGAAGGAGTGCCTCCTCCGTCAGCACTTCCCGGGTCCCCAAGGAGACCCTGGTCTCATCTTGTGTACCCAATGTGAGGTGCAAGATGCATCTGGAAGCCACATTCACACCAAGTCCCTGTGGTGAGAAAAGTGCTGGCTCTGCAACCTCCTGCCAGTCTACCTGGGAGGTATCATCAAGGTCCACTTTTGCTCCCACCTGTGGGGCCGGGAGAGTAAACTTCTTGGTTCATTTTCTGATGAGACCGAAGTTGGGTTATCTGTTACTTAGAATATAACATCATACAATATATAAAATAATAGTAGTGGCAAGTAAAATAAATAAAAATTAAACAACAACAGTGATTATTGTTGACAACAATAAGTGACAACAGCAGTAGCCATTTATGTCCCGCCCCTCCCCGACAACGTGCCTGGAATGGTGCTTTATGGAAATAATGTTTGAAGTCTCTGAGGTGGGTTAACACTCTTCCCGCTTTACAGCTCAGAATCCAGGCTGAGGGAGGAGCTCAGATGTGCCAGGGTCACCCAGGGAGGGGCAGGGGCAGACTGAAGCTCAGGGTGCAAAGACTCCAGCTTGCTGCGATTTCGGCAAGAGCATTCTCCTCTCTCCCCAAACATGCAAAGAACCCTCAAAACCCAGCGACAACACCCCAAGGAAGCATGGTGGCTTTATGGTGTTTCCTGCCCGGCCTGGAAGGACCCCTCCCTTCCCAGAGGCCGCCCTTCAGCACATGCATGCATCTACACTGCACGAGAGGTTCCCCTGGACACGAGGCAGCACCTGCCCAGGCAGGGTGCCCATCTGGGTGGGCAGAGCTTTTCCCAGTTCCTCCTGGGCCACACGGTCTGCCTTCCAGTCACACGCCATCCATGCTAGGTAGGAAAGGCCCCACCGCCCTTTAGGGGGTCGGAGGGAGTGAGACAGGTTCACACGGACAGCCTGACCCAGCCAGGTGCAAACCACATAACAAAAGGTAACCCTGCTGCAAAGCACCACGCTGTTGCTGCGGAGCAAGGCAAACTGCTGGCCTGCACCTGCTCAGGCAGTGTGCACGAGACCTCAACATGGCAGAGGGGCACTGCCCAAGTGGAGCCCAGCTCGTCCCCATCAGCACCCTGGAGACCCTTCTCACCCAGGAGGGTCTGGGGCCTGGTGAGGCCCCAGCACAGGCAACGGACTATCCTGGGGTAGGCCCCGGTTTAAAACAAAACCAGAAAAACCGGGGCCCATCCTTCCACCAGCCCACACCATAGTCCTTGTGGCCCTGGGCCACTGCTTTCCACATTCTTGATGTTAAATCCAGAGGTGATTAAAAAAACAGACAAGTGTCAGTTTCATTTTCAGAGCCTTCTCTTTTGTGTGTGTGCCCTCAAAAATGAACTGTGCCGGGATGGGAGACTCCAACACCACTGGGAAGCCCCTGGTGGGACCCTGAGACTCTGTCAGGCTGAGCTGGCTCTAAGGAACATGGACAAAGGCAGGACAGGGCCTCGCCAGGGCTTCTGTGCCCAGCGCTGGCCCCAACTGTTGGCTGCAGAATCTTGACCTCATCCCATTTCATGGGCCAGGGCCACACTGTGTGGCAGGAGACAGGGCTCTGGAGCTTTGACGAATAGCAGCCCTCACTTGGCGGCCCTGGAGACTGCCTCCTCCGACGTTCAGGCCTTTCCCTGGCTAGCCCCAGGTCTGGCCTGTGGGAGCAGGAGAGCTGGATACCGCTTGTTTCGGAATCTGTTTTAATCCAGAGGGACTCCCCGCAGCCTCAGTAGAGTGCCACACCATGCCTGCCCTCCGTGCTATGTTCCCAGTCTGCTGTGGCCTCCGGGTAAACGTCTCCAGCATTTTACAGGCAAGGCCCCGGTGGAACTTGAGCTTCTTCTAATTACCAACCTCGTCACTGCCAACGCCATGCCAAGTAGAAGCTCCCGGCTATCACGGCATGCCTTCTGCAGCTGCGCCCCGATTCTGAGATCGCCCCCGAATGTCCCACCCCAGGTTTCATGTCTGCTAACTGCCTCTGATAAAGTCATAAATAAAAGCCCAAAATGGAGCGAGGGGGCAATGGGAGAGGCAGCCCAGCAAAAAAGACGGCCAAGGTTAGTTCTTCCAGCACGGAGGCAAACTTTCCACCTCCGGCCGCGGCTGGCTGGACCCGACTGAAATGGTCCCCTCAGTCCTTGGGGTTTTTGGGGAGGGCACTAGGCAGCCCAGTGGGAGGGAGGCATGAGGCAAGCCTGGACTACCCAGGCCTCTGTCCCTGTTCCCAGAAACACAGCCTCCAAGAGCCAGCTCATGGCCCTGGGGTGTTATGGAAACAGGCCCCCCATTATTTTGTGGTGAAAGCACCCAGCAAGATTATCCAAACCACCTCAGTAGGGTGGGGAGGGCAGGGGGGACATTGCACCTGTGACACAATCATACTAAAAAGCAGGCTCAATCCCCCACAGTTTGGGGTTTCATTTTAACCCTAGCTCCGTACACACACGGACAAACACGTATTTTAAAACCCCAAAGAGCTAGAGCCAATGAACTCCAATAAAATGAAGCTATTGCTGGCCTGCAGGCTGCCTCGGCTTTTGAAACCCACCTTTGAAAAAAATTAATCTCCACGTTACCTTGAAACCCTATAATCATTGCACGCAAGCATTCCTTCACCCCTTTCTTGCTCCTCACAAACTCCCCAGGACCACTGGCTGGGCCTGTGTGAGGCACCTATAAAGGGGCATTTTACCACAAAAAGTTACGAATTGTTTTTCGTTTTACACCACCGTAAACAGCAGCTTTCACACAAGGGCCTTTCACTGAACCGGCCCAAATGCCGCCAACGCCGAACCGAGGATCCCCCCTCAAATCAGCTGTCCCCAAGTGTCCGACCAGGGGGAAAAAATCAGCAGCGTGGGTTTAGGAAGTAAATGAAATATTTCAATCTTCCAAGAAAGAGTTGTAGCTTCCCAATAACCTTTCCAAACACATCTCACCAAAAAAAAAAAAAAAAAAAAAAATCTAAAAACAGATGTTTTTTCTTTTCTTCCCATTGTGTTTAAGATGTCTGCTAACGCTTATTTTATGTGTTCAACAAGATTCTCTCTGGCAAATAGCCTGCACACCTGAGATTAGAAGCTGTGCTTCACAAATTCCAAGATCCAGATTAATGCCGAGTGGAGTTCTTGCAAGCTGGTGCGGCTTCAGGTTCAAGAGCAACCTCCTCGGTGCGTTCCCTGGTCTGTGGAAGGCCTGCCCTACGGAAGGGTCCCTCTTAGAGATCCCTTCATTAATATTTAAATACTCACTAAGCAGCGAAAGTGAGAAATGCACTTACCGTCCTCAGGAGTCGCCGTGAACCCGATCGTGACCTGGGGCGCACAGGTCGACAGCCCTGCCCTTGCGGGAGGACCGTGCCTGGCCGCCGCCGGCGCCGCGCTCGCGTGCCCAGAGCTGCACAGGCCCTCAGCTAGCGGTCTGAGTCCTGGGTTCCAAACGCTCACCCTCTTCCCGCGTCGAAGCGGCGGACGGCAGAGCGGTGCCAGTTCCCGCAACTCTTCGCAGGGTGGGACGGCTCTGGACTGCCGCGGGCGAAGCGCACGGCCCAGGCCCCACTTCCCCGGCCCCGCGCCGCGTCTCTCCTTGCCTTCGGGCTCCGGCTTCCCTGCGCTTAGCGACCCGACTGCGCCACAGAGTGGCCCGCAGGACCCGGTCACGGCGTCCGCGCGCCGCAAGGGACCTTTGTCCCAGACGAAAACGAAAGCGCGCCGGCCCCGGGACGCCCACGCCCTGCCGCGGAGAGCCCGGCCGGCGCGCCCCGCGACTTTCTCCAAGTTCACGTGCATTCCGGGGCGGGCGTCGCGAGCCAGGACTTGCAGGGCCGGGCCGTCGGGCGGGCGGTGGGTTGCAGGCGGGCTTGGGGACAGCCCGGCGGGGCGGGCCGGGGCACAATGGGCGCCGCCGGACGGGCGGGCGCGGGGACAGCGTGGGCCCGGCCGCCGCGCGGCCGCTCGTCTGGCGCTGCCCGGGCGCCGAATGCGGCGGCGGCTTGGCACAGACGCGCCGCGCGCCCGGTGCATGCTAATGGCCGGCGGCCGCGCCATGAATTATTCAGCAGCGGCGCGGAGAGGGCGAGCGCGGCGCGGAGGGCGACCCGGGCCGCGCGTCCCCCGCCGCTGCGAAGCCGCTGCGGCGACTTCCCAAACTTTCCCGGGTCGGCACCGAGGATGCGGCCCCCGCGGCGCCGCCGTCCCCGCCCGAGCGCGCCGGCCGCGCTTCCCCCGTTGCCGCCTATTTTATGTCTTTTGTCTCGGAGTTGGCACCTGTCCCAGAGAGCGCGTTTCCCTGCCCACCCCTTCGCCGCCGGATCGGAGCGGGGGAGGGAGTACGGGGAACCCAGGGAGGAGGGGACGGGGAAAGCAAGGCGCCTGCGGGCCCCGCAGCCCGCGGAGACCGCCCGAGAGCGGCGGCGGTGCCCGCGCGCCCGGGCACCCCTGTTCTGCGGGGAGGTCGCGGATGCAACCGCGCCCGGAATACCAACGAGGCCCCCCGCGGCCCCCGCCGTGCCCGCTGCGGGTGAAGACCGGGCGCCGCCCCTCCTGGGTTCCCCCTTCCACCGCCCCCCACCCCGGGACGGCGCGCGCGGGCGGGGCGGGCGGTGCGAGCAGCGGATTCGCCGCCCGGGCCCCGCGCCTCGCCCCGCAGCCCCGCGTGCGCGTCCCCGCGGGCACGCCGCCCCGGGCGCTCCCCTCCAGCGCGCCCCCGCCCCGCGGCCCCTCCCGCCGCCCGCCCCGGGCAAGGGCACCGCGTCGCGGAGACCCAGCGGCCTTCCGTTTCGCGCCCCGGGGCCCGCGCGGCCGAGGCGGGCGGGCGGGCGCGAGCTCCCGGCCCGGCCCGCCCCCGCCGCCCTGGCACCGAGGCGGCTGCTGGGGCGCGCTCGGCGGCTGCGCTCCAAGGCGCCGGCTGCCATGATTGCGGGCAGCGGGACGCGCGCGCACGCTCGGGCCCGGCTCTGGGACCCCTGGCTGACCGACGGTCCCTGCAGTCCCCGCAACCTGGTGCCCGCAGCCCCGAGCGCGCCGCGGACAGCGGTCAGGCTCTCCAGGCTCGTCCCCGCGGGGAACAGTGTGCGCTGCGGAGCTCTCGACGCGGCCCCGGGACAGCGCTCGGGGCCGACGGTGGCAGCGGGCTTCCCCCAGGGCGGAGCGCGCGCACGGGCAACCCCGCGGCGGCTTCCAGGACACCGCCGGCCCCGCGGAGCAAGGGGTGCCCAGAGGGGTGGGAGTCCGGACTCGGCACACGGGAGCCGGCCGGCGGAGGCAGGGGTCAGCGCACAGTGCCGGGAGATGTAAGAGGGGCGCGCAAGGTGCCTGGAGGAGTTGGGTTGGGGGGTGGTTCACGGTGCCCGGGGAGGCGTGGGATGGGCAGGGGCGCGGTGCCTGGAGCCGCTGCCCAGCTCCGAGCGCGCTCTCTTCCTTCCCGGTGGCAACAACTTCCTGCTTCCCCGACTCAGGGCACAGGAGCTTCGGGGAGAAGTTCAAGGCCACAGCTTTGCTCTCTCGGAGCCCGATGGCGACACTGCTGGCCCCGGGCCACACGGTTCCCTCCCAGGCCCTCCCGGTGGTTGAGACCGGCCGGCCTCTAGGGTCCGGACACGGGTTAGAATGCCAAGGAGGCCGCGGCGTCTTTTCCCGCCCGCTCCACAGAGGCGCCTGAGTGGTTCCCAAACCGCAGAGGGGCCGGCCTGGGCCTCCGGCTCTCGGGGACGCACGCGGACACAGAGTCACTATTCGCAGACCCCGTCCCCCTGCCCGAGCATGCCCTGGCCCAGAGCCGCATGGAGCTGATGTCCCCAGACGCCTGCGACGGCCCTTTGGCGGCCAGGGCCCGAGAGAAACAAGGCCTCCCGGGTCCCAACCCAATGTCTGTCTGTGCCTGTCTCCCCCCAACCCCCCGCCGCCGGCCTTGGCATTCTAACCAGTGTCCCTTGACGTCACATCTCGCCATTTCTGCCAACCAATTGAAACTTGCCCGTTGTCATAAAAATATATATACTTTTTATGCCATTGGTAAATTCAAAAGTTCCTCGTGTGCCCTGCTTCCCAGGAAACTTCATTTCACATTGGATTAGACTGCCCAGGAGGGCAACGCTGGGCTGGGGCAGCCGGGCAACTCTGCCAGGGCCTCGCTGCCCACTGAGCTGCCTTCCACAGCTCGCTAGACCCCCATGATTGTGGCTGTGAATTGTGCCAGCCACCCTGATAAACACACCACTGCCTCCACCCCATGACACACGGAATTTGGGGGGAGGGAAGGAAGAACTCAGGGTATGTTAAGAAACCTTCCCAATTGCTTTCCTGGGAGTTGGGGCGGTGGGGACTGGAATCTTACTACAGCATCTTCTTTTTAGAAGCTGAAAGAACTTTAGGGATAGCTTTATTATTTTTTTTTCTATGGGAAAACTCAGTTTTAGAAAATGGAGTAGAAATGTTTTCCAATTAATCTTTTCATTGGAATCCGGACCAACTTTCACTTTCCATAGCTGCCTGGTGGCTTCACTATCGAGTGGGGTGCCCTCTTTTCCTGAGGAAGGTCCTGTGTCTCCCCCTCACCCCCCAGCTCCAAGGGCTGTGGGGCCCAGAGCTGGAAGCTCAGGAGCTCTGTGCTTCCCCAGAAAAGGGCACGGCTCTCTCGGCAGCCTGAGACGCAGACATGCCGTGTCTACCTTCTAGCAATACAGCAGGGGAAATCAATCCTGTCTAGCACAGTGCTTTATCATTTTCTTTCTTCACTATTAAAATTTTCAGCCCCAAATAGGAAGTGTGGGGTGAGAGCACACATTCCCACAGGATGAGTCTGTGCCCAGCAGTGCCCAAAGTCCCACATATGCCCCTGTAGCCCCTCCTAACCCAGCCACACTAAGGCAGAACTCAACCGCTAACTGCTCTATAAACTCCTCCTGTACCCCATCGTTGCTGTATGGTTCAACTACTTTAAAAAACATACTACAGATATTTTGTGGTTTAGCAAGTTTAGGGACTCCAGAAGAACAAAAATGCTTTAGAAACTGAGATGAATGCAGAGATCTAAACATCATAAGCACCAGGCCTTTTAATATGGAATCTTGTTTTTCCAAAATAATGAACACAGCCGGTAACGACCAAATGGGGATTCTGAACATAAATATATGGTTACTATTCTCAATAAAACTGTTCTCAAGGGCAATCTCTAGAAATGATGCATACCTCGGAGATACACGTTCAAGCGAAAAAAGGAAAAAAAAAGGCTACACCCAACAACCACACTGTATTTATAATCACGTTCCTAAACACTATAAATATTATAACTAATGTGATATATGTTTTGTGATTAAATGGATTAAAACATTGAATTTAAAAAGCCACAAAGAAAAAGAGATTATCTTCTATTATGCCACTTACAAGTTTTGTTCCATTGGCACAAATACAAATTTGACAACTGTATCATTACTGAACGCAGTGACTAAATGCCAGGATATTAGCTTTGTAATTTTCACCTGAAATCATTGTATAATCATACTGGCTTGCTAACCTTCTTTTTATTAAATGATTTTTTTTTCTTGCTCTCACTGTAATAAGTTAATTTAATGCCTTTTTCCCACTTCCAATTTTTATTTGGTAAAGCAGGAAATCAGATAAGTCAGAACAATATTCAAGAACACACACTCTTTTTAAAAAAATTTCCCCTGTACTTGGCAAGGATTTACATATAATTTGGTTGCAAATTCAGAAATCAAATGCCGCTTTATTCAGCAAAAATAAGAGCACTCAGGTAATTCCACTGGATATTATTCAGGTTAGATTGTTTCTGTCTATTTGCTATCATATTATTCAAAGTAAATAATAATATTTTTTACAGTATGCTCAAATTATCAACAAGAAAACCCGGAAAATTTACATTGTTGATGAGCACTGTGATGGATAAGTTTCCAGGAAGAAAAACTTGGTTTTCGCCTGTGGGCCACAGCCATGCCTGAGGTCAGATGTTTGAAAATAAGGTCTAGGAAGGCTGCTGCTGTACTAGGATGTTTACAGTGTCAGCCTTATACAGTTATTTTTTTCCTGATTTCTCCCCAGATCCGCCTAATGGGAATGGAGCCGGCAATTTCCTGCTGCCTTGCTTTCTCCGCCAGCCCCTGGCCCACAGTCCAGCCTCAGAAGGCTGAGGGGGGTGCTTCGGTTTCGTTTCTTTTTTCTCAACGGGTCGACATTTTAAATTTCTCAGTATCCAAGGCATTATGAGGACTTAGGAAACAGATGCATTTAATCTAATTAAAGCAAGGACGGCGAGTGAGTGAAAAATTACATTTTCACTTGGGTTCTGAACATTCAGTTGCACATCCAAGAATAATGATGTTTTTAAAGCCAGCCCAATAAACTTGAGATTGCAAGTTTTCAGTGGCTCCTGGATAAGATGCCACTTCGATCATCCTAGACAATGTGCCTTTTGAGGAGCTGCTCAGCAGCTTTGGGGACTCTGGATAAAGGCAAACCAGGCTTATGATTTTTTTTCTTTTGCCTTTGTTTCAAAGTAGTTTGCAGGTTTGAGAGTCCATTTTCATAGGCCTGTTTCATGACAACATACGCTCCTACCGCATGATGGGTTTATTTTCACTCTCAGTTATTTATACGCAACCTCTAAGCATCAATCCACCTTGGACGAACATACGCGTTTATAATTTTCATAGAAATAAAACAGCAAAAGATAATTCAAAGTCAATAGGGTCTCAGGCTGGGCAAGGAAATGTGGGCAGGCACCCGTGAAAAGGGTTCTTTCCTTCTGACATGATGAAGCATTTTTCAAAATCTTTTGCTTTATTTCACTGTTTTTTGTCAAACTTGGCATTTGTTTACCAGCAACAATAATGAAACTCTGACCGGGGAACAAGCCTGTTTGAGGACAAAAGCGTACACCGGACACTGCACTAGCACACCCCACCCAAAACAGCAAACAAAAAAAGCCCAGCGTGCTGGCACCATTTTTCCTATCTTCTTTCCTTTCTGTTTCAATGTAAAGAACATACTTAAGTGTGCCTGCCTCTATGAGTGATGCACATCGTGCTTTCATGGTGCCAGCTCCACACGCGTGCAATCACATGTCTGGTTCTAAACCTGTGTAAGCAGCGCTTTGTCACCTTTAACATGCTTTGGAAGTCTACACATTCATGTTTCATGTTGCGGTGCCTGCGTATGTATCTCAAAAAGAAGTCTAACAACCCCGAAAGCATTCTTAAGGGGTTAATTATTACTTTTCAATCAAAAGGAGCGCATAAAACAACTAGAAGTCTACGACAGGCGTGTGTTCAATCATATATGAATATATTGTACATAATATTAATAAACAACATGCTAGTATGAAAAATTTCCCCTTAGGAATGAGGAATTACGATTAATGTTTTCCATTCCAAAGTAGTAACAACACAAATCTGAAAATATGTATTAAGGATGACGGGCCAATATCTCTGGTTATATATGCATCTATCAAATGCCAAAGCTAGATTTCTGACTTTAAATGAGGAATGAGAAAGGGCACCAAACTAAATTTTTAAAAAACAAAAATTACCATTCCAGAAGTGGGTGCTGAATTAATTTTAGTCAATCACTTCTACAATTTCTTAAATGGAATAATCAGAAATGGGGAAATTAACATTTTTCTAAAAAGTTTATGTGCTACTTATAATATTTTATTGTACAGGTCTTCAGCGGGCTAGGTAAATTCCTCTAGAATAAATAAAAAAAAGAAAGGAGAAAAAACTGATTTTGAACTCAAATGGTTTGTTGTTAAGTTGCAAGGGACTGCAGGAACTTTTTACTAAAATCAAGATTTCACAGATTACTTCTTTAAAATTACTACAACAAACTTAAGCTGCCCACAAATGGAACTCATACTGAAATTGGGATTTGGTTTTGGGGGATTGTCAATTACAAGTTGTTTGGCATTTGACCACACTGGTCTTATTTATTGAGAGACTCCCATTTTATTTTTAAAAAATCAAATGTGACTTCACACAACACAGGTGACTAATTTATATATAAAACCAGTTTCATTTTCCTGACTATGTCCCAGTATCCTAGCTTTTAGACCTGGTTAACTTCAAGGTTAAGGTCAGATTTTTCATAGGCACCCTTTCTACAGAAATACAAGAAGTGTTTGAACTGAACTTATCACTACAAGACAATATTTAGTTGCTGTCCAAAAAATGCTAAAGAAGAAAACCGATGCTTTTTTGTTTCTTGCTATTTTATAGGCAACTTTTGGTATAATTCCTAATTTCAAAAGAACATGAAGTTCATTTTTTTAACTCCCCAAAAAAGTGGTACTGTAAGCAACCAGACAAGAAGGGACACTGACCTTGAAAATGAAAGTCTACATAATATTTACATGATAAACATATTTTTAAAATCGATTTCAAAGTAATCAGAGACGTGGATAGGTATTTTCACTATTTTCACTCCTTTTTCGCTTGGTTTTCAATGATGCACAGAGGCAGGGGTTTTTGAATATCATCAAAGGTTTGTACCTTTGCTAATAATATCTTATCCGTCAGTTTTTCAAGTCTGCATTCTAAATATACTGCAAGATGCTGCCCGTTGACTTTCTGTCTGAGAGGAGGCAGCGGACTCAGAACCGCACGCTCCTTCCCTCACTCTCCCGACTTCTCCAAAACTGGAAGTCTCTCACACGTAGAATGCCAGAAATTTATAGAAGGACTCCAAGGCTCCCTGAGAAACTTCTCGAGTTGGGAAAAACCTTGTCAACGCACACCTGGACCTACAGATTCGGAAAAAGTAACCGGCTGTAGCCAAAAACCAAACACTCAACCACCCGAACACAGTCTGCAAGAAACACAGAGTTCTTTGACGTGACAAGAAGAATTATAAATAAAATAGCTCCAAGGCAGACAGGCTGAATGAGCCTTTTAAGACAGCCTGTTGGTGCCTCAAACTTTAATACTTAGAATATCAAATGTTAGCTCCACGAGGATAGCATCCTGGGATACGTGTGTGTGTGTACGCATATGTATACGTGTGCATAAGTGTGTATATGTAGGTTTGTGTGTAGCGATAAATGTTTTGTTGCCTTTATGGCCTGGGGGCTGATTGAGGGCCTGGTGGAACGCCCCTAGCCCAGAGGAAGGAGCAGGCCCTACCTGCGTTCTCCCTGGGTTACTCCCTACTTCATTACACGTAGGCAAACACCAAAAGCCAGGGAAAGCATAACTGCTGTAGATAACAAGGGCAGATCTCAGATAGAGAAAAGCTTTCTCTGCAATAAAGAATTATTTTGTGAATGGTAAGCCAGGCTGACCTCATTCATCATCATCAGGACAAAGCATAAGCAAGCCGGTGTTGGGAGCGCGGCGCGGTGCGGCACCAGGGCGCCGAGAAGGTGTGCCCTCTGCCAGGCAGCTCTGGAGGCCGCACAATCCGGTCCCCCAGGAGAGATGGCCCAAGTGTGTGGACCGGGCTGGGGTTTGGGCCCAGCAGACGCTTACGCAGTCCAAGCTAGGCAGGGCAATGAAGGGCTGCAGACGACAGGCTTGGACCCCGGGACAAACACTTAGGGCTCTCAGGCGTATGTCCCAGGGGGATCTCCAAACCGTCCACTCCAATCCCCCAAAGTGGGGGCCAACTCGTTGTCATGTTCGAAGGCCTTCAGAGGCCTGGGATGCTCTCTGTTTCGACTCCATTTCTCACCGTGCTCAGCCCACCTCTTTCTTACAGCCAATGCAGAGGATTTTGACACCACGGTTCAAGTCAACAAAATCATCCTGATCACTTAGTAAGTGCCCGGCACCATGTCAATCACTAACCATTTGAATCCTAAAACAACGGCCTCAGAGTAGAGGGTTTTTCCCTAAGGTAGTAAAGACAGCACCTCACGTGTGCAGAGCAAACACTTCATCATTTACACAACGTGTTCTCACCTCGCCTCACGTGACTCTCCTGGCCCGTGCAGCAGACAGAACGAGAACTCTCTTAGCTCTTTAAAGACTGGGGAAACTGAGGCCCAGGTGAGTGGTGCCGTGACTAGGCCTGATACCACACAGACTTGGGACCCCGACTGCTGTGTACACACATGCACTTTGTTATTTTTGTTTTTTTAAGGAAAACATCACCATCCATCCCTTCATACTCATACACACATAGGCTTATTTTATTTTATGAACAGTTTCCAGGCAAAACAGAGCCCCATTGAAATTTAGGTCCCAGAAATGCCTTACGCCGGTCTGGCTTTGGGAGCTCTCCCCCCATCTTCCCTGCAGTGGCTTCCATCGTCCGAGGTGCCCACTTTCCCTGCCAGGTGCATCCTGATCAGCCCCTAGAATTAGACTGGGGCAAATAGACCTTGGGTATAAAATCACAGACACAATCGCCCCACGAGAGTCCTTGTCACAAAGCTGCTTTGCCTGAGCTGAAAGAGCACAATAACCCCGTCCTCTGTCCTCGTCTGCCGGGCTGCCAGTCCCTGCAACCAGAGCCTCCCTGGCCAGGCACCCGGGGTGGTTCCAAGCCCCACCTAAGCCTCATCCCTGCTTACAGCCCTCTGTGAACCTGGCAGGCAGCTGCCCCATGGTCTCAATATCAAAGGCCGATCAGTGTTGAGGACAGCCTTTGAGAACCCTCACCATCTCATGCCTGCAAGCACTGCTGAGAGAGGGGTGGCGGGGGTCCCCAGCCTGGGCATCAGCATTCCACGGAGGCAAACTTACACTGATCAGATTGGATTATTGCTCCTCAGAAAGGAGAAAGGCTACATAGAAGTGGTGACCTCAGGAGGGATGCACAGGAACGAGGCAGGCGAGTAAAGAGGCACCGGGCTATTTGGCAGTCATTCTATGAAAGGCAAGAATCACAAGGCATGTCTCCCAAGGGCTTTCCTTCCCAGGTGGAGATCTGCACCGCACACCCAGAAGGTGACGGCCACACCTGCCTACCCCCACTCATGGCCCACGGCAGGACCCCTACCCAGCTCCATCCTCACAACAGCAGGGCATATCCGACAACTCCTGAACACCAAGTCTTCCCAAAGCCAAATTCCACGTTAGAATATTCCACCGTGCAATCAACAAGCTCAAAAACAAACTCAACATAAAAAAAAAAAAGTCTTCCTGGCAAAGCCTAGCAGTATTTACAGCTGGTGAACAAAACTGAAATAAGTGAGAATCAGGTAGAGGGCCTTGCCTGGCGGTGCCAGGAACTGGAAGCCTTTCTGCTCATCTTTGGAGGCAAAGGCTTTCAAGAAGAGTCCTTTCTGTGCTTTCCTTTTTGCACCTAATTACAAAAGAAAGTACCTTTTTAAAAATCAAACAGAACCCTTACGAAAATTACAAGTGCTAAGTCTCAAAAGCTTCTTGGGATAAACATTATAACCTTGTCCAACATTTGAGGAAAAAACGAAGAACAGAAAGACGTGAAATGGTCAAGGCCTGAATTTCGTGTCAACGGATGCATTCATGGCCTCAGCATCCTCCTCTGGCCTAGAACCGTTCCCAGGTGCTGGAAAGGTTGTGATGTGGAGGAAAAAGAGGTTGTCGGGGAGGGAGCCCACGTGCAGAGGGTCTGAAGGGTTCCGGCTTCCCTCACCAGGGGAGTGGGGTTCGCATAGATGGAGCGTCTTTTCTTTCCCGTGTGACAGGCTTCCAAGCAGAAATAAAGAGCAGAAAAAGAAAAACAAGAACTAATACACGTCTCCTCTGCATCACGGCTGTCTGAAATCCTTACGGGGCCTGCACAGGGACCCCGGGAGCAGTGTCTCTGCGGCCTCCCCCAACCCCGCTCCAGGGGACAGGCACCCACGTGGCCGCGGGAGTGCGTGGGGACCTTGCGCGGACCAGGAGCACCCGGCCCCGGGGCGGGAGGTGCGGGCCAGTTTCAGCCGGCCAGCTGCGGACCTGGGGGGACACAGGGCCCAGGCCCGCAGCGGCTCTGAAGGCAGGGAGGCCTCGGTGCGCCTCCTCCAGGCAGCCCCAGGGCGGGCACGCGAGGCAGGGCCGAGTCCGGCACCAGGCCTGAGGCTCGGGGTCCGCGGCGGGCGGGGAGGCCGGTCTGCAGCGGGGCGGGGCGGGTCCCCAGGGTTCGAACCGAGGCCTGGAGTCGGAGCCTGGGCCCGGAGCCGCTGCAGAGGGTCCGGGCCGGGGCCGGGGTCCGCCTGGGCAGGGACGAGGGTTCGAGCCGGGGTCCCAGGCCGGGGTCGGGTCGGAGTTGGCGGGCGGGTCCGGGGCCTGCGTCCGAGGGCGCGTCCCAGGCAGAGTCCAGGGTGCGGTCCGGGCAGAGGCGGCGGCACGCGCCCCAATTAGCCGCAGGCCGGGCGGCGGGGCTGCCCCATTGAGGGCGAACAAAGGGCGCGACCCCGGGGTCAGGAGTCGCGGGCTGCGGCCGCCGCTTTGTTCGGCGCCTGTTTACTTTGCCCAAGCGGAGCTCATAAGATATTGACTAAAGCGGATTAGGGGGTCGCGCCCCGGAGGCCCAGGCGGGCTGCGGGAGGCTCCAGGGCCCGCGGGACCTCCCAGCCGGGCGCGCCTGGCCGAGTCGGCCCCTTCCCCGCCGCCCGAGCGTCCCCAGCCTCGCCTCCGCCCCGCTCTGCCGGGGAAACTGAGGCTCCGGCCGGGCGGGCCCGGGAGAGGGGGCTCTGCGGCCGGCGGGCAGCCCGGGACCGCCCGGAGCCAGCCGGGAAGTGATGGGGTTGCCCGGGGCACTGCATTTTAAAGAATTCTGCCCGTCCCGATACGGCAGGTCCTGGGAATCCATTTTACAGTGAAGCAAGTCGCACTTGCCTGAAGGCTAGGAAATATTAGTTGGAAACACGGACAGATTTTTCCGTATAACAAAATCCTGGCACATTATGGTTAAGAAAGAAACTTCTAGTCTCTTAACGCAAGCGATGCGCTCCTGGCGTGAATAGGCAGGTGACCTAAGAGTGCAGAGAAATATTTTAAGGGCAATACAAGCTTACGAAAATAAATGTTTTCTTTCTTTTTAAAAAAAAGAATAAGACAACTGATGAGTCTAAATAAACCACTAGGATTCCCACTCAAAGACCACAATTAATCTGATACTATGAATCCAGGATCTACGGACTTCTCCAGTAATTAACTTGCAGAATCTTTTAAATTGTCCCTAGAAAACCAAACAGGGGAAGCAGAAAGCCCCAACTGAAAATCAGGCACCATGTCTCACCACCGGAGGGTTGTCACCCAACCAAGGATCCAAGAAGAAGACGGGCCTTTTTCCACCCTTCTTAAGGCTATTGTTTAGGGAACAAAAACACTTCCCGAGTCCACACAAAATCTTAATTGAGATTTTTCTGCCCTGGCGTACAAGTATATGTGTTTGGTTAGAAAACTCACATAGTATTGGATTAATAAGCTACCAACATATAAATCTTTTATTAAAGAAAGAACAATATTGACTTACTATTCCTATTTGTTGGTCTAACGAATACTTCTGCTACGTGTATCATCCATCCCCAATGACTGAAAGAAAGCATGCCATTTGTCTCTATTTGTCTATCTTCCTATAATGAGTCTTTAAAAATAGTTTTTCCCTGATTATAAATATACCACGTGTTTAATGAAGGCACAGGAAAGTGTAAATTATACGCAATTTAAGAATAAAATATAAAGACAGATATTTAAGATATAATTTCAGTAGTAAATAAAAAATATGGGTTAAGTATAAAATACACAAAAAAAGGAAAATTCACCTACATGCCGCAATCCAGAAATAATATTCTGTTGTATTTCCCTCCCAACCATTGTTCAGCACACATATACATACACAGACATGCCTTACATATGTACATACTGTAGGAAGGTGTTGTATCCCGTACACACCCATACCATTCCAAACTTTTTGTCAATACCATTTTATTATTATTTATTTATTTATTGAGATGGAGTTTCGCTCTTGTCACCCAGGCTGGAGTGCAATGGCGCAATCTCGGCTCACTGCAACCTCCACCTCCTGCGTTCAAGCGATTCTCCTGCCTCAGCCTCCCGACTAGCTGGGATTACAGGCACAAGCCACCACGTCCGGCTAATTTTTGTATTTTCAGTAGAGACGGGGTTTCACCATGTTGCCCAGGCTGGTCTCGAGCTCCTGACCTCAGGTGATCCACCCGCCTTGGCCTCCCAAAATGTCACCACCGTTTTAACGGTGACACAATGTTCCATTATTTCACTATGGGATAATTTACTGTCATGTCCCCTATGATTCCCTATGTCATGTCTTGCTAATATTTGTATACTGTAGTGAACACTGCAACCTATGATCTTGCCTATGAAGTTTGTCTGCAACTTGGGTTATTAATAAATCTCAAATGATCTATTGTTAAGACGTTGAGGCCACTGCATTATTCTAAGCGGGTAAAGGTAGACCCCATAGACTTCATTTCTCCTATCATGAACGTACCCGGCTATTCTAGAAATGCCTTTGGATCAGTTACTCAGAAGGCAATAGGGAGGTCTGTGTGGTTCCCCCTCCAGAGGCCTGGTTCTGTGGAACTTTTTCCTGATGGACTTGTGGGGTCGGCCAAGGCACATGCATGATTGTGACATGCTATTGGGGGATTGTGCCCTTGCACTGAAGTTCTGGTGGATTTCTGCCTACCAAGCCACTTGGCACTAACCCCCAACCACGCGGCGGGTGTAAGTCAGGGCCATAAAGCTGAACACCTTGGAAACATTATCCCAACAGTTCCGATGAAACTTTGCACGTCTAAGAAGCGGTTTGATTTGGCCCAAGCATCTTTCTTTGCTTAGAATTCAAGCATTGAAGCTGCTTTTTACACTCTCTCAGCGCCCCCCTCCCAATCCGTGCTGCAGTGTTCCTGGGTTTTCTGTCGGGGACAGCCTGCCTGCATCTTCCCACCTCCCAGCCCTCTCCTGCATGGGAAGGCCTAGCGCGCTCACCTCCACAGCTCGGGCCCTGCGAGATAATGGGTTTCATGCCACTCACTCCGGCTCCCTGATGCCCTGAGCCCACCTGCAGGCCTGGCTTTGCCGTGGGGCTGTGCTGGCCGTGTATCTGGGCTACCCCAACCGGGCTCCCAGCACAGCAGGACAAGGAGGCTGGGTGCCGTGGAGCCTGAGGTCTTCTCCCTGAACACCCAGACCCTGAGCCGGGCCCTCCTGAAGGAGGCAGCAAGAGAGAAAGAACTGCCACTGAGGACCAGAGGGGCCAAGGCGACAAGGAGGACCAATCACAAAAGCCCACGGAGTTATCTGAAAATAGATGCTAGGAGAATTGATGAAAGCCGCTCGGCAGAGAGCAGAGCCTGGAAGGAAACACAGGAAAATGTGACCAGAGCTTGTCTCTGCGTGGGAGAAAGGATGAATAATTTTTCCCTTATGTGCATTTTTCTGTATTTTCCAAATTTTCTATAGTGAGCATATGTTGCTTTCATGATCAGAAAAGGACTATATTACTGATATGATTCTATTTATTATAAGTCAAATAGATATAATTCATTATGAGAATGAAATGAATTATTGTTAATAGTTATGAGATTAACATAAACAATCATCGTCGTGTATTGCCAGAAAAGTTATTAAGATGGTAGCAGTTGTTCTCGTGTCTCTAGCACATCCCCCTTCAGAGAAACTTTCAAATAGAAAACGAAACTGGGCATCTCTGCTATGCAAATATTGGTGGCTGTTGTCATATTCCTGCAACAGCCCTTGACAGTGGGCTGGGCTGGGTGCTGTTCTCACTTTAAATCCGGGGAGCTGAGGCTTGGAGGAATAAAGGGAACAGCCCCAGGACTTGAACAGAGCCCTTGGGTCACCCATGTCTCTACTGTAGCTTCCAGGCCGTTTCCCCTGGGGATCCAATGTGTTTCCTGTTGTCCCCAATCTTTTAAATTTTTTTCCATTATTAGAGTTAGTACCAGCAGCCAGGGTGGAACTGCAATTCGTGAAGATTGCATTGGCTTGCTTTAAAAGAATGGTATCTGTACGGGTCCCTTAACCATTCGAGGGGCACCATCGGGCTTGTGGGTCATGCTGGGAAGTGGCCCGGCTGCCTGTGACAGTTTCTCAGCCAGGCAGGGACTCTTTTCCACACGATGACACTGGAACTGAATGCCACACTCCTTCTCCTTGGAAGAAAAAATGGTGTGTAGGACAAGGACTCAGGACATGGGTGTGGAAGAATCTCTGTGGTACGAGCCCAGCCTGGAAGAACTCTTAGGTCAGAAACACCCCTTTTCTGACCTTATTTTTGAAAAGTGGGCCATTTCCAGCCCCTAATAACGGAGGGGGACCAATCTCCAAATTCAATGTACTTGATCTTAAGAATCGTTCTTTAAAAGTGAGTTAAAAGGCAAAGTAGCATGCTGTTGTCTACTCTAAAAGGCAATTTCTAAATTTGGATTAAAAAAAAAATTGTACTCTAGCTTGCAAATCCAGTGGCTCTCAGAATGCAAGTAAGATACACCACTCCTTGTGCTAAAATCATCTTAAGCAGTTTAAAATAAATCAAAACAAAACGATGTGAGCCGAGCATATGTCTCCCATCCCTTGTGTTTTGAAGGCCGAGTGGGCCAGGCTGCCTAGCACAGACCGGTTCAGTCCGAGAGCCGCCTGGGCCCAGATCTCGGCAGTCAATGATTTTAAGAGAGGGCCACAATGTCTCCTGGACCAAAGAGACCTAGGTCTTTTACTTTCCAAAGATGGCCTCGGTTCTAGACAAGGATTAAATTATAAAATAAATCATTACAGAACATAATCAACAGGTAAGATGAATAAATTGAAGACATTTATTTCCTCCAAGAAAAATGTCTGGCACTTGGAATTTTCAAGCTGCAAGTAGATGTACACATTTTCAAAAGATCTTTCTTTTCCTTCGCTTCCTCACACTGGGCACAGCAAAACATCTCTGCCTTCTAAAATAAAAACACATGCCACTTTAATTTAGCAAAGAGAAGCCAGAATGCAGAATCTTTGCAGAGATTTTTTTTTTTTTTAATTAAAAAGAGAGACTGACAACTTCATTTTATACCTTTTCACGGGAAGTGACCCTCCTCCCCATGGGTCAATAAGTTAACGCCAAATCGCGGCAAAACGGCGAATTCCATCTCTGAGGCTCTAGAAGCTCAATCTAGAAGGAGAGATTTTAATTGTAACCCCTAAACAGCAAATGCTGACATTTGTCTTGCTTTCAGATAGTCTCCAGACTGGGCCAGAACATGACTAATTTATTTTATCTTATCCATCTATCTAGGCACAGGATTAAAATATTTATATCAGTCTGTTCACTTTAAAATGTGCAGTTACAGACACCAGCTTCAGGGCCACTCCTTAATTTTTCACAGTTTTGGCTTTTCATTGTTTCCAGAAATGCACAGTCCTTGAATGGCGAACACTCGCAAATGCTGATGAAATCTTTAAGTGAGGAGCCTCTAAACTAATATGAAAATCTCCCCTTTCAGGCTGCGTGGACGCTGCCCGGCCACGGTGACGGAGCTGTTCCAATGCCTGCTTCCCGAGACAGGCCCATGAAATCATGCAGGCTTGAGCCCGGCTTCTAGAAGGAGCACGCCTCTGGCCAGGGTGGCTGGTGGAAACCAGTCCTGGCCAAGGGAGCCCCGGCCAGGCTGCCAGGTAGGCAGCAGGCGGCAGGGGGTTAATGTGGGGAGCGGGCAGGGGTGGGGTGGGAAGCCAGCTGGGGAAATGGGGGCTGCAGGGCCCAGCCCGACCAGGCACAGACACAGGGGGCTCTGTCTGCTTGCCCGCTGCCCTGGCACTGTGACTAACCGCCCCACTATTGTGAGTCTGAAGTCAGCCCTTTGTGTCGTCCCCTGGCGTCTGGGAGCACAGCCGAAGAACCCTTTCCAGCAGCCCCCCTCATTCTGGAACCTGCAGCCCCAACATCCATTCTTTCAGCTCTCAGGGTTGCTGGGGGCTGATGAGCCAGTGGAAGTATCCCTTTCCCTGGCCAGGAAGGGCCACCAGCAAAAAAGAAGCAGAAAACCAGTCTCCCCTACTCTGGGTGGGGAAGTGGGGGGCACAGGGACCTACTAAACCTACGTGACCGCCGTGGTAGCTGCTCCACACGCAGCAAAGGAGCCATTGAAATGGGGAGAGGCCAAATCGAATATGGAAAAAATGGCAAAATATCCCGTTCACAGTTTCATACGAGCAACACACTGAAATAGGATTTTGGAAATTTATATTAGATTAAAATGAATTTTAGTACTAAAGTGAATCTTACCCGCTTATTTTCACTTTCTGAAAATGTGGCTATTAGAAGGTGTTAAATGACAGATGTGGCTTGCATTTGTGGCTCGCGTTGTTTTGTGTGAGCTCGTGGGTTTGGGGGTGCTGGGACCTTGAAGGCTGCTTTCTCCTAGGGAGACAATGGCACTCCCTACCCATCATTGTCAGGAATACCAGGCCCTTGCAGCCACACTGTCTCCTGACCCTGGCCTTGCATTCCCCGTTTTGAGAATTGGGACTTACACACGCAGGTGTCTAGGAATCCTTTGTCAAACACTGGCATGCACACGAGTATGCCTGCACACCCACGTGCACATACACGGACACGCACAGACATACACAGCCCTGGCTCCTGTCCACCGCAGGCTGGAGCAACCTGTCCCAGCTAGCCTTCGTGGAAGCCAGATTCACAGGGCACCCAGATGCCCTCCAAACCCCCCCTGGACCCAGACATCTGACCCTTTGTCCTGGGACAGACAGGACCAACCCAGGCCACACCCGCCTTCCATGGGCCGGGGCACTTTTGGCTTCCTGGTTCCCTTCCTCCATAAATACTAAAAATTCTATTTTATGACTACATCAGACTAAAGGCCAATAAAACCAGGTCGAATTCATTGTCGTATATTCATTATTTTTATAGTCATTTTTTCTTCTGATTTTAAAAGAAATTAAAATGAAAACATTTCATGGGCCCTAGGCTCTATGCCTCGTGGGCTTGTGGGCCCAGACCATCCCTCTGAGCTCCCATGCCCAAACCCATGCCCCTGAGTCTCACCCAGCGAGGAGCACAGGGGGCTTGCCTGCCGTTTGTCCAGTGACCAGATAGATACCTTCTGAACTCATTCCTTAAGTCCTGCCCTCAGTAAACAGTGTGTGAATCCCTCACCAGATGCCAGAAAACGTTCCACATTATTTTTAAAACAGAAGTCAGTCAGGAGGAAGGCCTGGGATGCCAGTGTGGTTGAAGGCCCCAAGTCAGTGGGAGCTAAGACCCTCACCCGGTACAGGGCTGGGGTCTCCAACCGGGGACCTGGACACCATGTTTAACACCCAAGAGCAGGCCAGCAAACAGGCGTGCTGCTCTGGGTAGCGACTGGTACCGTGAGGTGCAGCCTCCGAGAGCACCAGGCCCCTTCTGCCTCCCACCCTCCACCCCTGCTGCAGGTGCTGCGGGGCCCCCGGTTCTGGATGGAGGTGCAGAGGAGGCTGGGCTTTCCGGCGTCCCCCAGAACCGGCATCGGCTGCTCTGGCCTTTCCCTTCCCAGGGAGCCACGGCGCCAGGCCTGGGCCCAAACCCTGCTCAGGAAGGACGGGCCGGTGCAGGAGATGGTTAAAATTCTGCATCCTTTTTGCATCCGCCTCCAGAGGAAGCGCTGCTTTCTCCCCCCACCACCCCCCCCCCAACCCCCCCACCCCGCGAAGCAGGAGGAGGGGGGAAAAAAGCTGAGAGCAGCAATTTGCAGGCCTTGGGATGTTTTTCTCCTTGACAGCCCCGGGCCCCGCCTCGCTCCGGCCCTTCCTCCGACTGTGCGGCTGGCCCTGTGGCCGCGGCTCGGTGTCTGCCGCTCCTGCCCGGGCCCCTGCACACGCGTCCTCCCCTCGGCGGGGAGGCCGGCTAGGGGCAGGCGGGCAGCGATGCCTGCGTCGGCCACAGCTGCCTGGCACTGCCCTCCTTTGTGCCTGCCTCCTCTGCCAGCCTCCGCTCCAACCTCCCCCCCCAACCCCGCAACGAGGCCTGCTCCTGGGCCCGGCCGCAGGGCCCGTTGCCCACAGAGCGCCCACCCTGCGCCCACCCGGGGTGCCCTCACCTTCTGGGCCCCTGGCTCCTGGCCTCGGGTCCTGCTGGTGCCCAGGTCGCCCGGCCCCGTCCTCCGTGCTCCGCGTTTGCCCCACCCTGCTGCCCGAGCTCGGCGGCGAGCCTGGCACGGTGCCAGGCTGCCTGGGAGCCCAGCCCGGGCAGGGCGAACTTTCCAGCGAGGGTGTGTATGGGGGGGAGCTGCGGGGTGAGGGTGGTGCCTGGGGAGGGAGAGGGCCCCAGGTGCCCGGCGGCCGGCCCCCGGCCCCCAGCCCCCAGCCCCTGGCCGGCCTGCGGGGGCCTCCCCTGCCTCCCGTCCCCAGAGTCCCACAGAGGCGCAGACAACACGAGCGCTTGAGTCCCAGCAGCCATGTGCAGGAGCCGGCAAACAAACAAAAGCCCTTATTTATTTATTTAGTTCACACTCCCAGATAAGGAGGCGCCTTTTGTGCACATAATTTCACACACATCAGAACGGAGGCGATGCCACGGTACTCCCCACAGCCCGAGAGCCCCGGACAGCCGCCCGGCCCTCATGAATAATTGCATCGCCTCGGCCTGGGCATTTCCATATTTAAATTGGGCAGCAGCGTATGATTAATTAAGAAGGAAAAAGGCAAAAAGGAAGAAAAGCAGTGGGGGTGGGGAGCCGGACACTCTGGGCAGCGCAATGTGCCAAGGTGCCCGCGGCAGCTTAACTCCTCCCATGCCAGGGCCCAGGGGGAGGCCACAGCAGGGGCTGGGAGGGGAGGCTCCCAAGACCCTCAGCCTGGAGGGCGGCATGTCCTTGCCTGCTGTCCTGTGTCGAGTGCCACCCCAGCCTCACATGCTGCCTGGGGAAGGTTCTCTTCCTCCTGTTCGTATTCCGGGCAGCTCACCATTGCTCAGGTCAAAATGTGCCATGCCAGTGCTGGGGAAAGAGACACACCGAGGCCCCCCAGTGGGGCACTTCCAGCGGGAACTGACCTGTCTTTTGCCCTGCACAGCTTCACCCTACATCCCTGCCACATGCAAGCTGCAACGCTGCCCTGCCTGGGGAGGCTCTGCGGCCCATCCCCACTCTCACAAGCCTCCTCCTCCAAAGGGCTGGCTCTTCTGGCCCTGAAAGCAGCCGGCCTGTTCCGGGAGTGGGGCAGGAAGGCCTGCCACCCTTCTAGAAAGATTTTTGGCTAAGTGAGTGCCAGGAAAGACTATATTCCTAAGGCAAGAAGTGGCCCCGGATTTAGAGTCTGGCCATCACCAAGGTTTGGCCTTATTGTTTGCCATTTGTGTGGCCTGAGGCAGGTTATCTGGCCTCTCTGGGCCTCGGTCTGCCTGGTTGCAAAATGGGAATGATATGAATGCCCACTATTCCTGCCCTGTGGGGTCCCGGCGAGCAAGAGCAGCTCCTGGTTGGCAGAGAGCCTGCCCGAGTTCCCAGACTCGTTGTCCTTGTGGTGGGCTGAGGTCTGAGCCAGAACAAGTCCAGATAGACCCAGGACCATGCAGCCCTGCCCCTGCTGAGGCCCCAGGACACTGGTCAGAAATTTGCTGAGAAAATAATCTGAATTCTTGTGGCCAAGAGTGTCCTAGGGCCACCAGGCCTGGCTTGGTTGTGGGGGGCCCATCTGCCCTTGAGCGTATGCAGGGGTGTGTGGAGTGGGAGGGCTCTGGGGCAGGACCAGCTGCCCAGCAAGAGCCTCCTAGGGGTCCTCTGGGGTCTGGGCAGCATTATTATCACCCCCTCCTTTACAGCTGGGGGAACTCAGGCATAGAGAGTTCAGGAGCATACCTGAGATCACACCAAAGTGGGGGCCCTGGGATTTAAACTCAGAGCACCCCAAATCCCATCCCAAGGCTTTTCTTTTCTCTTTTTGAGATGGGGTCTTGCTCTGTTGCCCCTGCTGGAGTGCAGTGGCGTGATCACCGCTCACTGCAGCCTCAACCTCCCAGGCTCAAGTTATCCTCCTGCCTCAGCCACCCAAGTTGCTGGGACTTACAGGCGTGTGCCACCATGCCCAGCTAATGTTTTTTTTTTTAACCTTTGTTGCTCAGGTTGGTCTCAAACTCCTGGGCTCATGCAATCTTCCTGCCTCGGCCTCCCAATGTGCTGGAATTACAGGTATGAGCTACCGCGCTCAGCCCAAACCCAGGGCTCTTAACCACCCTACTATGTACTGTGCTGGCCCCCGGTCAAGGGAGAGAACTCACGTCAGGCAAAAATGTTTTACAGAGAGGCAGCTAAGTCTTTTCCACAGTGGATGACACAGTCCCCCTCACAAACCACCCCACAGATCCAACCCCAAGGAACTCTGCTTCTACGTGTGCCCTTGGGGCAAGGGATGCAAAGCACCAGGCGATGGAGCTCAGAGGATGGCACTCTTCCAGAGAGCTGTGTGTCTCTGGGAAAGCTAACACACCTCTCTGAGCCTGTTGCTACAGCTTTACCATCAGCGATGTGACTGCAAGCCTTCTCAGCTGCCTGTCAGCAGATGCACAGGCCTGTGCACAGAGCTCTGCGGAGACCACGCCGACATCGCCGCACACCCACCCTCCTGCTCATGGGACAGACCATTCACACCTGCTTCACCACCAGCCACAGGCTTGTCGGAAGGAGCAGACTCTTCTCCACGGACAAGCCACTGCCCCTTTGAGGGCCTCAGCTTCCTTACCCTATGAGATGAGGAAACAGATCTTCACTTGCCACAGGACTTGGGGGGATGAAAAGGTAACCTCCGTAAAGCTGCCCCTGGTGTGGGGAAGCCACCCCATAGATGACATTGCCCGCCCTCCCCCTAGGCCCAGAGCTCTACAGAGTCCTCAAGCTGGTGTCCCTCCAGGCTAAAACACTTCCACCCCCTGGGCAGTGCACTACAGGGTGGTGGGGAAGGGGCCATCTGTGGAAGAAACACAGGGCCTGGCCTGGGGTCCTGGGCAAGACCTCTGTGACCTCAGTTTCCCCAGATCCCTCCAGGTGTGACCTTGTAGATGGCCTCTATTCTGGATTCACAGCTGCTGAGGAGGAGGAAGAGGACACTGAAGGCATTCCTTCAGTCCCCTGGGGAGGTTCAGATGCTCAGACTCCCTGATACCACCTTTCCTGGGCAGAATAAAGTCCCCAAGATGTCCAAGCCCTAATCCCTGGAGCCTGGGAAAGTGTTACCTCCCAGACCAAAGGGACTTTGTAGGTGTGTGATTGAGTTGAAGATCTGCAGTGAGAGGGTAGCCTGGATTAGCCACGTGTGCCCAAAAGCAGAGACTCCTTCCCAGCCGTGGTCAGAGACAGAACAAGGGGACGCTGCTGGCTTTAAAGACGGAAGAAGGGACGAGGAGCCAAGGAGTGCAAGTGCCGCCAGAGGCCAGAAAAGGCAAGGGATGGATTTTTCCCCTGGAGTTCCAGGAGGAACCAGCCCTGCCAACACCTGGATTTTAGTTCTGGGACCCCACCTCAGACATCTGACCCCCTTGACTGTAAGGTAATAAATGTGCGTTGCTTAAGCCACTGAGTCAGCCATAAGTTGTTACATGGCTGCCACAGGAAACTAACAGGCCCTCCCCTCTGGCCCCAACATGCCCAGCTGCCTGTGAAGGGGAAGAAGGATGGCACAAGGCACGGCCCTCATCGATGTGTTCACACACCTTGCTCCCCTACTGAGCTGGCCCTGGGGCTGCAGACCTGATCCCTGCTCTCAGGAGCCTTCGCCAGCTGAGAGACGCCCGCAGAGCCTCCCCTCCACTGCGGAGGCTCGAACCTTCCCTCCTGCTGCTGCTGCCCCATCCTCTCCTCTTCCTCCTGCTGCTGTTTGTTGAGTGCTCCCTGTGAGTAGGCACCAGGCTAGTGTCCTCCTCCCAACCCCAGCCTCATAGGCTCAGCGGTCAGGCCACCCGAGCAGTCACATTGTAGACCCCTGAATCCTGCCCATGGTTTGGCAGGACAAAGGGCCTTTTCTGCTTCAGAGTCACAAATGTGTCCTCCTCACAATAAGGGTGGCATGGAGGTCCCTGGGCCAGTGCCTCAGCCTATTGAGCCTGGGGTCCTTGTCTGTACAGGGGGATGAAGGTAGCACCTCACAGATGGCGATAAACCCAGCCAGTGCAGGGCAGGCAGTCAGCGCTCCAAACTCGCTTCAAGTCTTTGCCTATGCTGCCAATCAAGTCAGCTGTGGGAAGAGTCAGGTTTTTCTCTTGAAAGTCAGGGCCGGGCACGGTGGCTCATGCCTGTAATCCCAGCACTTTGGGAGGCTGAGGTGGGTAGATCACAAGGTCAGGAGACCGAGACCATCCTGGCTAACACAGTGAAACCCTGTCTCTACTAAAAATACAAAAAATTAGCCGGGCATGGTGGCACGCACCTGTAGTCCCACCTACTTGGGAGGCTGAGGCAGGAGAATCACTTGAACCTGGGAGGCAGAGGTTTGCAGTGAACCGAGATCACGCCACTGCACTCCAGCCCTGGACGACAGTGAGACTCTATCTCAAAAAAAAAAAAAAAAAAAAAGTCAGATGCAATGCCAGGGCTGTGGTGTGGGACTGTCACTGCATGAGGCATGGGGGCTGAGGTACTTGGCCAAGGGGGTTTTTCAGAGACCACCCCAAGAGTCTTCTGGAGCCAAAATATCACCCCTAATGACTTAACTGGGAGCCCCACCACTAAAGCAGGGTTTCATCATGCTAGGAAGTAATCAGAAAAGTGCAGACAAATGTTCCTGGAAGTGTTGCCTACAATGGGGAAAACTGGAAATAACTGGGAAGAACCCAAGTGCCTGATAATAAGGGGTTAGTTAAGGACCTCTGTCCAGTGGAATATGCTAAATAGTCATGAAAGTTCATTTGCAAGACAGTATCTTCTGACTTAGGAAAATATTGTGATAAAATATTAATGAAACAAGCAGAAGATAAAATGATACACCTAATAAGATGCTAATTTTGCTTAAAATATGTTTTGACAGACTAGGTGTGGTGGCTCACACCTGTAACCCCAGCACTGTGGAAAGCTGAGGTGGGTGGGTCACCTGAGGTCAGGAGCTCGAGACCAGCCTGGCCAACATAGTGAAACCCCATCTCTACTAAAAATACAAGTTAGCTGGGGGTGGTGGTAGGCGCCTGTAGTCCCAGCCACTTGGGAGGCTGAGCCAGGAGAATCGCTTGGAGCCAGGTGAATCGCTTGAACCCAGGAAGCAGAGGTTGCAGTGAGCCGAGACTGCACCACTGCACTCCAGTCTGGGCGACACAACGAGACTCCATCTCAAAAAAAAAAAAAAAAAAGTTTTGACAGAAGCTGGGTGAGGCCTTCCCAGTGGCTATCTCTGAGTGTGCTTTCATAGGTGATTGACAAATGTTTTTCTTTTCTGAGGACTCAAAGTGTTCTAAAATGAGCATGGAACATCAATGATGGCATTAAAGAAAAAAAAAAAGAATGGCAAAGACGAGGAGTTGTACTCCTTCACTGAAGCTGCCTTTGGTCCCTCCCTGGGCCTCAGCATGCGGCACGAACACGTGTGAGGGGCAGGGCTGGCTTTGTGGGTTTGTGACCCATACCACCGCACAGGGCCCTGAGCTTAGGAAGGCCCTGCATTCGGAAGGGCCCCAAGCTCGTTTTAATTCACACCATCGTCACCACCTTGTAATTCTCAGGCATTTTCAAACCAGGGGGCCACATTTTCTTCTTACCCTGGGCCCTGCAAACTCTATAGCCGATCCTGGCGAGGAACCCTGGGCCTCCGGACACCTTGACTTTTCTCTCCAGTTTCCTGAATGCCGCAGCCAGCTTTCTGGGGTAGGTTTATTTCCCATGCAGTGACTCCTTATATTTTGTCCAGGGTTTCCAAAATCAGGGGCCCAAGGACATTAACCTCAAAAAATCAAAGCATATATTGGCTGTCCCCCGGGACAGTGGCTGCCTTGTTAGGAGGTGGGTGGGGTCACTGGCACAGCCCTGGCATTGCTAAATGGGCTGTTGGCAAAAAGAGGAAACAGGGCTCTGTTCTGTAAAAACATGCGTGAGCATTTGCAGTGCTTTTTCTGGAGACTGAAATCTTTCTGTACACCTCACCAAATTTTCAGAAGTTTCTTATGAGGTATGTGTTTTCTCCAGTAAAACCAGGTGCCTCTGACTCAGGGGCACTGCCTATGGACCTGTCCTACATCTCTTTCTACCAGTTAAGGCTCAAGGATGCCTGGGTGACTCTGTCCTACGGCTTCTGCAGCCACACTGCCAGATAGGTGGTGAGCTGCCTGTCTCTGGAGGCATTCAACAAAGGCTGCACAGGAAACACCTTCTCTGGCATTAGCCTAGAGAAGCTCACCTGAGGGTGTCACTGCACAGGGTATCTGGCAGCTTCTAAGGCAGGACCTTGTCGTCTTTTCTCTCTGTGCCCAGTACTCCATACAGGAGTATAGGTGTGGGGGAGGTGTTCAGTGACTGTTTCCTTTAGGGTACGGAAACAAGTGCCAGAAGGTGGTGAGGTAAGCGATGCAAAGTTGACATGAGATGTAGGAGAGAAATTCCTGAGCTGCCCAGAAGCAGGTGATGTGCGAGAGAAGCCAGCAGCCACGGGCCCCTGGAGCAGCAGCCGCTGATACTGAGTGCCTGCCGTGTGCTAGCGGAGTGATCGATGTTCACAGCGATTGTCACCGTTCTCCCAACAACGCAACTGATACAGAACTCTTTTTGTTTGTTTTGTTTGTTTGTTTGTTTGTTTGTTTTTTTGAGACAGAGTCTCGCTCTGTCACCCAGGCTGGAGTGCAGTGGCGCAATCTCGGCTTACTGCAACCTCCGCCTCCCGGGTTCAAGCAATTCTCCTGCCTCAGCCTCCTGAGTAGCTGGGACTACAGCTGTGTGCCACCACACCTAGCTAATTTTTGTATTTTTAGTAGAGACAGGGTTTCATCGTGTTGGCCAGGCTGGTCTGGAACTCCTGACCTCATGATCTGTCTGCCTCGGCCTCGCAAAGTGCTGGGATTACAGGTGTGAGCTACCACACCTGTCTGGCAGAACTCTTATTAAGCCCCTTTTATGAGTGAGGAAACTGAGGCCCAGAGAGGTGAGGTTACCCAGCTAGAATGAGGTAGCGCTGGCAGGTGGAGGCAGGCCTGCCTCAATGCAGAACTTCCCTATAAGCCCAGGATTTTTGGTATGCTGCGACTCTACTGCCTGGGACATGAAGAAAGTTCAAGTTCAGGTTCACTTTCTGCATCCTATCTTTCCTTCATTATACCCTGGGCGGGTATAGAAGGTCCCCCAGAGGGTTTGGGGATGGGGCAGGTCAGGTTCCTCATTTTAGGGAGATTTTAACTTTAAGTGGGCTCGAGCAAGTGTTAATTACCTGGACAGTTCATGCCTGTGGAGGCCGACCCTCCCTGTGGTGCTGGGTCCATGAGATACAGACTCTCCTGCCTCCCTGCTCCCCAGATCCCCGGGGTCTCCTGCTCAAATCTTGGGCTGGGGCCAGGGTCACTAAGAAATCTGCTTTCTTTGAACACTAACCAGTTCAGGCGTACACAGGAGTTGCAGTCTCGGGGTGGGGGCATGGGTTGGGTTCAACCCCAGAGTGTTTCCTCTGTCCTGCAATGTGCTCAAATTTTGGACATTTCATGTACAAATCTGGATTTCTTCTGAAGTCAGAAGCTCTAACAGCCTCAGCCCTTATCCTCATGGCAGCAACAGGCTAGAGCCAACTGGGCACTCTGTCCCCTGCCGTCACTGCAAACACCCTCTGTGCTCCAACTGACGCCTGTAGGCTGCCCTGTGACAGCCCTGCCAGAGAGTCCAGGGACATGGTGGGGTGACCCACTCAGATTCTGGCTGGCCAGCCCTCTCGGCTTGGGTGCTCCCCTGAGGAGGACTTTGGGAGCGTAGGCACCCAGGGATGGAGGCAAGTTAGCAATGCTCTCTGGAAGGCTGGGGACCTGGCCACCACTGGGAGTAAGACCTGACAGATGGTCCCTGCTGTGGTTGGGGGCACCTGATCAAACTGGGAGGCTTGTGGAGGCCCAGGCCCAGGACAGGTCTGTGAGTTTCCAGGGCTTTGCCACCGCCGACTGGTGGGGTAGGTTTCTATCCCAGGAGTGCCCCCCAGGGATCAGACCAGTCACAGGGACAGAGGCCTTGTCTCAGGCGGAGAGAGTGGCATGCAGAGAAGCTAGCTGGAGGTATGGGCTGGGCCTGTTGCAGACAGGAATAGGGGAGGCAGCAGGGTCCCTCACCTGCTCCCCAAGGAACAGGCTCTACAGGGCCCCAGCTTCTCCTCCTCCCCAGGCCCTGTCCATGGCTGTCCTGTGACCCAGCACCTGCCAGGCTCACTTGGCACTGTGGTTGCCCCAAGCAGAGCCGACAGGACAGTTGGTGGCCAGGGAGTCTTGCTCAGGATGGTCACCCAGGACGGTCAAGGGAAGTCACTCAGGATGGTGCTGGGGGTGTGGGGGGATCAGGAGCAACTTCCACCTGAGCCCCAGGACCGGAGCATTGCAGCGGCGAGGGGCTTGCCTCCTTGTGCTGTCGGGGGTCCCTCATCCCACAGGCCCTCACCTCCTGTGCTGCCCCTGGGCAGCCTGGCCTCGGAGGGTCAACACCTGAGGGCCCGAGGGGCATCCATGCCCCCTCCTCCTTCCCTCCAGCCAAAGGTGGGGGGCAAAGCGCAGGGAAGAAAACACCAGGAGAAAACCAGAGAGCTCTCGGTTCTCTTTTAAGAGCCCTGATGGCCGCAGCGCAGAGCCCGAGGGGAGGGAAAATGTCGGGAAAGATTCTCTTCCGAACTTTGCGAGTCTTTGTTTGGGAGGCTGGGGGCTGACTTCGCCGGGGGCCGGGCCGCGGGCTCGGCCGTGCGCTCCGGTGCAGCGGCCGAGGAGCCCCGGCGCCCGCCACCCCGGGACACGCCCTCGCAGTCGAGCCCGGACCCCGACCCGGACCCCAGCGCCGCCGGGCGAGGGCGGGAGGGGGAGCGCTTACCAGATCGTCCCGAGCGCGCCGCGGTCCAGGCGGGCACAGCGCAGGGTCAAGTTCACGTCCGGCCCGCGGGCTGCCCGAGGTCCCCGGGCGCGGCTGGGGCAGCGGGAGGCGCGGGAGGCCGAGGTCCGGGTGGCCGCCGCGGCCGCCCCCGAAGCGCTGCTGTCACCCCGGCCGCGCCCCCCAACTTTCTGCACAGTCGCGGAGCTGGAAGTTTCCGGGCTTCGCGGACACGCTGGGCTGGGTTTCAGTCGCGGCTCCGAGGTTGGCAACAAAGAGGGAAAGAAGGAGGAAAAGCAGGCCGGGGAGGGGAGGAAGAGAACCGCGCGGAGGCCGCGGCGCCGAGAGCCCCAGAACTTCCAATTCTACCCAGAAGCTTTTTTCGTCGTGTTTTTCTCTTAGGTAAACAAGCAAGTTCCACGCCCCAGTCCTGCTGGGGCCTTCGCCAGCCACCGCTCTGGGCTCATCTCCCGGCGCCTCCTCGGGGCACCTGAGCGTTTTAAGCCCCACTGCCAAGTGTTTTGGACACAGGTTTTTTTGCGGGGTGGTGAGGTTGGGCACAAGATGCTTCCTAAAAGGTTGTTGGCACGCAGACCATGGCCCCAGTGACGGAGCGGTAGGCAGGGGCTTGAGGAACACGCTGTCTTTGTCTCGTCCCCAAAGCACCCGGCCGTGGGTCACCCGTGATCCCTGGAGTGGAGGGACTGTTGTGACCCCTGGTGCTCCAGGAGAAGGGGTTCCATGCTGGGTCCCGGGCCCAGGCCCACGGTGCCCTCAGCCTGCAGTTCTCCACCTTGCGGAATGATTTGCTGGCCCGGCCCAGCTCCCCGGCACCACCATTTTCTGCCCTCTTTTCCCTGCCTGGCTTCAAACCCTCCCAGGCAAGGGTCCCGAGGAGACACCTGGGCTGGGGGAGGCAACTGAGTGGCCCCAGGCCTGGGAATCTGCAAAAGTGGCCAAGCCACATCTCTCGAGACTGCAAGGGCCCTGGAGGCGCTGGGAGGCACAGATCTGGCTGCCAGCTGGGCCTGAGGCCTCCCTTTGTCCGTCCTTCCTGTTCTTCCTCACCAGGTGTGTTTACGGAGAAGACACTCCGGGCCAGGCCAGCTCCTCCAGAGCACTATTTCAGGCTGGGGAGAATGCGGATTTTTTTTTTGTTGTTGTTTTTTAAAGAAAAATGAACAAGGAGCCTGGTTGGGGATTGGGGTGGGAGGAATATTTGTCTTTTGTCCCACAAACGTGTGTGATGCTCCAAAGGGCTGGAGAACCTCTCTCTTAAGTGGATATTTTTCCCCTCAAACGACTTCTCAGACATGATCCTCTCTGAGGTTGGTCCTGGGCTTCCATACGTGATTCATGGAAGAGGTCTCAGCCCCAAGAGCCCCTGAGGGTACTGTCCACTCCCCCTGGAAACTTCCAGAACCTGACGTGGGGCTGAAGACATAGAGGTAATGGGGATGGGCTGGTGGGGCGCTGGCTGGGACAATGTGTGGAGCCCTTGTTTTCAGAGCTACAGATGCTTGTCAGCTGACAGTTCGTTTCCAGCATCCACAGTGGACCTCCTTTGGGGGAGCATTTACCTGCCAATGAACCCCAAGATCCTTTCTCAGAGGCGGCGGGATGAAGTTTTCCTTTTTTTTTTTTTTAGTTAATATATTTTATTTAAACCAATATATCCAAAATATTATCAGTTCAACATACGATCAAGATAAAGATTAATGAGATACTTTACATTTTCATACTAAATCTTTTTTTAAATTTTTGTGAGTACATAGTAGGTATAAACATTTAGGGATGAAGTTTCTTACTGTGTTTTCCCAGTAACAAGCACTGGCATCAGCTGTCATGATTTCTCCCCAAGGCCTAGGATGGTCAGCCTCGCACGCTCCACAGCAGAGTGACTGAAGCTCTATCGAGGTGTGGCACGAGCGTGTTGTCATTTCAAGAGAATCTGCAGCCTCCCTGGTTTTTAATGAAAGCTCCTATGCAGGGCCTGGCCCTTTCCTGGGGAGGGAAGGCTGGCTGTGTCTCCCGCTGCATCCTCACTGGGAACTTCATTCCTGAGCTGCGACCGCTATTTTTTGGATTGGAAAATGCCTTGGGAACGGCTCATCTTCCTGCGGCTTGAGCCCATTTGTTTTCTGACTGGTGGTCACTGGTGATTAGAGTGTGTCCCAAAGGGAACCGTCACCTTAGTTCTATCATACACTATCAATAACTTGTCCAGGGCTGACTTTGTGGCTGTGTGGCTTGCCCAGTGGTAGAGGGCCGGTGTGCAGAAGGGCCCCACACTCAATGTTTGGCTGTCCCCGGTCTTAAAATTCTTAGTCATTCTTGAACAAGGGAACCCATATTTTCATTTTGTTCTAGGCTCTGAGAGTTACATAATTGATTCTGACTTTGGCTGTTGGTCAACAGTGTCATAAGGTAAAATAAGGTAAAAATCTATGATTTTTATATTTCTTTTTTTCTTTCTTTCTTTTTCCTTTTTTTTTTTTTTTTTTTTTTTGAGACACAGTCTTGCTCTGTCACCAGGGTGGAGTGCAGTGGCGCAGTGGTGCGATCTTGGCTCACTGCAACCTCCGCCTCCCGAGTTCAAGCGATTCTCCTGCCTCAGCCTCCTGAGTAGCTGGGACTACAGGTGCGCACCATCATGCCCAGCTAATTTTTGTATTTTTAGTAGAGACGGGATTTCACCATGTTGGCCAGGGTGGTGGTCTCGATCTCCTGAACTTGTGATCCGCCCACCTCGGCCTCCCAAAGTGCTGGGATTACAGGCGTGAGCCAACGTGCCCAGCTGATTTTTATATTTCTTTTACTAAATTCTGTTTACAGAAATAATTCCAGATTCTATGTAAGATACAAATATTTTAACTGAAGATCATTGTATTTAGGGAAAATGTTCACCTTTAAGAGACAGGGGCTGGGCGTTGTGGCTCACGCCTGTAATCCCAGCACTTTGGGAGGCCGAGGCTGGTGGATCGCACGAGCCCAGGAATTCCAGACCAGCCTGGGCAACACGGCGAAACCCTGTCTATGCAAAATATACAAAAATTAGCCAAGCATGGGGGTGTGCACCTGTAACTCCCAGCTACTCCAGAGGCTGAGGTGGGAAGACTGCTCAAGCCCGGGAGGTCAAAGCTGCAGTGAGAGACCTTGTCTTAAATACAAACAGGCAGGAAGTCGTTATAAGCATAATACAATCCTGGATGTTGGAATCATCCCTGTCCAGCCTTGGCTCTGCCACGTGGGTGCTGAATGCTGCCTCAGGGACCCTGGTGCCCAGCTCCCACCTGCAGGGTGTTCTGAGGAGCCAGCACGCTGGGAGGGCCTAGCAGGAGATGTGGCATGAACCAGGTATTCGATAAATAAAAAGTGCCTTTGATTGTCACGTTTATCATTTGACATGTAGGCACAGGTGCAGTTTGATTATTTTTAATGTAAGTCTATTTTATCTCTTCCCGTTATAAAAGCAATACACACTGTGATAGACGGTTTGGAGAATTCAGGAAAGAAAAAGAAAAAGAAAAAAAATTCCTCCTAGGCCCTCTGCTCCAGAGCCTCCAGCCGTCACATGACAGTGTATTTCTTTACAATTACAGAAATAGATACGTGACTGTTACATTTTGAAACTTTTTCTTTTACCTTGACTTATTTTTAAATAGAAACACTAGTGAGGCCCCACAGAACTGAGCAGAACTAATGGCCCCCCATGTGGTGGAATAGTTCTGAGCTGGCCCCACTTTGGATGCAGCCTTCCCCGGCAAGTCTAAACCCAGTCTCTGTGGCTGCCTGTTCACAGGGACCGTGGACTGTGATGTTTACAGTACGAAAGCACTGGGAGAGAACGCTACATCACAAAGTGTCCTTAACCTGCTGCCGCCTCAGCTTTCCCATTTGTGACTTGGTTAAAAAAAATTTTTTTGACAGTTTTAAGCTCTTATTTTAATTTCCACAGGCTGTTGTAGAATCTGCTCAGCCAGGGAGGGGAAAGGAGTCGGCAATCAGGTCTCCTCCTGGGCACCTTTGTGAGGCCAGCTGGCGAGAGTGGGGGGTGACACTGAGGTCCCAGCAGCTCCAAATGCAGGCAGAGCCCTGTCCTCAGAGAAGGTCACAGCCTAGCCAAGCCCAGCCAGGTGGATGGGCCCACGGAACGCACAGGAACCTGGAACGGAGGTTGAAAGCAGGAAGCACAGTCTGTGACTCCCCAGCCCACTCTGCATTCGACCACTTGGGGCCCAGAAGCTTCAGGAAAGGTGCACAAGGTCACTGGGTCCCAGTACTCCCAACAGGAAGGTCTGGTCCAGGGACAGGGCTCTTCCCGACTCCCCTTAGCCACACGCACCAGAAGTTCTGCAGTGCCCAGTGGGCATAGCAGTCCCCAAGAATGACCCAGCACTGAAGCTGAGCCAAAGAACTTGGGGAGCGAGCCACACCCCCTCACTCCCTCTTCGCCTGCTCCAGACTTGCCAGGCGGTTGCTTTTCGTGGGAACCGGGATGTCCTCACCACCCTGTCCAGGGCCCAGCCCCATGTCCCTGGCCTGCTACAGCTGGAAAAAAAAAAGAGAGATGTTTGTTTTTATTTGTTTATAAAAAGAAAAGTGTTATATATATAACATATTATACCTCATGAATACATACAATTATTTGTCAATTAACAATAAAGAAAAATACAGCAAGCAAAAAAGACTCTCTTCCACAAAAATAGTGTTCATTACAGAAAAGTACAAAAAAAAAAAAAAAAAACTAAGAGGATATTTAGAATTAAGAAAAAACTAAGAGGGTATTTAGAATTAAAAAATAAAAAGAAAACAATTACCCATGAGGTAATTACTGAATGCATTTGGTTGAAAGTCCTTCTGCTATATTTTCCAAACTGTATGTGTATATATGTGCGCATGCATATATGTGTTTGTGTGTGTGTACACATATCTATATGAATGGACCATATCGTAAGTTATAAATGCATACATATATTCATGTATATATAATCATTAGATCATACTATAGGTTATTTTACAGTCTTTTTGTTGAATACGTTGTGAGCATTTTATGTCATTATTTTCTACAAGATTTGAAAAATAAAGTATAAATACCAGTTAATTTTTGAAATCAACCTTATTAAGGAATAAGTTCCATGCAGCAAAATCCCTTTCACCTCTACTGTTCGATGAGTTTTGACAATGTATGCAACCGTGACATGTATCACCACGATCAAGAAAGAAAACATCACCACAAAATGTTCCCTAGAGCCCCTTGCAGGCAGTCTCTGACTTCCTGGCAGCCAGCAATCTGAATCCAACCACCGTAGATCAGTTTCAATTTATTAAAAAAAAATTTTAACTCATGGAGTATGAACTCTTGCTCGGGATCCTGCTATCTATGTTGTTGAGTTTATCAATAGCCCATTCCTTTTTACTGCTACGTGATATTTTATCATATGCCTATTGACATTTGTTTACCCACTCACATACTGATGGACAATTGAATTGTTTGTGTTGTCTGTTTGTTTGTTTTTTGAGACAGGGTCTCACTGTCACCCAGGCTGGAGTGCAGTGGTGCAATCTCGGCTCACTGCAACCTCTGCCTCCCAGGCTCAAGTGATCCACCTCGGCCTCCCAAAGTGCTGAAATTACAGGCGTGAGCCACTGTGCCTGGCCTGTTTCTGATTTTTTAAAATGTTTGCTATTGTGACTAGAACTTTGTGAATGCCAATTAATTTTTACAGTGTTTTAATGAGCAATGTCACCCGCACGTGCTGTGAATGCCCACGCATGTGGGCACAGCCTGTGTGTTTCCTTCCTGGAGCACTTGAGATGGGGAAACCAAGAGATGGGGGGTGAAGAAAGGAGCCAGAGGCCACACAGCTGGTTAGGAACAGGCTAGGGGAACCCAGCCTCTAAATCCCAGTATTCCAGGACAACATGCTGCCATACTCTCACAACACTTGCCTGTATCAGAAATGCTTGTAATTTTCCCACACAGAGAAATTTCCATGAAAATCAAGTTGTGGGCTGAGAGATGAAAGGCAGCCTCATGTTAATTAGGCAGGCTTTGGTTTGGTCCGTCCACCAAGCTCAGGGGTGTGTGTGAATATCTCTATTTTCATACACACATGCACACACGCACACACACACACACACACACACACGGACACGTCGCTCACACCCACCAACGCCAGTGGCGATGATCCAGTCCAGATCTTTTCTATACTGCCTTCAGAGCACGTGGCCAGACTGGCTTCTGACTTTACAGTCGTGGCACATGCTGGCCCTGGACAGGAGGCCCTGGCTTGGCTTCTGAGCATCCATTCAGCAGACTTGTCTTAAAGGATGTCTGATTATTTCCGCAAATCAAATCTCCCCTCAAGGACAAAGTTCAGGCTGCTGGGGAGATTCAAAGGGATGATCTGTCTGCAAGACGG
This sequence comes from Homo sapiens, assembly GCF_000001405.40. Classification (NCBI taxonomy): domain Eukaryota; kingdom Metazoa; phylum Chordata; class Mammalia; order Primates; family Hominidae; genus Homo; species Homo sapiens. The sequence continues at coordinate 46,038,585 of NC_000022.11, read as the reverse complement.
CTGCTTCCAAAAAGGTGTCACGGCGGCCTGGGAGTGGCTGTGCCCAACAGAAGGCAGGGGAAGAGGAGGTGCTCCTTGGAGTATGGGCACCCTGGGTGTCTGTAGAGGATTCTTGGGCCACTCTACCGTAGCTCAGCATTGAAACAGAGACAATGTTTGATTTTGCTCACTTATTAATTAGCTCCTAGTTATGTGTCCAATGGGGCTATTTCCATGATCTTATTGAATCCTAAATAACTATTATCCTGCTTTTACAGATGAGAAACGTGAGGCCCAGAGAGGTTAAGAAACTTGCCCAAGGACACACAGCAGTGGGTACTCAGTCCAAGAATGCCCATTCTTTGCAGACACAGGCTTCTCATCTGAGTTAGAGGTCTCTGCCCATTTGTGGCTAGCAGGCTCCAAAGAACACACGTTCACTTGGAGCTAGCTCGGGTAGAACCCTAAACAATTCTAGTGTGCTTGGAGGACACAAATGGTGCAGACCCCCACTTCCTGTTCAGGTCTCTGAGGGGCCCTCCCTCCTCAGACCACACCCCACTGCTGAGCAGACCTCTAGCACTTGTCCTGGCCCCCATTCAAAAAGGCAAATGTCAGCTGGGCGCGGTGGCTCATGCCTGTAATCCCAGCACTTTGGGAGGCCGAGGCAGGCGGATCACGAGGTCAGGAGATCGAGACCATCCTGGCTAACATGGTGAAACCCGTCTCTACTAAAAATACAAAAAAAAAAAAAAAAAAAAATTAGCCGGGCTTGGTGGCGGGTGCCTGTAGTCCCAGGTACTCCGGAGGCTTAGGCAGGAGAATGGCGTGAACCCGGGAGGCGGAGCTTGCAGTGAACTGAGATCGCGCCACTGCACTCCAGCCTGGGCGACAGAGCGAGACTCTCAAAAAAAAAAAAAAAAAAAAAAAAAGAAGGCGAGTGTCCGGTCCCTGAGTTGAGCAAAGAAGAATCACCTCCTCTCAGCCCTCGGTCCACAGTCTCCATGGTCTTGAAGTCAGCGGGCCTAAGGAGGCCTCTGTCCACGGGAGATGAAACCAGGAAAGGAAGGGCCCATTCTCTCAGAAAACATGTGTTTTCTGTTTACAGAGGGACCTGTCCAGTTCCCATGCTTTGTTCTTTAATATGGAGCCAAAAAAAAAAAAAAAAAATCAAATGCGCAGCTTCCGCTCTGAGGTACACTTGAAGGCTAGAAAGTCCGGATTGCTGCGGGCTCATTGTGCTGGGGTGTCCTATCTGCTGCTGACGTCCAGCATATACCAACCTGGAAAGCCAAGGAAAAAGCCAGACTGCCCCCTCCGCATTACAAGGGAGGACGGGGTACAGAGGGGAGAGGCAGCCTCGGCACCCTGGGGGCTGGCTTGACACTGTGTGAGCACACTGGGGGTGTTCTGTTGTGCACTTGTAGCCCTGGCACCACAGGCCCAGCAGGCTTGGCGCCACACACCGGCCATTCAGATCCTGGGCAGAGGGCATCCTTTCCCACCCCAAGCAAAGGGAGGCAGAGTATTGGGAGATCTGGGGTAACCAGTGGGTGGGAATCTCCAGGCAACCTGGGTCAAGCTGAGGGATGCTGAGCACCTTCAGAGTTGGGAGAGGGGCTTAGCTCTGGGTAAGCGGGTCTTCCAACTCGAGGAGGCAGCAGTGAGCTAAGGTAATCAACAGAGCTGCCAGCCAGCTACACCTACTGAAGGGAAACTATTATCACAGGATGCCGGCTCAGCACACAGGCTAACAGCTGAGATTCAGTATCAAGGATCTGGGTCCAAATCTAGGCTGTGTCCCTTTGCCCTCCAGGGCCTCTGGCAAGCTGCTTCTCTGACCTCGGCCCCTCATCTGTGAAAAGGGGTGGCATGCACGTTTATACAGCTGCCAGGAGTACTGAGATAACACATTTACGTCTAAGTCCAGGATGGCCTGGCACATGCTTTTCAATACACGGCAGCTGCCGTTGACATCTCGGGGCTTTAGACTTCACCGAAGGGGCACTCTGGCTAGAAACAGCTCACCAGCTTAGGCTGTCACAGCCAGCGGAGAGGGGGTCCTACAATCCCTCCCACCCAGGGCAGACCCCGACTAAGACGGGAGGATGCCTCGCTGGGCCACACCTTCCTCCCTGTGCAGAAGGGGTGACATCAGTAACCGTGGTTGACAACGGAGCCTAGGGTTCTGATGTCACTTCTGCCCGGGTGGTGCGTCCAGCTTAGGCTGAGACGAGGGGTGGCCCTCGACCCAGTGCACAGGGTCAGCCCTGGCTCCGCGCCTCCGACCTCTCGGGGGCTGCAGCAGGGCCTGGCACGCGTGTCCCCGGGGCCGGGCCGCTGGCCCCTTTCATCTCCGCCTCCCGGCTGTCCGGCCTCTACGTCCCGCGCACCTGGGGCCAGACGGGGACAGCAAAAAACCATCGCAGGAAGCGCGCACGACCTCGTTTGGGACCAGCCCGCCTCCCGGGCGGAAGCCGCGGCGCCTTGGACTGGACGGTCCCGCCCGCTCTTCCGTCCCGCCCCGGAAGTCAGGACGAGGGCGCGACGCGCGGCGCGGTCGCAGTGCCGTAGCCAAAGGGGCGGGGCCTGGTGCAGCCGGGGGGCGGGGCCTCGGCGCGACCTGTTCCGGAAGCCCCAGCGAGGGTGAGGCGGGCGGTGCGGACGTAGCGCCGCAGCTGAGGGGGCGGGGCCAAGTCTATCGCCGGGCCTCTACGCGCCAGGGGCGGGGCCTCTGGGTGGCAGTCTCTTAGATTCCAGGCCGCGGGCTGTGCGGATGTTGCGTCACAGTCGAGAGGGCGGGGCTTGGGCGGGGCCTGGGCGGGGCCTCTGCGCGGCCCGCTCAGAAAGCTCAGGGAAAGGCTCGGCAGGCGGCTGTGGGGCGGGGCCTGGCGGGGCTGGGGCGGGGCCTGGGCGGGGCCTCATTGCGGCCGCGGGCCGTGGGGCTGATTCCGAGCTTTCGCGCAAATTGGATCTCCACTTTAAAGTTTAACAACTTTTCCTGTATTTTTCCCCTCCCTAAACCAGGTAAAACAACCAGACAGTGGAGAATTTGTAAAACCTAGGCGAGTACAAAGTAAGAAAAGGAGAAACCTTTCCGAGGCACCAGGGAAAATACTGGCCTGGAGTATCTTTTTATCGAAATATATAGATATTTACATCATCGGGATAACATTGTATATATGCTTGTGGCTTAAAAAATAACATTTTTTGTCTGATTGCAAGACCACACGTTTATTGCATGAAATTTGGAAAACTGGAAAAAAATACAAAGAAGAAAAGTAGACTGAGATTCCCTCACACGAGATCACCATTGTTAACATTTGACTTTCTTTTTACACAATTATGCATTTGTTGAGACAAAAAATGGATCATGCCGTAAATATTGCTTTGCAACTTTGTCTTTGTAACCGTGGCTATATTCTAAATGTCACACATCATTTAGTGTTCATTCACAGCATTGCTTATGATCATACACAGCGGGGCTGTATTTTATTTAACCCATGTGAGATTATTGGATATTGATGTTGTTTTCAGTTTCATCTCTTCCTTACTTCTTTCTTTTACGATAAACATTCTTGCAGCTAAATCTGTGCATATCCAATCCCTAGATGTGGAATTGCTGAGTCAAAGCATATAAACACGAATGCTTCTTGTACCTCCCTTTTTATGTTTTCCAAATTTAAAAAGTAATGAATTAGTATTTTAACAATTGGTTTAAACTGTAGTACTGTATATACAAAAAATATCTCTCATTTGCAGAATATGTAAAGAAGTCCTGGCTGGGCATGGTGGTTCACCCCTGTAATTCCAACACTTTAAGAAGCCAAGGCAGGAGGATTGCTTGAGCTCAGGAGCTCAAGACCAAGGCTGAGGCGGGTGGATCACCTGAGGTCGGGAGTTTGAGAGGAGCCTGGCCAACATGGAGAAACCCTGTGTCTACTAAAAATACAAAAATTAGCCAGGCATGGTGGTGGGCGCCTGTAATCCCAGCTCCTCAGAAGGCTGAGGCAGAAGAATTGCTTAAACTTGGGAGGCAGAGGTTGTGGTGAGCCGAGATCGTGCCATTACACTCCAGCCTGGGCAACAAGAGTGAAACTCTGTCTAAAACAAAGCAAAACAAAACAAAACAAAACAAAAACAAGCTGGAGACCAGCCTGGGCAACATTGTGAGAACTCATCTTTACAAAAAATTTAAAAATTAACCCTGTTGGTGGGAATGTTAGCTTTGTTGGTGGGAATGTTAGCTTTGTTAGTGGGAATGTAAAATTGTGCACCTGCTATGGAAAACAGTATGAGAGTTCCTCAAAAATGTAAATACAGAACTACTACAGGACCCAGCAATTCCACTCCTAAGAATATACCCCCCAAAATTGAAGACAGAAACACTAACAAATATTTGTACACTTCTGGTACAAAAAAGAAGCAGCATTATGCATAATAGACAAAAGGTGGAAACAGCCCCAGTGTCCATGGGTAGATGAACGGAGAAAGAAAAGGTGATATATATATATACGATGGAGTGTTACTCAGCTTTCAAAAGGAATGAAGTTGTGACACATGATATGACGTGGATCAACCTTGAAAACATGACGCTCAGTGAAGCAAGCCAAACACGAAAGGGCACATAGTGTACGATTCCACCTGTACGAGGTCCCGAGAATAGTCAAATTCATAGAGTCAGAAAGTAAAGCAGTGCTTACTGGGCACTGGGGAGAGCCGAGATTGAGGGGTTATTATTTAGTAGGTATGGAGTTTCAGTTTGGGATGATGAAAAAGTTGTGGAGACAGATCATGGTGATGGTTGCCCAGCAAGTGAATGTACTTAATGCTACTGAAATGGTAAATGGTAAATTTTGTTATGTATATTTTACTAGATACACACAAAGACATTTCTGGAGGAAAAAAAATAAAAGATATTTCTTAGATTCTGGTCCCAAGAATGCTTGCATGGAACAAGGCCTGCACACGTAACTAGCTCCTCCTGGGTGACCCTGCCTAGGTGGTTGGGGATGGCCCTTCTGGGGAGCCCAGCTCTGCATAAACAAGGTCCAAGCCAGGCCTCACACATCTGGCATTTTCCATAATAATTTCCAAGCTGGGAGAGAGAAAACTTGCTTTGGGGAAGCAGTGAGTCACTATGGATCTTTAACTTGGCCTTTTATTTCTGTGCCATTGAGATACACACACACACACACACACACAAACTGATTCCCTTTGCAAACATGGATGATACATGTTCGTCATCTGCAAATTTGCAAACATGGGAAAGCATCCCTGAGACCATAACAAATAGACAGAATCCCAACTCAGAGAAACACAGCTGACATTCAGGTGGATATTTGTCCAGCCTTTCTTGTCTATTTGTAATACATATTTAAAGTCATCGTGGTCATACGTCACATTTTACTCTCTGCACTTTCACTAATTTGCCACAAACAACTCATCTCTTTAAATATTTCTAGATCACACTTCAATGATTGCAGAAGAATCCGTTGTTCAGATGTCCCATATGTAACTTCTTTACCTCACTCTTGATGATTGGCTGTCTAGGTGATTTACAAACCTGCTGCTATGAACATCTTTGTCTAATAATTCCCTTGGTGTACTCCCAGGAGAATAATTGTAACTTCACTGAGGATTTGCTTTTTTAAAGGCTTTTGAATATGGTATTACCAGTCAGTACTCTAGGAAGGGCGAACAGATTGTTTTTGCACCAACATCGCGGGAGTGTGTGTGGACATGTTTTTTACACAGAGGTGTCTTATCCTACCTGGCAGGAGACCTGTTATAGCAGGAACCCCACTGTTGGGGGATGGGCCCTGGCTCAGAGGCTTTGGTCCATGGAGGATCGCTGCCTTTTTGTCTTTGCTGAGCAATCAATCCCAAAGACAGTGAGGTGGGGCAGGGAGAATCTGGGCTCTGAGCTCTGCAGGGACAATGACCCTGGATCCAGGCTCTGGACTCTGGGGAAGGCTCCACTCTGTGACCCTGGAAGCCACGGAATACTTTTAACTGCTTGGTTGCTGGTGCTGTCAGGACTGGGCCCTTTTCTCAGGTGTGGGTGTGACATGCCCTGCACATTTCCACGAGGCCCCTCTGGCTCTTCACTCTGGTGTGGAGGGCAGCCCCACAATTGCAGGCTCCATATTCCTTGATGCATCTTTGCTGGGAAGCAGGACCCCCGTAAGAAGCGGCCACGACTAGGATCCCCCTGCAGCCTCCCACCATCAGGTCCCTCCGTCACGGCAGCACAGGGGTGATTTGCAGGATATTCCAGTGGCCACCCCACTCAGCCCAGTCACACAGGGCCTCAGCCCCATACCAAGGCTGACCTGGGGTACCCGTTCCACATCTGTCAATCCTGAGCACAAGCCAGGGCCCTGGGGCCACCAGATGTACAAGTCCTGGCTGTTCTTCCTAAAACCTCCCCTGTAATTCAGCCTGGGCTCCTCCCCTCCCCATGGCCACACTTCCCCTCACCCAAATAGTGGCCTCCCTAACTGCAGCCTCCTCCCCCGGGGCTGGGCCGCTGCCAGAGTCGTTTCCCAAATCCACACAGGTCCTATCCCCACCTTAAAAAAAAAAAACAAAAACAAAAAACCGTTTTGTTTTAAGAACCAAAGCAGGGTTGGCCCCCTGCTTCTCTTTCCAGCCTCGCCACCACCCCCCACTTCCCCATCACTGACCACCAACTCCCCACCCCACCCCCCACTTGGCTGGGAGAGAACTCCTTGCCTTTTCTCTGCTTTTCCCTCTGAAGGGGATGCTCTTCCCACCTGCATGGTGATCAGAGCTTCTCCCCTCTTATTCCTACTGGGAATAACAACAGCAGCTGACACTAGTGAGCACTTACCATGTGAAAGGCTCCACTCAGCTACCGCCTCCTCCAGGGAGCTTTCCAGGATGGATCCCTTGGCCATGACAAGCCACTCCTGAGAAATAGGCTCTTCCTGCCTCTGGTTACAAGACAGCAAGGACTGTTTTTTTGTTTGTTTGTTTGTTTTTGTTTTTTTTGAGACAGAGTTTTGCTCTTGTTGCACAAGCTGGAGTGCAATGGAGCAATCTCAGCTCACTGCAATCTCCACCTCCTGGGTTCAAGCGATTCTCTGCCTCAGCCTTCCGAGTAGCTGGGATTACAGGCATGCTCCACCACGCTGGGCTAATTTTGTATTTTTAGTGGAGACGGGGTTTCTCCATGTTGGTCAGGCTGGTCTTGAACTCCCGACCTCAGGTGATCCGCCCCCCCCCCCCCACAACTTGGCCTCCCAAAGTGCTGGATTACAGGCGTGAGCCACCGCGCCCGGCCAAGGACTGTGTCTTGAGCGTCCTCGGTGCCTAGCCCAGGGCCTGACATGAGTGTTGAGTCACATCATATTTGGAGGGGCAAGTCCAGGACAACACAGCCTGGTTAAAGCGAGCGGCTGAGCACTGATACATGGGCTAGCACTGGTCGGAGATTATTCCAGACCTCACATTTCAAACATGTGATCATTTGGTAACAGGATAGCTTGAATTTTGTTCTTGACAAAGAAGGATTAAAAGGCAAAGGAAAGCTGGAAACAAGATTACAAATTCACGTCACCTAATAGAGCAGGTGTAACCAGTGTAACCCTGCCCCTAATCATCTTCAGGCCTCTCTTCAATGCTGAGCTGTCCTCAGTGGTCACCCTGGGCCTCCCAGCTCTGAGGCTGAGCGCAGGATTTCAATGCTAATTACTGATAGTACCCACTGTCTGATCAGCAGAACATCCACAGTAGAGCCTGCCCTTGGAAGGGAGGATGAATCTCCTTCTAGAACAATCTGCAAGGCTCAGTGTGGACGCTCCACTCAGGCTGGTCATGCATCAGGCATTCCCTCCCCCATGGGTGGCCCCAGGCTCATGCACACACAAGTTTGCTCCTTGCCTCACACTGTGGGGACAGAGGGCATCTGTGCCTTGTCCCCTCTTCTCTATTCTCATAAGCGTCCTTGCATCTTGGAGTCAGGATTGCTTGGGCCCAGGAAGTCGAGGCTGCAGTGACCCATGAGTGCTGGAGCTGCAGGCTGCCCCAGGGGCCTCCCCATGGTGGGCGCTCATCACACTGGCCAGCCCGATACTCATCTGGGTTGACCTCTGAGAACCGCCAGGTTAGAGGGCCTGAGTGCAGCCAGGGGACCAGCCAGGAAACCCACTTGGTCTAGGGGGTTCAGGAAACCTGTGGTCTGGGGCAGGAAGGGATGCCGAGAGGAGGCCACACCTATATGGAGGCCCAGCCCTGATCACGGTTCCAGCTGTTAGGCCGGATACCACCGCTAGCTGTTTTCCAACCATCAAATGTGAGGACCATGTGGCGAGTTTTCCATAAGGCTCTGTTTATCCAGCACAATGGAATGGCCTTTGCCCTGAGATTGTCTTCTTACTTTTTTTTTTTTTTTGGTTTAAAGATATTCTCTCAAAAAGGGAAATTGTAATTATTTTTCTAAAGGCCCTAACATGGAAAAATAGAAAGTTGGCAATCTTCCGTAGGTCTGCAATACTCCTTTGAAATTTGACCAGCCTGTGAATTCCGGATGTCTGAGAACCCCTGTCTGCATGCTCCCTGCAGAGGCCACCAGGGAGAGTTGCTGGGTCACTGCTCCCTGTTTAGAGCCTGCAGTGGCTCCCTATTGCCCTAGGATCTGCAGCCGAATTCCTTATCATGGCATCAAAAACCTAGGCAGGTGGGAAAAGAGAGGAGGAAAGGATCAAGGGCATCTTCCTGGAGGAGGTGGTATCTGAACCAAGCCTTGCAGGATGAGCTCATTGGCAAGTGGCAGGCTGAGAGGGCATTCCACGGGCAGGAGAGCACCATGTGCAAGACAAAGCTGGGGTGGCTGGAAAACAGCTGGGGGTGGTATCCAGCCAGCTAAGCAGGGACGGGGTTAGGGACGCATAGGAAACTGATGCTAGCAACACAGTGTAGGGAGGGTAACATCCAGGCTTCTAAGTGATTCTGTATTTTGAGACAGGGTCTTGTTCAGGCTGAGTGCAGTGGTGTGATCATGGCTCACTGCAGCCTTGACCTCTTGGGGCCCAAGCAATCCTCCCTCCTCAGCCTCCTCAGTAGCTGGGACTATAGGCGTGTGCCACCACGCTGGGCTAATTTTGTGTTTTTAGTAGAGATGGGGTTTCACCATGATGGCCAGGCTGGTCTCAAAATCCTGACCGCAAGTGATCTTCCCGTCTTGGCCTCCCAAAGTTCTGGGATTACAGGCATGAGCCACTGCACCCGGCCTTATTATTATTATTATTATTATTTTGTGGAGACAAGGTATCACACTAATGTTGCCCAGGCTGGTCTGGAAGTCCTGAGCTCAAGTGATCCGCCCACCTCAGTCTCCCAAAGCGCTGGGATTACAGGCAAGATCTACTGCGTCTGGCCCTAAGTGATTCTTAGAGCAGCGAGGTACATGTAATTATGTCTACTTCATATTTAAGGTTTGGAGGGAAATGAGAGAGGGCTGGGGAAAGGCCTCGAACCCCCAGGCTAGATTTTCTGCTGTCTGAGGGTCTGTCTGAGGCTGGCTTCTCTCCTTTGGTGCCCATTTCACCGCCTCACCTGGTCCCTCTTTCTTGGGCCTGAGACTGGCTGGGGCTGCTTGTCTATGGGGCCCAGGTTCTTGTGCTCTGGGGGAAACGCACCCTCGAGCATGATGCCCCCAACACTGGGGGCTGTCTCTGGTATCAGGTGGGGCCGCTGACTTCACACGTGCCAGGAGGAAAGTGCTACAGGAAGTTGTGGGTCCTTGGCAACCTCATGCCGGAGGCCCCAGGTCTGCAGTTCCAGTCTCTAGACCTCCTGATGGGCATCCTGGCCAGGCACTGTGTTCCTGCACACACCTTTCTGCAGAAAGACAACTTGCTCACTTCCCCAGAGGCTTGGGGGTGGGGACGTTCCTGTTGGACAATGGAGCCCACACACCCAGTGGGGAGCTCCCAGGAGAAGCCTGCTCCCACCTCCCAAGAAAGGCTCTGAGCCTCTTTCCAAGTACTGGAAATGCCAAATGCGGTGACCTGTCCCCATCCACCATCGTGCAGAGTGACCCACACTGGTGGGCCTTCACCTATCCAACTGTGAGGTCATTCAGTGCGTCCTGGGTGCCACTGTGCTGTGGGAATTCAGAAGTCCTTGCCTACTCGAAGCTCCCAGTCTAGCGGGTGGATGATAATATTGCCTGAGCAGGGCTACACTGTGGGAAGGATGATGATAAGGGCAGAACACTCTGAGGGCTGGTCCCAACGTGGAATGCTCAGCTCCGTTAGTCCTCAAGGCATCTCTGGAGACGGTGACCCAGACTCAGGGCTCAGGGTGACTGTCCCCAGGCCAGCAGGCTGGATAATGGCAGAGCAGGCGGGAGCTGGGGGAATGCCATCTTTACCACTACCTTCCCTGCACCTGCTGGGAGACCCCAGCTCTGGAAGTGCCTCTGGAGATCATGAAGGGCAACCTGCCTCATTGTTCAGGGGAAATCGAGGCTGAGAGAAGATGCCCCAGGCCCCACAGAGAGTCCTGTCAGAGTCCCAGAAGGGTCCTACGCCCCAGGCTCCCCAGCCAGCCATTCCTGCAAGGTGCACCCGCCCTTCTGGCTGGGCAGAAGGCACCCACGGCAGCCGGAGAGGGGGTCTTCTGGCAGGAGGAGTGGAGGTGGAATCGGGTGGAGGCACCTGGCAGCTAGGGTCGTGGGGAGCTCCTGGCAGAGTAAGTGGGGTCTCCTGGCGGCAGGGGAAGCTGGGGGAGGGGGCCTGGTAGGAGGGGGCTCCCGGCAGGGAACGTGAGGGGCTCCCAGGCCGGGCCGGGCCGCCCGCCCAGACGCGCTGCCAGGCTGATTAGCATGGGCGAGGGGCGCTGGCGCGGGGACGCCGCCGGCCGAGCTGGCACGTCCCTCGCGGGCCCAGCTGGCCGGGGCGAGACACAAAGCACCTCAGACGGTGGCGGCGCTCGGCCATTCACGCGCAGGGGCGTCCCGGGCGCGGGCGGCGAGGAATTCCCGCCGCCGGGGCGAAGACCAGCCCCGCCCGGCGCTCCTGACCTTGAACCTTTGTGACTGGAGCGCATGCAAATCGCGGCGGGGCCGCGCCAAGCCCCGAGGGCGCTGCGCCGCCCGGCGTGTCCGGGGAACAATGCGCCACTGTCCCCACGCGGCGCCGCGGGCTGGGAACTGCGCAGAATGTCAATGCGGGCCCCCGGCGCGGCGGGGCGCGGCCCACGGGCGCGTGCGTGTGCGGGTGCGTGCGGGTGTGTCCGGGTGTGCGCATGTGTCCCCGTGTTGGCCCGGGCTTAGCTGGACCCTGGGCCTGGTCCCGGACCCTGCGGCCCTGGCGACCCTCCTGGAGAGAGAGTCCCTTTGCGACCAGGTCCAAAAGATCTTAGGCCCTTGGAGGTGACTGCTTCTCCCTCCTTCCTGCCCTTCTTATTTTTCTTTTATTAGGTTGATTTTTAAAGATCCTGTAAATGATCAGTAAGGAAATAAAGGCTGCCCCCAATGACTGTCCCAACCCAGGGAGAGCTCTGCTGCGTGGAGAGGAACTCCCTCGCCTCCTCTCTCCCCTTGGGGCAAATTCTTCCTCACAGCCCAGGGTGAACTTTCAATTCAGCGTCTTGACTTTTTCCTGGAAAATAACATTTGTCATCAACCTCTTACCAATGTCCCTTTTAAAAACTGCATGGTACTGTTCTGTGCTGTGCCACAGTCCCTGCCACTGGGTTTCCCGGTCACAGGGACAACAGCTTGTCAACAGGGTCTTCCGGGGCCGTAAGTGGATGTGCAAAGAGAAAGGACAGGGACCTCACCAAGAGCTGCTAAACTACAATGTGCTCAACTGAGCCCAGAAAGGCGCCAGGCCCACATGTGTGTCCTGCGGCACCCCTCCCCACCTGCTCAGACATGGTTTAAACAGACAAGACAGAAAAAGCACACGTGCCAGGTAGGCAGCTGCAGCTGATTTTTATGTACATGTGCCTGACCAGGTGATTCCAGCAACTTCTGTAAATTTGGATTGGGCACATTTGTGATAGGTGACAGAGCCACAACCCAGAGTCTGATGTCCCCGCCCCGCAGCTGACTGGCGACCCATCACTTGTCCTCCAGAGACTCGGTATCCTCACCTGATTAGGGGTCTGTGAGCACTGCCTGCCCATCTTGCAGAGGCAGTGGCTGTGAGGGTCCCTGCGCACACGCACACCTGTGTGGGTGGGGAGCGTGCACACAGGTTCATTTCTGCCAAGGTGCTGGGGAGCTCAGCTCTGTCATGGCAAGGGCTCAGGACAGGAGGAAGAGGTTCAGAGAAGGCGATCTTGGGCAAGATGCTCCCTGTCTGGGCCTCAGTTTCACCAGAGCTAAAAGAGGAGGTTGTAGAGACGCTCTCTAAGCATCCTTCCAGCTTCTCCAGATATACATGAATAAGATCACTCTTTCAAGGATGGGGATGGTGTACAGGGCTGGATCCTTCCCAGCCAGGGTGCCTGGGATTATTGGCTTTCAGCAGCCGACTCACGGAGGCCTCCTTTGGGCTAGGCACTGGGACAGACCCCTGCCTCCCCAAAGGCATGAGACCCTGGTCTGCCATTTGGGAGCTCAGAGCCTGGCTAGAGGCAGGAGAGGTGAGGAGGGAAGATAAGGACACAGATGGTGAATGTGGTGAGAAAGGAAGCATGAGGGGGTGGGCATGGTGCATGGGAGAACAGAGGAGGCGATGGAGGAGTCCAGGAAGCCTTCCTGGGAGGCGGTCGCCTGAGCTGAGCCTCAAGGAGTATGAGCAGCTTCTCAACAGGAGAAGAGAGTGGAGAGCACTTTGGGCAGAAAGTTGCAGGCAGAGGGAGCATTCCAGGCAGAGGGAGCATTCCAGGCAGAAGGAGCACTGCAGGGAGAGGGTGCACTCAGGAAGCAGGAGCACTCAGAGAGAGAGAACACTCCAGGGAGAGAGAGCAAGAGGGTGCAGGGTGCACTGCAGGGAGAGGGAGCACTATGGGGAGAAGGTGCACTCAGGGAGCAGGAGCACTCAGAGAGAGAGAACAATCCAGGGAGAGGGAGCAAGAGGGTGCAGCGTGCACTGCAGGGAGAGGGAGCACTCAGGGAGAGGGAGCACCCAAGGGAGAGGGAGCACTCAGGGAGAGGGAGCACTCAGCGAGAACACTCCAGGGAGAGGGAGCAAGAGGGTGCAGGGCGCACTGCAGGGAGAGGGAGCACTACAGGGAGAGGGTGCACTCAGGGAGCAGGAGCACGCAGAGAGAGAGAACACACCAGGGAGAGGGAGCAAGAGGGTTCAGGGTGCACTGCAGGGAGAGGGAGCACTCAGGGAGAGGGAGCACCCAAGGGAGAGTGAGCACTCAGGGAGACGGAGCACTCAGAGAGAGGGAGCACTCAGGGAGAGAGAACACTCCAGGCAGAGGGAGCAAGAGGGTACAGGGTGCACTGCAGGGAGAGGGAGCACTCCAGGGAGAGGGAGCATTCCAGAGGAGGGAGCACTTAGGGAGAAGGAACATTCTGAAAGAGGAAGGACACTCAGAATTCACTTTAAAGAAATCCTTTCCTTGGGCAAATTGTCCTATTTCTTTGCATTTACAGACATTCTGCCTCATGGGTAGCCAGCAGGACTAGAAACACCAACATTAAAATAAAATATAGAAGTTGGTCCAGCTAAAGGAAATGTCAGGGTGGGAAAATGAAACGGGGGAAGAGGGTGAGTTGAGTTAAAAGAAAAAAAAAAAAAAAAAAAAGCCTGCCTTGAACTCCTGAGGAGTCGCAGGTTGGGAGGCCACTAATTTCTCAGTCCCAAGATTTGAGTGCCTTTAAGGAGAAGCTGGTTGCACAAGAGATGGGCAGGTTGATTCTGGCCCCAAAAGCTGGAGGCCTGTGAGCTGCATGGCATCAGGTCCTCACCATGGCCCCCTAACATCAGGGCAGGAGGAATATGGGGTGCACCTATCAGGGGCTGGCTGAGTGGCGGCTGGGCCCTACCTGCCAGGTCTGCTGCTCTCAGAGTGGGCAAAACCAGGAGAGGAGAGGAAGCCTTGATGTGGCAGGACACACTGCATAGTGCACTCTAGGGTCTGGAGGACACCTGGGAAGGGAATTGGCTCAGACTTGGGAGTCAGGGATGGCTTCCTAGAGGAAGTGATGGTGAAGAGTTGGTCTAATTTTGGCAGGGAGGTAAATCGCTGTAAAATGGAAATAACAGCAGTACCAACCTCCCAGGGTGGGTGAGGAGCAAGCAAGCCTGAAGCACAGTCAGTACTGGTGGCCGCAGCACAGCTTCCGGGTCCTCATTTTGCTGGAAGTCTGGCTGTTCCAGAGGCAAGGCTGGGACATCCTGAGGGTGTCTGGGAGGGAGATCCAGTTCTGAATTCTTGAGTCCTTTGTACTCCTACTAGTAAAATATAACTTCTGAAATGAAATTTATGTCATGATTGATGGATCTTCACTCCCAAAGACATGCTTGGAAAACAAACAAAAGCTTAAAAGGCTGCAGCCCCGAGGTGACTGCTGTGTTGTCAGCCTCACTGACACCTGGGCACCTTGGAGAGTCGGAGCTGGACAGGGCTGTGGTTTCTGGTGGACAGAAGGGGAGACTGAGGCTCTGGGCTTCTGGTCTAAAGCCAGGATGGGCCAGGGTGAGAACCAGTCTCCCGCCTTCTCGGTCTTTCCACTACTTCACCGGATTCCTCGGATATTAGCAATGGAAAAGCCATCCCATGTTTGGGAAGGAGCGAGTCATACTTTCCATCCTGGCTTCTTGCGAACACCTGGGTCTCAGTGAGTCCCCCACCCATCCCACGCAGAAAAGCTGGGCTGCGTCACCCAGGGGGCGGTTAATGAGGATGCTTTGGTGGTGCTGACATCACGGACAGGGCTCCTGTGTGGATCGGCCGCCTGGGCTCCAGCTGGCAGCCATGTGACTTGCCCCCTTGGCTGCCATCGCCCCAGGGAGGGGCCTTGGGCAGAGGGGCTGGCTCAGTGGGCAGCTGCCAGGGCTGGTGGGGGCTGACCAGAGGGTATTGGCAAAGTCTTAGAGGTTTCCGGGCCCAGGAGAGAAGGAAGGGAGTGTGGACACTCGGCCTCTGTTTCACGGCATCCTCCCACCTTTGACCTCAGTGGTGCGAGGGGAAGGAACCAGCCCTGGAGCCGCCTGCCTGGCTTGACCCTGGCTTGCTACTCATGGTCCCGTGTGCCTAGACAAGCTGTTTCACCTCTCCAGCCTCAGTTTCCTTCTGTGTGAAATCGGATAACAATCGTAGGGTGTAATGTGGAAACTGCAGGGAATTAGGAATTAGGACGGTGCCGGGCACATAGTAAGTGCTTAGTAAACGCTAGCATCCTGGAGTCTCCCTCCCTCCACACCCAGGCTGTTTTGACCTGTGCTCTGTACTTCTGTTCGCCAGGCCTGAGGTCCCAAACTGCAAACTGCTCCATGTGGATGGGCTGGGGGCTTCCTTTCTGCCTTATTCCCTCCCTCTCTCCCTCCTTTTCTTCCTTCCTTTCTTCCCTTCCCTTCCCTTCTCTTCCCTTCCCTTCCCCTCCTTTTCCTCCTTCCTTCCCTTCCTCCTTTCTTCTCCTCCTTCTTCATCTCTCCTGTCTCTCTCTCTCTCCCTTCCTGCCTTCTTTCTGTAAACTTGATTACTGTCTGCTTCTGTGCTGGTGTCTGTGCTACTTTCTAGAGACAGAAAGTAAAATTAGACAGATATCGACTCTGTTATTCTGTGCTTACAATCTAGTACAAAGCAGCAGGCATTGGCTAAATCAGAGCAGTACTGTCCAACAGACATTTCTGTGTGCTTGAAATGTTCCATATCTGGACTTTCTAGTGAGACAGCTACTAAATGCATGGGACTGTTAAATACTTGAAATGTGGCTCGTGTGACCCAGGAGCTGAATTTTAAATTTCATTTAATTTTAATTAATTTGCATTTATATTTATTTATTTTTGAGACAGGGTCTCACTCTGTTGCCCAGACTGGAGTGCAGTGGTGTGATCTTGGCTCACCGCAACCTCCGCCTCCCAGGCTCAAGTGATTCTCCTGCCTCAACCTCCCAAGTGGCTGGGATTACAGGTGCGCGTCACCACCACCCAGCTAATTTTTTTATTTTTAGTAGAGATGGGGTTTCACCATGTTGGCCAGGCTGGTCTTGAACTCCTGACCTCAAATGATTCACCTACCTTGGCCTCCCAAACTGTTGGGATTACAGGTGTGAGCCACTGCCCCGCGCCCAGCCTGCATTTATATTTAAATACTAACACGTGGCTAGTGGCTACCATATTAGATGGCACAGATTCACAGTTATACTCCCATTACATCACCCTGTATTATTTCTCCATAACACTTATTATAGTTAATTTAAATTTGTGAGTTCATTTTTTTGTACTCTGTCTTTCCACAATGGCGCGTACCATAGTCTGGTTTCCTTGGAAGCAAAGCTTGAGACAAAGACTTGTCTGCAGACATTTCAGCTGGAAATGAGATTCCTGGGAAAACCAATACAAGGACGTTTCACTGAGTCAGTCACAGCTGCAGGAGGCTCATACCTGCTCCTGACGGGGGTTTCTGGGGGATCTCATGAAATATATCTCAGAACTGACCACCTGTGAGAAGAAAGAGAGCATTTCTCCATCAGCTCAACTTGCCACCAGTCAAGGTGGTTCTGTAGACATTAACTTCCAGCATTCCCATGTTGCACGAGTGTGACTGCAGAGGGCTCCACCAGGACCACTAAGTCGCATATTCAGAGAAGCACCTGGACAGGAAGCAAGAGATCTCCAGCATGGGCCCAAGGCAAGGCACTGTCTGGCTGCTGGCACCCACATGAAGCTGGATGAAGCCACTGTAAGACCGGCTGTGGTGGGAATGGCTGGAGTTGGGGTTGAGAGGACCTTGAAGTGGAGCACAAGAGGGGCCTGGTGTAGTCCACCCCTTGCCTCCCTCACATGTGCATGTGAGTCTTTGATGATGTCTAGTCTGCCACAGAGTTCCCTTCAAGGTGGCAGCCAGCAGCAAGATCTGTAAGTTCTTAAAACACGATTATTAGTGGAACAAGCTATAGTCTCCACTGCTGCAGCTGGTCTGAGGTCGTGATCGATAACCTCATCTCAATCCTCCACCACAATTCCAGATGAGCACTTCCATGGGCCTAGGCTGTGTGGCAGTGGCAGGGCCCTCGCCTTCCTCTTTGGAGGGTCTGAGCCCTCATCTGCATTTGCTTTTGCTGGCTGTGGTTGCTGCCATTGCCAGGTCCCCGCTATGACCACCTTGGAAGTGCCAAGAGGCGCTGCAGTGAATTATCTGGTTCTGAGACTGATTCCTCCTTGCCCCGAAGCCGAGCTTCTCTTGAGGTCAGGGTCAATGACTCTGCCAGGATGGTGACTCCTTTCTTTCACTGTTGGTCCACTGGCATGAAGAAGCCAACATGATCAAGAGGTCATTGAGGCCTCAAGATCAGTTGACTCTAGTTTATTGCTTGGTGGAAGAATCCCCCTGTGGGAACCGGAACCTTGAACTTAACAAAGTCAAAGGATGTGAGACTGGTGAGAGAAGTCAGTCTCACCTCCTGGACTTAAGCCTTTCCCTTGGTTCCTGGACCTTTGTATTCTTAGTATGGGGGACACAGTACCGCATGACAGGGTTGATCTCCCACCCTTTGGCATTGAAGAGTACTTGCCACTCACTCTTCACCAGATTTTGAAGGAATGAGCAATAGGTATCTGAACAGAATGTAAGTTCCACAAAAACAGAATTCTTGTCTGCATTGTTCGCTGCTGTACCCGCAGCACCTAAACAGTGTTGGGATCAATATAAGGACTCAATAAATATTAGCTAAATAAATAATTTCTAGTGGGATTTAATATCAGATAGTCAAATTATAAAGCAAACATTTTCAAAAACTTATGGGGCTGTCACTGGAATAAGTAGATCAACAGACAGAATAGAAAATGTAGAAAGAGGTAAAGGTATGGGATATGTTTTAGAGATGGGATCTTGCTATATTGCCAAGGCTGGTCTTGAATTTCTGGGCTCAAGTGATCCTCCCACCTTGGCTTCCTAAGTGGTTGGGACTACAGGCATGTGCCACTGTGCCCAGCTTGTTTGGGTACACATTTTTTTTTTTTTAAATAAGGGATGGATGGAGCAACAGGCAACCATTGAGAAAGATGAAATGAAATTAGATCCATGTCTCTCTTCTTGTACCAAAATAAATTTGAGATGGGTTAAGAATCTTAAGGTAACAAAAAAATAAATAAATAAAAAAAGAACCTTAAGGCAAAAAAAAAAATGAAACCATAAATACACGAGGATAAAGTATACATAAATATTTACCTAATTTTGAGGTTGAGAAATATCTTCCTAAGCAGTGAGACTCACATCAGGGCCACAAAGAAAAGAATGGAGAATATATATACGGTTTTGTTTCCATGTGTGGGAGGAAACAGTATAAGCAGAGTGAAAAGGCAAACAACAAACCGGGAAAAACTATGTGCTGGACAAAATCCTTCTAACATAAGTGTATTAGTCCGTTTTCACACTGCTATAAAGACATACCCAAAACTATGTAATTTATTTTATTTATCTATTTATTTATTTGAGATGGAGTCTCACTTTTTGCCCAGGCAGGAGTGCAGTGATGCGATCTCGACTCACTGCAAACTCTGCCTCCCAGGTTCAAGCGATTCTCCTGCCTCAGTCTCCTGAATAGCTGGGATTACAGGCACGTGCCACCATGCCCAGCTAATTTTTGCACTTTTTAGTAGAGATGGGGTTTCACCATGTTGGCCAGGCTGGTCTCAAACTCCTGAACTCAAGTGATCCACCCACCTCGGCCTCCCAAAGTGCTGGGATTATAGGCGTGAGCCACTGTGCCTGCCCAAGACTAGGTAATTTATAAAGGAAAGAGGTTTAATTGACTCAAGTTCCACATGGCTGGGGAGGCCTCAGGAAACTTACAGTCATGACGGAAGGCAAAGGGGAAGCAGGCACCTCCTTCACAAGGCAGCAGGAGAGAGAAGTGCAGAGCGAAGGGAAAAGAGCCTTTTATAAAACCATCAGATCTCGCGAGAACTCACTCAGTATCATGAGAACAGCACGGGGGAACCACCCCCATGATCCAATCACCTCCCACGAGATTCCTCCCCCACCACATGGGTATTACAGTTTGGATTACAATTCAAGATGAGATTTGGGTGGGGACACAGAACCAGATCATATCAGTAACATACAAAAGTCTCTTTGTAAGTAAATAAGATAAAATATTTGCAAAGGATATGGGAAGGAAATTTACAGAAGAGAAACTTCAAATTGCCAATATAACTATGAAAAATGTTCCATTTCAAAGGATCCAAATTAGACTAAGATAAAATTTTCAGCTATTAGATTGGAAAAGCTTATAAAAAGATCATTAAAAATGCTTGTAAAAAATTATAAGTACCAGTAAGTGTTCAGGGAATGAACATTCTTATGTTTGCTGGTGAGACAGCAAAATTCTGAAAATGTAACATTCTTTTGTTTGCTGGTGAGACAGCAAATTCTGAAAATGTCCTCAAGGCAAAGTGGGCCACATTAATTCATTAAACAAATATTTATTGAGCTCCTCTGTGCCTCAGGCCTGTGGTAACAACATACAGTCTGTCCTAGCTCTCATTTCCTTTCCAGTAGAGTGCAGGAGATAGACATTAAAGAAGAAACTATACAAACAAGTTTATAATTGATGTAGTTGTAGAAAATACTTATAAATGTGTTTGACAAGGGGTCCTAACCTGGTCAGGGTCATTGGAAAGACTTCCCTAAGGGGGTGATTCTTAAGCCAAGTCTAGCATAATGAGACAAATTTGGGGAGGAGAATAGTGAGGGCAACTGTCTGGACAGGGAAAGTGGCAGTGTGAAAGCTCTGATGAACTCTGAGATGGTTCAGTTGTCTACCCTGCCACACCTGTCATTCCTGGAGTGCTCTGGCCCTGGATGGTTTTCCCTGATTCCACTCCTGATTCCAAAGCTGCTATGATATATTAGCTACAATACCCAGTTTTCAACTGAAAATTACCAGATGAAGAAACAGGAAAACGTGTTTCATAAAGGAAGCTAACAGTTGTAATCTCTGGGCCCAGAATTTAGATTTAGCAGTTACAGACTTCAAAGTATCTGTTATATATATGTTTGAAGAATTAAAGAAAAATAGGTTCATGGGAAAATATGTTCAAGGAATTAAATAAAAATATGATATCAATGAGTGAAGAGAGAATTTGCACAGACAAATGGAAACATTAGTGAGAATTATAGAGCTGAAAAGGACAATAATGAAATTTTAAAAATTCATTAGACGGGCTCCAGTTCTGGAGATGGCAGAAAAACAAAGGATCAGTAACGTGAAGACAAATCAGCAGAAAATATTTAACTCAAAGAAAAGAGGAAAATAGAATTGGAGTAAAAAGGCTGGGCACGGTGGCTCATGCCTATAATCCCAGCACTTTGGGAGGCGGAGGCGGGTAGGTCACCTGAAGTCAGAAGTTTGAGACCAGCCTGGCCAATATGCCAAAACCCCGTCTCTACTAAAAATACAAAAATGAGCCAGATGTGGTGGCAGGTGCCTGTAATCCCAGCTACTTGGGAGGCTGACGCAGGAGAATTACTTGAACTCAGGAGATGGAGGTTGCAGTGAGCCAAGATTGTGCCATTGCACTTCAGCCTGGGTGACAGAGTGAGACTCTGCCTCAAAAAAAAAAAAAAAAAAATGGAGAAAAAAGAAGAGAATGGCGGTGTCCTCTTGGACAGTACCAAGCATCACAAATACATGTAATTGGAGTCCCAGAAGGAGAGGAGAGAGACATAGAGGCAGAATAAATTTGAGTAAATAATGGTTGAAAACTTCTCAGTATTAATGGAAAGGATTAACTTGCAGATCCAAAAAGCTCAACAAACCCCAAGCAGAGTAAACGCAAGTAAAATCACTCCTAGGCAAATCACAGTCAAATTTCTAAAAGTCAAAGGCTAAGGAAAATTTTTGAAAGGTTTGGAAGAAAAAAATGAAGTGTCCAATAAAGGGGAATTATATGACACAACAGCGAGTAGCTTCTTTAAAAAGAGGGAGTGCAAATCCAGAGGCTGCCTCATTTATCTAATCAGAGGCCCAAGAGTAGACATTAGTGAGAAGGAAAGATAATTAATATTTAGTGATACATTAAACAGGAATCCCCTAGAACTGAAGGAAGAGGTGAGTCCTCAGATTGGAAGTGCTCAGTGAATGCCAAGTAGGACAAATGAAAGAACACAAATTAAAATCTCAACATTCCACTAGAAGGTACCTCATAATGGAATTTCAGAACATCTAGGATAGAGAGAAAAAAATCTAAAGCTACGAGTAAAAAAAAAAAATCCATAAATCTACTAATAAATAAAAGCTACTGGTTCTAGAGAAAATTCATCAGATTGACATCAGATCCTCATCAGTCATAAGCAGTGTTCCTATTTACCAGCAATTGCAAGTTAGAAGATGTAACAAAACTTAAATCTCCCATTTATGGTAGGGCTAAAACATACAAGAAACCTGACACTAAACCTCTCAAGGACAAAAGAGAGAGATGGGATTTCTGTGACAAGCTGCTTCTGTAATTCATATGGGAATGGAAATGTCCAAGAATAGTCGGGACTATTTGGAAGCAGAAGAAGAAGATGGTGAGAACTTGCCCTGCTAGATTATAAGATGTATACAGGAATTAGGCCGGGCGCGGTGGCTCTGCCTGTAATCCCAGCACTTTGGGAGGCCAAGGCAGATCACCTGAGGTCAGGAGTTTGAGAGACCACCCTTGCCAACATGGTGAAACCCCGTCTCTACTAAAAATACAAAAATTAGCCGGGCATGGTGGCAGGCACCTGTAATCCCAGCTACTCAGGAGGCTGCGGCAGGAGAATCACTAGAACCCGGGAGGCAGAGGTTGTACTGAGCCAAGATCATACCACTGCACTCCAGCCTGGTTGATTTCATTTCCAAAAAAAAAAAAACAAAAGCAAACAAACAAACAAACAAATGCATAAGAAAAGCAATACTTTTTTCTTTTTCTTTTTTCTTTTTTTTTGAGACGGAGTCACACTCTGTTGCCCGGCTGGAGTGCAGTGGCACAATCTCAGCTCACTGCAACATCTGCCTCCCGGGTTCCAGCAATTCTCCTGCCTCAGCCTCCTGAGTAGCTGGGATTACAGGTGCCTACCACCACGCCTGGCTAATTTTTGTATTTTTAGTAGAGACAGGGTTTCACCTTGTTGGCCAGGCTGGTCTCAAACTCCTGACTTCAAGTTATCCGCCCGCCTCGGCCTCCCAAAGTGCTGGGATTACAGGCATGAGCCACCGCACTCAGCCGAAAAGCAATACTTTAAGTCAACTTGCAAAAAAAAATTGAGTGTGTTTCTATATGGGTTGCAAAGATGTCTTAAACAAGATACAGAAAGCACAAATCACAGATGAAACCATTGGTTAATGATAACATCACTTCAGGACAAAAGACAACAAAGTGAAAAGACAAGTGACATAGAGCAAAAAAATGTCATAGACTTGGAAATGGGCTTAAGGCGGGTGTCCTTTCAGTGGTGTGCTAAGTGGCATCTGTCTAGTGACCCCGCTGGGAATGATCTCATTCGATGGGGTCCTTCTTCAACTGCTATGCTATGGACTCAGCTATTTTACAACTCTGTCAGGGGAGAAATTAACTTATAGAAAACCAATTATAAGGCCAATGATCCTGCCCATAGAATGCAAATGAATTTTGCTCCATAGAGACTGAACTGAATTCTGTCCCATGGAAAAGATAATCCCAAACAGTACACTTTATTGCTCTCTATGATATTAAGCACTTTGCACCAATAAGCAAAGCTGTTTCAGCTTTCCTTGTTGCCTACACATCTGTCTTTCCAATTCTCCTTTGAACTGGTTTTAACCTTACTGGTTCCCTTATTAACGAGTTAAATAAAATCTTAGGTGTGTTCAATTTGTATTTGCATGAGAACCATGATTTTGCCTCTAAACATTAATCTTTATCTATAAGAATTTGAATTCATAATATATGTAAGAACAAAAGGAGCTCCTATACATTAACAAAAAGACAAAAATCCAATTAAACACGAATGAAGTTTTTATGCAGAGAAGAAATAACCTCATTAGTAATCAGAGAAAGTAAAATTAAAACAACAGCTTCTCATTTTTCACTCACAGCAGGTTTCAGCTGCTCTGAAGTTGTGGCCGTTGTCAGGATAGGGCCTGGGAACTGGGGAGGGGCTGGTCAGGGCAGACTTATCTGTGAGGTCTGAATATCTTTAAAAAGAAAGATCCTCTGGGCTCCTGGGGGCGGGGTATAGGGCCGCAGGGGACATTGGCAGTCGCCCAGGTGAGAGGACTCAGATCTGGGTACATTTTATTGTAGCAGAGATACTGCACAGGGGGAGTCCAGATGGCTTGGGGCATCTGGGGTTCTGGCAGTGACATCCCTGGGGGCTGACATCTGCCTCTGCCCTGAGGCCTGCAGAAGGAGTCCAGTCTTCTCATGCCAACTAGCGAGACAGAGGTCGGAAGTCACGAGCAGCCCCCCTCCAGAAGTGGCCGGTGCCCTGGTTCAGCTCCAAGAAGCCCTCATGGGTTGGGACATTGCGGGAGGCACTCTTGATGTCAGCAGGGTGACCCGGTGGAGATGTGGGGCTGCTGCAGGTGGCTGGGGGTGGAGGTCCTGCCGCTGTGTGGACATAGACTCGCCAGAGACCGCGGAGGTGCGTGCCTGTCTCCTGGCCCAGGCCTACTGCTGCTGGCACGGTCCTCTCCACCCAGCCCTCCTTCTCTGGGCAGCTGGCCTCGGAAATATTGGAAGGGATAGCCGTGCGCGGTGGCTCACGCCTGTAATCCCAGCACTTTGGGAGGCTGAGGCTGGTGGTTCACTTGAGATCAAGAGTTAGAGACCAGCTTGACCAACATGCTGAAACCCCGTCTCTACTGAAAATACAACATTCGCCGGGCGTGGTGGCACACGCCTGTAATCCCAGCTACTTGGGAGGCTGAGGCAGGAGAATCGCTTGAACCGGGGAGACGGAGGTTGCGGTGAGCCGAGATCGCGCCACTGCACTCCAGCCTGGGCGACAAGAGCGAAACTGTCTCAATAAATAAATAAATAAATAAATAAAAATACAAGAAAGGAAAAAGAAATATTGGAGGGGACTTGGGGTCCAGGGCTGGGCAGGGCTGAAGGCGTAAACATGTGAGAGTCTGGAGCCGGATGAGGTCACGAGAAGACAGGCGGGACAGGGACAGCGCCGTGGGTGCCACTCGAGACACAGG
This sequence comes from Homo sapiens, assembly GCF_000001405.40. Taxonomy (NCBI): domain Eukaryota; kingdom Metazoa; phylum Chordata; class Mammalia; order Primates; family Hominidae; genus Homo; species Homo sapiens. The sequence goes on along the minus strand of NC_000022.11, from coordinate 46,014,290 downwards.
GTGGGCGGGGCCGGCCAGGCCTGGAGCTGGCTGCCACCGGCTGCGGCAGGAGGGAGCTGGCTGCCGCCATTTCAGTGGAGGGTGGCGACAACCCCAGTCTGGAGGGGGCTGAGACCTGTGCTGGGGGCCGCCCGGGGTAGATCCTGTCTTGAAGGTCTGGCGGTGGGAGGGAGGGAAGGTGGCCGCGGGTGGAGGTGGGCGTGGCGCCAAGGGCGGTGTTCCCTGAAGAGCGAGAGTCGGAGCCCGCCGGCTGCCGCAGGGAAGGGAGCGGCGGAAGATGCGGAGATAGAGGGAGGTTCCCAGGAAGGCAGAGGGAACGGGCAGGCCCGGAGGAGCAGGCGGGAATGTGGAGGGGGGTTGGAACCGCAGCACAGAGGGTTTGGGCGCACAAAGGTGAAGGATGTCCCCCGGGAAGCCAGAGGGCACGGCAGCAACTTGCCCGGGTCCCAGGCCTGACTTTCACACACCCCCACCCTGCACCTGGACGGTGACGATCTGCTGGGCCCGGTGGCGCCTGGGAAGGCGGCCGGGGGGAGGTCCGAGTTACTGGAAAGTGCAAGTTCCAACCCAGAGCTGCGCTGAGCAGGGCCGGGCTGCTGGGGCGCCCAGGGCTGCAGGTCCTGGCGGGGCCTCTGGGAAGGCGGAGGGCGCTGACTCAGGCCCTGACTCACCAGGGGCTGCCCTGCGGGGGATCTGGGTCCGCCGAGTCCGGGGAACCTCTCAGGTCTGCCCCCCAGCGACCTTTCCTGGGAATGTTCCAGAGCGGTTCTTACTCCTTCCTGGAGGGTGGCTTCTTTCCTTCCTCCAGAGTTCAAAGCCATTTTCTGCACTTGGCCCCATGGCCTCTGAGCTCAGAGTTCACCCCTCATGGAGCTGGAAGGGACGGTTTCTAGAGAGGCCTCCATGCTTGGACCAGGATGAAAATCCTTCACCATCTTCAATGCAACAAGCTGTTCACGGACCCCCAGTGCCATTCTCTCATTCGTGTGTTCAGGCGTCCCTCATGCCCTCACTCATTTATTCAGCCCATGTGTTCACTGGGGGCCCCGTGCAGGGCTGGGGACGCTGCCATGGAGGAGGCGGAGGCACCCTTGCCCCAGAGGGAGCTCCTGTGAATTTCACTGCCAGCAGCTGGGAGGCTGGTGAGAGACTGTGGAGCCTGCGTCGGGCCAGGCCGGGGAAGGCCTCCTGGGTGATGAGGGCGGAGGTGGGTGCAGCTTGGTGGAGGCCAGGAAGCCCCGAGAGGAGGCCGCCAAGGCGTGGTGGGTTGGGGCAGGTGAGGGCAAGGGGGTGGAGATGGGCACAAGGCCTGGCTGGCACCATGGAAGGTGCAGCCACCCAGACCCCCAGAAGGAGGCTGAGTGTGGGGCCGCAGGACACCTGGGGGCCATGGGACAGGAGGGAGGCCCTGAGGCAGTGCCTGCCTGTGGGTTCCCCACCCCTACACCCCCCATCTCAGAACTCCCTCCAGGGCACACAGTCCTCAGCCGTGGTCCCTTCAGGGTTGGCCCGAAGGTCCTGGCTTCCGTGGGTCAGCCCCATCGATCCAGAGCATAAGGTCCAGCCCATTCTGCCCAACTCAGGCCAGCTCTGGTCCCTTTGAGCTGCAGAGCTCGCATAGGGTCAGGTACGCACAGGGTCCAATTGCTGCCCCTGCCTACGCCTGTGTCCTTCCCTTCGGTCCCCAGTGTTGGCTCCAGGGCAGCCCTGACATCCTGCTGGTGCAAGCTTGCCTCGGAGGCAGCTTCCGGGGGCCCATGTGGCTGCCGGGTCAGCAGAGCATGCTGCTGCCTGCCCCTGGGCTCCAGGCTGTTGGGCTGAGACCCCACAAGCTCCCCTGCAGGCAGGCCGGTGGTCCAGCCCCAAGTGGGGAAGTGGCAGCGGGAGGGGTGCTGGGAATGCCACTGCCAGGGAGCCCACAGTGACACAGACCAGGGAGCTTCTGCAGGCCTGGGAGCTGCTCTGTAGATGGCACCCCTTGCCCTGGGCCCCATCCTTATCTCCTTTCTCCTTAAAATCAGAGCCTCTCCCCTGCAGGCCAGCCCAGTGTCCCTCAGCTCTGGGTCCTTCTAGCCTCAGTGCCCCTTGGCTTCCCATGCTGCTGAATCACAGTGATTGGGATGACAGGGTCCCGCCTCCTCTGCCTCTGAGTTCCAGGACCGCAGACGCCATTGTAACCCACGCACCCGCAGAGGCCTGTCTATGAGCTCCTGTCGTGCTCTGGGTCTCCCCAGAAGCCGGCCCTGAAGCAAAGATTCATGTGAGTGGCCCCGGGAGGGAGGGCCTCGGCCAGTCCAGGGCACTCCGCTAGTGGAGTCAGCCACCGCCTGGCCCTGGGCTCTGTCTCGGGAGCCTGAGCCGGGAGGGCAGGCCTCTGAGTTGCCCCTGTGGAGGGCTTTTGTCCCCAGCCCCATCCCTCCCTGGGGGAGGACCGCCTCCCGCACTGCACTCTGGCATTCTGGGTTTGCCTGGCTTGGGGCCGAAGACAGCATCTGTCCACAGTAGCAGCAAAAATACCCTTCACACATGGGCCCAGGACTGGTCACTCTTTGGGGGTGCCCCTTGGGAGGGTGGAAGTCCCACGGGATATGTTGCTGCTGAGCCCCAGTCACTGTGGCTGGACAGAGAAACCCTATTCCTTTATCCGCTGAGATCCTGCTGTCTTCATTCTCCTGAATGGCTGGGCAAGGGAACTGGGTGCCAGAGGGCAGAACTGGGGTAGTGCCTGCCCCGGCCCTCCCAGCCTCTCCCCTCCACTCCCTGTCCCCACCGCCAGCCCCAGCTTGTTCCCCAGAGACCCAAGGGACAGGCTGTGGGGCCTGGCAACTCAGCCCCGACGGGCCCAGTCTAAACCGGTGTTCCGCCAGGGAGGCCCATTTGGCCGTCCGGTTGCCTAAACAGCCCAGCCTTTGTCCGGGGCGGTCACAGGCGCTGTTTGCTCAGTGCCCGGCTTGTTTTTCCCAGGCCAGTGAGGCAGGCAGAGGCACCGGAGCCATGGAAACAGCACAGACCACCTGTCCTGCCCCAGCTCCGCTCCCGCTCGGTTGCTTTCTCTGCCTCTGTGGACCTCCTGGTGCGCTGGCCCTATCCCAGCTGGGCCCTGGGCAGAGCAGGACTCACTGTCTTGCCCCCGCCCACCCTGGGACTTCAGCTGGGCCCAGCACAGAGAGAGCCAAGGGGTTTCTGGAGCTCTGGAGTCCCTCCACCTGCTCTCAGCACTCACCAGACGCAAGCTCTGTGGACCATGGGGACTGAGGGCTCCTTCCTCTGCCCCCCGGCACTCCTTCCCCCAGCCACTCTCCTGGGGAGGGGCCAGGGATGAGGCCAGCTCAGGGAAATACTCTCTGACCTGAGTTGCCCCAACAGGAAATAGGCTATCTTGAAAGGTGGTGAGTTCCCTGTCATGTGAGGCATGCAAGGGTAGACTCCTAGGGCTGCTATAAGGGAATCTTTATTGTATGGGAGGGGACATTAATGGATCGAGTGAGTATAGAAAGAGTTCTTTCTTTTGTTCATTCATTCACTCCATTTATTGACTGACTCATTGATTCATTCAGAAAACACCAGTGGTGTGGCATCCATCCTCTGGCCTAGGCTGGGTGCCAGGTGCAGAACATTCAACCGTGAGACTGCAGTCATGACTCCTGCTTTCATGGCAGGCAGAGTCACATGGGTAAGAGGATGTGGGGGAGACACACATGAGAATGAACAAGGCCTCCAGGAAGGTGGGGTAGGAGCCGAGAGGGATCAGAGAGATTATGAGTTTCGTGCCCTATTCCATGGGTGGAAAACTGAGGCACAGAGGGATACTCATGCCACATAGAACCTGGATAACTCCCCAGAGCTTCTGGGTCCACAGTCATCCAAGCTGCAAACGCCGCTGAGAATCCTGAGGAGGGGAGGCTCCTTCCAGGTGTTGGGAGTGGCTTGGGAGTGCTCCAGCAACCCCGCATGCCCCAAGCACTGCTTATGGGCCAGGCTGGGGTGGGGAATGCTGAGAGCACTGGGGAGAACCTGTTCTTGGGACTGACTTCCAGATTAAGACAATCTTGCTTCGAGGGGCTGTGTGGCTGGCTTTAAGCACCAGGAAGTTCTGATCTTCTCACCTGTTCTAGTTAATTAGTGCTGCATAACAAACAGCCCCAAAACAGTGACTAAAACTACAGCCACTTTATTACGCTCAGGAATTCTGTCCTGAAAGGGCACAGTAGGGACAACTCCACTCTACTCTGTGTGGTTCAGTGGCTCACCCGAGACAACTCAAATGGCTGGGGGCCGGGACACCTGCTGCTGGTGGATCCACTTCCAAGATGGCTTCTGCATTCGCATGGCTGGTGCCTGGGCTGGGCTGGCTGGAAGGCTGGAACTGTCAACCAGTGCACCCCCATGTGACTCCTCATGGAGCTTGGGCTTCCTCACAGCATGGAAGTCTCAGGTTGTTGAACTTCCTTCTTAGATGGCAACTTAGGACTCCAAGTTATAAGCCATATGGTCTTTTATGAGTGAGCCTTGGAAGTTACCCAACAACACTTCTGCCGCATTGTCTTGGCTGAAGTAGTCACAAGCCCACCTGGATTCAAGAGGAGAGGCCATAGGGCCCACGCTTCAATGGGAGAAGGACCAAGGACTTTGCAGCCATATTTAACACTGCCACACTAGCCTCCAATTTCCTCCTTTCCTCTCTGAAAATTCTGCCATCTGCCAAAGTTGGGCTTAAATTCCAAGCCAGAAAAACTTCCTGCTAATTCCTATCCCCAGTAACACTTCCTGCCCACCGCTGCATTCTTGGTTATGGTTGCTCTAATAAGTAATGGGGACAGTCATGAATGTGATGCCCCTCACTTGGCAACCATGCCCATGTGTTCACACATGTATATTCTTCTTTGGTTCTTAGAGTAATCCTGTGAGGCATTTTAGATGAGCGAGTGGGCATCTCACATGGAGTTTTGCGGGGTGAGTAGGAGTTTTCCTGACAGACAGGGTTTGAGGAAAAGTATGATGAGCTTGGGCACATGTACAGTTGGGTGGGGCTGGAGGACAGTGTCACTGACTTGAGGCAAGAGGCTTCTCTGTGGAGAAGTGCTCCACACAGTCCTCTGTTTTAGGAAGACTCCTCTGGCCCAGACAGTGTGAAGGCTGGAAGCTGGCCTGGGGGAGCTGGCACTGAGGCTCATTCATGGACCCCCACAAGTGCCTGTCTGCCTGTGCCTCCTACGTGGTTTCACGAGTCCTTTCAACCATTATCTGGGTGGGCATTGTCAACCCATTTTACAGATGAGAAAGCCGGGCTGGGCGCAGTGGCTCATGCCTGTAATCCCAGCACTTTGGGAAGCTGAGGCGGGCAGATCACTTGAGCTGAGTTTGAGACCAGTATGGGCAACATAGGGAGACCCTGTCGCTACAAAAATGAACCAACAAACAAAAATTAGCCAGGCATGGTGGTGTGCACCTGTGGTCCCAGCTACTCGAGAGACTGAGGCGGGAGGATTGCTTGAGCCCAGGAGGTAGAGGTTGCAGTGAGCCATGATCGCACCACAGCACTCCAGCCTGGGTGACAGAGAAAGACCCTATCTACAAAACACACACACACACACACACACACACACAAAACAGATGAGAAAACTGAGGCACCAAGAGGTGTTTCTGGAATCCAAACTTGGCAGGAAGGCTAGGAGCAGGGTTGGGAGCTGCCCTTGTCTCCTCCACAGGCAGGAAGCTTGTCCTCCCTCTCCAGCACCTCAGCTGCCCCTGCCACCCCCACCCCTCTCAGCCCTGACCCTGTGGTCCAGAAAGGCCTCTGGAGGCCAGCTGTGGGTGGCAGGGCCTCTGGCTTACACCAGCGGGCAGCAGGGAGTGTAGTCACCTGCTCACTCGTGTCTGGTGCTCTTTGTGGCTATAGGAAGCAGAGGACAGGTGCTGGGAGGAGGGCTGGCCTGAGGGGAAACTGAGGCCTGGGACTGCGGGGTCAGGGCTTGGTCTCTGCCACTGAGTTTGCACCTGGCTTCCCCTCATGCCTGGCCATTTGGTTCCGGCTCTTGAAATAGATCCTCTGCCCACCTGGTAGCTGGCCGGCCATGGGCCGTGCCACGCCACCTGCCTGCTGCAGCCCAGCCCGGTCACCCCGAAACGCTGACAAAAGCCAGCTGCTCTCCCAGCAGTCGCTCGGCAGGCAGACACCCGGAGGCGTGACGCCTGCCCTCGTCTGGCACCGAGGCTGCCAGGAGGGCGCTGACGCAGCTCTCCCCACTCCCACTCCCAGGGGCTCCGCAGCTCCTTTCTGGAATGGCTTCCCGATGAGGTAATGCAGCTCGGAGCACAGGAGGAGGCCACTGGGAAACGCTGCTGGCCAGGCCCCAGCTCCCCGGGAAGATGGCTGCCGTGGCCTCCCTGCCCTGCCTGCCCGACGCCACCGCACAAGGGCCTGGCAGGCTGAGAACAGGAGCCGGACTTCAGGCCGGAGGCTTGGCGGCCTCACTCTGGAGTGGCCAGGGGGACCCAGACATTTACTCATCTCCCGGCCGAGGTGGTGCAGGCCTCAGCCTGGGCCTGCAGCCTCACTCTGATCCTTAGAGGCCCCTGCCCTGAGAACACGCCGCCCCCGGGCACACGCGGAGAAACAGAGGCCGTGCCCAGGGTTATAGCAGGAATCAAGGTCTGTTCTCGCCCTGCAGCCCTGGGGGCAAGGGCAGGCCTCCCTCCACACGCATCGCATCGGGTCTGGGAACAGCACCATGAGCTTGCTCCGACCTGCCAAGCGGCTTTTTCCTGGAACATGAGTCTTTTCCGGGCACGGAGCAGAGCACTCAGGCCACCGGCCCTCCTATGCTGGGAGCAGGGGGAGATGCCGGCTGGCCGAGCAAGGAGGCCCCTGGGGCTGTCCACCCGGTGTCCCTCTCAGGGCCCCTCTTGGCCCCATGAAAAGGCGGCACCCCCACCCCTTGCCTCTCCTAGCGCTGCCAGGCTCCCCTGCAGGTGTGACCTGCCTCGCAGAAGCTGCTGAGAGGCAGGAACTGAGCAGGGAAGTGTCCCAAGGGGTGACTCACTTCCCTCACCCACGTTTCCCCCTCTCCCTGCCAGGCCCTGCGCTGGGCGGGCCCTAGGGCCACAGGGACCAGCATGGCCCGGCAGCCCCGGACCTCCCAGGTGGAAGGAAGGACCCGGAGAACTGGAAACATCCTTGCATAGCAGCCCCCGAGTTGGAGGCAGCCACTCGGCACCTGGCACCTGGCCCAGGGGGGCCTCCTGCGGACTCACGTGGGCTCTGGGAGGTGGAGGAGGGTCACTTCCCCCAGGGGAGAGCGGAGAAGGCTGGCAGGACCCTGCTGTGGGTGTGACTGGGACCGTGCTGGGCCCTGCGTTGGCCAGCAGTGTCCCGAGCGGGCCTCCGCGCCGGCAGGCCCAGCTGGGCCTATTTCTGACTCGAATTTGTTGCGAAACGTCGGCAAATCCCCTGCCCTGGCTGGGCCTCAATTTCCCCATCTGCAGACAGGAGGCGGGCGAGAGGGCCCCCTGGACTTCAGGGCCCGTGGGTCTGACGGCCAGGGCTGCAGCTGAATCTCCGAGTTGGAGATGCCTGGTGGGGTGCAGCACACCCTGCGTGCACAGATGAGGGCCGGGCTGGCTCCAGGCGTGCGGGAGGCAGCAGTGGAGCTGGGATCGGAGTCTGGACTCCTCTGCTGGCCTCGAGTGACCCCGGGGGCCTTCTTGTCCCCCCTCCTTGCAGGAAGCACAGGCACCAGCTCCTGAAAGCAGAACAGCTCCCCTCTGCTGCCCCCTGGTGGCTGCAGTGACACATGGTGGCCCAGTCCAGAGCCAGGGCACCCCCAGGGTCACCGACACCCTCAAAGTCATGAGCTCCCCTGGGGCCATGGGTGTCGTAGGGCTGGGGCCACCCTCTCTGGGAGCCCTGGGTGAGAGTGTCACTTGTGATATTTCATTGAATCTTCACCCCTCCCACACACAAGAGAGGGATGATCATGTTTGCCGCTTCACAGCTGGGTTGTCAGTTTCAGGGGGCAGAGCCTGCAGGAAGCTGGGGCCGGAGAGGTTTGAAGTCAGATATTCCAGTGGAAAGTGCTCCCCTCCCCTCCAGTCAACAGCCACCTGGGGCTTCAGGCTCTAGGAGGGGAGGAGTGGGTGGGGAAGGTCGAGGCTTATTATTCTTCGGGGTGTGGGGGTGGTCACTAAAATGGGACCTGGTGGCCGGGCACAGTGGCTCACGCCTGTAATCCCAGCACTTTGGGAGGCCGAGGCGGGCGGATTACCTGAGGTCAGGAGTTCTTGACCAGCCTGGCCAACGTGGTGAAACCTTGTCTCTACTAAAAATACAAAACTTAGCTGGGCATGGTGGCACACACCTGTAATCCCAGCTACTCAGGAGGCTGAGGCAGGAGAATTGCTTGAGCCCAGGAGATGGAGGTTGCAGTGAGCTGAGATCATGCCACTGCACTCCAGCCTGGCCGACAGAGCTGGACTGTCTCAAAAAAAAAAAAAAAAAAAGAAAGAAAGAAAGACGGGACCTGGCTTCCTAACTGAGGGAAACTGAAGAGAAGGGCCCAGTTCACGGGAATAAGGTGCCAGTTTGGGATGCCCCTACAGGGCCCTAGGTGCAGGGGACAGGGCTGAGGGAGCGGGGGAGGCGCCAAGATGTCAAGGCCGGCAGCCGTTCTCCTGGGGCAGAGGGCCAGTGCCCATGCCCGCACCTTGGGTCCCCAGGGCAGCCAGGTGGAGCCATACCACCTCCTCGGGCTTCACCTGCAAGCCCAGGCCCTGTGCTCACTGAGCCCCCACGCCCGCCAGGCCACTTCCAGAGGCTGTGCACACCCTCTGCCCAGATCCAGGAGAGGGGCTTTCACACAAGGAGGGAGAGGCTCAGAACCCTGGCAACCTACCCAAGGCATGGCACATGGGGCTACACGGGTGGATTGGAAGCTGGGTTGGCCACCTGAACCCCTGGGGTCCTGGCATTTCCAATGTCACCATCAGAAGGGTGGATGGAGGCCGGGCGTGGTGGCTCATGCCTGTAATCCCAGCATTTTGGGAGGCCGAGGCAGGCGGATCACCTGAGGTCAGGAGTTCGAGGCCAGCCTGGCCAACATGGTGAAACCCCGTCTCTCCTAAAAACACAAAAATTAGCCAAGCATGGTGGCAGGTGCCTGTAGTCTCAGCTACTTGGGAGAATGAGGCAGAAGAATCGCTTGAACTCGGGAGGCGGAGGTTGCAGTGAGCTGAGATCACACCACTGCACTCCAACCTGTGCGACAGGGCAAGACTCTGTCTCAAAAAAAAAAAAAAAAAGAAAAAAGTAAAAGAAAAAAGAATGGAGGACGGAAGGGCCACACCATGCAGGTGCTGGGGTCCTGGCGTTTCATTTTCAATGTCACCATCAGAATGGAGGATGGGAGGCCGCCCCGCGAATGGAGGGCGGGAGAGCCATGCCATGCAGGTGCTGCCTGCTTGGGTTCCTGTGCTGGGACTGCCTCTCTCATCTATCACCTTGCACCTCCATCGCTGTGACACCCTTCACCCGCCGGGCCCCCACAAAACATGCTTGGGCTCTGCAGCCAGACTCCATCCTCCCCCACCAACCGTCCGACTCCTAGAGCCCTCTCCTGGACCCCCAGCACAGCGCGTGCGTGACGGAACCCTGCAGAGCCACTTCCTGTTAGAATCAGAAGGGCTGTCAGCCACTAAACCCAAGTGCCAACTTTTGGTGACGGAGAAATAGATCCAGATAGAGGGAGGACTTGATCAGGCCCAGGGTGGCCAGAGACCCTTTGGACTGCGACCAGAATCCCAGGGGCCTGTCACCGGCCCAGCGTCTGAGGTCCTGAATCCCTGGAAATCAATAAAGGCAGGCAGGTGGGAGGCTGGAGGCCTCGCAGCCCACCCAACCCACATCCACCACACTCTCACACCAAGCCCTCAGCGTGCTCGGAGCATGGCGGTGGGCTTTACCCCTCCAGCCCCTCTACCTGGGATGCCACACAACTCTTCAGGGCCAGGGGAGTCCCCTCCTAGGGCCACCGTCCCCAAGGCACCCAGGGATGAGTCACTCTCTCTCACCCCAGGCCACCCAGGAGAGTTGACATCAGTCACATGTCTGCCCCTCAGACTGGGAGAACCCTGGAGCAGGGACCCCATCCCCTGCCTCTGTGAATCCCTAGCATTGGCCCATGGTGTGAACACCAGCAGCCACAGCACTGAGACCTAGCCAGGGCTTCCCAGTTTCCTGGGCACCAGCTGTTCTTCGCAGCCTCTTCCATGCTTGCTGGGAAGCAAGGTCTATCATGACCCTAGGCGCAGAAGGACAAGAAACAGAGAGGTTGAGTAAGATGCCCGACGACACACAGCTGGAGTCAGCAGAGGCTGGAAGGGTGCTGGGCGGCCTGGCTCCCAGCACGAGGCATCCTACCTGAGGACAGTAGACGGGCAGCTAAAGGACCCTCAGCTGACCACACAGGCCGGGCCTGGGCATGTCTGCGGCATGACCCCCTTGGGCCTTGTCACCTCCTCTCATCCCCTAGATCGCAGGACAGCAAGGTGGTCACACCCAGATTGCCTGAGTGTGCATTCTTTCCTTCCACGTCGGAGCACTTGGTCGGAATCCTGCCCACACAGGATGCACCTCACGAGGTGTTCACTCACCAGTCTCCCAGAGCAGAGGGGTCTGGGGAGAGGGGACACAAGATGGCATTGGGAGTGACAGCAAGACTGACTGTCTTGCGGGGCCCTCAGGCGCTGGCCTCCAAGGCCAGGTCCCCCAGGAAAAGCCTAGACAGAGGGGAGCAGGAAACCCGGTCCCAGCCCAGGGCGCCCACTCCCTGCCGGCCAGGCCAAGCCTCCCGCGTCCGGCCTCCTGGGTGCTGCTCACTCATCCATCAGACCAGTGTGATGGGGTCATTCGCTCCCATTCCCAGGCGGGGGAGGCTCCAGGAGATGTGGGTGGATGTGGGTTTACCCTGTGGATGGCCTGAGGCCTGAGGACTAGGAAGGTCCATCTATCTGTCCCTTGGCAGATGGCCACAGTGCCCAGGGCGACAACAGGGTGAGCTCTGCTCACATGGGTCCTGATGCAGATAGGGGGTGTCTGGGCCCCTGTCACCCCTGTGGAGTCTTCCTCGCCTTCCTCTGGGCGGGTCTTCTCAGGTCCAGCTCAAGGGCATCTGGGAGGGGAGGTGGCCTGAAAGCTCGGAGGCCCTGCAAAGCTGGCTGCAGTTAGGAAAGCCACTAAGTCATTATTTTGGGGTTAAATCAGAACTAATCTACCCAAGCCAATGGCTGGGTCCCCTGAAGGGAGGACACTCATGACTCAGCTGCTTGAGCCTGGGGAAGTGGTGTCCCTGAGATCCAGGAATGTGAGGGAGGATGACACCATCCACCAGGCCTGGCCCAGCGGGAGCAGCTAGTGTGGCTGCCTCTCGCTGTGCCCACCCCACCCTCAGCATCTGGCTTTGTCCACCTCTGGCCAAGGCCCACTCTGTTTGGGCTGCACTGTTGCCCGGAAGCCCTCCATGCCCCAGCGAGAGTCTCCCTCCCTGGCCTCTGTCCCTCCATTTCTCCATCAGTGGCCACCAGGGCAGTTTTCTTTTTCTTTTCTTTTTTTTTTTTTTGAGACGGAGTCTCACTCGCCCAGGCCGAAGTGCGGTGGCACGATCTCGGCTCACTGCAACCTCCGCCTGCCGGGTTCAAGCAATTCTCCTGCCTCAGCCTCCTGAGTAGCTGAGACTACAAGCACGCGCCACCATGCCCGGCTAATTATTTGTACTTTTAGTAGAGATGGGGTTTCACCATGCTGGTCAGGCTGGTCTCGAACTCCTGACCTCGTGATCTGCCTGCTTCAGCCTCCCAAAGTGCTGGGATTACAGGCGTGAGCCACCGCAACCAGCCCACCAGGGCAGTTTTCTTAAAAGGGGACCCTGCCTGGTTATGGTAATGGCTCTCCTGCTGGCCCTGGGGGCGGTTCAAGCCTTCAGGGCAACTCTCAAGGCTTCCAAAGCACACCCCCACCCCTCGTTCCTCCCCCCACTGCTCCTTCCCCTTTGACGCCCCCTGCTCTGCTAGGCTGGGGATGTAGGGTCTGAATGTGCCATCTGGACCCACCAACCCCTCACCCAGGCTGTGCACCGGAGAGACCTCACTGTGGGACACAGGAGCCAGGGTGGGCAAGGGGGTAGGGGGCTGCTGCCGTCACCACTGAGGAGTACAGCCCCACCCTTGGCCTTGAGCAGCCCCCAGTCCTGCGTGTGGGGCCGCCAGGCTGCAGGGGGCCTGGACCCATGGCGGTGGCTGTTGATTCAGCTGTCTGGTTGGCGCCAGCTCCCCTGCTGGGGCCGAGTCTTTCTGGAGTTAGACCCTGCAGCCCTGTCCCCACTGAGCCAGCACGAGGGCAGTGACCGTCTCAAAGCAGCTCTTCTCCATGGAAGTCTTAAGGGGCCCCTTGGCCGGAGTCCCACGAGTGACAGCTGGCAGCCCTCTTGGCTCCCTGGGGGAAGCAGATAGTGTGGCCCCTTAATTTGGGCCACTTGAGGAGCGTTTAAAAACAGGACAAAGGCGTGGGCCCAGCTCAGGAAAAGCTAGGAGGGAAGGAGCCGTTCTCTGGGGCTGGTGGCCAAACGGGGAGGTAGCTGCAGCCACTGGTGGCAGGGACCCTTAGGCCTCCTGCCAGTGCCTCGCGCCGGCAGAGGCCACGGACAGGTCCCAGCACAGGGAGCTGGCAAACGTGCCCACAGGGTCGGCCTCTGGGCCAGCTGGAGCAGGTGCAGTGAGGGGCTGGGAAGGCATAGAGAAAAGCGGCAGCGGGGCTCTGAAGATGCAAGCCTGGTGGCTGGAGCATGTTCCAGTGAGGGACAGGCAAAGCTGCCAGGGCAAAGGGCGGATTTCCTGATACAGGAGTGGAGGATGCTGTGGAAGGGCTGGATCTCCCATCCAAGGCGTCTCCTAGAGCCACACCATGCCCCATCCAGGGTGGTGCTAATGCTTCTCCCCTGGGTCAACTGGGCCTGTGACCACCCCGTGAGTGGGTGGTGGAGGTGCCATGTGAGCACTGGGCTGGGCTGGGAAAGCCCCTGCATCTGCCTGGCTCTCCAGGGGTGCTGGCTGGTGGAGCTCAGATGATACCAAGTGAGGAAACCTTGATTCTGGCCCAGCCCTGGAGCTCCCTCTAGCTGAGGCCCCCACTGGGGGGAACAGAAACCAGGCACTCCCACTATGACCCATGGAGCATAAGAAAGTGGCTGTTGTCAGTGTCTATGTTTTGGGGTAACTGGAGAAGCCCCAAGGCTTCCCTGGTCTCCCCTGAACACTCTTGCACCTTCTGGCCCACGTGGCTCGGGGCTCTAGAGGCCACAGCAGGTCAAACGAATGCCACCATCTGTGCTCACTCCAGGGGACCCCCGTGTCCTTGGCCTGGATCCACCTGCATCCAGGCTTGGCCTGTATGGAGCCATCATCTGCCCAGGGTGGAAGGGGCAGGAGACATCGAGGGGTAGGGTGGGGTGGAGGAACTTTCTCTTACAGCCACGTGAGAGGCCTGGTCTGCCCAGCGGGGTCCTGAGCTGTTGGTTCTCCAGGCACCTTCAGAGCCACTGGGTTGGGGGTTGGCCAGACTGAAAAGACTGGATGCTCAGGGCTGTGCTCCCTCCGCACCTGCCCTACCTGCAGGGAGGCAGGAGCCCAGCTGGCCAGTGGTTGGGTGAGGACAGAGGTGAGGGTGCTAGGAGCAGCCACTAGACACAAAACCAAGTCCCTCAGCACAGGCCCCTCATCTGGGAGGCACCTGGATGGGAGGACAGGTCCGGCCAAAGAGGTGCACACATGTGGGGCTGAGGAATGGGGTCCCTGCACAAAGCCGGCGTCTGCATCATGGGCAGACAGACCACCATGTCCTCATGAAGTGCTGGCTTCTTTCCTTCCACCTCCTCATTTATAGGGTTGGAAGAGTGACAGCTGAGACCCCAACCTCAAGTGCCCAGGCTGTTGTGAGGACGAAGCAGGGGGCTGTCACAGGTACGGGCTGAGGGCCTGGCAGGTAGGGGCTGTTTCACCTGGAAGCCCCAGAGCCCGGGAGAGTGCAATGCTCCGAACATGTACAGGATGGGAAGGAATTCCACACGCTCTTTTCCTGTGCCATCCCCAGTCCGCCATGGAAGGGAAGCATCAGGAGTAGGATGTGGTGCCTTTTAATTGTACCCATAGAATAGTAATTTGTGTAAACTGCCCCTTTCCCTTTTTGCCTCTGCCACTGGGAAGCTTGGAGCCAAAGCCGTGGGCCTATCTCTGCCTCCACTTAGACCTACCTTCTCTCCCCGTTCCCTTGGTCTTTCACCTCTACTTTTAAATACATGTTCTGATGTTCTGCGGCATCTTTGCTGCACCCCCAAATCCCTTCTGGACAAGGCGACCCCTGGCTCCTTCCTTTGAGCTCCTTGGTTTCTACAACCCTTAAGATGCCCCCACCCCACAGTGGCGAATTTCACTCTCTGGGAAGCGCGGCAGCAGGTGCCTGGGACGCGCCCACCGGAGCCTGGGCTTTGAATCCCTGTCCCCTACTCCACGCAGTGTCAATGTCGCCTGGCCGCCTGCACGTCTGTTTCCTTTGTGCTCAATGCATTTTCTAAGGCAGGTGCCAGGTGGTAGCTGTCAGTGTCATTTCTATTTCTGCTGTTGATTTGCTTGTCTGCTTCTCCAACTGCCTGGCCCCCAGGCTCCTGAGCTCAGCAGGCAGGGAGTGCATACAGAACATCCCCCCACCTCTGAGCTGTCCCCTGTCATTGGACAATGCCCCTAGATGGCACCTCAGGCCTCTGCGGGAGTCTGGGGGCTGTGGGAGTCTGGGGGCTGGTGGAGGCTGTCAGGAGAGGCTGCCCGGAGGAGGTGGTGAGACCTGAGGGCTGAGTAGGGTTAGCCAGGGCAAGGAAGGCAGGGGAGAGCAGATGGAAAGGTGGCTGTGAGGAGCAGTTTGGCCAGGTGTGTGGACAGCCCCTCTGAAGCCAAAGAGTCTAGAAGGTCCTTTGAACCTGGCCCTGTGAGCCTGTGCCGATCGGGCAGAGGGGCCCACATGACAAAGGCACGAGGCATGGCTCCCATGTGCCTGAGGAGGGGGAACAGGGGAGAAATAAGACCCAGAGGCTCAAGTGTGCTGTGCTGAAGAGCAAGGCCTTCAGGGAGGCGACAGGGAGCCACAGAAGGTTATGGGGGGGAGGGTGCACAGCAGGCTCTCTGATGCTTACATTGAACACACAGTTCCAATTTGATTATTTACTTGAACCCAATGACTCCTCTGGCAGTGGGCTTGGCTGTCCTTGCCTGGTGAAGGGATGTGACTTTCTCCCCAAGGTTGCACCTCCTCCAGCCCCAGGCAGCTGCACGGTCAAGGGCAGTACCCAGCAAGGGACGATGGAGATGCCGGCCAGCGTCTGAGGTTAAAGTATACTTTGAAAAGCGTGGCTAACGTTTGAAGGAAAACAGCAAAAGAAGAGTCTAGAAACCAGATCCCTGGCCAACAGGAGTCTACGTTCCAAACAATGTCCCTGAGGAGACAAAGAGCCAGGGCCCCTGGGGGGGCACTGCTGCCAGCCCTGGGGAAGGGACCAGGCTAAGAGGGCTCTCAGATCCTCAGGACAGGAGAGGGTGGGCTCTGCGGGCCGGGCAGGGCTGGCCTGTGCCCACTGCCTGGGGGAACTCAGCCAGCGGGAGCTGTGCACAGGTGCACAGCTGGGCCCTGGTGAGGGGTGGGGATGAGGAGCGGCAGGTCCAGGAGTGGCCGCAGGAGCAGTGACCCAGGCGTTGGGTGATCCAGAGGGACTTGGCCCATTAAGGGGACTTGGCAGCCGTGCCAGCCTGGAACAAGAGCCCGCAGAGGACACCTGCCTGGACAGATGGCGTCCAAGGCGGGCACTCCAACAGGGATGCTGTGAATGTCAGGTGCCACCGGGCACTGAACTGACTCAGTTTTCACACCTGAACAGGATCATACACATTCAGCTGTGGACAATTGAATCCATTTCCCGCCTCTGAGGCTTCACCATCTTTCCTCAAAGGATGAGGGAAGTGTCCGGTGACCCTGGCTTCGAGAGTTGGGGTTGGGGAGGGGTAGGAGGCACAGGGTGGTGGGTTGGGACTGTAGAGTCAGGCTCAGGGCTCAGCTCAGGGCAGGTGCCGTTGGGACCAGGGAACCATTACAGGTTCCCAGGTTTGACCTCTGCATCCCCCCAGTCCCTGCCCCTGAGGTCTGGGGTCCAGATTCCCACAGGGCCAGTAGCTGAACTCTTTTTCTTTGGGGAGGAGGAGGCAACCAGGCCTGGAGTCACTTCCCTTGTAAACTAGGCTTTGGCTTTTCTCTCTTCCCCTCCCTCTGGGCGGAGAGGTGGCCGACATCTAGTCAGGGCAACTGTGGGTCAGTCACCCACAAGCTGGAAAACCAGATGGTCCTGAGAGTCTACAGGGGACTGGGCTGAGTTGGGTGGGTGGAAGGACAGGGAGGGTTCTGGCCAGCGTTGGGGGGGCCCGTGCTGGAGGCAGGGCGGGTCTCCATGCCCAGCCTCTGTCCCCCAGGTTCCAGTGGTGGAGGGGGTGGGGCAAGTGGAGACAGCGGAGGGCGGGGGTTAGGGGGGCCCTGGCTTCCTCCAGCAGGCTCCGCCTGCCCCAGCAGCTGCTGCTTCCGCCGCTGGCCTGGCAGACAATGCGCTGGCGGGGAACAGTGGCCCGGGGCCAGGGCTGTCCATCCCCCCCAGCTACACAGGAAGACAGAACTCAGAAGACCAGTGTGTCCTGAAGTGAACTCGCTGCCCAGGCGCTGTGATTTAGGGCTGTAGATTCCCAGAGGAGATGCCTCCAGTTTGAGTCAAACTGGTTTCTTTCAGGCTTAAAATGGCAGGGCCCTGGGACCCCGTTGGGGAGGGGGTCGAGTTGGGAGGGATGGCCCTGGGAAAATCTCTACCTCATCTCTCCCTTCTCCTGCAGCCCTTGCCCTCGGGCTGTGTGGGTGGCACCTCAGCCCTCCTGCCACAGGGCCTTTGCACGGCTGGGCCCCTGCCTGCAGTGCCCTCTCTTGAGGTCCCTCAAGCCTGCTGCATCTGGGTCTCAGTCCAGAGGCCTCCCGTGGCCTGCCTGCCTCTCCATCCTTGCCTTAGAGCCCTTCCTGTCCCCTCTCCCCAGACATGGGCCCTGACCTGTGCTATGATTTCCTGTCTGGGTCCTGAGGTCCCCTCAGTCATTCTTGTTCCTCCTCTCCTGCCTACTCCCCCTCCTGGCACTCTCCCCTGAACCCTCAGGGCTCAGCTCCTGTGGTCCCTGGGCACCCTTTCTCCCAGGCCCTGCCTACCCACGTGGCGTGGGCCCCTCCATCGCCTGCACACCCCTCCATCGCCTGCACGCCCCTCCATCACCCATCGCAACGTGCCTGTGTGCTTGCCCGTCTCCCTGGCCCTGGAAATACTCCGGACGGGCGGGGCCGCTGCAGGAGCCCACCCCGATGCCAGACCTGGGCCAAGAGAAGAGGCAGGCTCTGCAGAGAGGTCCTGGGCAGGCAGCATGGACCTGGGCTTCCCCTTCCTCAGCATAGACCACAGCCGGCCACCAGGCCGTGGAGCAGGAGGGCGGCCCCACTGAGCTCCACAAAGCGGAACCGGCCCTCTGAGTCAGCGCAGGGAGCAGAGACCAGAGTCAAGCAGCCCTCCCTGGATGGGGGCGGCCTGGAGCTCTCCTCCCTGGACTGGGATGGCCTGGAGGTCCCCTCCCTGGACCGGAGCACCCTGGAGGTCCCCTCCTTGGACCGGGGCACCCTGGAGGTCCCTTCCCTGGACCGGGGCACCCTGGAGGTCCTGGTGCCTGCCCTGGCCCCACTGCCATAGGCCAGGACTCAGCTCTGTCCCAGGCCTCAGGCCCAGCCCTGCCTGCTGCTGACCTCCTTTTGACCCAAGTGTCACCCCCGGGGCGTTACGTGGAACTTACCCTGGGCCCGCAGGTGGTTCCCAGGGCCCAGCTATCCCCTCCTCGCCTCTCAGACTCAGCCAAGTGGCATCGCCTCAGGGAAGCCCTCCCTGATCTGCCTTCGGCGCTCCCTGTTGCATCAGGTGCCTTCCAGCTTGGAGGAGGGTGGTCTGTCTGTCTGTCTGTCTGGCCGACCGGTCTGTCTCTCCCGCTAGACTCTGAGCTTGATTTAGCAATTCATGGACTGAGGGGGACTGCTACACTTTGGTGCTGATTTTGGTAACTTCAGAGCCTCTCAGCCCAGGCCTGGCACATAAGGCCCGCAGGGAGCTGCTTGTTGGTTGACACTCATGGAATGAGTGAACTCTGGAGCCTTCCTTGAGGCATCGAGCTCGCCCCTGCCTGCTGGCCCACCGCTCCCTCGCCCTGGCCACTCATGGTGCGGGGCTGTGGCTTCCGGAGCCCTCTCCCTCCTGAGCGTGAGCTCCCGGGGGGGAAGAGAACAGGGTGGGAATCAGCCGTGAGAAGGAACGGAGCACAGTGCGGCACCGACTCACTGTCACTGATGCTGTGACAGCAACCACAGTGAAGAATCACACAGCCGGAGAGAGCAGGGGAGGGCGTGGAGAGATTGGAGCCTGTGCACACGCTTGCTGGTGGGAAGGTGAAATGGTGCAGCCACTGTGGACACCGAAGAGAGAGCCAGAGCCACCATGGCATGGACAGGAACAGGTCCCCTCCTGCGTGTAAGTCGGGAGAAGCGGCCACAGGGACACACCAGACACTTGCACCCTGAGGTTCCTCACCGCTCACAGAAGCTGAGGAGAAACAGTCCCGGCGTGCACCCAGGGGGATGGAGGAACAGAACAGGGCCTGTCCACACCTCCTCTCTCGCCACCTCGGGGCTGGGCCTGGCTGCTGCGGTGTGCTGTGTGTCCTGGGCGGCCAAGGGGGTGCTTCTGGGACCTGCAGACCCCTCAGCCCCCTGGGGACTGCAGATTCAAAAACTCACCCTACTTCTCATGGGGACAGCAAAGGCCCCAGACACCATGTCCCCACCTGGCCTCAGTCTCCCCACATGGGATAGAGGTGCAGCCAAGTGTCCCCCGGTCCTACCGGGCCCTCCTTGAAGCCCCCCAGGCAGGCAGTACTACGGAGGGGCGAGGGACTTGCCAGAGTCATACGGCCTAGTGGCTTGGAAGCTGGGTCTTTGGGAATCCAGATCCCGCACTCTCCTGCCCTGTGTCTCCCACGGGCGGGACAGACTCCCCTTGTCCCAGGAGTCTCGGCTCCCATGCCAAGGCCTGGCACAAACCAGGTCCTTTCCCTGCCCTTGAGCGCCCTCTGGTGGGCATGCTGGGCATTGTCAGGGATGAGGCGGAGGAACCAGAGCCGACCCCAAGGTTAAGGACAGGGTGAAGGGCCAGAGGCCAGGGACTGGCTGGGGATGAAGAGCTACGTGAATCCTGGGGGCCTGGGGGAAAGACCTCCAGTTTCTCAGGAGGCGCTGGTGTCACTGCCCCATCGTGCAGTGGATCCTGGGACCGGGAGGCCCCGCGTTCAGGCTCGATCTTCGGGGTCTGGTCAGGAGGTGGAAATGGGGTCGGCGGGGTCCCAGGAAGGAGCTTTTGTGCCCCGAGGCCCTGGATATCACCAGCCTCACCTCAGAGCTGCCCCTGCGTCCTCCTCTCACAGGGAGCCAGGCCATCCTTTGCAAGGGACATGTGGACTCCAGCCCGGCACAGGCCCCTTGCTGGCTTGCAGGCTCAGGCAGCTGTGAGAGCACGGGCTGGCCTCCCCCACTTTTACTGCCCAGCTGTTGATCTGCAACTCTGGTCCCGACTCTACCCACTAAGGAGAGAATGACCCCTCCCCTCCCCCAACAGAAAAGAGGTCCTGGGACCCCAGGACTGAGAAGAGTGCCCTGAGGTCACCTAGCACCCCACCCCATCACCCCATCACTTCCATGGAAAATTGATGGCCAAGAGGGCAGCTGGTGTCCAGAGACTGTAACATGATGAGGGCATGTCCAGGTTCCAAACTGGACCCAGTGGGTGGAGAAGAGATCTTCTTCCTCTTTTTAATTCTCTAAAACAGCACTACTACCAACAAAAACACCACCACTACCACTTCCTCCACCGTCAAACCCCCTACCTCCATCATCACCACCATCACCATCACTATCACCTCCAGCACCATCACCATCATTATTATCACTTCCACCATCACCACCACCACCATCACCACCATCACCATAACCATAACCTCCATCACCATCACCATCATTATTATCACCTCCACCACCACCACTACCACTTCCTCCACCGTCAACCCCCCACCTCCATCACCACCTCCATCACTATCATAACCACCACTTCCACCACCACCACCACCATCACCATCACCTCCAGCACCATCACCATCATTGTCATCACCTCCCCCATCATCTCCACCACCACCCCATAACCATAACCTCCATCACCTCCACCATCATTACTATCACCTCCACCACCACCACCATCACCACAATCATCGCCATCACCTCCACCATCATTACTATCACCTCCACCATCACCACCATTACCACCACCATCATCATCATCATCACCATCACCATCACCACCATCACCACCATCATTGCCATCACCCCCACCCCTACCACTACCACTTCTTCCACCATTAACCCCCTTACTTTCATCACCACCTCCATCACAATCATAACCACCATCTCCACCACCATCACCATTATCACCATCATTAAAATCACCTCCACCATCACCTCCACCACCACCACCATCATTCCATCACCTCCACCACCACCACCACCATCATCACCATCACCACCATCATTATCATCACCTCCACCATCACCACCATCATCACCATCATCACCATCACCGCCATCATTACCATCACCTCCACCATCACCACCAGCATCACCATCACCACCATCATTCCATCACCTCCACCACCACCATCATTCCATCACCACCATCATTACCATCACCTCCACCATCACCTCCACCACCACCACCATCGTCACCATCACCACCATCATTACCATCACCACCATCATTACCATCACCTCCACCATCACCTTCACTACCACCACCACCATCATCATCGCTAACAAGAACAACAACATTTGCCAAAGAAGCCCTCTCAATGGTCATCACTGGGTAGCCCATGGTAGCCGCGGCCATGTTTGTGTGTCTCCCACAAGTACCTCAGGCACCGCTCTGCACTCGAGGTGTTAGGGGAAGGTAGAGTGCAACAGCACTGGCCCAAGACCTTCCCAGAAGCTGCTCCTGAAGAGACAGAGACAGACACTGTGCAGTGGGTCCAGGCTGAGATGGGAAGGCAGAAGGTGTGTGGAGGCAAGGGAAGGGAGCATCTAAGGTTACCTTGAACAACCAGGAGGGCTCCCTGGAGGAGGTGCCAGCCACCTCAGTAGGCTGAAGAGGAGTTTCCTGGTGAGAAGTTTGGAGGAGGGTGATCTAGGCAATGTGCCCCAAAGAGAGCATGAGGGATCAATAGGGACAAAGGGTAGTGGAAACCAGGGCTGGAGCTCAGTGCAGGTCGGTTTGATGAGGGTGGGTGCAGGGGCTATGCTCCTGGGAGCCCCAGGGAAGTGCCTGCAGGGGCCCTATGGGGACAGGGCAGGCCCTATCACCCCATTTTAGAGCAAAAGACTGAAACTTCTGGGAGAAGGCCACTCACCCAATGCCGGTTTGAAGCCGATGGCTGTGTGGCCCCATGCGTGGCTCAGCAGGCTTTGCTCCTGCTCATCTCCGTGCCGTCCCTCAGCCAGGAAGACGGTTTCTTGGACTGTCTGCCTGGCTCACCCTTCAGGGCTCAGCAATGGCTGTCTTCCTCCAGGAAGCCTTCCCCGAACACCCCTGCCCGCTGCCTGTCTCCCTGGGGCTCTCATGGCACTGGGCTCTTGTTAGTTTCTGTGGCATTTTCCTTTGAAGGCTGATTTCTCCCCAAGGCCCTGGGACCCGGCCAGCATGGCCTGCCCATCGAACATAGTTGATGCCACCCCTCCGTCTCCTTCTGCCACCAGTCCTGGTGAATGAGCCCCTGGCCCAAATGGGCGAAGATTCTGCCTCGACAGGCTAGAAGCTTGCCCATGCTCTCCCCGCCGGGATATAACTGTGGGCCCCTCTGCCTGTCCCTCATCTGGCCTTTTCCATGCCTGCCTGGCCTGTGCCACAGGTCCTGGTGGGAGTGAAGGAAATCTTAGCGTCTCATAAAGTCTGCAGCTCTTTCTCTGGGCTTTTATTTTATCTTATTTTTTAGAGACAGAGTCTCACTCTGTCACCCATGCTGGAGTGCAGTGGCATGATCTCGGCTCATGGCGACCTCTGCCTCCCGGATTCAAGCCATTCTCCTGCCTCAGCCTCCCCACTAGCTGGGATTACAGGTGCGAGCCACCACGCCCAGCTAATTTTTGTATTTTTAGTAGAGATGGGGTTTCACCATGTTGGCCAGACTGGTCTCAAACTCCTGACCTCAGGTGAACCACATGCCTCAGCCTCCTAAAGTACTGGGAGTACTTTAGGAGGAGTGTGAGCCACTGCTCCTGGCCCTGGTGGAACTTTTAAAAGCCCAGAGAAAGACCGGGCGTGGTGGCTCACGCCTGTAATCCCAGCACTTTGGGAGGCCAAGGTGGGTGGATCACCTGAGGTTAGGAGTTTGAGACCAGCCTGGCTAACATGGTGAAACCCCGTCTCTACTAAAAATACAAAAATTAGCCAGGTGTGATGGCGTGCACCTGTAATCCCAGCTAGTGGAGAGGCTGAGGCATGAGAATTGGTTGAACCTGGGAGGCGGAGGTTGCCGTGAGCTGAGATCACGCCACTGCACTCCAGCCTACGCGACAGAGTGAGACTCAGTCTAAAGAAAAAAAAAGTTTCCACCACCAGAAACAGCCCTGCTGGATGGATCCTGTGCAGTAATATATCTGTTTTAATAACTCAGTGGTCCGCAGTGCCCTACGACTACAGCACCAGCTGTAGGCAACATAATTCAATTCAGGACCCAGCCAGCACTCTCTGAGCTTTCCGTTTGACTTGCACGT
This sequence comes from Homo sapiens, assembly GCF_000001405.40. Taxonomy (NCBI): domain Eukaryota; kingdom Metazoa; phylum Chordata; class Mammalia; order Primates; family Hominidae; genus Homo; species Homo sapiens. Next base: position 45,991,276 of record NC_000022.11, on the reverse strand, counting down.
GTTTTAATCTCCTGGGATCCGGATCAGTTTCCTCCTGGCCTGGCTCAATGAGAAGACCACATTTCAGCCACTTTAACTGGTGAGGAAATTAGCTTGATGTGTATATTTGAGGCATGTTGATATGTGTCATGATTCCCACCCCTCAAAATCTTTGTATGTTGGCTCCAGTTCCTGAAAAGAGTGTTATAAAAGCCCCAGCCCCTCCTTTTGCCAGGGACTTGTATGTACCCATTTCCCACCAGGCAGGGAGGGCAAAGGCACCTCAAGCGCTGAGAGGTGGCCCAGGATGCTGCACTCAGGGTACAGCTAAGAGTGCATTAGAAGTGGGGAGTGTTCGGGAGCTGCAGCTCTTTGTGGTCTCAGGCAGCCAGGAAATAGGGTACATGGGCAGGACCCACTGTCTCAGAGGTTAGGCCCTGTCCCTGGCCTTGGCCTGGACTTTCTTACTGCCTGCTTCCATGGGGTGTCTCACCTATGCCCTCCACCTAGCGCCTCCCTAGGGACCCTGGCTGCCCACCTGAAGGGGGTGACGGCTGGGCTGCCTCCCTGACGTGCCATCTGCTCCCTCCTTTGGGCACAGCAACTCTGAAGAGCAATCAGCCCCAGCCCAGGTGGGATCACTGCAAATGTGGCCTTCAAACTCCAGTAATCCTGGCAATGCCCTGGTCTCCGCAGTTAGTGTGACTCGCTGGTTGAGCTGAACACTTAGCGTGTGCCAGGCCCTCACTTAGGGCTTCATGCGCCCACAGATCAAGGTGCTGGGTGTCCTTTCACAGATGGGGAAGCTGAGGCTCGGGGTCACAGAGCCTGGTGGTCCACTGTCCCCGTCTCCAGACTCTGCCCCCAACACCCACTTTCTGTTCACTGTGGACCCAGGATCAGCTGTGACAGCTCCCGAGGAGGCCCCCCAGCACCCTGCTGGGTAGATGGTGTTACCTCCTTAAACCTCCCGGTGATGTGGACATTCACACCTTTGGTTGAGGTGTCCTGGAGAGGAATGATTTGCCCGAATCCCACGGCGTGTACACGGAAGGCCCGGGTTCGAATTGGACTCAGTCTGAGCTGTTGCCCGAAGTCTTCCGCAGCTGTATAGCCTTACAGCTATGAAGGCATTTTCTGGGCCTGGGTTGGAGCCCACCCTCACGCCCTGGCCACTGCCTCCTGATGGCCTGTGTGCATTCTCAGGCTGAAATGGGGACCCCTGTGGAGAGGGGCTAAGGAGTCCAGGTCTGTGTGCCAACCTCCCTAGGCGGCCCCTGCAGGGAAGGAAGATTGTATGGTCCAGCCAGGGACCCCAGGCCGTGGGTCTGATGCCAGATCTGCCAGCTGTAGTCACCCAGTAGGAGATGGCGAAACAGCCCTGGGGAACCCCACTGTCAGCACCAGAGTTCCTGGCTCCTGGGGCTAGCATGCTGGGGCTCAAACCCCTGCTTGATGACTGTGTGACCCTGGCAGCCTCCCTGGGTCTCGGCCTTCCCACCCTTAAAGCAAGAGGTTCAGACCAGATCAGTGGTTCTTGGTCGTTCATGGGTCCTGTGTGGTGTGGGGGAAGCAGGCCAGTTTCCAGGCGTCGATGCCATCAGTGGTCAGCCCTGGGGCTGTGACTCTTGGTGCCCAAGACTAAAACAGACACCCCATGACTTTCAGGAGATCACCCTGACAGGTAGGATCGTGGCTGCAGGTTTGCTTAAAACGAAATTGTTTATTTGGGCTGTTCTGATTCCTGCAAGCAGGAGCTCAGATGTGCCTGTGGCTCAGCTTAAGCCTGGCCACCCGGTCCCTGTCCTGGGGGTGTCCACGAAACAGGATGAATAGAATCTGGGTCCTCCACACCAAAAAGTCCAACGCTCATATCTTAGACCAGTGGTTCTCAACTGGAGCCAATTCTGCTCCCCGGGAGACATTTGGCAATGTCTGGGGATACGTTTTGTTGTCATACCTCAGGGGATGCTGTGTGCTAAAAGCGTCTAGTGGGCAGAGGCCAGAGACGCTGCTGAACATCCTACCGGGCACAGACGGTCCCCACCACAGGGAACGATCCTGCCCTGAATGCCCATGGTGCAGCCACAAGAAGCCCCAGCGGAGACAGGCAGCTGAGTGCTCGGTGTCGGGCCCTTGCCTAGAAGGATGAGGTCCAAATGGTGGCCTGGCTTTCGGTGGCCTTTGTGGCCTAACCCAGCCTCAGCCCTGGGTGCTGGGCACTCTGGCATCATGTGCTAGGTTAGTCCCACTGGGTCGTGGCACTTTTAGAGGGTGGGCTTTATGCAGGGAACTCTGGAAGGCTCAGATTCAGCCTTGGGCATCCATCTTCTCCCCATGGGGGACTCAAGCAGGAAATCAAAGGACTCTTCATTCTGTGGTGGGAGGCACTGGAAAGGGCCTTCCCTCCTCCTCCCTCAAAGCTCAAACCTGGATCTTCCACCAGCAGTCATCAGTGCAGGGTGGAGGTCAAAGTGACCCTCATGGAAGGAGGAGGTAAAGGACTGCCCAGGGCACATTGCTTTTGCCCACCAGCAAACCCAGCTTAGCCAGGGTCCTGGAGCTGCCCCATCAGGGCGGTGCTGGTCGGTTGCCACAGGCGAGGAGTGATTGTATGTTGGGGTCAGGGAGGGCCAGGAGCATCCCTCTCCAGACTCAGGTCCTTGGCTCTCCTACCGAGGAAGGGGTTCATGGACAAGCGCAGACCAGGCCTCACCTGGACTCCAGATCCTCATCTGCAGAGATGGGGGCTCGCCCCTGCCTCAGCCTCACTCAGCACACCTGGCCCTCATCACCTCCTCTCTCGGCTGACTGCCAGGCTCAGGCAGCCTGGAGTTTTGGTCAAGGTGCAGCTGGATGTGCTGGGCAGCCTGACCTCAGCTCTCCTGGTCCTGGAGAGGACTTTTGTTAGAGACACAGAGCATTTGTTTTAACATAGAAGATGTGATGTGAGTTTGTCTATGAGGCAGTCCCGAGCCTCCCTGTCAAATGCCTCACCTCCTGGGTTCATGACCCTCACAGAGGTCAGAAGTCACAGGGAGCCTACACATTTCATTCCCAGTGAACCCATGCTAGCTCCTGGTGTTACAGGATCTTTTGGGTGTCGTCTTTTTAGCTGGAAACCTCTGTGACCAGTGGCGTCTTTGCCTGAGTTTTTGTCCTGCATCCAGGAAGAATGAGGTATGCAGACAAGTAGAGGGTAAGCAAGACAAAGAGGAGCTTTATTGAGTATTAGAACAGCTCAGAGGAGACCTGCAGTGGGTAGCTCCTCTTTCTAGGCAGGTTGTCCCATCGAGTGTTCAGCTCTCCGCAGAGAGGAAGCCCCAGAGAGGGTAGTGCCTCTCTGCAGGCAGGTTATTCTGACATCTCCTCAGGTCTCTGAAGCTCTCAGCAGAGAGGGTAGCTCCTCTCAGCAGCTGATCAACTTGTAATCTGCTCAGCTCTGGCTGAGCCCAGGGTTTTTATGGGCCTCAGAGGGGAGAAAGTGCATGCAGATTGGTCCATGGGTAGCCATGGGCAGGCCCAGAAAAGGCACCACAAATTCCCATTCAGGTTGGTGGGACTGGAAGCCCAGCCTCCAGCCTTCAGGCCCTCCCTGGCCCTAAAGGTGGAGCCTCACGGGGGACCCGTCCCCTTCCTCCCAGGAATGTGCCTGCCTCCTGCTGCCATTCATGGCACCAGGGCTTGGCCCTGACTTTGCTTTGAGATCAAAGCAGGCACTGACGGCAGGGAAAAGCCAGGCAGTGGGAACAGGCACTTCCAAGCCTGCAAGGGCAGTGGGGGCCTTCCCAGGTCCCTGAGTGCAGAAATTCCTGAGTCTGCAGCTACAGTTTTGGTGGCTGCAGCTGTGCCTGGGAGGGTAGGGCTCTTGCCTGCTCCTGTCCCAAGAGCACAGGGATGCTCAGATCTGCAGCCACAATTTGGGCGGCTGCAGCCCCACCTAGGAGGGTGGGGCTCCGGCCTGCTCCATGGAGTATGCGGCCCTGGCCATGCCTCCCTGCTGCAGTCTGTGTGATGGCAGTGGGAGGCCATCTTGGAGCAGCCACTGCCGTCACTGGTGCTCACCCCCTCCTTCTGCTCCCTGGGCTCTTGGATATCCCTTAGCTTCTGCCCTGAATTGGGTCAAGCTCCTGGATTTGCCTTTGGGGGCTCCTCATTCTCCCTCCAGAAATGCCAGAGCTCTGTCTGCCCTTCTCTGGATGAGGGGTCCTGGTGGGCACACACAGGCTCCTGCTGGAAATCATCTGACGCCCGCAGCCTCCTCCCCAGGTGGCCCCTGCTCCCCATCCCCAGTGGGGACTCTGTCCCTCCTGGGAGGGACTGCTTCTCCCCTAGGAGCCCTCCACCTCCCTTGGCAAGGGCTGGGAACCCCCTAGGGGCTCAGGGTGTACACTGAGAGGACTTGGGGTGTGGACCTTCCCACGGAACTTTCTGCAGTTTACACGTTTGCCAGAACTATCATTTGCCAATTGTGCTTGATCTCTGGAGCCACCTGGGTGTTGATTAAACATTCAGATTCCTAGCCCCTTCCCTGAGATATTTCGGAGAAGTGGGCCTGTGGTAATGCTAAAAATTGGCTGGTCAGGCAAGCTGGGGACACTCCATCCAGGGCCCACCTCTGGTGCCCCCCTCTCTCAAAATCTTCAGTAGCTCCCCAGTGACCATAAGTAACGTCCTGCTCCTTAGCCTGGCACTCCGGCTGTCTGTGCGTGTGCCCTTGCCTCCCCCTTTCCTCTGCTCCATAACCTGCTGGGCCTCCAGGAGCCATTGCTCACAGGGCTCCATCATTTCAACTTCTGCTCCCCATCGCCACATGGCCAAGCCCTCCTGTGTTTGTTTTATAGTGTGTATATATTACTACGAACTGAGCGGCTTACAACCACATCTATTTATTAGCTCACAGTTCTGTACTTAAGAACTCCAGCCTGGCGTGGATGCCTGCACTGCTCAGGGTCTCCCAAGGCTGCAATCAAGGCATCCCAGGGCTGGATCTTATCTGGAGGCTTTGGAAGGGATCCTCTTCCAAGCTCATTTGGGCTGTTGGTAGAATTCAGTTCCCTGTGGCTGTAGGACTGAGGTGCCCATTTCCTGGTCAGCTGTCAGCCAGGGGCCACTCTCAGCTCAGAGAGCTCCTACATTCCTCACTTCAAGGCCCCTCCATCTCCGAAGCTAGCGATGACAGGGCTTCTCATGCTTCACAGCCCTCTGAATGGCCCTTTGGCCACAAGTCAGTAAAAACTGCGCCTGGAAAGGGCTTGCGTGATGGGGCCAGGCTCACTGGGAAAAATCTCTGTTTGACGAACTCAAAGGCAACTGTATTAGTCAGGGTTCTCTAGAGGGACAGAACTAATAGGATGTATGTATATAAGAAAGGTAGTTTATTAAGGAGAATTGAGTCAGATGATCACAAGGTGAAGCCCCACGATAGGCCGTCTGCAAGTTGAGGAGCAAGAAAGCCAGTGGTAGATCAGTTGGAGTCTCAAAACCTCAAAAGTAGGGAAGCCAACAGTGCAGCCTTCAGTCTCCAGCCTGAGACCCCCTGGCAAACTGCTTGTGTAAGTTCAAGAGTCCAAAAGCCGAAGAACTTAGAGTCTGATCTTCAAGGGCAGGAAGCATCCAGCACGGGAGATAGACGAAGGCTGGAAGACTCAGCAAGCCAGCTTCTTCCACTTTCTTCTTCCTGCTTTTTCTAGCTGCACTGGCAGCCCATTTGATGGTGCCCATGCACACTGTGGGTGGGTCTTCCTGAGAGTGGGTGTTCCCCTCTGTCCACTGACTCAAATGTTAATCTCCTCTGGCCACACCCAGAAACAATACTTCGCATCCTTCAATCCAATCAGGTTGACACTTAACCATCACAGCAACTGATTAGCAACCTTAATTACATCTTTTGCCACAGACGACAACAAAACCATGGGTGTGACGTCGGTTCATACTCATGGTTCTGGGACTAGGGCAGGACATCTTGGGGTGGTTTAGGATTCTGTCCACCATGCCTTGATTCCCTTCCAGGCCCCCTGCACCTGCCTTGGTCCTGCTGGAGTGTGCCCAGTGACATCATGAGCTCCTCATGACCTCATGTCCTCTTGCCATAGGACTGGGGGTCCTGGCAGCAAATTGTGAACACCTTACCCCATAGTCCCCACTCCAGGAGGCTGGGCCATGCGGTGGAAGGAGCTCAAGCTCTGAGCCTGACAAGCATGGGTTCAAATCCCAGCTCCACCATCTGTGTGACTTCAAGCACTTCCTTCTGTACCTCAGTTTCCTCATCTACACAATGAGTCCAGTAGCACCATTTCACAAGACTGTGCCAGGTGCAACAAACAAGCACCTGCTCCTTATCTAGAGGAACCAATACACGTTCAGTGTCACCCAAGCAGGAATTGCTGGGGTTCAGGAAATGCTTGTCAGTCACACCAGTCATAAGATGCAAGAAGGCAGCCGGGGTAGGGCAGCAAGAATGGAGTGACACTGGACATGCTGAGTTGGGCTCAAAGTCAAGTTCAAAAAAGTCCAGGTCAGGTCTCTGCCCTCTCCAGCTTATAGCAATGCTGGTTATGTATGCCAGCTGCTTCCTAGAAAATAATTCATTCATTCATTCATTCATTCATTCATTCATTCATTCAATAGTTGCTTAATTGAGCACTGACTACATGCCAGGTTCTGTCTTATGTCTTGGGGATAGAGCAGTAACCAAAGCAGGTGTTGCAATGACTCCTGTGGAGCTCATGTACTGGTGGGAGACAGACAGGAAAAAATAATGACATAGTGTCCTCAGTGTCACCAAGGGAACAGCAAGTGTTATTGTAGCAATTATCAGAGAGTATGTTTGTGGGGAGGAGTGTGGGCCCCCTCTGATGTGGGACATTTAAGCTGAGGCTGCATAAAACCAGAGGAAGAGCCCTGTGCTAAAAGAGAGCACATACAAAAGTCCTGGGGCAGGAACCACCCTGGACTTGTTCAAGTAACAGAAGGAACAACATGGAGAATGGAGAGGAGAAAGAAGCGGGCTCATTTACATGATGAGACTGAGGAACAGGCAGGGGCCAGAAGATGCCAGGCTGCAGGCCAGATCGGGACTTTGAATTTATTCAGAGAGCAATGGGGAGCCATAGAAGGTTTAAGCAGGAGAAGTGGCCTGATTTGGCTTGCATTTATCGAAAACTCCTCCAGCTGCCGGCTGGAAGATGCACTGCAGAAGGTCAGGAGAGGACGCAGAGGAGCAGCTGGGGCCTATTTCATCTTCTGGGTGGACTCAGACCTGTAGGTAGCAGTGGTGGAGGTGGGAGGGTAGGAGCAGGATCTGTTTTGGAATGAGGGCCGAAGGCCTTGTGAGTGTATTCTGTGTGGGAAGCAGAAAGGATGAGGAAGTGAGGGCAGCTTCTCGAATTCCATCTTGGGAAACTGGGATGAGGCTTTGTAGTGAAGGAATCAAGCTTCCAACTCTGGTGACAGTGACACAAACACACCCTGCAGGCAGCCCCTGGGGAAGAGGCTGGGTTACATGTGCACTCACAGGTGCGAGTGCTGGGCTCGGGCCCCAGGCCCTTATCTTGTGACCTCGGTGTCCTTACCTCCCCCTCCAGCCTGCCAGCCCCCAAAGTGGGGACGTGTTCTCTCCACATCCCAGGACCTCACTCCAGACTGGAACATCACGGGTGCTCAGAAATGCCTCTCCAGTGGGAGGACAAATGAACCCAGAGCACGAGGGTGCGGACAGGCCCTGCTTTGTAAGCTCACAAGGACTCAGGGGGATCCAGCAGCTGGGACAGGCCTGGCACAGCAGCTGTTCACTAAATGGGAGCTGTTACTATTATTTAAATCGCTTTTAACAGTCCCGTTCCCACACAAAACACATCCCAGTGTGACCAGTCCAGAAGCCCCTTGCCAGGGCACCAGAGAAACTGTTTGTACCCAGGAAAATACTGAAGATGAAGTCATCTTTCCTTTTATAATCTTAGATCTAGGGTGACCGACCATCCCTGTTCTCCCAGTACTGAGGGGTTCCTGAGATGTGGAACTTCCAGGGCTAAAACTGGGAACATCTCAGGAAAACCACACCCAGACCTGATTCCATCATTACAGCCCACACTGGTCCACATGGAGCAGGGTGAAGGTAGGGGGTGTGCTCTCTCCTCCCACAGCAAATCCATCCATCCATCCATCCATCCATCCATCCATCCATCCATCCTGTATTAAACATCCATCTGTCCGTCCATCCATCCATCCATCCATCCAACCATCCTGTATTAAACATCCATCTGTCCGTCCGTCCATCCATCCATCCATCCATCCATCCATCCATCCTGTATTAAACATCCATCTGTCCGTCCATCCATCCATCCATCCATCCATCCATCCAACCATCCTGTATTAAACATCCATCTGTCCATCCATCCATCCATCCATCCATCCATCCATCCATCCTGTATTAAACATCCATCTGTCCGTCCATCCATCCATCCATCCATCCAACCATCCTGTATTAAACATCCATCTGTCCGTCCATCCATCCATCCATCCATCCATCCATCCATCCATCCTGTATTAAACATCCATCTGTCCGTCCATGCATCCATCCATCCATCCTCCCAGTATTACACATATTCATCCATCCATCTTTCACTCTCACCAAACCCTCACCTCTGTTCTAGATGCTGGGAACGTGGGGATAAGTCAGATGTGGCACTGGCCTTAAGATGTCTAACCTGCAAGACACAGAGGAGGACCCTGGCCAAGGGCCAATGTGGTGTCATGGGCACATGGGCTGTCTAAATTGGAAACCTGACCCTGTTGCTCCCCTGTATGGAACCAGTTCATGGCTCACACCGTGCTCAAGGTCCAGCCCAGGATCCTTGTGTGGCCAACCAAGGCTCTGCCTCCACTCCAGCCACACGGAACTTGTCTCTCCCCACAGGGGCCATGCTCTTCCGGATCTCAGCTTCTTGCAGGTCACCTCCTCCAGAAACCCTCCATGTTCAGAGAAGGCAGACCCAATAGAGGCAGCTGCTTAAAAAGAAAGTCCGGAGTCCTTGCTGCCCAGAGAAAAGAAAGAGGCCCCAGGGCGCCTGTGAGTCCACCATGGGCCTGGCGGAGGGAGGTGTGGTGGGCTTCTCCCCTACACTCCTGCACTTCAAGGAGACCTGGGCAGGGCACATGGATGCTTGCCCCAACGCCCCATGCAATTAGGGACTGGTCCTACTTATGGCCACCCCACAGTCAGCTCCTCTCAGCCTTCTCTGGGAACTGTGGGGCTAGTGGAGGGAGGTGGTCTGGCAGTGGGATCAGGCACCTGGCTTGTCTTTTTGGGCCACAACCTAAGCTCTGCCTGGCACAGGCCTGTAGGGTCAGGACATAGAACATGCACTGATTGAAGGCCCGTGTGCACTGGGCACTGTACTTGTTTTTAGGTTAATCTTTTTTTTTTTTTTTTTGAGACGGAATTTTGCTCTTGTTGCCCAGGCTGGAGTGCAATGGCGTGATCTCAGCTCACCGCAACCTCAGCCTCCCAGGTTCAAGCGATTCTCCTGCCTCAGCCTCCCAAGTAGCTGGGATTACAGGCATGTGCCACCATGCCCAGCTAATTTTGTATTTTTAGTAGAGACTGGTCTCTACTAAAGACCATGTTTGTCAGGCTGGTCTTGAACTCCCGACCTCAGGTGATCTGCCCGCCTCGGCTTCCCAAAGTGCTGGGATTACAGGCATGAGCCACCACGCCTGGCCAGGTTAATCTTTTTTTTTTTTTTTTTTTTTTTGAGACAGAGTCTTGCTCTGTCGCCCAGGCTGGAGTGCAGTGGCTGGATCTCAGCTCACTGCAAGCTCCGCCTCCCGGGTTCACGCCATTCTCCTGCCTCAGACTCCCGAGTAGCTGGGACTACAGGTGTCTGCCACCACGCCCGGCTAATATTTTGTGTTCTTAGTAGAGATGGGGTTTCACTGTGTTAGCCAGGATGGTCTTGATCTCCTGACCTCGTGATCTGCCCACCTGGGCCTCCCAAAGTGCTGGGATTACAGGCATGAGCCCCTGTGCCCGGCTGGTCAATCATTTTTGAGTTAACTCATTCCCCTGTCAGAAGAACCCCATGGAGTGTGGGCTCATGATTACTATGCCCAGGCTGGGGACATTGACAGTTCTACCTGCGGTCACACACAAACATACGCCACACACAACACACACCACACACACACACACCACACACATGCACACATGACACATGCACACACACCATACACACCACACACAACACATACACAGCACACAAACTTACAACACACAAACACAACACACAAACACAACACACAACACACACAAACACACACACCACATATGCACACACACCCACACAACACACAACACACAAACACACACCACACACACACCACACAAACAACACACGCCACACAAACAACACACGCCACACACACCACACACACACCACACACAAAACACACAACACAGAAACACATAGCACACACAGGTAAGAAGTAGCTGAGTTCCATGGAGCCCAGAGGTGACCATCTGGGGCCCCAGGGTGTCCTGACTTTGGAGACATCAGGCCTTGACAGTTCTCCATGCTGACTGGGAACCAGAGAGGCTTCCACTCCCAGCAGAAGCATAGGCTCCACCTCCGCCCACTCAATCACCCCCTACCCACAACAGGCGTGGGGACCCTTGGGCCTGGATCCCGGCCACCCTCACATTCGAGATGATCAGAGCCATGATCCCATATGGGGGGACAGTGGACCTGCCTGTGGTCATGCAGACCTCTGAGGCCTGGGACCAGCCTTTGGAGTCCCAGCTGGGTGGAGGCTCAGACACAGCTGCCCTGTTGCCCTGGGGACTCCTGCTGCCTGTGTGTGGTGTGAGTGTGGTGTGGTATGGGTGCATGGTGTATGAATGTGGCGTGTATGCGTTGTGTTGTGTGTGTGGTGTTCATGTGTTGTGTGTGTGGTGTGTTGTGTGTGTATTTGTGTTGTGTATGTGTGGTGTGTCTGTATGGTGTGTGTGTGCTGTGTATGTGTTGTGGGTGGTGTGCTATGTGTGTGTTGTGTGTGTGGTGTGGTGTGTTCATGTGTGTTATGTCTAATGTGTGTGTGATGTGTTATGTGCGTTGTGTGAGTTGTGTTTTTTGTGTTTGTGATGTGTGTGGTGTGTGTTGTGTGTGATGTGTTTGTGCATAGTGTGTTGTGTGTATTGCATTGCATGTGTCTGTTGTGTTGTGTTTGCGTGTGGTGTATGTGTGTTGTGTTGTGTGTTGGGTGTGTATTGTGTTTTGTATGTGTTGTGTGTGTGTTATATGGTGGCTGTGTGTTGTGGGTTGTGTTTGTGTGTTGTGTGTGCTGTGTTTGTGTGCTGTGTGTGTAGTGTGTGTTGTGTTGTGTGTTGCGTTTGTGTGGTGTGTCGAGTGTTGTGTGTTTGTGTGATTTCTGGTATGTGCTGTGTGTATGGTATGTGTGGTGTTTGTGTGGTGTGTGTTGTGTGGTGTATGTTTCTGGGTTGTGTGTGTTATGTGTGTTGCATGTGTTGTGTGATTTGTGTATTGTGTGTTTGTGGTGTGTGTGTGTTGTGTGTGGTGTGTGTTGTGTGTGTTGTGTGTGGTGTGTTTTTGTGTGGAGTGTGTTGTGTGTGGTGTATGTGTGTTTTGTGTCGTGTGTTTTGTGTGTGTGTGGTGTGCGTGGTCTGTGTTGTGTTTGTGTGTGGTGTATGTGTGTGTGTTGTGTGTGGTGTGTGGTGTGTTTTTGAGTGGAGTGTGTTGTGTGTGGTGTATGTGTGTTTTGTGTCGTGTGTGCGTGTGTGTGTCGTGTGTGTGTGTGTGGTGTGTGTTGTGTTTGTGTGTGGTGTATGTGTGTTGTTTGAGTGTGGTGTATGTGTGCTGTGTGCGCGTGGGCTGTGAGCTCCTCCCACCCCACATTTCCCCAACCTTGGAGCCATTCAAAGACCTTCGGAGACCACGACGGAGAAACCGGACCCCGTGGTGGGAGCGACTCGCTGGGTTGAGAGCAGCCCGGACCCCGCTCAGCCCCGCCCTTCTCCGCGCCCTTCTCCGCACGCCGGCTCTCCCCGCGGCCGACAGGGGGCAGCACCACGCCGCGGTCCCTCTGCGCTCCGAGGCGCGGCTCCGCCTCCCGCTCTCCCGGGGAAACCGAGGCACTGAGACGCAGCCGAGGCTGCGAACGAACCCGGGCATCCCGCCCACCGACCGTAACCCCCTCCTCTCCCGGATGAACCCCGCCCGGCCGGTCCCAGAGCCGACCCCACCTCGGGCCGGAAGAAGATCGGGTGGAGGTTGGCGCGGCTGGGTCGGGGCTCAAGCGCCCAGACCCGCCGCAGGGAGGCCGCCGGTGCAGTCCTTGTGGTTCCAGCTCCGCCACAGCCCGACAGCTCCTGGCGATCCGCCCAATTAAAGGGCGCCGAGACTGAGGCTGGCGGCAGTGGGGACAGGGTCCCGGGCTCCGGGAGGGGATGGGGTTCCTGCCTCATGGCCCCGGGGCCTGGCGTGGCTCCGCCGCCCGCCACCTCCAGCCCCTGCGCGCCTGAGTCCCAGCTCCCTCAGTGCCGCCGCCGGGTGGCAGCATCCGCCCGCGCCCGAGCTGCGCCCGCGCCCGCGCCCGCCACTGGCTGCGAGGGCCAGGCCAGACCCTCCTGCTCCCCGCGTCCAGCTTCCAGGCCGTGAAATGGGGGTGGCTGCCCTAGAGTGGGGCTCTGGGGAGCAGGGGCCACCCAGGGGTGGAGCTGCTATTGCCATTTCACTTTTTCCTGTGTCTCGGTTCCCCTGTGTGTGCTGATCCCCAATGTCCCTTTTATCTGGGAACCCTCCCCATCGGCGCACGGGGCTCGGCGGCACCGGGGGCCTCAGATCGAGGGGCCCAGGAATGACCTGCACCGGGGTCGTGGCAAAGGTTCAGGGATTTGGAGGGATTAAGAAGGGATCAGGGGCGGGGGTCTGGCGGGACTGCGGCGGGCAGGGGAGGCAGGCTCTGAGCTCGAGGTCCCTACCCAGGCTTGGCCAGGTGGGACAGGGCAGCCGGATGCATACACAGACTCTCGCCTTGGTGGCCGCAGTCCCTGCTGGTCCTCGGGGACTGAGCTCTTCCCTGTCCCATCCGCCTGCAGCACCGGGAGCCATCCAGGGCTGAGAAAGCACAGAGCAGGCAGGGAGCCTGGCCTGGACAGCGATCTGGCTGTGGGTCTGGGTCTTGCCCACTGAGGACAGACCAGGCTTGGCGCAGCAGGGTCTGCGGGACTCTGGCGCTCGTTCGCCCTGAATCAGGCTAGCCGAATCAGGCTAGATGGGCTTTGGGTGTGCGCGGCACCGAGTCAATCTGACTTCGGGCTCTCCTCAGGGAAACTGAACACAGCTGGGCGCTGCAGAGGAAGCCACGAAAACCATGGCGCAGGGGCAGGGACTCTGGGGGCCAGGAGCCTCCCCCAGTGCCGGGGAAGCCCCTCAACCTCCTTCCACAGGCCTCCATCACGGCGCTTGGCCAATGGGTTCTGCAGGAGGTCACGCATGCCATCTCCCTGCATGTGGCCAGGTTAGCCCGTCTGTCATCTTTCAGGTCCCAAAGCTGGGCTAGCGCAGGTGGCAGCAGTGCTGGGACCTGGGGTTGTGGGAATCTCCCATTGAGGTTTGCTGGAGTGGCAGCGATGCCTGGACTAAAAGGATGGCCCCAGAGTACCCCATGCGGATAATTTTTGGGGGTCAGGGAAGTGCACTCGGAGAGGCAATGGGAGTGGGTGGTCTCTCCCTCCCCCACCGGAAACTGGAAGCCAAGTGGCACCGCGACCTGTACCAGTAGTTTCCCGCCCCCACCTGTACCCCCGCCCCTACCCCCGCGTGCGCGGAGGAGCGCAGGTGTCTCTTCCGAGCCGCACCCTCCCCGCACCCCCACCACTCGTCACCCAAGCCCTCTTCCCCCGCCCAGTCCCCGGAGGGCAATCGGAAGGGAGCTGGCCTGGGGAGGGGGGGCCGGGGGGTAGATGCGTTTGTGTGTCACGGGGGAGGGAGGAGAAAAGGGAGGGGAGAGCCAGGGAGCGAGGGAGAGAGCGCGCGGCGAGCGAGGAGGGCGGGCGGGAGGCGGATCCTCCTACCTGGGGCGCGCTCGCTCGCTCGCGGCTCGCTTGCCGGGGCCGCGAGTCACCTGGGGCGGCCGACAAGTGCGGACACATTGGCCGCCGCGGCGCTCGGCGAGGCGCTCACGGCCTCAGGCGGCTGCGCCTAGTGCAGGCTGCACCCGCCCGCCAGCCGCGCCCGGGCCCCCGGCCCGCGCTTGCAGGGGTCCACGGTCGCTCAACCGGGCTTCGAGGTCGCGGCCCCCAGCCTGGGTCAATTCCCCGGGCTCACGCGGCGGTGGCGGCGGCGGCATCCCGGGCTCACCATGGTGGCAGCGCGCGCCGAGTGCCCGCGCGTCGCCGGCCGCCCGAGCCGCAGCGCGGGCTGAGCGCAGTCTGCCCGCAGCCCCCTGGCCCCTGCCCGGCCCTGCCGGGCCCGCGCGTCCCCTCCGGCCGCCGCTGTCTATGGCGCAGCCCCCCTCCCTGGATCATGCACAGAAACTTTCGCAAGTGGATTTTCTACGTGTTTCTCTGCTTTGGCGTCCTGTACGTGAAGCTCGGGTGAGTACCCCGTGGGCGAGGGCAGCAGCCAGGGGCCAAGACAGCACGAAGGAGCTGCCTCCGGGGCGTCCCCGTGGGGACGTGGGGACTGGAGGGGGCCACTGCAGCTCTCTGGGCTCCGGGGCTGGCCCGTGTGTCAGACCCTCGCCCCACGCCAGCAGAGACGCAGCCCAACCCCCTGAGCTCCCGAGAGGCGCCGAGCCCAGCGCGGGAGGAGAGAGAGCGGGGCGCGCGGGCGGTCCGGCCGGGCTCGCGGGTAGCGGCGAGCGTGCCCGGCGCGTACTTTCACCTGTTTGGGCTCCAGGCCCCGGGGGTGGGACGCGCCTTCCCTCCCCCGGGCTGCGCTGGGCGCCGAGCCCGGGCCGAGCGCTCGCCGCCTGGAGGGTGCGCCGGGGCGGGGTCGGGGGGCGTCCGGCGCCTGCGGAGGCCCGGGAGGGCGGGGGGCGCGCACCCGGCCGCGAGCGCGCAGGCCGGGGCACCCGCCGCGGCCCTTCGTCTCTATCCATCACCCAGACGTGTTGAAATTACCTTGACAACTCGTCCGGCTGGCTCGGGATGGGCCGTGGGGCCGGCCGGGCCGCCTCGGGCTCGGTCCGGGGCCCGTGCCCCGCCCGCCCGGGGCCCTGGGCCCTGGGCCCGGCCCCCTCTCGCCGCGCTCCCCCTGGCGCGGCCCGGCGGGCGGGCGCCCGGCGAGCCGCGCTAGCTGCTCTCTGCGGTAGCTGCTCCGAGTCGTATTTCCACATTCCTGAACCCAGCCGAGTCCTTACCTGTTGAGCCGCGATCTCCTTTAGACAGAATCTGTCTCGGCTTCGCTCGAAGTGGGGGTGGAGAAACGGCGTGACGGAGAGGGGGTGCGGTGCACCTCGCCTGGGGCGCCCACCGCCCGCTGCTGGCCCCGCGCTCCTCGCACCTGCGGGGACCCGGGCCCCGCCGCGCCCTGCGCGCCTACTGTGCGCCGCCGGCTGCCCCGAGGCGAGCCCCGTCCAGGCCACAGGCAAGGCGGTGAACAGACCCGCGGGAGGGGCAGGTGCAGGTACCACTGGTGGGAGACGCGGCTTCCCAGGCGGAGAGGTGGAAGCAGGCGCTGGGAATCGTCTCTCCATCACCCTCCATCCCATGTCTGCCCCGCCATTTTACAGGTGGAGAAACTGAGGCCCAAGGCCTGCAGAGACAAAGCCAGTGGCTTCAGAGGCAGGACTGGAAGCCCCCGTCCTAGCCTGAGCCCTGCAGGTCTGGGCGGGCGTGTCTGCGGCTGCCGGTAGCCCCGTTTATCATAGGTCTGTGGGTAGGCTGTGTCCCTGGGTGTTTGTTTATGGAGGTGAGGGGTGCGGGGCATTGAGCCTGCTGGGCGGGGGGTGGAGTGGGCAGGCTGCTCTTTTCCTGCATCTTCAGCAGTCCTGCAGTGACTCCCGCTGGGCCCCTCAAAGTGATGGCAACCCTTAATGAGGCTTTGTCCCTGCAGCCTGATTCTCAGCGCTGAGGCCTTCCCCCTCCTGGCACCCCTAGAGTAGTTAGGTGCTTTTACTCTCCCGGATTCAAGGATTAGGAAACTGGGCACAGGACCTAAGTCACTGTCCTCAGAATTCAGTGACAGAGCTGGGGCTGCAGTTGGCTCTGACCCCCCACTGTGGGCTGCTGTTCCTAGCGTCCATTCTTCTGCCTCAGTCATCGGAAAGCAGCCCTTCCTCCCACGAGTGAGTGGGTGGGAAGACCTCTAGGAACCCCCATAGACAGCAGAAGGAGCTGACGGTCCACCCTAGCCCGGCTCCTGGGGCTGCTTCCAGGGCTTGAGGTCTGTATGCCCTTCCCAAGCCTCCTGGTCCCTTCTGTAAACAGGGATTGCAGCTCTGGCCATCCTGAACAGGATGGTGGCCAGTGTCTGAGAGAGGTCTGAGTGAGCAAGACCCCACCGGGCCTCCGTGTAGCCCAGCCTGAGCCCCGGGCACCTGTGTCAGCCTCCCTCTGGGAGGGGGTAAGAGTGAAGCAGTGGCTGAGCTTCCTTCTGTGTGGCCCTGGCTCTGCCCTCAGGCCCCACCCAGGGCCCCTGGAGGGGAAACTCCTCCCCCTGGTGAGCCAATCTAAAACACACACTCCCCACCCACCTCCTGGATTTCCAAAATGTGACCTCCGAACACCCTGTGGAATGGCAAGCAGGAAAGCCAGAGATCTACCCTGGGATCTGCTAAGGGAAGGAGAGCCAATCCCTCCCTCGAGGCTCAGCCCCTGCCCGCCAGGAATGGAGAGAAGGGCCCTGCTTTCTTTGCAAGCCATCTTGGCTACGCGCAGCGGTAGAAGGGGGAAGCTGGGCCCAGGTGTGTCGTCAGGGGTTAAATGACCTGGAAGCCCATTGCATTAAGGAGGAGGTTGGGGAGTCTGGGACCAATGGGCTGTCTGTTCTGTCCTCCTGTCACTCCTAGCCTGTGGCCTTGAGTGAGCCCTTTAACCTCTCAGCCTCCCTTTCTTCATCCAAAAAATGGGGTCACAACACCCCCTTCACTGCGTGCTGCCTGTGTTACTCCTGAGGGCCTTTGCCCTGTGGGTGCTGGAGATATGTGTCCCAATGAACACCTGTAGATACCAGGAGAATCTTTCTTATTGTTAATGACTGTGATGTCACTGAGGCTGACACCCTGGGGACTCCTCCAGATGGTGTATTCCAGGGCATCTGCATCCCAGGAGCTGGGATTTTCAGGGTCATAAAGTTCTGACCAAAGATCAGAGGTTGTATGCATGGATGGGGTATTACGTGATCACTTCCCTGCATGCTGCCTGTGTTTAATTACACGGGGGGCCACCTGGGCACGTGCAGCCATCACACACATGTGCCCCTAAGCCTGGTGCAACTCACATGTACAACCCCTGGAGGACTCCAGTACCAGCTGGAACCAGAACTCAGCCCTCACAATGCCCTTAGGGGTCAGGGCCCTAAGAACAAATGCACCTGGGATTTGGAGCAATTTGAAAACCTGATGGCTTCAGGGAGTCAGTTTCTCACCCAGGGCCCTTTTTGGACTGAGCGGCCTTCAGCTCCAGCCTTGGAGGAGGCCAAAGCAGAACTCAGAGGAGCCCGTCTGGAGTCTGGACACTCTCTGCTCACTGGAACTGGAGTCGCTGCAGTTCTAGGACCAGCCCTGCCGAAAGCCTGTCCCTGCCTTTGGGGCCAGAAGCAGAGGGGCCCGAGAGCCCTGGACTAGGGGGGATGAAGGTGGAGGAAGTGGCTGCTTCCTCCTGGATGATGAGCCTCCACACCAGGTCTAGAAGTTAGAAAATCCTCTTCCTCAGGACGACGGGCCAGACCGCCCAGCCTTCCCTTGTCTTGCCATCTTCCTGCTTTGTGCTGTGATTCAGATGTAAAGGGATGGTCATGTGGAACCAGAATTGGCTAACGACAGGAGGTGGGACACTAGACCTATGTTTCTGGGCTTAAACAAAAAATAAAAGGAACTCGAGGAGGGAGAACGTCTTTGTAGGTCTACTTCTCCACAAACCCATCCCCGCCAACCGCTCAAAGGAGAGCAAAAGAAGCAGGATGGGGAAGCCAGAGTGGGGAAGCCTCTGTGTGAGGAGAGCAGCACCTGCTGGCGATGCCTTCCCACTGGCGGCCTCTCCAAAGAGGTGCCCAGGCAGGGTCGTGCAAGCTCAGCACCAGCACAAGGCTGGGCCTGGTTAGCCATGGCAGTGCCTGTGTG
The DNA here is from genome assembly GCF_000001405.40 of Homo sapiens. Taxonomy (NCBI): domain Eukaryota; kingdom Metazoa; phylum Chordata; class Mammalia; order Primates; family Hominidae; genus Homo; species Homo sapiens. The sequence goes on along the minus strand of NC_000022.11, from coordinate 45,972,994 downwards.
CGACCCACAGCCAGCCTCCCTAAACCCAGGGCACACGGGGGCAGAGGCTCAGGACACTCAATGCATCTGTGCACACACACCTGTCCTCACAGACTGCCCACGCTCCCGCAGGCACACACAGGCACATGTAGGCACATGCATGCACACACGCGCATACGTTGCCGAGCACAGCCCCCCAAGAGGAGCACAAGCCTCCGCGCAGTTCCCCCGGGGAGCCGCCCCCACGTGCACCTTCTGGAGCCAGGCCAGAGCTGTGTGGCTCCCTAAAGGTGGGGGTACGGGTGTCCCAGCCAAGGCAACTTGGGCAAGCCCTGGAGGCGGCTCCCACCGCACGCTCCGGTCAGCCTCCCCTTTAAAAAAACCCGCCGGGGGAGGAGGCGGATGTAGGGGCGGCCCGTCCAATGGCAGCTGCGCGCCTCGGGAGACTTGGAGAAGTGAGCCAGAGCGAGCGACAGAGCCGGTTCGCACCGACAGACGGACGGAGGTCCAGACCGCAGCCAAGGCGCGCCCGCTGCCCCCGGCCGGGTCCCCGCCCCGCACTCCAGCCCCAGCTCCCGCCGCTGCCCCAGACCCAGCGCCATGCGCGGCCCTAGCGGCGGGGCACGGGCGACAACTGCGCCCGGGCCCACGAGACCCGGCCCCTAGCGCCCAGCGCCGCCGCCCTGCATCGGGGAGCTCCGCGGGGACCCCGGCCTCAGCTGGCCCAGGCGCCCGGCCCGCGGAGCCTGTTCAGCCCCGCCAGGCACGCCGGCCCACCATGCTTCTACTGTCGCCGCGCAGCGCGCTCGTCTCCGTCTATTGCCCGCAGATCTTTCTCCTCCTGTCCAGCGGCAGCTACTTGTGAGTGCCGCGGGCGGCGTGCGGGGTGGGCGGGTGGGCTCCCCCCGGGCCTCCAGCGCTGGAACCGGGCGGGCAGGGAACGCGGCAGCGAGGCCCCTGGGCGGGGCACCGGGTGACCGTCGCGCGCGGGAGCCGGGGGACTTTAGGTCGCCTCGCCAGCCTAAGCTGCCGAGGTGGAGCACTTGGCGGGCAGCTACGGCAGTGAGAAGTCCTGGCTCTGGGGTCAAAGAAAGGATGGCCTGAGAGCGGCTCGACTGCGGGAGTAGAGCAGGCTGTGCACGCCCAGCGCGAGGGCCCGCGGGCACGCGAGCGGCGCCGAGATTCCCTGCGCGTCCCAGCAGAGTCCTGGACCAGCGGGGGACCCCTCCCCATATTAACCCACGCGGCGCGCAATACCATGCCACACTTGGGAGAGCCGCACTCACACACCCGCTCCCTCGTGCAAACACCGGCATGCACGTGCACGCCGCGCTTCACCGGACAGCGCCCGGACTGTACCCCGAAGTCGCTGCGGCTTCTCGCGCCTTCCTGCCGCGCTGGGTAGCCTGATCCCTGCCCCTGCCGAGTCCTCACCTGGGGGCGAGGAGGACGCGCATTGCGTGCTGGCGGCCGCGTTCGCCCAGTTGTCTCGGCCAAGGGAGAGCGCGGAGCGTGGGCGCGCGTGTGTGTGCCCGGCAAGGCAGAGCCCACGGGGCTCTGAGAAGCTCCGGGCAGGGCCGAGTCCAGCCCAGTGAGCCCAGGGGGCGCGCAGTGGTGGCTTCGCCGAATTCCTAATGGGACGCATATGCTCTGGCCTCTGACTTAAAAAGAAGTTTCATTTATGGAACCGCCGTTTGGGGGAATTTAAGCTGGATGCTACTGATTAAACCTCAGAGCCTGCTCTCCCTCCCCTTCTCTTCCCTTCCCCCTCCCCCTCCTTTACACGCGGGCCACGTCCGGGGTCGCCTGACGCGGCCAGAGGGGGCAGCCGCTGCCTTCCCGCTCCCTGCGCCACCCCCTCCCCCCATGCGGTTGCAGTCCTAATACATCGCCTCGCCCCCACCCCCATTTAATAAAGACGCAGCCAATTTCTCCTCTTGCTCCTAGGAAATTACTATCCTACCAGTTTTCCTTCTATAAATAGTCGCGCATCTTGAAACAAAAGTTCGCAACCGCAGCCAGATGCTGCGAGGCCCGCGGTTTCCCGGGCTGTGGGACATAATTACAAGGTCCGGGCACAGAGAGCGCTCCAGGCCCGGCGGGCAGCCCCGGCTGCGGAGGCATCGCCTGAGGGGGGCGGGGCAGCAGGGCGCATGCGGGTGGGGACCGCCTGAGCAGTGGGGACCCAGGCTGATAAAGTGCCAGGGTCCCTGGGTCCTGCTTCTGGTGTCCTTTCCAGGAACTGGATCAACCAGGGGACTTTGGAATTTCAGCGTCTAGCGGTTGGAGGCCAGGAAGCCTCCCCCTCCCCAGAATCCTGGCGTTTCAGCCTTAGGCCTTGCTAGAGAATTGGCAGCTCCGGTGCTTGGGAAATCAGTTTTGGAGCCGGCTGGCTGAGGTTCGGTGTTCATAGAGAGGTGTCCGGGGTGGGAGACCAGGAGTCCTGCGGAGGTGGAGGCAAGGGAAGTGGGGGGGTTGGGGGTTGGGGTAAGGGTCGGAGAGAGGGAGGTGCGCAGGGGCCCCAGAAGCCTGGTGGGAGTTGATGCCAAGGCAGCAGTGAGGGGCCTCTGGGGCAAGGTGGTGCCCAGTGTACCTCTGCAGACCCCGGGTTTACCTCAGGGCTGGCCCCTCATCCGGGCCTGCAGTGACTACCCCCGCCAGGCTTGCTCCTGGAGTGTGCACTGCCCAGCTGTGTTGGCAGAAATTCTCCTAAGGAAACAGTTTTTCCAGGCATCCCTGGGCCAGTGCTGGGGTCTGGCCTGGGTCGTCGGGGACAGGAAGGCAGACTGCATCCCTGACTTGCCCTCAGTAGCTCCTGCCCCACAGGGAGGAAGACGCTGACGCCAGCCTTCCCCAAGCGGAGAGGAACCCAGACACGTTCCCGGAGTGAGGGGGGTGGGTCTCAGATTTCCCTTGCCCGGTTTGTTTGGTGGGCGCAAGGCTGACCATAGATGGGAGTAGGGCCTGCGCGATTCGGTTTGAATGAAAGCATGCAAAGTGAGAAGACCTTGGTTTCGATGTCTCTGACCCGATGGCTGCACTTGGGGGAGGCAGCCAGCAGCAAGTGCTTGGAGAGCTGTGAGAGGTGGGGGTGAGTGTCAGCCGACCCTCAGCACTGCAGGCGCACTCGATGGCATTGGCCTTTGGATCTGAGGATGCCTGGGCTAGGAGGGTCGCTGGGTGGAGGCTTCATTCTGCTCCAGAGAACTTTCAGGAGCTTTCCAGATCCCATTGCTGGGATCCCAGACGCTGGCTGACAGCTGATCCTCCCCCTTTCATCTGGACTGCTCCTCTAGCTCCCTGTCCTGGGCTGTGGTCGGTGCACACCGAATCCCAGACGCATGCCTGGGCCCCTGCCACTGATCAGGTTGGACGGGTGTGTTGGCCTGGAAGCGCCCTGCGCCCCTGCTACATGCTGACTTGCAGCCGTGCTAGGCGGCTCTGGCCAGCCCTCGCCTTCTCTGTGCAGAGCTCTGTTGTCAGTGCAGGAGCTCCCAGGGCCAGCGGGGGTCAGTAAGGGCCCAAGGGAGGGCAGGTAGGGGACTGCAGGCCAAGAGGAAGGCTTGTGGTGCTGGGTCAGCTGCAATGGGGGCCTGGCTGAGGCCTTGACCAGGACCAGGCTGCGCTTCTGTCCCAGGCAGGTCTCTTCCGCTCTCAGTCTTCCTCTCCCAGATGTGGGGGTTGGCTCTGACGACCCCCCCAGGTCTTCCGGTAGGAGCCTGTCATGGTGACCGCCTGCTCTGGGGAGCCAAGTGAGTCATGGGTGACGGGGCGGTTACTCACCGACCACCTGGCTGTGGCAGGGTGGGGGGGCACTTACCACGGCCCCGCCAGGCCAGGCCTCTTCCCGGCTCCACCGCTGTGGCTTTGTCAGCGGTGCCAGCCACAGTCCCAGAAGTGCTGTGGCCATGACCCTCGAGGGGGAGGAGATGAACCAGGCCTACTCCCATGGCACCATGGCCCGTGTGGGGACAGGATGCGCCCCGTGGCTCAGGCGTGTTCAGGTTGCCCTTGGGGGAGGGGCAACTCCCAGCCTGGAGGGTCTGCGTCTATCCAGGTCTGGGAGGGGCTCTGCTGTGTGCCCTGAGCAGGTCCATGAGCCTCTCTGGGCCTCAGTCTCCTCATGGGTCACTTGGGATGGTGATCCCTCTCCCAAGGCTCAGATCAGGCCACGTGTAGTTGGCACTTGAAAGTGTAGAACGTTCCATAGAGGGTGTGCATGTGGGGTTCAAGCTGGGAAATCTGATGAGATCTCAACTGGGGACCCCCCACTGGAGGTGGGCAAGTGGAGCCTCCCTAATCACAGGAAACTCCCCAGAACTCATCACCAGGTGGACGAGACCCAACAACCATTGGCTAAAGGGGAGAATGTGCATCCTGGACCGTCTGTGTGCAGAGGGAGGACAGGAGGTCCTGGGGTGACGCTGGACTCCACGGTTGTGCACTGAGGCCTGTAGGATAATGCGCCGTTTTCTAACATGGTTTCCCGTGAGGCCAAAGGGCATGATAGTGACTCAGATCTGGGTCCTCATCCTGACTCCACAGGGCCCTCACTGCCTGGCTGTGTCCCAAGGCCCAGCTCTTCCCTCTCCAGTGCAGATCACGGGAGCACAAACCTCACCGGGTGGCTGTGGGAAGCTCTAGCTTGATGCCTGGTGTGGTCGGTGTGCAGGAGACAGGCCATTCTCAGCTATCAGGAACAGGGAGGTTGGCCACAGGCAGCACAGAGGGAGGCCCAGTGGCTGTGTTCATTCAGGAAGGAGTGGTGGACCCCCTAGGGCATCTCAGAGGGCTTCCCAGAGGAGATGACTCTCAGACAGGGTTTTGAAGGATGGATAGGAGTTGGCCAGACTAAACAGGCACATGAAAGAGACCCCTAGAAGAGGGAACAATACTGTCAAACACATTCACCAGGGGTTCCCCTCCAGGGAGGCTCAGAACATCTTGCTGAGGTGGGCCGATGGGATGCCAGGATCCAGAGAAGAGGCTGTTTCCCAAGGTCACCTTGGATCCCAGGGGTTCAGCCCTCCCAGTTCCAGCTCCTCACCCAGTGCCCGCGCTGCCTCTGAAGGGAAGCTCCCCCTATGCAGTCCCACGGGGAGTGGAATCAGGGTCTCCCAGGGCCTCAGGCTCCAGCCAGCAGTTGGAGGTGCTGATGGGGGGCGAGGTGATGATCATGAAGTTGGTGATTTTTGAGGCGCCGACGGCACATTATTGTTCCCTCATTCACACACTTCCCTGGGCTCCTCTGGGGACACAGTGGACAATGGCCAAGCAAGTCACACTCCCGCCCCTTCCCCTCCCACCCACCACATCCCCGGAGGCTTGAGTCACCCTGGCAGGGCAGGTGGGTGCCTATGGGGAGCCCAGGGCCCCTGCTTGGGTGTGGACCAAGGCTCTGTTCTCGGAGGACCCTAACAGACCCTGGGTGTGGCATAGCGGTGTTGGATGAGGTAGAGGGCTCGGTTGTGGGTGTCTAGGCCATCGGCCCAGGGCCAGGGTGCGGAGCCAGTGCATTCTGGAGGACTTCCCAATTGGAAGGGGCCACATGCAGTGGGAGCCCCAGAACTAGGACCCACATGCAGTGGGAGCCCAAGCCCTCACGGCTCACACTGCTCCCTGTCATCCCCAGCAGATGGAGAGGCGGTAGCAGGCTCCTAAGGCTGCCGCCCTACACAGCCTTGGGTCCGGCTCAGATGGGGCTCAGCTCCCCTCCCAAAGGGACAGGAGGCCGGGCGCCCTCCCTTGTCAGATGAAACCCCGGCCCAGGGCTCCTTCAGCCTGATGAAAGGGTCATTGTGTGGTGCGGGCCGCCCGCTGGCCAAGGACAAAACCACCGTTTGTCCTCCGTCCCTGGCGCAGGGCTGGGGGCCTCACCTCAGGCTGGCCGGCAGGGTGGGGGTGGGTACAGGTGCGCTCCCTCCCCCCTTCCTTGTCTTCCCACTCAGCCTGCCTGGGGCCCCTCCCCCATCCCTGCCCCTCACCCAGGGCGTTCTTGTCCTCTGAGCGTGGGTCCTGAGGCTTGGGTCAGCTCCACTGTTGGCAGAGAGGCAGTGAGTTCTCCAGCCCCGGAGGCATACAAGCAGATGCAGGAGTGAGGGCCGGGGATGCTGGGGAGGGTCCCTGCCTGGGCAGAGAAGCAGCGCTCACAGGTTCTCTGTGCAAGCAGCCGGTGGAGTGGTTGGCCTTTCCAGAGGCCATCCCACAGTCTCAGTAGTAGAGTGGCAAGTGAGGCTTGGCACAGGGCCATCGACACTTCCTCCATCCCCAGGCTGGAGCAGGTGGCAGCTGAGGTGCTGGAGCTGCCACGAGGCTGGGTCTGAGGCTGTGTGCAGAAGACACTAACGTCCTGCTCCCCCAAGCAGCCTTTGCAGCTTTAGAGTGTGAAGCCTGCAGGTGCCTGGAGCTGGGCCTGGGAGGAAGCCACCGCACCCGACGAGCAGCTTGCCGGGTGTCAGCAGCAACGGAGAAGAGCCCGAGTGAGCATCCCCTGGAGTCCTATCCCATGACCCCTGCAGGCCTCTATCGCTTTCTGGAGCCCTCCCGCACTGTGATCCCTGCTCCAACCCTTCCGTGCCCTGTTGGAGCTCTGAATGGGCCAGGCCGGAGGGAGCCCGGGCACAAGGACTGGTGGTGTCTCAGCTGGCCTCCGCGCAGTGGGTATTGGCGTGGCCAGGGTGAGGAGGCATCCAGAGCTGAGACTTAGGCCCGCGCAGTCCCACGTGGTGAGACAGATGGCAAAGCCCCTTCCAATTGGGAAGTCCTCCAGAATGCACTGCCTGCCCTGCAGACCCCCGCCTGGGGGACACAGGATGAGGCATTCCCACTTCTGGAGGACTCAGTTTCCCCCAGAAGGCCCTCCCTAGTGGGACTGACGTGTGCACAGTGCCCAGGGTCTGCTTTGGAATCTGTGTCCCCCTCGGGCTGCCAGAGAAGGGGAGCTAGGAGAGGCCCGTCTGCCTTGGTAGGTGGTGGAGTGAGGAAGACGAGGTCAGGGTGCAGAGTCACTCGCCCAGGTCAAGCAGCTGAGCCCAGATTTGAGCCCAGGGACTCCTGGCTGTCGGGTCCATGCCACTTGTCACGGTGTTTTACTAAGGCGGGTTTCCAGCCTTGGGCGGGCTCTGTTGCGTGTCCCGTTTCCTGCCTGTCCTCTCCAGGCAGAAACCAATGCCTCCAGTTGCTTAGAACTGTGTGTTGACCAAGAGTCCCCGGGGCCCTGAGCGAGGGTCTCAAGGTTGCAGGGGCTGCCTCCAAGTTTAGCTTTGGGACCAGAGGTGCAGCTGTCCTGCGGGTATGGGAAGCCCAGAGGCCTTCTGTTCTGGGTCTTGTCCTGCTTTCGCCCCTGACCCAGGAGCTCTGAGACCAGCCTGGCCAGCTTTGTTGGGTCAGCATGTGTGTGGTCCTGGATGCCCAGGTCCTGTTCCTGGCTCAGCTGTGGGCTTGCGGCAACCTTGAGGGTATCCCTCCCCTTCTCTGGGCCTCAGTTTCCCCATCTGGGTGGTGGGTCTGGATGCTCCCCCAGGTCCTCTTCCTCCCTCCTCCCCTTCCTGCTGGCTCCACCACCACCCTGAACTTTCCCTTCATGCCCACAGCGTGACGGCAGCCCCCGCGGGTGGGTTATCAGGGCTGGCCAGGTGTGCAGGTGTGACTGGGAAGGAAAGTCCCTACCGCCCTGCCTTCCAGCGTCGTTGACACAAAGCCCTGTGGGACCCACAGCAGGAGCTCTAAGCCATCTGTGATGAGGGTGGCCCAGGGAAGACCTCTCAAGTAAGGCAGCCTCTGACCTCGGCCCTGAAGGACCTGCTGGAGGGAAGGAAGGTGGGTTCCTGGGAAAGGGACAGACGTGGGCAAAGACCTGGAGGTGTGAAGAGGATGTGGCAGCATCAGGAGTGGGGAGCAGCAGGTTTGAGTAGGGCTGGAGCAGGGGAAGGTGAGGTGGGGGCGGGGCCGGAGGCAGTGATCTCGGGTCTGGGGAGCCCAGGGCAGGGAGGAGTGGCTTCAGCAGAGCTTTAGAAAGACCCTTCTGGGCAATGAGGTGGAGGATGGGGAGGCATGGAGGAGGCTGGTCCTGCCCACCAGCTGCAGATGCAGGGCCCGGGACACTCCAGGGCTGAGGAGAGGAGGTGGCTGAGTCTGTAGGACCATCTGGTGGCAGCGGTGCCAAGGGAGTGTGCTTGGCCAGGTCTAGGGTTGCAGGGTTGCCTGCCTCCTCCTCAGTGCTCAGGGCAGTGCCAGGCCCTCACTCAGTCGGTACCCAGCAAATCTGTCAGTCTGATGGCCACTTGTGGGTCTGGGGCCCCGTGAACTCCCAGGTCACGGCCGATTGCCCAGGGGTGGCAGAGCCTGTGGTGGCCCCAGGCGTGCTTGGCCCCTAGTGGCACAGGTGGGAAGGGGGAGTGGGTGGCCCGGGGCTGGATGACTTCCAGGCTCCCCGACTCAGGTCTTCCCAGGGTGACTTCACCACTGACGGGGAAGTGTTGGGAATTTCCAGGTGCGGCTGACACCCCCACTAGGAAGGCAGATTCATCACTCCGCCATCTCCATTTCCTGGGGCTCCTCCTGTGTGCCCCATGACTCCCCTCAGCCTGGGGGGGGCTGGCCTGCAGGGGCCACACTCCTGTGGGCTGAAGCGCTTGTTCGGCCCCATCACTGCTCCAGCAAGGTTGTCACCCGCCTTGGTAGCACTGCCCTGGGGATGGAGTCGCATGTTGGGCACACCTTTCTGAGCCTCAGGGTGTTCAGGGAGTGTTCCTGGGGGTGACAGGCCCAGGATCCCTGGATGCCAGGCAGGCTGGTGTTGTGGAGAGAGCACCGGATAGGGAGTCAGTGGCTCCGGGCTGCAGTCACTCCATGTCTGCAGTAGTCCAGAGTACACAGGGACACAGGGCCTGGGGACCTGTGGGACACAGTCCCTGAAGTGGCCAGGCTGGGCTGCTGTGGACCTGCACCTGGGGAGGGGCACTGGGCTGAGGGCTGCAGATTGCACATGGGCCGCACCTGCTCTCTCTCAGAACCTGCCTCCCCAGCTTGTGGCCTGGGGGCTCCCCTCCAGGCTGCAGCTCCTGGAGGTGCGGGGGGTCACCTGGCGCCCCATTGTGCTCTTGTATTTCCTTCTGGCATCTTTAGGAGCCAGGCAGGGTGTGCGGTGTGATGCCTCCCTCTGTTGCGGGAGTCCCCTGCTTTGGAGCAGCCTTGGAGGGTGGCTGGGGCTGGTCCCCTACCTTCAGAGTCTGGGGAGAGCCAGGCTTTGCAGCCAGCTCTGACTGTGAGCCCAGAGCCCAGCTGGGCTTCCACTTACCGCCTTCCACGGTGGAGATTCCTGTGGCAGGGAAGACGGGAGGGTGGGAAGAGGCAGAGCCCAAAGGTGGGGGGAAAAGCCACAGGGTCTGGTCCTGCTCTTGTCTCTGATACCAAACCACTGCCACGTTGCTGTGTGGCCTGGCCCAAGATGCTGCTCCTCTCTAAGCCGCCTCTGTAAAATGGGAATGATGAACTCCAACTGGGGGCTCGCCGTGGGGAAGGCAGGGACGGCACTCAGGACCTCGGGCCACTTCAGTCAAGGCCCCTGGAGTTCTGAAGGCTCCATAAGCACTCACTCAGCCAGGCTGATGAGAGGCAGAGGAGGCTGCCCCTGGGGAAGTGGGCACTCTGGGCCACAAGGCATCCAAGCTGAGCAGTTGGCTAGGAGGCGGTGGCGGCCTAGGAATTCTTGGAGGGAGCATTCCAGAAAAGTGGGCTGCTTGAAAGGTGAGGGGGATGTGGAATTATGCATAGGGGACTTCTGACCCAGAATGGGTCCCCTGCTTTGGAGAATGCAGATGACCTGTGTGGGGCTGGCCTGGCTCTGGCTCACATGCTGTCTGAGATGCTGTGTGGCCCAGGCATGGACTGGGCGTGGCTCCCATCTGTTCCTGGAAGGAGGACCCTTCAGGACTGCGGCCTGAGGCTGAGTCCCAGGGCCGGGAGCTCAGCCCTGTCTTGCAGTCTGCAGAGAGGTGGTGGCTCGGCCCCCAGACCTGCCGCTCAGCCAAGTCCAGGGCAGCCAGGAAGGCCGAGGCGCTGGCCCAGCCGCAGAGTGTCCATACTCCCATTCTGGCTATGGGCCAATGGGGCCTGCCAGCTCTCTCCAACGTGTTCCACCTGTCTGTCCACCCACCCATCTGTCCTGAGGTTTCAGGTTGGCATCCTGGTCACCCAGGCCTGCAAGGCGCCCCTGCGTCCAACAGATCTGTGGCATCAGGGCCAGGGCCAGGACTGGGACTCCCATCCTTGCTAGGGTCTCAGCTAGCTGTGTGGTCTCAGGTGCTGTGGCATCTCTGGGTGTTTCTGTTCCCATCTGTACTGTGGGAAGCAAAGAGAAGGGCCAGAGTAAGACCTGGGGAAGGGCATAGCTGAATTTCAGTCCCAACGGCTTCCTCAGGAGCCCAGCACAGATGTGATCCTGCAGGGAGTGGAGAGGGGAGAACTGAGAGAGACCCTGGTGGACTTCTTGGAGGAGGAGGCACTAAGCTGGGTCTGGAATCTTGCCTGGCTGCTGGAGGGAGCAAGGTACCTGCCCCTGGAGGGGGAGGAGCTGGTCCAGTATGGCCAGCACCTGGTGCATCCTGGTGGGCCCTGGGTGCCGGTAGAGATCTGGAAGGTTCTGAAGTCAGAGGTCAGCGTCCTGTGGTTTGGGAGGTCACAGTGAGTGGGTGAGGCTCTCATTTCACAGATTTAGCAGATATGGTGGCTGGGAGTGTCTGCCCTTGACCTCATTAGCTGCGGGCCCCTTGTGTTGGCCAGGGGTGCAATGGACCCCATGGCTGTGGCTCATCCACCTGCAGCGGCCTCAGCCCTGCCTGGGGCCCCCAGCTCTTCACCAGCTTTTTCCCAGGCGGTCTGGTTCTTCTCCAGGGTGGGGTCCCAGGCTGCCAGGCCAGGAATGCCAGCTATGTGGGGAGGGTGGGAGGGCAGCCGCCCGCCGGGGGCGCGAGGGAGCAAGCGGACGCTCTGCTCCCTTCCCTGGGAACACTGAGAGCCAAGAGCTGAGCAGAGCAGTGGCGTGGAAAGAGTGGCAGGCGGGACTGTGGTGGAGTGCAGCCTGCAGGATGCCCCACCCACCAGCAGGCCAGTTCTCCCTATTGAACAGACCGGCAAACTGAGGCTCAGGGAGGCCAGCGAGAGCCAGTGGCTGAGCAGAACTCAAACACAGGACCCCAAACCCAAGCAAGCAAGCGAACCTCTTTAGGACACAGCTGCAGGTACCCAGATTGTCACCTCAGCCCCTCACTACACAGATGGGAAACTGAGGCAGGGAGGGGCAGGGAGGAGCAGAGGGATGGCCTCATTCCTGAGCTGGGCCCTGGGGGTGTCAGCCCTCTGCTCTCCCCAGCCCCGTCCTTGCCCACCCCCCACCTGCCCAGCTCCCTGTGCCTCCTCTAAGGATGCACTGCCCCGGCCCCCACCCACACTGCTCTCTTCTGATTGCTGTCTCTGAGTCTCAGTTTCCTCATCTGTAAGGTCAGGCTGGCAAGGACCAGCCAGGGGAACCACAGTGGGGAGAGGGTGGGACAGGGTGGGAAACGGTTCCAGGGCCCCACACACCATGAACCTGCTTGGAAAGGGGAGCGCTTTGGGCCTGTCCCTCCCCCACAGGTGTAAGGCCCCTCCCGGGCCTCCCCTGCCACTTGCCAAAGGAGAGGTGATTGTTCCCTGCTCTCAGATGGGAAAACTGAGACTCAGAACAGCCTTGGGGTGGCCGGGCGGAACTCCTGGCCCAAGCCCCACCCCCCTCCACCCCACGGAGCTGGGCCCTGAGAAAGGACGGGGCACCAGCTGTTGAGCCCAGACCTGTTATTCATTCTCTCTGGTTCCTTCTCACCGGCGCGCCCAGCTCTGGGCTGCAATGCGTCCCTTCCAGCCTCCTCTGAGGGCAGCGCCAGAGCTGCTGTGGGGGTCAGGCATTATGGGGCAGGTGCAGGTGGAGCTCTGTTCTGGGTGAGTAGATACCCATCTGGCCAGTCTGCAGCCTGTGGCTCATGGGGTCTGCTGAATGACCTCAGACCTGGCCCACATTCTTATCCCCATTTGACAGGCAGGAACACTGAGGCCACCACCAGCCCCTGCCCCATACTCAGCCCCAAGGAACCCTGCTGGCTCCAAAGCCATAGAAGAGCCCCTATATGGATGGAAAGTTCCGGGCCAACCCTCTGCCCACCTAAGGAAGAGGCTGGCGAGGACTCGGCCCTGGGTGGGTACGGAGGCCAGGTGCTGTCCTCCCGGGTATCTGCTGACTTACTTCCTGGATGGGTGGACCCAGGCCCGCCTCCCTGGCTGATCACAGATAATTGGAACATTCTTCAGATATTTTTGCCAGAAGATGCCTGAGAAGGAAGAATTACAAAGCGCCCCGGGCCAGAAGCGTGGGCCGCAGGAGCCCAGGGCCGCCCGGCAGCCAGGGCCAGGGGCCGGGAGGGAGGCTGAAGATCAGGCCCAGGCTCAGCCAGCCTGTCCCTGCCACCCAGAGAGCTGGGGAGGGGGCTGCCCATGCTCCCTCAGCTGGGGGGGTGGGGTGGCTCATGACCAAGGTGAGCGTAGGGCCTGGCCAGGTGCTGGGCAATTCTGGGGACCCCTGCCCTGGGGAGTCTGCCGCTGACACAGTGGCCTTAGGACAGCCTGAGAGGTCAAGCACAGAGTCTGGGCACTCCCAGAGGGGGCTGGTGGGTGGGAGTGCCTCCCCAAGGAGGGGTCTCTGCAGTGGAGAGCTCAGCAGGTCGGGGGCGGGCCAGCATGCGAGGAAGGAGGAACGGGTGTGGGCAAGAGTGAGGGCTGAGGGGGCAGGTCTGGGGCCACCTGGCCAAAGTGGCCAAGGAGAAGCAGCCTGGGCTGGGGCTGGGAGGTGGCTCAGGCAGGCCCCGAGGCCATGATCCTGCTGGTGTCAGGGTGGCGCGTGGGTCCATGCCAGGGGCAGGATGGTGGGTGCCCTGGGGGCAGAGCGGGGCATGCTGGGGAAAGCCTTTCTGATCTCTGATGAGCTTTTTGATAGAGGTCCATGTTATCTGCGGGGGAGGGCAGATGGCCCCAGGGTTCCCGCTTCTGGCTCCTGTGGCTCTGGGGGGTCTGGGATGCTGAGGCCCGGGCAGGCTCCAGCTGGGTTCCAGGAAGAAGTCAGATCTCGTGTCTCCCCCACGGAGAGCTGCCCCGGTCCTTCTGGGGAATGCTTTCAGTGGCGGGGTAGGGGGCTACTTCCACCCTGAACTGGGTGGGGTAGGCAGCACTAGGGCTGCTTGGGTGCCAGGTTGGGAGCCGGTGTCCAGTCCAGAGCGAGGCGGGAGAGCGGGGGTCCACCCAGGTGGGAGGAGTCTCTGCTGCTGTGGGGTCATTTGCACCCCCACTGGCAAAACAGAGCTGGGCTGTGGTTTGTGGGGTCGGTTTTTGGGAATTTGGAGGAGAAACGGGATACTGAGGTGGAGGTGCCTGGCTCCCAGGCCTCCTCGGGACACGAGCCCACATCTTTGTCATAGCACAGCCGACTTCTCCCAGGCTTCATCACCAGAAAGACACAGCTTGTCCTGTTGCTGGCGGGGAGCTGTGCCCTCTCGAGGGCGACTTTGGGTGGTTTCACCCTCATAATCCTCACCACCCCATCCCCCAGTTTTAAACGCAGGGCCCTGACGTGGACCGTGGGCATTTTCTCAACCCTATGTGAAGTGGGGGTGCAAGCTGGTTTCGACTGACCTGTTACACAGTCTGAGTGACAAGGGGACAGCCCACGGCCGCGCTGCTGCCCACCCCCTGTCCAGCCTGCAGCCCCAGCCCTGCTGAGGGTGTCCCAGATGCCCCATCCTGCTGCCTGCACAGGCGGGGCCTCTGTCGGGGAAGAGTGTCTCCCGCATGTGTCTGTCAGCCACTCGTCACCCACCATTCATTCACTCATTCTGCGGTGACAGCTGAGGCTCTGCCACGCCTGGCCTTGCACCAGGCCCAGCATATCGTGGGGAGTAAGACAGGGTTCTGCCATCCTGGACCCAGCTATGGGGGCTCGGACCTGTTCGGGGAGGGCCCGTGACTCAGTCTGGAGCCTGAGAGACTCCTTGCAGCTGGGTGCCCGTCGGGGGGCTTCCTTCTCCAAGAGCTCCTCAGGGAAGGCCCACCCCACACAGCCTGGCCCCAGATGCAGCCTCCTGCCCCTGACTTACATGGGAGGGTGGCTCTCCAGGAGGACAAGTGACCATACTCTGCCCATCCTGCCCCCGCTGTCTTCGAGGGTCAGGAATGGGGTATGTCCCAGGGGCAGGGTTGATGACAGGGCACTGGCCAGCCCCGGGACAGTGGGGGTGGGTTCCAGCCGTGCTCGCTCCCTGCCTTCCTGAGCTACCAGGCAGGCTGCTGAACTTTTCTGGACCTCCGATTCCTGTTCTGAGGGAAGAGTAATCATGATTGTTGTCACCATTCTAGCCCTTGGCCCCCCGAGCTTTGAAATAGCAACCATGAGGGGACTCTGAGGCCAGTCAGGCATGGAGTGGGTGTCCACTGTGCCTCAACCACTGAAGACCCCGACAGCATGAGGGATTTAGGTTAGACTCCTACCTGCTGGGGGAGGCTTTGAAGCGGGAGAAACTCCTGAACACAACAGGGGTGTCGGGGAGAGGACAGGGTGGCTCTAATTCTGGTCACAGGTGAGATGCTGCCCACTCCCTGCCACCTGGGCTCAGGGTACCCAAGAGTAAGATGACAGGTCACCCCAAAGCTCCTGAGAATGTTGGAGGAGGGAGCCCCCAGGCTGGGCCTTGGCAGAGACGGTGTCGCCCAGGTGAGGGTCTTAGCCAGAGGGGCCACGTCCCACAACCCTGTTCCTTCCTGGCCTCCGCATCACTGCTGACGGGCCCTGCTCCTTTGGGAGGAAGGATGGTGGCTATGTGGGTGACTCTGTCCACCGCCTGAGTGCCAGGCTGGGCACGGGCAGAGCAGGAGGCCACTCCACCAAGGGCTATGAGCCCCTACAACTCCCTGAGGTCTCCTGCACTTAACCTTCTCGCTGCGTGGGAGCTGCTGCGGTGGGCTGTTGCCCGCATTCAGGGTCCAGAGAGGCTGAGGGCCTGGTGGGGACAGGCTGGCTGATGGGCACAGGCTGGGGCAGAGGAGCCCTGGCAGGGCATTCTGGCTCAGCCCAGCTCTGCCTTAGGTCGGTGGCTGGCCCAGCCCAGCAGCCCCATGGAGCGTGTGTGCAGGAAGGGCTAGCACCCCCCGTGCGGGCTAGGCACATACAAAGCACACGGGCATGATTTGTAAAGTTGGCATTTGAATTTTGAAGCGTGTTTTCTGTTTTTTTTTTTTTTTTTTTTTTTTTTTTTTGAGACGGAGTCTTGCTCCCTCACGCAGGCTGGAGTGCAGTGGCATGATCTCGGCTCACTGCAACTTTCGCCTCCTGGTTCAAGCAATTCTCCTTCCTCAGCCTCCCAAGTAGCTGAGATCACAGGCGTGCACCACCATGCCTAGCTTATTCTTGTATATTTAGTAGAGACACAGTTTCACCATGTTGGCTAGGCTGGTCTCAAACTCCTGACCTTAGGTGACCCACTCGCCTCGGCCTCCCAAAGTGCTGGGATTACAGGTGTGAGCCACCGTGCCCGGCCTGTTTTCTGTATTTTAATTATTGTAAGAAGCCTGGAGTTTCCATTCCTGCTTTGTTATTGCCCCATTTCAATAAAGTCACATGCTATAATGCTTTACTTTTATGCTGAGATATAACTTATGTAAAGCACAGAAATCTCAAGTGGACACCTTGATGCATTTTTACATACATGTGGCATACAGGCAGGCTCCCTCTGCTCACTCTCAGTTGGTGCCACCCACCCAAGGGTAACTATTGTGATTTCTGTCTCCAAGATGAGGTGGGCTTGTCCTGGGGATTTTTTTTTTTTTTTTTTTTTGAGACAGAGTCTCGCTCTGTCACCAGGCTGGAGTGCAGTGGTGCCATCTTGGCTCACTGCAACCTCCAACTGCCTGGTTCAAGCGATTCTCCTGCCTCAGCTTCCTGAGTAGCTGGGACTACAGGCACACGCCACCACGCCCAGCTAATTTTTGTATTTTTAGTAGAGATGGGGCTTCACCGTGTTGGCCAGGATGGTCTCGATCTCCTGACTTCATGATCCACCCATCTCAGCCTCCCAAAGTGCTGGGATTACAGGCGTGAGCCACCGCGCCTGGCCGGGGATTTTCAGAAGTGGTGGAATCCACACATCCTCTTTCCTGGCTTCTTTCACACACCATGATGTCTGTGAGGCCCATCCGTGTTGACGTGTGTCAGCAGTTTCCTCACCGTGTAGTCACGCTGCATGAATGGACCACACTTTTTTTATCTATCCTCCTGTTGACAGACGCCTGGATTGTTTCCCATTTGTGCTATAGACCCATGTGCGTATCCTTGGGTGATCACATGCACGGGTTTTTCCTGGGTACAGGAGAGAGATTGCTGGGTTGCAGGGAAGGGCTGATGTGGGCGTGGACCCATCGGTGGTGGGTGCAGTGGCTGACGCGGATACCCAGTAGCTTCACAATTGCTGGTCTCGGGCTTGGGGCCCCATAGATGAAGCTGGTCCCTGATCTCCCGGGGGAGGCTGGATCCTGGGGGTCGGAGATTGTGTGTCTAGTGAATGAGGTCAGTAATGAGCTTGCAGTCTCAACCTTCAAGGGTTAATAATGAGGGCTGTCACTGCAGGCCAGCGGCCCGTGCTGTGGACGCCACAGGATAGGCCCTCCCAGCAGCTCTGAGATGGATGGGAGCTGTTATCACTCCCATCTGACAGAGGAGGAAACTGAGACACAGTTAAGAAACTTGCCTGAGTCTCACAGCTAGGAATTTGCAGACTCAGGCACCCCAGGGCTGTGGGGCTGGCCTGGTACCTGGCTAACCCTGCAGCCAGGGACTTGCCTTCTGTCCACTCCTGCTCTCGTCTGTCACCTGGCAGTGGTTGAAGGGGCTGGAGTGTCCTCACCTGCCCCTCACCCCCACCGCAGCCACCTCCTCCTGGAGGCAGCCCCACTCCCTTGGGGCTGTTCTGCCAAAGACCAAGGTCGTCCCGCTACCTGGCGGCAGCCCCTCCTTGTACAGGGGGCCGGCTCAAAGCCTGCGCCAGGATGCACCTCAGGAAGCTCCTGGGCCTCTGCTGGCCTCTGGCCTGAGACTGCAGGGCCTTGTCCACAGTCCCTGGGGAATGAGGAGGAGGCTTCTTGTCTGCAGGGCTAAACTCTTCTCCCATAAGCGCCCTCCCTGCAGTGGACTGGCCCAGGCTGGGGTAAGGAAACTTTCCAGACTTGCAACCTGCCCATCCCACCTGGCATCTCGCCTGTCCCGAGGCCCCATTCAGTGCAGGGGGATGAGCCGGGGGCAGAATTTTCCATGAAAAAGGTCAGCGACTGAAACATGAATGCCCCCGCTCCCAGCATCTCTGCACTCACAGCCACTCAGAGCCTTCCTGGCCAACCTTCCCTGGGCACCCAGGCAAGCAGCTGAGGATGAGGAAGCCATCCCTGAGAGTTTTCACACTTGGAGCGAAGCTGGGTCCGCCCCGCAGGGTTTGCTGAGGGTGCCCATGGCCGGCCCACGCTCCCCAGTGGCCCCAGCACACTACCCGCACGGCTCTCTGGCCTCCTCTAAATCACTGGCTATAAAAATAGTTGGTAGATATTTTTCCCCCACTTCCCATGCCGACCATTCTCTAAGGAGGGCCCATCCCAGTCACCCCTCTCCCCAGCCCCCTCGCCTCCATGTGGAAGGAATGGCATGGGCCAGGCCTGGGGTGTGGCAGGGCCAGGCCGGCTCGGGGAGGGCAGGGGTCAGACTGGACAGTGCCCGGGGCAGCAGTGGGAGGGCAGGGATGGCAGCTGCATGGGAGCCGCCTGTGCACCTGGAATGAATTGCTGCACAGCCTGAAGGATTTTAAGCAAAGGAAGAACTTAAGCTGTTTTGAGAATGAAAAGCCGACACAGTGCCTGCTCCAGGCCATGTTCCAGCGTGTGTCCCACACTTACTATGTGGCACTCCTTCTTCTACCTGAGTGCTGGATTCAGAGACTGGGCTCCAAGCCTGGCTGTGCAGTGCCAGACAGGTCCCCTAGCCTCTCTGAGCTCTAATCTGCACACCTGCAAAATGAGGATGGCACCACTCACCTAGCAAGGTGAGGATTAAATGATACATAGGTGAGGTCTGAGGTCCCAACGGC
This sequence comes from Homo sapiens, assembly GCF_000001405.40. Lineage (NCBI taxonomy): Eukaryota > Metazoa > Chordata > Mammalia > Primates > Hominidae > Homo > Homo sapiens. The sequence goes on along the minus strand of NC_000022.11, from coordinate 45,954,812 downwards.
CCAGAGTTAACCCTCAGAATGGGAGCACTTGGTATTTTTAGTGGGAACACAAACACCCCCACTTAGTAAGGGAGACAATTTTGAAATTGTTTCTGAATTATCAACCACATCTAACTATTTATACTCCTGGCACAAAATACAGTGCAGGAGCCTGTATTCTATTCCCTGATGCCTTTACTTCCCCTTTAACCCATGCACGGGCACGCAGGGGGCTGCTGGGGGCTCTAGTCCCCCTGCTCTGTCAGCCCCACATACCCCGGATAAGCGTGCAAGAAGGCAAGCAGGGCGTCGGCTGGGTGGGCCTCTCGCATCCCCTTCAATTGGGTCCTAATCTTCACTGGGGTGCAGAAGTCCCGTGTATAGATAGAGTTTTTTAAAATCGTGGTTAAAATACGTAAAATAAAATTTACCACTTTGACTATTTTTAAGTGAACAATTCAGTGGCATCTAGTCCATTCACAATGTGGTGCAATCACTACCCCCAGTTCCAGAACTTTCCATCACCCCAGATGGAAATTCCATACCCATTAGGCAGCCACTCCCTGTTCCCCGTTCCCCTTCCCAGCCCTGGCAATCACCTTTCTACTTTCTATCTCGATGGATTTGCCTATTCCGGACGTTTCATAGCCATGGAACCACACAGTACGTGGTTTTGGGGTCTAGCTTCCTTCATGTAACATTGTATTGTTGAGGTTCCTCCATGCCGTGGCATGACCCAGTGCTTTGCTCGTTTTTATGGCCACATAATGTTCCATTGTATAGATGGACCACATTTGGTTTATCCACTCAGCTGTTGACAGGCATTGAGTTTGTTTCCAGCGTTTGGCTATTGTGAATAGTGCTACTGTGATCATTTGTGTACAAACTTTAGTCTAAACACCTGTCTTCGGTTCATTTGAATCTATGCCAAGGGGTGGAATCCCTGGGTGACTCCAGGTTGAACTTATTGAGGAACTGCCAAACCATTGTCTACAGTGGCTATACCATTGTCCGCTCCTATCGTCAATGTGTGAGGGTTTCAATTTCTCCACATCCTTGGCAACACTTGTTCTTTTCTTTCTTCTTCTTCTTCTTTTTTTTTTTTTTTTTAAATCATAGCCATCCTAGTGGGTGTGAGGTGGCATCTCATTTTGGTTTTGGTTTGCCCTTCCCCAGTGATTACTGAGGTTGAGCGTCTTCTCCAGAGCTTGTTGGCGGTGCGTATATCTTCTTTGTAGAAATGTCTACAAGCGCTTTGCTCATTGTAACACTGGGTTGTTTGTCTTTTTGTTGTTGAGTTGTAGTTCTTTCAGATGTGGTTCTTAAGTACTGACTTGTTCATTTACTCATTTATCTATTCCACAAACACTCGGGATGGCCACACCCGGCAGCCCGGAGACCTGGCTGAGCGCAGACTTGACACTGTCCTGGAGGGGCCGACCGTCTGCTGGGGAAGCGGGGCATGGACACGGTGGCTGTGAGGGGAAGCTGGGGACATGGTGACTGTGAGGGGAAGCGGGGCATGGACGTGGTGACTGTGAGAGGAAGCCGAGGACACGGTGACTGTGAGGGGAAGCCGAGGACACGGTGACTGTGAGGGGAAGCCGAGGACACGGTGACTGTGAGGGGAAGCCAGGCACGGACACGGTGGCTGTGAGGGGAAGCCGGGCACGGACACGGTGGCTGTGAGGGGAAGCCGGGCACGGACACGGTGACTGTGAGACTGCAGAATGAGCTCTACACCCGCAAAACCAGTGCCCACCGCGCTCCCCCTCAGTGCCAGGGAATCAGGAGCTTGAGCACAGTGGGGCTTTCACCTGGGCCCTGAAAGGGAAATGGAATATGTCAGACAGAAAAACGGAGAAGGGGCAGCAGCCAGGGGAGGGACCAGCAGACACAGCTGGGAGGCGGGGTCTTCCGAGGCCAGACCCCATGAGGCCTCTAGTTCCAGGCACAGGGGCTGGGACGGTCCCCTGGGCAATGGAGAGCTATGGATGGGCTTTGAGCAGACGGACTTGGTCAGATCCGGGTGCTGGCAGGGCCGGTGGTGGACAGCTGGCTGGTGGCGGGAAGCCAGGGCTTTGGCCATGGCAGTGATCCATTGCCACCCCCAGGGTCCACACTAAGTCCCATCAGGGTCCCCCCAGCAAGGGCACCTACCGCAGATAATGGGGGTTTCTCGGCCCTGAGCCTGCTGGGAGAATTTGGGACTGGAGAGTGTCCCTCAGGCTGGGACTGAGGCGGGCTCTGCCCCACGGCAAACAGGGTGCCCGGCAGGGTTCCCATCCATCTCATTTCCCCAGCTCGGTTTTCCGAGGATCTACAATTACTTTGGGCTGAATTCCCCAGATTCCAGCCCGCTCCCAGCCCCACCCATCCAGATGCTCTTCCTCCATGCCAGCCTGGGGCTTTTCTGCCCATTGTGCCCATGGGAGACCCAGGGAGGTCTTGGCCAGATTAGTGGGCGGGCCGGGCGGGCCTCGGGGATTGAGTGTCACCCTGGCAGCCCGGCTGCAGCACGTGCTGTGGGCTCAGGCCGCACGGGGACTTTCCAGCTGGCTGTGGGTGCTCGGCCGCCCTGGAAAATCACTGACTTATTTCCCTCAAGAAAAGGGCGGGCGGGCAGTAGGTAGAAGAAGGGTCCCCAGCACACTAGGGGCCCAGGGCCATGGGCATCAGCTTCGGGGAGCCCCCGGCGGTCCCCCCAACTCCCACATCTTGCCCCCTCACTAAACAGGCCTGATCTGTTGTTTTGAAGCCAAGCGCTGTGCTGAAACCCACTGTTGCCTGCGGGTCTGCCTGAAACCAGCCGCCCCCCTCCTTCCAGCTCACTGCCCCTTCCATGGGTGCTTAAAGCCAGATGACTGGGGCAGCCGCTGTGGAGGGCAGTCCGGCAAGTCCTCAGAAAGCGAAGGGACCACCTGACCCAGCAACTCATAGGTCCATGCCCCAGAGACTGAAAACAGGCTCAAACAGAAACCTTACCCGCACGTTCATGGCGGCATCACTCACAGTAGTCCAAAGGTGGAAGCAGCCGAAATGCCCAGCCATGAATGGATACACAAAATATGGTCTGTCCACACAATGGAATATCACTCAGCCTTACAAACGCATGAAGCACTGACCTGTGACCACGTGGATGACCCTTGAAAACACGACGCTAAGTGAAAGAAGCCAGACGCCAAAGGTCACACAATGAATGGTTCCATCCATAGGAAACATCCAGAATGGGCAAATCCATGGGAACAGAAAGCAGACTGGTGGTTGCTGGGTCGGGGAGGGGAGAACGGGGAGTGACTGATGGGTACAGTTTCCTTCTGGGGTGGCAGAAATATCTGGGAACCTGACGGTGCTGGAGGTTGCACAACACCGAATGTATTAAATGCCACAGAACTGTACACTTCAAAATGGTTCATTTTATGTTATGGGAATTTCACCTCATTAAAAAAACACACAAGGCTGGGTGCAGTGGCTCACACCTGTAATCCCAGCATTTTGGGAGGCCGAGGCGGGCAGATGACCTGAGGTCAGGAGTTCGAGACCAGCCTGGCCAACACAGTGAAATCCTGTCTCTACTAAAAATACAAAAATTAGCCGGGTGTGGTGGTGGGCAACTGTAGTACAGCTACTCGGGAGGCTAAGGCAAAAGGATGGCTTGAACCCGGAATGTGGAGGTTGCAGTGAGCTGAGATCACACCACTGCACTCCAGCCTGCGCGACAGAGTGAGACTCCGAAACTCTGTCTCAAAACAAACAAACAAATGAACAAATGACAATCCCGCTGATATCACTTGAAGTAGAGTGAGCGTGACCTGCGGGTTCTTGTCTAGGGCTTCAGGTCCTGAGAGTTGCTAGGAGATTAATGACAAAGTTCCCCTCAGTGGACCACTGCAAGGCTGCAGTGTTGCAATAAGGCCCCTGCCAAGCCCGGCACACAGTAGGTGCTCAATTTGCTGCAGGCCTAATTTCTTCCTCTGCGTGCACCCAGTCACCCTGACAGGAGAGAAAACAGCAACAGCCACCATTCCCGGTGCGGGCTTTCTCCCTGTGGTCGTCTGAGCCTTTGGTTGGGTGGTGGGGGATGGGTGTTTTATACCCCCATTTCATGGGTGTGGAAACTGAGGCTCAGACGGGGAGTGCCTTCTCAAAGTTACACACAGGTCGGAGCTGGAGTCAGTACCGGATGGGCTTGGCTGCCGGCCTTTTCAGCAGCCTGCCTGGCCCAGGTGCCATGGAGGGGCCATCGGGGAATTTATAAATGAGGGGAAAGCCCCATTGGTCGGGGAGTTGGGGTCTGCCGCTTAGAGACAGCGCAGACAGTCCCGAGTTGGCGGCTGCCACATCCCAAGCATGATGCTGTCTGATCTGAAGGGCTGTGTATCTGACTCAGTGGCCTGGAGAGCTGTGGGACTTGCGGTTGCGTGATTCTCCATTCTGAGGCTCAGAGGCCTGGGTGTGTGTGGCTGGGGTCACGCGTGTGAGTTGGGGTGAACTGGTGTGGTCTCCTGGGGTCACGCATGTGAGTTGATGGGAAACAGCCCCTTGAGGGCAGGGATCTGCTTGTGCCCTGGTGGGCGGAGCTAGTGCAGGGCCTGTGACTGAGAGGCTGAGTGGGGGAAAGGTGTTGGGGGTGAGGAGGGGCGCTGGCCGCCGCCGTCTCACGGCCTCTGTCTCCTCCCCTCCACAGAGCACTGTCATCCGTGGTGGCCCTGGGAGCCAACATCATCTGCAACAAGATTCCTGGCCTAGCCCCGCGGCAGCGTGCCATCTGCCAGAGTCGGCCCGATGCCATCATTGTGATTGGGGAGGGGGCGCAGATGGGCATCAACGAGTGCCAGTACCAGTTCCGCTTCGGACGCTGGAACTGCTCTGCCCTCGGCGAGAAGACCGTCTTCGGGCAAGAGCTCCGAGTAGGTAAGGGCGCCTCTGGGCTCAAGGGGCCCAGCCATTGTGGCCAGGGGCAGTAGGCCAGGCCACCCACTGAAGGCCAGCCTAGGCCGCTGTTCTGCACACATCTCCTGGGGGGCCAATTTCTTTGCCTTCCTGTGAGCCCTTCTGCGTGCCTGGCCTGGCCCTAGGCAGCACCACTGCTTCTGGGGCAGGGGAGGCCTCAATGGGAGCCAGGCTGTGTGCAGATGAAGGTCCTTGCTCGGGGCTGGAGGACATCGTCGTGACGTGGCCGTGGGCCCTTGGGCCTGTAGGCTGGTGGCGCGGTGGTGCTAGCGGTGCCGTGCAGTGGTTGGGGCCCATTCTTTCGCTGCCTAGCAGCCGTGTAGAGGGAGGCACGTTACCTCTTCTGGCAGAACCTCCATTCCTGTATCTGGAGAGCAGGGAATAGTAACACTTACTGCAGGGGGTAGTTGGGGCACAGGAAGTGCTGTGTGAATGTCGTAGATTCCGAGAGTGGAGCTGGGTAGAGGGAGCCGAGTGAACTGTGCAGGATGCTCCAGCATGACACGTGGAGCACGGGGAATCCAATGGCCGGAGGGCAGGGTGGGTGGGCGGGTGTGGGGAGTGGTTTGATGGACACCAAGCAATCACCGAAACCTGCCAGGTGGGCTGGCAAGATCCCTGCTGCCTGTGCACAGCCCCTGAGGCCACAACCCCTCCCTGTCCTCACAGCCTTGGGGGTAAGGCTTCATCATGCCCATTTTACAGACAAGGAGACTGAGCCCAGAGAGGGGCTTTAAAAAGTGACTTTTGGGCCGGACCTGGTGGCTCATGCCTGTAATCCCAGCACTTTGGGAGGACGAGGGGGGTGGATCACCTGAGGTCAAGAGATCGAGACCATCCTGGCCAACATGGTGAAACCCCATCTCTACTAAAAATACAAAAATTAGCCAGACAATCCCAGCTACTTGGGAGGCTGAAGGAGGAGAATTGCTTGAATCCGGGAGGCGGAGAGAGGTTGCAGTGAGCCGAGATGGCACCATTGTACTCCAGTCTGCGTAAAAGAGCAAGACTCTGTCTCAGGGGAAAAAAAAAAAAAAAAAAAAAAAAAAAAAAGGGATCTTTGGAGCCTGACCTGGGTTTGAATCCAGCTGTGTGACCTTGAACACGTCACTCGGGGCTGCTCAGGGCCTCAGCTTCCCCACTGGTGATGTGAGCTCCGAGCCAGTAGGCCCTCGTGTGGGTCCCCATGGCTCTCCCAGGTGCTCAGTAAACTGCTGTTGTGTGCATGGGAGTGGGGCTAGTGATGTACCCTGCCCTCCAGGCTGTGGCAAGAGGCAGAGGAGGGGGGGGATAACTGGCAGAGTGCCAGGCTTGCAGGGGTGCCCAGCCCATGGGCATAACATGTCCTTCTGATCCTGGAGCCGAGCAGAGCCGCAGCTGCCGGGACACAGGCCAGACCTAGGTTCTGCAGGGCTTGGAACGCTGGTGTGGGGCTGGGGGTGGCGCAGGGGAAAAGCCCCTGGGGCCCGCTTTGTGGTGAGCAGCCTGTGGGTGGCGCCTGGCACAGCGAAGAGGGTGGCACCGCCCGCTCCCTGGGGCCCCACCACCCAAGTGCAGTTCCCTCCCTCCAGGTGCCAGCTGTGGCAGGCAGGGCTGCCCATCCACCCCAGTGGGGAGGGCGTCGGCACGAGTGCTCACTCATGCCAGGGCCCATCTGCCTGCCTGGCCCCTCAGCGCTGAGCTGGCGGGCTCAGAGGCAGCTGTGGGTGCCCCTGCCTCCCGGCCGAGCCCCCGGGGAGTTGTGGTGGAGCTGAGCGTCGATCAGGTGTCCCTCGCTGTTCCTGCTAATCCTTGCTGCCTCGCTGCGCCAGGAGAGGGGCAGACGTGGAAATCGTCCTGCTGCTCGACAGAGGGCTGGGAGCTTGGACTTTATTTGGGACCATGAGACATGGGGTGAGGGACGTGTGGGCCACCCTGGGCATCACTGTGGGGTCCCCGAGCTCGCCTGGGGATCAGGCTGTGTGGCATATGGCTGTGTGTCCTGTCCTGTTCCTCGATCCTGGGAGCGCTGCATCCCGTCTCAGTCTCTTCTGCTAGGGAGCCCACCTAAGACACCCCTGTTGCTTTCCCGAGCGTTTCAGAAGCAAACATTTTGGCAGAGCTGTCCACACCCACCATCCTCACCTCACACCCTTGATCGCCCCTACTGCTCTTGGTCTGGGCCGCTTGTGACCTTCCTGGTGTCAACTTTTCCCCTTCTTCCCTGGCTTCTGGGCCCCGGCTTGTAGCCTGGACTTCTCTGCCCAGTCCCAGCTGGGAAGTGGCAGCTCCTCCAGGTGCACCTTGGCCCCCTCGCCCCGCTCTGCCCTATTGGCCGCAGGCTCACTCCTGCTCATGGCTTCCATTCCCTGCGACCCATGCGAACCTCTGGCCTGACACACTCAGCACCCGTTACTTAAATCTCCTGTCCCCAGCTTTCTCCCGGCCAGTTGTCTCAGCAGAAACCTGGTATCATTTCCCCATACACCTCAGGGCTCTGCCCTATGGCTGCAGCATGGTCTGCTTTTCTGGCCCTCCCCTGGCAGCTGTCACTGCCTCCTGCCCACACCAGCCCTAGTTGCTGAGTTAAACAGAAGCTCTTCCTCCAAAACCTGCAGTAGCTCCTTATGGCCTCAGGATAAAGTGAACTTCTTAGCCGGGAATCTCAGTAGCTGCCTCCCATATTCACCCTGGTTCCCCACATCCCTTCTGAGAATCAGAGCTTCGGGCGTATCTGACTCCTCTCTCCTCCCCAAGCACGCCAGGCCCCGTTCCCCTTCCAGGGCTCAGCTGCGGGGAGTCATGAGCAGGAAGAGGGGCTGATCAGGGAGGCCAGCCATGTCCGAGGCCAGCTGGGTGCCCTGGCATGGGCTGGGAGCTGGGCCATAGGTTGGCAGGCTGCCAGGACACTCGTGGGAACAGCCACTCAAGCAGTGCCAATTAATGATTGGCCCTGAGAAGGGGCTTGGCCTGTGTGGGTGGGACAGCCCCTTTCAGGCGTTGACCTTGGGCTGTGCCTAAATCTCGAGGGCTGAAAGGGTACCCCTTAAAAGGGCAAATCAATCCCCTGTGCAAAGTTCCAATCCCTTTTCCATCACCTGGTGTGGGTGCTTGTATGCCTCTGGGGATGGGGCGCTCACTTCTCCCCATTAGACAGATGGTTTCTTCTAAGGACCCTGTGCTGGCTTTGCCCTGGGCCCCTGGGTTCCAGTTGCTCTGCTCGCCTCAGAGGGTCAAGGCTCACACTAGGCCCCCCTCCACTGCTGTGGTCCCCCTCGTGCCTGGAGGCCTCCTGAGCCCATCCCAGGCCTATTCCTCATGTGTCGAGAGAGGCTTGTCTCTTGTGTCTTCTGTTGACTGGAAATGAGCTTAGAGGTGACTGTCCCCAGCCGAGCAGTGTTCTGCCACGGTGGGGGCAGGAGAACGAAGGGGCAGCGTGAGCATCAGGAGAACCTCGTATCCCAGGAAAGTCTGTTGGAAACCTGGGGCCCCCCAACAAGGCAGGGAGTTTCAACCAGGCACTATCATCGAATCAGGGATGTCAGCAAGGGCTTCCCGGAGGGGGTGACCCAGGCCAGACTGGAGGTGAGCGCAGGGAAGGGGGTGCCAGGTGGACGGAACAGCATCTGCTGAGGCTCTGGGGCCAGAAAGCCGAGAGCACTTTTGCAGGAATGACAGGAGCTTCCAGGGCTAACAGGAGAGGCTGGAGGGTGAGGGCAGGGCTGGAGTACCAGTGAAGCTCTGGAGGGTCCAGAAGGCATAGGAGATTCTGAGCAGGTGAGGGCTTCCCTCTGCAGGCTGCTTCCTTCCAACCACTGCGCCGCCCCCATCCCCCTAGAGCCCAGAGTCCCCCAGGACCACGGGCCTGGGCCTGGGGCAGCGACTGCGTGCTCTTGGGCCCCCTAGCCCCACCCTTGAGCTGCCAGGGAATGCTGAGTCCTGCCCATCATGTGCTAGCCTCAGACATGACCAGGCATAGAGACTGCCCCTAATCCATGCTCACGTGAGCGGCCCGGGACACCAGCACAGCTGTCACCCGCTCCTGTTTGCTTTGGGGGCGAGCTCTGCGTGGGGAGTGTCTTCCTGGGCTGCACACAGCAGGGGCTCAGCAAGGGCTGTTGGCTGCTGGACAGCCTGAGGGGCCAAGGGACCCATCTCGGGGTATCTGAGAGGCCAGGGGTCGTGTGGTGAGAGGGTGACTCCCGGGCCAGGTGCACCTGCCGCCCTGCGGGGCTTTGCAGGCCAGGCCCAGTGACCCCCAGCAGGGACGAGGTCTCGAGGGCTGGATTCTTCACTTGTTCACTCTGGTGACCCCAAGCCACCTCTGGCAGGGAAGTGTTTGTAATATGGTGTGGACCAACCGACATGTGCCGTAAGTGTAAGATATGCATGGATTTTGAAGACTCAAATCCCCAAAGCAAATACAGTATCTCTTGAATAACTCTTCTACTGATTACATATTGAGATGGTAAGATTTTGGATATATTGGCTAAATAAAATATACTATCAAAATTAAGTTCACCAGCCAGGCATGGTGGCTCACACTTGTAATTCCAGCACTTTGGGAAGCTGAGGCGGGTGGATCACTTGAAGTCAGGAGTTTGAGACCAGCCTAACGTGGTGAAGCCCCATCTCTACTAAAAATTCAAAATTAGCTGAGTGTGGTGGCACATGCCTGTACTCCCAGCTACTCAGGAGGCTGAGGCAGGAGAATCACTTGAACCCGGGTGGTGGAGGTTGCAGTGAGCCAAGATCACGCCACTGCAGTCCAGCCTGGGCAACAAGAGTGAATCTCCGTCTCAAAAAAAAAAAATTAAGTTCACCAAAATTATTTTCACTTTTCTTAATGTGGCTACTAGAAAATTTCAGCGGACACCTGCGGCTCACCTGAACCTTCCGTTGAGCGGTGCTGCACCCATAGGGGACAGGAGGGGGTGGCCCAAAGTCATCTGGTCAGGGGCAGACGGGACAATTGAACCTGGATCTGACTGTCACTCCCAGGACACTGTCCTCCAGTGTGGGGTGGGGCAGTCTGAGGGTAGAGGGTCACTGAGCAGCCGTTTTCGGAGGACAGTCAGCGCGGGGGTGGGAGGGCAGCCACCTTCATCAGGCCTGGTTGTTCATCAGCCTGCATTCCTTGAGTGTCTGCTGTATGCCAGGCCAGGGCTTGCACCCAGGACACGATGGGTGAGCACAGGCCAATGGGGCCAGGCCGGGAGGCAATGCCTGCTGGGCCCAGTCTCGTGCTGGCCACACCTTGGTGGTCTGCAGGCCCCAGGCTGACGACCCTGGTCACTCCCCACCTCCACCCTCATCTCAGGGGCCCAGCCCAAGGCAGCTCAACAGACATTTCTGAGGCTCAGGGGCCAGGCAGCCAGGACTGTACGGACAACTGGGGCCTTGAAGGTCAGGGTCAGAAAGACTTTCCTAGCGGCGAAGCTGCCCAAGCCCACTCCTGGCTCAGGGTGGGACGAGGCCGGGGCTGCCCCTCCCCGGGAAGGCAGCTCACAGGCTCCTGGGAGGACGGAGCCTGAGGGGCTATGGCAGTGGCAGGGCTGTGGCCCTTCCTGGGGGTGGCATGGAGGCCCTGTGGGCTAGGCGGCTGCTGGTCCTCCAGTCCCAGTCCTTCCACATGGCCCCTCCGAGGCCACCTGGAACTCATGCAAGTTGGGAATTTTCCATCCTCCCCAGCGGAGCCCTGAGAGACGGACAAGAGTGGAGTGGGGATGGAGTCTGGCTGCAGAGAGGCTATGGCCAAGGACACAGGCCCTATCTGCCCGGGTCCCACTGTGTTACCCTGGGTGCAGCCTGGTGCCCTGGGGACCTTGATGCCCCACCTGCCTCATGAGGGGCCGAGGTGGGGGCTGGGACTCTGCCAGGATTTGGGGTTTCTCCTCAGAATGGGGACATGGAGGTCCCCGCAGAGCTTCCCACGTGGGTTCCGTGGGCAAAGGCTCCAGAGCCCTGGGCCACTGAGGCAGGACACAGACCCCGGGGTGGGTAGGGCCCCTCCCTCGGCCTCACAGGGGCACAGCAGCCCGGCCCTCAGCCATTACTCAGCCCAACTCCTGCCGCCTTTTCAGGAGGGTCATTTCTTTCATGTCGGTAGCCCCCGCCTGGGCTGGGCCCTGTCACATGACCGCCTCAGGTCCTGTTGTCTACACATCACAGATGGGGAGACTGAGGCTCCCAAGGAGACCATGTGGCTTACCCAAGGCCATGTTGCCCCCAAGGGCCAGAGAAGCCCGCAGGCTCTCAGGGAACCGCCCGCCAGGATCCAGGTGCTGAGAGGCCCTGGGGCAGCCCCGGGGAGGAAGGGGTCTCTGTGCCACCTCACACAGGCAGTTGCTGGCTTTGCCAGAGCACTCCCGAGGGCAGGCCACCCTGGGCTGGACACAGGAGGGGCCTCCTGGGCTCCCCGAGCACCTCAGGGCTGGGGAAAACTCCCGGAAGGCCAGGTCCTTCCCACTCGGAGCCTGCTGTCCCCACCTGGGGGCCTGCCGCTTGGCGTGTGAGGGCCTCCGCTGGGTCGGAACAAAGGCCTCGGGCGCACGGGCGCCGGCGTGTTTGGACCTGGCATGACTTTTTCCAATGATCTGTTTATGACAACGGCAGGGAAGAGCTTAGTGTGGAGACGCTGACTCAGCCCGAGCCCGGGTGGGGTCCGGGTGGGGCTGGAGAGAGACAGAGGGACAGAGAGGGACCAAGGGACCCAGAGGGAGAGGGAGAAACAGGGGGGGAAGGACAGAGATGTGTGGAGAGACATACAGCAGTACACCTGGCACACACACACATGCACACACACAAACACACGCACACACGTGCACACATGTGCACACTGCACACACATGCATGCTGCACACACGCGCACACACATACACATGCACACTGCACACATACACGCCTACACACATGCACACTGCACACACGCACACACACATGCACACTGCACACATACACGCCTACACACATGCACACACGTGCACACTGCACACACGCGCGCACACACACGCACATACATGCACACACGCACACACACACACACAGCACCCACTCAGGCTGCACCCAGGCCAGGACCATGAGGCCCAGGGTCCAGGCCTGCTTGGAGACGGGTAATATTAATAAAAGCGGCCCAGACGCATCCAGCACTTTTATGTTCCTACCCGTCCTGAGCCCTCCACTGCCTCAACTCATCCACGTAGGACCCCATGAGGTGCGTGCTGCTATCACCTTCGTGTAAGCCGCAGAATTAGGTGCAGGGTGTGAGGCAGCCTGTCCAGCCCTCCCTGGCCAGAGTGCACCTTGGCCCCGGCTGGTCCAGGTCAGGATTGCAGCAGGGCCAGGCAGGCGAGGGCTCTGGGCTTCTGATCCTTCAACTGCACAAGCAGGGATTGGGGCCAAGCCGTGGCCTGGAGGCTTCTCTGCCTGTGCCTTGGTCTCTGCCTCCACCCCGATGTCCCCAGCCTGAGCTCTGTGTGTGTCAGGGATGCAGATCCCAGACTAGCTCAGGCAGTGAGTTGTCCCCCTGGGACTGAGCCCTGGCTAGGGTCAAAGGGCAGGCTGGGGTGTGGACAGCCACAGGGGGCCATTGTGGGGCCCCACCTGGGCCCTGAGCTTCTCTTCCAGCTTCTGTGCCCAACAGCCACTTTGAGTCCTGTCTAGACCGAGACCCCCAGCCTGGACACGGGTGCCACACCAGCTGGGCCGGGTAACACCAGGAGCTGCGGATGTGGCCCGGGGGTGTCTCCTCACCTCCCTTGGTCTCAATCTCTACACCAGTAAACTGGGGAGGCGGGGACAGTACTCCCCATCCAGCTCTAGGCTGTGAAGAGCCTGGGAATCAGGTGGGGTAGGGGGCAGATGGGGGCTCAGAAAACCAAGGAGCTCCCCAGCCAGCCGTGTCCCAGGGACCCCTCCCCAGCCAGGCCTCAGGGACCCCACCCCACCCTGCATCCCTACCCTACCTCAGCCCCAGCAGTCCTCCCCTGACCTATTCTTCAGGGAAGTCTATCTCACAAAAGCTCCCCTGCTAAAGGGATTTTAAAGAACCCACGACACCAGGCCTCATCCCATGGTAATGGGAAGCTGAGGCTCGAGGAGTGACGGCCTTGGCCAGGGTCACGGAGCACAAGCCCCAGTTCCATGGGGAGTTGGCCCCGGGAGGTGGGGGCTGGGCAATGCTGGGACATCTTCGCGGGGCCAGGCTTGAGTTCCCACCTGCCCCTCGCCTCTCTCCTGCCATCCCTGGGCACCTTAAGCCACCCGTGGCCGAGGCAACTCTTTCCACTTGATCCTGTCCAGCTTCCTGGTAACAGCCCCCCACCAGCTGCCCTCACTGCATTGGGGTCCTCACTGCAGAAGAGTCTGCACTCTTTTTTTTTTTTTTTTTTTTGAGACAAAGGCTGGAGTGTCACCCAGGCTGGAGTGCACTGACGCGATCTCAGCTCACTGCAACCTTCATCTCCTGGGTTCAAGTGATTCTGCTGGCTCAGCTTCCCGAGTAGCTGGGATTACAGGCCCCTGCCACCACACCAGACTAATTTTTGTAATTTTTAGTACAGACGGGGTTTCGCCATGTTGGCCAGGCTGGTCTCAAACCCCTGATCTCAGGTGATCCGCCCGCCTTAGCCTCCCAAGGTGCCGGGATTACAGGCGTGAGCCACCGCGCCCGGCCCTTCTGCACTCTTTCCTCCCTAAACCCCCTCACCCGATCCACTTGCTAATCCCGTTAGCTCTACGCTGAGACTCTGAGACCTGGCAGCTTTTCACCTCCTCTACCTGGCGGGTCATCAGCATTTCTTACCCAAACCCTTGCACAGGCCTCCCGGTGGGTGGGGTGGAGGGTCCCTTTCAATGTAAGTCAAAGTGACACCTTCCAGGGGCTTCCATCTTTTCAGAACAAAGTCCAAGGTCTTCTCTGAGGGCAACATGGTACAGCCCCCAAGGGCCGTCCCCGACTTCATCATCACTGATCTCTGCTGGGACAAACCACTCATGCTCAGCTCATTCTCACCTCAGGGTCTTTGCATTGCTGTTCCCTCTGCCTGGAGCACTGTTCCCTGAACCTGTGTTCCTCACCTCTCCCATCCTTTGGGACCCACCTTCAGCATCCCTTCCTGAGAGGAGCACTCATTGGCCACCCTGCACCCCAGTCCCTCCAGCCACCCTACCCTGCTGGCTCCTCTGTGGCTCTGACCCCTGGCCTCTGGCGGCACTGTCTGTGAGCCGCTCCCAGCCTGTCTGCTCCCCGGGTTCAGTGTGTTGGTTCTGCCCTGCTGTGTGCTCGGCCTTGCACTTGACCTTGGGCAACTACTTGATGGATGGGAGGCTGAGAGCCTCACCCCTGGGATTCTGGGAGGTCCAGCCAGGAGGGAGGCTGTACTTGGTGCCAGGGACACACAGGTGGCAATAACGTGAGTGTTACAGGCAGTGTCGCGCGTGTGTAGAGTGTCAAGAGGCTGGCACAGGCAAGCGTGGCGTCCAGGTCAGTGAGGCACAAGGCAGACTTTGCAGCTTTCCCTGTCCCGGTGGGTGTGGAGTGGGCTGAGCACAAACTCTGGGGTCCTGGTCAGATCCCGGCTCGGTGTCTCACCTGCTGTGTCACCTTGGGCCAGTCGCCTGCCTCTCCTGAGCCCAGTGTCCTAATTGTGAAGTGGGGGGTCTTAGTTCATACCCATGGGGCCTCAGAGAGGGTTTAAATTGAGTAGGACACGGGTATGAAACCCTCTGAAAGCCATCCATTGGCCCTATGTGTCCATCACAGCTTCAGTGAGATCTAATCCACATACTTCACAATTCATCCATTTAATGTGTACAAGCCCACGGTCTTTAGTATATCCAGAGTTGTGTAGCTGTCACTGCAGTTGATTTTAGAACATTTTCATCACCCCAGAAAGAAACCCTGTGGCTTAATCAGTCCCAGTCCTCTCGCCCCTGGCAACACTCAGGTGCTGTCTAACTCTCCAACTCCTGCTCCTCTGGGCATTTCATAGAAATGGAATCACACTATATGTGGCCTTTGGTGTCTAGCTTCTTTCACTTGGCATGATGTTTTGGGGTTTTTTGAGGTGGGGGTTGAGATAGGGTCTCACTTTGTTGCCCAGGCTGGAGTGCAGTGGTGCGAACATGGCTCACTGCAACCTTGACCTCCTGGGCCCAAGTGACTCTCCTGCCTCAGCCTCTTGAGGAGCTGGGACCACAGGCACGTGCACCACCACACCTGGCTATTTTTGTGTGTGTGTGTGTGTGTGTGAGTGTGTGTGTGTGTGTTTGTAGAGACAGGGTTTTGCCATGTTGCCCAGGCTGGTCTCAAACTCCTGGGCTTAAGGCATCCGCCCATCTCAGCTTCCCAAAGTGTTGGGACTACAGGCGTGAGCCACTGTGCCCAGCCGATATGTTTGAGTTTTATCCACACTGTAGCATGTATCAATACTTCATTCCTTTTTAAGGCTGAGTAATATTCTGCCGTATGGATAGAACACATTTTCTTTATCCTTTCGTCCATTGATGGACATCTGGGTTGTTTCTACCTTGGGCTGTTACAAATAAGGATGCTATGAATACTTCTGCACAATATATAAGTGGGCGCCTGTTTCATTTCTCTGAAGTGTATGCATAGGAGTGGCAGTGCTGGGTCACATGGTGACCCTACGTTTAAGTTTTTGAGGAGCTGCCCAACTTTGCCACAGTGGCTGCAGCATCTCACACTGCCACGAGCATCTCACACTGCCACCAGCATCTCACACTGCCACCAGCATACAGGGGTCCCCATTTCTCCACATCCTCACCAACACTTGGTATTGTCAGTCTTTTTTGCCTTTTATTCCTAGTGCGTGTGAAGTGGCATCTCACTGTGGGTTGGATTTGCATTTCCTTGACAGCTAATGATGCTGAGAATCTTTTGTCTGCTTATTGGATGTTTTTATACCTTCTTTGGACAAATGTCTGTTCAGGTCCTTGGCCTACTATTTTTTAGCTTTTATTTTTTGATTGAAAATTAATACGTAATATTACACATATTTATGGGGTCCATGTGATATGTTGATACATGTATACAATGTGTAACAATCAAGTCAGGGTATTTAAGATTTCCTTCCTTTAGAATATTTATCATTTCTATGTGTTGGGAACATTTCCAGTTCTCTCTTCTGGCTGTTCTGAAATACACAACATGTTGTTCTTAACTGTAGTCACCCCAGCATGCTGTCAGACACTACACCTCACTCCTTCCACCTGTGTGTATTTGTACCTCTCTTTTTTTTTTCAAGACAGATTCTTGCTTTGTTGCCCAGGCCGGAGTGCAGTGGTGAGATCTTGGTTCACTGCAACCTCCCCTCTCCCAGGTTCAAGCGATTCTCCTGCCTCAGCCTCCCAAGTAGCTGGTATTACAGGCGCACACCACCACGCCTGGCTAATTTTTGTATTTGTAGTAGAGACGGGATTTCACCATGTTGGTCAGGCTGGTCTTGAACTCCTGACCTCAGGTGATCCACCCGCCTCGACCTCCCGAAGTGCTGAGATTACAGGTGTGAGCCACAGCACCCAGCCATCTTTGTACCTCTTAACCCACCTTTCTTTATCCTCCAACACCCTCCCCAGGCGCTGGTGTCTGTCATTCCACTCTCTACCTCAATAACTTCAACTTTTTTCGCTCCTCCATGTGAGTGAGAACATGTGATATTTGTCTCTCTGTGCCTGGCTTCTTTTACTTCACATGATGACCTGCGTGCCACTGCAGGGATGACAGGGTTTCATTCTTTTTCATGGCTGAGTAATACTCCATTGTGTATCTATACCACCTTTTCTTTATCCCTTCACCCGTTAGTCTTTGTCCTTTCTAATTGAGTTGTTAACCATTTTATTATTGAGTTGTAGAAAATGTCATTTTTTTTTTTAGACGGAGTCTCGCTCTATTGCCCAGGCTGGAGTGCAATGGCGCGGTCTCGGCTCACTGCAACTTCCACCTCCCAGGTTCAAGCGATTCTCCTACCTCAACCTCCCAGGTAGCTGGGATTACAGGTGCCTGCCACCATGCCTGGCTAATTTTGTATTTTTAGTAGACCTGGGGTTTCACCATGTTGGCCAGGCTGGGCTCGAACTCCTGACCTCAGGTGATCCACCTGCTTCAGCCTTCCAAAGTGCTGCTGGGATTATAGGCGTGAGCCGCTGTGCCCGGACAAAAATGTCATTTTTTAAAAAGAGGGGCAAGTACGGGAGGAGAATTGAACTGTGTGGGCCGGAAGCACAGACCCGTGAGCACAGGTTCACATGGCAGCTGGCGGGCACTGCCTCCAAGGGTCAGCCCAGGTGTACGCCAGGGACACGTGCTGAGGTGCACACCTGCTGCCCAGGGATGCCCAAATGTGTGTCTGCCCACGAAGATCCCAAATGTGTCGTGTGTCACACCTACAGGCATGAAGCTCAGGTCAGCCTGCCCCCAGGACTGTGTGTGCCCTTCTGGCCAGATTGGAGCAATTCTCTCATTTTGCAGGTAGGGAGACAGGGACACAGAAAGGCCCCTTCACCAGTCTGAGGTCACTCAGCTGGCCAATTTCAGGGTCTGGACTTGAAGGCAGGGTGTCAGACTCTGAGCCTCCCCCTTGCTTCCAGAAGGCTCCAGGAGCATGTGTGGCCCCCAGACCTTTGCCCTCACCTCAGTCACTTGAGAACCTCATGTCCTGGATCCCCCATTTCCTGAGCTGCTGTGTGACCTTGGGGAGCATGCTGCCCACCTCTGGGCCTCAGGCTCCTTGCTGGGGATGGAGGAGCCGCACTGGATGGTCCCCAAGGGCCTTCCCAGCACTGAGGCTGCAGACTCCTGGCTCTCCTCCTAGGAGGGCACCAAGTACCTCTCCCACCTCCTCCTCCGTGCAGTTAATCAGGTCATTAGGAGCTCAACCATGGCTTTCTAACAAAAGTGCACCGGCCCCTGTGGACGCTAGGAAGTGGCAGGGAGCTTGAGTGGATGGTGAGGAGTGGCAGCTGCGGCTGGGAGGGTGGACTCAGCCCCCAGCTTTGCCCTGAGGAGAAGAGGGGGAAGCCTCATCCTGCCCAAGCCCTGGCTTTGTTCAGGACACACATCTGCTCTTTCTAGAAGCTGCTCACAAAGATCTGCCAGGGTCCCCACCATCCTCCTCATGGTCAGAGTGAGATGACTGTGGATGAGGGCGCAGCTCTGCCCCAGCACACACCCCCTTCCCTGGACATCAGGGTCTGGCTGGCACTGCAGAGGCAGGGCAGGGGGCTGCGTCTCCTCCCTCTGAGCCTGTCCTGGGCCCAGCCAGGGGGTCCTTTGAGGGCTTGAGTTCAAATAACTTACGGAAAAGGGAGCAGAGCTGGATGGCCCTTGCATGGCCAGGCAATTTCTGACCCAGCAGCCTCCATTTACCCACATGTCTCTGAGGACTCTGATACTCTGGATTTGAGGGGACAGCTGGGCAGGGCCGATGGGGCTGGCCTTGGGGAAGAGGCTGTTTCCAGCCCAGTCTGCATGGAGCACAGACAGACACCTCGGTCTGTCCTGGAGTCCTTTGCTGTGTCTGGTCCACCCGTAGCCGGCCCTGGACTGCCCACCATCTTAGTGATGTGGGTACCATGCCCATTCATCCTGTTTGCTCTCAGAGCTGGCAGCTAGGGCTGTGCAGCAAGGTGAGGATTTTGAGTTCCATGTATCAAATGGGAACACAGGCTCAGAGAGGGCTGGTAACTTGCCGAGGCACCAGAGATAGCCTGCACTGGAAACAGTGAATCCTGCCGCAGGGCTGGAACCTTCAGGACCATTACTCAGAAACCCACCCAGTGCTCTTGAGGGCTGTGGGGTGAGGGGTGGCCAGAATATAGTCTGCTCTGGCATTTTCTAGGGATACTGCTGGATGCTGCTGCTGGCTCTAGAATCTGGGGGTACAGACCTGTGCTTGGGTAGGCTGTGGGTCTTCAGAGAGGCCCCTAGGCCCCCCGAGACCCAAGTGTACCAGCAGGACAGCTGCCGGCCCCAAACAGAGCATCCGTGCTGCCCTCATCCAGCTTCCCCATCACCACACACATCTAGGGCAGCTGCTGAGCTCAGATGGCTTTCGTCACTGCCATGGGCCTATTGCAAATCCCTTCCTGCTTTGAAGGCTCGGTTTTCCCATCTGTGAAATGGGTCTGATCAGAATGGGGCTGTCTTGGAGATAAGGTGGTGTGGGGGAGGTGCCCAGTCCAGACCTGCTCATGCATGGGATTTGGGAAACAGCGATGGGTGGGAGGTACAGAAAAGAATCAGATGTGGATCCTGCCTGCAGCCTGAGGGGCACCCAGTGAGAGCCCAGGGGAGGGTGTGCCCACTACAGAGGGCATTCGGGGAGGAGGGAGCCTCCCTCCCTGCGTCCAGAGCCTGAGGAGTGTGTGGATATGTGGGAGGGTGGGCAGGTATTCCAGGAAGGGAGGGGGCTGCTGTCCCCCAGGGCAGGCGGCAGGAAGCCAGCAGGTCCTTTATTCAGGAGTAGTTACTGTGCACCAGAGGTGGCTGCCCAACCTGCAGGCAGGCCACGCTGGGCTGCAGGCAGTGGTGGGCGAGGAGCGGTGGGGTCAGGCCTCTGGGGCCTTGGGGGCCAGGCCAAGGCACTGGAAGTCGTCTCAGAGGCCTTGGGGGCCACTGACAGCTGCTGAGCAAGGCACATGGGTCCAGGCTGTCTGCACCCACTGCAGAGGACCGGCTTCTAAGTCTAAGCACTGGCTCGCTGTCAGCCTGGAGGAAGGATGGCGTGTGGGCGGACTGGCAAGGTGCCCAGTCACGGCCCCAGGAGGGACTTGGGGAGGGACACGGGGGAAGCCTGCAGCCCTTCTGCCCTTCCCACTACACACCTAGGCACACCATGACAAAGCCCTCGGAGTGGGCGTCTAGGTCTGTAACATGGGGTAACGGGCCCTCCCCCGTGGGCTGTTGTGAGAATTAAACCAGACAACACAGGCAACGTGCCGGGCGCACGGGAGCCCACAGTCCACGGCAGCGACTCTCGCCGGACCTAAGGTCGTTCTTACTGATTGTGCCAAAACTATGACTCTCTGCAGCTCACCTCCCCCTTGTCTCCATGACGAGAGACCAGAGGGTTTGGCTCATTAAAAGCAAATAAAAAAGGAATTAGCAGGAGCGGCAGGCGATGAGTAACCGGTGAGTAACTGAGTCTGAGCCTGGGGCAGGCATAGCCAGGTGAGAGCAGGCGCTTGCGGGAGGCTGGAAGGGAGGCTTGTGGGAAGTGTCCTCCAAGGGTGCAAACCCAGCCGTGGATCTGCCAGCCTGCTCAGGGACTTCAGGACAGTGGCATCCCCTGACCCGCTCTGCAGCCTTCCTATGGGGCAGGAAGAGGAGGGTCACAGGCTGTTGTTCCAGGACCTCTGAGGGGACATCCACATCTGTCCTCAAGGTCCACCGGCTGGGCCCGCACAATCATTTGGGGTTCCTAGACCCCCTCCATCGGGTGACACATGCCCACTCCAGAGCCAGCTCAGCCTCCCTAGAGCTCCTACCCAGAGCCTGCCTACAGCTGCGCCTTTCCCCCAGGTCCACAGACTGTCCACAGGCAGCATCTTCCCTGGGGGCTGCATAGCCCACATCCCCCCTCTCCTCCTGCCCCAGGTCACCTTAGCCTCAGAGAGGCCAAGCTGGGGGCAGAAGGACCTTCCAGGGCCCCCGACCCCAGGCACTTTGCTCCTCCGTCAGCCTTCCTGGTCTTTGAATTCATTCCCTGGGTTTGAATCTTGCTCCAGCCACTCTCTGTGCCTCTGCTTCCTCCTCTGTAAACCGGGAATCATGGTTGGACGCGCCTCATCCTAACGTCCAGGTGAAATGGGAGCGCATGTGAGGGCTGGGTGTGCGCCCGGCGCATGTGGAGAGCCCTGAGGGTGGGCTACGCTGTTGCTGGTGCCGACCGGCCTCTGAATGTTCCGGAATCCACGCCTGTGTGGCCAGACAAGTGCCCTGACATCCAGCCCTCCCCAGCAGCTGGCCCTGGCACCTGGACAGAAAGTGCCACCTGCTTGCGAGACATTCTCCCCCTCCTCTGTGGCCACTCTTGACCTCACCAAACCCTTCCACAGCTCAGCATCTTTGCCTCTGTGTGCCCAGGCCGGGAGTGCACGCCTGTCACAGCCACACATACACCACACACACACAGCAAGCGAATCCATGCTCCTTGTTAAGATTGTACCCACTTAAGATGTAACCTCCTCCAGGAAGCCTTCCTTGACTCCACTCCACGGAGGTAGGTCAGTGAATCCTTTGAGGTGCCATGATCCCTCTGTGGCCCTTCTCCACCCTTTACTGGGATCCCCCTCTTGGTTTATTGCCCCCTCCCCCTACCCCCATGAGATTTCTGAGGCTTTCTTGCCAGTGGGCCCTGTTGTGCTTGGGGAATGCAGACAGAACGGGGCGTTTAATACCCCACTTCACACCTCATGCATGGGCTTCCCTTCGCATCATCTTGACCTAATTTAGACTCGGGGAAGTGGGTTCCTATATCCTCCTGGCCCTGGCCCAGGCAGGGAGCGGGCAGCGTGGGTAGGCAGTGGCCAGAAGAGGAGAGGCTGGCAGGATGAGGCCCTTCAAAGGCAGGGGCTGTGCTGCCTGCAGCTCAGAGGAGGCTGATCATTGCAGTCTCGGACCTTGCTGGGGAGGGAGGGATGCTGGACACCATCCTCCCCTTAGTTCTTCTCAGGAAGGAAGTTCCCGGGAAGCTGTGGCTCCCTCCATGACGGCAGACAGACAGCCTACCAAGGTCTTCTCCTAAGGCTGGTGGGCCCCATCCCAGTCCTCACCCTGATGGAAGATACCCTAGGGGAAGAGGGACCCCCACCTGGCTGAGCCCCCAGCAGGCTGCGGGCAAGGAAGTGGCCCCAGAGCATGCACACAGCCCCTAGCACAAAGCTGGGCATGCCGTTGGTGCTCAGTAGTTGTTCATAGAACAGACCTGACTTGCCTCTCTATCTGCGGGCTGTCACCTCAGCCCCAATAACAGGCACAGCAGTGGGCAACTGAGGGCTGTGCAGGTGCTCGCGGGTGCTGGGCAGGGGACTGCACCATGCCAGCAGTGTGAGTCTCCAGCTGCCCTCTCCTGGGCTGAGCACTGTCCCTGTTCTTCCTGTTGCTGAGATGGGCAGGGAGGTTCCCACTCACTGGAGTTTGGCTCTTGGTCCTCCAGCTGGCATGGTTGAGCCTGCTCGGTGTCCACATGGACCAGGCGCTGGGGACATAGAAATGACATGGACTCAGCCAGGGGCAGGTTGAGAGGGACCCAAGAGTCCAGAGCCAGGATGGAAGGATGCACAGGGCCTGGCCTGGAGATGGGGGAAACAAAGAGGAAATGAGAGCTGAACCTGCCCATCTCGGGTCTTCGGACCCATATGGAAGTCCCCGCTGGTAGGGCTCACCAGGGAGAGGGTGTCCGGATCTGGGTCAAATCAGGAACTGAAGGGTCAGGTACCAAGTGCTCCCTTCTGGCGGGGGGGGTCTGGGAAGGCTGCCTGGACAGGGAGGCCTCAGACCCGGGCCTTGGAAGGTCCTTGGGATTTGGGTATGAAGTGGGAGGGAATGCCACCAAAAAGACCACATAATCCCCAGGGGATGTGAGCAGCGCCTGGAAGGACTGAGTCACTGTTCTGGGCAGAGGATGGGGAGAGAGGGCTGAGGCAGCCAGTAGGCATTGACCTGGGACCCTCCCCTCCCAGCTCAGCCGTGGGCTTGGCTCTACCGGCAGAGGGGAGCAGTGAAGGTGCCAGCGAGGGACCTGGCCAGACTGCCCTTGGAGGGAACCAGCTGGTGGCTGGGGAGATGAAGCAGCAGGGAGGACTGCTGCCCAAGTCCAGGCAGTTCTGGGGCCCCTGGGTCAGGCAGGGGTATTAGGAGGAAGTGAGGAAAATGGGCCGAGGATCTGGAGACGGACTGAAGGCGGGTGGACCAAGAGGGAGATGGCAACAAAGAGCTTCTGAGCTGTGTGACTTCTGCCTGGGTTCCTGGCTGGGGGTGGGGACGAGGCCCCCCATGCTCCCCGTGGCCCCAGGTTCCATCAGCCATGCATGCCTGGTCCCCACGGGGGTCAGTGCAAATGCCCGTTCATGAGGAGGGGCTCCTGGGAGGCTGGCAGAGGGGAGGAGCAGAGGCATGGACACCCATCCCCCTCCACAGGTCCCCACCAGTCACTCTCAGGGCTGGAGAAACTGGGCCTCTCCTGCCCAGTCTTGGGAACAGGGAGAGAAGCTGTCGGCAGCACTGCATGCTGGAGGGCAGTCGCAGGGTGCACTGGGGCCTGCTGTGTACCAGGCACTCACAGGGTGACCTGGGGCCTGCTGTATACCAGGTGCTGCCCCTACCATAGCCCTGAGAGATGGCTCCCATCAGCCCCGCTTTGGTGAGTCAGAGGCACAGAGGGGGCGAGCGATGAGCCCAGGGTCACACAACCAGCCAACAGCAGGTGGATCGAGGCCCGGCACCCTGTCCCCTGAGCCCACCTGGCCCAGGGCCTGGGGTCTCACCTTCTGCACCTGTCTGTCCCCGCAGGGAGCCGTGAGGCTGCCTTCACGTACGCCATCACCGCGGCTGGCGTGGCGCACGCCGTCACCGCTGCCTGCAGCCAAGGGAACCTGAGCAACTGCGGCTGCGACCGCGAGAAGCAGGGCTACTACAACCAAGCCGAGGGCTGGAAGTGGGGCGGCTGCTCGGCCGACGTGCGTTACGGCATCGACTTCTCCCGGCGCTTCGTGGACGCTCGGGAGATCAAGAAGAACGCGCGGCGCCTCATGAACCTGCATAACAATGAGGCCGGCAGGAAGGTAGGGTGCGGGTGCGGCTGGTGGGGGCCGTAGCTGGGACCGCTGTATCACCCGCTGACCTCTCGGAGCCTCAGGCTCCTCTTCTAGCAGAAGCAGTTGAGTCTCCGTAGGTGTGCAGGGGGTGGGGCCGTCTGGGTCCTCCACGTGCATGGCTCTGAGCCTCCCAGCACCGGGAGGAGGCTGTCCCCATCCAGAGATGTGAGAGCCGAGGCTCTGAATGCCAACGCGATGCTCACGGCCCCCAGGGAAGATGGGGACTCCATTTCCATGCAGGGTGTGAGCTGGGCTTGGCTGGGGACCCCGTGGCGGAGGGTCCCAGGCCACAGCCCATGTCCCTGCCCTTGGCGTTCCTGGTCCCGGAGGTCACCTCGGCACACCAGGAAAGACTTCCTGGCAGAGGCAGCCTTTTTGCTCAGCAAGGAAGGGATGCCCCCAGGAGGCAGGAGCAGCCTGAGGAAGGTGGAAGCTGTGAGCCGGGGGCTGCTGGGGAGCAGGCCGCTCCTGCATGGGGCGGGACGGAGTGTGGTGGGTGGCAATGGAGGAAATTCAGGCAGGGACACACCGGGGAAGAAGTCAGAGCAAGCCGGGCCCCGCCCACTGGAGATGAGGGCCCCAGATACTGGGCTGGGAGGAGCAGCTGCACGGCGGCAAGATGGCCTGAGATAGGGTGGCCAGCCAAGTGGAACGCCCAGCCGGCTCCGGCTCCGAGGCCTGGGGGCTGCACCCAGGGCAGCAGAGCCTAGGGGGCTTCTCAGGTGTGGGACAGACTTGCCGTTCCAGGCAAAGTGGAGCTGAAGAATCCCTCGGGCCCAGGGACCATAGCTGAGGCCACTGGTCACTCACTGCCCTTTTCTGTGCCAGGTGCTAGGCTGGGCACGGGGCAGAGAGGAATCAGGGCCCTGGCTGTGGGAACTGGGTCCACATGAGGGGTGCAGGGGTCACACCCAGGACGGTGAGGGCTTGGTTGTGTAGGAGAGTGTCAGAGTGAAGCTTTGATGGCCACAGGGCTTGGGAAGCAAGTAGGGCCTGGCACAGAAGAGATCTTGAACACCAGGCCAGGGGTTTGACTTTCTCTTGTAGATGTGGAGGTTATCATGCAGGTGGTTATTAAGTTATTGTTGGATGGATGGATAGATGTATGAGTGGATGGATGGAAGGATGAGTGGGTGGATGGGAGGATAGATGGATGGGTAGATAGATGAGTGGATGAGTGGGTAGATGGTTGGATGGATGGATGGAAGGATGAGTGGGTGGATGTATAGAAGAGTGCATGGGAAGATAGATGGATGGGTAGATGGTTGAGTGGATCGGTGGGTGGATGGAAGGATAAGTAGACAGATGAATGAAAGGATGGATCGGTGGGTGGATGGGTGAGTGGATTCACGGGTGGATGGAAAGATGGGTGGATGGAAGTATGGAGGGAAGGATGGGCGGGTGGGTGGAAGGATGGATGAGTGGATGCATGGATGGAAGGATGGGTGTATGGGCAGGTGGATGGATGCATGAATGGATGGAAGTATGGATGAATGAGGGGATGGGTGGAAGGATGGTTGGAAGGATGAGTGGGTGGAAAGATGGACGGAAGTATTGGTGGGTGGGTGGGTGGGTGGATGTACAGATGGAAGGATAAGTAGATGGACGAATCAAAGGATGGATCAGTGGGTGGGTGGATGGATGAGTGGATTCACGGGTGGATGGAAGGATGGATGGGTGAGTGGGTGGATGGGTGAATAGATGGATGGATAAAGGAATGAGTGACACAGGCTTTGCCTCCAAGGAACTCACAGACAGCATGTGAGCACTAGTCTCCAGGTACAGGCAGATCACAGTCCATGCCATAAAGGAGGCCTACGAACCTTGAGAGTCCAGAGGAAAGTGTGGTTCACCTACCTGGAGGCATCTGGGAGGACTCCCTGGAGGAGGAGGAGAAAGAGGAGAAGGCAAGGCTGAGCCCTCGTGGGAACCACCACCATCCTCGAGCCTCTGCAGCTGCTTAGGTTCTGAGCAGAGCCTTTCCCACACCCCCGGGGAAGAAACTCTCACTCTCCCCATTTTAAAGATAAGGAGAGTGAGGCTCAGAGTGAGCAGCAGACCTGGATGAGTGGCTCTGGAGGCTTAAGCTCGGGTCCCTGCTTGTGGGGAAGTGTACACAGCAGAGATGCGGGCAAGAGCACTCCAGGCAGAGGGAATAGCACAGGTAAAGGCATGGGGAACCAAGGTCGTGGTATGTCGTGGTATGCGGTATGGGGAAACCAGGGCCAGGATGGCCGGGTAGGGTGGTGTTGGTCTCTGGGCTACAGGTGCCATTGCAGGGCCCTGGGGCAGTGACACTGACCAACTCAGGGACCAGGGTTGTGTCTGATTTAGCTCTAGGGTGCTGTGTGAACCCCAGGGCTGACTTGGTGTGGGACTTGGAGGTGTCTGGTGACTCACAAGTGATGGAAAGGCAGAAGGGAAATGGAGACAGGAGGTGGGAAAACAAGGCGGCTGGTGATGGTCCCCACGGGTGGGCAGGAGACAAAGAGGACAGCCACAGGAAAGGGCTCTGATGATGCCGCCAGTGGCCAATTCTCCTACCAGCCTTGTCTCGGATGGCCGGTGGGGCCCTGGCTGACCCACGCTGCTGCTGAGCCTTGACCTCCTCATCTGCACAGTGGGTGCAATGCACTTTGTCCCCCAACTCCTCACTGCCCCGACCCTGTGCACCTGTGGGGCACAAGCGTGGTCTGAGCCCTTGGAGAAGGCCGAGGGTGGTGGCATCACGGCAGTGGGAGGTGGGTGTAGGGTGGGGCTTTGGAACTTTCCATAAGCACTGAATCCAGCCCTTCCTGGGTTGGTGCTGGGGCCCTAGCCCCATCACAGAGTACCAGGCCTGCCCCTGCCCCCCAGCTTCCTCAGGACCCCGCTGCACAGTGAGGTGGGTGGAAAGCAGCTGACTGCCGCCACAGACAAGTGCCGCGGGTGGGGCCTTAGAGCAAAGGACACCTGTTCTCTCTCAGCTCTGGGGCCCCAAGTCCAAAATCGAGGTGCTGGTTGGCAGGGCTGCACTCCCTCTAGGCAGCAGGGGAGGAGACTTCCTGGCTCTCGCAGCATTCCTCAGCTCCCAGTGTTCCTCCGCTGTGGCCACATCCCTCCAGCCCCTGCCTGTCTTCACCAGGTCTCCTCTGAGCCTGAGTCGTCTTCTCTTCCATCTCTTTGTTTTGAGATGGAGTCTTGCTCTGTCGCTGAGGCTGGAGTGCAGTGGCCTGCTCTCTGCTCACCGCAACCTCTGCCTTCCGGGTTCAAGCAATTCTCCTGCCTCAGCCTCCCGAATAGCTGGGATTACAGGCGTGTGCCACTGTGCCCAGCTAATTTCTGTATTGTTAGTAGAGATGGGGCTTCACCATGTTGCCCAGGCTGGTCTTGAACCCCTAACCTCAGGTGATCTGCCCGCCTCGGCCTCCCAAAGTGCTTGGATTACAGGTGTGAGCCACTGCACCTGGCCCTGTTCCATCTCTTATATGGACACTCTCATTGGATTTAGGGCCTACTTGGACAACCCAGGGTGACCTCCTCTCCGTTGTTTCCTTGACCACATCTGTAAAGGCCCTACTTCCAAATAAAGTCACTTGCCGAGGCTCTGAGCAGACATGAATTTGGGGGGTTGCTATGCCGTTCCCCTAGCTGGCATGTGGCCCAGGCTGGTGTCCCTGATGGGCAAGAGTGAGATGGGCAGAGTCTGGAGGCCCGCCCCCGCCCTGCCCCCACTTCTACCAGACCAAGGCCCTGGCTGCCCTTCCCCAAGCTCCCTGGGGGGCGGGGGTGACCTTTAATGGGCTGCCGCAGGGTGCCTGTGCGGAAAACTGTCAGAGCAGCCCCTGAGGTTTTGGAGACCTGAGTGCCCAGTGCCCGGCCCCCAGCTCTGCCCCTGGCACATGGTCCCCACTGCTACGTGGGGCAGGCAGGTCAGCAGGGCAGACAGAGGCCATGCCCCCAAGACCAACCCAGTGAAGGCAAGAGATTGTCCATCTGCAGAGGCCTGGGGGCTGTTGTCCGGACAGCTGAGGGCACCTCTCTTGGTGACATGAGGTTAGAAGCTATCGCTGTGGAGTTCCACCAGCTCCTGGAGCCAGGGGGTGGGAACCCCCTTAGCTGGCCATGTCCCACGTCTTGGCACAGCCCTTCCCTGACTGAGGGTCCACAGCGTCCTGCTGGGTGGGCGCATTGTTCACACCGTCCTAATGGGAGCGCCGGATCCTGGGAGGGGCACACCCTCCACACTCTCCTTCTCGGCCAGTGGCTCATGATGTAACTTCACTCGAGGCCACATTCAGTCCACTCTGTGGGCTCGTGGTCAGAGGGTGAAGCAGACGTGTGCTGTGTCCCTGAGGGGCTCACAGGTCAGGGCCACACTTACTTAGGGGCAGGGACCGGCCAGCATGGGAGGTGCTGTGGAAGAGGGTGTGAGGCACCTCATTCCACAGCCGCAGGCCATGGCCAGGATCCAGGGTGAGGTGCCTTCTGTCGGCCCCAGTGGCCGGAATATCGGACGCCAGGCTCCTGGGCTGGTCAGTCTCGCCCTGGAAGGACTTTAGTCCACCAACCCCATGACTCCCCTGCCTGGCTGTAACTGAGCACTGTTTCCAGAGCACAGGCTACACCCTTATTCTGGAAAGAACATTGAATTGGCCCTTTCCTGGAGCCCCCTCAGTCCACCACCCCCCTGCCCAACCAGGCCCCCAGCGTCGAGGAGGAACCAAGGCCTGGAGGAGCGGCCCCTGCGGCAGCCTGCAGCTCCCCTGAGCAAGATGAGCTCACTCTGTGCCCTGCCAGGTGGTCTCTTGGGGCAGGGGGCCGGTCTCAGTGCTGGCACCACCATTGCTGTTGCTCGAATGCCCAGGGCACTGGAGAAGGAAACGGCACATTCTTGAACCCTGTGATCACTTCCTGGGAGAGGCTCTGACCCAAGGGATCCAGCCAAGCGAGGATGTGGCCCCTCGCTCTGCAAGCAGCGGCCCAGTAGGCTTTATTTGCGGATGGTCACGGGCCTGGCCCTGCGGGAGCCGATTATCCCCAGGCGGGCAGTAGCATGCAGCTGGGTTCCCTGGCCTTGATGAAGACCGGGAGACAGGGACAGGGGAGGGAGGAGGGGGAGGGATACAGGGCACAGTACCAGGGGCAGCCATCCTGGGCCACAGCAGGAGCACTAGAGGGCAGCTTGGGCCTAGACCACGTGGCCTGCACACCCTCTAGTCTGGACAGGCCTGCCAGGTCTCCGGCCATCCAGGCCCATCTGAGGAGGGTGAGCAGCCCGGGGTGGGGTGAACTTCTCCCGGCTGGGAACTCCGAGAGGGGCCACCATCAGGGCAGCTCCTGGGGTGGCGCCTGGCCTGGGGAGCATCCGAGCAGGCCGTGTGGCCAGGGCCAGGGACACTTCCAGGCCTGAAGGGCAGGTTAGTGGAGGGAAGGGCTTTTCCAGGAGGGGACAGATCCCAGCAGAGATGAACAGGGAGCTGGGGTGATGGACAGGATGGGAGAGGGACAGGAGGCAGGGAGGAGGTCCCAATATACTCTCTGGGGGTCGCCCAGACACGCAGTCCAGGCTCTGGCCCATGACCTTGGCCCAGATGCCCCTTAGCCCTGCAATTCCCCAAAGCTGCCCCGCCCTCTTCTCAGGACACCCGGGCTCCTCCCACCCTCTGCCATCCTGGGAGGGACATCAGCCTCCCTCTCCCACCTCCCTCAAGTCTCTCCAGTCTCCCCAGTCTCTCCAGTCTTTGTCCAAGGGCATCACTGATGCAGAGCAGAAAACACCCCAGCTCCAGGCTGCCAGCCTAGGGCCCACCCGGCACCCACCTGCCAGCCTAGGGCCCACACAGCACCCACCTGATGAGACTTTGCGCCCACCCGGCACCCACCTGCTAGCCTAGGGCCCACCCGGCACCCACCTGATGAGCCTTTGGGCCCACCCAGCACCCACCTGCCAGCCTAGGGCCCACCCAGCACTCATCTGATGTGCCTTTGGGCCCACCCAGCACCCACCTGCCAGCCTAGGGCCCACCCAGCACCCACCTGATGAGCCTTTGGACCCACCCAGCACCTGCCTGATGAGACTTTGGGCCCGCCCGGCACCCACCTGCCAGCCTAGGGCCCACCCAGCACCCACCTGATGAGCCTTCAGGCCCACCCAGCACCCACCTGCCACTCTAGGGCCCACCTGGTGCCCACCTGATGAGCCTTTGGGCCCACCCAGCACCCACCTGCCACTCTAGGGCCCACCCAGCACCCGCCTGATGAGCCTTTGGGCCCCCCAGCACCTGCCTGATGAGCCTTTGGGTCCCCCGGCACCCACCTGCCAGCCTAGGGCCCGCCCGGCACCCACCTGCCAGTCTAGGGCCCACCCGGCACCCACCTGATGAGCCTTTGGGACCCCCAGCACCCACCTGCCAGCCTAGGGCCCACCTGGCACCCACCTGATGAGCCTTTGGGCCCAGCCTTTTCCTTCATGCTCAGTGGTCTCCAGACCTTCGCTCATGTTGAACCCCTCCTGGAATGCTGTCCTCTTTGTCTAACGAGCTCCGACTCATCCATCAATACCCACACCTCCTCCAGGAAGCCCTACCTCAAGGACCCTCACTGCAGCAGGATTAGGCTCTCCTGGGTTCCCGCAGCACCTTCACTATGTCCCATGCTGAACTGTGAGCCCCAGAGGACCTCATGCAATCAGGCCAGGGAAGCTGCTTGGGGCAGTAGCCATCTCTGTGGGGTTCTCTCCCTCTTTTTCTTGTACTCATTCATTCATTCATTTTCTGGGGGACTTCTCCACTAGGCTAGAGCTGGGGGCCAACAGCAGGTGCCCCATGACCGTGAGTTCTGGCCCGAGGGACAGAGGGTGGCCAAGCCCCGGCAGGGCTGGGCTGCCGAGTGAGGCCAGCAGAGCTCTGACAGCTGACAAATGGCCTCTCTGCAGCCGTGGGGCGCCAGCTAATAATTCCCCATCTTCAATCAGGCCCGGCTGGCAGGGCCCTTTCGATCCGGGTAAATGAGTACCTGGGGTCAGGGCTGGCTCTGGGAATCAGCCTTCCGGGGCCATGGAGGGAGGCCCAAGGAAAACACTCGGCTGCACCCGTGGAGGGCCCTTGTGGAGCTGGGGAGAAAGAACAGCGGGCGGGCCGGGGCTGTCGGCTTCTCAGCATGCCCGGGCCTCGCTGATCCGTGTACTCGCCTCCCCTGCTCCCCTTGGCCTTGGGCAACGTGCGCCGAGGGCCACCGGCACACCAGGCTTCCATTAAACACCAACTGCATGCCAGACCCTACGCTAAGCTCGAGGGTGGGGAGCGGGAGAGATGGCAGGGTGGGGTAATGAGCATTTATTAAGCACCTACTGTTGCTGGGCCTACCCCACCTGCTGCCTGTGACCTGCAGCAGGTCCCACAGCCCCAAACCTCGGTTTCCTCACCAGTGCATGACCAGGATATAGCATCTCCTTGAAGGGCTGTGAGAGTCTAACAAAGCACCTTCAATAAATGTACAGCAGGCTCTGCCAAGTCCTGAATATTCTCACTGTACCCTCACAACCTCCTATGCAGTGGAGACCTATTGTTAGCAGCCCCATGTAATAGGTGAGGAGGCTGAGGGTCAGAGAGGGAGAGACACTCACCTGTGGTCACACAGCCCAAGGGGAGGAGCGGGCTCCAGGGCTGGGCTAGAGGCAGGGGTAGGGGAACCTAGAGGGGCCCAGCTTGGGCCATGCCGTGCCGAGCAGCTTCCCTGTCACCCGCAGGTTCTAGAGGACCGGATGCAGCTGGAGTGCAAGTGCCACGGCGTGTCTGGCTCCTGCACCACCAAAACCTGCTGGACCACGCTGCCCAAGTTCCGAGAGGTGGGCCACCTGCTGAAGGAGAAGTACAACGCGGCCGTGCAGGTGGAGGTGGTGCGGGCCAGCCGTCTGCGGCAGCCCACCTTCCTGCGCATCAAACAGCTGCGCAGCTATCAGAAGCCCATGGAGACAGACCTGGTGTACATTGAGAAGTCGCCCAACTACTGCGAGGAGGACGCGGCCACGGGCAGCGTGGGCACGCAGGGCCGTCTCTGCAACCGCACGTCGCCCGGCGCGGACGGCTGTGACACCATGTGCTGCGGCCGAGGCTACAACACCCACCAGTACACCAAGGTGTGGCAGTGCAACTGCAAATTCCACTGGTGCTGCTTCGTCAAGTGCAACACCTGCAGCGAGCGCACCGAGGTCTTCACCTGCAAGTGAGGCCAGGCCCGGAGGCGGCCGCGGGCACCCTGGAACCCGGCGGCATTTTGCACATCCACTCCTCACCTTCCCTGCCTTGGTGCTGCCAGCAGCAGACATAGACGGGTGCAGAAGCGGGGAGCTCCAGGTGCAGGAGGGCACCGGCCGGGGCCCACGCCCTCTGCCCGCCTCCCTGGGGCTCCTTCCTGCCACCTCCTCCCATCACCTCCTGCGGCAGAACAGCACCCGTGACCCACCCAGAGAGCAAGGCCAGGGGTCTTGGTGCTCCCCGACGGGGCCCGGCAAGTTCTCTTTCTTCTCTCTGGGAAAATGAACGTCCAGGACACACCTGTATCCCAGAGAGCAAAGTGATGAGGAGACTGAGCGTCCCCAGCCCCACCTGGCGGCATGGACACAGAAAAGCTACGCCGGCTGGCCTCTCCAGACCAGTTCCCAGGCTGGGTCTGCCGCTGGGCCCTGGGGCGGTGGGGACAGATGTTGACACAAATTATTTATGTTTTCTTAGTATCAGAAGAGGATTCTCGGCACTAACACATAGCCAGTCCTAACTCCGTACTCTGTGTCAGCCCATCCCCTAGACACCCTCTGTTTCCTTTCCCGGCCCCACCTGGCCGGCCCTCTGCCCCTGCAGAGCTGAGGCAGCCTGGGGTTGATGGGGACCACGCGGTGCCTGCAGGTCCTAGAAGTGAGCTGGGCAGGGGCTCTTCAGACCACACAGCCCTGACCGGGCCTTGGAGGAGAGCCATGGACAGGCTCCTCCATGCCGTCTTTCCTTCTTTTGAAAATCCTATCAATGGCTGGGCGCGGTGGCTCACACCTGTAATCCCAGCACTTTGGGAGACCGAGGCAGGTGGATCACCTGAGGTCAGGAGTTCGAGACCAGCCTGGCCAACGTGGTGAAACCCTGTCTCTACTAAAAATACAAAAATTAGCTGGGCGTGGTGGCGTGCACCTGTAATCCCAGCTACTCAGGAGGCTGAGACAGGACACTTGCTTGAACCCGGGAGGTGGAGGTTGCAATGAGCCAAGATTGTGCCACTGTATTCCAACTTGGGTGACAGAGCACGACTCTGTCTCAAAAAAAGAAAAGAAAATAATATCAAGCAAATCAAAATATCACCCACGTCAGGTTCCAGGAGTCCTTCGTTCCCTCCCTCATCCTGTCACCCTCCCGGCCTGGCACCTCCAGTTTACAGAGACCCCCTTCCCCCTGGAGCCAGCCTGACCCCTGGGACAGTGCTGCCGCGGGGGTCAGGCAGGTGGTGAGTGGTCAGGGATGTTTGTCCCACTTGACAGATGGGAACTCTGAGGCCCAGAGTGGCACAAGGACCTACCAGAGACCCTGCAGCTGTGACTGGAGGCTTCCACCTTTCTCCTGCCCAGCCTGGGGCTCTGGACCTGGGAGAACACATCAGGATGCCCGGGGTGGCAGTAGGTAGCTCCCATGCCTTGAGGCACTTGGCTGCTCCCTCCACCCCCTGACAGCCTCATTGGGGCCTGCACTCCCCTCGGTGCCTTTGAGGCTTCGCCTAGCCCTGTCCTGGTCCTTTTACCCTGACCCCAGTGCTGAGAAAATCTGGATCCAGAGCTGGACATGTCCTTTCTGGATGCTCCCACCCCTGTCTCTGAGGAGCATGAGTGACAGAGGGAGGAACTTGTCCGAGGCCAGAGAGGATGGTCTGCAGCTGGCTCCTGGTGCACCCCCACTGCCCACGGCCTGGCCCCCATTTAGGGTGTGTTCTCTTGGAAGCCCGTAGGAATGTGTTCTTGAGCAGCCGACAAGCCAAGGGCCTGGGCTCAGCCTGGGGCAAGTGGGTCCCTCCTGGGCTCTGGCCCTGTGGTCCAGCCCATGTGCCTCTAACCATGCCTGGACGCTCTGAGTCTCCGGGCCACCGTGAATGCCCCACCCTCAGCCTGGCCCCATCCCCTTACCTTCCCCAAGTCCCAGAACACACCTGAGTCCATAGGCCCGGCAGCCTCTGCAAGGAACCTGGTTAACTTATGTTGTTATATAGCGTCGAAATGTCTATAGTGTCTTTAAATTATTGTGACCTACACTGGGTACCGGAGAGGGGGATGGCTGCGGCCCCCATCCCTCATCCCCCATCCCATCCCATCCCTCATCTCATCCCTCATCCCATCCCCCATCCCATCCCTGACCCCATCCCCCATCCCATCCCTCATCCCTATTCCCCATACCCACCCCCCATCCCATCCCCCATCTCCCGAACCAGGCTCCTCCTGCTTCAACAGACCCTTGGGGCCCCTGATGCCACCGAGACACTCGCACTGTCCCTTGGCTGCCGGGCACCCCACTGAGCCCCTGCCCACCCCAAAGTCTGCCAGCAACAGGCCCTTTGCCTGGGTGAGACGGGGGTCAGGGTGGCCCAGATGGGGGTGATGGCGACCAAGGTGCTGCGTCCCCACCCTTCTGACGGCAGCCTCCCCTGGAGGGGAGTGCTCGGCCCAATAAAAGCTGGAATCGGAAAAGTGAGTGTGTGTGGAATCCCCATGCGATGTACCTGCAGCTGCGGCCCCACCGGTGGGGACACATGCTCTGCCCACCCAGGACGAGCCCCCGAGGCCTTCATGTGCCCCCAGCTGTCTGGCTTCCTCCTGCCCCTCTGTGGGCCGTCCCTCCCATCCTCACACCAGACACCCTTGCCCAGAGCCCACCCCTGAGATCAAGTCATGCCTACCTGCCTCCAGGCACCTTTGGGCTGTCCCCACCCAGCCAGGGGAGCTGGGGCACTGGACACAGACCCTGAGGCCTTGCTGGACAGCACCAGGCTCAGGCTGCGGGGACAGGAGGGCCATGGGCCTGGCACCTGGTTACTGGGGGCTGGGCCAGAGCTGCTGTAAGAAGAAGGGACAGCAGGCCCCACTGGGCCCTGTGCCTCTGCTTCCCTCTGACCAGGGTGGGGTCTGGCTTTCAGGGTCCCTGTAGGTCCATCCAGCTGGGTCTGGTGGATTTTGGCTCCACAGCCCTGGGGACTGCCTTGCTCTCACCAGGCCTGGGAAGGTGGCATGAGGCCCCCAGAAGCTCAACAGCCTGCAGCTGGCCACAGGCTCCGCTGCTCCTCCCCAGAGCCTGGCCATGGCAGGGCCTCCCAGCCTGCATCCTGCGAGAGCCGTGCACACGGCGATGCACAGCACTTCCCCGAGGGCCAGAGGCATGTGGCAGGGCCGGTTTGGCCACTGCCCGCTGTCCCAGCAGCCTGGCATCGGGTGGAACTGCTGATCAAACAGACCCCATCCTTGCTGTGCCCAGCCCGGGCACCCACGGAACTGGCCCCAGACCCAGATCCCAGTGGAGGGGCTTCTCAAGGGGAATGGACCCCTCCAGGGTGTGGAGAGGGGGCGACAGCCAGAAAAGAGTGTTGGATTCACAGTCCCAGCCCTGTTCCTTCCTGATGCATGGGCAGCCTCTGGGGCGACCCTCCTGGATGTACAGCCTCAGTCTCCCCATCTAAGAGCAGAGGGTGGCCCGGAGCCAGGACTTGGTGGTCGGTGGGGCTCATGGGGCTGGCGTGCATGGGGCCTGGGCTGGGCAGTTTGGCAGGAGGCCCTGGTTCCCCGTGAGACAGTAAGTGAATCAGCGGCGGCGGCGGCAGCAGCGGCACGCCGGGGTCCGGCTACTCCCACAGGGCCAGGAATGAGGAAGCCTCTGAGATGCCCGGCCCTGGTGCCCAGACTGTACTGATTTCTTGGCTCTGGTTCAACCCCCACCCAGTCCCCTCGGGCTGCCCTGCACATCCTCCCAGGGGGCCTGCTGGAGGCCTCACCCTTACTGCTGGCCTGGCCCGGGGGCCCACCTGACCCCAGCCTCCGCCCCTAAGGCTCACATTTTGGGAGCATTTCCCCCTGGCCAGCCCCTCGCACCCCCACTCAGTGGCTCACTGCTGCATGGGGTGGTGCCCCCACGTGCTTAGCCCTGGCCACCCCTGCCCTGCAGGTGTTGCCCACACCAGGGGCTTTCCTGCCCTCTGATTGGCCCCAGCGGTTCCCGCACCAGGCGTGCCACCTGGCTGCTCCCAGACATAGGCCATTCCTGTGGGCTTTGCTGCGTAAGGTTTGGGGACCGATGGCTGGAAGGGCCGGAGTTCTGGGAGCCCATCTCTACGCAGGCTCGCTGGCTAATTCCTTTGCAACTTCAGTTCTGCCCTGGGCTGGCCCTGACTTCCGACCCCACTTCCCCTGCGGTGCCTGTGCCCACAGCTGCCGGTGGTGAGGCTGGTGGCCCATCTGGGGGGATGCAACAGCTGACGACCCAGGCAGCCTGGGAGCGAGGAAAGGGTTTTTTCTGCACTCACTCCTCCAGGCCTCTGAGCCCGGGCTTCCCGCTCTGTAGAAGGGACGTAAGGGAACAGAGCCTCTGCCCTGCTGCCACCGGGTCCCCTCCTCCTCTCTTGGGGGATCCACGTCCTTCCCTGACTCACAGCTGAGCTGCAGCCCTGGCTCCCACCCTGCCCTGTCCCACAGGGCTGCCCGCGCCATTCACTTGGCACTGTCTGGTGGCCAGAGCACACAGGGGCCCTGTGGCCCTGGAGGGCAGAGGATGTCTCATTGGTGTACCCTTAGAGTCCTTTCTGACCCACTGAGGTGCCCACAGCCCATCCCCTCCCCGTCCCCCTGCAGAGTGAGCCCCAGCCCTGCCTGTGCTCCCGCTGGCTCTTCCCAGGATGCACCCCACACTCTTCCTTCCCTGACCCCGGCTTGCAACAAGCTGGCTGTAGAGTCTTGCTCTCTCCTCCTCCCCTGCCTCAGCTCCCACCCTTAGGGGCAGCGTCCTGTTTCTGTGACGGCCCCTGTCTCCCAAGCTGGCTGAGGTCCAGCACAGCCCCGTGCTAGGCCTTGGGCCTGTTCCACACGTGTCCACGACCTTTACAACACCCCTTCCCCAAATAGGTCAGTGCTAGTTCCATTTTACAGATGGCAAAACTGAGGCACAGAGAGTAAGGAAACCCGTCCAAGCTCAACAGCCAGTGAAAGGCAGAACCAGGATTTGAATCCAGGCCCTCTGGGGTCTTCCTTCTACCCAACTCATGTGCCTCCTCCCATGAGGGGACACAGAGGCCCAGGGACCTTGTCCAAGGTCACAGAGAGATGAAGGGGAACAGAGTGGCTATGGCTGGTCGCAGAGAGATGACGAGCAACACTGTATCTTCACCAACAGAACAAGAAAGACCCAGTTAAAAAGCAGCAGGCAAGGTCTGAGTTCGATGCGTCTGAGTGAACTTCACAACTCCCAGAACTGGGAGTTAAAGGAGGGGGATCAGGAAGGAGGGGCTGTGGACCACCTTTTCCCCAAGCTGGGCTAGTCTTGCTGGCCCCTTGGGAGGGGCCGTGGTCAGGGGGTAGAGGGGCAGAGGGGCAGAGCGGTGCACAGGGAGGGGTGGCTGAATCACCGTGTGCCAGACACACGGGAAAACCTGAGCTCCCCGAGCAGAGCCGCCAGCTTGCTCCCGGGAGAGCCCAAAGCTGGAGCAGGTGCTGCAGACTCCTTCCGCCACGGGAACCAGGGACTCCAGCTGGCGGTGACCCAGGCCTCGTCCTAGCCTGTTTCCCTCTGAGTCTGAGCTTGCACCTGCCTTCCTTCCCTAGGGTTCTACCTGTCTGTTCATCAGGTCTTTGCACTTGAAGGACCCGGGGACTCAGAGCCACTTGGCCTGGGTGCCCTAGGACCCTTGGGAATCAGAGCCTGTGAGTTTTGGGGATCCAGGGAGTTGCATGTTGATGCCCACAGCAGTGCCCCATAGATACACAGTGCCCAGTGGGCAGGTGGCCAGCAAAATGCAAAGGAGAGGGGGTCTCAGGACCCAAAGTTCACCTACAGCCTGCCCTTGGCAGGTGCTCCTGCCAGGACCCTGGGGTGAGCAGTGCCTCCAGCCAGAACTGGAGACCCAGCTCTTTTTCGAGTCGTCTGCTGACCCCACCTTAGGACACATGGAGGTCGTGCCAGGGGAGGCAGCCTGGGCCTCCAGGCCACTGTCCTGTGTCCAGGACCTCTTGTGGTCTGGGCCACTCACCTCTCACAGCTGGAGTCCTGTAGCCACAGAAGGGAAAACCCTCCCAGCCTCACTCGGAAGCAGCGGGGAGGAGACGCAGGCGGAAGCTGAGGAGTCCTCTCACTCCATCTGCAGGCAAGGGCCTGAGGCCAGCAGGGCAAGGCCGGGACACCTTCTGGGTCCAGACCCAGGTGTCCTACCTGAGGCCACACTGCTTTCCCTGGGCAGGCAGCCAAACCACCCTGAGGCCTAAGGGTGGCCTCACAAGCACAGTGCCAGGAGAAGCCCAGTGGAAGGTCTTGGGCAGGACCCCTGGAGAGGTCCCTGTGGCGTCTGCAGCCCTGGAAGCCCTCGTCAGAGCGGCTGGGGCCAAAGAAGCCACAGCTGGGGCCACTTGCCGGCTGGACCTGCGCACACCATCCCCATCTGAGCTGCTGGGGCCAAAGAAGCCACAGCTGGGGCCACTTGCCGGCTGGACCTGCGCACACCATCCCCATCTGAGCTGCTGGGGCCAAAGAAGCCACAGCTGGGGCCACTTGCCGGCTGGACCTGCGCACACCATCCCCATCTGAGCTGCTGGGGCCAAAGAAGCCACAGCTGGGGCCACTTGCCGGCTGGACCTGCGCACACCATCCCCGTCCGAGCGGCTGGGGCCAAAGAAGCCACAGCTGGGGCCACTTGCCGGCTGGACCTGCGTACACCATCCCACTTTTCCAGATGGGTGGGGGCCCTGCCCACGGTTCTTCCCTGGCCCCCGGCTCCAACCCTCCCTCTGGCTCCCACCAAGCACGGCCCATGGCATCCACCCAGTCACACACTCGTTTCTTCACTCATGTCTTCACGTGCCCATCACGTGCTGGGCACTTCAGCGCCTGGAGCATGGTCGGGCATTGTGGGGTCTCAGAGCTGAGTCTCAAGTGGGGTCCTCTCCCAGTTAGCCCCAGGCCAGGACGAGGGGCAAAATGACAAATGAACAGTTCCCCTCAGCCTCCATGACCAAGTGTGCCATGGAGGGAAGTAGGGGCCAGCAGTGCAGCCCTGCCTGGGCACTCAGGGATGGCTTCCTAGAGGAGCTGTGTGGAGGGTGAGACCAGAAGCAAAAGTAGGAAAGGAAAGGGGGGAGACCGTGGGAGCCAGAGGGAAAGGAAGCGGCGAGCCTGGGGTAACTGAAGGGACAGTGGAGATGGAGTTAGTGGGAGCTGGGGCAGGGGCTGGTAGAGCTTGGAGACAAGGTTTCAGAAGATTCTGGAGGGACAGAGGGGACTCTTGCTCTTGAGCCCCATGGTTTCTAGCATTCAGCAGGAACTCTCACCCCCCATCCCACCCACCTGTGGCCCTGCAGCCTGATGCCCTTTGGACAAGGAGCTCTCGCCCCCCTACCCCAACCACCTGTGACCCAGCAGCCTGGTGCCCTCTGGACAAGGAGCTCTCACCCCCTCCACCCCACCCACCTGTGGCCCTGCAGCCTGGTGCCCTCTGGACAAGGCCTGTGGCTGCCCAGCCACCCCCGGCTGCCTGCCAAGCTCCTAGGTCCCAGGAGGAAAGTGTCCCATGCTGTGATGAGGCTGTAGGGGAGTGGGGAGTGAGGGCTGGGCACTGGGGCCCCTCTTGGTGCTATTCCTAGCCCCCTCTCAAGCCCCCTGCCAGGCCCAGTGGGCTAGGGCTGTTGGCCTCAGGTTGCCCTGGGGAGGAGGCTGTTTCCCCAGGTCCGTCTAGCCCAGCAAAAGCTCTCCAGGAGAGGCTTCCACACTCCTCCTCTAGGCCTCGGTTGCCCTATTTGGACAGGCTGATCCCTGGGGTTCGTATCAGACCCCAGGATGGGCTGAGCTTGGGTGGGCACAGAGCAGGCTGCTCCCCCAGGCTCATCATAAATGCCTGCATTGCACCAACAAGGCCAATGCCAAGGGCTTTGGGCTCCTTGTCAACCAGCCCTGCAAGGGGGGCACCTTGCCTGCTGAGAGGGGGGACAGGCTGGCCAATGGGTCCTGACACAGACAGTGACTAACATCTGCTTCCTCACCTGGTTCCCAGGAAAGAGGGATCGATTAAATCTCAACCACAGACACTCTGGGAGGGTGAGGGCAGGTGGCGACAGATCCGAGTCACCAGGACTATCTCAGGGAGCCAGGGAGTACTCTGCAGGGAAGGGCACTCCTCAATCTCAAAGGGCCCCACTCTGTGGCAAGGGTTACTGCTATGTGGATCCACCAGCACCTCTCATTCTAGACACTGCATGGGGCAGCCCTAGGAGGCCTAGTAGGGGCAGGCCTCAGGCTGCATTAGAAAGGCCTTTTTCAGGCTAGCCAAGCCACTAGGAGGAGGGAATTCCCCACCACTGGAGGCATTCAAGCATGGTTTGATCTCCGCATGATGGAGAGGGAGGTGTGCAGCCCCTGGTGTTCTGATTCCACAATTCTGAGATGCTGAGAGGCTGTATGTTTAGTTGTAGTACAAGAAGACTTCGTTCTGTGGTTGGAAGGGGTTGCAGTTCTGGGCCAGGGTCTGGGGGAAGCCTCTTCTTCTGTGCCTGACACTGGGAGTTCCCTTCAGAGGTGAGAAGCTCTGTCTCACCCTTGTTCATTGGTTCCACAGACGTTATTGCTTCTCCCATGTGTCTGGCAAAAGTCCTGCCCACAGGGAGGTGACAGTCTGGAGGGGGATGTGAGACCATCAACACCTACTATGAAGGAAGCAGGTGTTATAAATCATCAAGCACTCAGCATGGAAGGAAGTCATCATGGCTCAGGAAGAGCCAGAGGCAGAGCAGGCCACACAGAGATGGCAGTGCAGGAGAGGAGGGAGTGGGGTGTGGAGGGTGTGGACGGTGTTCCAGGGGTAAGGCTGGGAGGCGGGAGAATGACTGATGGCCAGGAGCTGTAGGAGGTCAGTGGTTGGGACAGAGCGAGAGGAGAGGAGTGCAGAGGTGTGGCTGGGCAGACAGCAGGGTCTTTTTGGGCCACCAAGATGATGTGGCCTTTCCTCTCAGTGACTCAATGGGCACTGCAGGGCTGGTGGCAGACAAGGACATGGTCTGCCTTCATTTCTAAGAGGGTCCCTAAGCTGCAGTGCAGGGAAAAGCCCAGCGAGGCAGGGGATGAGGCAGGGAGAGGGTGAGGAGGCCACTCTCAGGTCAGGTCAAGAGGTGCATGGGAGAAGCATGGGGTTCTAGAGGCATTTTGCAGGCAGACCAGGGGCATCCCCGCACAGAGGTCAGGCAGGCTCTGGACAGGGACCCCAGGGAGGGAAGGCCAGAGGAGGCAAGGGTGTGCCTGGCCCAGGCTGAGCATCCCAGGTATCCTTCAGGTGTGGGGGGACTTTCTCCAGGCCCCCCCAGGGGTGGGGAAAGGAGCCAGGACACAGGCTCAGCGGGGAACCTGGCGGGGGAGGCACCTGCCCCTCGTTCACCTGGCATGGCCTGTGGTGGAGGGACTGGCTAGCCGGGCCCAGGAGCAGGCTGAGAGCAGGGGTTCTGAGCTGGACAGCCGCTCTCAGACAGGCTCTGGTGGGGTCTATCTGTGTGACCTTGGCCTCGTGCTACCTCAGTTTCCCCTGTAAGCTGGGTTGAGAGTGCCTGGGTAGCAGCAGGGAGGCGTACTCCATGGAAGCCCCTCCCCCTGCCCGCCTTGGGGGCCAAGAGACCCTCAGAGAGCAGCTGTGTCCCTCCAGCTGGCAGCAAAGCCAGGAGCCCTGGGAGGTCTCTTAGCCACCCGCCCTGCTCAGGGCCCAGCAAAGGCCCCTCCCCTCCCCTGGGCAGACCCATGGGTGGAGGGGAGATGGGGGTGTGGGTGCGGTAGGGGAGGGCAGGGCTGTGTCCTGGGAGCTCTGCAGACCTGGAGGCAGCCCAGGGTTGGCTTCTGGGAAGTTGGGGCTCCAGAAGGGGATTTTCATGGCAGCTGGATCGCTTCCTGGTGAAGATTCAAAGAGCCCCTTGCCCACGTGCCAACAGCACTTTACAGTTTATGAATTCCCCCTGTGACCATTATCTGGCTCAGCCTTGAGGCCTGGAAGCCCCCAGCCTCTCTGCTAGTTTTCAAGGGCCCCTCAGCTGGTGTCTCTCACCTCTCCTCGGTTCCTCCCCAGGGCCCTCTCTCCCTTCACTGGCCCCTGGGTCCCCTCCTGTCCCCAGCCAGCCAGAGAGCTCCTCCTTGAACCCCCCATCCCCTCTGTACTTATCATGATCTCGTAAGAGCTGCGCCTTCCCCGAACTGCCCCTCCCTGCTGGAGATTGCCTGGGGCCACTTGCCCTGGGCTCCCCCTGGACCCCACAGGCCCCTCTCCTGGGGGTCCCTATGTTCATGCCAAGCTGCACCCCCACACTGTTCTGTCCCCGCAGGCACTCGGGGCTGCAGTGTCTTCCCCAAACCCCGTGAAGTGGCTGACCATCATTTCCCCATGTCTACCCTGGACCCCACACCCCACACCCCCCAACAAGCCCTGCAGACTTCTCATCCTCCAGTGCTCCCTGGCTCCCCCTCACTAGCCCCCTCAGTCTCCACACCAGCCTAGCCAGGGCCAGTAAGTCCAGGACTGTCCCAGCCTCACCTTGGCAGTTCCCTCAGGCAGAGACACAGCCCCTTCACCCGGTCGCCCTTCAGGCCTCAGTGGGCACGATGCCTCTTCCAGAACAGGGTCGATGCCACCTGCCTGGGCGTGGCCTGCCTGGCCCTGCCAAGCCTTCTGCAGCTGCAGTGGGCAGCCTCCACCTCATAATCGTTTTCTGCCACCTTTCCTACACCCATCGCTGGCGGTGAAGTCAAAACTTGGCATGAGATCCGGAGCGCCAGACCAGGACTTGCACAACTCTGGGTGGGGCGGGAGGAATCCCTGTGGGGACGCGGAGATGCACCTATTTTTAGCCTTAAGAAGAAAACTCAACCCCAACACGCACAATATGCAACACAAATATTTGTTTTTATTCTTAAAAGGGCTCAAATGGAGGGCTTGGGGCCTGAAGCACATGCTTGGTTGCGTCATCCAACAGTCCCCACCCCGCAGAGCCTCCCGCTCCAGAGAGCCTCCCAGGGTCTCCACCCTCCCTGAGCTCCCCAGCCCTTCCTGAACTCGCCTGGCAACTTCCCCCTCTCACCCTTGCTCCGGCGCGCCTCCCCTCGGTGTGTTGTGCAGTGATGCCCTGCATCCTAAGGTTGGCTGGAGCTCCCCCTGCTTCCCTAGGGATGCCCTTCCTGCCCAGGACTCCCTGCAGCGATTGGCGGGGCCTCCGTGAGCCATGTGGGGGCCGGCGTCCTCCTGTTGGGGGTGCTGCTCTGATGGCCCCATCTTGGACCCTGAGCTGTGTCCCAAGAAAGCAAGATGTTCCCCAGGAGCTCCCAGGCTTGGAGAGACCTGGGAAGTCTGGCTGAGCCGCTGGTGGGGACAGCAAAGAGGCTTCCACGCTGAGGAACTTGAGCTGGGAGGGCATGGTGTCCTGGGGCTGCTGGAATGAATGACAGAAGCGGGGCTTGAAGCAACATTTATTCTCTCACAGTGCTGGAGGCCAGGAGTCTGAAATCGGCATCCTTGGGCCCAAATCCAGAGGTGGGCGGGGCCACGCTCCCTCCTGGCTCCAGGGGAGGACCCAGCCTCTGATGGCTGCCGGCGCCCTCGGCTTGCGGCGGCATCACCCGGACTTGGAGGGCAGCATCTTCAAATCTCCCTGCGCTCCTCTTCCCACGGCCTTGGGGCCGCAGCTCCCTCTTAAAAGGATGCCTGTGATTGCATTAGGGCCCATCCGGATCATCCCGGATAATCCTCCCATCAAAAAATCCTCCACTCAACCCCATCTGCCTTGCAGGGCAATCTCTCCAGAATCCAGGGCTCAGGGGCTGGACATGTTTGGGGGCCATCATTCAGCCTCCTGCAAGCGGCCTGGGTAGAGAGGCTCAGAGAAGACCCCAGGGGCAGCTCCTCTGGAGCAGGGGACAGAAGAGGGTCCATCGGAGCTGGCTGCAGCTGGGCATCCAGAATTGGGGTTTGGGGAGAAAAGCAAGGGTCCTGGTGCATTACAGCCCAGAGGCATGATTGCTGGTCGGGTGGGGGATGGCGTGCGGCAGGCCTGGGTGAGCGTCGGCTCTGACCCTTGGGGCTCCGTGTGCAGCAAAGCACCTGGCCCTGAGCCTGGCCTAGGTCATCCTGGCCCCTGCTCAAGGGCTCTCGTGGGCATCGGGAGTGAGGTGCTGTGCAGAGTGGATGTTCAGTGACCAGTGGCTCTTACCTTTCCCATGCCCCACCCCAGGCCTTCCTGCCAGGGATCATCTTACCTCCAAGGACATCAGAGTCTCCCTGTGGAATCTCCCCAGACCCCCTTGTCTGCCTGTGGGTCAGGTGAGAACGTGGAACCCCAGTTTTGTCCCCTGAACCCTACCCCCAACACCCATCTTTCACCCTGCCACCCCATCCCCTCCGCCCAAGCACCATCATCTCTCCCTTCAACTCTGGGCCTCCGCCCACCGTGTCTCCCAGCTGCCACTTGAGTGATCTTAGTAACATGCACAGCAGGCCGCACCGGCAGCCCGTCCAAAACCTCCAAGGATGCCCCTAATCCCTTCTGACGCTCTCAGGTCTGTGCCTGCCCTGGTCCTCAACTTCCGTTAAACAAGCCCCCTCTTGGGAC
Organism: Homo sapiens; assembly: GCF_000001405.40. Classification (NCBI taxonomy): domain Eukaryota; kingdom Metazoa; phylum Chordata; class Mammalia; order Primates; family Hominidae; genus Homo; species Homo sapiens. Next base: position 45,910,237 of record NC_000022.11, on the reverse strand, counting down.
CGCGGCACCCTCAGCCCCTCCGCCCGGACTCTCCCCACAGACCTCCCTGTGGTCAACCTGCTGATCCTCAGGCCTCACCCCCGGGCCCCACGTAAAGACACCTCCCAGTCACTGGCCACTGAGCATGGTCCCCAGGCCTCTGGTTTGTTCTGATCGGCATGAATGCCTCAGCTGGGGGTGGTGGCCGGCTTGTCACCGCGATAGGCCAGTGACAGACCCCGGGGCGTGGCAGGCACACAGCGAGCTTTTGTGGAACCAGGGGAGGGGTATTTTCCAGATACCGGTTCAATGGTGAGATGATGCCAAAACTCCAGCCCAGAGGAAGCCAGGGAGGCTCTCCGCACACTCAGAAAACAAGAATCTGTAAGTACAGAAGCAAACGCCAGGCAGAGAGGAGGCAGGAACCTGGCTGGGTGCCGCAGCTCAGGCCTGCGACCCCAGAACCTTGGGAGGCCAAAGCAGGAGGATTGCTTGAATCCAGGAGTTTAAGACCAGCCTGGGCAACATAGCGAGACTCCATCTCTATTTTAAAAATTAAAAATCAAAATAAAGAGAGGATTCAGGAGCCCGCCAGATGCACCAGGAAGCCCAAAGGAGATGCCGATGTCCCCTCCTCCCACCCCAGGCCTGGTCCCTCCCAGCCTGGCTGTGCTCAGGTCGCTAAGAGAACACGAGCTCCGGTGCACCTTTGTCCATTGAATGTGTTTTTTGAGCACTACTGAATGCAAAGACTGCCCTGGGAACAGTGTACTGAGTGTCAGATCCAGGAACACTCTGGGACTAGGGGACCCCGATGAGGCCCTCAACCCATCCATCCTTAGGGTCTGGAGACCTTTCCAGAGAAGAACAGAAGGCTGGGCATCTTTCTGGAGTGCCCTGGAGCCTGGCACACAGCAGGACTTAGCGAATACTTTTTGAACCAAATCACACAGGACAATTGGCCCCAAGGGATTAAGAGGAGCACATCTCTGTCCTCACACTGGGTGGGGCTTTGCAGGGGCAGCCAGGTGGCAGAAGCTGCAGGGGCGCAGCCAGGTGGCAGAAGCTGCAGGGGGGCAGCCAGGTGGCAGAAGCTGCAGGGGGGCAGCCAGGTGGCAGAAGCTGCAGGGGGGCAGCCAGGTGGCAGAGGCTGCAGGGTCTCTTCCATCTCGCACCGCATGTGCTGGAGGGAGAGGGGCTTGGGGCCTGGATCGCTGGCATGGCTGACTCAGAGGCCACGAAGTCAGATGTCATTTTGGGGTGCAGAGTGTGGGAGGACTTTTGGGCACTGGGAGGACTTTGGGCCATGTCTGATGTGGTCTAGGGCTCAGGGTGGGTGTCCAGGACCCGCTCAGGCAGGGTCTGGCCCTCAGACCCCCCTCACAGGACACTCCACTTGGATGGTTTTACAAGTCAGGGTCCCACAAAAGAGTTGGTTTGACAAAGGGGCCCCGCTGCTAAAAACATTTGAAAACCACGAAGTGAGTCCAGCCCTGAAGTTTTTACTCAAGGCTCTGGAGCCTCCTGGGTACTGGTTGACCCCGGGCCACACAGGCTGCGCTGCTCTCCTGGCCACATTTGCCCAAACCCAGGGGCTCAACCGCAAACAAGGGCTCCCTGAGGCTGGGCTGCTGGCTCCTGCAGACCCGAGGGGTGGCGCAGTTACCCACATTCAGCGCTGGCGAAAGCCAACCCCAGTAGACTGTGCTAGAATGCGCCTAAGTGAGACCACCACAGGAAAGAGAAGTTCCAGAAATTCTCTGAGAGCTTTTGAGCATGCTAGCTACAGTCGCTGAGGTCGTGGGTCAGGGCGGGCGGCATAGGGAACCTTGTCACCAGGCACAGGTTGGCTCACCTGGGGTTAGGACGGACTGGCCCACCTGCCACATCCCAGGAGGCCTGGCTGCTGCTCTGCCTGTGGGGGAACAACGCGAGTAGGCAGAGTACGCCTGTGACCCCGGGCATGCAGGGACCCAGTGTGACCCATCTTATGAGGCCGACCCCACACCACCCAGCCCCGGGCCTCCCTGGTAGACCCTGAGAGGTGAGAAAGGTGTGGACCCTTCCAGAAGGAGCTTCCTGGAAAGGAGACCAGACAAGGAGCCCGGGCAGGTCCAGGGCTCAGTGAGGTGCGGAGGTTAGCGGGCCACAGAGAAGGCAGTGCTGGCCCCGCTGCCCAGGGCAGAATTGGACCTTCCCAGCCTGACTGGTGGTGACAAGGGAAGGACCCCAGGGAGCTGAGGCCGGCTGGTTTCTGCCCTGGGTGCCCGCAGGGGAGGGGAGCTCTGGGAGGCCTGAGGGTCCCCAGCAGCTGGGGCTGGGTCCAGAGTGTGCAGGGCCAGGAACACCATACCTGGGCCACTGCCTGCCCCACCCCAGGGCCAGGGAAGCACTTGGGCAGGTCCCACCCGCTGGCTGCTCTAAAACCCCTCACATGGGCCTCACACCTGCCGTCTGCCACTGCTGATCACCTCCTTTGTGGGAAGGTCCCTCCTTGTGAGCCCCACACCGGCACCTGCCGAAGCCTCCTGAACAGTGAAAGAATGGATTGAACCCAGGAATGAAAGACCAGTGAAAGAGTGAGTGAGTGAAGGAATGAAGGAGAGAGTAGGGTGAAGGAGAAGCCACGAGGGAATGAAGAAATGAATGAGCAAGTGAATGAATAAGTGAATGAGTGAACACACGAATAAGAACAAATGAAGGTAGAATAGACAAACGGAAGAACAAGTGAATGGATACGTGAGTGAATGAATGAATTCGCGAAGCTCCAATTCTGCCTTAGAAGAGAGCAGGAGCATTCTCCAAAGAGCAGACCGCCCCATTCCCCTCTCCACGCCACGCAGGACCACACAGGGGTCAGTCCGGGTCCGCCGCAGGGCGCCATGGCTACTGGGAGTCCAAACGTCTCCCAAGGTTCCCTGTGAATTGGGCCAGTGAGGCCCATGCTCAGACCCACAGGACCGCAGGGCCCTTTCTTCGGGCCACTGCTCCCGGCCAGGTCCACCGGCTCACTGCCTCTTGCCCAAGGTGAGCATCCTGCCTTCTCTGTCTGCTAAACTGTGCATCCTTCGAGATCTGTTCACGTGCCACCTCCTCCAGGAAGCCCCAGTGCTGCACAGACGAGCTCAGGGGCAGGGTTTCCAGGGCCCAGTCCCTGCTGACCTGCTCCAAGGCCTGTGAGGGCCGTGCGGTGCAACCTCCCAGCCAAGTCCCACGACCCCACCCCTCTCCCAGCCCGGAGCAGAGCCTGAACTCCTGAGGGGCTGGCGGGACCCTGCACCGAAAGGGACTGGCCAGAATTTGGGGCCTGGCACGGCCTTGATATCAGTGCCCAGCTCCTTTGCTCCCGCATAGACCCAGATCTGGGTGTCCTAACATCTCCGAGCCTCAGTTTGCTCATCTGCAAAATGGGGCTCTCTCCCTTACAGCTCCATCGTGACCACGTAGCCTATGTGGCGTGTGCAGGGCACAGAGGCAGGCAGAGTGTCTGCTGCTGGCAGTGGCAGCATAGGCAGCACAGTCAAAGCCCGGACACGGACGGGGCTGAGCGTGTGACTGTGCCTCTGTGGATGCGGGGGCTAGCTCCCCCCTCGCTTCGGGGAGAGCCTGGCTTGGGTGTATCCATGGCTGCAGCTGTGGTCAGCCCCACAGGAGGGCATCTTCCTCCACCAGCCCACCAGCCCATCAGCCCATCAGCCTCAGCTGGGCCCTGAGGCCCTGGGGGCAGAGCAGGGATCCCGTTAGCCCAGAGCGCTCACACACCCACGGAGGAAGCCACCAGTGACAGGGACCTGACAAGGCTGATCCTGGGCAAGTTCCTTCACCCCAGGGGCCTCCGTTTCTTCCTCAGTAAAACAGGGCTTGGGCCACCCTGCGGAAGACATCAGGACTGGAGGAGGCCCTGAAAGCTCGGCAGTCAGCGCGGCTGGCACGCAATGGACAGCGGCCGTGCCTCGCTCGTGTTAACAGCCAGCAATTTGACTTCTGTGATCTCACAGCATTCCTTTGGCAGCAGTGAACATTCACTGCCCTCCTGGGAGCTCCGTGGGGCTGGGCACGGGTGTGGGGAGCTCACAGGCTGGACTCCAGGTCCTTCAACACTTGTGGACCTCACTCAGCATTACGGTTCGGCAATGGCTGCCCCGCAAAGGTCCTGTGGGGACCAGGAAGTGGCCAGTGGTCAGGGCTCCGGGAGCGGCCCCGGGACCTCACTGTGGATCTCAGAGCCCTTGTCAGTGCAGCTCTGCTCCTGGGAGCTGTCGGCTCCTGCCTGAGGGGCTGGGAGAGCAAGCACTGGGGGCCTCCTACCTCGGGGCAGGAGCTCCCTCTCCCTCCGTGACCTTAGCGGCAGTCCTCACCGCATTGTCAGGGGCACAGTGGAAGGTTCCCCGGCTGGCCCAGGGGTCAGATAAGGAAGACCCCCAGACCATCAGCTTGAGCCGGGGAGGGCAACCCTGCGGTTTTCACCGGTTGCCCCGCCCTTGGGGTAATTGAGAAAGCGGCTTCCTTTTAATTAAAGTTCTGCAAAGGGCCTGAGCTCCCCGAGGAAAGGAAAAGTGTCCAAGCAGAATAATTAGCCGGACAAAAGGCAAATCCTCTTAGCATCTCCCTGGGCGATTACAGGTTAATTGGTTGGCACTGCTGCCCGCCAGGGCCAGACTCCCGGCTTTCCCGCGCCTCCCGCCGCTTGCTGACCCCAAGGCCACACCTGCCCCGCTGTCCGGCGTGGGAACCCAGCAGGGCTCCGTCGCCCTCTGATCCGCCCTGCCCTGCCAGGCCCTCTCCTCAGCATCCAGCTCCTCCCTCGTTATCCCCCAGAGCCTGTGAGTCTTCGGAGCTCCTGTGCGGGGACAAGTGTCTCAGCACTGCCCCAAAGGTACACTTGTCTGTGCCCCACGTTCCAGCCACAGTCACCTCTCCACCTTTGCCCAGCTACCTCTCCGTCCTCACCCACACCCAACCCAGGATAACCCTTCTGCCCGGCACAGGAAGGCCTCGTTGTCCCAGCGAGCCTCCGTCTTCCACTCACATGGCTCTTATGACGGTCACCATGCCGCTGCCCCTGCTTGGGCAGCAAATCACATCTCTCCAAAAGGAACACCTGTGCACCGCCGCGGGGAGCGCAGATTATCTCAACCCTTGTGGACAATGGTGTGGCGATTCCTCAGAGATCTAAAAACAGAAATACCATTCAACCTAGCAATCCCATTCCTGGGTATACACCCAAACGAATAGACATCATTCTATTATAGAGACACATGCATATGTGTGTTCACTGCAGCACTATTCACAACAGCAAAGACATGGAATCAACCTAAATGCCCATCAACGGTAGACTGGATAAAGAAAATGTGGTCCATATACACCATGGGACGCTATGCAGCCATAAAAAAGAACAAGATCGCCTCCTTTGCAGGAACATGGATGGAGCTGGAGGCCATTATATTATCCTTAGCAAACTCATGCAGGAACAGAAAACCAAATACCGCATGTTCTCACATATAAGTGGGAGCCAAATGATGAGAACTCATGGATACATAGAGGGGAGCCACACACACCGGGGCCTACTTGAGGGTGGAGGGTCGGTGGAGGGAGAGGATCAGGAAAAATAACTAATGGGTACTGGGCTTAATACCTGGGGGATGGAATAATCTGTACAACAAACCCCTATGACCAACTTTACCTATTTAACAAACCTGCACATGTACTATAAAACCTGAACTGGAAAGTTAAATTTAAAAAAGGTTGCGTATCTCCAATTCATCCCTGCCCTTATCAGTTCCCTTTATGTGGCCAGCCCGCGTTTGAGTCATCTCCAAGGACAAGGGGCTCAGCCTGGCACACAGAGGTGCTTCATTAAGGCCTGCGAGGCCCCTGGTAAGTTGCAGTGCAAGGCTGGCTGTAAGGCTCTGAGAAGCTGCCTGGAGCTTCAACCAAGGGTCTCGGAGAAAAGGGACTGCCCTCCTGCCCACGCCCTCCACCCACAGGAGGGAGCTGGCCTGGGAACACTGGAAGGTATCCGTGGAAAAGAAAGAAGGCTTGAAGGACGAGCGCAGGAGGCGTGGGAGACCGATGGTGACTTCAGGATCATCAGATTCCCGAATGATCGAGGCGCCCAGGAACACAGGTTTCCATTTCCACCCTTGATGAAAGTCACTCCGACACATTTATTTTCCTGCTCTACTACATGAGGCCCCAGGGTGGACCCCTGAACCCAGCCACCATGCTCCTCCCTGTTCACAACCGTGGACAGAGCAAGAGATGCTCCAGCCTGCGTTTGGGCCGATGAGGACCCTGGGGCCAGGAGAGGTCAAGGCCTGGCTGACAAAGGTCACAGAGTGGCCAGAGGGAGAGCAGGGTGACGTGGCCGAGCTCAGGAGTCCTGAGATGGACGTGTCCTCCCGTCCCCCTGGCACAGTGGAAAGAAGGGTCACCACAGGGCTCCTCAGGGCAGCCCCGGCCCCTTCTCGCTGCCCCCGCCCAGGGCGGGCAGTGAGTCAGCCCCATAGCTCGGCCGAGGCTGCGGCTGCGGTGGTGTTTCCAGTCTCAGAGAGACGGGACAGCTGTTTATTTTTCTTGCAGTAGAGGAGGGGCAGGGGCGGGGGCAGGACCTGAGGAGCTGACCCTGCTGGTTCTCACACTTGGCCCAGGCTCCCTGGGAGCCCCCGAAGGGAAGGGGGGGGCCTCAGGGCTGACTGCTGGGGGGATGGGGGCCCCGGGCCTCCCTGCCACACTCCTGGGGCGCCCAGCCAAAGCCAACGCCGCAGGCCAGTTCCTGGAGCGGGATGTTGGGGTTTCCGAGGTCGGGAAAGAACTGGCACAGCTCAACCCATGATGTCACCACCCAGCCCCAGCCCCGCCACCACCTCTGGGAGGACGCAGGGTACCCTGGGGTAGCTCAGAGATGCTGGGATGGGGCACCAGGAGGGGACTCAGGTGCCTGTCCTAGCACAGGCTGTGGGCGTCCCTGCCCCTCCATGCCTTCCAAAGGCTGGGCCACCAACCTGGGACCCCCTCAGCAGCAGGAACCGAGTCCCCCTGGCTTCTGGGCCAGGCTGCAGTGGCATCGAGGGGGCGCTTCCTGAGCCAGGAGAACATCCTTCCAAGACGCTGTGATTCACACATTTTGGGAGGCTCTCCTGAGTGCCACTGACCCTCCTCCCAGCTGGCCCTGTGCTCAGCTGTCCCCAGTGAGGACGGAGTCCCCCAGCCCGGCCCAGGGCCAGGGTCTTCTGCAGCCAGACACCCCCTTCGGCATTAAGTAGATGAGGGGTGGCATCTTCCTTCTCCTTTTCTGGGATTTCCAGTTTTCTACCGCAAACACTATTTTTTCTGGAACTCTTTAGTGAAGTGTAACCCACAGGAAAGCGGACGCAGTAGAAGTACACAACCCAGCAGATTTTCAGAAACCAAACCCTCCATGTCACGGGCACCCAGGCCAGAGGCAGGACGTGGACGATGGCCACGGTCCCATCAGGGGCCTCGCTCCCGACCGTGGCACCGTGGGTCGCTATCACCTGTTTTTACACCGCACAGGAACGGCTCACACACCCCATCCTCTTTGCTGGCTGGCTTCTTTGTTCAACATCGTGTTTATAAGACTCACCCATATTACTGTCTCTTTTTTATTTTATTTTATTTTATTTTTTGAAACAGGGTCTCACTCTCTCACCCACGCTGGAGTGCAGTGGCACAATCACGGCTCACTGCGGCCTTGACCTTCTGGGCTCAAACCATCGTCCCACCTCAGCCTCCTGAGTAGCTGGGGCCACAGGCATGAGCCACTGTGCCCAGCCTGCCCATGCTATTGTGTGTTTGTAACTCATGTATTACTTTAAAAAAAAAATAGGGCTGGGGGCAGTGGCTCATGCCTGTAATCTCAACACTGTGAGATGCCAAGGTGGGAGGATCACCTGACGTCAGGCGTTCGAGACCAGCCTGGCCAACATGGTGAAACCCCATCTCTACTAAAAATACAAAAAATAGCAGAGCATGGTGGCACATGCCTGTATTCCCAGCTACTGGGGAGGCTGAGGCAGGGGAATCGCTTGAACCCGGAAGGCAGAGGTTGCAGTGAGCCGAGATTGCACCATTGCAATCCAGCCTGGGCGACAGAGCAGGACTCCGTCTCAAAAAAAAAAAAGAAAAAAAAGACTTTAGTTTTTTGGAGCAGCTTTAGGGTTACAGAGAAATTCAGGGGAAAGTACAAAGCATTCCCATTTGTTCCCCTACAGTTTCCTCTATTATTAACATCCTGCATTCATGTGGCATATTCCTTGCAACTGAAGAGCTAATATGATAGATCACTAACTCAAGCCCATGGTTTACATTAGGGGTCCCTCTTGGCGCTGGGCATTCTGTGGGTCTGGGCAGGTGAATAACGACACGGTTCCTCCATCACAGAGTCACACAGAGCCGCTTCCCCGCCTGAGCACCCCCTCTGCTCAGTCCAGGCATCCCTCCCGCCCCAACCCCTGGCAGCCACTGATCCTTTCACTGTCTCCAGAGTTTTGCCTTTTTCCGAATGTCGTCTATTTGGAATCATGCTGTAGCCTTTTCAGACTGGCTTCTTTCACTTAGTGAGATGCATTTACATTTTTTTTTTTTTTTTTTTGAGACGGAGTCTTGCTCTGTGGCCCAGACTGGAGTGCAGTGGAGTGGCACCATCTCGGCTCACTGCCAGCTCCGCCTCCCGGGTTCACGCCATTCTCCTGCCTCAGCCTCCCGAGTAGCTGGGACTACAGGCACCCGCCACCAGGCCCGGCTAATTTTTTTTTGTATTTTTAGTAGAGATGAGGTTTCACCGTGTTAGCCAGGATGGTCTTGATCTCCTGACGTTGTGATCCGCCCACCTCGGCCTCCCAAAGTGCTGGGATTACAGGCGTGAGCCACCGCGCCCGGCTGCATTTACATTTTCTCTGTGTCAGGCTTGGCATAGTGGCTCATGCCTGTGATCCCAGCATTTTGGGAGGCCAAGGCGGATGGATTACTTAAGCCCAGGAGTTCAAGACCAGCCTGGGCAACATAGTGAGACCTTGACTCTACAAAACATTTTTAAAAATGAGCCAGACGTGGTGATGCACACCTGTAGTTCCAGGTACTTGGGAGGCTGAGGTGGGAGGATTGCTTGAGCCCGGGAAGTCGAGGCTGCAGTGAGCTGTGATCACACCACTGCGCTCCAGTCAACAGAGTGAGACCCTGTCTCAAAAAAATAAAAATAAAAAATGTTAAAGAAAAAAAAAAGCATTTCCTCCATGTCTTTCCATGGCTGGAGAGCTCCTTTCTTCTTGGTGCTGAGTAATTCTCCACGGTCTGGCTGCACCACTGCTTACTGGTCCCTTGACCTCCAGAAGGACATCTCAGCTTCTAAGTTTTGGTGATCATGAATGCAGCTGCGATAAACATGTGTGTGCAGGTTTCTGTGAGTAAATCCCAAGGGGTGAGGCTGCTGGATCATACAGAAAGGGTATGTTTAGCTTTGTAAGACACAGTCGACCTGTCCTCCACGGTGCGGTACCATTTTGCATTCCCACCAAATGCGGTCCCACATGCTCACCAGCATCTGGCGTTGTTAGTGTTTTGGATTTGGACCATTCTGATAGGTGTGTCGTGATAGCTCACTGTTTTCATTTGTAATTGCCCGGCGTTAGGCACCTTTTCATGTGCCTGTCTGCCATCAGTGGCTCATCCTATAAGATATTAAATACATTTCTTTCTTCTTTTTTTCTGAGACAGAGTTTTGTTCTTGTTGCCCAGGCTGGAGTGCAATGGCGCCATCTTGGCTCACTGCAACCTCCACCTCCCTGGTTCAAGCGATTCTCCTGCCTCAGCCTCCCAAGAAGCTGGGATTACAGGTGCCTATCACTACGCCCATCTAATTTTTTGTATTTTTAATAGAGATGGGGTTTCACCATATTGGCCAGGCTGGTCTCAAACTCCTGACCTCAAGTGATCCACCCGCTTTGGCCTCCCAAAGTGCTGGGATTACAGGCGTGAGCCACTGTGCCCAGCCAAGATATTAAATACGTTTATTTCTCATCTCTGGTGAGGAATCTTTTCTGATCTTTTGCCCATTTTTTAATTGGGTTGTTTGTTTTCTTATTGTTGAGTTTTAAGAGTTCTTCGTATATTTTGGATACCAGTTACCTGATGAGCTTTGGAAACATGTCTCCCAGTCTGTGCCTTGTCTTTCTATTCTTCTCATAGTGTCTTTCACAGAAGTTTAAATTCTCCCAGAATTTTCATATTGTCTTCACAGAAGCTAAATGTTCAAATCATCAATTCTTTTTTTCCTGGATTCTGCTTTGATGTTGCCACTAAAGTCATTGACGAGCCCCAAGTCACCTAGATCTTCTCCTCTGTTATCCTCCAGGAATGTTACAGTTTTGTGTTTTACACTCGGGCCTATGATCCATTTTGAGTTGATTTTTGTGACTGGTGTAAGGTCTGTGTCTAGGTTTGTTTTTATGCACGTGGATGTCCACCTGTTCTTGCACCATTGGTTAAAAGACTGTCTTTGCTCCTTTGTCAAAGAACAGTTGAGGCTGGGCGCGGTGGCTCACGCTTGCAATCCCAGCACTTTGGGAGGCCAAGGCGGGCAGATCAATTGAGGTCAGGAATTCGAGACCAGCCTGAGCAACATGGTGAAACTCCATCTCTACCAAAAACACAAAAATTAGCTGGGCGTGGTGGCACATGCCTGTAATCCCAACTACTCAGGAGGCTGAGGTAGGAGAATTGCTTGAACCGGGAAGCGGAGGCTGCAGTGAGCTGAGATCGGACTACTGCACTCCAGCCTGGGTGACAGAGAGAGGCTTGGTCTCAAAAAACAAAAAGCAAAAAACAAAAAATAAACAAAGAGCAATTGACCTCATATAGGTGGGTCTATTTATTTCTGGGTTCTCTATTCTGTTCCATTGATCTGTCTATTGTTTTACTGTCTCGATGACTGTAGCTTTCTAGCAAGTCTATGTATTACTATATTACTCTTTTTAATTAAGCAAAATGGCTTCTGCAGTTTTTGAGAGATGCCATGGTTAGAAGGACTTTACCTGTCGCTGGCCCGCTGCTTGCGGTGTCTTCTCTGCTGGCCCCATGGTCTCCAGGGTGCCTTGTTGCCCGGGAAGGCCCCTGCCTCTGGGTGGGAGGCAAGTGGGCAGGGAGACCCCATCCTTACTTCCCCATCATGGGTGAGCTTGTTTTTCAGGCACTCGGTGAGTCTATCTACATGGGGCGGGGGCGTGTGGAAAGGTAGGAATTCCTGGCTGTGGTTTGAACATTAACAATTTCACCAACCAGACCAACCTGGGTGGCAGCCTGGGCGGGGTTCCCAGTGCCACGAGGTGGACATCTCCCCCCACTGGCTCCCCAGAGCCATCCTGGCAAGAGGTCCCCATCGATGCTCTGGGGCAGACAGGAAGGGAGCTGGGGTCCCCGTGGTACCTTGGACAAGTCACCTCTCTTGTCAGGGTTTGTTTCTTTACCTGCACATTAGGGGCAAGGACCCCAGCCCTCCTCAAAGAGGGAGTGAGGCCAGGTCAGACCACAGGCAGAAAGCTCTTTGCAAACTGTGAAGTGTAAGGGAGACATGTGAGTGGAAAGGTCAGCCGGGGCTTGAGCTGGGCTGCCTGGCCTCCTGGGGTGGCCCCTGCAGGAGGTAGGGGCCACAGGGAGGTTTTCCAGGCACTTCTGTCCAGACTTTACAGGTGAAGAGAACAAGGACCCCAAGGGATGTGGACGTAACTCCCCAGGTACACAGGTGTATTTTGTGTGTGTCTAAGTATTTTTCCCTCATATAGTAACGTTTTGACATCTTAAACCTTTCTGCCAGCCTGAGCAACATAGCAAGACCCCATCTCTAAAAAAATAAAAATAAAAAATAAAAAATTAGCTCGGAACAGTGGTGCAAGCCTGTGGTCCCAGCTACTTGAGAGGCTGAGGTGGGAACATTGCTTGAGTCCAGGAGGTTGAGGCTGCAGTGAGCTGTGATTGCATCGCTGCATTCCAGCCTGGGTGACAGAGCAAGACCCTGTCTAAAAACAAAAACAAAAACAAAAAAACCCATAAAACCTTTCTGGTTGGGGAGAGAATGACCCTTCCCAGGCTAGCCAATCCTTAGAGACCACAAAGGGCCCACCTGGATCAGGCCTTTGGTACGCAGACCTCCAGTCCAGAGCCCGTCCTCCTCTGCCTGGTGTGTAGCCCCTGGGAGGCGATATTCCTTGGCCATAATCGCCCCTGGGCCAGGGACCAGGCAGCTGGACACCAGCCCTATGTTTAGAGCCCACAGAAATCATTCAAACTGGCCAGTCCTCAACTGCTGGCCCTGCCCTGCCTGGCACTAACTCAGACTCCTTGAGGCCCTGTGTAGAGAGTTCTAGAGTTACGCCCCAGGTAGGTGTGAACAGGAAGCCTGAGGCCACCTGGAGCCAGGTGCCAGTGAGGCCGCCTGCCCCCACTCTCTGTGACCTTGAGCCAGGCCTGTGGGGAGTATGGCCTTGATAGCCCCTGGGCATCTTGGTCTCTGGATAGATTGGAAAACCACTTCTTGTCACCTCCCACCCATTTTTTCGTTCCTTTATTCACTTGGTTTTTAAGAACATTTGATGGGCCCTGTGTGAAGGACCATCTTCCCCACAGCCCCATAGGGTGTGTGTTGGGGAATAACCCTATGTCTGGATGGGGAAATTGAGGCTGAGAGAGCTTTAGTGGCCTGGCCAAGTCCACAAGGCCAGAAATGGGTGGTGAGGGCCACCCAGACCCCCACTCCAGAGCTTGAACTCTGCCTGACACCTGGGCTGCCAGTGCCTCTGCCCAAGCCCAAAGTCCCCACTTGGGGCCAGGCCCCTCCCATCAGCCTCTGAGCACCCCCAGACCCTCCTGCCCAATCTCTAGATAATCATCCACTCCCAGCAGGCACACCGGGCCTTTCACCCCCACCCTGGCCTGGGCACTGCCAGAATTAAGGACTCTCATCCTCTGAGAGTGGGATCCCAGGCAGCCCAGTGCTCCATTAGGCAAATTTATAGGGAGTAAGATTGGAGCAGGAGGAAGAGCTGTGTCCTGAGACATCTGAAACTCCAGGCCTGGCAGTTTGGACTCTGGCCAACGGAGAGCCATGGAGCGTTCCTGTGTGGGGCTAGGGTGGGTGGGGGAAGATCACTCTGGTGGGCTGCTCTGGTTCTCTATCACTTACAAGCCCCTCTTGGGACATACGTTCCCTTGACTGGGAGAAAGTTTCCCCCATCAGGGGCTGGGGTGAGGCAAAACCAAAGCTGGAGGATGCGAGATCCCTGCTTGGTGCTGGACAGGCGGCCAGCGAGGGATCAGCGTCACGCTCTTTCTCCAGGGCTCAGTGCCAGGCCGTGACCAGGGTGTTAGGACCAGAGGGGCTCTCGGTGACTGCAGACAAGTCCTCATGCTACAGGCCTGGGAACGAAGCCCATGGGGGAGGCCCCTCCCCACCGTAAGGCCCGGCCAGCGCATAGCGCACAGGAGGCCTGGGAGAATGGCTCGGCAACAGTGAGCCTGAACCCAGGTTCTCAGGGAGGATGTTAGGAACTGGCCAAACCGGTTGCGGATGAGTTTCCCGGCAGCTTTTCTTAGGTTTTTACAAGAAGCTGCATGGTCAGACAGGGCCTGCCTTCCTCCCCTCCTGCCTCCTCCCTCTATTCTCCTCCATAAGAAAGAGCCACCACGAGGCTCCCTCCTGAGAAGGGCTCTGCCCAGAGGCCCCTCTCCAGCCCCAGGGACCTGGCATCTGGGGAAGCAGCTGCCCTCCTTGTGGTCTCTGGCAAGCCAGCTGCATCTCTCTAGACCTCAGTTCCCATCTCTGTAAAACAGAGCTAGGAGGAGCCAGCTCTTCCCAGCATCCAGTTCTGCATCCCCAGGGCCTCCACCTTGGTCAACCATGGGTCCCCTGTGGACAGCCGGAGCAGCTTGGCCCTTGATGGCTGAGGATGCAGTTCTCGGTGTGAAGGGCAGAGCCCTGGAGGACAGGGGCTCAGGACCCCTAGCTCAGTGCTCTGTCTCCAGTCTGCAGCTACTTGAGCCATGCACCTTGGCCTCCATGGCTCCATCTGTAAGGGGCACGCTGTCACGTTTTTCTCCACCCAACGCTGCCCTGACGGCTGTGTGGCCCCACTCCCTGCCTGGGCTAATAAAGCTTCATCCACAGCCGGAGTCTGCACAGGCGCTGCTCCCAGCACTCCCATTGCCAGATCTGCAGCATGGAAGCCTCCCCTGGGCTCTGGGGACAGAGCTCAGCATCCTGGAGAAGATGCACGGAGGCAGCACCGCGGCCGGCAGGATGGCTGGGGTCAGAGCCTGGCTCTGGTACCGGGTGGCTTCTCCCTGTGGCCTTCAGAGGCCTGTCCTTCCCAGGCCTGCTGCAAGGACAGGGGCCACCAACCTCAGTGCTGCTGAGACCACAGCCCTCTCCCCAGCCATGTCCTCCACCCTCCACCTTCCCTGCCTGACCTCAGACCCCACCTGGGTCCTCGCCTGCCTTCTCTGCCAGGCAGACTCCTGCTTACCTCCAAGAAAAAGCTCCAGGCCCCCTCGTCCAGAAGCCTTCACTGCCTCCTCGCTGGGCAAGGCCCTGATGAGGGAAGTCGGGGGCCATGGAAAACTGTCTGGGTCCTGGGAAGGCTTCTGGAGGAGGTGATGATGGAGGAGAAGTTTAAGTCAAAAGGAGGCAGGAAGGAGCTATCAGGAAGGCAGGTTGGAGTCTGTCGAGGGCCCTTGCCACCCCGAGGTGTTGACCACTTTACGCTGTGGCCTCTGCAGGGGCTAGGCCGAGTCCCCTCCAAGAGCCTGGCATGCACACGGTGAGTGCCAATATATTGACTATCTGACCTTTGAAAAATAACACATGTGGAATATTGAGTCTTGGTCATACTCGCATTTTTGAGCCCATCTGTCTCTATGTATTTCGCAGTACAGTGTATTTTTAAAATATGGCCTTATTATTTTTAAAGTTTGTTTCCATCAATTTTCCTGCAATCTTCAAAGTTTGAATTAATCTTTCTTTCTTTCTTTCTTTTTTTTTTTTGAGAGGGAGTCTTGCTCTGTTGCCCAGGCTGGAGTGCAGTGGTGCAATCTCGGCTCACTGCAACCTCCACCTCCCGGGTTCAAGTGATTCTCCTGCCTCAGCCTCCCGAGTAGCTGGGATTACAGGCACCAGCAACCACACCCAGCTAATTTTTTGGGTTGTTTGTTTGTTTGTTTGTTTTGAGATGGAGTCTCACTCTGTCACCCAGGCTAGAGTGCAGTGGCGCAATCTTGGCTCACGGCAACCTCTTCCTCCTGGGTTCAAGCGATTCTCATGCCTCAGCCTCCCAAGCAGCTGGGATTAAAGGCACCTGCCACCGTGCCCAGCTAATTTTTGTATTTTCAGTAGAGACAGTTTTTACCAAATTGGCCAGGCTGGACTCGAACTCCCGACCTCTAGTGATATGCCCACCTCGGCCTCCCAAAGTGTTGGGATTACAGGCATGAGCCACTGCGCCGGGCCTGGATCAATCTTAATTAATCCAAAGGTCATGATCTACCCAGAAGTGTCCATTGATAGCTCACATTCACATTTTAACGGCCCCAGAATGTGAATCTGTGCTGTCCATGGACACTTCTGGGTAGATGATGACATTTGGATCAAGAAAATTGTCTCTCTCTGCAGGGTTGGGGTACCTTGTGAGCACACGGCAGATTCTCAGTTCTGACATTTTGCGTTGAAATGTGTAAATATTTCAGCCTAAAGTTTCCCACAGGTGCTGTCTTTTGGCCTCCGTTCGGAGTACAAATATTTAACAAATATTTGTACAAGACAAATCTCGTCAAATAAATTGTTTCTATGATGATTTTTAATGATTCTTCAAATGTACGTGCTGCAAAACCGTGGGCCTACTTAATTCCATTCCATTTCAATCTAGAATATAAATTTATCCAGTTAATAGGAACTCCATGAGCTGATGCTTCCCAAGGTTCAGGATGTTCCCAAGGACACAGGTACGATTTCCAAATGAAATCTTGTCACTTTCTGAGCCTTCACTAGTGGATGTGATCAATTCCTGTCCGGCTTCTGTAGGGATGACTGAATTTTAATGTCTTTTGCTTTGCGAGCCGTGTTTCCAGTCATTGCAATTCTACATTTCAAAGCTGAAGTGTTTTGGTGCTTCGTTTGTTGAAGTCTTTGATTACACTTCTGATTTTTTTTTTTTTTTTAACAAACCACAAGCAAAATTTAGAGAACCTGTTTCCAAAGACACGCATGAGCATGGCAGGTCTCCTGGGCTTGTCCTTGAAGCAGCGTTCTGGAGGCTTCTGTGCTTGGGAGGCGAGAGGCCGGCAAGGCTGGAGTCTCTGTGCCAGAGCACTTCTGTGAAGGTGACACCGCATGGTCTCAGATGCATTGCCGTGCAGCTCCTGTGACTGGGCACACCGGAAGACAGTGGCAAAGGTGAATAACCACAGCCTCTGCTTTGCCACCTGGTCACAGCCGCAGTTATGAATTCTGTGAGCGTCACCACCAAGCTCGTCTCTACCCCATTTGGTGTCTGACTTTAATGAGAACATTGCTTTTACCACAGAATTTCTGTGTCTATCATCACTGCAAAAACAAACAATTTTGCCTTCGTGCTGAACTTTTAAACTGAATTTGCAAGAGCATTCACGATCATGTCTAATGAGTCACTCTAGACAGAATCAACTTCTAAAAGCTTTACCTTGATTGCATAGATCGGGTGAAAAATCTAGCTGCCATTGGAATTTGCAATTTGCTGGTGGTGTCTCAGGAGTAGGGGTGGTCCCAGCTGTCCCCAGCCAGGGTGGCTGCAAGTTCCATCCCAGGGTTCCCCTCAAGCTGCCCTGCCCAGCTTCTGGAAGCACAGGCCGCGACGGCCAGGGCCGCAGGTACCTGCCAAGGTGCAGCCAGCCCCTAGGAGGCCAGGGTCTGAGAGGTAGGCCCCAGGAGGACATGTGGGCTTTTTCACTGGCTTATAGCCACACACAGTCTGAGGCGGTGGGTGGGTCTTAGTCCCCTGAGACACAAGTGGGGAAACAGGCTCTGGGTCAGCAGGTGCCTCACCCAGGTTGAGCCAGGGTGGAACAGAGACTGAACCCATGTCTAGCCATGCCTGCCTGGTGGGCAAGGCCGGGGGCATAGGGTGTGCGGGTGCTGCATGTGGGGAAGGGGCCACAGGGCCCTGGCCGGAGGTGGCTCCCCAGGATATCTGGTTCCAACGCCACTTCTCTTACCAGCCTGAAATGCCACTGGCTTCATGCCATGGCTTGATGCCTCACGTGGCATCTCCTGTCCTCCCTGGCCCCCGAGCCCTTCTGTGGTCAGGCATGTCCTATCTCATGGGGTTCCGTGGGACACTGTTTGGGAATCACCGAGTGATCCGTGCACTAAAAGCAGTTGCACTGAGAGGGCTTCCAGGGGCTGGCGTAGCCTGGCCCAGCAGAGGGGTCTGGTCTATGGGCAGTTGCCAGGCTTCTCAGCCTCACAGTGCTGCTTCCTTCCTGTTCAGCCTCCAGCAGGTCCCCTCCTCCGCCTCAGTTTCCCCACTTGTAAAATGGGGTGACTGACCTGCAGGATGCCCCTTCTCATGTTGTCAGGAGCTGATTCCCCAGGGCCTTGAGCACATGAGGCAGGAGGGGACCTGCCAGGCCAGAGGCTGCTCACACGTCCCAGCCAGGCCCCAGTGGGGCCCCAGCCTGCTCACCACAGCCCCAGACCACAGCTGCCAAGGCCTCCTGAGGCGGCCCCCGCAGCCCAGGGCCCTGCCCAGACAGGGAAGCCCGGGAGCAGGGGGGAGAATCGGTTCCGCAGGGCTTAGGTGTTCCCAGTAAAGCAGCTCCAGGCAGCCGCTACCAAGACGCCAGAGGGCCACCTGAACAGGGATGCCCCGGGCTGGGCAGGAGCTCTCTCCAGAGGCTGCTGCGTGTGGGCGAGGGTCTGGGGTGTTCAGGTCTTGGGGCTCTGGGCCAGCCCTTCTCCTTCCAGAGAGGGTCCCTGCAAATGGCTGTCTGCATGGCCCGGGGAGCAGCGTGACCACACCGAGGGGTGCAGAGATGGGGGCTTGAGAGTGCCCGGGGCCCGGGTGTGGCCAAGGAGATGGAGGGGTTGTTGCCCACTTCAGTCAAGAGAGTCACGGCAGGCCTGGAGGCACCCCGGTCGGCGCACCCCTCGGGGGGCTGTCCGGGTGAGGTGGGTGGGGCTGGGACTCTGCTGGTTCTGGTTGCTACAGGCACTGATCCCCCAGGGCACGGGCTCAGCCTGCTCCTTTGTTCATTCCACACACACAGACCACATTTGAAGGTGGCCCTTGGGGTGTCTGGCCTGGTGTGGGGGCCACAGGGGCTCATGGCTTGGAGGGGAAGAGAGGCAGAGGGAGACAGATCAGGCAGGGATAGGCTGCTGGGTGGGGAAGGGGCGCTGTGCACACAGGTGTGGCCGATCCCGGGGGTGGGGTACTAGGTGTCCACACTCACTCCCAACAGTACTTAGCTACTTCCCGCGGGGCGCGGGCGCGTGTGGGCACTGGGCCACCGCGGTGAACAAGACAGACCAAAGCCTACCTGCCGGGCCGGCCGCTCCAGTGCAGACACAGAACGCGAAAGAGGAAGGGAAGCGCTGGGCGGTGGTGAACATCCTGCGGGGCCCCTGGGCTGGCGCAGGGCAGGGCCCTGAGGGATGGGGTGGAAGCGGGGCCTCACCGAGAAGTGTCCCCACAGCCAAGACCTGAAGGCGGGGAGGGAGTGGGCCCCAGGGTGGGGGGGCCGTGGGAGGAGCAGCAGAGGATGAGGGGGACTGAGGCCCAGAAAACATCTGTGGCTGGGGTGGATGAAGCCAGGTGTGAGGGCGCGAGGACGCGGGGTGAGGACGCGGGGTGAGGACGCGGGGTGAGGACGCGGGGTGAGGAGGACGCGGGGTGAGGACGCGGGGTGAGGACGCGGGGTGAGGACGCGGGGTGAGCCTCTAGCAGAGGCTGTGGGGGGCCGGGGGACGTGGGGCAGGTGCTGCTGCAGCTACCAGGAGAGGGAGGGCGGTGCTGGGACCCGCGATGGAGACCGCGGAGGTGGGGCCGGCGGGGTTCCTGAAGGACAGACGCTGGGCTGGGAGAACGGTGGGTACGGGAGAGCCCGGGGCTGCGGCCAGAGCTCCTGGGAGGAAGGAGGCGAGGGCCGTGCGGGGAGCTGGGAAGGGGTCGGAGCAGGGAGGAAGGCGGTTTCTCAGACAACATCCTCTGGAGAAATGAGGCTGGTCTTGGGCCGAAAGTTGGTTTTAGGTCTGACAGGACGTGGAGGGCCCTTGCTCGTGGGGTCTAGCGGTGCATCCCTTTCTCAGTGTGGCAGCCTGATTACTGCACACATCCCAACACACCTCCCTGCCCCGCACACACACGCCCCGCACACACTCGCCCCGCACACACTCGCCCCGCACACACTCGCCCCGCACACACTCGCCCCGCACACACACGCCCCTCACACACACGCCCCTCACACACACGCCCCTCACACACACGCCCCTCACACACACGCCCCTCACACACTCGCCCCTCACACACTCGCCCCTCACACACTCGCCCCTCACACACACGCCCCGCACACACACGCCCCTCACACACTCGCCCCGCACACACTCGCCCCTCACACACACGCCCCTCACACAAACGCCCCTCACACACTCGCCCCGCACACACACGCCCCGCACACACACGCCCCGCACACACACGCCCCTCACACACTCGCCCCGCACACACTCGCCCCTCACACACTCGCCCCGCACACACACGCCCCTCACACACTCGCCCCTCACACACACGCCCCTCACACACACGCCCCGCACACACACGCCCCGCACCCTGTGCAGCCTGTGGGGCACAGCGCAGCCCCGTGGGTGTGGGAGGAAGGGCTGACGGCTTTCCAATTCTCACCACGTGCCAAGCTCTGGGACTGGTGGTCCCACCCGGGCCTTGTGACCCCCTGGGACGCAAACATGATTTATCCCCCGTTTTTGCAGCTCTAAGAACTAAGTTGAGGCCGGAGGGAGGGAGTGACTTGCCCAGAGCCTGGCGCTGGTTCCCAGGGGAGAGGGGAAGGGCAGAGCTCCTCAGGGCCCCAGGACCCTGCCTCTGGGGTGGGGGCCTCTCGTCCTGTTTTCCGATGGAGAATCGGTCCCTCGCCCGGGCCGCAGAGCCGGTACCGGGATTTGGGCAGGGGCCGCTGGAGGCCGAAGCCGCTGTCTTTCCAGGGCCCTTGCCTGCCTGTGGGACCTGTGGGAATTTTCCCTCCCGAGAGCCCTGAAAGGCCGTGGGGGCGGGGTGCCGAGTCCCGCCGATGGAGGCGAAAGGGCCACACGCTTTTTGTGGTCGAATTATCCAAACAGTGAATGGGCTGCATCCGCCCGGGCGGCTGTGAAGCGGGCGGCTTTGTCCAGCCCTGAGAACAGCGGCGCGGCGGGGCCAGACAAAGCCGGCGCTGACGCCGCCTTTTCCACGGTCCGGCAGAGAAAGAAAGGCCCGGCGCACAAAGCCAGGCCCAGTGACTGGGGCGGAAGGGGGATCGGGCTTTAGTCACGGCCCCGCCGGGAGGGCGAGGGGCCCCACCGGAGCTTCCCATCAGGATGGGAACAAAATGGGGCGGGACGACTCGCTGACGGTCCTCTCCATCCTTGAAAGGCCCCCCAACCCCCAGAGGAGGCCTGAGAGGGACGGCAAGAGACACTCAGGTCCCTGCTGCCTTCAGCACCCACCCAGCCTGGCCCCGAGGCTGGAGGTCATCTCCCAGATGGCGCCTGGCTACTCGGATGGACCTCAGACCCCTGGCTGGCCTCTCCATGCCTGGGTGGGCAAGACCCCTTTAGCCTGATGGCCAGCGACCCCCAGAGGAGCCCAGCCAGCAACGCTAAAGCCGATGTCTCAGAAAGAGTCCATGTGCTTCAGGGGCAGAGGGGACAGCAGAATGGCGAGGTGGGGTGGCAGGTAGTCTTTGGGGCCGCGGCTGGGAGCCCCTCATCCTCACCGCTCTGTTCAGGGACAGCCTGTCCTGGGGGGCTCAGTGCTGCCCCTGGCATAGGTGGCCAAGGAGTGACCACAGGCCAGAAGCCAAGCCAGGCCCCTGCCAGGCCACCTTCTGCTCCAGATGGCAGTGTGCCCCTCTGCCAGGGGTCACAGTGAGACCTGAGATGCAGGGAAGGGTGGGCGGAGGGGGGCCCAGAAGAGGAGCCCGCAGCGGGCAGCAAGGACCCTGGAGCCCGTCCCGGCTCGGACACCTGGAGCGGGACCATAGCAGGAGGCCTCTGGCTGCCCCAAGCCTCACCTGCCTGAGGGTTTTTTGAGGATCAGAGACTGAGCCCTGGGCTTGTCAATGAGCAGGCGACCCCATACTTGTGCCCAGGGTCCATGGCGGACCCGGGCAAGGAGGGACTGCGGGGAGTCTCGGGCCAACAGCAGGTGTGGGGTTTTGAGGGGCCAGGCAGGGAGAGGGAAGGAGGGAGGTCTTGGAGGGCACATTTGAGTGGGCATTGGGTGGGTGGCGGCCCTGCTGTGAGAGCGCCCAGGGGGCTTGGTGAGAGCCGAGGGCAGGGGGCGTGGGCTCATTTCTGCGTTTAGAAAACTCTTCCCAAGCTGTCCAGGGAGAGCCAGAATGGAAGTGCTTGGTGGGCCTGTGAGGGCCGCTGCAGCCATTCTAAGAGCTGGTGTCTATTCAAGAGGAGAGAGAGTGGGGAGCTGGGGTGCCCGGGTGAGCTGGCACAGGGTGCGGGGCATGTGTGTGAGGGGCAGGGGAGGTGTGTTGGGATGTGTACAGTAATCAGGAAGAAGGCCTCCTCTGGGAACTGGGGTGCCCGGGTAAGCTGGAAGAAGGGTCAGGTCTAGGGCTGAACAAGGGGACTGTGCCTGGAAGGAGCATGTTCTGGAGACCAGAAGAGCAAGCGGGTAGCCCCGCCGTCTGCCAGCCTCTCACGTGCCATGATTACATTGCCAAGTCCGCAAAAGTGCCCCTGTGGGTGCCGTGTCACTTACATCCAGGGAAACTGAGGCACAAAGGGACTCACCAGAGCCAGAGCTAGAAACAAGGTGGGCCCCCCTTCAGCTGGGACTGACACCACAACTCATCCTGAGACCTCGTGCCATCCTGAGGGAAGCTTACCCTGTCCCCACGGGGACTCCTGGCCCTGTCCCACATGGGACCCGGGTGCAGGGCCTGTGAGGAAGTGCCCGGGCCTTGGCCAGGACTGGGTCATCTTCCATCAGCCAAGGTGGGGCGCGCCCAGCCGGAAGGTAGAGCCCCCAGTATCACTGGGCCCTGCCACCCTCCAAAGCCTGCCCCAACTCCCATCTGGGGCCCGTCAGCTCTGCTTATGGCCAGGAGCATGTGGCAGCCGTGGGGGCAGGGAGGACAGCCTTGGCTTCACCCCAGCAGGAAAGGCAGGTTCTGACGAGGAAGCAACTGGGCGGGTCCAGCCCCCATCAGGTGGTGCCCAGGGAGGCAGTCCAGGCACCCGCCTGGCCTGGCTCCAGGCTTCGGCCACAGTCTTCCACCAGGATGTGACTGAAGGCCTGGCCGAGGTCTGCAGGCCACCTGGAGGGCACCTGGAGAGCCAGGAGCGTGTGAGTACATGCGTGAATGTGTGAGTACATGCGTGAATGTGTGAGTGTGCATGTGTATGAGTGTGTATGAGTGCATGTGTGTGAATGTGAGTACATGTGAGTGTGACTGTGTGTGAGAAAGTGTGAACTGGAGTGAGAAAGTGTGAATGTGTGTGTGAATGTGTGACTGTGTGTGAACGTGCATGTGTGAGTGCGTGCATGAGTGAATGTGCATGTGTGATGTGAGTGCGCATGTGTGTGAGTGTATGTGTGTGAATGTGAGTGCATGTGTGTGAATGTGTGTGTGTGTGAATGTGTGTGAGTGCCTGTGAGTGCCTATGTGTGCGTGAGAATGTGAATGTGTGTGTGAATGTGTGTGTATGTGTGTAGCCTGCCTGGGCTCCGGCACCTTGGGGACACTGTGGTCAGGTGTCTCTGCTCCCACAGTCTCTGCTCCTGGCCTCCTCTCTGAGCCTCCATCTCCCTGACTCTCCAGTGGGGGTGAAAATGCTCACAAAACCATTAGGAACAATAGGAAATGAGGTGATTTGTACAAATCAGCACTGCCCTTGGCCCATAGCAGTTGCTCAAAAAATGGTAACTTGCCCTTTGCATGACCCAGAACCTTTGGGGGCCTGGCCGCGGTGTCACAGAGAAGCAGCCGCTGTCTGCACCATTGCAGGCTGCAGATACTCCCGGTTCTCAGCAAACATTTCCCGGGGTCCTACAACAGGCCCTGGGTCTGGCTGGGGCCAAGGATCCCATGGTGATCAAAACATGGTCCCTACACTTAGTGAACTCTGATCAACACAGGAGATGGAAACTTCGCCTCCCACCATATGGTGGCTGTGGGAGGGGAAGTGTGTGTGTGCATGTGTGAGCGTGTGAGTACATGTGTGCATGTGTGAGCATGTGAGTACGTGTGTATGTGATATTTGAAGCATGGCCAGCACCTAGGCTTGCTGGGCTGGGGTGCAGTCAGGGAGGGCTTCCTGGAGGAGGGAGCATCCGAGTGAAATATGTAGAAAGAATATGCGTGGGCCTGGGTGACAGAGAGAGGGAAGAACTGCCGGGAGAGGGGCGGGAAGGAGGGTGCTGGGGTGGGTGGGGCAGGGGTTGTACCTAAGCAAGACACCCTGAATCAGGCAGGCTCTGAGTCCTTCCAGGCCCTCCCTCCCGAGAACCTGACGTGGAGGGCCTGGGAGCACATGGCCCCCTAGGACCCTCCTTAGGTGGCACGGGAAGATGCGTCAGGCCCTAGTGTTGGGGGCAGGCCGGATGCAGGGTGCCCCGGATGAGGAGGCAGCCCAGCCCAGTGCTCATCAGTGCCCTGGGCCCCCTCTGCCCCCTTCCAGATGCAGATGGCAGCACTGGGCTCGCATGGGGCAGAGACTGCTGAGGTCTGGGGCTGGGACCTGCTTCGGCGGGCATTCAAGCAGAGTGCGTCTGGCCCGAAGCCACCTGGGAATGGCATTTGTATCGTGAATGAGGGCGGAGGGGAGCATGCATCTCTGACAAGCCCACTAATGTGTTTGGAGAGAGCCAGCGAGCAGCCCTGGATGCTCGGTCACTGCTGCTCACCGGGTCAGCCGCCTTTGTTCTCCCAGGCCCCGGGCGCTGGACTCGCTGTCACGTGACGTTGTCCCAGTCAGCGGAATCCGATTCTGCTTCCGAGGCAGGTCCTGTTCAGACTGAAGTGGGGGATGCACCACAGGCCCAGGACTCCACGGCCCCTGCTGGTCCCTCCAGGCCTCGCCACCAGGCTCCTCCCTCCACACCTGACACCCCCAGCTCCCCCAGCACAGGAAGAGGGCACACGCTCACCCCTCCACCCACCCCACCACCCCTAGTTCACACCTGGCAGGGAGACCCCCTGGGCGGTGGGAGTGGTGAGCTGAGATGGATGAGACAGGCTGTGGTGGCGAGGGGACAGTCAGGGACAGAGGGGGTCCCCTGAAGATGAACATGAAGAGCAGGGGAGGCATGGGGCTGGGGACCAGTGCAAGCCCGAGAGGGTGTGGTGGGAGGGGCAGTGGCTTCGGCCACTGCCCTGGGCTGTGTCTCCTGGTCCCACAAGTCCCCGTCCCTGGGGAGTGGGGCCCTGCTCAGCCCCCGTGGGAAGGGGGCCATCTTGGCCAACTCTGTGGGCCCCATGGGGTAGTGGGAGGCAGTCACCCCTGGCAGGGCTCCCCACCTCTGCACTGGGGGTGCAGAGGAAGCCCCCCGTCCAGCTCCATTGACGCCCACGAGGCTCCCCGAGCAGGCTCCTGTGAAGGGCTGGGGCCAGGAAGGCTGCGGGGCGGTGCTCGGACCCAGCCTCAAATGAAGCCTGGGAGCAGGTGGATGGGGAAACAGACAAATTCGCTGAGGGGAGGGGCGGCCACATGCAGGCTGGGGGGAGTGAGGCTGAGCAGGCAACCCAGGCTTTGGGAGGGGTGTCCCTGTCACCACAGCTTGGTCCAGGCCGTGTGTCCCAGTTCCCAGGCAAGGTTGTGCGGCACCAACTCACCCTTCCAGAAATTGCTGAAATCTCTACTGTCCAAACCTGTCACCGCCTTAATCAAAGAAAACATATAGCCCATCAACACACGAGGGAAGCCAGCAGGAAGGAGCCTGGCCTTGTCCCAGCACCTCCTGCCCAGCCCCCTTCCCACACTGCCCTGCCCACAGCCTGGGCATCCTCTCCAGCTGTCAGTGACAGGGACAATGACAGCCAGGTCCTGGTGGCCTCTCAGGGACAGTCGTGTGCTGAGGGAGAACATCGTCTCCTGGCTCATCTCGCTGTCACACCCTCACTGACTGGACCGAGGGCTCGGGGCAGGCACCACCGCTACCCAGTTGCACAGCAAACCCAAGCGAGACCACTGCAGTCCCCAGGCTGGGCCAGGCCCTTGCCCTGGTTCCCACGAGGGAAAGCCTGGCTCAGTGCCTTTGGCCACACCATGCAGCCTGCAATGAGATAAGGGTGGGGAACTCCCTGCCAGCTGCCAGGGGGTTCTGGGCTGGTTTATTCCTGAAACACATCTGCATTCCTTGAACACATCCCTTAGCTCCCCACGGCCCACAAAGTGCAGCTGGAGTGAGCGGGGGCCCTTCCCAAGCTGTCCCTGCAGCCGGGGGCCTTGCATCGCTCCCGGTCAGGACCCTGGGCTCCCTCAAAGGCTTTGTTTGCTTGGGGGCCCGAGGCATCCACAGCCTTCCCAGTTACCTGCCCTGACCAGCCCTCAGCTGTGCCTTCAATGGCGTGGGCCGCCAGGCATCTCACCTCTCCATGCTCACTGAGGTCAGAGGCAGCGCTTCTCCGCCACCCAGTCTCGGGTGGAGACCAGGCGCTGCTCTCGACTTGGGCTTCAGGGGTCCTGCTGCACACTGCCAGGCAGAGGTGTGGGCTGGACGGGCGTTGCTGTCAGGAGTTCACCTCCCGGCTGGACACAGACGCTTTTAAACCCAAGGCCGCGGAGGGACCGGGTTAGCGGTCACGATGCCACACTCCCCATCGCCTTGAGGGAGGCCTCCAAGCTTGGAATTATGGTTCTCCAATATGTGCTTACTTGGGTTTGCTTTTGAAAAGGTTAGGATTTAAGTATCACCCAATAACACACACATGCCCAGCTACATCTGAAATTACAGGGCCGCTGGGCTCAGGGTCTGGCCTGTGCCCACGGCTGGGTGAGGAAGTGCCCACCACAGCTGGGCCACTCCACCCAGGGAGGGGTGGGTCCGAGGGGTGCCACATACCTGAGCTGTCACCGTGCGGGCTCTAGTATGTCACTCACCAGGCAAAGGAGGGTCTTCGGGACACTCTGAGGACAGGAGGGAGTTACCTCTCCTCTGCGTGGCTCAATTTATCATCTGTAAAATGGGGACAAGGCTGTTGCAAGGAGTAGAGAAAACAGATGCAAAGAACCTACCCAAATGCCGCTTGCAGCAAACACACACAGGGACCTTGAGGGTACGAACAGCGCGGGAGCAGGGCAGGAGGGGACGAGCCCAGGCTATGTGTGTCTGGGGCTCAGGGCTCAGCATGTGAAATGGGCTCGATAATGGTGGTGGTGATTATCAACCACATCATCACTCTCGGCCGTGTGGAGGCTGGCCCAGCAAGGAAGGTGGGGTGGCACGGGTGATGCCAGGGGTCCCACTCCAGAGGGTAGAGTAAATCCTTGGAGAGTGCAGTGTTGGCCCTGGGAGGAGCCCCTGTGCTGGGCACCCGTGGAGAAGGCCGGGGCATCCTGAGTCAGGACCGCTGAGGCCAAACCTACCCCTGGAGCCCAGAGGCACCGTTGCAGCCAGGTCTCCCAGCTGCCCGGCCTGGCTCTCCACTGGCGATCTGACTGGGCTGGCTCGTCTCCCGGGCCTCGGGGCTTTGGATGGCGCATGCAGTACCCAAACTGGCTGGGCCGCAGCTATCACCGATCACCAGCCTCAACATTCTCCCCCACATCTGCCATCTCCCCAGCCCCACGGCCACTGGGCGTGGCTCAGGCCCAGGAAAGCAGCACCCTTGCCGGGACTTGCCTGCCCACGCTCCTCCTGTGGGGTGGAAGTGGTGGGGTGGAAGTGGGGTGAGGTGGCCTGGAGAGGAAGCCAGCCTGACTGCCCACACCTGGCTTCAGGGAGCAGGTGACCCTCCCCCTCGCTCTCCCTGCAAAGTGAGTCCTGGCTGTGGAGCTGAAACACGAACTCCCCGGTTCCACGCCCAGGGCCTGGCATTGGCCCCACACTCACCTGAGTGCCGGCCGCCTTCCTCCCGGCTCCCAGCCTTAGCTCCTG
Source organism: Homo sapiens (assembly GCF_000001405.40). NCBI lineage: Eukaryota > Metazoa > Chordata > Mammalia > Primates > Hominidae > Homo > Homo sapiens. Next base: position 45,882,893 of record NC_000022.11, on the reverse strand, counting down.
GTCCTCCCATCCCTGCCCTCCTCCCTAGGTGTCCCCTCATCCTTCATCCATCTACTGCTGGGAGCCTGGGAGGGTGGGGTTGCCTAGGCCCTTTCCTCTACTGCTGTGTGACTGGGAGAAAGTCAGTTAACGTCTCTGTGCCCCTGGTTCCTCTCCATCGGCGCTGTCCTCTGGGGCGGGCGCTGGGGTTCTGTCGATGTCATAGGTGCTCCGCCCAATGCCCACAAATGCCCGTCAGGCTGGCGCTGGAACAATGTGGAACGCTCAGGCAGTGGCCACTTCGCCTGTTTCACGGTCAGTGCTCCCTGAGCCACCTCCATTACCCCACTTTACACACATGGGCGCTTGTCGGCAGGGGGATCACCGGACTGGGAGCTACCTGAAGGCAAGTCCCCTTCTCCTTAGGCCCCCATGGATATGGATAATGGGTCACTGGTCTGGGGGGCTTCCCCATATCTTTGGCGGCTGAGCAGCGTGAGCCCCTCCCAGGACCTGGACTGTGGCCCTTGTCGGGAGGGGGTTTGCCAGCACCTCCCGTGCGATGTTTTCTCACGTTCATTAAACCTCTGGGTGCAGCAGAGCCAAGACGCCTCAGAGACACACGGAGCTTGCCAGCCGCCAGGTTCAGGTCACAGTCAGACCACAGACAACGGCACCTGCAGAATTCTCAGCCTGGCTCGTGCAGCCGTAAGAGCCAGGGTGGAAGTGACTGTCCACTGGGGTTCAACCTCCCATCCTCAACGATGTCGGTCACAGATAAAGTCTTCAATGGGGCCGGGCGCGGTGACTCACGCCTGTAATCCCAGCACTTTGGGAGGCCGAGGTGGGTGGATCACGAGGTCAGGAGTTCAAGACCAGCATGGCCAAGATGGTGAAACCCCATCTCTACTAGAAACTACAAAATTAGCCAGGCGCAGTGGCAGGTGCCTGTAATCCCAGCTACTCAGGAGGCTGAGGCAGGAGACTTGCTTGAGCCCAGGTGGCAGAGGTTGCAGTGAGTTGAGATCATCCCACTGTACTCCAGCCTGGGTGACAGAGTGAGACTCCGTCTCCAAAAAAAAAAAAAGTCTTCAATGGGCATATCCCCCATAAGGCGTGATAGACAGCAGGGAGGTCTGACCCTGAGATGGGAGGTGTCTGCCAGCCACAGGCGGTCCCCAAGGATGGAAAGGCCCTGAGCCCCAGAAGCTGGGTAGCCCCAGCCTCCTCCCCTCAAGGAACACCAGGACAGGGCTGGGCACAGGGACGTCCAAGAGACAGCCTGGGCGGGAAGCACCCACTCCGGACATTGTGGGGCTGTGTGAACATAGATGCAAGCCGCTTAGCCTCCCGGCCTCAGTTTCTTCATCTTTAACATGGAAATGAGAAGACACCCCGTGAGCAGGGAGGGCACTGTCACTGTCACGATCATTCCCATGGTCACCACTGCTCTCCGGGGAACAGCTGCCACGGGGGCGCTGGGGCCGGGTGGCATCCAAGTGGCCCGGACTCACTGACTTACTGCAGCCCTCCTGGGACCGGCTGGCCAGCGGGGTGCTGGGAGCCACCAGGAGGTCAAGTTTAAGCGAAGGCCTCGCTCGCTTCACTGGCTTAGGCACGAAAAACCCAAACCCAAACAAAACGCAGCACCAGCTCCCCACAAGCGCCTTTGTGTCTGCAGAATCGTCCACTCTGCTCTGGGACATCTGCGGCTGCCCAGGCAGCAGACTCGGCGAGAACAAGGGCTCCGCTCTGAATAGGGATTCACGCGGGCGATTCTCAACCGCGGCTGCATTCATCAGGGCCCGGGTGCCCGGGGACTTCCTTCAGGCCCTGCCCCCAGGACCCCGGCTGGCTCCAGCATTCTCTCCCCGGGGTGGTCCCTGGCCCTCCCATCCCCAGTGCCTGCCACTGCCCCTGAAGGCTGCCCGGGGGGCCGGGGGGTATTGTCCCGGGGACACCTGCCCTGTGCCGAGCCGTGGCCGCTCGGGTCACCTCGGCTGGGGCTCGTTCACACGGCCTGAAAGGCGTCCCCTCTATCCGCACTTGCCCTTCTCCTCCTCGCCGCAGGGGGAGGGGCCGGGCGGAGGCAAACAGTATTTTTTCTGTTCTCTCCGGCACAAATGGAATTCAATTAGTGAAGAAGAAACCCAAGCCCAGCCAAACTGCGCTTTAAAAAATCCCGCAGGAGAGAAGCGTCTTCCCACAACCCCGGCAAATCAATGGGATCGATGGTTCCCGTGCGTTCTCCTTCCTTCCCCCCCCGGAACTCATGGGGTGCAGCCGGAACGTCTTCTCCCGCACCAAGGCAGACCGGGCAACAGGGATATCTGAGGAATACGAATACATGCGCCCCAGCCCCGACCCCATTCCTGACAAACCGTGATGGGAAAGCCAGACCATCCTCGGAGGCGGCTGGCCAGCAGACGGACCCTGGGCAGGGTTCAGCCGCCCCACAGTCCTGGGAGCCCTCAGCCCGGCCACCTTTTCTGCTTTTCCTCAAGGACTTGACCACTGCCCAGAGCTGCCAGGAGCAGCCCCTGGGTGGCCTGGGGCCTGGACACTAGGAGGTCACCGCAGGTGGCTGAGTCCAGGCAGGCTGGAGGCCATGGGGCCTGCTTTCCCCAAAGCCTCTGTCACCAGCCCCCTCCCTGCTGTTCCCAGGGCCTGAGGAGCTGTCACTCTTAAGCAGTCACTGCACGGTCAGGAGGTGGTCGCGGTGGAGGCAGCTGACCTTCCCTCCTTATATGGCTGCACATGTCCCCCAAGTCACAGCAGAGGTCCCCCAACAGGGAGACACCAAGAGCCTTCCCAGAGCCTGTCCTGATGTCCGAGCCTCTCCTCTGCCCCGAGCATCCTTCAGAAGAGGATGGAGGATTTGCCAACACGTCCTGTCCTATCTCTGAAGGTTGCATTGTGTACAGGGACCTACTCTGCCTATAGAGCCAATTATTCTCGGATCATCAATTTGAAACCAGAAGAGAAATGTGGCAGGCTTTTTTTTTTTTTTAGAGCACTCTCTGACCCTGGCCGGGGTGGAGGCCACAGCAGCTTTGTGTCATGGGAAGGTCACAGAGCAGGGGTCCAGGGGTCTGGGCCTTGGCCACGGTTCCGTCGGGCGCAGCACGATTCATGCAAATCCCTGTTGCTGAGTTCTTCCATTTGGGAACTGGGCCAGTTGGGCCCAGGACCAGAGCATTTGAGGTCTAAGAGTCTTTGACTCTAAAGTAGAGTCTATTTTTTGCCCACTAGATGATAGCAAGGAGGGAGGGAGGGAGGAAGGGGGGGAAGGGAGGGAAGGGAGGGAGGGAGGGAGGGAGGGAGGGGGGAAGGGAGGGAGGGAGGAAGGGAGGGAGGGAAGGAGGGAGGAAAGAAGGAAGGAAGGAAGGAAGGGCAGAAGTGTGTAGGGAGGAGGGAGGGAAGCAGGGAGGGAAGGGGGAGGGAGGGAAGGAGGGAGGGAAGGGGGAGGGAAGGAGGGAGGGAGTGTGTGGGAAGGAGGGAGGGAAGGCCGGAGGGTGTCAGCTGTGGGGAGGCCACCCTGTCTGACTGGCTAGTGGTCGTCATGGCCCAGATGCCCTCTGCTTTGGGACTTTGCACATGCTCTTCTCTCCCTGTGTGGGGACCACGGGCCATCTCCCCAGCCCCTCTGCTCTCTCTTCTAGAAGTGCTGGGCCCTGGGTCTACCCCACGACCCCTCTGCCTCTCCCCAGGCTGTGAGCTCCCCGAGGACGACGCCCCCTCTGCTTACACCACCTGCAGGCGCTCCAGCCCCGGCACTGGAAGGCCTTGGCCACCGACACAGCAGCCTCATCTTCTGGCTGGATGTGAGTATCCTCCTGCAGGGACCTCGTGGACACACCGTGTTTGCAGAGATGCTTTCTCAGGAAGGGCAGCTGGCTGGGAGGCCAGGACCCAGCCCCATTCAGCTCCCCAGGCCCGCTGCGAGTGCTACCTCAGCCACCCTCCCTGCCCCGGCCCATTCCACAGATGAGAACTTTCTGGGGTGCAAGAGCGGGAAGGGGCAGAAATAAGCACAAAGGGCGCTGCCTGCCTCTCGCTCAGCTCCGCATCCTTTGATGTTTGAAACCCACAGGAATCATTGCAATCGTTCAGAAGGGACTTGGCCACAGGTGACTTGTCTGCAGATTGCTGGAGCGCTAATGAGTGCTAATTACAAGCTGACTGCTTGCCAGGCAATCTGCCCTGCTGGGCAGGCGGGGCCACAGCTGAGAGAGGGGCGGCGTGTGGGGGGCGGGGTGTTGGGCCCCGGTGCTGGCTTTGAGGATGGGCTGTGAGAAGCGACTCTGTTCAAACGTGTTGGACATACTCACAGGGGAGAAGAGACCAATCATGCCTTCAAGGAGGGACAGTGGCGAGGCCGGCCCGAGGTGGAGTCTTTGGCTGCAAAGGGGAGGATGGGGCCCAGCAGGGTTGCCATGGAAACAGCTTCTGATTGGAAGGGGCCCCTTGCAGGGTGTGAAGGACAGAAGGCAGCACCCTGAATCCTCTCTACCCCCGCCTGCCACCTGGGACCCACTCCGGAGCAGGGCGGCTGTGGACCTGCCTGGCGCTCAGAAGGGGGAAGGGGGAACTGCTCTCGGTGGAGGGGTCACCTGGAGCTTGGTCTCTGACAGCTGGCAGGCAGCCCGGTGAGGGCTTTGGCTTAAGAGTTGCTGGCGGATAGCTCCAGCCGCCGTGTTCTGAGCTCACAGCCGGTGCCAGTCACTGCAATGCGCACCACCTCATCCCCGCTTCCCAGTGAGCCCTGGAGGTCAGTGCTGTGATCTCGACTTGACAGATAAGGAAACTGAGGCTCAGAGAGGTCACGAGAATGTGCTTGGGTCACAGGTGGGTGAGGGAGAGGCAGAGCTGGTGGCAAACTAGGGAAAGAGGTTCCCACAAGGGTCCCAGGTGAATATCAAGATGACGAGGATGACCGATGACACCTTCCACCTCAGCCCGCTGCGCGGCGGCCGGATTTCCTCCGCGAGCTGGAGTCCAGCTCCCGCCTTCACTTTATAGTGGGAAATTTGGGTCAACCGGGGGAGGGGACTTGCTGGGGCCGAAACCCAGATCGAGCTCCGCTTTCCCTTCCACTGCCTCTGGGCCGCCCCATTGGGCCCTGGTTCGTGGTCTGATGTTTTTAAAGGAAACGCCCTCCCAAGGGTGTCCCCTGCTCCTCCCTCCTGCGCAGGTGGGTGGGGAGCCCCAGGGTGGCAGGTGCAGTGTGGAGAGGGACCTCACCTTCCATCCTCTTCCTGGACGAGAAATGTCACATCAGGGCCCCCGGGGAAAAGCAGCAGAAGCTCCATGGGCCCTGCTAGGGCCTCAGGTTACACCCTGCAGCCGGGGTGCTCGTGAGGGGAGACTCTGGGATGACAGTGAGGAGCCACACTGTGAATGCGGTCTCCTGCCCACCCTCTGCTGGTCCACGACCCCGGGGACAGCAGGGCGCAAGGTGGGAGGTGGAGAATACAGCTGTGCAGAGTTCTGCTGGCTGGCTCTCCAGACTGTCTCCGTCTCACTCTGCTGTCTGCCTTTTTTCAAAATCCAGTAGACCCAGAATCTTCTGGTCACCCCACTCCTGCGGGGAACAAATAGGAAAAGGACATCAGGGCTCTGAGCGCCCCCTCCACACATGGGAAGATGCTTAGGGGTGCCCATTCTAATCCAGTCCTCCTGACAGGTCTGCAAGGAAGCTGTTAGTATCCCCAATTTTACCATAACTCCCAAGTCTCTTTGCTCCTAAGTCATCAGGACTGGGCCCCGGGCTTTGCATGGGCAAAGTGGGTTCTGTGTGTCCAGGAGATGGGTCCTCTTTTGAAGACCCCCAGAAGCTGCCTCAGGGCACTCAGTCTCTACCCTGAGCCCTGCTCCTAGGGCCTCTGCCGCTGGATGTGTGCCTGGCTCTACCCACAAAACTGCCTCTGTGTCCCAGGTGTTCTGGACGACCCTCTGTGGGTTCTCTGGTCCCATGGGGATGGATGTGGGCTGCAGGCCAGGCGGCTGGGTCTCTTCCAGCCTTGCTTCCCAAATGCGTAGACTGGGGCGGGGCAGGGGTGGGAGTGAGGAGTAAGGGCCTGCCCCTCTTCCCCCAACCCCTTCCCCCGTGCAGCCAGCTAGGAGCGGGTTCCTGAGCCTGTCCCCTCGGGCCACTGGCCTGAGCACGGTGCCTTTCTCTAGGAAGATCCTCGAAGAGCCAGAGCCCATGCCGGACCTGGGGAGACCCTGAGGGGGAGCCCACTTCCTGGAGTCTCTGGCTGGCCCCTGTTTCTGGGATGTGTGCATTGACACGAAAGCTGAACATCAGGTCCCAGAAAGGGGATTTGGGCTTATTTCTCCAACCCACAGACAAGACCTCTTTTCCCATTAGAAACTCACCTCAGAGCCAAGCGGCCCCGGAGAAGCTGCCTCTGTGGCCCGGTCTGCAGGGTGGAGTTACCGTGGGTCCCTCGCATCAGACATCTGCCTGCGGACCAGACACCTGCTCTCCTCCAAGGAGCCTCAATGTCCAGAGAAGGGATCCTGCGGTGACCGAGGGACAGGCCTGTCTTCTGGGTCACCACATCTTGGCATTTATTATTTGCCCCCAGGAAGGTCTGAAGGATTTTACTTTTAAAAACCATAGTCAGCCGGGCGCGGTGGCTAACGCCTGTAATCCCAGCACTTAGGGAGGCCGAGGCGGGTGGATCACCTGAGGTCAGGAGTTCAAGAACAATCTGACCAACATGCAGAAACCCTGTCTCTACTAATACTACAAAATTAGCCAGGTGTGGTGGTGGGCGCCCGTAATCCCAGCTACTTGGGGGGCTGAGGCAGGAGAATTGCTTGAACCTGCGGGGTGGAGGTTGCAGTGAGCTGAGATCACACCATTGCACTCCAGCCTGGGCAACAAGAGCGAAACTCTGTCTCAAAAAAATAAATAAATGAATGAATAAATAAACAAAGTTGTTTTGGTTCTTCCATTTTCCACACATTTCCATATGAATTTTAGAGTCAGTTTGTCAGCTTCTACAACAAAAGCCTGCTGGAATCTTTATTGCAATTACATTGACTCTATAGATCAATTTGAGAGGAAAATGGCATCTTAACAATTTGGAGTCTTCCAGCCTATGAATGTAGTATACCTCTCCATTAATGTAGATCTCATTTATCTCAGCTGTGTATTTTTAATGTACAGGTTTTTCACATTTGCGTCAGATTTATCCTTAAGTATTTCTTAATTTTCAATTGCTGGTTGCTAGTGTATAGAAATACAATTGATTTATGTGTATAGATTTTGTTCCTGCAGCCTTATTAAATTCAGTGATTAGTTCTAGTAGCTTTTTGTAGCTTCACTGGACTTTCTACATAGATGATCATGTCATCTGCAAATAAAGACAGTTTTGTGTCCTCCTTTCCAGTCTGAATTTCCTTTATTTATTTTTCTTGACCCATTTCCCTGGCTAGAACTTCCAGTACAATGTTGAATAGAAGTGGCGAGACTGAACATCGTTCTCTTATTCCTGATCTCAGGGGGAAAACATTCAGTCTTTCACCATTAAGTGTGATTTTATCTGCAGGGTTTTTGTAGATGTCTGTTGTCAGGTTGAGGAAGTTCCCTTCTATTTCTGGTTTGGTGAGAGTTTTTATAAGGAATAGATGTTAGATTTTGTCAGATGCCTTTTCTGCATGTATTGAGATGATTATATGAGTGTTGTTTTTTTTTTGAGACGAAGTCTCGCTCTATTGCCCAGGTTGGAGTGCAGTGGCGTGAACTTTGCTCACTGAAACCTCCGCCTCCTGGGTTCAAGTGACTGCTTGCCTCAGTTTCCCAAGTAGCTGGGACTACAGGTATGCACCACCATGCCCAGCTCATTTTGTATTTCTAGTAGAGACGAGGGTTCACCATGTTGGCCAGGCTGGTCTTGAACTCCTGACCTCAGGTGGTCCACCCACCTCGACCTCCCAAAGTGCCGGGAGTCCTTTCTTTCGCTTACTTTAATTTGCTCTATTTCTAGTTTCTTAAGGTGGAGCTGAGGTCACTGATTTGAGCTCTTTCATCTTTTCTAATTAGGCATTTGGCAGCATCTGAAGCTAAGCTCAGCTCTGCCTTAGGACTTTCTCACAAATTCTGTGCTATATTTCCATTTTCATTCAGGTTATACTACTTTCTAATTTTACCTTTGGTATCTTCTTTGACTAGTGGAGTATAAGTTATTTGGTTTCCAAATATTTGGGGATTGTCAAGTTATCGTTAATCATTATGTTTTTGATTTCCATTACGGCCAGAGAACATATTTTGTATAATTTTGTATAAGTTGAATCCTTTTACATTTTATGGACCAGAATATGGTCTATCTTGGTAAATGTTCTATGTACACTTAAAAAGAAGGTTTATTTTGCTATGATTGAGTACAGCATTCCATAAATTATAATTCGGTCAAGCTGGCAGATAATGTTGCTCAGATCTTCTATTATATCCTTACCGATTGTCTACTTGTTCTATCAATGTCTGAGAGAGGGATATTGGAATCTCTGGCCATGATTGTGATTTCTTTCTTCCTTCAGTTCCATCAGTTTGTGCATGCATTTTGAAATGCTGTTATTAAGTAGATAGCTATTTAAGATTGTTCTGTCTTCTTGATTAATTGACACCTTTATAATTATTAGGTGGCCTTCTTTATGCCTGGTAATATTCTTTCCTCTGAAATTTACTTCAATGCTGTAGCTATTCCAGCTTTCTTTTGACAACTGTTATTATGGTGTGTCTTTTTCTATCCTTTTACTTTTAACCTCATGGTGTTTGTCCCTTCCACCATGTGAGAACACGGCTAGAAGGTGCCATCTTTGAAACAGAGAGCAGCCCTCACCAGACACCCAATCTGCTAGCATCTCGATCTTGGACTTCCCAGCCTCCAGAACAGTGAGCAATACATTCTGTTGGTTATAAATTACTCAGTCTAACATATTTTGTTATAGCATCCTGAAGGTTCTAAGACAGGGGTGTTTGGACTATTTGCATTTAATGTGATTATTAATATAGTTAGGTTTAAGTCTATCATCTTGTAGTTAGTTATAAAATCAGGAAGTATGACCTCCAACTTTGTTCTTTTTCAAGATTTCTTGGCTATTTGGGACCCCTTACCATTCCATATGAATTTGAGGATTGGCTTTTTCTATTTCTGCAAAAAGGCCCTTGAAATTTTGATAGCTACTGCATTGAATCTATGATTACTTTATGCGGTATTGCCATGTTAACAATATTAAGTCTTCCAACCCATGAATATGGGATATCTGTTCATTTATTTAAGCATTCTTTTCAATTATCTTCTAAGGAGAATTAAACAATTTTGAAAATCTTGCATACGTACCCATGGAGGTGCCATTTTCAGTGTTCTTCATTCGTTTGTGTAGATCTACATTCCCATCTGTTATTTTTCCTCTGCAAGGAGGACTTTCTTTAACATTTTTTTTACAGAGCAAATGTGTTGCCAATATGTTTTTTCCCCTACTTTTGTGTTTTAAAATGTCATTATTTAACCTTTGGTTTTGAAAGATATTTCACTGAGTATATTTTTGTTGAAAATATCTTTTGAAATATATTTTTGCTTTACATACGGGTATTGGTTGACAGTTTTTGATCCCAGTACTTTAAAGATGTTGCTTCACTGTCTTCCCACTTGCATTGTTTCTGATAAGAAGTCTGTTGCCATTCTTATTTTCTTCCTTTCTATGTAATACGTCTTTCCCCCCTCTGGCTGCTTTTAAGATGTTGTCTTTATTACTGTTTTTGAGCGATTCTAGTATGATGTACCTTGGTGTTTTCTTCATGGTTCTTGTGTTTGGAGTTTGTAGACTCCTTAGATCTGTGGGTTTATAGCTTTCATTGTTTTGGAAAAATTTTGATCATTATTTTTTCGAAATTTTTTTCCATTTCCTACCTCCTCTCCTTCAGAGGTTCCAATTATTAAGCTGCTTGAAGTTGACCTACAGCTCATTGATGTCCTCTATTTTGTGGAATTCTTTTCCCTCTGTATGTTTCTTTGTGGATAGTTTCTATTGCTATGTCTTCAAGTTCACTAATCTTTTCTTCTGCAATGTCTAATTTTCTATTGATTACATCTAATGCATTTTTCATATCATGCATTACAGTTTTCAATGAAGCTTGATTGGGCTATTTTATTTTATTTATTTTTGAGACAGGGTCTTGCTCTGTTGCCCAGGCTTGAGAGTAGCATGACCTCTGCTCACTGCAACCTCCACCTCCTGGGTTCAAGAGGTTCTCATGCCTCAGCCTCCCAAGTAGTTGAGATTGCAGCCCCAGGCCACCATGCCCAGCTAATTTTTGTATTTTTAGTGGAGACGGGGTTTTACCATGTTACCCAGGCTTGTCTTGAACTTCTGACCTCAGGTGATCCTCATGCGTCAGCCTCCCAAATGTGGAATTCTTTTTCCCTCTGTGTGTTTCTTTGTCGATAGTCCCTACTGCTATGTCTTCAAGCATGCTGGGATTACAAGCATGAGTCACTGTGCCTGGCCTGAATGGGGTACACATATATTTTTAAATTCTACATGTTTCTATTGTGCGATCTTGTGGAATACAATTATGATAATTATATATATATATATATATATATATTTTTTTTTTTTTGAGACAGAGTCTTGCTGTGTCACCCAGGCGGGAGTACAGTGGCATGATCTCCGCTCACTGCAACCTCCACCTCCAGGGCTCAAGCAATTATCCTGCCTCAGCCTCCAGAGTAGCTGGGATTACAGGTGCACACCACCACGCCTGGTTTATTTTTGTATTTTTTTAGTAGAGACAGGGTTTCACCATGTTGGCCAGGCCGGTCTCAAACTCCTGACCTCAAGTGATCTGCCTGCCTCGGTCTCCCAAAGTGCTGGGATTACAGGCGTGAACCACCACGCCCAGCGATAACTATTTTAATGTACTTCTTTGCTAATTGTAACATCTGTGTTAATCATGGGTCACTTTTGATTGCTTAATCATTTCCTCATTATGTCAGTATTAATAATATTTCCTGCTTCTTTGTATGTCTCATAATCTCTGATTGGATATTTGACATTTGGTAAAACAGTAGATATCTTTGCATTCCAGTAAATATGCTTTGTTCTGGGATGCGGTTAAGTTACTTGGAATTAGTTTAATTCTTCATAATATATTTATTAGAAAGGTCTGGATAAGTAGTCAGTCTAGGATTTTTTTCTCCACTACTGAGGCAAGATCTTTCTTACTCAACCTTCCCCTCCCCAACCCCAGACACAAATATGCCAAATGCCCCACCAGAATTATGGATTATTCCAGTCTGGCTGGTGGAAATAAACATTATTCCTGGGCCCGTGTGAGCACCAGGTACTTTTTTTTTTTTTTTTTTTTTTTTTTTTGAGATGGAGTTTCGCTCTGTCGCCAGACTGGAGTGCAGTGGCACAATCTCAGCTCACTGCAACCTCCACCTCCTGGGTTCAAGTGATTCTCCTGCCTCAGCCTCCCGAGTAGCTGGGACTATAGGCGCCTGCCACCATGCCCGGCTAATTTTTTATACCTTTTTTTTTTTTTTTGAGACAGAGTCTTGCTCTGTCGCCCAGGCTGGAGTGCGGTGGTGTGATCTCGGCTCACTGCAAGCTCTGTCTCCCAGGTTCACGCCATCCTTCTGCCTCAGCCTCTCGAGTAGCTGGAACTACAGGTGCCCACCACCATGCCCAGCTAATTTTTTGTATTTTTAGTAGAGACGGGGTTTCACCATGTTAGCCAGGATGGCCTTGATCTCCTGACCTCGTGATCCTCCCGCCTCGGCCTCCCAAAGTGCTGGGATTACAGGCATGAGCCACCACGCCCGGCCTGTACTTTTAGTAGAGATGGGGTTTCACCATGTTGGCCAGGATGGTCTCAATCTCCTGACCTCGTGATCTGCCTGCCTCAGCCTCCCAAAATGTTGGGATAACTGGCGTGAGCCACTGTGCCCGGCCTGTTCTTTTTAATCCTTTAGGATGATTCTCTCCACAAGCCTCAATTATTTTCCTCCCATATTTGCAGTGATCTGTATTCTGGGGGACACTGGAAAGGCACCCCTGCACGTCTCTCACTTCCCTCCCTGCATAACTCTCTTTTCTCTGAAACTCTGTCCAGTGAACTCCAGCTGCCTTGATCTTCCTGGACTCCCAGCCCCACCTCTGGAACTTGGGAGTCTTCTGGGATCTGTCTGGCTTCCCCCTGCCTGCACCATGGCCGGGGGAGAAATCTCCCTCTCTCAAGGCAGAAATGTGGGGCAATTAGAGGGGCTCACCTTGCTTGTTTCCTTTCTCTCTGGGATCACTGCATTTAATTTTGCCTGATGTCGGGGTCTTGGAAGCCACTGTCTCATGTATTCTGTCTGATTATTTCAGTTGCTGCAGGTGTGGTAAAGAAGCCTGTTACTCCATTTTGGCCAGAAGCAGAAGTGCTCTCTCGTTTTAAATCAAGGATTGGCCACCTCCTACTTGCAAGGCGCGTGACCGCCACACAAAGCCAGACAAATGTCAGCCCTCTCCTGACTACAACTCCACCGAAGGGATAATGGATTGGTGGTGGTAGTGATGGGGAAAACTGCAGACAATAATTCTTACAGAAAGAGAATAAAATGTGATTTGACACAGGTTACTAGGTACCAGGGCTGGCCAGGTTCCCTGGACAGAGGCAAGCAAGCCAGACGCAACCTCCTGGTGGGATGCCCACGGCTTTGTTCATGCAGACGAAAAGCCTGGTGTTCCCCATCTCTGCGATGCCAAGGCTGAGAGAGCCTGGAACCCCTGGCTTGTGGTTCTGATTGCTGTTCAGAGAGCAGTTTCCCTTTGAACTGGAGAAAGAGACTGACAAAGGTGCCACGCGCCAGGAAGAAGGGGGAGAACAAATTTCCCCAGGTGAGGGCAAAACAAAATAAGAGCCAGTTGAGGGGTTGATTGTGATTCAAGCTGCATCAAGCCAAGCTTGGAATTATGCTAACTACAGCCATGGTCATTACCACCCTGGTCCCTGAGAGCCACTATGCTCTGAGCATTCCCAGGGTTACCTTGTTTGGTCTACATGGTGACCAGTAGGGTCGCTTGTAGCCTTTCTATTTGGGAGAGGCTGGTGCTTGTCTGGGAGGAGGAACTCTCCCTCACCATGGCTGAGCAGGCACAGTGGAGCCAGCCCTGCCCTTGGGGTGGGCAGCAGCAGGGGCTGCAAGCCGTGTTGCCCTCTGGGCAGGCAAGGTCCTCCTTCCTGCAAATGAGATGCTACACAAGAGGGTCTTGACAGGAAGGGTCCGCCCAGGGTTCAGTCTCCTGTTGGGCTGCAAGGAGTTGTTAGCAAAGTTGAGGACCCCGGCTCCATAACCGGTGGCAGCACTAGCAAGTGTGTGTGTGTGTGTGTGTGCGCGCGCAAGTGTGCACGTGTGAGTGTGAGCATGTGTGGTAGCAGGGACTCCCAGAGCTCCGAGTCCAAGGCTGAGACTGGGCCCGCCGATGCTCTCCAGTTCTACAACTGTCACAAGAATGTGGCAGCCAGGGCTAAGCTGGGGAGCTAATCCGGCTTTGATGCTGACCCTCTGGCCATCCAGGGCGCTGAGGTCAGGACCACCCGCTCCGGCCCTGGATGAAATGCAGTGGGAGTGGAAGGCTGGAGTGCCCTGGGACTGACGAAGACTCGCCCCTGGGACCACCTTGTTGCAACTCCTGCTTCTGAGAACGGAGCACGGGGCCGTCCATGTGCTATTCACTCAGCAGCTGCTTGCCAGGCACCTGGCATGTGCCAGGGCTGCCCAAGGCACAGGGATGCAGTGGTGAGCAAAGGGACCCACATACTACCCTTGTGAGCCAGATAGTGCATTTAATAGACCCTGGGCCAGCCAGATGGCTGCAAGTCCAAGACAACCGGGAGGCAGGGCAGGGGAGACAGGCCACTGCAGGAAGGAGGCTGCAGGTGCAATTTCATGGAGAAGGTGACATTTTAGCAGACTGGGAGGAGGTGTGGGAATGAGGTGGCAGATGTCTGAGGGAGGAGCGTCCGGGTGAAGGAAGCTTCTGGTGCCTTGGGCCTGAAGCAGGAGGAAGCTTTGTCTGAGTGAGGAGCACCTCAGCGGCCGCGGCGGCAGAAGGGGAAGCCAGGGCAGTGCCCCTTCTGTGGGCTCCAGGAGCACCGGGCTGTGCGCTGAGCAAGCTGAGAGTCTTTGGAGGGTTTTGGCAGAAGAATGATGTGATTTGACTTAGGTTCAGAAAGGATGATGGGTGGGGACTTATGGTGGCCACACCAGGGGCAGGGAGCCCAGGGAAGGTGCAGCCGTGACCATCAGGAAGAGCAAAGGCAGCTTGCCTTGGCTTAGCCCGGGAGGCCGGGTTCTGGCCATGTCTGGAAGGGAGAGCCATGGGATTTTCTGACGGAATAAACGTGAGACTGGAGAGAAAGAGGGGAGTCAGGGACAAGTGTAAAGTTTGCGTGGGGAGAAAAGGGAGGAAAGGAGTTGTCATTTTCTGAGTTTGGGAAGTTGCGGGCGGGGACAGGTCTGGGCTGGGGCGGGTGCCAGGCGAGGCATCCGGCTTGGCCTGGAGTTGGATGTAGGAGTCTGGAGCTCAGGGCACCGTCCAGGCTGCACATATTTGGGGGTCATAGGAGAATTATTGTGTCTGAAGAACTGGATGGGTTTCCAGGGAATGTAGAAGAGAGAAACCCGGTGGAGAGCACAGGGGAGAAGCCGCCAGTGGGGAAGGCAGGGAACCCAGCAGGAGGGCAGGAGAAGGAGGAGTCGCAGCCAGACTGAGGGACATGAAAGGCTTCAGAGGAGGGGCTGTGGGGTGGGAGAAGGGGGATCCCAATGGGAGACGCAAGTGGATGGCACTTGAAGGGCTTTACTTTGAGAAAGAGCAGAGACACGCAGGGCTGTGGAGTGGTGGGGGGCCCGGGGGGGCGCAGAGATCCAAGGGGCTCGGCTGGCAGCCAGCTCGGCCGGGGGTGGGCAGTGAGTCTGGGGCAGGGGGCTTCCGGTGCTGCTGTTTCCAGAGCTGGAAGGAGGGGACAGGGAGGGGACAGGCGCGCAGGGGCGGCCGCAATAGCGTGGACGGAGGCGCGAGGGCTTGGGGACCGTGGTCACGCCTGTGATCACGGCTGCCAAGGAACGCGCGAGTGGATAGATTTAACCCGGGAGGAGACCGCGTGGGGCTGCGGAAAGGGCCCGGGGCCGCGGATGCGTGCAGGATAGGGGCGCGCTGGGGAGGAGGGCGCGCCGGGCCGCGGGCAGAGGCCGGAGGCGGCGCTTGGCCGGACGCGTTCAGGCCGTTCCCTGCTCAGCAGAGGCCGAGCGAGGGTCGGGGAGCCGCTGTCTGTGCCTAAGCTTCCTGCTCTGTGAAATGCAAACAACACTCGCCCTGACCTCCCGGGATGCGACAGCTCTGGAGGGCGCTGGGGAGGGTCCGCCTCATTGTCGTCGTGGAGAAGGGAGCGCTGGGTGCTGAGGCCCGGGGCTGCGGGACACCCCTGGGCGCGGGAGAATCTCCGAGACCCGCGACGGGAGCGGCCTGGGCGCGTGGAGCGGAGGTGGTGGCCAGGCCGGGCGGCGGAGGTGCTGGGGGTCGAGGACTGGGCCGGGCCATCCCGCAGAGGGCAGTGCAGGATCGGCCCTGGCCACACGCGCCCTCCGGCTGCCAGGGCCGCTCCGCCGCGCCGCGCCCTCTCCCGAGGCCCCAGCGGTTCTCCAGCACCAGGGGCGGCGCGGAGCTGCTGTTCTCGCCTTGGACTGTCACAGCAGCCCCGGGACGCGGCCGATCAGCTCCGCTTCATAGAGAAGGAAACTGAGGCCCCGAGAGGTCAAGCACCTCGCCCCAGGCCGCACAGCTAGAAACGGGGAGGCCTGGCTGCGACCCCGCCCTCCGCAGTGGGGACGCGTGGGCTCCTGACCCTACGAATAGCAGGTTGCTCCTGACCCCGCGCCGCCGGCTTCCTCAGGGCCCTCGCAGTCCGCCGCTTTGTCGCCCGTCTGGCCCCGCGCCTGCAGGGGTCCCTCCCGCGCTGCAGGACTTGATCGGGGCTTGGGGTGGGCCGCGGCGGGTCTGGGGTCCTCTGGCTCCCGCGCTTACGGGAGCGGCGGGGAAGGGAGCCCGCCTCGGAAGGGCCCCCTTTGCCGGGCACAGGCAGGCCGGTCCTCCCGCGCTCCTCGCTCCCGGGCTGTGGCCTCGCGTCCCCGGGCCACGGCGCTGCAGCCACGCGGGCGGCGCGAAGTCGTGGAAGGCGCGGACCGTCCTCCCCGGGCACTGTGGGACTGCGGGCCTTCCCGGTCCAAGCCAAAGCACGTGCCGTGGAGCTCGGCCCCGCGCGGGGCAGAGGGAGTGGTCCAGGGCTCGGGAGCGCGCTGTCTCCACCTCCCCAGCACCCGCCTGCCCCGCGCCAGAGCTCGTCCCTTCCCCCATGGCCTACGGGAAGGGAGCTGGGTGTTCTCAGAGGGACCCGGGGAAGGGACGGCAGGGACCTCTCGACGACATGGAAGGAAAGAGGGGAGGAGAGGGAGGGTGGGCACGGGAAGGGGAGCAGCTGAGGGGCTGGGAGGGAAGCGGAGAGTAGCGCGGAGCCAGGCGGAGGAGCGGACTTGTTATTTACAGTTATTAATTGCTGGGAACAGATTGCAGCTGGAAACGCTCTCGGTGCCAGCTCTCGGTGCCAGCTGAACCTCTCGGAGCAAGCCCCATTCGCGCAGGCCGCTGTGAGCGAAGGCTCCACGCGAGCATCTCCTGGGTGTGGGATCTCGGTAACCCCAGGCCTCACATCCTAACATCCAGGCCCTGGAGCCTGTGAGCCTCCTGAGGGTCTCTAACCGACTCCGGCTGGACAGTGCGGGCCCTCAACTTGCCCTAGTATGAGTCATCGTGGCAACACCTCAGAAAATACCCAAGTCACTCCAATTACAGCATTATCAATCGCTGCCATCGCTCTGGAACTCAACCCAATGAAACTGGCGAGAATGCCAGCCGAGCCGGGCCAGGCCGGGAGGAATCCAGTTCTTGGCGAAGGCTGCCGGCCTGGCAGTGCGTCTGCGGCCATGCCAAGCCACAAGCCCTGTGTGGTCGAAGCTGCAGAGGTGTCGGCTCCATTTCACAGTCATGGACACTGAGGCCCACCAAGGCTAAGGCCTGTCCTTCAGCCCAAACCCTCGGGAGAAAACCCAGAGAGGGAAAGGCTGCCTGGGCAAAGCCTGCCTCAGATGGCAGGGGGCGGTGGTGGGTAGGGGGCGGTGGAGAGGGCCGCAGTATGGCCATGCACCGCACTAGTCCCTGGCATGGTGGCCTTTCATGGAGCGTCTATCCTGTGTCGGCGGGGCCATGGGCTGTGCATGCATTACCCCATCAACCTCAACAAAGTAGGTGCCACGATCCCTGTCTTACAGACAATGAAACAAAGGCTCAAAGCATTTGTCACCTGCCCAGGGTTACTCAGTTAGTAAATGACAGCTCTAGGTTCAAACCCAGCCCCATCTGACTCCGGGTCCATGCTGCTTCCACAGGGACTCGCCTTCTGTCTCCTGCCTGAAGGTGAATGTGCTGACCGAGGGCACCGTCTCAGTGCCTGTGTGCACGTGTGCACACGCCACACCCATCAGCAAAGATCCCACTGGGCCCCTGCCTCTGACATCCTGCGGGCGGACAGCCTGGCCCAGCAGAGTGGGGAGGCCAAGTACAGCTGGCCCACCCACGATCCAGTGGTGCTCCATGCTCCTAATCAGTAAGATATGTTTTTGGAATAAAAACCACATCAGCATTTTTATTTTCAAGTTCAGACAAGGCTTTTTTTTTTCTTCCCCATCTTCCTTTCACATGGGTGAGGCTAATCTTCCTGCCTTGACTGACAAGTCTTTAGACTCAGCTATACATTTAAAGAAGCAAAGAATCAATGACCACGGCGCAGGCAGACTTCTTCCTTGAGTTTTTCAGATTTCAGTAACACCACAGCCCATAATTACTAATGCAAAATTAAAAAAAAAAAAAAAAAGATACCAAGACGGAAGCTAAGTGCTTCTTTGCTGTGTGTCCTGGCAAACCAGATGGGGCAAACTCCAGGACACTTCCTGCCCTTCCCTTGGTTAAAGAACGGTCTCACCTTTCTTCCCAAGGACCTTCCTGGGGAGCAGGGCCGGGGGTCCCCAGGTAGATGGGCTCCCAGACTGGGAGCAGGGAGGGGGAGAGCCTGGCGAGTGCTGGTGCTTCCGACGGAAAGATGGACTAATATAATGAAAGGCAAAGATGAATGGGGATGAGGAAGCAGGAGGCGGCAAGGGGAGAGGCGAGCGGGCGTCGGGAAGCTGCTGCAACTGTGCAGGCCCAGGTGTGAGCCAGCAGCTCCAGGGAAACCACTTACAGCTCAAGAATACCAAGAGCAGGCGAAAGCCTCTCTCAGGAGTGGGGAGGACGCCATGGTTACAGAGTAAACATTACCATTTCCTCTCCCCTCCTTAATGTTTTTCAGAGTATATTCAAGTTAAAAGTCTCTCCTCATGGAATTTAACTTGACTTCTATTTAAGAAAAGGTGGGGGTGGGGGAGGCAAATTCAATGCAGTAAGTTTCTTGGGCATTTGTTCAGAAAGGTTTCCGAGAAAAGCAGAGCCTCAAACGCTGGTAGGTGGAGGAGAGGTGGAGAAGCTACCGGCAGAGCTAACTGCACAAGTTACCTCCTTCCAGAGGCAAACCCGAGAGAACAGGCACTTCACTGTGGGGCCTGTTCCGGGCACTGCTGGATGTCAGACACTTGGGCCCACTAAATGTCAGTGACATCCCCTAGTGACTGACAACTCACGCTCCCACATAGTCCAAAATGCCCCCTGGTGGGGGGAGGGGGTACTGCCGCCAGAGAGCTGCTGGGGTGGATAATTGGATGTGTGGGGATTTTCTCACCTCTGGAAGGAGGTTAGACGTGTAGTTGGCTCTGCCGGGAGCTCTTCCACCTCTTCTCCATCTGGCTCACCCAACTCAGCGTTTGAGGCTCTGCTTAAATGTTATTTCTTATAACTTTTCTGAACAAATGCTCAACAAACTTACTGCCTTGAATTTGCAGTAGTGTGTGATGTGTGGGTGTGAGGGGGCACAGAGTGGGGAAGGATGGTGGTTAGAGATGAGGGTGTCAAGAGGCACCAGCTGGCTCATCAGTTGCTTCGAATGCCATCTTGGGGAGGAAGCCCCTGAAGAATTTCAGGTAGGGGAATGGCAGGACAGAGCTGCACTCCAGAAAGATCACTTTGGCTGCCGGGTGAATCATGCTTTAGAGAAAGATAAGATTGATGATTGAGGCCTGGAATTTTCTTTGTGGAAGACAATTTCTTTTATTTTCTTTTTTTTTTAAGAGACAGGACCTAGCTCTGTTGCCCAGGCTGAAGTGCAGTGCACAATCATGGCGCAGTACAGCCTCAACCTCCTGGGGTCAGGCAATCCTCTCACCTCAGCCTCCTGGGTAGCTGGGACTACAGGTATGAGCTACCACCTTGGCTAATTGTTCTATTTTTTGTAGAGATGGGGTCTTGCTCTGTTGCCCAGGCTGGTCTCGAACTCCTAGGTTCAAGGAATCCTCCTATCTCAGCCTCCCAAAGTGCTGGGATTACAGGTGTGAACTGCTGAGCTCGGCCTCGACTTTAATAGATATAGGGCTATTAGGATTTTCTATTTCTTCTTATGTCCATTTTAATAATTCATGTCTTTCATGGAAATAATTTCATCTAAGCTGTCAACATTTTTGGTATAAAATTATTCATAATTTTTCTTTATCTCCCTTTGTAGGACTTGTAGTGATGTCCTATCTGTCACTGCTGTTATCCTTAAAGTGTGGGGTTTTTTCTAGCTGGAGATTGAGCAATTTTATGGATGTTTTCAAAGATCCAGCTTTTGGTTTTATTGATTTTCTCTATTGTTTGACAATTTTCGATTCCATTCATTCTGCTTTTCCTGGTATTGTTTTCTTCTTACTTTGTATTTCACTTGCTCTTGTTTTTCTAGTTTCTTATGTTGGGAACTTAGATCATCAGTTTTCAATCTCCCTTCTTTTCTAACACAGCATAAAGCTCTGCATTTCCCTCAAGCACTGCTTTAGCTGCATCTAAAAAATTTCCAGATATTGTATTTTCCATATTATTCAGCTCAACGTATTTCCAATTTGCTTTTTAATGTCTTCTTTGACCTACAAGTTATTCATAAAAATGCTTTTCAATTTCCAAATATTCAGATTTTTCCAGGCATCTTTTTGTTATATATTTTAATTTAGTTCTGTATGTGAAATCATAGTTATTCTCTAGAATTTCAAGCATAAACATACTACCTTAGGATAACATTCTGAGTGAAGGGACATGAAAATGCAGGTTTTAGAAGAAGTAGTAAGAATATAGCTTTCTCTCAGTATATTTGGGAGTATCCCACAAACACTGCATTTTTAGTCTATGTTTGGTTGAAAAAAACCCATTTTATAAGTGGCTCCTTGCAGTTCAAACTCGTGTTGTTTGAGGGCCAGCTGTATTTCCGAACATTAAAAGAAAGCATGTTCCACTTCAAAATGGATAATGGTGGGTACTACATTTTTCTGTATTTGAATTCTATTAAGATCATTGAAGGAGTGATGTAATTGTTCTATTTTAAAGCATCTCAGCTATTTGTTGAAAATTATATTATTTGCATCTGTAAATACTTAAGATGAAAAAATTTAGAAATCAACTTGATAGTTTGATACAGATTTTTTTCCGTGTTCTTTGGGGAGATGTGAACAAAATGTTTGAAGATAACTTAGCTGAATAATGAATAACAAGGTATCTGGAATTCGGGCATTTTCTTTTTCTTTTAGGATGGGTCAGGCTTGAGCCTACGGGAAAGGAGGTGGCAGGGAGGGAGAGGTGGAAGATGCAGGAGACTGAGGATTGCCTGAGCGTGAGGTCCCTGTGGAAGTGGAATGGGCAGCGTCGCTCACAGGTGGAGGGCTGGCCTTGGAAGGAGATGGGCTTCTTTCACTGTCCAGGAGGGAGACAGGAGCAGGTGGGTGCAGGTGCAGGCTGGAAGGATTGAGGGTGAGAAATTGAGGGAGTTCCTGTCTGAAGGTCCTGGTGAAGTAGGAGGTGAGAGGAGATGGGGGGCCAGATGTTTGGGCAGAATTCAGGTTTTCAGTAGCCCCTGCGGAGCTCAAGGGTGCTGAAGGCATGATGCACGCGCTATGAAAGGAGACTGTTCGACACTCTTGCAGCCCCTGTCACAATTGAAGCTGCGCTTCTTTAGTGCCTCAGTTGGAGAGCCACTGTCTTTTCCCAGTGCCCAGCCCAGGGTCTGGTGCTTGGTATTTGTTGAAGGGATAGATTGCTGGACACGTGAGCCCAGGCATCATCAAAGCACAGCTGTGAGAAAGCCAGGTTGGGCTGTCATGACCAGGCCTAAGACTGCAGTGACCTGCTGCCTGCTTCCCACAGGCGTACCATTCATCTCTCTCCCAGTGCCTGCTCTGAGTGAGTCGTCATAATGCATGAAACCATCTACGGCAGTGGGAACACGTCCCAGGGGTTAGTGGAAGGTGCAGATCGAGGCGGACCCAAGTCCTTGGAAGGTTTCCTGACAGGGGGAGGGCACTGTGGCCGGGCTTTAAAGAAAGAGCAGGTTTTTGGTGGGGGAGAACAATGTGAATAAAAGCCCAGAATAAGGACCCACACAGATCCTGCCAATGGAAGCAGGTGGGGCTCTGCCATCCTCTGCTGCAGCAGGATTCTCTGTGCACTCCACCCCGCCCCCCACCCCACTCTGCAGGAGCCCCAGCACGGCGGCTGCCATTTGCTCAGCATCTTCTTTTTTTTGTTTGTTTTGTTTTGTTTTAAACAATATTATGAAATGGTCTTGTTTTTTTTATTTTTTTTTATTATACTTTAAGTTTTAGGGTACATGTGCACATTGTGCTGGTTAGTTACATATGTATACATGTGCCATGCTGCTGCGCTGCACCCACTAACTCGTCATCTAGCATTAGGTATATCTCCCGATGCTATTCCTCCCCCCTCCCTGCTCAGCATCTTCTAAGAGCAAGGTACCCTCTGGAAACCACCGGATGGAATCCTGACCTCGATTCTGGTTTGCTGGAGGGATGGTCTGCCTTTAGTGATGTTCAGGCCTTCAATGTATTGGATGGGGCCCGCCCCCGTTGGGGAGGGCCCTCTGCTTTATGGGGTCTACCAATTCAAATTCAATTCAAATGTTAATCTCATCTAGAGACACCCTCATGAGCCCAAAATAATACCTGAACAAATATCTGGGCACCCTATGGCCTGGTCAAGTTGACACATAAAATGAACCATCACACCCTATGTCCCGTGAGAATGCAGGGGTGATGTGCGCGTACCTTCTCATGCGGGAGCACTGGCATGGGCGAATCTCACAAAGGGGCACTGACGCGGGCGGGCCTCACGTGCAGGCAAGTCTCAGCAGGGAGGATGGAAAGGAGGAGGGCGCAGGATGGACAGGAGGCTGCAGCTGGTCACCAGGGAAGCGACTCAGGCCTGGCACTGGCTCACCTGGGCCCCACGTGAACTGCACGTTCAAAGTCTGCACCCCACCGGG
The DNA here is from genome assembly GCF_000001405.40 of Homo sapiens. Lineage (NCBI taxonomy): Eukaryota > Metazoa > Chordata > Mammalia > Primates > Hominidae > Homo > Homo sapiens. The sequence goes on along the minus strand of NC_000022.11, from coordinate 45,860,347 downwards.
CTAGCTCCGGTGAGAGTAGGGACTGGGCCTGTCCTATGACGCCTGGGCATGTTTACTACTGTCGTGGGCTGAATGGTGTCCCCCACCCACCCCCTACAATTCATGCGTTACAGGACCTCAGAATGTGACTACATTTGCAGACAGGACCTTTACAGAGGTCATTAAATTAAAATGGGGCATTAGGGTGGACCCTAACCCAACCTGACTGGTGTCCTTGTAAGAAAAGGGGATGTGGACACACAAGGAGACCCCAGGGGCACAGAAGGACAACCAAGTGAGGAGGTCGCAAGCCAAGGAGACAGGCCCCGGAAGAAACCAGCCCTGTCGACACCTGGACCTGGGACTTCCAGCACCCAGACTGTGAGAAAATTCATTTCTATTGCCTAGTCACCAGTCAGTGGTATTTTGTGACGGCAGCCTGAGCTGACTAATACAAGTGCATAGTTAGTGCTCAGTGTTTGCTGAAGGTTGAATCAATAAGCGCTTTCGCCCCAGCCCTGGGTTAGCTCAGTGCAATGCAGGGAGGCAAATGTGAAAGGGCCCAGAGCCGTCACAGGAGCAGAGGGCTGTTCAGGAAGTCTTCCTGGAGAAGATTTCTGGGGGCACACCCGGTGGACACAGGTTGGGGAGGTTCTAGGTGGGGGCTCGCGTGGGCGTCAGCCTCGAGCCAGAAGAGACCGCCAAGTGCTTTGCGGCTGCTGCATGGTCACCTGCCAGAGAGGGAGGGCTGGAGGAGGGCTCGGGACGCACCTCATGTGCCTCTCTAAGGAGTCTGGGCCATGTCCTGAGGGCAGCGGGAGCCTCCAACAGGAGATTCTCAAGGAAGATACCTCTAGTGGCTGCAGATGAATTGGGCAACACAAAGCTGGCACTGCAGGGCAGAGGCGGGAGGCAGCCTGGCCGAGTGGAAGGGGCAGACTGGGGCTCCGCACCCGCCTGGGTGAGCCCAGCGATTCAGCGTCTCTGAGCACCAAGGTCTACATCTTCTCCAGCAAACCCGAATTGAGGGGCGGATTCCATCCAGTGCTTTCTATAAGGTGCCTTGCTCTTAGAAGATGCTGAGCAAACGGCCGCTGTCCTGCTGGGGCACCTGCAGAGTGAGGTGGTCGGTAGGAGCCCAGAGAGAATCAAAGGAGATTCAAAGGTGCAGGGAGACTGGAATGCAAGAGTGGATTTGTCATTGAAGATCCACTTGCTCACCGTGGGAGGGTCTGGAAGACACATCTGTCTCCCCGACTGAGCAGCACGGTTTTGAGGGGCCCGGGCTCCTTGAAGAGCTCTGTGATTGCTCTTCTCTGCAGGTCAGACTCGCAGTGGGAACTGTGGCCACTGAGCTGGGAAATGTAAATGCAGTGGGTGCCACTGAATGCCAGGGTGCCAGGGGCCAAGTAGCAGCCCTCACCCACCAAAGGCAGGGCAGGCACAGCCACTGTAACGGACAGCAGACCCCAGACAGTGAGGGGGTCTGACTCACACAGAGCTGTGACATGGGCTAGTTGATCATGGTGTTCCTACAAGGGCAATAGATAGAGAAGCTACTCAATTCTTCCTGGATACGTGCATAAACAGAAACGTTCTAGGTCAAGTGAACAAAGGTCTAACCTGAATCATAAAAACAAGGGCCATGCCCCTCAATTTCTACACCTGAGCCAGTTGACAGACCCAGCACCCCTAGAGTGAAAGGAAGGCCGGGTCCCCTTGAGGAAGGACCCCAGCACCCTACCAACATTTTATACAATTAGTATTTCTCGGCTGGGCACAATGACTCATGTCTGGAATCCCAGCTACTCAGGAGGCTAAGGTGGGAGGATAGCTTGAGCCTGGGAGGTGGAGGTTGCAGTGAGCTGAGATGATGCCACCTGGGCAACAGAGCAAAACCTGGCCTCAAAAAAAAAAAAAAAAATTCTCCCAGGGCTTTTTACCAGTGTAACTGTGCACTGAGGAAAAGGAAATAATCAGACCTTTTGTGGACCCTGCTGGACACTGGCTCTGAACTGACCCTGATTCCAGGAGACCCAAAATGTCACCATGGTCCACTAGTCAGAGTCAGGGCTTATGGAGGTCAGGTGATCAATGGAATTTTAGGTCAGGTGCATCTCACAGTGGGCCCAGCAGGTCCCTGAACCCATCCTGTGGTTATCTTCCCAATTCCAGATGCAAAATTGGAATAGTTTGACCCAGCAGCTGGCAGAATCCCCATACTGGTTTCTTGACCTGTGGAATGAGGGCTATTACGGTGGAAAAGGCCAAGTGGAGGCCACTAGAATTGCCTCTACCTGGGAAAACAGTAAACTGAAAGGAATACTGCATTTCTGGAGGGACTGCCGAGATGAGTGCCACCATTAAAGGATCCGAAGGAGGCACGGGTGGTGACTCCCACCAAACCCTCATTGATTCAACTTACCTATTTGCCTGTGCAGAGACTAGATGGGTCTTAGAAAATGACAGTGGATTATCATAAACTCAAGCAGGCGGTGACTCCTATTGCAGCTGCTTTACCAGAAAGGGTTTCACTGCTTGAGCAAATTAACACATCTCCTTCAGGCAGCTACTCATCTAGCAAGTGTTCTTGTCTGACATCTATTAGTGAAGACCACTGGGAGCGAGCGGTGTGCTTTCACTTGGCAAGGTCAATGATACACTCTCACAGCCCTACCTCAGGGACACAGCAACCCTCCCATCTACATCATAATTTAGTTCACAAGGATCCGGGTTGCCTTTCCCTTCCACCAGGTATCACACGAATCCACACTGATGACATGATGCTGACTGAACCTAGTGAGCAGGAAGTAGCAAAGCAGTAGACCTACTAGTCAGACATTTGTGTGTCAGGGGGTGCGAAGGAAATCCAACTAAAATTCAGGGGACTTCTACCTCAATGAGATTTCTAGTGGTCCAGTTGTGTGGGGGCATGTCAAGATAGCACTTCTAAAGTGAAGGATAAATTGTGAAATCAGGCCCTCCTATAACCAAAAAGGAGGCACAATGCCTAGTGGACCTCTTTGGATTTTGGAGACAACATAGTCCTCATCTGAGGGTATTAGCCCTTTTACCAAGTAACCAAAAAAGCTGCTGGCTCTGAGTGGGGCCCAGAGCAGGAGGAGGCTCTACAGCAGGCTCTCTGCCACTCGGGCCATAAGACCCAGCAGATCCAGTGGTGCTGAGGTGTCAGTGGCAGACAGGGACGCTGCATGGAGCCTGTGGCAGGCCCCACAGGTAAATCACAGCACAGGCTCTTGGGATTTGGGAGCAGGGCTCCACCACCTTCCACAGATGCCTGCTCTCCTTTCGAGAAACAGCCCTTGGCCTACTGCCGGGCCTTAGCACAGACAGAAGAACACTTAACCAGGGGCCATCAAGTCACCATGTGACCTGAGCTGCCCATCATGACCTGGGTGTTATCTGACCCACCAAGCCACAAGGTTGGGCGTGCACAGCAGCGCTCCATCATCAACTGGAAGTGGTGTGTATGTGACTGGGTCTGAGCAAACCCTGAAGGCACAAATTACACGAAGAAGTGGCCCAAATGCCCATGGTCCCCACTCCTGCTACCTTGCCCTCTCTCTCCCAGAGAGAGAAGTGTTGAAGCCTGCATGACGGCTTCAGAGAGTTCCCTGTGACCAGCTGTCAGAAGAGAGGACTTGGGCCTGGTTCTCAGATGGTTCTGCATGATTCGCAGGCACCACCTGAAGTGGGACAGCTGTAGCATGACAGCCCCGTTCTAGGACACCCCTGAAGGAGACTGGTGAAGGGAAATCTTCCCAGTGGGCAGAACTTCAAGCAATGCACCTGGTTGTGCGCTGTGCCTTGAAGGAGAGATGACCAGATATGTGATTATCTACCAATTCATGAGCTGTGGCCAAAGGTCTGGCTGGGTGGCCAGGGACTTGGAAGGAGCATGACTGAAAAGCTGGTGACAAGGATGTCTTAGGAAGAGGTATGTAGGGAGACCTGAGTGGGAAAATAAATGTGAAGACGTTTTTCCATGAGAATGCCCACCAAAAGATGACCTCAGCAAAGCAGGATTTAAAAAAATCTGGTGGAGAGAATAGCCCATTGTGGGAATGACAGGCAGCCTGTTTTCCCAGCCACTCCTGTCACTGTCCAATGGGCTCATGAACAAAGTGGCCATGGTGGCAGTGATGAAGGCTATGCATGGGCTCAGCAACATGGAATTCCACCCACCAAGGCTGCCTGAATACCACCGGGCATCCAGTCGGCCAGGAGTAGAGACCAACATTGAGCCCCAATATGGCACCACTCCCCAGGATGATTGACCAGCTACCTGGTAGCAGGCAGATGACAAGGACTGCTCCCATCACAGAAGGAATAGCATTTTGTCTTTACTGAAACAGACACTCTGGGTACAATTGCCTTCCCTACATGCAATGCAGTAGCAGAAGGTAGTTATAAATACCAGCTACAACCACATGACCAATCTAATGATGAATATGTTTGTGGGTGTATATCTATAAAGCATAGCAAGTATCTTCATTTTCTTTCCTAGATTATTCCTTTACCATGCAACATGAGGTGTACTGACTTTACAGTATAGTATTTTAAGTATTGTTAATTTTACATCACAGTATTTAAGTCATAGGATATCAAGGAGACGAATAAACACTTAAGGACTCTACTTCCTCTTCGGGTGAAGGGGTTAGTGCATTTTCAGTTGTACTTGGGATATGTGTATCATTTAGGCAGAATTATGACTTTGTTATTGTCTTCATTTGGAGAAGTGTGGTTTACGGAGACAGGTATAGGTGCCAAGCTGACAAAGGGTGGACTTGTGATGGTTAATTTTACGTGTCAACGTGACTGGACCATAGGATGCCCAGATATCTGGTTACACATTATTTCTGGGTGTCTCGGTGAGGGTGTTTCCAGAACAGTTTGGCATCTGGACGGAATAACACAGACAGTCCACCCCAGGGTAGGTGGGCATCATCCCATCTGCTGAGGGCCTGAAAAGAACAAGGCAGAGGAATGTTAAATGCTGTCTCTGCCTGCTGCTTGAACTGAAACATTGGTCTTCTGCCCGTGGACTGGGACTTACACCACTGGCTCTCCTGGTTCTCTGCCTTTGTACCCAAACTGGAATTTACACCACTGCTTTCCTGGTCCTCAGTTTGCAGACAGCATATTGTGGGACTTCGGTCTACACGGTTTGTGAGCCAGTTCCTTATTTTACATATATTCCTATTGACTTCTCTGGAGAAATCACTCTCTTAATGGTGTTTCTTGTAATTTTTTTATGAAGTCCATTTTAGGGGCTTTTGTAACATACTTAAAAAATTTTACCCTATATAGTCATGAGACTCTATTTTCTTTAAGTTTTAGCATTTTGCTGAATGTCATTTAGCATTTTGTCAGATCTACAATCCATCTAGGAGTTGATATTTTTATATGGTATAAGGGAAGGGTCACTTATCCTTGCTCCAAGCCCCCAATATTCAGTGGTCCCAGCGTGATTTGTTGAAACGACCACCTTCCCCTTTGCCCGCCACCCCATGCTCTGCAGTGCTACCTTTTAAAACATATTGTGCCCACATATGTGTCTGTTTCTGGACACTATTCTGTGATCTACTTATCTACCTGGGTGCTAGTAACAATATTCTTTTACTAAGCTTGCTTTTAATAGTTTTGATATTTACTAGAGCAACTTCTCCACTTGGTTCTTCATTCAGAATATCTTGGCTATTCTTGGTTTTGTTGTCATTGCATTTCGTTATACACTTTAGAATTTATTTAAAAAATTTATTTCCCAACTCTCTGTTGCTAGTATGTAGAAATTCAATGAACCTTTGTATATTAAACTTGTATCCAGCAACCTTGCTGTATTCATTTATTCATTCTAACAACTTATGCAGACTTTTTTTTGCATTAGCTATATAAACAATCCTACTGTCTTAGTTCTTTCCCCTTGATTACCCCTCCACCTCCCTTTTCCCCCCTGTATTTCATGGGCTATTTCACCTTTCCAACATAAGGATAAATGTAAGCAGTGAATTGTGATTGACTTTTGCCTTGTTCTTAATAGCAAAAAGAAAATCTTCAACATTTCTTCAACCAGTCCAATGTTTGCTATAGGGGTTTTTGTAGGTATTCTTCAGAATAAGAAAGTTCTCTTCTACTCCAAATTTGCTGTTTATTTTTACTATCACAATTGAATGCTGAATTTTATTATACTTTTTTCCCTGTACTAGTTGATAATGATTTTATTAATATGGTGGTTTTCTAATTGACTTAACATTTTTTTTTTTTTTTTTTTTTGAGACGGACTCTCGCTCTGTCGCCCAGGCCGGACTGCGGACTGCAGTGGCACAATCTCGGCTCACTGCAAGCTCCGCTTCCCGGGTTCACGCCATTCTCCTGCCTCAGCCTCCCGAGTAGCTGGGACTACAGGCGCCCGCCACCGCGCCCGGCTAATTTTTTGTATTTTTAGTAGAGACGGGGTTTCACCTTGTTAGCCAGGATGGTCTCGATCTCCTGACCTCATGATCCACCCGCCTCAGCCTCCCAAAGTGCTGGGATTACAGGCGTGAGCCACCGCGCCCGGCCTTTCTTTTAATTTTTAAATTTAATTTTTAAAGACATGATCTCACTATTTTGCCCAGGCTGGTCTTTTACTCCTGGGCTCAAGTGATCCTCCCACCATAGCCTCCGGAGTAGCTGATACTATAGGCATGTACCACTGTGCCCAGCTTTTAAAAAATGTTGTACCAATCTTACATCCCTAAAATATATAGTTTGTTAATATCATGTTTAGGGTCTTTGGATTTATGTTAATGCATGAGGTTGGCTTTTCCATGCTTTCAAAGTTATTGGGTTCAGGGTTCAATATGTCTACTAAGGCTAACCCTAACTGCATTGTTCAAATACTTAATATCCTTAGATATTATTTTTGTCTGCTTATTCTAGTACTAGGAGAAATTTATTAAAAATTTCCACTGTGATTGTGGATTTCTCTACTTTTCCTCTTAGTTCTGTCAGCTTTTGCTTAATATACTTTAAGGCTATGCTCCATACTGATATAATCACCCTTATCTTGCTCTCTATTCTTTTCCGAAACTACATCTTCCCTGACATTTTTTTCCTGTCTCAAGAATACCCGTTAGTATTTCTGTTAGTGAAAGTCTGCTGGCAATGATTCACTAGAGTTTATCTAAAGTATCTTTATTCCCTTTTCATTTTTCTTTTTGCGAGGGGGCAGGGCAGGGATATAGAATTCTAGGTTGGCAATTATTTACTTTCAACCCTTCAAAGATAGCATTCTATTTCCTTCTGGCTTACATATTTCTGTTGGTAAGTCAGCTGTCAGTCCAATATTTACTCCTCTGAAGGTAATCTGTGTTATTTCTTGTGTAAATTAACTACTGCTGTATAACAAATTATCCCAAAACTCAAGGGCCTACAATAAGAACATCTGTCAGTTCCCGTGAAGCAAGAAAACAGATGCAGCTTAGCTGGTTTCTCCAGCTCTGGGTCTTGCATAAGGATGTGGTCATCTGAAGGGCTGGCTGGGCAGGGTCTGGCCTCCTGGACCACTCAGGTGGCTGTTCCTTATAAGATGGTGGCTGGAGGCCTCCCTCAATTCCTTGCCACGTGAGCATCTCACAACATGGCAGTTCACTTCATTAGAGTGAGCAAGTGAGAGGGCAAGAGTGCCAATAAGATGGAAGTTCCAGTTTTTAAAAATCTAATCATGCAAGTGACATCCATTACTCTTACCATATTCTATTAGAGGCAATTTAGTAGGTCCAGCCCATGCTCAAGAGGAGACGATCACAGAAGGCATCAGGTAGAATCATAGGAGTCATCTCAGAAGTTGCTGCCCCCATTTTCCAAGCTGCTTTACAGATTAAATATTTGTCACTCAGTGACAAATTTTCAGTGGTTTTACAATGTGTTGTTTTCTATGATTTATCCTTCTTGGGGTTCACTAGGATTCTTGAATCTGTGGCTTGATGTCTGTCTCAGTCTTGGAAGATTCTTAGCTAGCATCTCTCCAAAAGTGCTTCTGCCCCATTGTGATGTGCGAAACAAATCTTTGTGGCGCGTGCCTTATCCTCCATTACAAAGGACATTAGGTATATTTGCTGTGTTTCAAACAAACTGGCAAACAAGGTTCCTACCATTTATTAGTTTGCCAGGGCTGCCATACAAAGTACCACACACTGAGCAGCTTAAACAACAGAAATTTATTCTCTCTTCTGAGGCCTCACTCCCCGGCTTATAGATTATTGTCTTCTCCCTGTGTCTTCTCGTGGTCTTCCCTCTGTATCTGTGTCCAAACTTCCTCTTTTTGTAAAAGAACAGCAGTTATACTGGATTAGGGTCCACCCTAATGACTTTATTTTAACTTAGTTCTTTAAAAACCTTGGCTCCAAATATGGTCACATTCTGAGGTTAGGACTTTATTATATGAATTTTGGGGGTACACAATTCAGCCCATAACACCCACCAAAATGTCCTTTTGCTTGTAATCGTGTTTCCCTTCAAATGCACTACAGAATTTTTTTAGAAGAGGTGAAAATCATGTTACTACTCAAAAACCTGCCAAAATCGTAAATGTGTGCCCTGTTGGGATAAGCATATGTTGTTTGTGAGAAGTTGTGTGTGTTGAGATAAAACATAGTTACTTTACCCAAAGACATAAATCCCTGCTATACTCGTAAGCTGTAAATAACTCCCTTAACCCATGATGTAACGGAGGAGGTTAGTGTGGGCGTAACCAGTCAGAACAATGCAATTGTGAGCTTATAGGAAAAGAAGCACACTAAGTGCCCAGATACCCAGTCAAAGCCCAGCCTGTCAGAGCACGTGGAGGATTGAGTGAGTGCTGACCACCTGAGTCTCTTTAGAGTGCAACGAGCTGGCTGAGAGCACTACGTGCCAACCACATATTGACTCCAGCCCCTTATGCAGACTGGGATGAGAAGTTTCTAAGTGGTGGTCACTAGACACGCTGGCTGGGGCAAGAAACGTGCAAGTGAGACTAAGGCAAAAAGAGAGAGAGAAAAGACTGACCAACCTCGGGAAATGGTGGCCCTGTCTTCTGCTTGCTCACAATTACTGCTTGGCTTATTGAAGGAACGAAAAGAATCACCTCTCTAGGCTAAGTGATGCTCGTGTGAATTTTCTCTCAATACTCTGCTTTCTTGGTAATATTCAAACCCCAAGGTTTGGTGGTGACTTTTGGGTATTATTACTAAAAACTAAAGCACCCATTTTTTCCTCTCTTCTTAGACCCTAAATAGGGATATCAGAACTTAACCTTTCACTGTATCCTATATGTCTTTTACTCTATCATCTATATTTTTCATCATTTGGTCTCTCAGCGATCCCTTCTGGATGTTTTCGACTGAGCTATTTTCCTTCCATTTGCTATTTATCTTTTTTGTGGCTAAACTCATCCATTGATTTCTTAATTTTAGTTATATTTTTCCAGTTCAAGAATTTTCATTTGGTCCCCCTGTCACAGTGTGTCCCTTCTTTTGCTGACGTTTCCAATATTGTCCTTTGTCTCTTTAAACACATCGAATAAAGTTATTTGAAATTCCTGCCTGAAGACTCCACTATCAGGAGCCCCTCTAAGTTTGTTTCTATTTGTTATCGCTTCTTTTGACTTTCATATCGTGTTGTCTCGTCACCTCCTATTTTTGATTGAGACAACGTATGAAAAACTATACAAATAATGCAAGACCAAGGGTAGAGCCGTTTTCCTGAGATTTCTGTTGCTAGACGCCTGAGTGAGCAGCACTCCAGGATGTAGTGCATCACTGACATCACACGTCATAGCACACAAGGGGAACTTTAGTTCAGTTTCTGGGGTGCAAATGGTTGGAAACTGAGTGTGGTCTCTGGGAGGAACTACTTCCGGTTCACTGCGACTCTTCTGATTCAGCCCACTGGGTCCCCTGCCTGTAGCAATGGAGGTTCACCGGGACAGCATCCCACCACCTTGGCTCCCAGGACTCTCATAAGCACTCTTTGGCCTCTTAGCCACTCTGCCTCCTCCTCTGAAGTGAAAAATACTTTCAGAGGAAACAGCAACCCAAATACACTTATCTTCCTGGGCCTCTTTTCACTCCCAGACCCTGGCCCTGTAATTCCTTGCTGTGTCTTGCTAGCTCCCAGGTACCTTTAAACAGTAGCTGAAACTATTCTGACCTGTGTTTCAGTTGCCTTCAGAGGGGTTTGGTCAGAACTACCTAGTTGGGAAGTGCCTTTTCTTTTCTAATATGATTACTTCTCTGAGACAAATCTTCTCTAACCCCTTATCTTCCTTCCTTGACCTCCCACAGTATGCAACCTAAAACAAAGATAAGGCTTTAAGCCCTAAGATGTTGACTGCAGCATTTCTAATGATAAGAAGCAGAAAATAAAATGTCTAACAAGAAGGGAATGGTAGCCGGGTGCACTGGCTCACACCTGTAGACCCAGCTACTCAGGAGGCTGAAGTGGGAGGATCAATTGAGCCCAGGAGTTCAAGGCTGCAGGGAACCATGGTTGTGGCATTGAATTTCAGCCTGTGTGATAGAGCAAGACCCCCTCCCCACCAATACATAAATATATTTAAAAAAGAAGGGAATGCTCAAGTCCATTATGGTACATTTTTGTGATAAAGCCATTACAATTTTTTTGAGGGGTCTCTAGCATACTGAGGAGCCTCATGCTCTAATGTTGAGAGCAAGTTTAGACTGTGGGCCACACGTTGACAGCAGGCCTGCTTCACTAGTCTTTCTACAACCTCACCCTAGATAATCTCATTGATTTCCATGGCTTCATATCATCTATACATAAAACCAATCATTCCAAATATCTATTTCCAATACTGATCTGTCTTCTGAGCCCTAGTTTATAGGTCCAATTACTTTTTAAAATCATCACCACTTGGATGTCTCAAAAGCATCTCAAACTTCATTTGCCCAAAATAGAATTCTGGATTCTCTTTGCCACAAATAAAACATACACAAGAACCAATCTTCACATTCAACTTTTCCACCCCAGTGAATGGACAATCATCCACCCAGCTGTTCGACAGATCTCAGGAGCTACTCTTGTGGACTTCATGCACTCCACCCTCAGCTTGTCCTACGGATCCTCCCTCAGACACACAGTTCCAACTCAAGTCTCTCTCTCCATTTCCACTGCCACCATGCTTGTCTAGATCACTGTCATCAACAGCCCCATACGCAATTTCTCTACTTTCATTCTTTCTCCTCTCCATTTTCCACACTGCAGCAAGAGTAGTCATTTAAAAGTGCAAGCAGAATCTTGGCATTCCTCTGCTAAAAATGGCTCAATAGCTTCCCAGTGTACTTCAAGCAAAATTCAAATTCCTCCCATGGCCTTGAAGACCCTGCATGATCTGATTCCTGCTGACCCCTCTGACTTGGTCTTATGATGTTCTCCCCTGGCCACCAGGCACTGGGCCCACTGGCCACCCACCTGGTCCCTGAACAGGTGAAGCTTTTCCAATTTTGGGGCCTCTGCACTTGCTGCTCCCTCTTCCAGAACACTTCTCTCTGATTCTTTGCACAGCTGGCACCTTTTCAACCTTCTTCTGGCTTTTACTCAAAAAGAACACCCCAGTTACCATCAACTTGCCTATTTTCTTCATGGCACTTACTACAATATGCAATGCTCTCGTTTTACATATTTGTTCACTTATTAATAACTTTCTGTCACCCTCACCAGAAGATAATCCTTATGAGAGCAGAGGCCATGTCTGTCTTGTTCACTGTTGTATCCCTAGTGCATGGTACAGTCCTCGAGGGGGAAACGTAGGCTCAGAGTGGTTAAGTAACTTGCTCAAGGCCACACAGCTGGCAAGTGAAGTTGAGATTTGAACTTGAGTTTTTCTAATTGCAAGCGTATGTTCTTCCCATAGCACTCTCCTTGCTCTACATCTGATATGGTTTGGATTTGTGTCCCTGCCCAATTTTCATGTTCAACTGTAATCCCCAATGTCCTGATAGGAGGTGACTGGATCATGTGGGTGGATTTCACCCTTGCTGTTATCATGATAGTGAGTTCTCACAACATCTGGTTAAAAGTGTGTAGCACTTCTCCACCACCCTCACTCTCTTCCTCCTGCTCCAGCCATGTAAGACGTGCCTGCTTCCCCTTCTGCCATGATCCTAAGTTTCCTGAGGCCTCCCCAGCCATACTTCCTGTATAGCCTGCAGAGCCGTGAGCCAATTAAACCTCTTTTCTTTATAAATTACCCAGTCTCAGGGAGTTCTGTATAGCAATGCGAGAATGCACTAACACAACGTCCAAAGCCATAGTCCAGGCATTTCTGCTATATTAATTTTCCACGATTCTGGGAAAAGAAGCTATCTATTTTTTTCTCACTCATTCTCTTCCAATTAACTATAGCAATTAATCACTAAGCATTAACTGCTGTGTGTCCTTGGGCATAACTTCTCTGTGACTCAACTTCCTCATTCATATAATGGGATTAATACCAGGACTAAGCACTTCACACACAACCACTTGCTTGTGCTCTCATGTGCTCTCATCAGGCAGGTGGTATTATGAGCCGCATTTTCAGTGGGGCTGACAATGAGAAAATGGGGACACCCAGAACTTATAGAACCTGCCCATGGGTTAAGCAGGAGAAAGAGCAGGGACTGAAACCCAGGAATTCTAGCTTCAGAGCTGATATTCTTGGCCAATACACTTTACAAAGTGGTGGAAAAATTAAATCCGTATGATAAAAATTGCCTAAGCCCTTGCTTCAATGATGTGAAATAAGCATAGAAATTTGTGAGTAAATGAATAATGTATATGACGTTGTTTAAACAAAAAGAAACATTTAATATAATGTTTCTAATTTAAGCAAGAATAAATAATTATGGAAAACTGTGAAAATTAATTTCCACTGACAGGAATGTCTCTGGTTGAGATGAGGAAAGTCTGATGGATGAGTTAATACCATAACCACTATGTTTACAGCAAAAGCTTACAAATTCATTTATATTGTGGATGGTATATGAAATTCATATTGCAAAGTATCACATAATATTTGACCTCAAAATATAAATAAATATATAAAGTGTGTAGGAAAGAGGAAACAGATATTGTGTCATACAAACACAAGAAAAAAAATCTGAAGTTTGAAAACAAGGTTTTTAATTGATTTTATGTGGACAAGCCAATATGGCTGAAACGATCAGAACCTTGGACAGCACCGAGAGGGTGTTTTTTTGTTGTTGTTTTTTTGGTTCCCCCCCACCCCACAGGCTTGGTTTTATATTAGATCTTAAATGTTAAGGTTCTTCCTCAACTTTTCTGCATTTAAAAATTCCGCCTCAATTCTACTGCTTCACATGTGAAGCACTTATGTGTAGAACTTACTGATGATGAAAGATTTTTTAAAAAGTTTTCTTCCTGCAAAGACTGGAATTTTTGTTCTAACATCTTTGTTTATTCATTCAAGGACAGAAACTAAAGGACAGTAAAAAAATCATTTTAAGACCAGGCGCAGTGGCTCATGCTTGTAATCCCAGCATTTTGGGAGGCCAAGGAGGGCGGATCATGAGGTTAGGAGTTTGAGACCAGCCTGGCAACATGGTGAAACCCCATCTGTACTAAAAATACAAAAATTATAATCCCAGCTACTCAGGAGGCTGAGGCAGGAGAACTGCTTGAACCTGGGAAGCAGAGGTTGCAGTGAACTGAGATTGTGCCACTGCACTCCAGCTTGGGTGACAGAGCAAGACTCCATCTCGAAAAAAAAAAATCATTTAAATAACACTTAAATGCCATGTGTTATCAGGGCAGCACATGAATGACTTCAAGAGAGAATGGATGTAAGATGCACACAAAAAAATTTGATTTAAAGACGTATTAATTGGTAGCCCAAATCATCTCAATCATTTTTTCTATATCCTATTTTGCAAATGACATGTTTTAGCAGTTTCCAAAGCCCTATGCTTAGATTGTGAAGTTACTGAACAACAACAAAAAAATGCATCTCAATGTTAGCTCCTAAAAACAAAAACAAGAACAGAACCACAAAATCAGGACGTTGTATTAGTGCGTTCTCATATTGCTACACAGAACTCCTTGAGACTAGATAATTTATAAAGAAAAGAGGTTTAATTGGCTCATGGCTCTGCAGGCTATACAGGAAGGATGGCTCGGGAGGCCTCAGGAAACTTAGGATCATGGCAGAAGAGGAAGCAGGCATGTCTTACACGGCTGGGGCAGGAGGACAATGAACAAATATTAACAAATCCTAACAGTTTAGTAAGTTGGCCCTTGAAATCTGTGGAGTATTGGTTTCAGGAACCCCCGCTTGGATGCCAAAATCTATGGATGCTCAAGTCTCTGATATGAGCCTTCACAGTATTTGCATATAAACTACCCGCATTCTCCCACATACTTTAAATCATCTCCAGATTACTTGTAACACCTAATAAAATGTAAATGCTATGGAAATAGTTGTTACCTTGTATTTTAAAATTTGTATTATTTTTTGTTGTTGTACTACTATTTTATTTTTCCTGAGTATTTTCAATCCCCAGTTGGTTCAATCTGTGGATACAGAGAGCCGACTGTTTTAAGATTGCAAAAATAAGTATTTTTGAAATCTTCACATCCATTGTTAAGGTATTAAAAAATAATCACTCTGCAAATACTTGGACTCAGTATCAAGCTGAGAAGCCTTCCCCTCTATCTTTTAAAGTGAAGCCAGCTAAAAGCTTTGTCAGCTCGCTCTTGAAAGCAATAATATGGTCACAAAACTTGCTGTGACCATTCTGTCTCTTTACAAATTTTGTAAGGCTGGCCTGCTTTTTTCTTCCTTCTAAATGACTGATTGAGGTGATGATTAATCCTCTATAGCATGTAAAACAAGGTTCTCAGGAGCTCCGAGTCCTCCACGGTAGAGGACAGGGAAGCTGTTGTGCTCAAGAATTAATCCATCCGAGGGAATCAAAGGCAGCCACAATGCAGTCATCAGCATGTTTTCACTATGCAAGCCCCACACTTCCTACTTAGAAAACACATAACCATTACCCCATTCTGTATTCTCACAAGGCTCCCTTTTATTTATTTGTGTTTGTTATTATATAGCTCATACCGACAAGTTTGTGCGATTCCACTGGTGTGCACACATCCATTGAGACAGGAAAAAAAGAAGTGTCTATTGCAAACTTGTTAAAAGGGAAAAGGGACTCCCACTGTTTTCTCCCTTTGGCCAGGCTTCTATTTAGAGGACAGAGCTTTAACTCTTTATGTCCCAGGAGAGAATGACTCCTTTGTGTAATTTTAAATTCTGCAATGGCTTCTTTACTGATGGAAAGTCATAAATGAGAGAAAAAATGTTATTCATAGATTGCTGCAATCCTAGAAGCTGATGTGTCTTCAGAGTTACACAGAGTACATTAGACAGCACATGGGAAAACTTTTACTTCATTCTCAACATGCTTAAGCTATTTTTACAAATCAGTTAAACTATGTCTACACAAAGCTTAGAAGCACTTTATTTGGGAGCAATCAGTATTTTTGTCAAAACTTTTGGACAGGTCTTTATTTTTGTTTTGGAAGGTTCAACACGAATTGTGCAAAATCTCTGGATATATTAGTTTAGCGATATGGTTGTTGAAGAAAATAATATGTTTTAAGCATTCACAACGTGACCTCCCCCTAGAGCTTTTGTTGATGATATGAATGATCTGGATTCAGTGAGTTCAGTGGTCATTTAATCCAGTCCTACCTCTCATACAGCAGACAGATAGATAGATGAACAGACAGACAGATAACTAGATGTCAAATAAACTCCTGCTCCCTAAAAGTACTTTTGCAATTTCAGTGAAGACATGGCTAAAACTGAGTGGCACCTTTATGAGACTGGTGCTTTTTAAATCAAAGAAGATAGAAATGTACCTTTAATCTACGGCACTGCACCAGAGCAGAACATAAGCTATTCCTTCCCCCATGACAGAGGCATGAAGCTGGGGAGGACACAGGCATTCACCTTGACACAGAATGGGTCCTGGGATGTCTACTTCTGGGATGAACTGGAACATGAAGAGTTAAGTGCCCACATGTTCTCTCACCAACCTCACTCCCTGCCACATTCCAAAGGGATAGGGCTCAGTGACAAGACAGCCCAGTACCCAAAATGAAGAGGGAGGGTTCTCGAATTAATTAACTGGAAATGAGTCTTGTCAATGTTTTGGAAAGGCAGAGGGGTGAAAAGAGATTGCTAGAATTAATCACAGTGAGAAACTACTTCAACCGCCTGCCAGAGTTCAGAAAACCCAATGAGAAGAGGAATATAAAGAATGATGCTGACTTGCCATCTGAAGGGACAAACACAGTCAAGCCAACATCCAAGTTTTGTCAAATAAGGGTTGTGCCCTCCAAGAGACTGGTTTATTATCTGCTGTCACAGTAAGTACAATATATTCTTTAAATGCACGTTCTATCCAGGGGGACAAAGGCAAACCACACAGTTACATTAATGCAAAGAAACAAGAGAACACTCAGTTACTTTCACTTTTAGCTTATACACGTTAAACTCTACTACCTAAAAGATTTGTATGTTCCCAAATTTGTACTTATAAATCTTCAAACACTTGCAATTTCACATACGGTAGAAGATGAAAAATCCATGAAACAGATTCCAAAAATTCAGGTATTTGGATGTAGTTCATTCACTAAAGAAGAAGAAAGAAACAAAATTGCAGATGTAGCAAATCTGTTCACAAGATTCATCAGACAAAAGGGGAAAAAACCCAGAACTTTGGTCAGTGGTGACAAATAACTTAGAGAAACCTAAAACAATTCATGCAATATTATTCAAGGAGTTCTGTTTTTTAAACTATAGTGAACATTAACTATCTTTTAAAGAAAATCTAATTCCTATGAGTAACTTACTTTTAGACCATGTATAACTTTTGATATGCCTTTTGTATTTCTCACCCAGAATGAGTTTGAAATTGTCCCTCTTTTAAGAAAATGGCAGCATAAAGCCGGAACAAAAAAACCGTTTGCAGCTATCTTTAGGGCTTTCCTCGGTAAACCACTATAGAGGGCACAATTCTCCCATCCATATTCTTACAAAGAGCCTCGTGCTTGAAGCAATGGGGAAGTGGAAACAGCTTTCTACAAACCAAAGGGAAGGACAGTTCCCTCGAGGGTACTTACTGGCTTAGGGGTGTCTCTAGTAGATTTCAGGATCAGCTTTTCGCCTTTCTTTTCAACTTCAAAACCCACTTTTTTAAGTAGGGATGCATCTGCCAGCCCCTGTTCCTCCATCTTTGCAATCAAATCTTGGTTTTGGCTGTTGTCTTCGGTAAGGTTTCGGATGGCATATATCACCCACTGGGTCAGAACTGGAGCCAGAGTGAAGGAATGTGACAACGTACTTTCCTGTTTGATAACTTCACATAAGAATTATCAGAAAAGGAGTAGAGGAGCACAGAAACACGGAACATCCAGTATCAATCCACAAGTTTTCTTGAGGATGCATTCTCTGAATATGCATCTCAAGTGCAAACACATTAAAAAGAGGCAACGCAGGCATATGCACATGTACATCCAGCATGTGTGTGTGATGTCCAGCCACGGGCACCCAGAGAGATTTACTCAGTATTTGTTGAATGAATGAACAAGGAAGCAAAGACTTAGAGTAGCTCAAACTGAAGTTTATGAACCCAAGAACACACACACAGGCAAACGTGTGTGCGTGCACACACACACATTCCTTTGTTGAATAATTATGTTACTGACTCACTAGGGAAAGAATAAGAAGAGCACTAAAGAATCAGTCACAAAGACGTCAGGTTAGAATCAGGAAAATCATCTTGTTTTAATGGGAGCCCAGTTAGAAATAAGAATTGTTTCCTAGGAGTCACTGTGGAATTTCCCGCATTCAGTATTCTAAAGATGAAGCTGGAAGGGCTTTGAAGGATTTGCTGTGTTTAGTTTGAATACTCAGGCTCCTGAAAGCATCGGGGCTCACTGTGCCCAAGTGTTCACCTGGCACGTTCCGCTTGGCAGGAGACCAGAGACAACCTACGAAGACTGGGATAGCATCGCCACATCACTGAGTAGGGCATTTGATTTAATCACCAAGAGCCATGTAAACCTCATGCAAACATTAAGCTATTATATGTAGTTCTATAAAGGACTGTACAAAAACTACTGCAGGGACCAGTCTTCAGTGGTTGGATCCAGGGACATATGTAAGAGACTGCCAAGAGAGGCTGTGTCCCTACTGGGCCTGGCACCCTGATCCAGGGAGAACAACAAAGAACCTAGGGTAGAACAAATACCTATCCAAAGAAAGAGACCTCCCTGCCCACGAGCAGATAAAGGCAGCAAGACAAACAAGTCCTGTCCCCTGATGATTATCAGATGCTTCCCACTCGGGCACTGCCAATGCCAGAACCAGGGAGTCAGTGTCCCCACAAGGTATCAAACCCTAGAGCTAAAGAGCCAAGTCTTCTGATCTTGTCCTGAACACCCCTGTGCAACGCTGTGGACCAGTTCTGAGACATTTCTAGCTCCCCCAACATGGCATGAGAACACAGAGAAAACTTCAACATTCACAAAGCTGGTGCTCTTTCCTGTAGTATTTGGGAAAGAAAATGAGTCCAACAGTTTCTCTCCCTAATTCAACAGCCTCAAAAGAAAATAGTAAAAATGACTGTCCAATTAAGTCAGACAACTGAAACGTACTAAACACAGTCAGCTGTATGCTCAGGAAGTGTTTTTGGGGCTTTAAAAAGGTTGCTCCATCTTAGTCCCTCCAATACACACCGGGTGAGCTGGCCCAGGGTCCTCTCTGCTTCCCTACTCACAGCACTTAAGCTCCTGGCCTGTGTCTCCCAGCTCCTCCACAGCTGTGGTCGTGTGTTCCTGGGGCCTTGGGCCTCAACATGGAGCCTGGCACAAAGCAAAGGACCAACCAACATGTGCTGAGTGAATGACCTGCTGGTCTTTGGAGGTTTAGCATCAAAACCACTGGTGGGTATAAATGACTGACCTTTTCCAGATGGCAGAGAAAAGGACTGTCAGTGCCCAGCTAATGCTGGTTCTATAATCAGTCATCTGTCTATGGTGGGGAAAAAGTTCTTATTGTGTCATTTATCTGTCATTCTCTCGTGACAAAGTCCAGGTCCTTTATATGGCTGCATTTCCTTTCTGGAGACAGAATCTATTCAAATATTCAAAGGCATTAAACCTAAATTTGAATATCCGCCTCTTTTCCATGATCACTGAACCCCCACTTTGTGCCAGTATAGAGAATAAAGATAACGAGCCCCGGTATCAAGCACTTCCAACATATCCGTCAACTTCTCAACAATGAATTATTTGAGTTTCACACCCAGGATGTCACTGTCGATACACAAACTCATTTTCTCACCTTTTGTAGGAAAAGGAGGAGTCAGTGATTATGAAAAGAACTGACTCAAGGAGCAAGAAATGTAAGACTGGGGAATTTTTGTTCATGAGTATAACTCTCTAATGGTAAATGAAAGAAGCATAACACTCCTTTCTGAAACGTCCTGGTTATTCACTTAAATATAATTAAAGTAGGAAAGCTGAAATTCCCAATAATGCATTCAGAGCTCCTGAGATCAGAGGGGTGGTTGGCTCAGAAACTGAAGAGTCTGGTGCCAGCACCGTCACTGCCAGCAGCAAACGCAGGATGTCTCTGGAGGAAAGGGACTATCAAACTGCTCCACTCCAGGGCACGTGAGACCCTGCCAGACGGCCCCTACCCACCTCTCCTGCCAGGCGCCCTCATCTCTCAGCCTCTGACAATGTTGCAACGCTGGCCTCCCCTCTGTCTCTGCACACACGAATCCCTGACCTGGGATGTGCTTCCCTCACTGCTGCTTCCTTTCTCATGGGGCACACTTAGCCTTCGAGACTCAGCAAGTATCACAGTCTCCCGGAAGCCTTCCCTGTCTTAGCTACCCCTCGGCACCTGCTTAGATTAGGTGCACCTGCTGTCTGTTTCCAATGCATTCTCTCTCTCTTTTTTAACAGTTCTCATCACACTGCATTGTACTCATCTGCTTATGAGTCTGTGAGTTCCTCGAGGGCAGGAGCCCCATCTAATTGACTTCGATATCCTAGCACCGAGTCTCGTTCCCAGCACAAAGTGGATGTTCAATACATATTTATTGAAATTGTGTCTTGAAAGCCTAGGCTCAAGTGATCCTCTTGCCTCAGCCTCCCGAATAGCTGGGACTACAGCCACCGTGTCTGGCCTTATTGAAATTATGTAAGCTATGACTGTTTGTTTGTATTTCTGTATACTCTAATGCACTGTGAACTCCTCACAACAAGACCAATAGTACTCACTTCTCTGTGCTCTGTCCCTAGCGTGGTGCTGGGAAATGTTTGCTAAATGAACAAATGTAAGCATGCTATCTCTCATTCACCACGTGGGTGGGGCCATGGCGGCACTGCAGCGACCCACAGGCTGTGTTTTTGCCTCCTGTTGTTGGTGTGGTTTCCCGACCCAGGGCTTTTTAGGGTTTGAGAGATTAGATGAAAGTAAACCGATATAAATGCAACCCAGGCAAGGAGGCTGGACTGCATAAATAAAAGGTCCATGACAACAAAACACCAGAATTCCCATGTGGATGGGATCAAAGAGTGGATTTTCATCATGTTCATCTTGGGGTTGGAGGGCAACATTTCTATCACGTTTTGTGAAAATACTGTTACCACGGTATTTTAATAGCAACTCACCCTTCAAGTGTTTGGTAGCTAATTTCTGTAGAATGCAAACTTACACAATGCCCGCTTTATATATACGGCAAGTGGAGCACAGAAAGAATGAGACTGAAGAAAAGCCCTCTCGGAGATGAAGGGCTGCCAGGTGTCTCCCTCAAACAGGGACACTGGTTGCAGCTGGGGTGATGGGTCCTGCTCAGCCCCCTGCAGCCCCAGGCTTCAGGCATACTACTTCAGGAACAAAATATGATAGTCAAGTATTTCACACGGAGCAGGTTCTTGGCGCAGCCACGGACCTGACAACCTAATAGAAGAAACACTGAAGCCCAAAGCAGAAAAGGCATTTTTGTCTTCTTCCAAAATTAGTATCCAAAGTGCAAAAAGATGTAAGTCAAGGAAGTGTGGAAGGCTGACAAGAAATAAGGCCACAAGACCACTCTGGAGTCAACTCCCTTTCACGGCCTTGAGAATCAGAAATAACAACCAAGCCAATAATAGTAAACCTCCACACTTTTCATTTAAATATACATTTAATACTCTTACATATTTTAAGTGAAATTCATCTTTCCTTCCGGTTTAAGGAGGACTTCACGAAGGTAGAACCCTTATGCATTCTTCTTAGGCAGATGTGAAGTTTGCTCCACTGCCCCCTCTAAGTGAGCACCAACATTTTGGGGTTTGTGTTGTCTATCTGTAAATCAAATACTACACAAACCTCCTCTAATCTGTTCCTATTTCCAGTGAGAACATTTTAGCACTGCTGTCTTGGGTTCTAGACTTAATCATAATCACAAAATCAATTTTTCATAGTTGTTTCTTTCAAGAAATTTGAGTAGAAAATAAAAACACTGTAAAATATAGCCCTAGGAAGCGTGTCTGGTCCACAGCCCTGGGTCATGAATATGCATGCCACTCCTTGTTAGAGTGCAGCCTGTGCAGACCTAGACAGTCTGAAGTGTCACGAGAGAGATTAAAGCAAGTCTCAGTTAATATTCACATTGCCCTCTTGTTCCCTCTCTAAAGGGACAGAGAGAAAGAAAGAGTAGGGGAGAAAATTAAACATCTTCTAAAGTCTCTAATCCCACCAACATCTGAAGTGCTTTATTGTATGCTTAGCTTTAGAAAGAGAGCTTCTAACGTTTCCATAGCTACTACAAATAGAAGGCATGAGCCTGTTTGTTGCAAAACTGCCTTGAAAGAACCCTGCAATCAGCACTAGAGCGGGACTTGATAGTGCTGGCCAGCTCTTCAGCAGGGGGCTCTGGGGTCTTGACCCAGGCCACCAAGACCACAGCGTCAGTAAAGCACCTTGTACTGCTCAATGGCCGAGGCAGCACTGCACTGGGCCTCAGCTGGTTCAACACAGGGCCTAACACTAAACTGGGTGGCCTTGTACCAGCAAGGTGATAAGATATTAGCAGGGGAGAAGACCAAAGGCTGGGAAACAGCATGATACAGAAAAACAATCCACAGTAAGGGTATTAATAACCAGCAGATTGATGTGCCAAGCTCACTTTTAAAGTACAGTCAGGTAAGCTGAAATGTTAAAACTGGAATTGTCTGATGAGACAGATTGCATCAAGCTAAACTATTCTTCCAGCTATCAAAATCAGTGCTACTTAAAGTCCTCTACATCATTAAATGTAGACTCCAGGGCGACAGGAACTCTGTTCTGGTCACTGCTCTGTCGGTGTTTAGAAGACTGCTAAGAACAGGGGTCAGCAAATGATGGCCTGTGCTTTTTATGACAGCAAACTAAAAACAGTTTTAATATATTTAGATGATTGGAAAAAAATCTAAAGAATACTGATTTCTGGCACATGAAAATTTGAAATTCAAATGTCCGTATCCGTAAACAAGGTTCTACGGCACACAGCCATGCCCATCACTTGCCTGTGTTGGCGGCTGCTGTCACACTGCAAGGGCAGGGTGGAGGAGCTGCCAAGAGACAGCAAGGCCTACAAAGCCAAAATATTTACTATGTGGCCCTTCACAGAAAAGGTGTGCCAACTTCCGGCCTAGAACATGGGAAGCACTAATGGATATTTGTTGAATTAATAAATAAATAGGCCGGGCATAGTGGCTCACGCCTGTAATCCCAACACTTTGGGAGGCTGAGGCAGGCGGATCACGAGGTCAGGAGTATGAGACCAGCCTGGCCAACATGGTAAAACCCCATCTCTACTAAATATACAAAAAAATCAGCTGGGCGTGCTGGTGAGCCGCCTGCAGTCCCAGCTACTCGGGAGGCTGAGGCAGGAGAAATCGCTTAAACCCGGGAGGCAGAGGCTGCAGTGAGCCGAGATTGCGCCACTGCACTGCAGCCTGGGCGACAGAGCAAGACTCTGTCTCAAAAATAAGTAAATAAACAAACCAACCTTAAAAAGTACTGGCACTGAAAAAATATGCATTATGTAAATTAAAATGATTTAAATGTGTTAAAAGACTTTTCATAATGTTCTGATATATATGGACTTTATTTATAATATCTGTATAACAGATACATATATTATATGTAATATCTGCATTGTTTTCGCATCCAGGACATATATTTTAAAACTCTTTTTAGATAACAAACCCATGAAGGCAAGGGATTTGTGTGCTGCAGGGCTTTCCAAAGTACGCTGTGGAGCAGGGAGGGGCGCACAATTAGAACCTCTCCCAGAGGGGGCCTGCACATAGCATGGTCAGCACGGGCAAGCCTCCTCCACCCAGGCTTCTACAAACCTGTGTAATTATCTGCCCTGTTAGAAAAAGGTTTTCCTAGATGAAGATGCTTCACAAATCCCTTGTCACATCTAAACAAATATCTTCTCGGACCATGGTAAAATGTAGAGTTTTTTAGAGTGCAAAGTAGTAGTTCAGTTTAAAAATTGCTCTCAAAATGCGTTATATTGCACAAACCAAAATACTTTAAAATATGCCAATTTCTGTCAGCCAAAGAAGAAAACATGCCAAGAGTGTGGCCCTGAAAAGGCAACCTCCTCACCCCATCTCACCCCAGTGCATCCCCAGGGGGGAGTCCTCATTGACCTTGGCCCTGTTCTCTAAGAACTTTCTTACTGAGAGGAAAAAAGACACTTCCCAAAGTGCTGCCCAGGGAGCCCTGGGCTTCCTGGAGTTTCATGGGACTTGTGCTACCTGTTGGGACCACCTCCAAAAAGAAGAGCTCCCGCTCGCAGGGTGCTGGAGAGCAAGGCAGGAGGCAGGAGACAGGGAGGGGGCCAGGCAAGATGGAGGTCCTGGGACAGGACATCTGAAGATCCCCTTACTTTTGCAAGGGGTCACAAGTTTTTCAGAATAAACTCGAATGTCAAGAGATATTTTCATTGCTTTCTAAAGTTCACTTTACTTCCACCTTCATCTGCTATGATGATCTTTTGTTCTCAACTCTCATTTATGTCAGTGGTCCCACTGCATACTCTTCTCATTCAGAAAATTAAAGTACAAGTCTAATTTATGGTGCAGATTCTACACAGGGTCTCCCTGCATGACGCTGGAAACTATGTGTTCAATACCCACCACAAACCACCCATTTTGGCTCCCTCTTCCTTCCCTAAATTGTTGGTCTATCTGGTATCTAATTTCCCTCTGAGTTTTTATATTTTAATACGACAGAACATCTGTGCTTCAAAGGTTTCCATGCAATGCTGTATGTACTGTTCTATGTTTCGTAGCCTGTTATGCCTTAATAGCATTTAAAAATAAAAGCTAAAATCATGAGTATGTATACCCTCCAATTTACCAATTAATGGCTAATTGCTAATACTGAAAGTGTTAAAAAAAATACTAAAAGAAGGCAGAGAAATAATTGTCAGATTTGGAAATTATAGGTTACAATCTGAAGAATATAGAGTAAGATTTGCATTTAATACACACTATAAGAAAGAGCAGTTTCAGTCTTTCCGGAGGGAAAAAGCCATCTCAGCAACACCCCTGCACTGAAAGCTGAGGCTGCTAATCGGCTTCTAGGCCGTAAGGGAAGTGGTACATAGGCCCCATAAAACACTGCTGAGTTTGACAGAACTACATTTCACACCTCTGTCCACTAGAGATTTTATATCTGTGCATAACCCAAATCAGTACTTTATTAAAGATGCTGAAACGAAGGCCCATTCACTGTCCTTGCTTGGCACAATGTACTTTCCATAAATTGCAAAGGGAGAGGGGAGATGTTCCTGACTTCACAGGCCTCCTCTCTGAAGCCTGAAACCTCTCTCTGTACAAGGCTCACACTTCCTCCACTGCACCCCGTGGGCCCGAGCGAAGGGCTGTGGCACCAGTGCGCTGTCCAGGCCTTGCTGGGCGTGTACTCTCCATCCCTCACCAGTCCCAGATGTGAAAGCTCAAGCGCCCGCGCCAGGCAAAGCAGGACCCATGAGCCCACGCCAGGCAAAGCAGGACCCATGAGCCCGTCCATCTGGCAGTGAAGTCATGGGAAGATGACCTGTGCCCTGCCCACTCCAAAAGCTTCTGTGGCCGATGGAGGGCCGCGCTCACAGGTACCTCACATTCACGGGGTTTTGGCGGTGAAGGATCCTGTGGCAATGAAACTAATTTTGTACATGACATGCTCTGGAATCATTTTACTGACCACTTCAAAGCAAAGCGTGGTACGAAGCAGTCACAGTCTGGCAGCCCCATCACACACAGGTTTCAGGGTCAGAAACAACCAATACCACTTCTAACTTAAACCACACGAAAGGGTTTTGGGGCCATGAAGTAGTTCCAGTTGGATTTGGGGCAGCACTCCAATGTCACATCTGAGACTCGGAAGGAGCCACTGTATGCAGCATGGTTAGCAGAGTGCCTGGCACACCCATGCACACCGCAGACATTCAGGCCACGGTGCACGAGCTCTGACTCCAGAGAATGTGTGCTCACCATGTGCTCAGACTCCTATCTTACTGGTCCTTGTAGCTCCTGGCTACAGTATGAGTGTTTAAAATATTTGCCCATTGGTGCCTGGATTTGATCTACTTATGAGGCGGTAGCTCCCAGAGTTCTGTCAGATCTGGGCTGAAAGGGAGGTGTGATTTAATAAATGCATGTGGATACACAGCCACGATACAATGTCAGCCTTCATGCTGCAGGAGACAGTTGTGGGGGAGCAGCATTCTGGGGACAATAAACTTCTAAAGTAAACAACAGTGCTCAGTGTCTCCACACACAACCCGGGACACTGCCAGTAGCACACCGGCAGAGCTTCACTGCCCAGATGGTGGCAGGGGAGGTCCTAACGATAGGGGATTTATGAATGGGAGTCAATGGAAACCCAGTAGAAACCGGGGAAGTGTCAGGCCTCACCTGCCAGGTAAAGAGGCTGTTTACCAAGTACCTGGTGATCTTTGGGATCAGTGGCCAGATAATAAGCTGGCCCCACTGAATTTCTGTTCCTGGAACACACTGCCACTCTCAATGCAAGCAAAGCTTTGTACAATTAAGTGTCTCTCACATAAGCCAAGACTGAAAATGAGATTGTCAGTTTACCTTCATAAAATAGTAACACGAGTAAAACTAATAAAGGTAACAGCATCAGTTGTCACATTCCAGGACACAGGATGTGCCAGGGGCTGTTCTAAGTGTGAAAGCATTCAATCCTCACAAACTCTCTATGCGGTAGATGTTCGTTACTATCCTCATTCTACTGATGAGAAAACTTAGACACAGAGGCGAACATGGCCAAGGTCCCGCAACTGGATGTGTTCAAGGTGGATTTGGAAGTAGGCAGTCAGGCTCTGGCATCCGCTCCCCTGATCGCGATGCCGTATCGCTGCTAAGTGTGCTCTCGCGACCAGTCCATCCAGAGAGACCTCTGGAGGGCAGAGCAGTTCTTCTTCCGGGTTGCTATGACTGCACGTTTCTGAGCTATGCCTACAAACCAGTACAAGGAACGGTAGGTTTTGTGATACATGAAATACATCCCTTTCTCTTCAAAGAAATCCCAAGTGATAAACTTGCAGATACCAGTCAGAGTAACTATCTCTGCAAAATACCTTTAGAACTAGCTAATAAGCTAACAATTCAAAGTGAAATAAAAATTTGGAGCAGAAAAAGTAAACCCACCTAAGTTATAAGACATTAGTGTTCGTCTAGCACTGTTGATATTTCAAAATTAATGAAGTACAGCCAAGGATCAAAAATAGTTCTAAGTTAGAAAGGATTAAATGAAGAACATGAACAGGGTGGAGCTTCTGGCGATTTAGAACAGACAAGACCCAGCAGGCCCTGAGGAGTCAAGGAGCGCTCTTATGCTGTACACACCAGTGTCTGGGCATCTGGTAGCACTTGCTCCAATGGCATTAGTTACCATGGCCATCCTGACCTGCCTCCTCACCCCACCTCCCCCGACGCCTTCAGCAGCTCCCAGGAAGTCGGTGGTCAAGGGTGGGGAGGGCTTGCAGGGTGAACAGGGACAGATACCAGATGCGTGCGCTTCCCAAGGACTCTATGATGCTGCAAAGTCAGCACAGGAGAGAGGTTCTCATTTCATGCTGTCTGCTTTCACTTCTAACAGTAATAGGTGACTCAAGAGTTACCTGCAGTCTGATTGATTTCTTTCAACAAGGAGATCTCTAATTCTAATTTGTCCTCATCAGGGGAAGAGCACTACTATATCCATTTAAAGTCAGGACAACCTTCAGCAGAAAGGTATAATACATAAATAACTCCAACATTCACTATAACACTTTAGACTATTTAAAAGCCAAGTGGTCATGCTGGTGACACTTAGTTCTAAAACTCTCCCTTGACGCGTATCTCTCTAAAAAATTTCTGAAGTACTGAATATTTCATTTTGGGGAGAAAATTCATTGAATTACAGAAACTTAATACTTTAACACTGTTTTCCTCTTTTCTATGAACAACACACCTCTTGATATTTAGACTGGCGTTGGAGCAAGGGATTTAGATATGAACAAAAATTCAAACTGTTAATCTTACATCTGAATGTCTCTCAAAAATTTAATCATGATCTATTCATTCATTTAATAAATACGAAGGCAAAATGCTCAATACTGGTAAGACAACAGCTAACAGGATAGTCCAGTCCCTGCCCTTGGGGCGTTTACATTCTAGCACTTGCAGAGGCAGGCCCTAAACCAAAAAACAAAGTCTGAAAGGGGTGACAGAGCATAATTACAAGAGGACAACTTGGGGAAAGAGGGGAGTTAGGGAAGGCCTCTCTGAGGAATTAACATCAGAGCTGAAACTCAAAGGATGAAAAGAAGCCAGACCCCTGGAGAGCTGAGGAGGAGGGTGCAGATGGGAGCAGGCCACACAGCGCCTCCACATGGAGGAACACTGATGAGAAAAACTTGTATGGCTGGGAAGAATGAGTGAGGGAGAGTGGATAAAAAGAAGCAGAGGTCAGTCAAGGCCAGCTCCTTCAGGGATTCTTAGGCTATGGTAAGGAGCTTGCTGTACTGCATTCTAACACAATGAGAACTCATCGAAAGAGCTGAAGTAGAAAAATTAAGAAGCTCTTGTGGGCAGCTGCGTGGAGAGTGGAACAAGGGAGCAGGAGTCCATAATGGTGAGAATAAAATTTTGGAATAATACAGACTTGGGTTCAATTCTGGCTCTGCCACTTTACAAGCCGCACGGCTTTGGGCAATTTACACAACTTTACCAAGGCAGTTGTTCCACCTATGAACTTGGACAGGTGGTGGGTACAGGTGACGGAAGGGGGTGTTTGCCATGTGCACAACACACTCAGTGCACCTGAGAGCCATGGGTACAGTGGAGCTCCAGCACAGGCTCTGGGTGGGCTTAAAGGCCACCACGCTCCTCTATCAGGCACGTGACTTCACATCCTTTCGCCAATGAGGGGGAGACAAAATGATCTCTCAATATGTCAAACGATAGTACAGAAAAGTGATTATGTTCTTGGGCCTTGTGGGCAGAAAGTTGAGGTTCAAATTGCATTGCTGTTCCACTGCCGAACAGCTGGTGGCCCTAGCCAGTTATAAAACCATTTGCCTAAATTCCCTCCTCTATAAAATGAAGATAAAAATATTGTTTCATAGGATGGATGCAAAGATGAAATAAGATCACAATGCCTGGCATGAAAAGAGGCACTCAATGTCAGATATTACTGTTAAACAGACAGAACTGTTTGCTTTTTTTTGACCCTGAAGAATGATTAATTAGAAAACTATTTTGTGCTCAGGCCCCTGATGAGGATCTGAGACATACAGGAAAAGTCTGAGGTACAGTTGCTGCCTACATTTATTTTTCTCCAAAATTTTTTTTTTTTACTGTGGTAAGGTACACGTAACATAAAATTTCGCATCCTAACTATACTAAAGAGTACACATTGGTAGTGTTAAACGCATTCACAACGTTGTGTGTCTATCACCACCATCCATCTCCGCAACTCGTCTTGTAAACTGAAACTCAGTCCCCATTAAACAGTAATTCCCTTTCTTCTCTCCCCTCAACCACTGGCAAGCACTCTACTTTCTGTCTCTGTGATTTTGACTACTCTAAGTACCTCTTATAAATAAGCTGACACGGTATGACTGGCTTATTTCACTAAGTGTAAGGTCCTCAGGGTTCATCCATGTTGTAGTGTGTGTCAGAACTGCCTTCCTTTTAAAGCTGACTCATATTTCAGTAAATGTAGAGGCCACATTTTGTTTATCCACTCATCCTTTGGTGGACACCTGGGTTGCTTCTACCTTTTGGCTACTGCACATAATGCTGCTAGGAACATGGTGTACAAATACTTCTTTGAGACACTACTCTCAATTCTTTCGGGTATATACCCAGAAGTGGAATTGCTAAATCATATATATAGTAATTCTATCTTTAACTTTTTGGGGACTTGCCAAACCGTTTTCCACAATGGCTGCACCATTTTACATTCCCATCAGTAATGCATGGGAGTTCTGATTTCTCCACATTCATGCCAAGACTTGTTTTTTTTTTTTTTCTTGTTTTGTATAGTGGCTATCCTCATGGATGTGAGGTGGTATCTCATTGTGGTTTTGATTTGCATTTTCCTCATGATTAGTGATGCTGAGTATATTTTCATGTGCTTCTTGGCCATTTGTATATCTTACTGGAGAAATGTGTACTCAAGTCTTTTGTCCATTTTTGAATGAGGTTGTTTTATTGTTAAGTTTTATGAATTCTCTATATATTCTAGATATCTATCCCTTATCAAATAAATAATTTGCAAATATATTCTCCCATTCTGTGGATTACATTTTCACTCTGTTGAATGATTCTTTCACTCTGTTGAATGATGCAAAATATTTTAAAATTTTCATGTAGTCCAATTTATCATTTTTCCTTTTGCTGTCTGTGCCTTTGGTATCACATCCAATAAATAACTGCCAAATCCAATGTCATGTGAAGCTTCTGCTCTGTATTTTCATCTAAGAGTCTTACATTTAATCCACTTTGAGTTAATTTTTGTATATGACGTTAAGTAAGGGTTCAGTTTCATTCTTTTGCACCTGGATATCTAGTTTCCTTAGCACCATCTATTGAAAAGACTGCGCTTTCTCCACTGAATGGTGTTGTCATCCTTTTCAGCAATCATTTGACTACATTTGTGGAGATTTATCTCTGGATTCTCTATTCTGTCCCACTAGTCCAGATGTCTGTCTTCATGTCAGTACCACATTGTTTTGATTATTGTAGCTTTATTATAAGTTTCAAAATCAGGAAGTGTGAGTCTTCCAGCTCTGTTCTTCTTATACATTGTTTTGGCTATTCAATGTCCCTTGGGATTCCATATGAAGTTTGGAATGGGTTTTTCTATATCTGCAAAAAATTTCATTGGGATATTGACATGACTTGCATTAAATCTGTAATTGCTCTGAGCAGTACTGACATCTTAACAATATTGTTTTTCAACACATGAACATGCGATGTGTTCCCGTTTATGTCTCCTTTAATTTCTTTCAGCAATGTTTTATAGTTTTCATGGTACAAGTCTTTCACCTCCTTGAGTAAGTTAATTCCTAAGTATTTTATTATTTTTGATGCTATTATAAAAGGAATTGCTTTTGTAATTTCCATTCCGTCAGTATTAGTAAATAGAATGCAACTGATTTTTGTGTGTTGACTTTATATAGTTCTACTTTACTGAATTCATTAAAACATGAGTTTTAATGGTTTTTGTGTATGAGGGGGATGGAATCTTTAGGGTTTCCCATAGATCATATAATCTGTGAAAAGATAATTTTACTTCTTCCTCTAATTTGGATGCCTTTTCTTTTTCATGCTTAATTGGTTTGGTTAGAACTTCTAGTAAGATATTGAATAAAAGTGATGAAAGTGGACGTCCTTGCCTTGTTCCCGATCTTAGAGAAAAAGCTTTCAGTCTTTCATCGTGGAGTTATGTTTGCTGTTGATTTTTCACTTGTTGGGTTTTCCTGGCTTTTATTATGTTGAGGCAGTTTCATTATATTCCTAGTTTGTTGAGTGTTTTTTATCATGAAGAGATGTTGAATTTTGTCAAATGCTTTTTCTGCATCAACTGAATTGATCATGTGTTTCTTTCCCTTCATTCTATTAATGTGGTGTATTACACTGATCAATTTCAGTATGTTGAACCACCCCCGCATTCCAGGAATAAATTCCATTTGGTCATGGTGTGTAATTCTTTTAGTATGCTGTTAAATTCATGTTCATAAAGGATGTTGGTCTTTAGTTTTCTTGTAGTGTCTCTGTCTAGCTTTTGTACCAGGGAAATGCTGGCTTCATAAAATGAGTTAGGAAGTGTTCTCTTCTCCTCAATTTTTTTGGAAAAGTTTGAGAAGGATTGGTATTAGTTCCCCTTGAAATGTTTGCTAGAATTCACCAGTGAAGGCATCAGGTTTAGGGCTTTTCTTTGTGAGATTTTTCATTGCTGATTTAATTGTCTTACTATAACTAGTAACTTATAGTACTTACTATAGTACTTACTATAACTAGGTCTATCCATATTTTATAATAGGTTTTGAGTTTCTAGGAATTTGTCCATTTCATTTACATTATCCAAACTGATGGTGTACAATTGTTCACAGTGCTCTCTTGCAACCCTTTTTATTTCTGTAGAATCAGTAGTAATGTCCCCACTTTCATTTCTGATAATTTGAGTCTTTTTACCTTAGTCCACCTAGCTAAAAGTTGGTCAACTTTTGTTGATCTTTAAAAAAGCAACTTCTGTTTTCATAATTTTCTCTATTATTTTTCTATTCTCTAGTTTGTTTTATCTCTGCCCTAATATTTATTATCTTCCTTTTGCTAGCTTTGGGTTTACTTTTTCTATGTCCTTATCTAGTTCTTTGAACTTTCTTATTTTTTAATGTAAGCATTTATAGCTATAAAATTTCCCCCTTAGCATTATTTTTGCTGTGTCCCATAAGTTCTGTTATGTTGTCTTTTCATTTTCATTTGTCTCTAAATATTTTTTTCTTCTTTTTTTTTTCTTTTTTAAAGTTTTTAATAGAGATGGGGCTTCACCATGTTGCCCAGGCAGGTCCTGAACTCCTGGCCTCCAGCAATCCTCCTACTTTGGCCTCCCAAACTGCTGGGATTACAGGTATGAGCCACTGCACCCAGCTGACCTCTAAGTATTTTCTAATTTCCCTTGTGATTTCTTCTTTGATCTACTGGTTAACAGTATGTTTTTTAATTTCCATAAATTTGTGAATAGTCCAGTTTTAGTTCTATTTCTGATATCTAACATTATCCAGTTGTAGTCAGAAAAGATACTCTGTATGATATCTTTAAAAATCTATGGAAACTTAATTTGTTACCTAATATACACTCTATCCTGGAAAATGTCTTCTGTGCACTTGAGAAGAATGTATATGCTCTTGTTGTAGGATAGAGTGTTCTGTGTATGTCTGTTAGATCTAGTTTGTTTATTAAGTCCTCTGTTTCCTTACTTACCTTCTGTCTGGTTCTTCTATCCATTATTGAGAGTAGGGTAATGAAGTTTCCAACTATTACTGTAGAACTATTTCTTCCTTCAGTTTTTGCTTCATATATTTTGGCCTGTTATCGGTCTGTGCAAATGTTTATATCTGTTGTATCTTCTTACTGTATTGAAACTTTAATATATTATGTTCTTCTTTGTCTCTTGCAACCTTTATTTGATTTAAAATCATTTTGTCTGATATTAGTCACGTCTGCTCTCTCTTACCACTTCCTTATACTATCTTTTTCTATCCTCTTATTTTCAACCTATTTGTGTCTTTGGATCTAAACTGAATCTCTTGTAGACAGTACAGTTAGATCAAGTGTTTTTATCCATTCTGTTAATCTCTGTCTTTTGATTACACAGCTTGATCCATTTACATTTAAATAATTACCGATAAGGGCTTATTTATGTCATTTTGCTATTTGTTTCCCATATGTCTTATAACTTATTTCTTACATTATTGTCTTCTTTTTATTTTTTGTACTGAAATGTTTAAGTTCCTTTTTCATTTCCTTTTGTGTATATTCTATAGCCGTGTGTGTGTGTGTGTGTGTGTGTGTGTGTGTGTGTGTGTGTGGTTACCATGGGGATTACATTTAACATTCGAAAGTTATAATACTCTAATTCTAATTTATGCCAGTTTTACTTCAGTAACATCCAAAAATGCTGCTCCTTTAAAGCTCTGTTTACTCCTTTCGGTTAACATAAAAAAAATTAAAACCTTATATGCTGTGTACCCCAAAAATAAACTAGTAATCCTTTCAGACACATTAGTCTCTTAAAATATGTAGAAAACAAAATGTGAAGTTATAAACTAGCTTGTATATTGCTCATGAATTTATCTCTATTGAGATCTTTATTTCTTCATATAGCATCAAGTTACTGTCTGTTGTCTTCTCATTTCATCCTGCAGGATTACCTTGAGCATTTCTTACAAGGCAGGTCTAGTGGTAACAAAC
This sequence comes from Homo sapiens, assembly GCF_000001405.40. Classification (NCBI taxonomy): domain Eukaryota; kingdom Metazoa; phylum Chordata; class Mammalia; order Primates; family Hominidae; genus Homo; species Homo sapiens. Next base: position 45,826,747 of record NC_000022.11, on the reverse strand, counting down.
TCCATCAGCTTTTGTTCGTCTGTGAATGCCTTAATTTATCCCTCATGTTTGAAGGACAGTTTGGACAGACAAACGATTCTTAGTTGACAGTTTTTTCTTTTTGCACTTTGAACATTTTGGCCCACTGCCTTCTGGCCTCCAAAGTTTCTAATAAGAAAACTGCTGGTAATCCTATGGATTATCTCTTGCATGTGATGGGCTGCTTCTTCCTTGCTGCTTTTAAGATTCTCTTTATCTCTGTCTTTCAAAACTCTGACTATAATATGTCTCCTTGAGTTCATCTTAACTTGGAGCTCACCGAGTTTCCTGGTTGTATATATTCGTGACTTCCATCAAATGTGGAAAATTTTCAGTCCTTATTTCTTCAGATATTCTCTCTGCCCTTTTCTCTTTTTCCTTGTTTCCCACAATGCGTATGTTGGTTGGCTTGATGGTGTTCCACATATCCCTTAGGCTCTGTTCACTTTTCTACAACCTTTTTTCTTTCTGCTTGTTGGACTTAATATTTTCCATTGTCCTAGCTTCCTTCTCCCTGCTCAAATCTGTCTTCGAATCCTTCTAGTAAATTTATTTCAGGTATTGTACTTTCAGCTCCAGAATTTCTCTTTGATTTATCTTCAGGTCTTCTATCTCTTTGCTGACATTTCATTTTGTCCATATTGGGCTTTTTGTTTTGTTTTGATTTAGAGACAGGGCCTGGCTCTGTTCCCCAGGCTACAGCACAGTGGCACAATCTCAGCTCATTGCAACCTCCACCTCCTGGGCTCAAGACATCCTCCCACCTCAGCCTCCCAAGTAGCTGGGACTACAGGTGCACACCACCACGCCTGGGGCTAATTTTTGTAGAGATGGGGTTTTGCCATGTTACCAGGCTGGTCTCAAACTCCTGAGCTCAAGCCATCTGCCCTGGTAGGTGCTGGGATTACTGGTGTCAGCCACTGCACCTGGGCTTGTCCATATATTGTTTTATTGATTTTCCACACGTTCCTTTAGTTCCTTGAGCATCTTCAGTAAGACCCTTGTTTTAAAATATAGTAGATGAATCCAAGAATGGTTTCTGTTTGTTTCATTTTTTCCCCCTTGAATGGGCCTACTTTCCTGTTTCTTATGTATGCCTTATGATTGTTTTTTAAATGGGACATCTGACTCTAATAATGTGGTAACTCTAGAATTCAGATTCTAAGACAAAGTGTTTGCTACTTTTGTTACTGTTCATTATTATTATTATTTCTGGATTGTTGCAGGCTGTCTCTGTGCCAAGGATAAGCCTGAGGTGTAAATTTAAGATCTTCTCAGGTCTTCTCCGAGCCTATGCTATTCCCTGGGAATCTACGGTGACTTTCTAATTTTCCCTGTATATACAGTTATTTTTCAATGTCCTAGTATTTAATGCCTGGTTCCCAAAAGATGCAAAAGAAAAATAAAGGGAAGAGGGAAAAAGGGTGCTGGCCTTTTAAATACCCAGAAAGCCACTTCAGCCAGAGGTGGAAGGACTTACAACAATGGGGGCAGATGCAACAATAATGGTCTCCACTCCTTTGTCTGTACCTCTGTGATCAAAAGCTGAAATCAGTAATCAGAGCACTGACCCCAGATATTTGCATGTCAGGGTCTTTTTGGCCCACCCTACCTGGCTCCCACAAGCTGCTTGCAAGATGCTCTAGGAACAGTGTACAGCAGCTGTCTGCCATAGGACTGGGGATGGAGGAGGAATAGCTGCTACTGAGCTAGAGCTGAAATTGACAGAAGTTAACTCCACTTTACCATTCAAGCCTTCTTGTGGACATTGCAAGACTTCAGTGGACTTCAGCGTACCAAAACAGTTACATCAGATTCAGTACAAATGTTGTCTAGGAGATTCCTGGGACCTCCTACCCATGAATTTCCCTGAACCCTCTCCCACACAAATCTGTTATTACTGTTGTTGTTACAAGGTCTTTATCTTGAGGTCAACAAAGACAGGTTATAGATTCTGGGTATCACAGAAAAAGCTAGATCACATCACCTCGGTCCATAGATAAAAACCTCTATCAATTCAGTTATCAATACAAATTTGTTTTCTAGCTGCCACCATATACCCATGGATATGTGATGTGTTTACTGCACTTTGTAAGTCATTGTTCCCAACTAGCATCTGATGCCACTTGAAGATTTCATTAAATATGACACGATTCTTAGAGTTTCCTCATTTTCCCTTTACCAATTTTCAACTAAGGGATGGAAAGTAAAGACAATCACTATGGAAGGGGGACACAGCAGAGATGGTGCCTATGTTTACTCTAAATATCAATTTAGTGCCTTGAGGAGAGTTAGATGCAGAGAAATAAACACATAATTACAAAGTACTATAAAAGCTACAATGTTAAATTACAGGATAAGGTGAAACAATAAAAAGGGGGCCTTAAATTTGAGTTGGGATCATGAAAGACTTATCTTAAATAAATAATATTTAAATCAAACTCAAAGGTGAGTAGGAGTTGGCCAAATGTAGAAAGGGGAGAACTCCAGTGAGAGGAACAGTATGTGCAGGTCTCTGTGAGCTGCAGGGGCAGTGTGGGATATTAGAAGAGGGTGGCCAGAGTGCCGGAAGGGAAAACAGGACGGGCTGACTACACTCAGCAGGTAAGAGCGTGGGGAAGGCAAAGGAAGGTAGGAAGGTAAGTCCCTGCTCCAGAACTTACTGCATACCCACTGTACCACCATGTGCCAGGGACTACCAAAACAAACAAACAAACAAAAAACGAAGAAGTAAACATGATGTGCTTTGCTCTCAAGGAGCTCACAAAAAAGTACAAGCGACAGACCCAGCAAGGGCACGTCACAAGATGCTGAGGGCACAGAGTCTCCCAGGTGACCTGAGTGCCTGCCCCCAAGCCTAGCAGGGGGTGTGCCCACCTACCATACTGAAACCTTCATGGGAGCACACAGTGTCTCTTTTTTGATCAACCATTGTATCCCTGGCAGCTAGAACAGTGTGCAGCACATAACATGCCAGCTACTCAATAAACACCTGCCGAATAAATCCATGAACATAATGATACAGCAACTGACTGAATCCAGCAACATATAAGAAGGATAATATATGAAAAGTTGGTTAACATTCAAAATTGGCCCTACCGGATACCAAGATCATAAAGTCACGATGATTACAAGAGTATAGTATCAGGCCAGGGACAGAGAATACAGCACAGGAAACAGAATCATGCCTGTAGGACAATGATTTATGACAAGGCGGTCCTGCAGAGCCAAGGGTGAAATGAAGGTTTTTAAATACTGAAACGGAAACAACTGCATAATCGCAGGGGAAATTAAAAAAAGACAGAATCCCTACTGTACATCATAAATAATTACAATTCTGATAGATTACAAATCCAGATAGAAGGCAAAACTGTAAAGCCTTTAGCATACTTTTATGACCTCAGACCTCAGAGACACAAAAATCACTAAACATAGAAGGAAAGACTGATAAATTTTACATTAAAATTGGGAATTTTTATTCATTAAAACATCATAGAAGTCAGAACAGAAGTTACATCTGGGGATTGGCAGTGAGGGAGACGGGACACTCAAGAAGCCGCCTAGGGAGATGGGCATGTTCTGTATTTCCATCTGGGTGATGCGTACATACATCTGTACTTATGTCAAGATGTATACTTAAAAATTTTGCAGTTTACTCTATTTAAGTTATACCTCAATGAAATAATAAGACACCATGAGGAAAGTAAGAACAAAGATGGATGGGAAAGACTATTTCAACACATACAACTGAACAAATAATTTTTATCCTGGATATAGAAAAAAGTTCTTAAAAATCAGTTTTTAAAACACCTAACTATGGGCAAAAAATCTGAACAAACTCTTCATGACACAAGAAATCCAAATAGCCAAAAATCACAGAACTGTGTTTATTAATATTAGAGAAATTCAGCTGGGCACCGTGGCTCACATCTGTAATCCCAACACTTTGGGAGGCCAAGGCAGACGGATCACCTGAGGTCAGGAGTTCAAGACCAACCTGACCAACATGATGAAACCCCATCTCTACAAAAATTAGCCAGGTGTGGTGGCGGGCACCTGTAATCCCAGCTACTCATGGGGCTCAGGCAGGAGAATCACTTGAACCCAGGAGATGGAGGTTGCAGTGAGCCGAGATCGTGCCACTGCACTCCAGCCTGGGTGACAGAGCAAGACTCCATCTCAAAAAAAAAAAAAAAAAAAAAAAAATTGGAGAAATTCAAATAAAATCACAACATATTATATTCCTCAGAATGGCAAATATTACGAGGTCTGACTGCATCAAGTGTTGGCAAGAAGGCAGAGTGAAAGGAGCTTTCATATACTGCTGATGGAAAACAGGTACCACTACTCTGAAGAGTTTGGCATCATCTAAGATAAAGATATACATGCCCTGAAGCCCAGAAATCCCATGCCTAGAAAAACACCCACACATATGTGTAGCAGGACACATGCACTGTATGTACCAAGATGCTCACAACAATAACTGTAATAGCCCCAAAGTGGAAATATGACAAATATCCACCAACAGTAGAATGCAAAAATGTTAAAATTTCTTGCAATGAAATGCTATAAAATAGACCAAACACAATTTTGGTGAATCTCAGAGTCATGATTTTGAATGACAGGAAACAAAAGAATGCAGGCTATGATTCCGTTTATATGAACTTCAAAGACGGCCAATCTACCAGACATGGTTTAGACACACTCTGGAGCTGATGATGGGGAAGAGCAGGGAAGGCCTGGTGCTGGTCAGGCCAGCGGAGGACTAGATGGATTCCTCAGGGAAGGCTGGCAGTGTTTTTGCCTCTCGACCTGAGTGTTGGTATGTGGATGTCTGCTTTATAATTATTTGCCAAGTGTATACATATATATTGGCTTCACTTTTCAGTATGCACGTTACATTTCAAAATAAAAACAAGAAGTTTTAAAAAAACTAGGATGACTGAAGTGAGACCTGAAGTGTGAGGGGGATCTGCCAAATGCAGTTCACAGGTTGCATCAGGTAGACAGCACCAAGAAATACAGCCCCTAAATGTCAAGATGTATACTTAAAACTTGCAGTTTACTATATGTAAGTTATACCTCAATGAAATAAGACACCATGAGGTACTAAGATGGATGAGAGAGACTATTTCAACACATATAACTGAACAAATAATTTTTATCCTGGATATAGACTCACAAATGTCACCATGATGTGCAGTGCCTTCCCAGCTCAGATGCCTGACTTGCTTTTTCTGCATCAGAAACCTAGCAGGGAGAGGAGGTTGGGGTCTTTCACAATCATCATTTTCTTCTTGAAAACCCATTAGGATTTCCTGGTGCTTCCTAATTATGCCTGGAGGAAACTGTGCTAGGTTCGTTTTTTTTTTTTTTTTTTTTAAAGAGACGGGTCTCACTAAGTTGCCCAGGCTGCTCTCAAACTCCCAGGCTCAAGCGATCCTCCTGCCTCAGCCTCCTGAATAGCTGGGAGGCGTGAGCCACTATGCCTGGTAATTGTACTCGTTTCTACAAGTGCTTTAGGAGAGAAACACAAAGGAAGTAGTTTTGATTCTGATACACTTTGGCTTCTCTCAAAAAACTGGGAAAATATTTTGACTTTTCTACAGGCTTTTCCTATCTTCAGTCAGAAAGTGCACATCTCTATCTGAATCTGACAGAGTCATCATTCTCTGAGCTTCTTGGAGAATGTTAAAGTTAGGTCATTTTCCAAAGACGAAGGCAAGACTCTCTTGTAAAAGTTAAGTCTCGTCATATTCAGGTGAAAAATCTTAAAGGCAAGGCTGGGTCCTTCTCATAGAAACTCGAACCATTTCTATTCGTGCTTTTCCCTGGCTTCTGTCCACCACTGAGGCTCTTTCACAGCACAGGGCCTGTTTTCGGCTGTGCTCAGTTAACCCTGAAGAAAAGGTCTGTCCATTCCCCAAGACGACTTTCCCGGCAGCTCACAAAAACCAACCACCATTGTTGGGATGGCCGGGGTAAGCAAACCACCCTGGCAATGCCTGCGGCCACGGGGTCCAACATCTTTTCTCTTGACCTCAATGAAGATTTTAAGACTAAAGAATGGTAAGAGTTGAAAAGGTGAGCACATCTAAAAGTTAGCTTTATTTTTATACTTTCTCCAATGAAGGGATAATGTGGATCTACAAAACCACAAGGATCAGAAAGCCCAAAGCAGCCAGAGGCTTCCCTTTTCCTCCAGCCACCCCATCTCACTCCATAAGAAGCAGTCAACTCCAGGCAGAAAAGCAGACCTCTGAATTCCCTCCAAGTTGCTCAGAGTCCAAGTCACTTATCATTAGAAGAAACACAAATGAGAGATGTGCAGGTTGGGTCAGAGCCTCTGAGTAGGCCATCCTTTCTTCTACCACCCCTTAGCGTTCTGTCCTGTATTATCACAATGGCCTGTTTCTCCAACTAGACGGTGATCAGAGCTTGCATCTTCCTTAGGTTGGTGGTCCCACCGTAGCACACGGCCTTTTCATTTCCTGGATAAGGAAATGAGTGCCTGCTTATAAGTCCCATTAGAGATTTTCCTTCGAAGAACCCTTCACAGAATCCAACAGGCCCAATACGTTTTTGCTTTTTAATGTATTGGTCCTAGAATAACTGGTACAGAGAATAGAACACTTCCTGATCCTGATAGAAATGATCATCTCAAAATAAAACAGCCCAGGAGTTACAGTCCAACAGTGCTGAATGGCTGTGACACACTCACGTTTTGACCAGGCCCTTGGTCACTGCTAAATGTGACTAAGGTCTTTTTAGACAAAAATCCTGACAATTATCAGGGTTACTGGAACATGTTCCTTTATGCCAAACTTTGGCTACCCAGTCTCTCAAGTGTCTCACAAAATATATAATCTGTGTGGCAATGGTATTTAAGTTTCGCAATTTAAAAAGGTATTAACTTTCTCAACGTATCCAAAAGTCACTGCTGTTTTTAATTAATCTAATGCAAAAAGAAAAATTGGCAAATAATTAACTTCATAAGAAAATACATACATTAAATGATAATAATAATGTATACAAGCACAGACCACAGGCCAAGAACTCATCTCAGCACTTCATGCACAGGCAGTCACACTTCCCTCCAGTCTCAATCCAGCAGCTTTCCTGAAGGTAAAGCTTCCTGCATGGGACTGCTGTGATCACAGAAGTGCCCTAGTGGTTCTGAGTCAACTACAATGAATACGTCAGTGATGTGGCTTGGTAAAGCCACCTGGGGACAGAGTGAGACATCATTATGCAGCACGGCAAGGGTGTCCTGTGACTACCGAACTTTGTGTTCGTTCCGTGCAGAGACAGGCTCAGTGGAATCAGAGTGTGCTTCCTACCCACAGAGGCAGCATTTGAAGGAAACCATCAGGCATGTGGATTTTGAGCTGATACTTTAGGCTACTTTAGGCTTATGATCTGATCTTATACATCAGATACAAAATTTCTAAAATACAAAGTTAAGAATTATAAAAGCCTATTCTATTCTATTCTATTCTATTCTATTCTATTCTATTCTATTCTATTCTATTCTATTTTCTATTCTATTCTTCATACTACAGAGAAACCAGGAGGAATGCAGGATGGCTACTCTGTTAAATGTACTGTTTGAGTAAACAATTTTGAAAAACAAGTATTGCATGTAGCTTCTAAATTTAAAATACTTTCTTAAGCTAGTAAGCTTACAACTGGTCTAGAATAGTGACGATTAAGGTGAAATTATTTAGGCATGGATTTCTCATGTTTTCCCTACGTGTCAGACTACGCAAGTTTTAGGCATGCAAAGAAGCCAGAGACACAGTGCACCAAGGTCAGGCCCCAGGATGCTGCCATCAGCCTGCATCAGTCACGGGGCTTGGCTCTAAGGAGCAGGTCCTTAGGAACAGGCAATCAGTGTCCACATACAGTTTTGTTTCTGTTTTCAAATAAATGTTACATGGTGGCCCTTAGAACATTAACAGCAACCACTGAGAAGCACGCTTGGGAAAACGCAGCAGACAGGCAGCTGAAGTAACCGAGAGCAAGTCCAGGGAAGCAGCTTCCCACACCTCTTTCACACAGCTTCCTGCGTGATGATCCCTGCCCCCTGATCCCTGATCCCTGCCCCAGGCTGTTGATCCCTGATCCCTGCCCCGGTCCGCTGAAAGCGAGGGTGGTCACCTTCAAACCAAAAAGGACCGCCCACATGGCTCACACTGAGAACCTCGCTCTGAAAAACAACAGGCTGGCGTCTTCTGACTGATGTGAGAATAAGCATGCAGAGTCTTGCTTTTAACACAGGTAAACCAGACAAGCAGAACCAGATGCGCTTTGACTCCTGAGAGCCAGGGAGAGCTGAGCAACCAGGCTTGGCAGGACAAACGCAAGGCACTGGCCTGCAGGAACACAGAGGCCTGAGGCAGAGAGAGGGACGCAGTGACCATGGCTCTAAAGACACACAAGTGCATAACTGTTAATGCCCTGGAAAGAAGCCAGGCTGTCTGCCAATCCGTACACTGTAAAACTCCCAGTGTGCTGACACAGCTTTAGCTTCTAGCCTCTGTGATTCTGGAGGTGTAAGAAAATGAGAGGCACAAAACCAAAAGCTGAGTAGACAAAACCTGAAGGAGCACAACTTGGAATATTTACTTGTACAGTCTCATTTTAAAACAGTTTGACTACCTGCCAAGATACCTGAGCGAGGAAAGGAAGTCTCTTTTCTGAAAGCTTATGCATTCCAGCATGTCTTTCTCCAACTTCCAGCTTCTCACCCTGGGAGCCCGTTGCTAAGGTACTAGGAGAGCTGGCTAAAGCAGGTCCCCCTCACTCTTTCACTAGGGATGAGTCTGTTTGAATGGTGACTCCTGCATCTGTGTAGTGGAGGCAGTTGGTGGCGGTGGGCTGCTCTTACTGGTCTGGGCTGGGAGCATCACCAATTCATCTCACAGTCCTGCACCCGGCAATCAGCTCCCTTCACTCATACAGGGCCCTGGGAGGCCTCTGCTCACCTGTGAAATCACCTTCTGTGTGTGCACTTGTTTGTCTTCATTGATCTGGTTTACGCAGATAAATCACACTAGCTGAGGGTGGGAGAATTACTATACAACTTAAAAAAAAAAAAATTAAGGCTGGGCAGGGTGGCTCACGCCTGTAATCCCAGCACTTTGGGAGGCCAAGGCAGGGGGATCACTTGAGGTCAGGAGTTCAAGACCAGTCTGGCCAACGTGGTGAAACCCCGTCTCTACTGAAAATACAAAAATTAGCCAGGCGTCGTGGCATGGGCCTGTAATTCCCGCTACTAGAGAGGGTGAAGCACAAGAATCACTTGAACTCAGGAGGCGCAGGTTGCAGTGAGCAGAGATCGCGCCATTGCACTCCAGCCTGGGCGACAAAGTGAGACTCTGTCTTAAAAAAAAAAAAAAAAAAAAAAAAGTTAAATCAATGGGAAGCCATACCAAAAAGATTCTCTCTTAAAAGCAAAACAGCACTAATGGGTTTTCAATAACTGAACAATTAACACATAGTGCTTATAAGCTGTTTAATCCTGAGAATGTAGAAATCAGCGGAAGAGAGGCCGCCCCTCCAGAGGAAGAAAGGCTGGCTTTGGCAGGAAGATGTCCTAGTCATTCACTGCATCAAACAAACGTCAGGATGGCCAAAATGAGATATTAAAGCAGACACACACTGCTTTGTGAACACAGAGCAGGCGCTCCTGGCATGGAAATTCATTGCTATCTTTTACAAACCACACCGAGCCTAGCCAGCTGCGCCATCTCGAGGTGTTTAAGACACTTCCCTGAGGAGCCTCCTTCCGGCTGCTGTTTGGCAGGCCTGATACCACGCTAGATTCTCCACCAAGAAGAGTACAGAACAGAACATGTTCCTACATTTATTCTAAGATTCCTGCATTCCCAAAGATGTGGCACTACAGTTCAGAATTTCCCAAATGGAAGCTCCAAAATGCACATGTGACTAATAAAGACTCCACGAGGTTCTGCAAGCCAGAACATCTGCTTCACACAGGCTTTCTCACATTTTATTAAAAGAAGGCTTCTCCCGTATATTACCTATTAAGATACTATAGACAAAATATGCTTTGGAGCACATTTTGGAAACAGTCCCCTGGGTTCACAGGGTCCAATGTTGGGAATGCACTCAGGGTACAGGAACAAGATGACATAGTTCCCACCTGGGATAAACTTTCCTTGGGGGAAAGGTTACATATCTGGGTATTCTGGTGTGTCATGTTCAGGGAGAGGCACAGCCACCCAACCCAACTATAACACGCCAAATGGAGGCACTCAGCTCACTGAAGGGATCTAGAAAGAACTCTGAGAGGAAGACATACATGACCGAAGTCTAAAAGGAGGAAAGAGAGGAAACGGGAGAGGTATCTGTTTCCCAAGGAGCTACTATCTCAGTGCTCAGCACTTTCTCCTGATTATGATCTAAGATCAAAATAGGGCAGTGAATTTTTATTTATTTATTTTTATTTTTTAGATAGAGTCTTGCTGCAACACCCAGGCTGGCGTGCCAATGACACAATCTCAGCTCACTACAACCTGCGCCTTGCAGGTTCAAGCGATTCTCCTGCCTCAGCCTCCCGAGTAGCTGGGACTAAGGGTGCGTGCCACCACGCCTAGCGAATTTTTTTTTTGTATTTTTAGGAGAGACAGTTTCACCATGTTGACTAGGCTGGTCTCAAACTCCTGACCTCAAGTGATGCACACACCTCAGCCTCCCAAAGTGCTAGGATTACAGGCAGGAGCCACCGCGCCTGGCCAGACAGTGAATTTTATTGAGTGGTTACTACGTGCTAGATGCTCAGTAGGATTAATGAAAGATTTTGTATCCAACACAGATGTATAGTCACCTGTCCCTCAAGGAATTACAATGGAAAGAAACACTGACATTCATCCTTTACATGGATGAAGGACCTGTGTGGAGTTTAAACGTCTGAATTAGGACCAAAGCCTTGGAGTGAGAGAAAGCTGGGTTTACACCCTGGTCCCATCACAAGCCAGGAGAGCTTGGACCAGCTACTTTAACTCTCAAGAGCTTTAGTTTTCTCACTTGTAAAATGGAAACAATTTTTTCCAACAAAGAGGACTCTTCCAGTGACACCATGAAAAAGGAAGGAAGGAAGGCAGGGAAGGAGGGAGGGAGGGAGGGAAAGGAAAAAAGTGAAAACAAAACAGAAAAACCCAAAGAGAACTGTTCTGAAAATGTAGCACAGGATTTGGCATACCAAAAGCACTCAATAAATGATTTAAACAATTTTAATACGAGTGCAGCAGAATGTCCTACCTGCACTGCTCATCTTAGGTAAGTTCTTTCACGTGTACTTCCATGTGACTCCCCACCACAGGAAGACTGAAAACATGTCCAGCATCCTCCTCCCCTGCCAATCCCTACCCTTCTACCCCACGTAACTATTATTCTGACTTCTATTACCATAGATGAATCCTGCCTGTTCCTGAACTTCAGGTAGATGAACTGTACAGTACATGGTCTTTTTGAATCTGGCTTCTTTCACTCAGTATCATGCTAGTGAGATTCATCCATGTGTTACACATAGCAGTTCACTCCTCTTTACTGCCGTATGGTATTCCATGACATGAACACACCACAATTTAACTACCTATTCCACTACTGCACATCTGGGTTATTTCTACTTTGGGGCTCTGAAGAATAAGGCTGCTGTGAGCATTCTTGCACGTGTCTCCTAATGCAGCAGTCCCCAACCTTTTTGGCACCAGGGACTTGTTTCATGGAAGACAATTTTTCCAGGACGGATGGGGGTGTGTGGTTTCAGATGAAACTGTTCCACCTCAAATCATCAGGCATTAGCTAGATTCTCATAAGGAGCATGCAACCTAGATCCCTCACATGTGCAGCTCACAATAGGGTTCACGCTCCTATGAGAATCTAATGCCGCCACTGATCTGACGGGAGACGGAGCTCAGGTGGTGACTGATGCTCACTCACCTCCTGCTGATCTCACCGGAGACGGAGCTCAGGTGGTGATTGATGCTTGCTCACCTCCAGCTGTGCTGCCCAGTACCAGGTCTGCGGCTGAGGGGATGAGGACTCCTCTTCTAATAAACATGTATCTGCATTTCTCTTTGGGGATATACTAGAGTGGAACTGCTGATTCACAGGATAGCTGTATGTTTAATGTTAGCAGACATTCCCAACCAAAAAGCTTTCCAAAGCAATTCTTCCTATTTACATCCCACCATCATGTATTAGTTCAGGCTGCTTCATATCCTTGCCATCACTGAGTATTGTTGGGGCTTTTAAATTAGCCATTCTGGTGGGGTCTAGTGGTTACTTGTTGTGGATTAAATTTGCATTTCCCTGATGACTACTGATGCTGAATTCATTCCATATGCTTACTAACCATTTGGATTTCTTCTCTTGTGAAGTGGCATGCAAGTCTTGAGTCATTTTTAAAAACTGAATTGTTTCTTTTCCTTGTTGTTTTGTAGAAGTCCTTATCCTCTGTCAGATATATGTAACGCAAACATCGTTTCAAAGTCTTTCTCTTACAGTTAGTGTTTTTAAGTTAGCCTTTGTGTGCCTTAAGAAACGCTTGCCCAATCCAAGATAATAACCAAAGTCATCTGTGATTCTTCTAGAAGCTCTTTTGTTTTACCATTCACACTGAGGTCTATAAATTCAACTAGAATTGACATTTCTGAATGGTGTGAGTTAGGATTCCCAGGTCATGTTTTCCCCACTATGGACATTAAATTGGTCCAGCACCATTTATGAGAAAAACCATCCTTTTCTCAGTGAACTTCAGTGAGGCCTTTGTTGACTGTGGGTGAATCTGTTTCTGGATTCTATTCTGTTCGGTGATATTATTTGAGTTTCACCACTGACCCACAGTGCAATCACAGACGAAAATTTACCTTTCTTATAGGAATGAATAGCTACATAGGATATTTGTACAAAAACACTTATTTGTTGAGAAACTATTTCTGGGCACTTTATAGGCATGATAACATTTCACACTCACTATAACCCTGTTGGGGTAGGTCCCATTCTACAGACAAAGCTAAAACTTAGAGAGATAGAGTGCAATGCTCGGAAATTAAGGGGTGGCAGAACTTGAGTGTGGGTCTGCCTGGCCACAGGACTGATGCCCTTGCCACTGTGCCATTCTTCCTCAACATAGGATTACCGGGAAAACTACTGTTCAGTGATTATTCCTATAAACTCTTACATTTCTGTACAGAAGTGAATTTTGTTTTCTTACAAATTAGGTGTTTCCATTAAAAAAAAAAAAAGAAATGAAGAAAGGAAGAAAAAAGAAAAAAACAAAAAAACCCAAAACAACCCAGTCTGGACTCTCATTCTATCCCTGTCCCCACACCCTCCCCCCAGTAAAAACAATATGAAAAAAAAAAAACAAACCCACATCAAGGACAACCGATCAAAACACAGATCAAAAAAGAATGAAAGAAAAAACACTTCAAATAAAGTTCAGCTGTTTCTATTTGGAAACAACAACAACAAAAAATCCCACAATAAACTGACAAATAAGAAATTGCCTCTGTGGTAGCGGAGCTGGAATTTTCCGATGGCATTGGCTACTGTGTCATTACTGTGGGTGACCCAAAAGTGAGTTGGGCGAGTGAACAGCTGGGCACTAGTTGGGCTCGTGTCCCTGAGGAGGCAGCAGTCAGGGCGGTCCTTCAGAGTTAAGCTTCCCCTTGTAGCTGGTGCCTTTTCCCTGGATTTGGAAATCCCTGGTGGTCTCTAAAAGCTACCTCCAAGAAACGGAAAAGGAACCCTTCCAGCCCCATCCCCTACTGTGGGGCAGTTTTTGCTTCTAATCTGCTCTGACAGGCCAGTTTGGATTTCCTAACCCGTAGGGTGGCCGACAAAAGTGGAATGTTCTATACAGTCCTGACTGCAGATGTCCCATGGGGCACGGGTAGACTCCTATCCAAAGGCATCCCAGGCCTCACTCCTGTCCCAAGAAGGACATTATCCAGAGTGCTCAGAGAAGAGTGGTGGTGTTATTAGTGGATATTCGACACCAGCACTAATTCCTAGTCTCAGCATGCCCAAAATATCTATTGCTTTTTAACACAAAATACTAAAATTAAATTCAATAAAACTTGGATGGTGCTAATTACTAGAAAAATGGGTTAAACCAAATTTTAAATAATATGACTGACAAACCAAGAATACTTAATTTACCCGAGTCAAAGAACTCATGGGAGACATTTCTCTTGAGCTTAGAACCACCCTCTCCCCCCAGATAAATAAATACACACACATGCACACGCACACATACACATATTTCACCAAGCTGCTCTTTGCTCATTTATTTGTTCATTCCTTTTCCCATTCAGGTATCTATCTAAGAAATATTTTTTGGTTATCTACTACATGCAAGACAATGGTATATTTATATTGAGGTGAAACACAGAAAACTTGATCCCTGCCCTTAGGAAGCAATCCAGCGGGTAATCCAGACATAAATGCACACATATTTAACAATAACCTGTGATGAGCTGAAGGAACAGAACAAGTTTTGGCAGGGATCGGAGCGGGTGGCCTATCTCAGCTGGGACTTGAGAGAAAAGACACAGAACGCTGGGTGTGAAGCATGAGGATGACCAAGCCCAGGAGGAGCACAAGCAGAGATGTGCTTGGACAACTGCCTTCACGCAGGAACTGAGATCCTTCTCGGAAACAAAAACGTAGGTGTGCCTGGGGAATGCTGAAGAAGGGGAGAACAGCACTGGATACAAATGAAGAGGACCTTTTAGAATGTGATAGACTAGGCTTATTCTGAGGATGATGGGCCGTCTAGGAGGCTCTGTGAACAGGGGCATGCTTATGCAAGGTGGTGTGGGGAGTGGGAGAATCAGAGAGGAATGATCCAGTTTTGGTTTTCAAAGATCATGACACTGAATGAATGGGGAATCAAAAATCACCTGGACCCAGCAGGAGCAGAAACTGAAAGATGAGTTAGGAAGTCACTGCCGAAGTTCAGGGCCAGCAATGATGCAAGTGTGGACTGGATGGTGGCACTGGGGATAGAGACAATATCATCATTGTGTGAACATCACAGAATGTACTCACATTCTAGGCTATATTACCTAGTAACCTACTACACACCCAGGCGGTATGGTATACCCTACTGCTTCTAGACTATAGAACTGTATAGCATGTAACTGTACTTAATACTGTAGGTGCCTATAATACAATGATAAGTATCTGTGTATCTAAACATAGAAGAGGTACAGTAAAAATACAGTATTACAGCCTTATGGGACCAAGGTTGAATATGGGTCTGTGTTGACCAAAACATTACTATGTAGCACATGACTGTATATACTTTATACAAGAAACACATCTCAGACAGAAAGGTTGAGAATAAAAGGACTGATAAAATTGTACCATGTAAATACCAATCCAAAGCAAGCTAGGATAGCTATATTAATATTAGGCAGAAAATCATTTTTAGAGATAAAGAGGGTCACTTCATAATGATAACAGGACTATTTCTCAGGACCTATCATACACCTTTACTTAAAAACCTTACCTCAAAACATATAAAGGGAAAATTTATGTAATGAAAAAGAAAATTAGATGAATCCATAATCAAAGGTTGACATTTTAAAATACCTCTCTGATAAATCAAAGTAGACAAAAATATCAGTAAAAACATAAAAGTTTTAAATACCACCATTTACAAACTTGACCTAATGTATGTATAAACATTACTATACCCCACTACTGGAAAACAGACATGCTTTTCATGCTCACATAGAATATTTGCAAAAACTGACCATATTACTAGGTCATAAATCAAGTCTCAATAAATTTCATAAGACAGAGGATATCAAGTAGGTGCTATTTGATCACAATGCATTTATACTAGAAATCAAGCTCCAAAAGATAACTGAACAATTCTCAACTGTTTGGAAATGAATTTCTAATAATCCACGAGTCAAAAAAGAAGTTATAATAAAAATTGAAAAACACTTTTAAATGAATGGCAACAAAGTAATACATACAAAAATCCATGCAATGGAGTTCAAGAAGTACACAGAAAAGAGTAAAACTGAAAATTAATAATCCTAAATAAGCGGACAGATATAAGATGTTCTTGGGTTGGAAACTAAGTACTGTATGTCAATTCTCATCAAATTCATTTCAGTCAATGCAATTTCAATGAATAACTCAGTATGTGGGGGCTTTAAATTGTTTTTGTTAGTGGTAAACGAGGTTTTCTGTGTGTGTACAGGTATATACATGTATGTGCATGTGCACACGACCAAATGTGTAGAATTTATACTGATTCTAAAACTTTTATGCAACAATACAAATGACCAAAAATGGTCCTAACACTGTTACAAAAGAAGAGACAAATTGGAAGAACTGACTTATCCTTTATCAAGACATATTGGAAAGCTATAGTAATTAAGACCATCATACTGATGCAGGGATAGACAAAAAGATGAATGGAAAAGAAAGCAGAGTCCACAAACAGACTCAAAACTTGTATCAATTCTTCTGATAAAGGTGGCGCTACAGTGAACAAACACATGTTCTTTTCAGTAACTAGGGCCAAGACAATTGTGTGCCATCTGGAGAGAATAGAAATAGATCCTAACACACTCCGTACACCAAAGCTGACTCTAAATGAATTTGACATATATATATAAAAGGTAAAACTATAAAGCATTCAAAAGATAATATATTATTATCATCATAACCTCAGGGTAAAGAAATACTTCTTAAAACAAGATACACGTGCAAAAAACCTTAACTATAAAGGAAAAGAGATGAATTTGACTAAAAGTAAAGAATTTCTGTTATTCAAAAGAAACTATAAAGAAAATGACAAGGTAATCACAGAACAGGAAAGAGAAAATACTAGCAACACATGTAGCTGACAAAGAACTTCAATCTAGAATATATAAAGATGTGTTAACAAATAATAAAGAAAAATATCCCAATGGGCAAAAGGTTTGACCAAGGACATTGTAATGTATACACACATATGCACGTACACACACTCACACACACCTCAAATAGCAAACACTTCAGAAGATGCCAAGCCTCATTTACAGCGTGGGCAACAGGGAACGGGATGTGCAGTCCTAACTCCAGGGGAAGCACAAGGGAGGGAGGGGAGGAGGTGGTGTACAGGAGCTGAATGTTCATGTCATAAAATAAACAGGTCACACCAAAACTTGATATATCAAGAAACAGCAATAAAGCATATTATTTAGATATACAAAAGTACCTACTAGAAGAAATAGCTAAGAGAGTGAATTAAAAAGTGTAAAAAGTGGAGCTAGAGATATTGTTCCCTTATTGAATGCCTTTTGGAATTTAAAAATCCCCATATAGGTGTATTATTTTCATGAATTAAAAAAATAAAGGAAAAAATGCACAAGAAAGGGGGGGAAAGAGTGAATGGGAAGCGAGGAGTAAAGTAGGAGTCATTAGATAATTCTTTGGGAATGGCCTGGAAGAAGCATCAGTGTGGTTTTACCTAGGGAATAAGGTGAATTTTGAAATTGTATCATGTCCTTATTTACTTTAGTACTACGAAGGCCAGATTTTAATTTATAGCTCAGATCTAAAAACTGAATCTCTAGGCTGTAAGGCTTTTTCGTTTCTGACCATTCAACTACCATTCTCCCTTTGCACTGATATTTCAGTATGTGTCTCATATCTTACCACATTTTATATGCCTTTAAAATCTGGTAAGCTTAATAAATACAACTCCAAAGAATTACTGAATACACATAACACTAAAGATGCTTGTGATATTTTATCTTTTCTTAATGATTCAGGAGATTCCGTGATCTTGCAATATTTCACTGATTATCATTCTAAAAGCCAGTTATCCAGCTAAAGATATAGCTATCCATATAAATTTTTCCATGTGTAACTTTGAACCATTTCTCCACTACATGAATATGTTTATGTGGTTCTCTGCATGTGCTCTGTCTCCTCCCGGTGACTTTTAAGAAGGCAGTGTGGGGAAGTGGCTAAGGTCAGGCACTCACATGTATAAAATCTGGTTCTGACCTCTGGGCAAGCTAGAGACTCAGTTTTATTTCATCATCTACAACATACGGATGATAATCATAGTATCTGCTTCATGGTGTTGTCAGGGTTCAATAAGGCAATGGGTGTAAACACACAAGAGGGACTGAATGAATGTTTCCTGAAGGAAGAACTGAATGAACGGATGGCCATCTGGCAAGGAGGACACCAAGGTGGAAGGTGCTGCGAGCATCTGTAGGCCTACAATGTGCTCGTGTACAACAGTCTTTTTATTTTCTGGTCTTTGCTAAAAGCCAAAGACGCAATGAACACCCTGCTTCACTGGAAGGTCAATTCAGGGAATGTAAAAGTAAACTGTGAGTGAATTTCTTTTTTCATAATAAATCATCGTTTTCATTGGGAAATGCAACATCTGCAATTGTACCTGAACATTCTCGTACTGCTTTCCCATGACTAGAAGCTTTCTTCTTTTTTCTTTCCTTTTTGGGGGGCTAAAAAAATGTCAACACTCTTTAATGAGCACAGCCTTCAGGGACTCATGATAATGCCACGCACTAAACCAAATTTGCTTTACCCTGCAGAGGAGTCTTCTGAGGCTGTGTATTTGTCTTTTCCTGACTGAACTTACAAGCTACTGTGCTCTTTAAAATAAGATTGTTTTCTATTGCTAATCAGACAAATGACAGTATCTTCAGCACAAATAATAAGCATCGCTCAGTCTACTTACTTTGAAACACATGATTTTCATCAGCTGCTTTTCTCTTCTTGGCAGAAGCCATAGTTTTATTTTTAAAATGCCCCCCTCCTCAGTCTCCTCAATGCTAGGCTAGGCTCCTCACTGCCTCCCGCAGGCTACGCTCCCAGTCCTTGCAGTAGCCTTATTCACCCCTGCCCCACCACCAGCCAAGCAGTGACCAGGACAAGGGACACAGCTAAGTTTGGCTTTCACCAGGGAAGTTCGTGAAATTAAACAGTAGGTTTTATCTCAAATCTAAACAAGCTGTATCCGGTCCCTGGTTAGTCACCACTGTACAGTTTTGTATAGTACAACTAGTTGAACTGGTAGGAAAAAAGCAGGGTCCCTGCAGAACACCCTCCAGCAAGGGTGGCCAACCCAAGCCAGGGCAAGAGCCAGTGCTCTCAGCTTCTGCCGCAGAGGGCTGCAGGACAAACCCTCCGAAGATGAGAATTCAGCACCACTGAGATGCTCCTTCCTCTTGCTAGGGAGCCAGAGTGCTCCTCATGTTTCTACGTTGCCAAACCCTTGTTAAAACAGTACTTCCAAAAGACTGGGTACTCAGAATCTCTATAGCAAAACAATATGCCATAGTTCGTGTCTACTCTAGAGACCACACACACACTGGAAAGGTGACACCGGTGATGCGCAGCACAGTGCCTTGCATGGGCTGCCTGTGCCCCAGGTTTTAAAGTGCTTTTTGGCCACATGCTCATTTGGAATGTCTTATTCACCATGAAAAAACTAGCTTACCATACTACAAAGGTTACAGAAATGATATTCTAGCACCATAACTCTGAGAAAATGATTTGGTTCTCAGGAACAAGTAAACAAGCAAGCAAGGCAGCCAGCTACATACTGAATGAACATGAGGCAAGGGACTTGTTTTGCTAAGGGCCCCGGCTGTAAACTTGTGCATGGTAATTCACATGCAAGGATACAGGGGTTACTGTCACTGATGTTGCAGTTGTCCAGGATCAACGGGATACCATCCAGCTCATTTACCTAGAGAGAAAGAAGATAAGTTTATACACTGAAAACAGCATGGCTATAGTCAGAGATTACAGATGACTTGTTCCTTTTGTGTTTTCTTACTCAATGTTATAATATTGTTTGCACTATTATCTGAAATATCTATATCAACCCAGAACTACATAAAACAGACATGTAAACAAAAAGTGATATTTTATTTTATTTTCACTGGACTTCAAAAAAAAATATTGGGGCAAGTAGGTAGCCATATAAAAAAGAATCTAAGTAGATCACTTCCTAACATTGTTCACCAGGATAAACTCCAGATAGATATGAGATCTAAACTTAAATAATAAAGAAAATCAGTACTAGAAAAAAACATGGGTGAATTCCTCTTCTAAGCTGGGAATAGGAAAAGCTTTCCTAACTATGATTCAATCCGGAAGCAACAGGGGAAAGGTTTTAAAATTTGACTATTTGTTTTTCAAGGCAAATGAGAACTGGGAAAATTATTTGTAAGGTATCACGGATTTGGAAGATATTTGCAAAGGATTAATATTTTAATATATAAAGAACTTGTAAAAATTTAAACACCACCAACAATACAATAGAAAAACAGGTGAGATACATGAAACATACATGGCACCGAAAATACAAATAAACTAAAAAGACATCAGAATATGTTCAAACGTGCTCATAAGAGGGAAGCAAATTATAATTATACACATTTCTTACCTGCCAGACTAACAAATAACCAAGTCTGACAACAAATGCTATTGGTAAGGCCACAAGGAAACAGACACTCTCATACACTGCTGGAGGGAAAATGGTACAACTCCCATGAAAGGGAACTGGGTGTAAGCAGCAAAATGACACATAACCCAGTAACCCCATTTCTAAAATTACAGATCAAAAGCACACTACCCCATGAAATAATGTGTGACACAAGGTTATTCACTACAGCATAGTTTATTTTGTTATTTTATTTTTTTGTAAAGATGAGGTCTCACTATGTTGCCCAGGCTGGTCTCAAACTCCCAGCCTCAAGTGATCCTCCTGCCTTGGTCTCCCAAAGCACTGGGATTATCGGCATGAGTGACTGTGCCTGGCCCAGTTCATTTTTTGCTGAGACATCATCACAAACTATAAAATTCACACTTTTAAAGTGTGCAATTTGGTGGTTTTCAGTATATTCACAGAGTTATATAACCATTAGCATGATCCAATTTTCCAACATTTTCCTCACCCCTAAAAGAAACTCCACACCCACTGGCAGTCACTCCTTATTCTTCCCTCCCCCCAGTCCTTGGCAACTATCCTTCTACTTCCTGTCTCTCTGGATTTGCCTATTCTGGACATTTCCTATAACGGAGTCAGAAAATCTGAACGACATGTAGCCTTTTGAACCTGGCTTCTTTCACTCAAGGTTCACCCATGTTGTGGCATGTCAGCGCTTCATTTCTTTTCACGGCTGAGTAACGTGAACAGTGCATTGTACGGATATGCCACATTGCATTTTTCCATTCACCCACTAATGGACATTTGTGTTATTTCCACCTCTAGGTTATCATGATAATGCTGCTCTGAATGTGCATGTACATGTTTTTGAGTGGATATAAGTATTCATTGTTCTTGGGTATATACCTAGGAGTCAAACTGCTAGATCATATGAGTTATAAACATTTGAGGAACAGCCAGACTGTTTTCACAGTGTTTACAGTATTTTACATTTTCACCCAGCAATTTATGAGGGTTCCAGCATCTCCACAATCTCATAAACACTTGCTATTGTCTGTCTTTTGTAGTAGGCATTCTAGTGTAAGTGAAGTGGTATGCCATTGTGGTTTTGATGCGCATTTCTGATGACTAATGATACTGGGTGCAGCACAACTTATTATGAAACAACTCAAGTCTCCACGAATGGGGGTTGCTTACATAAACTACGGTACAAACACAGTAGACTGCTATATGGCTGTGAATGTGAGTGGAGAAGATTGCTGATGGACTGCTGCGGGAGGATCGCCAGGAGATGTAGCCAGATTACAACATGTTAATAGCCTTATATGAGAATCTTGTGTGTGATAAAGGAGTATTTTTAAATACTCTGAACAAGAAACAATGGAAGGTTAAACCAAAAACAAATAATGGTTATCCACAGGGTAAAGAAGAGAATGGGGTGGAGGAAACAGGAATGGAGACTCTGTGAATGTGCCTTGTATAATTTTGACTTTGGAATCCTCTGTGTTTTATCTACTTTTAAAAAATTAAATTTAAAGTTATAAAAATTGAAAACATACAAATTAATCTAATGAAATATAAAATAAAGTTCTTTTCAGAATTAAACAGTATTTTGACTTTACATCCCTAGTGAGATATACATAACCTAAGATGATACAGAACCGCATAGAAGTGTTTAAACTGCATTCAGTCATCTGAACATGAACTATTCCAAACGCCATGTCCCGCTGAAAGAAACCAGATCTCCAGCTGATTCTAACACACAGGCTTGCTAGGAATCTATTAACGATCCTTATTTTACAAAGGCCAGGAAGAAGAGAAAAAATTAGTTGGTAACCATCTAATTTCTGTAATTTTTTCCAGGCACTGAAGGTGTGATGGGAAATGAACTACTATTTAGTAGACACCTGGCATATACTAGGCAATCAGATGCTTTAATGACTTCGTTTAATTCTGAAATGCTAGAGTAAGTATTATTGGTTCCCTTTT
The DNA here is from genome assembly GCF_000001405.40 of Homo sapiens. Classification (NCBI taxonomy): domain Eukaryota; kingdom Metazoa; phylum Chordata; class Mammalia; order Primates; family Hominidae; genus Homo; species Homo sapiens. Next base: position 45,804,264 of record NC_000022.11, on the reverse strand, counting down.
ACAGATAAAAAAGTGAGGCTCAGAAGTCCCCTTCCTGTGGTCACTGACCTAATAAGTGCTATTCAAGGTGAGGTCTGGAGACCACTGTCAGTTTGTAGGAACAGACACTGAAGGGAGGGAGCTGAGAAACTGCCGACAATATGACAGCCATGCGGTGTCTGCTGAATCTTACGATGAAATTTGGGCTTGAATTCTTATGCCTTTTTTTAGATTTATTTTTCTAGTCATTCATTTTATACTATATCCTATCCAAATGTAGGTCCAGGATGGTTTGAGGGAAAGATAAGTGGCTCTTCACCACAGCTAGTTTAGGAAGCACTGGCATGGAGGGTTCGACCACTATAGAGAGTGGGTCTTGGAGGGGGGATCATGTGTTTGAGAAGCACAGAGAGAGTTTTATGGCCAAGTTGGTAATGACCCCACCTGAGACTGTATCCAAAGCTTCCCAAGGATGCCCTCACACCCCCACTTCTCCTCTGATAACCTGCCCCACGTCTACCAGCAGGATGGGGTACGTACGCATCCTGTACGTAAAGTAAAGTACGTACAGTAAAGTCTGCAAATGGGAAAGAAGAGATGCCAAATGCCTTTGCCTTGTGCTGACCGATATTGGGATGAAGATAAGGAGAAATCCAGAAAAGAAGCAAGGGCCCTATAAGTGTCACTGAGAGGAAAGAATCCAGCTCGTCCTCACCAGCTCTCCATAAATGTGTGATCCAAACCCTTCTGGAACATAGGTGCATCTCCACGCCAGATTGAGGTTGGTTTTCACGCTCATAGTTTGTTTGGCTAGAAGAACATATAGCATGGGGCTCACAAGAGAAGGCCTCCCTAAAGAAGTGGCATTTAGCTTAAGATGAGAAGAATGAACAGGAATTAAATAAGGCAAAGGGGACTGTGGGAGTGTTTTGGGCAGGGGGAAGAGTATGTGCAAAAGCTGGAAGATAAGATGAAACATGAAGCTCATGGAACTGGGAGGCAGTGCGGCATAGGGATTAAGAGTGGCCACTGTGGAGCCAGGCTGCTGGGGTCAAAGCCTGGCTATGAGATCTGTTGGCCTTGGGCAAGTCAAGAAACCCCTAAGACTTGGTTTCCTCCTCTGTAAAATGGGGATGATAGTGCCTTCTTCAAAGAGTAACTGTGAGTGTGTTTAGCACACAGTAAATACTCAATAAAGAGCACTGGGAGTGATAGCAGTAGTTGGTGACATTCACACTGTTAAATGCAATTAGTTCATTTAGGAACAAGGGGTTGGGCAGTAGCTCCTAAATGCATGACGAAACTGAATAATTACTTCAACAGGGCTGAATTTACACTTCTTCTCTGCATTAGGCAAAGTTTCAAATTTATTTTCAAAAACCAGGTTTTTTTTGATTAGTGAGAAATAAAAGTATTCGGGATTTATTATTCAATGCATGGAAAACACCTCACTTTCTACAAAAAAAAAGTAGAACTCTTGAGATATGCTAAATGGGTAAGATGTTCTTTGAAGGAAATGAAATCACACATTAAAAACTGAAATTTAAGCAGGCAATAAAGGTGAACTAAAGAGTTCTTAAAAATCATGGTTCCACTGGAGTTGTGTGTCAACTGAGGGTATGCGTTCCTGGATAAATATTTCTTATTCATACAGCTGCATTAGGAAAGGATACAAGGGAACCATTTATAGAAGTTCATTAAACGTTTACAACATAAATGACCTATTCTGGACAAGGATGACAGCGGCATTATGACAAATACACAATTACATACTTAAGAATGAACACAGGTTAAGGTCACTGGGAAAAGCAGACACCAATACAGCACCTTCAGGAAGGGTGACTGACGATACAATTTTGTTTTTACAAAGTCCAAGTTTACTGCTATAACTACAAGTGTCAAGCTAATGTTGGGGCAGGAGAGAAACAATTAAGTTTTCTTCTGTCAGCACTTCATTAAACAAGAAAGTTGTTTGTTTCTTTACTAACATGTTGGGAGTTGATTGTAGGCCCGTAATTAATGAGTCACAAGTTACAGTTCACACTGAGGAGCCAAGCTCAGTCAACACTTTCCCGTGGTAGTGCATCTCCAGGAGACAATAAGCCTGGCTTAAACAAATTAACATTTAGCCTCTGGAAATGAAGTGTAAACAGAGGACAACAAATAGATTTGGGAACTGTTCTTTCCCACATTAGCCAATAATGCCAGAGTAGGCACTCCGCTAAGGGTACAGGCCCAACTCTAATAACCAAGCTCCTTTGGGAAAACCTACTAGGTTGACAGAAAACAGAGCCTGTTAGCTGTGTGACCTTGGGGAGGTTTCTGAACTTCATTAAGTCTAAATTTTCTTACATGAAACAAGAGGGCCATACCCACCTCCCAGGTGTACAGTGAGGACTGTATGGGAAAGCATCCAGCATGGTGCCCAGCACATCATGAGACCACAGGAAATGGCAATGATTTGTAATATTATTTTCATTTGGCTCTGAGATTCTAAAGGTTTCCTTTACCATCCACATTTGAAAAGAGCTGGATATGGTAATCCTTCACCAACCACTAGCTGTCCTTCAGCAAAGTTTGAATATGGAAAGATCTACTTCTACAATCATAAGAAATTTGGTAGATATGGGGTTATTCTAAGTTAGTGTAATGTTGTTCTTGACTGTCTCATTAACTGGGTGTATGTCTGGATTTGTAATTTCCATCCATACTCTTTTGCTGGCTTTAGCCTTACACAGCAATTCTAAGTCTCACAAAAATATAGTACCATTGATCTTTGTGTTGCATTTGTTTCCATGGTGTTTTGTGCCACTTAGCAGTGGGCATTTCAGGCCTGAGCTGCTGCTTTTGTCCACAATGCCTGGGCAGCAACATATGGTGTGACTCAAGCAGAAGTAAAAAAGAAGTGGCTTGGGCATTGCAGACACTCTCTAGAGAGAAAACTCAGAGCCAAAGTCTGGCCAGTGCTCCTCAGCCTAGGCTACAACTTAGAATCACTTGGGGGAGGTTTTAAAAAGTGCCAGTGCTGTGGTCCCAACCCCAGAACAAATGAATCTGCATTTCTGCGCATCAGTGTTTTAGACAAACTCTCCAGGTGACTCTAACATACAGCCAAGGTGAAAACGCCTGATCTCCCCAAAGCCAAACAGCACCCACCAAGCCAACCTGTAAGACCTGCTCAGAAGAAACGCCTGAAACCTAACGCACTGCCCTCCACACACTATCCCCTTTGGTGCTTCGTTTTCTTTACTTCTAAAAGGCATTTTATTGAGGTATAATTTACAGAAACTGCCAAGTGCATCTGCACAGCCACAAACAAATCAAGACATGGGATGTTTCCATCACCCCCAAAAGCTCCTTGCGCAGCTCTGCAATCACTGCAGCTCACCTCGCCCCTGCCCCATCTCCTCTTAGGCATCTGTTTCTGTCATTACAGGTAAATTTTGTCCGTTCTATAACACAAATGGGTTTAATGAAAAGTGTTTTCCAATGTTTTCGAGATTCATCCACGTTGTTACATGTATCATTGATTTTTGTTTATTTCTAATTATGAATATACTACCATTTATTTATCCACTCATGTGTTGATGGCCACTGGGTTGATACCAGTTTTATCCGCAATGAATGGAGATGCTATGAACACATGCATCTGTATCTTTTCATGGGTGCATGTTTTCATTTTTTGGGTGGATACCTACGAATGAAATTGCTGGGTCATATGAAGTATATGTTCAACTTTATTAAGAACTGCCACAGTATTTTTCCAAAGTAGTTGTACCATTTTACATTCTCCCCTACAATGTATTGGAGTTACTCTAGATCCTTATCAACACTTGATATGTTGTCAGCCGTTTTAGGCAGCATCACACTGTGGTCTTAATTTACATTTCCCTGATGGCTAATAATGTAAAGTATCTTCAGGTACTTATGGGACATTTCTGTTTCGTTAGTGAAATGTTATTCAAATATTTTGCTCATTTTATTAACTGGGTTGTTTTCTTCTCATCGAGTTGTAAGAGGTTCTTTACATATTCTGCATATGAGTAAGTCCTGTGTCGGATATATGTATTGCAAATATTTTCTCGTATACCATGGCTTGTTTTTTCAATTTTTTAATAATACGTTTCAAAGAGCATTGACTTTTTAATATAGATGAGATACAATTTACCAAAACATTTTTTCATGGTATTTTTTATATTCTAAAAAGTCCTGGCCTACTTCAATATATCCATAATGTTTTCTTCTACAAGTTTTGTATTCCCAGCTTTTATGTGGCTATTTTAAATCAATTTTTGTTTGGTATAAATTAAGAGTCTAGGTTCTTTTTTACTCCATAAGGATATAAAATCATTCCAGTGCCATTGTTGAAAAATATATCTTTTCTCCACTGAGTCTGGACTCTATTCTGTTCCACTGGTATATACATCTATATTTACATAAATACCATACTATCTTAATTAGCTTTATAGTAAGTCATGAAAGAAGTAATATAATCCTCTTTGTTTTGTTTTCAAAATTGTTTTGGCAATTGTATTAGTTTGGTAGGGCTGCCTTAACAAAGTACCACAAACCAAATGGTATAAAAGACAGGAATTTATTGTTTTACACTTCTGGATGGTAGAAGTCCAAGATCAAGATGTTGGCAAGGGTGGTTCTTTCTGAGGACTATGAAGGAGAATTTGTTCTAGGTCTCTCTTTAGCTACTGATAGTTTGCTGGCAAACTTTGGTGTCCTTGGTTTTTAGATCTCTGTCTGTATTTTCACATGACATTCTCATTCTGTGTGTCATCTGTGCCCAATTTCCCCTTTTTATAAGGACACCACTCATACTGGATTAGGGGCCCATCCTCCTCCAGTATGATCTCGTCTTAAGTAATTACATTGGCAATGACACTGTTTCCAAATAAGGTCACGTTGTAAGGTATTGGGGTTTAGCAATTCAACATATGAATTTTGGGGGATACAATTCAACCCATAACAGCTATTCTAGGTCTTTTGCATTTTCAAATTTTAAAACCAGCTCATCAATTTTTATAAAAAATGTTTCCTGGGACGGGCGTGGTGGCAGGCGCCTGTAATCCCAACTACTCGGGAGGCTGAGGCAGGAGAATCTCTTGAACCCGGGAGGCGGGGGTTGCAGTGAGCTGAGATCACACCAGCCTGAGTAACAAGAGTGAAACTCTGTCTCAAAAGAAAAACAAAAAACAAAACACAAATGTCTCCTGGCATTCTGACTGGTATAGCATTCACTCTATAGAGGTCAACTTGGGGAGATCTAACACTTAACAATATTGAGCTGTCTGTTAAATTTTAACTTCTCTCAGCAATGTTTTATGGTTTTCAGAGTATAGGTCTTGCACATATTTCGTTAAAGTTTATTCCTAAATATTTCATGTTTTATGATGCTATTGTATGTGGCATTTAAATTTTTTCTTATTATTATTTGCTAGTTTTATATAATTAATTTTCATTTACATATCTTGTAACCATTCAAAATTCACTTCTCATAACTTTATCAGTTCCTTAACACACACGATCACCTCATTTATGAATAAAGCCAGTTTTACTTCTTTCCAACCTGCATGCATCTGATTTTTCTTGGCTTAGTGAGTTGCTCTGGACCTTCAGCACGTTGTTTACTGGAGTGGTGAGAGCAGAAATTCTTGCCTTGTTCCTGATGTCAGAGAGAGAGCAGTGTTTCATCATAAAGTATGAAACTAGCTGTTGAATTTTTTTTTCATAGATGCCTTTTTCAGGATGAGAAAGTTCCTTTATACTGTTAGTTTGTGGCAAATTTTGACGTGAATGAGTGTAAATTTTGTTCCGAATGCTTTTCCTCTATTGAGATAATCATATTGTTTCCTCCCTCTTATTCTGTTAATATGGGAGAATTAAAGTGTCTGCTTTTCTAACATCAAACCAACAGTGCACGGCTGAGATAAACCATCATAGGTTCATGATACATTATCACTTTCTGTATTACAAGATCCACTTTGCTGATATTTTGAAAAGTGTTTTTATGTTTCTGACCATGAGAGACACTGCTCTGTAGTTACTTTGTTTGTTCCCTTTTAAGGTTTTTGTCCGGATTTGGGAACAGAGTAATGGTGGCTTCATAAAATAAGTTGAGAAGTGTTCCCTCCTCTATTTTATGAAAGAGAAAGATTGGGTATATGCTTTCCTTCTTAAATGCTTGACAGAATTCACTGCTGAAACTATGTGTGCCTGGAGATTTTGTTGTAGAAACATTTTAAACTACACATTTAATTTTTAAAAATATTTATCCTTTATTCAGTTTTTATTTTGTTTCTTTCAAGAAAACTGTTCATATCATCTATTTTGTCAAAATTTTTTGGCATCAAGTTGTTTATGCTATTCTCTTATTATCTTTTTAATGTCTGTAATATCTATAATGATGTCTCCTCTTTCACTGCTGATAGAGGTCATTTATATTTTGTGTCATTTTCTTGACAGGTAGACAGATTTATCTGGAAAGATTGATCAATCTTTTTAAATATGCATCCAGCTTCTGATTACATGGACTTTCTCCACTCTATGTCTATTTTATTTTCTACTTCAAAGATTTCCATTCTTATCTTTGTTAATTCTTTTCTTCTACTTACATTGGTTTAATCTACTCTTGGTTTTATTACCTTCTTAAGTTGGAAACTAAGATGACTGATCTTAAATCTGTCTTGTTTTCTCATGTATTTTAAATTTCCTAAACACTACTTTATCCCCATCTTACAATTTAGGTATGCCATTTTTCATTTTTATTCAGTTCAAAATATTTTCTAATTTCGATATGGTTGTGTCTATGACATGTGGGTTATTTAGAAGTGTACTGTTTAATTTTCAAATATCTTGGGATATTAGAGATATTTTATAGTTTTAACTTATAATTCTGCTGTAGAGACAGAATATAGTCTATGTTTTCAGTTCTTCTACATTTATTGAGCACTGTTATGGCCCCAGCATATGGTCTGTCTTGGTGAATGTTCTATGTGTACTGGAAAGAACATACATGCTGTTATTGGTGCAGTGTTCACTAAATTTCACCTGATCAAGGTGGCTGATGGTATTCCAGTTTTCCATATTCCTCCTGCTTTTCTTTCAGCTTGTTCTGTAATTTATAAAGATAAGAACGCTGATATCTCCGATTATGACTGCAGATCGATTTTTTCTTTCAGGTGTCAGTTTTGGTTTCAGTTATTTGAAATTCTGCTATTAGCAATGTATGTTTAGGCTATTATGTCTTCTTGATGAACTGACCCTTTAATCATTATGAAATATCACTCTTTTACATCTAGGGAAATTCTTTGTCCTTAGGTCTATTTTGTCTAATATTAATATAGCCACTCCAGCTTTCTTATAAGTGTTTACATGGTATATCATTCTTTCACTCTTAAGGTATCTTCACCTTTATATTCAAAGTATATTTCTTATCATAGCATATAATTGAGTCTTGCCTTTCAAAATCCAGTATAGGCCAGGCACAGTGGCTCACGCCTGTAATCTCAATGCTTTGGGAGGCGGAAGGTGGGAGGATAATTTGAGGTCAGGAGTTCGAGACCAGTCTGACCAACACGGTGAAACCCCATCTATCGGGGGAACCAGCCCCCAATATTTCAACGTAGGTTCTTTTCTATTTTCCTTAAGTGTCGGCCGGTCTGAGAAATAAAGAGAAAGAGTACAAAGGAGAGAAATTTTACAGCTGGGTCTCTGGGAGCGATATCACATGTTGGCAGGTTCCGTGATGCCCCTTGAGCCACAAAAGCAGTAACTTTTTATTAGGGGTTTCAAAAGGGGAGGGGTGTACAAACAGGGTGTGGGTCACAGAGATCACATGCTTCAAAGGCAATGAAATATCACAAGGGCAGAGAGGCAGAGTGAGATCACAAGGCCAGGGCGAAACTAGAATTACTGATGAAGGTCCATGTCCTGCTGGGCACACACTGTCATTGATAAACATCTTAACAGGAAATAGGGTTCGAGAGCAGTCAACCGGTCTGACTAGAATTCGCCAGGCTGGAATTTCCTAATCCTAGCAAGCCTGAGGGCGCTGCAGGAGACCAGGGAGTATTTCATCCCTTATCTACAACTGCATAAGACAGACACTCCCTGAGCGGCCATTTTAGAGACCTCCCCCTGGGAATGCATTCGTTTCCCAGGGTTATTCCTTGCTGAGAAAAGAATTCAGCGATATTTCTCCTAGTCACTTTCTGAAAGAAGAGAAATATGACTCTGTTCTGCCCGGCCCTGCAGGCAGTCAGGCCTTATGGTTATCTCCCTTGTTCCTTGAAAATCGCTGTTACCCAGTTCTTTTTCAAGGTGCCCAAATTTCATATTGTTCAAACACACATGCTTTACAAACAATTTGTGCAGATAACGTGATCATCACGGGATCCTGAGGTGACATACATCCTCAGCTTATGAAGATGACGAGATTAAGATATTAAAGACAAGACAGGCATAGGAAATTATAAGAGTGTTGATTAGGGAAGTGATAAATGTCCATGAAATCTTCACAATTTATGTTCAGAGACTGCAGTAAAGACAGGTGTAAGACATTATAAAAGTATTAATTTGGGGAACTAATAAATGTCCATGAAATCTTAACAATTTATGTTCTTCTGCCATGGCTTCAGCCAGTCCCTCCGTTCAGGGTCCCTGACTTCCCGAAACACCGTCTCTACTAAAAATACAAAAATTAGCTGGGTGTGGTGGTGAACCTGTAATCTCAGCTACTTGGGAGGCTGAGGCAGGAGAATTGCTTGAACCTGGTAGGCAGAGGTTGCAGTGAGCTGAGATCGCGCCACTGCACTCCAGCCTGGGCAACATAGAGAGACTTCATCTCAAAAAGAATAGAATAGAATAGAATAGAATAGAATAGAATAGAATAGAATAGAATAGAATAGAATAGAATAGAATCCATTCTAGTAGTCTTTTAGTTGGATATTTAAGCCATTTACATTTAATATATTTATCAACATGATTGAGTTTATCATTCTGCCATCTGTTTTCTATTTGTCTTCACTATTCTTTGTTCTTATTTTCCAGACTCTTTTGAGACTGAGCATTTTTAAATATTCCACTTATTTCTCCAATACTGGCTTGTTAACTGTCTCTCTCTTTTTCTAAAAGTGGTTGCACTGGAGTTTAGAGTATACATCTTTACCTTGTTGCAGTCTATCTACAAATAATACCATACTACCCCACATACAATATAAGAATGTTGTAACTGTATACTCTGTTTAATCTTTGGGCAATTACTCTCATATATTTTTCTTCTATATACACATTAAAAATCCCCTAATATACTGCCATTATGATTACTTTAAAGAGCCAATTACATTTCAAAGAAAATTAAAAGTGAGAATAGAAATCTTTTCTTTTTACCCATATATTTAACTTTTCCAGGGATTCTGATCCTTTGTATATATTTGTATAGGTCAGGTTTCCATGTGCTATCATTTACTTTCACCTTGTTGAACTTCATTTAACATTTCTTACAGGACATTTTACCTTCTTTTTTTTGACCTTCATTTTTGAAGGATATTTTGGCTGGATACATAATTCTAGATTAACAGTTTTCCTTTAGTATTTTTAAGATGTCATTCCATTGATTCCTGTCTTGCATCATTTCTGAAGGAAAGCCTGTTATCATTTTTATCTTTGTTCTTATAAACTGACAGGCAAGAAAGTCAGTGAATTAGAACAACAACACTACAGAGAAGATTAGCCAAAACCAAAAGCTGGTTATTTGTAAACATTAATAGAATGGAAAATTCCAGAAAGACTGAGGAAGGAAAAAAGAGACATCCTTTTTTTTTTTTTAAGAAAGAATAGAATTAAAAGGGAGAAACAGGTTTTAGACAACCTAGATAAAATATTAAAATATGAACAATTTTATGAAAAAAATGTGAAAATCTAGATGAAATAGATATTTCTGAGACAGAAAATGTTAAAATTGACAGAAAAAAATCAAAGGCTTGGATACAACTGTCCTTTTTAAAGTGCCCAGCCAGGCTACTGCCCATGTCCTGGAGAGGTAGGAGGCAGGGCTCAGACACCTGACCAAATTGAGGACTAACTAAAACAGGTAGGTCAGGGGTGGAAGCCATTTTCTATAAGACATACCCACCAATATGTCATGTCAGTTTACCATTGCCATGGCAACACCCAGAAGTTACCGCCCCTTTCCACAGCAACAACCTGATGACTTAAGAGTTGCCACCCTTTTCCTAGAAATTTCTGCATAAACTGCCCCTTAATTCGCATATAGTTAAAAGTGGGTATAAATATGAGTGCAGACCTGTCTCTGAGCTGCTATTCTGGGCACACTGCCTATAGGGCAGCCCTGCTCTGCAAGGAGCAGCACCTCTGCTGCTGCTATACACTGCTGCTTCAATCAAAGTTGCTGTTTACCACCACCAGCTCACCCTTGAATTATTTCCCGGGCAAAGCCAAGAACCTTCCCAGGCTAAGTCCCAATTTGGGGGCTTACCTGTCCTGCATCACTGGGGAAAGGCAGGAATCGGGGGTGGCAAGAGCTCCTCAGTAGCAGGCAAGAGGGCCTCAGCATGGAGCTGTGTGATTGGTGACTTCTCTTGAGATGCTGTGGCACCTGCATCCTTGGCAAAGGCTGGTGGAACAGACTGTGACTTCTGAAGCAATAGCTGCCTAAAATGAAGGTGCAGGCTCCAGAATTCTAGTCATTTGTCACAGAAAGATTGAAGAGCTTGACAGAATTATTTGTTAAAGAGAATCGTGAATTCAGAATAGCAGAAGGAGCAGTGAGAGATTTATTAAATGGAATAAGACCTCAAGATGTGGACTCTGCTACCATTGTTACCCTTATTGAAATGCAGTAGATGTTTCCGTCAGCTGGTATTTGGATGATGGACAGCAGAAAAGCACAGAACAATTACTGCCAGGCTTCGTGAAGACAATTTTTAAATTACTACACTCTGGACTGATGTTGTCACTGATGGAAGACATGCTGAGGACAAATTCACAACTGACTAGGAGATGCTGAACACAAAGCTCTCTAGCAAACAATTCTATGTCTTTGGGTTTTGATGGTACTTTATCTAATTTAATGGTTATGGAGATTTTTTAAAATAAGAAAAGTCTGTTGGACATCAACAGAGTACAATACAATTGTTTTTGAATTTTAAGATATGTCAGGTTTTGTGGGAGAACTGTAGACAAACCTGGTGACCACGGTCCTGAGAAGCAACTGCAGAGCCTGCAAAAGGCCTGGCTGGGCTATTAGGAGAAAGCATTTGGGTGGAACTAAAAAAGCTCTTGTCAGTAAACATGTAAATCATTTGATTCACCTTATCTATGATCTTCATGTGGCTCCCTATGTAGGTATAACAGCCAATGCAAGTTTAGAAGAATTTAACAAAGTCAGTAAAAATGTCGAAGGTTTTTCACCAAAGCCAATGACTCTTTTGGCCTCATTATTCAAAGTACAGAATGATGTCACAAAATTGGATTGGAGGTTGACGATTTCAAAAGAAGAGAAAAACCTTGGCTTGTTTATAGTTAAAAATAAAAAAGACTGAATTAAAGCAATAGATAGTTCAGAGCCACTGAAACCCTACCAAGACTTTCTCAGGGACTTTAGGGAACTTGCCGTGACTTCTCACATACGTGAACTACTGAAGAGCCAAGGAGAGCACCATCCCCTAAAGGAAAGGCAGCTGTGGTCCCTTCCTACAGTTCCTGTTCAGTGGGCATGACACCAGAAAAGGGGACATTTCTTGGGGGAAAAGAAACCAGGGCTCTATTACAACAACTACAAGAACGGTGGAGAAAAAGTGGTTACCAAGGGGGAAAAGATAAACTTCTAAGTTATCTGAAGCTAGAGAGCTCACTACTAAAAAGTGGAAACTTTTTGGTAAGACCAGTTGATTTACTGTCCTCCCTCTTAGTGAGATGAAACTACAGCAGAATAAAAGCCAGCTTAGAGGACCTCTTTAGAAGAATAACGGTCTTATTTAGTGAAATATAATTATATTTTAGGTACTAAATTTAAGTCTACCTCCTCTTAATCTAATTTATATCATTGAATCTTCTAATTCTTTCAGAATAATTTCTATGAGAAGGGTAGAATTGACTTCTATTTTAATCTATTTAGACTTTTTTAAAATTTTTGTTTTTGCAAAGGATAGTGCTAAGATTGAGCTTAAGAAAAGGTAATTGCCTTGAAGAAAAAATGTTTATTAACATTTGGAATGCTTATAAGTGTCAGTTCTTATCTGAATTCCAAAATAAACTGTGCCTGGGAAGAAAATAAGAAAAAATATTAAAAGAACAAAAATTTTTAAAGATACTAAAATGACCAAGACTCACTAACAAACACAAAGACGCAAATAGCTCTCAAGCGAGTTCCACCCAATTTTCAAGAAACAGAACATGTATTTTGTATACAAGTTGTTCCAAAACAACAGAAAAATAAGGAAAGATTTCCAACTCATTTTACAAGGCTAGTATGACTTTGTTCCAAAACCAGGAAAGACAGACCACTGTAAAGAAATTAAAGGCCTTTTTAACTTATGAAAATAGATCCCCTTCCCCTAAAATATTCTAGAAATAATATTAGCATAACTAAATCAAAGATGCTACAATAATACATCATGTTCAGGCAGACTTTTCTCAAAAATGCAAGAATAGATTCAAGTGGATCAGAAAATCTACAATGAACCTCATTAATGTACTCATAATAATATCAACCATCACAGAAAAAGTACCCGACCATGCTTAGCCCCTATTTATGATTTTTTTTGATTATCAGAAAACTAGAGAACTTTTTTAACTTCAAAAAGGCTATGTGTCAGAAACCCATAGTAAATGTCATAGGTAAAGGAAAGTTTACATAGATGCTAAGACCAGAAAAAAAACACAAGGATACTGTCTCCTGGCACTGATATAGAAAAATAAATTCAATAAAATACTATAATTTTAAAAGGTCTTTGTTTAAAATGTTCTATCTCTAGAAATCAAGGATGTTCAGAAAATCAAAGAGGAACTAGAATGATGTAAAAAGTATTTCAGTCTTACTATCAGAACAGAAACAACAAAAGAATAAAAACAAACTAAAGCAATAAGGCTGATTTAGCTGGAAAACAGTAATGTTTTTTGGAGTAAGAGCACTTTGGGAGGCCAAAGAGGGAGGCTGGCTTGAGGCCAGGAGTTTGAGACCAGCCTGGGCAACATAGAGAGACCCCATCTCAACAAATAATTTTTTAAAAAATTAGCTGGGTGTGACAGTGTGTAACTGTAGTCCCAGCTACTGGGGAGGCTGAGGCATGAAGATGGGTTGAGCCCAGGAGTTCGAGAGTACAGTAAGCTATGTCTGTGCCACTGCACTGCAGATTGGGCGACAGAGAGAGGGAGAGAGAGGCTCTGTCTTGAAAAATAAACAATAAAAATAAATGAAATGGGAAATAAGATCTAGAAGGTCAGGATAAAAAGATATAAAGAGGAATGAAAACGCACTGTGTTCTAACACACTTACAGTGAAGTGTAGAAAAGAGTAGATGTTTCAGTGGCTATTTGAACAGAAACTGTGATTGGGTCCTACAAAACCCATGAGAGAAGCAAGGCATGGTCTTGACTCACTGGAATTACTGACAGCAAGATCCAAGAAATTACTGAGGAGATTGCTCCCAAATGTGTAGCCCCCCAACTGTCAGAGACTAACTGAAATCTGCTGAAGCAGAAATGAAGACTTTCTCCATCTTTCCCTCAGATATCACAGACTTTCTGCTATGGTCTGCTAGTTGGCAACAAGTAAGAAGTATTGGTTTCTGGAGACATACTTTTGCTTGGGGTAACTATTAGAAGACCAGGAATTGGCTTGTTTTCTAACTCTGGTGTATGTGTGGGGCGGCGGGGGGGCAATGTTTTGATAATCTCGTGTCCTGTTAACTTTTTTAATTTTAAGAAGTGAGGCATATCAGAGGTTTGGTATTGGGTGTTCCTGAAAGAACCACACACATTCCGGCAAGAGACAGTCCAGACTGCAGCTGTTACAAAAAAATCCTGACCCTATACAGGCATTAAGAGCCCCTCTAACTGGGATTGTGCAGAATAAGAAATCAGGGAGAATATATTTTGAATTTCAATTTATTTGAACACACATGGGCAAGAGAATTGGACTTTAATGCCTTTGGACTTTAATTTAAAATGCAATGTTATCTTTGGATTTTAATATCTCTCTGGAAATCTGATAATGAGATAGAATTAATATTCAAATATGGAGTGTCTCTTATGGGCATTCTATTATTACAATGAATGTAGGCCTTTCATTGGAGTATCTTAATATGGAATGAATTTTCCACCTTGAGGTCAAAGTGATTTTGCAGTTAATTAGATTCATGTGTTGTTCTGACCCACTTAAGAGTCTTCTGGGGGTAAAATATCCACTCCTCACCAGCGGTCCAAGAGGAAAAAAAGGAGTGTAGTTGGCAAAGCAGCCTCATGAAGGTGGGAGCAGGACAATCCTGACAAACTGAGCTTCTCTCCAAAGGAAGGACACACTCCTACATCCCTAACGGCCAAAGCTAAAGCCCAACACATCAGTGCACCACCACCACCACCACAAAGGGGCTGGATGGGTTAGAAGGCTCTCCCTCTCTTCTTCTTGTCGTGGAGAGAGCTGTATTAACATACTAACCCCTAACTTTTCCAGGCCCTTCACTGGCGCCTTCCCAGGGCGGTGACAATTGAATCCCTCTTTGAGTTGAGCTGTATAGCGTCCATGGTATACAGAGCAGCTATTTGTTTGCTTGTCTCACTCTTTCATTAGACTCTGGGGCTTTCAATGACAAGAGCCATGTTTCCACTCATCCTTGCATCCCTTGCCCGGTCCCGAGATACTTAACAATGATTTGCGGAAAAAAAATATATGCGCGTGAGAAGCAAAAGCTCACCTTCCACCCTTGCAGGGTCCAAATATAACCAACAGATACGTACTGAATGAAACTTAGCCAGGGGGAGGCAGGTGAGTAAATTAATAACTAAAAATACATTTACAAATTATGGTAATTCCTATAAAATAAATAATTAAGATGATCTACTAGAGATTGAGAGTGGCCAAAGACTGTTTTAGAGGGGTGGTCAGGTGAGCCTTTCAGCTCATGAAGATGTGCTGATACAGTCTGAAGAAGCACTGATACAGAGCAGTGACTTTCCATCCTTACTGTCAATCTGCATCTCCTGGGGAGCTTTTAAAACTACCCATGTCTTGGCCCCACCTCATGCCAACTTAATCTGTATCTTGGGGGTGACGGTCCTGGCACAGATACATAGTTTAAAAGCTCCTGGCTGGGCATGGTGGCTCATGCCTGTAATCCTAGTGCTTTCGGAGGGTGAGGTGGGAGGATCATTTGAGGTCACAAATTCGAGACCAGTCTGAACAACACGGCGAGACCTCATCTCTACAAAAAATTAAAAATTAGCTGGGTGTGGTGTGTGAGCCTGTAGTCCCAGCTACCAGGGAGGCTGAGGTGGGAGGATCGCTCAGGAGTTCAAAGTTCCAGGGAGCTTTGACTGTGCCACTGCACTGCAGCCTGGGCAGCAGAGGGAGACCCTGTCTTTCATTAACTAATGAACTAAAAGCTCCCTAGGTGACTCAGATTCACAGAAGGGTGGAATATAAAGTCTTGGAAATCAGGAAAAAAATTTTAGATTTGTGTGAGAAGGAGCAAGAGCGGCACGAAGAAGCCCAGTGAGGAAGCTGCTGCAGACGCTGAATGAAAGGTGATGCAGGCCTGAAGCCTGCGACAGCAGTGGGGACAGAAAGATGCAGGTGGATACGAGATACATGGTAAAGGTAGATCAGACACTAACTGCTCTCTAGGACTGTGGTAAGAGAAAGAAACAACTGGAAGATTCTAAGAGTCTGGTTGAAATGGATGTGTGGTGGGATCATTTACTGGGAGGGCAAAGAAAAGATCTGGGGATGCGGGACTCAAGGGCACAGTTTGGGCATATTTCGCGGGAGGCACTTAGAGACGAGACACCTAAGTAAACATTACCAGTTATATATTATCCATCTCTTATACATTGAAAATGTGAGCAGTTATGTCCCCTAGTGTGGAGCCCCAGGGACATGTCTGGGCTCAACAGGCATTCTGCTGTCATCTGCATACAAATGGCCCTTAAATCTTGGGCACTGGAAATCTCCTAAAGCGGGTAGATGGAGACAGCAAAGGGCTCAGGACATAAAGGTCTCAGGAGAGAAATCCTGGTGCTCCTTGTATAACCTTGGGATCAGCACCAAGTATTACTCAACCAAAAGATTTGAGTAATCCCACACTAAATATTGTAGGCAAATGTAAACACTCATTCCTGATAGATTAATTTGTAAATGATATGAATATTTTTGTTCCTGGAAAAAGATCATCAGTAACTGAAATTGCACAAGATTTTCTTTAAAAGTTACAGTGATCATCAAATTATTTGCCCGCTGATTGTTTTTCAGGGTAACTTCTTTCAGAAATGTATTTCCAAACTGCGGGCTGTGAAATATGCAAATGTCCTACTGTGTTCTGTTAAAATTATACAGGAATAACACACAGACAAACATATAGACCTCACTAAACTGAATTAAATTATTTTAATTCCAACTGACTATTCTGTCCAAAGCTGGGATATGGGAAGAGCCACCAAAGTATTGATGAGAACGTTCAACTCAAGACGACTGGACAGCATTCCTTCCCATACAGTAAGTCTACTGAGTACCGAAGGTCAAAAGAAGCAAATGCCAGGCTTGGGAACTGGAGGCTAGAAGGTGGGAAGGAAACTGCCAGGGCACTCGGCATTTCCTGGGCCCTCCTGTCTCCCTAGTGCCTTGAGGGAAAAGGGGCCAGGAGGCAGATCAAGACACAGCGGTAGACGGAAAAAGGTCCGAACTCCAGTTTTGGAGTCAATGAGAATTAGAGTCCATTTCAGCTAGAGGATCGTCACCCTCAAATCTCACTGCAGCCCAGCTGAACACTCTAGGGTCTGACCCTTCTTTCAGGAGCCAAGCCCCAACCCTGAGATGGGGACAGATCCTATCCATGAAAATTCTCTGTGTTTTTCAATGCACATATATTAAATACTTATACTTAATTTGTTAAAAAATGAAGATCATCTTTATATATACAGTATTTTAGATCTTTCCATACAATAAAAATTATTTGAAAATGTGATTTTCTAATAGTATATTCTATTCAGTCACTATAACCTACCATAATTTACTGAACATTTCAGGACATTTGCATCATGACTAAATTTTCACCAACAATGCAATGAGCATCCATATAGACAATTTTTTTTAACCTCATCACTGATTATTTCCTTTGGAGAAATTCCGAAAAGAATTACTGGACAAAAACAAAACAAAACCATCTTTGAGTGTCTTTGAGACATACTGTTAAAATGCCTCCCAGGAGGGTTCTCCCAATTCATACCACCCCTAGAACTGTCCGTGCTTCCCTTTTAATTACTGATGCTGCAGATTTTTAAAGTTGCTTTTTTGATAGGTAAAAAATGTTCTTTGGGGCTTTCCTTTGCCATAAAGGAAGGCTGAGCATTCCTCCAGCTGCCTACATTTTATAAATTAAGATTTTATGAGATAAAGGCATTTAATAGTACAAGTTTTGCTGACCAGCTGAGATGTGCCCGCAGCATTGCACTTGGAGTGGGTACGAGACCTAAGTAAGGAAGAACCAACAATCCTTCCGACCAGGGAGCAATGCCCTGGCAGGAAGGGTGATAAAGTGCGGGCTGCACTGGCGCCCAGCTTCGCACACAAGGACTGCACCACTGCACGGGGCCTCAGTGGCCACACGGGAACACAGTGAGGCCGAGAATGTCAGAGACTGCATCCCATAAACTAACCCTGCTCCCCATGACACCTCCAAAAAGAAAGGAATCCAGAGAGAATGATACTACAGTTCTATGGCAAAACTCAATAGGGTAAAGTAGTGAGTAGCATTCTCCAAGCTTTTGTGACAAAATAAAGATGCTTTTCAAGAATAGTAATGGCAGAGGCTCTTAAAGTACCCGGAAGTACAAAACACAATGTGATTAATACAAATATTCTCTGAGTTCAACTACCAAATTCCAGAAAAATTAGCAACTATCTTTTCTTTAGCAAACATTCACATCTGAATTTAGTGCAATTTTCTCATGAATTATTCAACTAGCAGATAAAATCTTTGTTTAAATAATGAATGAAATTAGCTGATTTTTAAGAAGCTAGCTATATTTCTGATTACAAGATGAAAAAAAAATTTGGTGAATGAATGTTGAATCACTGCATAGCTACAAAATTTGTCTGCTTTGTCCAAAACAACCAGAAACCTTAGAGCTAGATGTCAGAAAGGTATTTTCAACTGATTTGGAATGCAAAATATCTTCCCACGTTTGGTCCAGGAGGACGTGGCTCAGAGGCTGCCAAGTATACCCCTCCTGCAGGACGGTGCAGACCCCTTTGCACAGGACTGTCTCTGACTCTCAGCCTCGCGGCTTCCTCAGACTTCCACAGAACAAGAGGTAATGGCAAGAAGGCAGGGACAGGACCCAGGAGCACTGAGTTAAGCCTGGCGCTGCCACCTGCTCAGCCATGTGAACTTAGGTGAGTCATTCTGGCCTCATGAAAAACAGGCCAAAAAGCTCTACTGCAAACAGAAGGTGTCATTCTAGTAAACGGTAAGAAAACAGAACGTCTTACACAATACCTGGCTTCTAGAAAGTGCTCAATAAAATGCGAGAATTTAATATCATCTTTTATTTGTACTTCTACTTAGGGCATTTTTGTTGCATTCTTTATAAAGAACTTTAAACTAGCTGAATCATAAGAAAAAAAGTAGAAGCACAGTGTTAGTTTTCCATTACTGTCATTTCTTTAAGACAGTTTAATTAGGCAAAATGTCAAAAGCTGGCCAGTGAAGTATTTAAAGAGCTAGATGAAAGATCCCCATTTTTAAGCAGAAGCAGGAGAAAATATGAATCAAGAAGTGAATTTATCTCTAATGTACTTGAGTGCACATTACTTAAAACTCCACTCCATTTAGTAGCCTCCCGAAAGTACCACAAGACATGACTTGAGAGAGCAACAATACCAGAAAGGGATGGGTAAACCATGGCAGCAGCAGAGAAAACAAAGCAGCTCTGAAAAGCTGTTTCGGCACATCTGTGCTAACACGCACAGCTACATTTAGAACAAAAATAACCCATACAGCAAGTTTTTAAAAATATGCATTCTGCCTCTGCTACTTGGGGTGCAATCCCCACCCATAATGCATCATCTACAATGTCATACTTCAGTGCCTGAACAAACAGAATTCTGTCATGAACACATTCAGTCTTTAATTTTTAACTCATGGACAGAATCTCAATTGCTTGTTGTATTATGATAAGCTCCTTGCCATCAATAAATAATGCCCTGGAAACTGTTGATCAGCTTGCCCACGGTGTTTAAAAAATAAAAAAATAAAGGCTTGCTGGGAGCTCAAGTGTCCAGCCCGTGCTGGGAATCTGCCACACAGCAGCCCTCAGAATGACTATCTGGAATGTGTAAGAATAGCCATGAGGTCAATTTGGGCCCTGCTCTAAGCTGTGTGTCCTCTGGGCACAGGGAGGGGGTCGACAGGCGAGCCCACAGGAAGCCAGCCTCCTGTCCCTTCTCCCGTGCCTGCCATCCACACCTCCTGACAGCCTAGCACAGACCTCCAAGGCAAGACATGTGGAAGCCCCACTGTTACCTGAGGCAGACTGTGCAATGTGACACTCGGGGTGCAGATTACAATTAGGGGACTATGTCTTACGAATCAAGATCATATGTCTTAGAAGCTGTGTTAGCTCTGCTTGAAAATGGGAAATAGGCGAGGGAAAGGAAACGTGCCAAGTATCCTACTATATTACAAATCTCTTCCATGCAAATATTTGGTATTCCTAATGGTTTTGCAAGGTAGAAAATAATGTTCCAAGATGACAGATAAAGAAAATGAAATCTGTAAGGGTTAATTTGTTCACAGTCATGGAGCTTAATGAGTGGCAAAGCCCAGATCTGCCTAATTTAAAAATGTACATTTTTTTTTAAAAATTGTACCACACAAATTGCAGGTAACTATTTCTGGTTTTCAGAAAAGAGAGAATGGCTGAAATAATATTAAATGTGCTGGAAAACCTCAAAGTGTGCAAATGAAGAGTGATGAGGATTAAGAAGGGGAGAGGGAGGGCCAGTGACACAGACCTGGCCTGCTGTAGGACAGGGGACGGCCTGCAAAGCAGTCAGGGACAAATGCGGGTAGTGGGCCGCCAGCCTCAGCAGACCTAGGAAGACATCTCAAGTGCCAAACTCTCACCAGCCTTGACCTACAGGAAAGAAGTCTGACCATTTCCTCGGTGCCCTCGGGAATCGTGCCATCAGCATGACACAAACATGACAACAGCACTTTCAGGTCCTTTTTCCAAGACCTATTTCTCTGTGTGCTAACACCTGGCACCTCTTTTAATCTTCTATTTATTTATTTGATAAACATTTAAAAGAAAGCTACTTTGTGATAGACCTTGTATTGGGGACTAAAAGGTAAATCAGAAACAGGTACTGCTCTTACCAATGTCAGGATGTGGGTGGGGATAAGGGAGAGAGAAGGCCCCACAGACAAGCAAAAAGCACCATTCACATCCAGCACTGGAGGGAAACACGAAGGGCTGCAGGAATACAGAAGAGGACACCTGAGCCGGCCAGGCAGGTCCAATCAGGGGCAGCCCTGAAGGCCAAGCTTACCAGTTTTAACTTTGTCCTGAAAGCAACAGAAAGAATTTACAGAGACTGGTGCTTCAGAAAAGAACAGAGAGTTGTACCCTCATTCAAGGATTCACGTTTTGCAATTTTCAGTTACCCGTGGTCTGAAACTATTAAGTGGAAAATTCCTAAAATAAACAATTCCTGTTTTTTAAGTTGTGCACCATGCTGAGGAGCATGAGAAAATCTCTCACCATCCCTCCCAGGGCTTGAATCCTCCCTTGTCCAGCACACCCACACTATTTATGCTCCCCAGCCATTCTGCCATGGTATCACAGTGCTCGTGTTCATGGAACCCTTATCTTACTTAACAATGACCTCAAAGTACAAGAGTAGTGATGCTGCCAATTTGAATATGCCAAAGAGAAGCCATAAAGTGCTTCCTTTAAGTGAAAAGGTCAGAGTTCTAGACTTAAGAAAAAAACTGTATGCTGAGGTTGCTAAGATCAATAGTATGAACCAATCTTCTGTCTGTGAAATTGTAAGCAATCTATTGTTGTTGTAATTGTTCTAGTTTACCATTAGTTATCGTTGTTAATCTCTTACTGTGCCTAATTTATAAATTAAACTTTATCACAGGTACATATGCATAGGACAAAACCTCACATACATAGGGTTTGGTACTATCCTCGGTTTCAACATCTACTGGGAGTCTTGGAACATATCCCCCATGGATAAGAAGAGATGACTGTATACATTTCTTTAACATTTAATTTATTACGGTAAAGTGCACAAATCTTACGTGTATCGCTTATACAAGTTTTATATATGTAGGCAGATGTGTAACCACCACTCATATAGTGGTAAAGAACATTCCAGCACCAGAGACTCCCTTGTGTCCTCTCCCAGTTGATAACCCCTACTAGAGGTTAGTATTCTGACCTCTATCACCCTACATTACTTTGGCCACTTCTGGGATTTTGGATCAATGGAGTCATACAGTAGGCACTCTCTTGTGCCCAGCTGCTGCACCTCCCAGAAGCTCCCTCTGTCACCACTATGTAATATTCCGCTGAATGAATACCATAATGTATTTATCCACTCGATTAGTGATAGACACTTGGGTTGTTTCCAGTCTTTGGCTATTATAAATTAGGCTGCCATGAACGTTTGTGTTCATGGCTTTTGGTGGACACGAGCACTCATTTCTACGGGATATATACCAATATAATAGCTGGTTTAGCAAAACAATATATTTAGCAAAAACACCATCACTTTTGTTGAAAATGCTGGTTGATGTATCCTGGACTAAGGCCAATAGGCCCGAGTCATGAAGAATAAAAGACTGAGAAGAGATCCTTTCTTGTTTTAACAGGAATGATGGGTTAATAGGATCATGAAAATTTCCAGAGAGTTGAGTCACTTGCTATTCAAAAGCTATACCAAGGAAACTCGATCCACTCTTGACCCTCTTGAATTTGTAGGTTTATGGTTTTTGCCAAATTGAGGAAATTATTCTTTTGAATACTTTTTCGGCCTTTTATTAAAGTCCCACATATCCCTGAAGCTTGGTTAACTTTTTTGTACAGTCTATTTTCTTTCTGTTGTTCAGACTGGATAATTTTTATTCCATCCTCCAGTTCACTGATTTTTTTCTTCCAGCATCTCCATTCTGCCACTGAACCCAATCACTGAGTTTTGGCTTTTTATTTCAGGTTGCTGTTTTTTTAGTCCTAAAATTTCCACGTGGCTTTTCTTTGTATCTTCCATTTCTTTGCTGAGATTTTTTCATTTGTTTCCAGTGTGGTCATAATTGCTTACAGAAGCATTTCTATGATGGATGCTTTGAAATCCTCATCAGATTATTCCAACATCCATGTCATCATCTTGGTATTGGCATCTGTTGACTGCCTTTGCTCACTTAAGCTAAGATTTTCCTGGTCCTTAGTGTAACCCATGATTTTAAATTGTACTCTAAACATTTGGGTGTAGTGGTATGAGAAGACTGAATCTTAAGTTTAAGTCTCCTATTTTAGCAGAGCTCGTTCAACAACAGCACGTGGAAGGCAGAGCAGCTCACTACTGCCAGGTTGTGGTGAAGATCTAGGTCCCTCACTCAACCTCCTTTGACACCCGGGGAGAGAGGGGTGCCTCACTACTGCTGGGCAGAGCTGGTTGTTCATGCTCCCTACTCGGTCTCTGCTGACAGTACAGCTGGGCAGGGGTTGGGGGATGCCTCATTACTGCCCAGTGGGGATAAAAACCTGGCTCCCAGCTCCATCTTCTCTGACACCACCTAGCAGGGGTGAGGGGTGCCTCATTATAACCAGGGGAAGGTTTCTGTTTCGGCTCCCCATTCAGCCATTGTTGGTGGGCTGGGGCCACATTCTTTTCCGTGGTGTTTGGCTGAAATAGGGCACTTACTGTCTAAAAGTTTTCTGTCTTAAGTTGTCCCCTTCTTGGTCCTTTAGGGAGAAAGAGTGAGCTTTCCTCAGGGCTTTCTGGTCTGCACCCATTGGTGTTTCTGGGTTGACAGCTTCTCTAACATTAATCAGTCTGAGAAAACCCAGGGAACTTGCCACCTTATCGTTTCTGAGTCTCAAGGCCCCTTGCTAGTATGCCGTCTTCTCCCCACCTGTCACGTGTTTCCATGATTGTTTCATATATGATGACAGGGTTCTGGATGTATTTAGCTGGAGAGATACCGGGAAGTGCATCTGCACCACCTTAATCCAGAATCCCAAGTCCAATTGCCAACGTATTGTTTTTAAGGTGCCAAAGGACTTCCATTAGCAAATGAAGACACAAGTCACTGATCCAGGTTTAAATTTCAGAAGATTAGGATATATTTGTGCAAACAAAAATAAAGGCAGTTAATATGTACTAAGCATTGGCCAGCACTGTTCACGTTACATGTAGTATCTGACCTAATCCTCCCTATGAGCCTCTGAGGCAGGACTTCCTGTTATCCCATTCTACAGAGGGGGAAACAGGCTGGCACAGGTTCACATCCACTCCACAGCAGGGCCAGGGTTGAACCTAGGTCTGCCTGACTCCAGAGCCAGACCTCCTCCCACCACACTGCATAAATTCTGAAACAGGCAACAAGGGGGCTTTCACACCCTGCTCTCATGAGAGCAAACAGTCCGACGGGCACAGTGGCTCATGCCTGTAATCCCAGCAATTTGGGAGGCTGAAGCGGGTGGATCATTTGAGGTCAGGAGTTCAAGACCAGCCTGGCCACCATGGTGAAACCCTATCTCTACTAAAAATACAAAAATTAGCTGGGCGTGGTGGCACACGCCTGTAATCCCAGCTACTCAGGAGGCTGAAGCAGGGTAATCGCTTGAACCTGGGAGGTGGAGGTTGCAGTGAACCAAGATCGTGCCACTGCACTCCAGCCTGGGTGACACAACGAGACTCCGTCTCAAAAAAAAAAAAAAAGATGATGCAGTCTGCCTTTTTGTTTGTATAAGCGTTTTTATTTGGAATTTCACGAATGTAGAATACTTAGATATTAAAAACATTAACTTCAAATGTTTAAGGGCAAGGACTCCTGATTGGTAAAATCATTGGAGTATACTTTTCCACTTCTTTATCAATCAGAGATTTTTTTTTCAGAAACACATTATTAATTCCTAAATATTTTAAAAATGAAAGCCCCAGAAGAATGGCATGTTTCCAAATAAAGTACGAATGATTCTTTTTCTTTGTACTCTCAAAAAGTATGTACGAATTCTATTTCATCTCTGCTAGATCACAAACCACAAACTACAGATTTCAAGTCTTCGCTTTCTTGTCTGTAACCATGCAAGGCAATATAGAATTGGTCCTTTCACAGCATCTGTGCTTTCAGATCTAAACTTTTCCTACAAGGTTATGTACCAAAGGAAGAGCATTAGAGGAAAAAGGATACTACATAAACACCACATAAAAATGACAAAGATGCCTACTGAGGCCTGAAATCACTACCAGTGGTTGCGTACTGCAAGACGGCCACTCACCCCAACAGCAAGTCTAGTCTCGCTCCCAGCTGTGAAGTTTCTCTCCTTAAAAGAACAACAACAACAACAAAAGCCCAACATAACCCTCTTCCTTCCAGTCCGTCTTTAGTCTTCTGAATTATAGTCTTCTGAATTATATTCTGGAGTCTCAGAATGCCAGAACTGGAAAGTGCCTTCAGTGACTATGTGGTCCAACAAAAATCATACTTCCACTTACATACGAGGCCCAAGAAAGAAAATTATCCTCATTAAGAAGTTGAAGAAATTGATAATTTCTCGAGATGAGTAGGGTCCTGTTACTCCAATATTATGCATTCTGTACTTAGAAACATGAAGAAATAGAGGTGTTGCTTCATTATGAAAGGGAAGAAGTGGTGGCTTCTTGCAGGAGAGAAGAACGATGCAAAGCTTTATTTTGGGGAATCTGGTCACAGAGAAAATTCATAAATCTCATACTCAAGAGCTGAAAAGAGCCTGGAAAAACTCAGTCCAGTCTCCTTACTTTACAAACGAGGAACACAGCAAAATTATTTTCCCCAACTCATATAATCAGGAGCTTCTAGATCCTCTGATACTCTGTATCCATTCCACTCACCAGACATGCCTGAGTGCCAAGATGGAGAGTGCTCACATCCTAGGACCTTTTTGTACAAATATCAAATTAATTAATTATCAAAATTGAATGTATACAAAGAAACTAGTATTAATTTCATATATTAATCAAATGTTTACTTTTCCCATTCTCATCTTTTCCATGTGAGCCATCCTGTGTACCAAGAACAATCTTGTCAATCTCAGACTGCTCTTAGCTGGGAACTCAGTGACACGATTTTATTCACTTAATGGAGAATCCTAATTTCATACAAGCTCCTCTCTCTCTTTTTTAGGCTAATTGTACCAGATATATGCCCAATTACTTCTAATCATTCGTTATTTCAGTAAAAACCTCAAGAATAGTAAACGCGGACTTATAAGGGTTCCAACTCTGAACAGAGGTTCTACTTTGTTTTACACATTAACAACCCTATAGTTAGCATAATAACGAACACACTGAGCATGTACTCTACTTATGCTTTACAGGTATCATATATTAATTCATCTCATCCTCCCTAGGAGGCATGTACAATTATCCTCATGAAGATAAGTTTCACTGAGACGCAAGCTCCATAAAGGCCAGTATTCGTTCACTGCTGTATTTCCTGAGCTTGGAGCAGGGCCTGGCACATAGTAAGTTCATAATATATACTCACTGAGTAAATGGATAAATGACATTAATAGGGGAAAAATTAAGGTACAAAGAGGTTACAGAACATGATCAATGTCATACAGCTATTGCATAACACAGCTGGGATTCAAACTACTGAGTTTTTTATTGCATTAAGTCAGGGGCCAGCAAACTTTTTCTGTAAAGGGCTAGAAAATAAATAGTTAAGACTCTGCAAACCATACGGTCTCCACTGCAACTACTCAACTGTGTTGTTGTAGTGTGAGAATGGCCATAGGCAATATTAAAGAAATGAACACAACTATGTCCCAATAAAACTTTATTTACAAATAGAGGCCCACAGCATAGTCTGCTCACCCCTACATTAAATCCTCATAAGAATCAAGCTCTTTCCACTACACCTCATGGTCTCTATGAAAGGGAGACTTGCAGACCATTCATGCAGTAGGAATTTGCTTTTGCATTTTTAGGCTATAAAGCAGAATCTCAATTCTCATTTGCATCTTGAAATCAGAACCATGACTCCAGCAGGCAGCTAGAGCTTAAGTGAACAGGCAGGTGCGGAGGGGTGCGTGCAAGTGCACAGACATAGTTAATCCAAAATCTGTTTTCACAAGAAAATCTGACCTTACATTAAGCACTGTGATCTGGAAACAATGCAAAGACTCCATCTGGAAGACAGGCAGGGCACAGGATTGGCCATTTCTGTTCTCATAAGGAAAACAGCCTAACCAAACTAAACACTAACCTGGTTAAACGTGAGGCTGAACATAGCTGAATGCATTAATCATCAGACAGGACAATAAAGGAAAATATGCAAGCTCTCTCCCAACTGTTTACCACTTGTATTTTTCTTGGAACAGAAATGCATTTTATATATTATATGAACCTGTAAAAAACACATACCTGGTAAAACATTTGAACATATACTCTAGATCAAGAGAATACTAAAACATGAAATATTCCATCATCATTAAAGAATTTTGAGTTCACAAAGGTTTAAACACCCACCCGACTCCAGCTATGGTAACAACGACATAACAGAAACTAAACAGCACTTTATGCTAACTGGATATAATCTTGATAATTATAGGCTATTCAGTGTGTAACAAAGTATGACAAACCTCTCCCTAAGGCTGATCCATCTCAGTAAGTAAGGTATCACTTAGGAGTAACATGGCAAAGTTTGAACAGGAAAACCCAAATGAATTATTTTTCGAAATATAAAAGTAGCTTTCTGGTTTATTTAAAATTAATGCTCATGCATACATAAAGTCATTCAAGTTCATCGTTGTCCACTATTCAAATGACATAAATATTATTTGCCTCAAAAAGTTCAACTTGATACATTTATTGAGAAATTATGTGCAAAAATGATGCATAGGAATAAAAAGCTGAAAACGGTACAGATCCTTCCATGAAGAAACTTTTAAAAACTCTTGTCTCAGAATCACTGGCAAAAACATAATTTAATTAGAATACCAATGCTTAAAAAAACTGGCAGCAGCAGTTAGTATTTTGGGTGATATTCATATACCAAGCATCACGTGATATACTTTACATATATTATCGTTTGTGTTTATAGCAATGCAGCAAGACATAATGCATGATTTTCATTTTCTCTATTGAGAAAGCTAGGGCTCAATTACTCTTGCCCCAGATCACACAACTAGTGGGCAGCTGAGCCATGCAGGCTTCCAAACCAGGCTGCTTGGCCTTCAAGTAGAAACTTCTCTTCCATATCAGTTTAATTGCCTTAAAGCAGGGTTCCAACTTTGACATTAAAAAAAAAAAAAGGTATCAGGGAGTGCAAATTATATGAAAAACTTCATATGGCTGTGGGTGTGTGAACTTTCCTGAGAGGGGAAAATTTTAAGGGGTAAAAAATGAAAGGTGGTCAGACAAAATATCCATGTCACGCATCACACCTGCAGACATGATCATCTTCGTTTTAAACACCTTCTTCAGTGACATGCTTATGAAAGTGCTTTATAGAATGGAAAGTGCTATCAAAAGATTGGTTGTTATTAACAAAGCAACAAGTGGGTGGTTTATGATTAAGGTAAACCATGGTCCACATTAAGTTTTAGACAGAAAGAAATGGAAACAATCACTGAAGCCTTTACACAACGGGTGTTTTTTTATTCTGCAAACTACTACCTCTGGTTAACCGTAGGCTTACAGAGTATATCACCATCTTGATTTCGAGGACATGAAAACTAAAGTTCAGAAAGGTAACAGGACATGCTCAAGGGTGGTGATGCACAGCCCTGGGTTCCCTGAATTGGGTCCCCCTCCAGCAGACAGGTCAAGTGTGGGTCAAGGACGGAACCAATGGGCTGTGGAGTGGCCACAGATGTCGGTGCCCATGGTGGCTCCACTTAATCTCCGGGAGCTCCAGGTTTCAAACACCAGCAAACGGATGTTAATGTTACCTCCCGGCTGGCTGTGAGGGGCGGAATGATCTATCAGGTTAGAGGCTGTAGAATATTTATTATTGGTGCTACCGTGCTAAATAAATCGGAGACCCAGGTCATGACATGAGGCACTAATGAGGAAGTAAAACTTGAAGCATGGAAACTACTCAACCGCTGTTTTTCACTAAATCTCTCTCAATAACAATACTGCAAGTCACATTTTTATTATAAATAGTCACACGAAGGAGAAAAACAGTGTCATTACACAGGCTAACACTGACGAAAGCCATGTTTGGCAGTCACCTAATTCTAACCATATTTTCCAATATTAACTGCATTTTAATAAAACTGAGACACTACAGAATAACTATTTCTGAACCTGCTTCAACAAGTAAACAAGAAAATGTTTGAACAGAATAAAGACAACTAAATATGGAATGAATATAAACTTTCAGCAAGCACCCACCCGTTCTACAAACCCTCACAATGTTTGTGTTTTCCAACTTGTCTCAATTTCTTACAAAATCTCCATGAAGCCACTTAAGAGAGGGTGCACCTCAGCTAACAGGCCCTATGTTGAGGTCCAGATGTGAACACAGGGACAGGGACACAGCCCCATGCCCAGGACCAGTAGCCTCCTGTTATGTCCAGCCCTCCCAGTCCTCCATGTGCACACATCTGTCCCCTGCCCACTGCCATCCCCTCCTTCTCTAGGAGTGGTAAGGACTGAGGGCCAGTGTTTCTCAAAGAAGGCCCCAGACCAAAATTCCCACCTCTAGAAATGGTGGAGTCCTAAAATCTGCAGAGTGGATAAGTGCTTCTGGTAATACAACACTAAAGTTTTACAAACTACCAGAAAAAGGGATGGGGAAAAGGCAAAACAAACAAACAAAAAACTTTAGTGTTTCTCCGACCCCTGCCTTTATTTATTTATTTGTTTGTTTTGAGACAGAGTCTCACTCTGTCACCCAGGCTGGCGTGCACTGGCGTGATCTTGGCTCACTGCAGCCTGCCACCTCCACCTCCCAGGTTTAAGTGATTCTCCTGCCTCAGCCTCCCCAGTAACTGGGATTACAGGCGCGTGCCACCACACTCAGCTAATTTTTGTATTTTTAGTAGAGACAGGGTTTCACCATGGTGGTCAGGCTGGTCTCAAACTCCTGGCCTCAAGTGATCCGCTCACCTCAGCCTCCCA
Organism: Homo sapiens; assembly: GCF_000001405.40. NCBI lineage: Eukaryota > Metazoa > Chordata > Mammalia > Primates > Hominidae > Homo > Homo sapiens. The sequence continues at coordinate 45,774,689 of NC_000022.11, read as the reverse complement.
AAGTGCTAGGATTATAAGCGTGAGCCACCGCGTCCAGCCCCCCTGCCTTTATTTTGTAAAAAACATTAAACATCCTTTCTCTTTTTCAGGAACCTGACATGGAAGATTTCCTAGAGTTGGGATCCTTTGCTGTACAACACTGGTCAGGACTGGAGAGGCAGGGAGGTGTCAGGTGGACATCTGGAATTTCCTAATAGCGATCTCCTCTTACATCAAAGTAGTAGTTCCCCTCTGCCTGTAAGGCAGACTTCATTTCCAACATAAGGAACAGGAGACCTGGAGCTCTCCCACAGGACTGCTTGCTCGCACACTGTGTCTGCATTATCTGTCTCACTCCAAAATAGCGATGCAGGGACTGGTAGGGACAGGCTGCCATTCCAGACAGGTGCAGCTCCTGCTCTCACTCTACTGGACAGATGGCCATGGTCAACAGTCACAGAGTTATGGAGGCCAAAAACTCCCCCAGCAGAAATGCCAAGTAGGAGGCAGGTGCCCCACCATGCCTACTAAGGCAGGGCCACCCCCAGACATTAGCAGGCTGTCACAGTACTTCCCAGAGTGCCAGCGCACACATGCACATGCTGAAATGGTGCTGGCTGAAGCACATGGCATCAAATGGTTCTTTCTGTCTGCAAGACCTGAAGAGGGGCTGTTTTGATGGCTTCATGTTTCTTACAATTTGTTTCTACAGGCCATTCTCTCTACCCAGACAGGACTGCAATGAGAAATCTACATAGTATCCCACTAATGGGAAATCATTACATAGAAATACACCTGTGGATAAACCCATCCTTCTCTTGTTCTTCCAATGGTTGAGTCTTTTAAAACAAACAAACAAACAAACATCAGTTCATTTCTTTTTTCTTTCTGTGGTTTTGTTTTTCTTGTGATTATTTTTTACTGTTTCTTCAGGTTTAATAATTCTTCATTCAGGCCAGGTGCAGTGGCTCACACCTGTAATCCCAGCATTTTGGGAGGCCGAGGTGGGTAGATCACCAGAGGTCAGGAGTTCGAGACCAGCCTGGCCAGCATGGTGAAACCCCATCTCTACTAAAAATACAAAAATTAGCCAGGCATGATGGTGCAGCCTGTAATCCCAGTTACTCAGGAGGCTGAGGCAGGAGAATCGCTTGAACCTGGGAGGTGGAGGTTGCAGTGAGCCGAGATTGCACCACTGCACTCCAGCCTGGGTGACAGAGCGAGACACCTATCTCAAATAAATAAATAAATAAATAAATAAATAATTCTTCATTCAGTAAAAAGTAGGTTCTGTTCCCATTTAACCCCCACAGAGAAGAAGGCAGGCAGGGACATCACAGCATGATCAAATAAGGCTTGTGACTCAATGAGACATAAAATGGCAATAAAAGGCATACAAATTGGAAAAGAAGAAATAAAACTTCATCCTTATTCACAGGATATGATTGTTTATGTAGAGAATCCCAGAGAATCTATTTTTCAAATCTCCTAGAATGAATGAGTTGAGCAAGCCCATACGACACAAGGTCAATGCAAAAGTTAACCATATTTCCACATGCGAGACGAACAACCAGGAACTGGCTATTTTTAAAAAGTAACATGTACAGTAGCTCCCCCACCACATGTTATACACAGTCAGCCCTTGTGTCTCTGGGTTCCACAGCGTCAGACTAATTCAACTGCAGATCAAAAATATCTTGGGGGAAAAAGACTTTAAAAATACAGTATAGCAACTATGCACACAGCATTTACATGTATTAGGTATTATAAGAAGTCTACAGATGGTTTGAAGTATACGGGAGGATGTACATAGGTGATATGCAAATACCATACCATTTTGTATCAGGGACTTCAACATCTATTTTTGGTAGCCACAGGGGTCCTGGAATGAATACCCCATGGGTACCAAGCAACCACTGTGCTAAAAATAAATCTAACAAAGCATACACAGGATCTACATGCTGAAAATGAGAAAACACTGATGAAAGACATCAGAGAAGATCTAAATAGAAAGACATTCCTGGTTCACGGATTGGAAGACTCAACACAGTAAGACATTGATTCCCCCCAAAGAGAGCTGTATATTTAACGCAATTCCAATCACAATCACAGCAGAGTTTTGTAGAGTTATGAAAAAGCTATTCTAAAATTTACATGGAAGGGTAAAGAAGATTAAATCACTAAAATAAAGTTGGATGAATCACACTACCCAATTTTAAGATTTACTGTAAATTGACAGTAATAAAGACAATGTTGTAATGGTGAAGAGACAGGCACAAATATCGACGAACAAAATAGCATATCTGGAAACAGACCCACACAAATTGGGCCATTTGATCTTTGACAAAGGTGCAAAAGCAATTCAATGAACAAAAAAGGATAGTCTTTTTAACAAATGCTGCTAGAATAATTCATCATCCATTTGCAAAACAATGAACCTTGACCTAACCCTCACACCTTATAGAGAGACTAACTCAAATGGATCCTAGATCTAAACACAAAACATAAAACTACAAAATTTTAGGAAGAAAAACTATGAGAAAATTCTTGTGATTCTGAATTAGGGACAGAGTTCTTGAAATGACACAAAAAGTATGATTCATAAAAGAAAAAAATTGATAAAGTGAACTTCAAAAATTTTAACTCTTGCTCTGCCAAACACACTGCTAAGAGAATGAAAATGTGGGCTACTGACTAAAGAAAATACTGTGGATCACATCTCTGACAAAGAACTTGTGACCAGAATACACAAAGAATGCTCAAAATTCTACAATAACAAAACAATCCAGCTGGGCACAGTGGCAAGCACCTGTAGGCTCAGCTCCTCAGGAGGCCAAAGCAGGAGGATGGCTTGAGCCCAAGGAATTTGAGGTCAGTCTGGACAACACAGCAGAGGCCCCTTCTCTTTTAAAAAAATAAAAATTAAGACAGAAAGAAAACAACCCAATTTCAAAATAAGGAAAAGACTGGAACAGATACGTCACCAAAGACTCAGGCCGGGCACAGTGGCTCACCCCTGTAATCCCAACACTTTGGGAGCTCGAGGTGGGTGGATCACTTGAGGTCAGGAGTTCGAGACCAGCCGGGCCAACATGGTGAAATCTTGTCTCTACTAAAAATACAAAACTTTGCTGGGTGTGGTGGTGCGTGCCTGTAATCCCAGCTACTCGGGAGGCTGAGGCAGGAAAATCACTTCAACCCGGGAGGCAGAGGTTGTAGTGAGCCAAGATCACATCATTGCACTCCAGCCTGGGCAACAGAGCAAGACTCCATCTCAAGAAAAAAAAAAAAAAAAAAGACTCAAGCATGGCAAATTAAACATATGAAAAAACGTCCAACATCATTAGCCATTATTAGGGCAATAAAAACTACAACAAAATGAGATACCACTACACACTTATTAGAATGGTTAAATTAAAAATACTGACAATACCAAGAGCTGACGAGGATGTGCAGAGTTGTATTCCATTGTATGGATGTACCATTGTTTATGCATTTAACCATTAAAGAACATTTGGGTTGTTTTCAGCTTTTGGCTACCATAAATAAAGCTTCTGTGAACATTTGTGTGTAGAGGTTTTTGTGTGAACCTCTTTTCACTTTTCCAGGGTAAATACTTAGGAATGCGACTGCAGGGTTTTGTGACAGTATGTTTAATTTTATAGGAAGCTGCCAGGGTGTAGTGGCTGTACCATTTTGCATTGGAGGGAAGAAGGCAGCCGCAGAGAGCCAAAAGGGCTGGCCTCGAGTGCTCCCAGGATGGATCTGGGTTCTTCTCTCTGAGAAGGCTCTGTGGCTCTGTCCTCTCTCTCCAAGTGAGCACTTCCTGAAAAGCTACTCAGGGATCAGGGAGGGAATTTGGGGGTATTCCCAGGCCATGGGACCAAATGAAACAATTCACTGGCTAAAGGGTCCCAGCAAGGCATGGAGAATGTGACGTGGCTGGATCCTGCCCTTAGCTCCCCTTTCTTTGAGAAGCCCTCTTCAGATCCTGGGCTGAGCCCAGCTGCAGTGAGCTATCATGCTTACAAGTTTGTTGCCTCAGACAGGCCGAGAACCATCAGTGGCTCTCGCATATGTGGACGTGGCTCTCTGTGAAGCCCTCAGGTCTGGTCCATTCTGGGAGGACTCCAGAGTCCAGGTCTGCCTATCATCCAGCTCATTCAGAGCCCCCTCTGCAATGTTAAACTTTCTTTGAATTTATCTGATCGTAAGAAACACATATGCATTGCAACCTAATGTTGCAACACACATTCACAGACACAGAAACACACGTGTGTGTCCCATTAGTGTGTATATTCATCACATACCCCCCTCTTTTTCACATCACCTGTCCCAACCAGCGACAGTACTTATTACAATGTGTCCTCATCCTGTCTCATTTTAAAAAAATTCTCACTATGACCAAAGAATTCATTTCGTATCTCGTTATTGGGATGCAACCCACATTTTTAAAAACTCTGCTTAAGATGGGATTTAAATAGATATGGGTTTCAATCATATTTGCTGTAAATTGTTTGGGCAAATTACTTTTGACTTTGGTTCCTCATGTCCTCATGTGTAAGACAGGAGTAACACCTCTCCTAGGTAAATGGCATACAGAAAGCACAGAGCTTGACACATAATCATTTCTCAAGAAACAGTAGCCATTACTGGTCTAGAAACCCTAAGCCGCCCTTCTTCAGCTCTTAGTCTTGCCATCTGGGCCACAGCCTGCTCTGTGAAACTGCATCTGAGAACCTTTATTTAGAACTGTATTTATAGAGTGACAAAATACTTGTGGTAACATTTAATTTTTATTCAACCAACATGTTTATAACTTACATTTCATCAGAAAATTTTTTATATTTTTTAACTTCCTGACACTCTTAAGAGTTTTTGTTCAGATCACACTCTACTGCATACAGAGTAAATTCATTCATCAGATATTTTCTGAGCACCTGGCAGACATCTTGTCAGGCTACTCGAGAAGGCAAGAGAAAAGAGGCCTGGCTCCTGGCCAGGAAGATGCCCAAGGCTGGCTTCAAGGTCCTAGGGAATCGGCCTTGGTCTTCTTTTCTTGACCAAGTCTATTTGAGATTCTCTCTAGCTTCAGCCAAACCTATACTGACCCTTTACCTTTCTTCCTCTGTACCTCTGCTGGTGTAATTCATTCCTTTGAAATAGTCTCTTCATCGCCACATAACTGCTACCCACCATTCCTCAAGGCCCAACTCCACGGTGACCTCTTTTCCAAGCCATCTCCATTCCCCCTATACTGTGGCATTGGGGGCCTTCTGTGCCCTCATCGGGCAGGATTCTACCCATTTCATGCTTGATTCTCCCATCTACCTAGCACAGTGCCCTGTACCAAGCAGATCCTGTAGAAATGTCTGTTGTGTCTATGAATATAACAACAAAAATGTGTCTGTATGGGGGAGAGGGGATGAACGGCGCCCATCTGCACACGTTACTCTTTTGATAAAGCTGCCTTTCAGATTCCATGATGAGTCCCCTACCCACCAAGAGCTCTCAACCTCGGGTCAACAACAATAACAACTCTTTAAAAATTTTTAACCATTTTTTTAAATGAAAATTTCCAAACACACCACAAAGTACAGAGAGAGGGAGGTATAATACATACTCACACACCCAACATTCGGCTTCAGAAACCACCATGTTGTCAACTTGTTTCATCTGTCTTCTTCCCACACTTTTTCCCACCAAGAGTATTTAAAATAAATCTCAGCAACTCATTTCACCAGCTAATACCTTGGTATTTCTAACAGACAGCACCTTAACAAAAATAACCAGATTGCCATTGTTTTGCCTAGAAAGATTAATTACAATTTCTTAATATTACCTAAGAGCCAGTCCACGTTCAAATATCCATGGACATCTCTCCATGAACATCTCAAAAATGTCCTTTACAACTGGTTTGTTCAAATCAGCACTCCAACAAAGTCAACACAGAGCATCTGCTTGCTGTGCCTCCTAAATAGTTTTAATCTGTAAAGGTATGTTCCTCCCCACTCCTTTCAAGCCATCTGTCACTGAGCAAGCTGGCTGTTTGTCTTGTAAATTCTTTTTAATGCCCTCTGGATTTGGTGACTACGTTTTCTTTAACATGCCCTTCTCTCTCATGCCTGTATTTTCTCTAAACTGACAGTTAGATCTAGAGGTTTGATTTGGTTGCAATTAATTTGTTTTAGCAAGAAAACTTCACACGTGGTATTATACTTACTGCATACATTCTTAGCATCATTACGAACTATGGGATTTTTGTGTTTTTTACACAAACCAGTTGTGTTTTCTATGTGTTTCAATCCACTGCATTTTTTTTTTTCATCCTCAAACCATCCCTGCTTTGGACAATGGACAACACTTTAAGGGTCTTGTGTCCTTGTGACATAGCTGCAGGGGGACTTTGGCAACTTTCTTGTACATCTATATGTCCGAGGTCCACCTTCCCCATTTCCTGCCCCACCTAAAACCAGCCATATCTCCAAGGAGCCCTGGTTCCTTATAGAGAAAAATGGTATTAAGAAAGCACAATTTGGATGATACCAGGGCTCAACGATTTTAGTTCTTTTCAGTGAATAAGGGTAGGAAATAGGCACTTTCTGGAAAGAAAAATACTAACCATGATTTCATACTGCTATTTCCAACTCAAACTTTAAGGGTTTTAAACTTCACCTCTTTGCTTTTATCTTTGTATCTCTATTATGCTGAAATTCTTGCTGTCTAACAGCTTTAACATAATCAGTTTTCTCTATTCTAAAATAAAGTATGTAGCACACACATATAAAACAGTGTGTACACATACACACAGTGTAAGTATTTCAGAGTAACAATACCAACGTTGCTACTAACAGAATGCAGTTTATAATTTCTCTGTGGCTCTTCTGTTCCTAGGCTATACCCCACTAGAATTACATTGTCAAAATACGATGTTTTAAAATCAGTTCAAATATCCTCTCTGTGAGATATACATAGATTCCTTCCTTCCTTTTCTCCTTCTTCCTTCCTCCAACCCTCTCCCTTTTTTTTCTTTCTTTCAAGAGATTGTATTTGTATTTCCTTTTTAATTTTTAATTAAGTAAAACATATACCTGATTTCAAAGTAATTCTATAAAACAGGCACACTCAAAGAATTTTAGTTTCTATCCCTGTCTATTCCACCCTGGCCTCTCCTCTTAAAGCTAACCATGTTTAAAATGAGTTTTTAGTTTATTCTTCCATGGTTTCTTTTTTAAATTATATAGAAAAAATGTGTGGTGTGTGTGTGTGTGTGTATGTATATTTATATACATATGTGTATATAAATATATGAATATGTACATATATTCATATTTCTCCCTCTGTATTACATAAAAGATATAGTATACTATAAAAATGTTTTGCGATTGCTATTTCCACATAATAATACATCACTCAGATCACTCTGCAGAATATATACAGGTCTACTTCATTCATTTTTACAATGCATTGTATTTCATTACATGGACATACCAGAAATCCCCTCCTGATGGACACCTGGTTTGTTTCTAACTCCTTGGAATAAGAAATAATGTTGCAATTAATGGTCTTGAACTAGTTTCTAGTATAGAGTCCTAAAAGCAAGACTGCTGAGTCAAAAAGCAAATGCATATGAATTTTACCAGAACTACCAAATTCCTATCTACGAAGACGGCTCCATTTTGCATTTCCACCACAGCAAGAGAATATTTGTTGCCCTATGGTCTTGCCAACTACATTTGATATCACACAGGTGAAAAATGGTATCTCAGTGAGTAGTTTAATGTGCATTTTTCTTTTTATGAGCAAAGTTGAGCACTGTTTCACCTTTGCGTTTTTCTGTAAACTGTCTATTCATATCTTTTATCCATTTTTCTGTAGGGCTATTGGTTTTTTCCTTTATTTTTGGAAACTCTTTGTATTATGGATATTAGGCTTTCTGTTTGTGATTTAAGTTGCAAATCTTTTCCACTATTTTTTCTTTATCATTTTATGTGCTTATTTGCTTCTTGTCATCCAACTTTTTAAAAATGTACTTAAATTTATCAACCTTTTCTCTTATTGCTTCCAGACTCGGAGGTTATATAACGGAACTCATTCATGTTTTCTCCTAATACTTGCATGGGTTCAGGTGCTGTTACATTTACACCTGTGCCATTTACAGTTTATTCAAACTGATGTCTATGTTATAAGGGATGTATCCAGTTTTATCTAAAGGAGGAGTTCCCAACCTTTTTGGCACCAGGGACTGATTTCATGGAAGGCAATTTTTCCACAGACTCGGGGGAAGAGGGGTTGCGGGGAAGACTTCAGGATGAAACTGTTCCACCTCAGATCATTAGGCATTAGATTCTCATAGACAGCTTGCAACCTAGATCCCTCGCATGCACAGTTCACAACAGTATTCACGCTCCTGTGAGACTCTAATGCCACCTCTGACCTGACTAGAGGCAGAGCTCAGCTGTGTGGCCTGGTTCCTAACAGGCCATGGACCAGTACCAGTCCACGGACCAGGGATTGGGGAACCCCTGATCTAAAGGTAGCGGATATCCTTGTCCCCATACTTTTTATTAAATATTCCTTCTTTTCCTCCCAGTGATCTGAGATGCCAGCTTTATCATACACTACATTTCCAAAAACATTTGAATCTATTTCTGCATTTTTCTACTGTGCCCCATTAGCCTGTCAGCCCCTTCACGTGCCAATGCCAGGTTGTTTTGAACAGTGGAAGCTGTATAACATTTTTAGTATCTGGTAGAACTAGCTGTTATTTTTCTTTTTCAGGGAATTTCCTGGCTATTACTGCTCATTTATTTATCTAAATAAATTTAGAATCAATCTAGCTCAAAAAAAACCTGAGGGTATTACTGGGATCATATTAAATTTGTAAATTAATGTAAGGAGAAATGCCATCTGAATGAAATTGAGTCTTTTTACCTAAGCACATGGTACGAATAGGGACAATTTTCAGGTAGGCTGCTTCCATCTCAGTAGGGTCTTCATGAGAACAACCAATATTTTGAACAGCAAGAGTAAGATTTGCAATTTTCAGGAAGTACTTTATATTTGAGGAGTGATTTATGACATGGAGGGGCTTTTAAAATATTTGCACTAAAGATATGAGCACCCAATAAGGGGGAACTTAGGTAATGCCAAGGTGCAGGTGGAGGAGGGGAGCAAATCCACCACAATCAACCCCTCAGTCCCAGCTGATTCTAGAGCAACTTCTTGCAATTAGGAATTAGGGAGAGAGAGAGGAATAATTCACCAGAGCACAAGTTTATCTTCCAAGATTTGGGCAGCATTTTAATGCCTCTAAACTAATTTCTAATGACTGGCAAAGTTTCGCTTTACTACAAACCCTGCCAAGTCTCCCTAGTACTGTCTCCCTCTTGGTGGCTTTCAGACTTGTCTTGCTCCTCACAGCCTCTCTGTATCTTCCTATGATGATGTGCTGCAACCTCCTGATCTTTATCATCCCCACACTAAGTCAAATCTTTCCTCCTGCCATTGCCTTGGGGAAGAAGTGGCTTCTAGGACTGGCCCCGCGATGAGAGGGCAATCTCCTTGGCTCCCGGTAGTGTTTCCACAGGGGCATACTTCACGCTGCTTTCCAACCAGTATGTTTCTTCAAACGTGCTTCACCAGAAATCCTGAAAGGGATTTTTACCATTTATAAAATGGAAAGTTTATCATATAATCCTTTAAACTGTAAAATATAAGATTACTGGTGACAATGACTGTTGGGAATTAACTGATTGAAAAATGAAGAGCATATACTGAAGATGTGAAAAGGTTCAGAATAAAAACCTCACAACAATTTAAAACAGACAAATGTCCCCACAGTCACAAGGACACTAGCAGACAGCACTGACATCCTAGCTGTCTGATGCTGAGAATTCAACAGAATGTGTGTGGAGCAGAAGCGCCTGTGAATTTCCAATAACTCCGCAGCTTACTAAATATACACGTGGTTTACGAATGTTGTTATTTGTTCCATCCAGAGAGTCTCATTTTACACCGTTCTGAATAAATTCTTTGGGTGTTCAAATTTTGCTTTGCTCCACTTCACCAAAGCATGCAAGGGTTTGATACCAAAAAAGAGAAAACTCTATCTTAGCTTCAATCTACCCACAAAGGATGATGGGGTAAAAAGTCAACGAAACTACCACTGGTAAAAGACAAAGGCTCATGAAGAGCGAGTTGGATTCTGAAGTCTGAAAGGATGAGGCCAAACAAACCCGGATTAGCCAGACGCAAGGGAGATGTCTTTTGAGAGTTGAGACTCAAACTCATGGGGAAGGGAGGGGAGTTGTAAACATTTTATAGAACAGAAGCCTTGCTAAGGGAAACCCTTCCACGGAAACTTACCAGGAGCCCTGGTAATGCTGAGCAGGAAGGCAGTGTGACAGGAGGGAATCTGAGAGGTCTGGGCCTGGGGCAACAAGGCTTGCCTGAGTGGGAGTGGGGGTGGGGGCTGGGGGGTAGCGGTGGATCTAACCCTGCAGAGAGGGAACTCCCCTGCGATGGGGGAGGGAGAAGATGATTCCTGCAGAGAATGTGGACTTAGCAAGCAAGCGTATGAAGTCAGGGTCAGATGCTGCAGTATTGAAGATGAGTGTGCACCGTGAGGAAGGATTTCAAGCACACGCTGCAGGATCAGGGAGAAGCAGAGAGGCTGCCGGAGAGGCCGGGGAGAAACTGGCTGGCCGAATTCTGGAATGGAACTCACAAGTCAGGTATTATAATTTTCTCCAATAACACGTAGCAGCCTTAGATAAGAAGGGGGCCTGGAAGACACTGGGGGAGGTGGGGGTAAGAGCCTAACACAGCCGGCACCTCAAGACAGCCCATGCTCACCAGCTCACTCAGTGAGCCCACTCCACCACCATGCTATGCTGTTCCCAGCACCAGAATGGTGAAGAGACAAATGGTCCCTGCCTATCCTCCTTGTACTTACATTCTAGGGTTGCGAAGAGCAGAGCAGACAAAACCAACCACAAATGTGCCTGTAAATGCATGCATATGAAGACAGTCTGACCTGTGGCAGTGAAGGAACAGAGAAAAAGGCAAGAGCCCAACCTGGGGAAAAGGAAGGGCCCAAAGAGCAGGGACAGAGAGGTGGGGGGCGTGGTGGGGTCCGACTTTTAACAGGTAGGGGGCAGGAAAGACCTGTGAGGAGATGAGCAAACACCTGAGGGTGCAGCAGCCACACACTCTGCAGACCTGGGGCTGGGGAGAGGAGCGCAAGCACAGAGGCTCAGGCAAGGAGCCGCCTGTCTCCTGGCAAAGCGAGCGAGGGGCCAAGTCCAAAGGCCTCAGCTTGAACTCAAAGGCCTTTCGTAACCTTGACGAAACCTTCACTCCCACTCAGCCTCATCTCTGAGGAGCCCTCCAAGTCTCTCCAGCCAGTTCCCTCGTTCCTTCCTTCTCTGCCTTGAACACGCCAGGCCCACCTCACCACCTCACTCTCTCCAGCTCTCCAGATTCTCCCACCACCTCCCTGCCCCCAGAACACTGCCCGGCAGCCCTCCCCAACTGAGAGTCACCAGGGTGAGGGAGAGGGGGTAGGAAGGCCACAGAAACATCATTTCCTAGGCCTCCTTCCAGATGAAAATGCTGTAGCCACAGCCTCCTACTCCAGGAAAAGGGACCACGCAGTTCTTTGCGCAGGAGAGGCCATGGCTTTACAAAGCGCTTCTTAAATGCTTCTGTGCATTCCAATCCCCTGAGGATGGTCTGATTCCGGATGCTGGGGTAGAGCCTGAGACTCTGCATCTCAGACAAGCCCCTAGGTGATGCCTCTGCAGTCCACAGTCTGGGCTGTGAGGGACTACAACAGGGATGGAGACAGACCCAAGGGAAGCCACGCAATTACTCTCACTTGGAATTTGGAGCCAAAACACAGGGGGAAGGCATCTGTCAGTGGGGGCTCCACAGCAGGGAGGGGAGGATGTGGAGAGATGGCTGGGGCCATGTGAGGTCACCAGCCTGGAGACAGGAGTAAGAGTGAGGTGGCCTCTGGGGGACCAGGAGGCAGTCCCTGAGGCCTGGAAGCCCCTTGGTTCATGCTCTGGGAGTCTGTGCTCTCCCTGTGGCCTAAACACATACACTCTTGCCCAGCTTCCCTTCAGCCAGCTGGAGAGCGAGGAGGAAGCACCCTGGCCAGACAGGAGCATGCCTGGGAGCCTCCCAGGAAGACACAACAGGTGTGCAGACACAGGTTCGGCTAGGGTGGAGCCCACCAACACTCAGCCAGAACATGCACCGTGGAAAGAATCCTGCTGCTGTGGTCTGCTTCTGACTGAAATCAACTGCTTTATCTGCTATCTATCATAACAAAGATAAATAAAAAATGAGATGTAGTCATGAAGCGGGAGTGCCTACCCTGGGTCAGGCCCTCTGTCAAGCAATGCAAAGACAGAGAAAAATAAGCCGAGGTCCCTGCGCCTCCAGAAAGAAACGCACGCTGGTCAGGGGAAACAGACAAAGGGCAAATAAATAGAAACACAGTCTCGGAAACGCACAGGGGACAGAGACTGACTTCCTTTCTACCTGTAATGTCAAGCTTTTCACTTTTTCTGCAATTGTTACAAGTAAAATACTATCTTTTATGAGTAACTTTTGTTGGTTGGCTCACTTAAACCATAAAGTGAAGTAAAAACATATGACTAAATAGGAAGTTTTTAAAAATCAGAAAACCTGGGAGTCAGAAGGCTCTTAAAGGCGAATATGGTCCATTCACCTGCTTCAGTTAAGACCACAACTACTTCATCCCAGTCAGATGTGTTTTTTTTAAAAGCCAGATTATACTTTAATCTATTTAAGTATAGTTTCAGCCCAACTGCACTGAAATCAACCTTTTCTGTTTTAGCCAACATTTTAAAAAATCTAACACAATGGTCTAATTTTTTAAAATTTTAATTAAAGGCCCATTTAGAAAAGTAACCAACTTTTGATATTCCCTGAGGTGGAACTTAAAACAGATTTTAATGTAACTGCTAACAAGGACTAAGCAAAAACTGGGAAGAAGTGTATGATAAAAAAATAGATAAATAAAGAGCAAAGGCTTGCATAAAATGTTCCAGTCACTGGATTATAATGCTTCGTTACATTTGATTTTTACCTTTTCGAGATTATACCTATGATACTGTATTACAATTTAACCAGTTATCACCTAGTCTTCCATAAAGGTTGGTGAGAAATGAAAATTAAGTAAACACAGTATTACATAAGTGCTTAGAAAAGTTTAACTGTGAAAACAATGAACAGATTTAAAAATATTCATTTGTTCATCCCTAAAAGTTTACAGAGCACTCACTGTGGGCCCGGAACTGTGCCAGGGGCCCTGGAGAGAATGAGGAGCAAACAGACATGGAGCTTACATGCTAGGCTTGTAGTGTTTTAGATGGTAATACAGTCTCTGCTCAAAATCACCAATATAAAAACATTAAAGTCCCAGCTACTTGGGAGGCTGAGGCTGGGGAATCGCCTGAACCTGGGAGGTGGAGGTTGCAGTGAGCCGAAATCACGCCACTGCATTCCAACCTGGCGACAGAGCAAGACTCCGTCTCAAAAAAATAAAATAAAATAAAATACTGAGGTCACCCTTGAAAACATAAGCCAACAATGAAAATTCAACTTCTTTCCCAAAAGGAAAACAACAATAATGAAACAGAATAAGCTACCTGAAAGAAAGCTTCCTCTTTCATTACTCTTTATCAAATTACTGTCTCTCACATATGTCCTTTTATTTCCAGGCTTATCACCACCCTCCAACCAGGCCTCCACTGCTGTAGCAACCTTTTAACTGGCTCAGGAATCCACTCCGCACACTGGGGCTCTTATCAGTGAGGATGGGCTGGTTCGTGCTGCAGTAACAAACAATCCACAAAAATCTAAGAGGCTTAAAATGAAAGTTTCTTTCTTTCTCATGCCACTTAACAGCTGTGTGGCCTTGGGTACACTACTGAACCATTCTGGCCCTCAGTCTCCTCATCTGCAACATGGGAGAGGTATCATCATTAAATGAGGTAAGAGACGAATACTCAGAACTGTGCCTAGGACACAGGACACACTCAATAAGCAACTACTATTGCTGTAATCGTTGTTATTCTTGACACCACAAATCTTGATCAGAAGCCTTCCTAGCTTCTGATCAAGGCTTCTGATCAAGATTTGGGGTATCAGAAATAATGGGATATGACTACACCCTATCATCTAGCCATCTGTCTCCCACAGTAGATCATGAGCTACTTGAGAACAAGGACTGCCTCTGACTCCACTGTTGAACTGCAGAGGTTCACAGAAAGTGGCACATGGTAAGCACTCAGAAAGTGCTTGCTGCACTAAAGGGAACGATGTTGAATAATAATCACTGGTACGTGAATAAACCCCACATGTGCTGGACATACACAGAGTCCCATATTAATGAGGGCACACTCTCAGATGCATCTGGCCCGCAGGAAACCTGACTAAAAGCACATGATGAAGATAGGGAATGTCATCTGTAGGTGGGAAAGATGGCTTTACAGGCCCAGAACCAAGCCACAGTTGAGCTAGGCCACCAGTACATGGGCTACTGCTCCCAGGGAAGTCTAAGCAAACGAAGGAGGATGTTCCACGTTGTGGAATTAGCACAAATCTATCTCCACGTGGGGAAAGAATGTAATTCAAGATTCCCCCTGTTCCTCCTTCCTTTCTTAGGGCCATCATTCCCCTGCCCCATGCTCTCCTGGCACACTGGCACACAACAGCCAGCATGGAAAAAACTTTCTGAGGGGATAGAGGTGCTCTCTGTACCTTGACTGGGGTGATAATTACACAGGTGCAGACATCTGTCAAAACTTATCAGCCATTCATTAAAAATCTGTGTTTAGCTGTATGTAAATTAGAAAGAGAGAGAAGCAAGCGATGGACAGTGCTGACTGTTATATGGTCCCTTAGCTCATGCCGGCAGCTGAGGTGTGACCCCATCCCACCCCATCCCCTACAAAACTAGAGCTTTATGAAGGGCAGGGTGGCTGGGAGGGAGGAGCTGATGCAGCTTGGTAAACTGGCCTCTGGAGGACATTATGAAACCTTGCTCATCCTCGTGCAGCCTCAGCTCCCTCAGGAGGCCTTTCCTCCTGCTTCATGGCACAAGAAGAGTACGGAACCCTCACCCTGATCAGACTGCTCTAGAATCTTTTTTGTTTGTTTGTTTGACACGGAGTCTTGCTCTGCCCAGGCTGGAGTGCAGTGATGCTATCTCGGCTCACTGCAACCTCTGCCTCCCGAGTTCAGGTGATTCTCCCGCCTCAGCCTCCCGAGTAGCTGGGATTACAGGCATGCGCCACCACGCCCGGCTACTTTTTGTATTTTTAGTAGAGACAGGGTTTCACCATGTTAGCCAGGCTGGTCTTGAACTCCTGACCTCAGGTGATCCGCCCACCTCAGCCTCCCAAAGTGTTGGGATTACAGGTGTGAACCACCATGCCCGGACTCTAGAATCTTTTACTATTTATCATTGTCCCTCTAAGCTTCAAGTTACTTGAGGGTGAGGACCTTTTCTTCCCCTTCCTTCTCTCCAGCACCTCGCATAATGCTTGGCACACAGTGTGCTCTTAATCAATATTTGTTTCTCTGGCAGTAAGTTTCTAAAGTTATCTTTAAAGATATGAGATATACTGCCTTTAAATAAGAATGGTACTTCTAAGTAAGAATAATGTCTAAATTACATTAAATCTTGTTAACTCTAAAGATTTAAATCTCTTCTTTTTTGGAGAGGTATGACTCCTACTGTCATGATTTATGACTCCATAAAAGCCATGTATTTACTGGGCAGAATAAACGGTAAGCTTGGTATGCATAACACAGCACTAGAATTCTTGCTATAAAGATTACTGATGCCTCAGGCTGTTATAAACGAGATGTCACATGAAGCTATGCATCAAGAGCTTGCCCTGAAGACAAAAACATCGCATACTGCTCTATCAAGTCCACGTTCAGTTACAGCTCCTGGCGCTCCGCAGTGGCTATGTGTATGCACATGTGCGTGTGCAAACACATGGCCAGTGTGTTTAAATGAACACCTGGCAACCCAAAAACAACATCTTAAAGATAGCTGTCAGAGCATGAAACATTGCACTAACCAGGAACTTCCATGGTTGTGGATTAGCAGAATAACACATCAAAGCAACCTTGAATTACGTGTGATATGCCTTAGGAAACTTCAGTTTCTGATGACCAATAATTTGAATCTAATCTTTTGAACCAAAAAGAATTATGTATTTTGTTCCAAGCACAAAGTCAGTGGCTATAGCTCAAGCCATGAATATGTAATTTCCTAAAAGTAAAACTGGTTTTTCTGAGTCTTCATATGTATTCTAAATGGCTAGAGAAGCCTGCAGTTAACAATGGTGGTGCTCCATGGAGGCACTGGTGGTCTGTCAAGTACCTATGCTTTCCACACGCTGGCTCAGCTAACTCCAAACAACCCTGCAGGGAGACTGTGGCCCTGCTCCACAGCCGAGGGACACGAGCAGTGTGGACGACTCTGAGCCAAACGTCAGGCGGGAGCTGCGGAAGCTCAGGACAACAGGGGCTGGCAGGGGCAGGGTGTGGAGGCAGCACCAGGTGTCCCCTACCCACTGCACGGGGCTTCCTGACGCCACTGTTCTGGTAACGAATAGTTGCATCCGTCTCTGCCATATACTTTGGAAGCATCAAATTTAGTTTGAATTTGTGTGTCATCACAAAAGCTCAACTTTTTTTCTTCTTTTACAAATTTCAAAAGAAGTAAATAGTATCCACAGCAGAGGTCCAATAAATGCCAATTTTATAAATACAGGCTCAACGAATATGACTGGAGAAAGTGTGCCAGAGTTTATTTCTCTAATAAGTCCAAGTTGAATCATGTAAGAAAAGTACTAATAGAGAATAATTCTTAAAAGAGAATCAAACATGAATGAATATAACTCTAATCACATTTTTAATAAATATAATTTCAAAACAATATGACTTATAAGGTCAGCATATGAAAAATGTATTGAATCCTATGTGTATGTAAAAAAAATTTTATCCCATCCATATTTACTAATACTGTACTAATGTTTTTTTTTTTCTAAAATGGCTAGAAATGATTTTTCAAGATTAAGAACAAATCTATCTTAGAGAATACAGAGAAAGAACCCATTTCTTTCTCCCTCCAAAGTACTGAATGAAACATCCACACCTCCCTTTGGAACATTCTCCAGAGGCCTTGAACGGGGAGCAGCGAAATCCTGAATCCCAGCCTGGGCTCCCACCTCGGAGCCTCAGGCATTTTCTGTCCCTGCTCCCAGCCAGCAGGCGCTGCTGGGCCACACTGTTAGAATCAGCTGGTATTGCTCCAGTTACACTGAAGCTCTGAGGCATTTTTGTTTTGTGTGGGGCTAGGGGAGGGAGGAGGGTGTAGCTGAAAGTCGCCAGGGTTGGAATTCCAACAGGCAAAGGACACGCCCTCTCTTCGAACTGCTCCAAGGCCGCCAGTCGGATTTTTCCTGTCAACACCCCCGCCACCCACCTCCCCATCAGACTCCCCAGTCGTCCGCCTCCACAGCCCCAGCCCCAGGCAGTCCGTCCAGAGCTGCAGGTGCAGACCAAAGCCATTCCTCCGCAAATAGGAGGAGGGCACAGCCACTTGGGAAAGCATCTGGAACCGTGTCTCTCGTCTGGTTCTTCTCCACTCCTTCCCTCTTCCTCAGTTTCCACGTGCTGATGGAGTGGGATTCACACGATGAGAAATCAACTCCAACTCCCTCTCTTGCCCCCAACTCTGCCATGGAAATGATTTCATTTAAAGGTTCCTCTTGGATTTTTCCAGTGGATATATTCAATATTATCACTAAAACATGTCAAATAAATACCAATGAATCATTCCCAGAAAGTAGTCTCACATTAAACCAATTATTCAATGTCTGAGAGTAATATGAGCTAAGTGCAGCTTGTAGAAGGATTTGTAACATAAGATGTACAATAATACAAAAAGTTCAACCTGAAAAGGACAATCACAACCCCCATCCCCACCCCACAGTAAACTCTGAAGGGCAGTTTCAGCTGGACTGGGAAAAGTTCAACATATTTAGCTCTTTTCTTTTCAAGCAATAGTTCATTTTTCTCAAATGATTAAAGCATACATATTCTCTTGCTTAAAGTTGGTACACAATTTCCTCTAATAAATATATCTTTTTGGAAATGTCAGTCTTTCAAGCCTGTACACAGAATATTGATTACTTAAAAAGGGTCTGGGGCCGAGTGTGGTGGCTCATGCCTATAATTCCAATGCTTTGGGAGGCAAGGCAGGAAGATCACTCGAGCCCAGGGGCTCGAGATTAGCCTAGGCAACACAGCAAGACCTCATCTCTACAAAAAATTTAAACATTAGCCAGGCATGGTGGTGGACACCTGTAGTCCAAGCTACTCAGGAGATTGAGGTGGGAGGATCCCTTGAGCCCAGGAGTTTAAGGCTACAGTGAGCCCGTTCACACCACTGCACTCCAGCCTGGGTGAGAAAGCACAACCTTGTCTCTTTAAAAAAAAAAAAAGTCTAGGTAAACAAAGAGAATTCCATTTTAAACTTAATTTACGATAACATGGAAAACTCTGGCTAATGGCATGCCCAGTGGTCACCTCTCTCAGAGACTTGGCCAAGGCCAAGTCTGTGCCAAACATGGCAGAAGGAGGAGGTGGGTGGGTGGCTATGTAGTGGTGCAGAGCATGGGTCTGGGGCCAGGCCACCTGGGTTCTTATGCGGTTGCACCCTTGATTGGCTGTGTGTGACCTCAGGCAAGCTATTGAACCCTGATGTGGCTCAGTTCACAGATTTCTATGATGGGGATAATATGTTCCCATCTAGGAAATATCATGAGGATGAACGCACTGATATATTTAAGGGCTCAGAAGAGTACCTGACACACAGTGAGCACTATAAAATGCTCCCCTGCACTACTGTTGACTCTGGTCATTATTATTCATTTTGGAAACAGTTTACTTTTTCAGGGTCTTGAATAAGGTTCAAAATTTTATTTTTCCAATCTATAGAAGAAACCAAGTTAATAATACCTTTCCCCCAAAAGACACAGGGGTACTTCCAAATATACACAAATTATTACTATTAGTAGCATGAAAAACACCAACAAGATATTGATGACAGTAACCAACCCCAGAACTTAGTGCGGCCAGGAGGAGGGAAGGGGAAAGGAGCAGAGCCTGGGAGGCAGTGAGAAGGCAGAACGGCCAGAGAACCTTCACACCTCTTCTTGCTCCTCCTTGGTCTCTTGAGGCCCCCTAATCAGAGTTTGTTATGATTAGAAATACATCCATACAAGTATGTAAAAGAAGGATGAGGGCTTAAAACATTTCCCCTCCAAGGTGTGTTTGCATTTTGACATAGATCTGAACTAAAGGAAATGAAAAGTTAAAAGTGGAATTCCTATCACGATGAAAATATCGGAAGGATAGAGGGTCATGGAGAAATCAGGCCACACCTCTGACTATCTGAATGGGCCACTGCTGCAGGATTTACAAGCACTGTGCAGGCACAGGAAGTCCTGAACAAGCGTTTGGAGGGTTGGAGATTTCCTCTGAGGGCCACACATGTGACCAGCACAGGGCCACAGGTGGTACTCCTTCCCCATGCCCTGCCACCTGGCTTTCCTGAGCACCAGGATGCTGGCTTGTGAGAGACAGCCAGTCAGTCCTGTGTGTTGAGGGACGGTCTCGCAGCTCACAGGCAGAGAAGGAACAGGCATGGACCTCATGCTTCTCATACTCTTGGCACCCCTTCATGGTGGCTGCCTGCCCAAGAGCCTGTTGCAAGGAGGGCCAAGACATTTTTTGAGACAGAGTCTCACTCTGTTGCCCAGGCTGGAGTGCAGTGGCACGATCTCAGCTCACTGCAACCTCTGCCTCCAGAGTTCAAGCGATCCTCCTGCCTCAGCCTCCCAAGTAGCTGGGACTACAGGCATGAGCCACCATATCTGGCTAATTTTTTTGTATTTTTAGTAGAGTCGGGGTTTCACCATGTTGGTCAGACTGGTCTCGAACTCCTGACCTCAGGTGATCCGCTGGCCTCGGCCTCCCAAAGTGCTGGGATTACAGGCTTGCGGGACTACTGAGACAGCACTCCCACCACTGAGTGGCTTTGAGGAAGCCTTTCCTGCACATTTAACTTAGAGAGGCAGAATGACACAGTAAGCACAGGCTCTGAAGAGGATGAGATAAAACAAAACACACCTCTGAAACATCCCACTCAAGCACATGCAGGAGGCATTCATGGAAGGTCACTGTGACTGCTGTCATCAATAGTAATTTAATCCTCACAATAAATGTATGAGGGAAGTAAAATCATCTCTACTTTACAGATGAAGAAAGGGAGACTCACAAGTTAAGTCAACATGTGAGGTGTTGCCTGGGTAGAAAGCAAGAATATCCTAGAATTTAAACTGTTTTTTCACCTGAATCAAAATTTCCCATGCACCACGAAGGTACACGTGCCAAGCTGCTGGAGCCCACCTCCGTGGGTCGTCTCTCAGCAGCTCCTGCTTAGCTGACAGGACTCACTTTTGCACTTAACCCCATAAGGCTCAGGAACCCAGGTTGCGTCCTGCCACTGGGCAGTGTGAGCATCATTCTCAGAGGCCAGAAATAAAACCCAGAGAGGCAGACAAGAGTGGAGGCATGCAGGATCCAACTAGGACAAGGTTCCTGGAGGCTAGAGTTTTCAGGACTGCAAACAAGTAGGTGGCTTTTGGCTTACAAAGGGCAGAGACAAAGAATGAAAAACTCTAGTCTAGGATGGGACCCCATCACAGGCTGCCACATCATCAAAATCTCTGTGTAGCAGTTAAAAAGGTTTTGGGTTGCTTCGACATCTCAGTGGGGGACCAGGGAAGACCATTATCACAGGCAGCTACTGCATCCAGAGTCACATTGTCAGTGTGGTACTAGAATCCCAAGTCAAGAAATTATATTAATATAAAAACTGAGATGGGCGCAGTGGCTCACACCTGTAATCCCAGCACTTTGGGAGGCTGGGGCGGGTGGATTGCCTGAAGTCAGGAGTTCGAGACCAGCCTGGCCAACATAGTGAAACCGCATCTCTACTAAAAATACAAAGAATTAGCTGGGCATGGTGGTGCACACCTGTAATCCCAGCTACTAGGAAGGCGGAGGCAAGAGAATCGCTTAATCCCGGGAGGCGGAGGTTGCAGTGAGCTCAGATCACACCATAGCACTCCAGCCTGGGCAAGAGCGAGACTCTGTCTCAAAAAAAAAAAAAAAAAAAAAAAAAAAAAAAAAAAAAAAAAAAAAAAAGCTGGTAAGAGGTGAGTGGACCCTCTAGGACCCGAGGAGATGAAAACAAAAGCAAATCGCTCTGTGAATACAAGTCCACAGCCAGGACCTATGGGACTTCTGCCGAAAAAGGTTTCTCCTAAGAAGATGAGATCAAGTTAAAAGACAGAAAAAAAAAATCACTGGGAAAAGAAACCGCGGGTGGAGAGGAGGAGGGGAGGGGTTAAGGGAAGAGGGAAATGAGAGAGAACAAATGAGAAAAACCATACCCTAAAAACTAGAAATAAAAACAATCTCCAAGAGAAAATAAGTGTCTTAAATGACTCAAGACGAAGATGGACAACACAATAAAAAATAAGTTGATCAGCCGGGCACGGTAGCTTACGCCTGTAATCCCAGCACTTTGGGAGGCCGAGGTGGGCAGATTACCTGAGGTCGGGAGTTCAAGACCACCCTGACCAACATGGGAAAACCCCACCTCTACTAAAAATACAAAAATTAGCTGGGCATGGTGGCGCATGCCTGTAATCCCAGCTACTCGGGAGGCTGACGCAGGAGAATCACTTGAACCTGGGAGGCGGAGGTTGCGTCGAGATCGCACCATTGCACTCCAGCCTTGGCAACAAGAGCAAAACTCCGTCTCAAAAAAAAAAAAGAAGTGGATCTGAAAAAGAACCACAAAATAATCCTCAGAAATGAGAGCTACAATAAGGAATCTACTAACGCTGAAAATGGCCTAACCCTTAGTTCCCACAGTGAGTGCAGAGCCCATCGTGCAGCCAAGGGGCCAGCTCTCTGGCACAGCCCCAGCCCCAGCCCCAGCCCCAGCCCCAACCCCAACCCCAACCCCAACCCCAACCCCTCAGGTGCCACTGGGTCCTGCACTGTCCCACACACCTGCTCACCCACTGCCTGCAAGGCTGACCTACTCCTCTAACTGCCTAACTCTTTCTCATTCATCCTTCAAGGCCTGGATCCAGGAGGTTCTTCCTGAAGTTCCAAGTAGAGCCATTTATACCAAGCACTTAGGTACTTTTCTACTGGCTCTCAATCCTGTCACACACCACTTATTCTATGATACTGAGATGATAGTTTCTACATCTGTCTCCTTCTTTACACTGTGAATTCCTCGAGAGAACAGTAGGCCAAATCCATTTCTGCATTCCCAGTGTCTAGAATACTGGCTGGTACACAGCATATGGCAAACACATACTTGTTGAATTGAACTACAAGCTCTTACCACTATGCCAAAATAGCACGTTCATTTCTATTTGGAGTAAAAAATATTCCCAACTTTAACTGCAATATAGCAGTAGGTTTGAATTCAAACTAAAATCCACAGTCTGAAACTAAGTATCATTTTTGTTCTATTAGAATATGATGGGCATGAAATTAAATTCTACCTGAATAAGATAAGCAATCAGCTTTTAAAACGTGGGGGTGGGGGGAGTCAGACAATGCCTTCAAGCACTGACAGGAAAAAAGTCTTTTATAGGAACATAACTTTGATCCTCTTAATTTTCAGCTGCTGCCAGGAAAAAAAAAAAAAAAAAAACTAAATATGCTAAAGATCAAAACTGCTTTAGATGTGGGACAGACATTTCCCATCTTATTATTATTATTATTATTATTATTTTTTTTTTATTTTTTTTTTTTTTCCAGAAAAAGGTAGAGCTACTTTCCAACATTTGAAATAAGAGCACTTTTCTCATTTAACCAAGAAAACGAAGCCTGGGGAGATATATAGACATTTCACAGTCAGATTTTCATTAGATTGAGATATGTCATAGAAATCCTGAACATTCAAGCACTCAGTAAGAGCTGATGTACCCAAGTCAGAACACCTGACAACAGAGAGGAAATTCAAATGCCTATTCCTTTAAAGGGGAAAAAACACATATAACAGTGGAAGAATGATCTTTATATTTCCATCTCTGTCTGTCTCTTCCTCTCTCTCTCTCTCTCTCTCTCAAAAACACACAAACCCTATCACCACCAGCCCAGCTATTAATTATCTCAGTTAGCAAAATTCTCCAGATCCAATGCTAACGTTTTACTTTTAAAAATCTTTCAACTGAAAGTATAATTGAAATTGTCATTGCTAAAGCCCCCAGATCTTGGCCAAAGAAGGGTTAAGAGGTGTACAAAGTATAAAAGAAGAACAAAGAGGCTGGGCATGGTGGCTCACACCTGTAATCCCAGCACTTTGGGAGGCCGCTGCAGGCAGATCACTTGAGGTCAGGAATTCAAGACCAGCCTGGGCAACATGGTGAAACCCCGTCTCTACTAAAAATACAATAATTAGCCAGGCATGGTGGCACATGCCTGTAATCCCAGCTACTCAGGAGGCTGAGGCAGGAGAATCACTCAAACTCAGGAGGCAGAGGTTGCAGTGAGCTGAGATCACACCACTGCACTCCAGCCTGGGCAACAAAGCAAGACTCTGTCTCAAAAAAAAACAGGAAAGTAGAAGAAAGAAAGAATTACTACAATCACTAATGAACGGAGCATGTTCTCTTCTTATCATGGAGAAAAACTCTTTACATAAGCTTTTTTACAAGCTTTTGTAATAAGCTTTCCTTTTCTCCCCGGGTTGCTGGATTATCCTTATCACATGGTAAATTCGTATAACTTCTCCTGGGTCTGTTTGGAAACTATGTCTGCCTCCACTAACCTATAAACTTTTGTAAATTGTTTTGATTATTTTAGCCTTAAAGTATATTTTAATATTGATATGACAATTCCTCAATTATTTTCATTTTATAGTCAAAATTATGGCTTATTTTTCACAGTGGGATTTTAATTGGTCTAGTAATAAAAATCAGTTTAAAAATAACTAATATCTTTCCCATATTCCATACTTCCATACAGGAACAAGGTACAGCTCTCAGTTTATACAGCTGGTTTTCCCCTCACCCAAGTCTCAGATATTCTTCTTTTTGGATACTGTGAAATAATTGTTTTTTACTGTTAAACACAAATCCATTTAAAATCACTGTTGTCGGCCGGGCGTGGTGACTCACACCTGTAATCCTAGCACTTTGGGAGGCCAAGGTGGACAGACTGCTCAAGCTCAGGAGTTCAAGACCAGCCTGGGGAACATGGGAAAATCCCACCTCTACAAAAAAAAATACAAAAATTTGCCAGGTGTGGTGACATACCTCTAGTACCAGCTACTTGGGTGGCTGAGGCGGGAGGATCACTTGAGCACAGAACTGCGGTGAGCTGTGATCACACCACTGCACTCCAGCCTGGGTGACAAAAGCAAGACCCTGTCTCAAAAATAAAATTAAATTAAATTAAAACGTCTGTTATCTAAAAATTGATCATATGGCGTAAGTAAAGAAAACTGAGTAGCAGTTAGGAAAACTGGATTCATGACTTTTACAAACTGCGGAATCATCATGGGCAGCACATTACTTCCCCAATGTCTCCCTTTCTGTGTCTACAGTATGGGGTAAATTATGCTTCTCGGAAATACGCATGTGCCTGAAATGTAGCCCTCAACATGAACCTTAAAGAAACCATATTCAGGCCAGGTAAGGTGACTCAAACCTGTAATCCGAGCACTTTGGGAGGTCAAGGAAGGAGGACTGCCTGAGGCCAGGAGTTTGAGACCAGCCTGGGCAACACAGTAAGACCCTGTTTTTCTACCAAAAAAAAATTTTTAGTAGTCGGGCATGGTGGCACATGCCTGCAGTCCCAGTTATGTGGGAGGCTGAGGTAGGAGAACTGCCTGAGCCCATGAGCTCAAGGCTAAAATGAGCTATAATCACACCACTGCACTCCAGCCTGAGCAACAGAGCAAGACCCCACCTCTTAAAAAAGAAAAAAAGAAAGGGAAAGAAAAAAGAAACTACATTTACTAAAACACTAGACATTAGATGATAATGAAAAAAGTTCAGTAAGAATTGTGGAAAAAGCTGTAATACAATGTCCTGCCACCTCAAAGAGTCACACAAATTTGGTCATAGATTTCAAAGGACCAGTCTCAAACATCTTCTTTTGTGGTGACGGTGGAAGCAGTGGATGGTAACAGGAAAAGTATGGGCTCTGGAGTCAGAATTTGGCCTGCTATCGCTCCAAGCAAGTAACTACTCTACGCTTGACTCACCAGTAAAGCAAGCAAAGTCATCCAGCGTCCATTAATTTCACTACACTATGTACCCAGTGTTACGGCAGGTGTTAAGCCAAATATGATGTGTCTGCCTTCACGCTTAAAGCCTAGGGAGGAATATGCAGTGGTAGGAATTCCACGATGAAGCACAGGTCAAGGGCCTGGAGCCTAGTTAGTTTGCAATAGTAATGGTTATCGACAATAGTACGCTGTTACATTGCAATTATATAATTAGTATCATTCTTCTTTTTAAATAATGTTATGCATTTCCTGGAAGAGAATAAGTCAATTATTGTAGAACAAGACATAGAAAAGGGGTTTTTGGAGTCAAATGGTAGACCATCCTTTAGTCTTTTAAAAAAAATTTTACAGCTGCAACAACCTAAACCATGATAGGTTTCCTCTAGATAGGAATTTTAATTTCATTTACTGTTACAGGAACTGTAAGTTCAGGGAACTAATGGTGACAGTTTGATTTATGAATTTTGACATATTTCTTGATCTGGGATTACATTACAAAGAAGTGGAATTCTAAGCAAGCCAGATCTTGCCTATACATTCAATCTTCAAATCAATAAGCTGAGATTTGGTGCAACTTGCTTCTGACAAGAGGAAAAACACAGGAAAAACGCACAATCCAATTGAGGTAAGACATATGCCCTGTAATTTAAAAGTTCCTTAACATACTTTCAGAATTGAGCTAGAACAGATTTTGGAATTCACGCGGAAAACACTTCAGCTCTTTACTAGATAATAACATAAGAGAAATTCAAGTCAGAAAACATTTATGACAAGAATCAAAATTACTCTCATCCTAAAGAAAGTTCTCATATTTGTTTTCATTTTACTTCCTCCATAAAGCCCCATCTATTAGAAAAAGTAATACACACAGAATGCAGAATATGAGGTTTACTTTGAACTTTGCAAATCCTTGTGAAATGTTGTCTACAAATTTCTATGTAAATACATATAATGGGGAGACACTGGAATGAACTAGATCTTTTCAATTCCAAAGGGACTGGTAGGGAGGGTAAGAGGAGGGACACGGAAGTATTATAGTTAGAGACATAAGGCAATCCATTATATACTTTTTTTTTTTTTTAAAGACAGAGTCTCGCTCTGTTGCCCAGGCTAGAGTGCAGTGGCACGATCACGGCTCCCTGTAGCCTCGACCTACTGAGCTCAATCAACCGTCCCACCTCAGCCCCCCAAGCACCTGGGAGCACTGGCTAATTTTTTAATTTTTTTAGAGAAACGGTCTTATTACGTTGCCCAGGCTGGTCTCAAACTCCTGGGCTCAAGCGATCCTCCTGCCTTGGCCCCACCAAGTAACTGGAAATACCGGCTATTTATTTTATTTTTTTAGAGATGGGAGGTCTTACTATGTTGCCCAGGCTGCTCTCAAACTCCTGGGCTCAAGTGATCCTCCTGCCTCGGCTTCCGAAAGTACTAGGATTACAGACATGAGATACTTCCTATACATGATCACATTTAATCCTCCCAACCCCACAAGGAGGTGTAACTGCCCCTATTTTATACATGAAGAAGCTGAGATTCAGAAAGGTTGAGACACTTGTCCAAATTTAAACAGTTAATAGATGGTCAACTAAGAGGCAACTCTGAGTTTACTGAACTCTAAAGTCTCATAAGCTCTCTGCCTGTTGTAAGGTTCCTCTATAAACAGCACACACGTGGATCCAATGTTACAAGCCAAGCAATGACAGAAAAGTCAGTGACAGGAGAACCCACTGCTCAGACATTTTCTGTTTCTTTTTTTTTAAACAGGGTCTCACACCCTCACCGAGGCTAGAACACAGTGGCACAATCACGGTGCACTGCAGCCTCGACCTCCTGGGCTCAAGCAATCCTCCTACCTTAGTCTCCCAAACAGCTGGGACTACAAACATGCATCAACATACTCAGCTAATTTTTAAATATTTTGTAGGGATGGAGTCTTATTATGTTGTCTGGCTGGTCTCCAACTTCTGAGCTCAAACAATCTCCCGCCTCAGCCTTCCAATGTGCTTGCTGGGTTTACAAGCTTGAGCCACTGCACCCGGCCCCCCAGACATTTTCAATACCCTGCCTGGAATTCCCCAATTAGACAGGCAGAGTTAGGTTCCTATAAAGAAGGAAAAACATGTATCTGGGAAAGAGAGTGAATTAAGCCATTATCATCCAGAAAGACCTTGGGAGATGGGTTTCATGAAAGACAAAACATCAAGGGAGGAGCAAGGACAAAAGTGGTGGTAACGGTGGTATAACTAAGAAGGGATGGAGGCTGCTACAGTAAAATTGAGTGATACCCAAATAAAGTGTTTCATATGTCACAGTTCTGCTGGTGATCAGTTTACGTATGTGTATCACACTAAACACTTATTAAGTAAAACCAAAAACAACAGCACACGTATACTGAAATATGCATCAGAATCAACAACCCATAACCTATTTACCCACAGAAACTGATTATAGGTAGAGTGTAAGTCAGGGGGTGAGCAGAGGGCAGAAGAGTATAGTGAGGAGCGTAGAAGAGAAAGTGTTTCTGCACAGGTCAACAGGGTACCTGTGACCTTGAGTTCTGAAGGCCAAGTTAAGGTCACTCAGGGAAAGTATGAAGGTTGGGAAGTCCACACAGTGCTAGTATAGGCTGAGAATATAGAAGCTGGCCCTGCCTGAGCACCAAGGGCCATGCCACCCCGGCCTATTTTACAGTTGCAAAAAGAAAAACACTAACACATATTAGTTAAGCATTTATTTATTTCTCTGCAGAGCAATCACTCGATCAATTATCCGAGTAACTGACAAGTCAGCCAGTACTGATGTACAAAACAGGTACTAATCCTCATTAAGAGCAACAACCTAAATAAAATCATTAGGAAATAGCCATAGACTTTTTTTTTCAGTTTTTCATGATTTAACAGACAAATACGCTGCTTGAAAACATTTCAGACAGGAGGAAATAATAAAGGAGTTAATAATTTGCCTGTTCTTGGCTCCTTGCAACTAGATACAAAAAGGGTGGAAAATAGTACACCCCACCAAAAAACCCACTAAAAATTGATCATGTTATGAATGTTTAACAACTGTAAATTCAGTCTTAAATTTTATTTAAGATTAATGAAAAAACCGCATTCAGATCTACGAAGCCTAAACCTAGGATTTAAAAAATATTTTTTAATTACTTGCAAATATTATACAATACAGATGTTCTTATAATCTAAAATATATATGATTTGGATCAAATAAAACGATGGCAAATTACAGTAAATTAGAATATATTCAAACATAAAAAAAGACTTTCAAAAATACAGAACTCAGAATTTAAAGGAACATTAATTTTCATTTGAAAAGTTATCTATTTTTACTAGTCTTTGTAAATTTAGTCAGAAAATTGTATAGTAATATTTACACTCCTTGAAAAGAACTGTCTTACTTGCTGTGTATCTTCAGAACCTAAAAGTGCACTTGATATGTAGTAAACATTCAACATTCAATTTATTTTACAAATAAATTGTCATTCAAGAAAAATTAGAAAAATTTACTGAATGCCTACTATGTGCCAGGTACAATTTAGATGCTGGGAGTAACATGATGAGCAACACAAAGTTAACGAAAAATGTATTACAAAGATTATTTTATGTATATAAATGAACCTGCCTTCAAAATTGAGAACTGAAGGGGCCAAATAAAGTTTGTCTTTACATGTTGAACTTTTTCATACAGTACAGACTTACTTTAAAATTAAGGTATGCTTATAGTAAAAGATTTATAGGCACATATATTTGACATGGGATCATCAAGTATGTGACTGCTGGGAATATTTTAAATCAGGGAGGAGGAAGGAGGAGGAGAAGAAACTGAATAGCAGTTCCATAACCTTTAGCAGAACGGATATATGGCCCATCCTAGTCAATACAATTTCCTTGGCGGGCGGAAGGTAGATAAACTAGATCATCTGTCTGTCCGATTTGAAAAATGCACTTAGCTTTATGAAATAAACGTTTGGTTTTTCTTCTAATAAAGATTCACTTAAAGAGGTTATGACAATAGTGAAAAGAAGAAGAATAGGGAAGAAAAAGGTAAACCATACATTCCTTATTCTAACAAAGAAGAAGCTGAAGAATGCTTTCTTCATGTTTATAGCATTAGTATCTTTGTGCTTCTTACAATAGAAACCAAAACAGAATCTCCATTTAGGTCCACAAAAGTTTAGAAGTAAACTAATCACTACAGTTGTAGCAAGGAAATACTACACAAGTCGAGAACAAAAAAACAAGGTAAGAATAGAAGTCAGTAAGGATTTGACACCTCCCTACCATGACGAGGTAAAGGGAAGTCTAGCAATTCCTTTACAATTCAGGAAACACTACATCTATCACGTGTACAGACTTAAGCATTAAAGACTCATGAGAATTTGGGATAAAATACATTTCTGTGCAGATTTTCAATCTGAGGCAACGTACCTTGATTCTCTTAAATCTTGCCCAAAGACAAGTATCTCAAAGAAAGATGACCATCCTTCCAGTTGATACCATGCTCCTGGCAGTCCAGTGCCTGTCCTTAGAGAGAAATGCTCCTGGCACAGCCAGCCCAGAGGACACATCACCCCCCTGTTCCTTTCTGACAGGCCTCACCACACGGACTTTTGCTACAGCTCCTAGTGGACATGTGTCATTCCACCACTAAAGCGACTGTCTTCTCCAGAGCATGCAGCACACGGCAATTCTCACTCAGCAAGTGCTAGCTGAGTTAAATCACACTTGGTCTCGGGGCCTTGGTTTCTTCATTTAGAAAATGATGGTGGAAATATCTTTTCAGCCCTTTCCACAGAGGTATCATAAGGCTCCAACAAACTAAAGCAGATGAAAAGAGCTCTGGAAAATGGAAAGTGCCACACAAGTGTAAGAGGGCCATCCAGCAGGTGGGCACCATACTCACTGCAATGGATGAAGTTACACAGACAACACAGACACAGTTGGGCTTGAAAGAGTCTTGCTCAAAATTCAGAGGAATCAGGCAGTACACAAAGATTTTAGGAAAATCTGTGTCATGAGTAGTTTTGAGATTCTGATTCAAAGAGGCAAGCATGGTCCCCAGATGATGCCAGAATGGAAGCTCCACAGAAGATATTAATACCTTGCCTGAATTACCCGTCAAAGGATCCCCAAGCCAGCAAACATTCGTATTTGATGAATGGGTGAATCAGAAACAAGGATAAGAGGACCCCCAAGAGCTCCCAACTTCAACCAGGAGGGAGTCTAAGGGGCCTGGCTGGCCTAGGAGACGCAGACTGACCAGCCTCCAGCCTGAAGTCCTGCAGGAAGTCTATTTTAAACCCTTTTCTCCAACCTTTTGGCAAGTTCTCACCATGGGGCAGGAAGTGAGCACAGGCCTGGGAACTCAATAGGCAAACAAATCCAAATTCTACCCTGGGCTCTGCACCTAACTGGATGGCCTCTCCTTAAAATGTGGTTACCAGAACCTGCTTTGCAAGGCTGATGCAAAGATTAAAGTTGATAATATATGTAATTCACTAAGCACAATGCAAGGACATAGTAAACACTAAACAATAAATCATCAGTCCCTTTTGTCTTCTGGGCAAAGGAGGAACCCAAATTAGGCTAGATGATACGAAATCCCTCCCAACTCAGATCTTTAGTCTTGGAGCAGAGACAGAGCCAAATTTCCCTTAAAGCCCTAGCTGGGTTAGAAGTGAGACAATCCATCAAGACAAAACACTGAGAATTACTGGTCCCGTGATAAAGACCTGCTACATAACCATCCATTCCATTTTCCCAAAACTATAACCAAAGTCATCTGAGTGCGAGTGAATTCCATCCCTTGAGGCAACAATGAGCAAGGCAAATATCTGTAACACCCAGCTGGAACAAGGATTTGGCTACAAGAATAAAGAACACTCTAGCACATCCAGAACAAGATTTCGGCGTTGTGTCGGTCTTTGGAAGGAGGAAAAAAATCCCAGAGGTAATGCTTTCAGGTTCAGGCCTTTTGTTGACACACGTAAGAAACTGAGAGAAACAGAGGGCATTTGAGTTGATACTCAAAGAATGAACTCCTTCATACCCTCTAAACTGTTTGCTGAGAAATCAGCAGTGCTATTAGCAACTGCACAAGTGACAGGACACACCATCGACTTCCTGTGCGCCCCAGTGACCTCTGCACAGCAGCACTTGGGCACACTCCATATTTACTTATGGTGCAATCTGATCCTGACTTCAGTGAGTTATTTCGCAAGCCTTTTAAGGGTTACTGCATTTTGTTCCTATAAGAGGCCAGTCCAAATTAGCAACAAAAGAATAGTTAAACACAAGAAAAACCACCTCTTTTGTGCTCAAGAAAGGCAGTCCTGGTCATTAAAAAGGTAAAGTGCTTTATTCGCTATCAACTTTCTTTTGCAAAAATCAGTCCAGTAATTTCCCAAGGGGGGAATCAGTAGTCTCACTCTCCTGAAGATGAGGATTGCCAAAATGGTGCGCCCATATACTAAAAGTGCAAGTTGTCTAGCGTTTGGTTCTGCGCCATGTCTCACAGGAATTATTCCAGCTATCAACGGCTACATAACAAATTACCCTAACATTTAGCATCCTAAAGCGGCCGTTTTATTTTCAATCTTTCTCCCCGCTTTTGTTTTTCAGACTAGATGATTTCTACTGATGTATCTTAAAGTGTACTGGCTCTTTCCTCTGTGATCTTTCTTGAGGTTAAGCACATTCGGTATTTTTTTTTTTTTATTTTAGATACTGTATTTTTCAGTTCTAGGATTTCCATTTGGTTCTTTTTTATAGTTTCTATTTCTCTGCTGAGATATCCCACCTTTTCACTCTTATGAAGCGTATCTCCTTTACATCCTTGAGCACGGTTACATTTGGTACTTTAAAATCCTTGTCTGCTAAGCCCAGTATCTGTGTCCTCTCACAGTCAGTCTCCGCTGATCATCTTTTCAATTGAGAACAGGTCACATTTTCCTGAACGTCAAGCAATTGTAAACTGTATCCTGGACATTACAGGATACATTATGCTGTGGCAATTCTGGATTATATTATATTCCTCTAAAGAGTGTTGATTTTTTTTTTTAGAGGGCAATTATTAATTATCTACAGTGTAAGTTGGACTTAATACTATAAACTCTAGGGTGGGAGCTCAAATCTCAATACAATGACTTCATCCTTAGCTTAGCTGCCTGGAGCCTGCCCCACACGTGTGATTCAGCCATTAGCAGAGATTTAGGTAGCTGACACCCAGAGTTTGGGGTCTGTTTTCTACTTTCCACAATTCCCCCCTCACTTTCCAATGCCATGGTTGCCCTCAAACTGTTCTTTGATTCTTCAAGCTAGAAAGACGGAAGATTTTGTAACTGACTTTTCACTGCCCTGCATGCCACACACTGTGTCATTCCCTTCTTCCAAGCATCAATTTCACTCCAGAATCTGCCCGTTTGTGTCAAATTCGAGTGTCTTCACATGGCTATTTTTTGTCCAAAGTTTATAATTGCTATTTGAAGAAGGATCAGTCCAACAGTAACTGACTGGGCTACTAACTGAAGCAGGACCTATATCCCTTATTTTTTTTTTCTATTTTTTACTTTTTCTCATAATACTATGGGTCATAAATTCAGGAAGGACTATGCCCAGTAGGGGGGCCCTGATCTATGTGGCATCAGCTGGGCAAGTAAGAAACTGAGGATGGATCTACTCCCAAGATGGTTTCTCGCACACATCTCATGCCTTGATGTTCCTTCACCAGACCTTTCCTCTCTCCTCATTGTATCTTATCTTCCAGGGCTTTTCCATGTGTATTCAGCAACTCGCAGCAAGGTGATCTCTGGGAATCTATACTTCTTACATAGTGACGGGCTTCTAAGAAGCCAGAAATAGAATCAGCTAGACCAGTTAAGGGCTATGCTACAAATGGTATAGGATCACATATTTGATTGCTCACAGCAGCCACAGGGCCTGCCCAGATTCAAGTGGATGGAGAAATAGATGCCAACCCTCGACAGGGGAGTGGCAAAGTCATACTGCAGACACACATGTACAATGCAAGACATTCTGCCACCATCTTAGAAAAATATAATCTGGCAGAAATTTAATTAATATTTAACTAAGCAAATCAAATGCCACCCGAAGTAAAACTCCAGAAAAATACAGAAAGGCGAGATCAATCTGAAGCATGTGGTCCAACTGCCCTGAGATCTTTCTTACCATTCTCTCACATTCTCAATATAACTACCTTTAAGCTCTTCTGCACATAAGAGGTTTCTAAAAGCAGCCTACTAGGTCCTCAAAGACTTCATACTTAAATATTATATTCCTTTTATATCCATTTTAAAACATCTAGAAGAAAAGGCTTATGATGCTATCGTCCATAAACATAGGATATAGATCTAAGCTTTGTTTTTTAAGATAATAGGCAATAATAACTAGTGTTTATTAAATATCTACTGTGTGTTAGAAATTTGTCTAGGCTCCAAAGAGCCTATATATTAACATATACATATATATATATACACACACACACACACGTGTGTGTGTGTATATATATGTGTGTGTGTGTGTGTGTGTGTGTGTGTGTGTGTGTGTGTATTCATATAAAATATATATCTCTCTATCCAAGCTACTTTCTAAGCACCTCAAGCTTTCACTCCAAAAGAGTGAATGTCTTCCAAGGACTATATTCTAAATGAAGCCATACATGTATAATACATACTAAGAAATCCTCTTACCTTGTCTTGGTTATCTTTATTCTTGTAACACAGATTTCCAATCAGACGAATGAGATGAGACTTAAACCCATTGGCCACATTGGAGATGTCACCTTCTGCTCTCACGCAACCACAATTACTGAAGATGTTTGTGGTTTCTTTTCCAGCTACATGAATCACCCGCAAAAGATCTATAACCAAAAGAGTAAACTTCATTTTCCACAGAAAAGTAACTTTTAGTATGTTGTACTAATAGTTTTCCATAGACAAATCTAATTTATTGTAATAGGCTAAAGGTAGAGCACAGAAAGCTTTATTTAAATAATGATTACAAGGCTCTTCTGCCTTTGCTTCAAAAAATGATTAGAAGGCTCTTCTGCCTTTGCTTTAAATTTTTTGACTCTAGTTTTGGGGAGATAAGCCATAATGACTACCCCAACTCAGAGTTTCTATTTATCTACAAAAAAAGTTAGCTAAAAGTTTGCTAGCATCCTTCTTACAAAAAGGTTTCCAATCTCAACTTCTTTATGAAAGAACTTTTCTAATAACTTCAGTCAATGAAGTCTAAAACACAATATCTATCCATAATGATGCATATGACAGAAACCAAGAAGAGTGCTTATTTTTCCCTCATCCAACTGGCCAAATCATCAGAAGCCAGCATATGTTCTCTATACTTCACTCCAGCTACATTCAGGAGAAAGAACTTACCACTGCTCTACTCTATGAGCACCTCCAGGCAGCCAATGAAAACAGACAATCTTCCAGGAACTGCATTTCAGTGTTTCCACATTATCTCATTTAACCCTCTCAACAAACCTATACAGGAAGGTATCACTTTCCCAATTTTATAATGAAGAAAACAACAGGCTCAGAAAAGTTGGCACCTGGCAGAGCTGGGATGGCAACCCACATCGACCCTGGCTCCAAACTCAGGCTCCTTCCATAATCACTCAAGTGTGCTAGGTTTGTGGTGTTTTATTTAAATTATCACTAAAAGCAATGTACTCAAAATACAACACTGATGAGGAATTCTAAGGATCTTCCTCTACAGCTGACTGCTAGCTCATCTATACTGCTAGACACAAAGTCATCTTTCTCAGGACACTGGTCTCCAGAGTAAGTATCATCTTTTTAAAGGAAAAAATTGCAAATAATGAACAGCAAACCTAAGCATGGCTAGCCACAAGGAACAGGTTCTACTTGAATTATTTTGCAAACAGCTTTTTAGCAAGGTTGGTAATACTTTTAACAATGGTTTCTTGTTTAAAACCTTTTTCTCATAAGATTTGTATATATAATATGTATAAAACACCATTCTATGTGTTCACTAAATGTAAATGGGAAAAATTTACTGCCACATTTTACAAAGCTATAGTAATATAAAACCACAATCATCATCGCAAACCTGCCTGCCCCACCTTCTTCATCACATCCTATATTGATGAAACATCTACTATATGCATAACAGGCATTGTTATCCTCACATTACTGAGAAGGAATCTTCAGTTAACAGAAGGGAAGTGGCTGAACAAACACATGGGCTCAGGTTTATCTGGCCTGCCTGAACTGTTACAACACTGTGATTCCTCTCAAAAAAATATATTCACAAAATTCCCAAAGTACACTGAAAATTAAGGATTTGTATTTGGATTTATATTACAGTATGACAAGCCAAAGATTTCTTAGCTAAAAATACAATGTGTGATATTTCACTCACCAATCACTCTTTCCAGCAAGCCAGGGAAAACCTGCAGATAGCCGAGCAGCTCAGTATTCACAGTCATTTCGCACAGGACGTCGAGAAGCCTAATTGTAGCCAGTGCCTCCTAGAAAGAAAAGAAAACATAACTTTTTAGCATATTTTAAGAGAAATTATTTAACTGTTATAAATAACTGTAAGAGAATAAAATATTTCAATAAATTTAAAGAGTCTGTGCTTGTAATAAGTCAAAGAGAAAAACAAAACTATGAAGAACAAAACAGAAGTATGAAATATGTACACGACTCATCATTTTCACTAACAGCAGACATCTGCCATCAAGAATGCAAGATTATGTGTCATTATGTGTCTTCTTGGAGCAAAGAGTCAGAAAAGTTCTTATTCAAGCAAAAAGACATTCCAACAGTGGAATAAATGTTCAAAATTACTAGCTATGTACATGACATTTATGCAAATACTTTCTTTTTAAAGCATTCCCAGCATGCAAATTCCACTTTAAAGATACAAATATCCCATAAAATACATTAATTTCTTGTCCACAGAAATCCTGTAAAATGCTGTGGTTGAAAAAACTCTGGCTTTAAGAACTTGCATAATTTCTGGGTAAATATGAACTTCTATGCAATATCTTGGTAGATTAGAAAGACAGTACTGTTTGAAAATGCTACTTCACATAGCTACTAAATAATTTATCAAATACACTGCATGACCAAGAAACTACCCAGTACCAACTGCATAGCATTAAGTAGTCTATACAAAAATTTTAAATGTAACTTTTGTATAGATTTTGAACCCCATTTTTAAAGTACCCATCATTTGACAAAATGTGGCAGAGATTATAAAGTTAGTCCATAAAGATAACATTCTTCACATTGGGAGGCCGAGGCCAGAAGATCACTTGAGGTCAAGAGCTCAAGATCAGCCTGGTCAATATGGTGAAATCCCGTCTCTAGTAAAAAAAAATATAAAAATTAGCCACGCTTGGTGGTGGGTGCCTGTAATCCCAGCTACTAGGGAGGCTGAGGCAGTAGAATCGTTTCAACCTAGGAGGCAGAGGTTGCAGTGAGCCAAGATCACGCCACTGGACTGTAGCCTGGGCAACAGAGCAAGACTCTGCCTCAAACAAAAAAAAAAAAAAAAAAAAAAGAGATAACATTCTTCAAAAGAAAGACAAATTACTTCCTTGTTAGTTCTAAATGTGTATTTACTGTTTTCTAATTAAGAGATTTAAAGGTAATACATTAATATAGTATTCTGAAATCTCAAAATAAATAGCAAAAAACAACTCATATTTTTAATGTCTTGGATCTTTAATTTTATATCATAGCCTTCTTTTGCTAAAGAGTTAAGTGGGAAAATCTAGATTAGAAGTCTAGATTAGTAGTACCATGTTAAAACGAGTCTTGACCAACTCCATCAATTTCACAAAGCTTCATCAACCTCTTTTGTTAAAGGTGTAGCTGCCCAGATTGTTATCGTGAGATACCACTGCTCCTTCAAGAACAGACCTGGGACAGCCCATGCAAAAGGTAACCCTGGACATCTTGTCATAGCAGACAACAAAGACGCTATTACAGGCTACTAGGGTCATGTCAGAAATTCGGAATCAGAAACAACTTGATGAGGCTCCCACCGGCCAGCAGTGGCACATTAAACATCAGAAAGAATTACAACGGTAACGGACTGAAAACAAATCAAGCGGTTTTACAGCTATGGCTTCATAATGAAAATAAAACAAAACAAACCAACTCACTGGTCATCTTTGAATGATGCCACAAAACCAACTCATTATTCTGAAGATTGGTAATCAAGAGGGAAAACAATCGAGCACTTATCCTGCCTTTCTTCATCCAGTGTACCTCACAGAACCTAAGAATTGGTTAGGGAAAGTTTCTCTTTAAAAAATATTCCTGCTAATAAACAAAAAATGAACAATAATGTTAAAATGCCACCATTTTGCAACCCCTAAAGAATTCATGGATCTAGGTGATCATTAATGACTGCTAATATCACAGAGACAACCAAGCCTCATGTGCTTCTTGACGAAAGTAGTATCATCAACAGCGAAACACTACTGCAAAAAATAAACAAAAAAAACTAACCCAAATCTGAATATGCCTCTGGAACGAATTTTCATTCACAGGAAATGCAAGGTAAAGAAGAATATGTTAAGTGCCACCCTGAAGACATACTCATCAAAATCTAAAATCTAGAAAAGTCTACAGGAAAAACAACCCAGTTTCTCCAACAAATAAGTAGCAAAGAGGAAAAAAAGAAGAGGAAAGGGGAACCTATACACTGGAGTAAAGTTATGTCAATCACTTGCCCTTATCTGTAAGGTGTTACAGATAAGGTGGCCCTTATCTGTAAGGTGTTTCAACAAAATAAACTTGAAAAAGATTATTAGACAATGGGGGAAATCTGAATACTATTTATTTGATAATAAATGTTATTATTAGTTATTTTAGATGTTTTCTTCATATTATACTTGTGTCTGAAAACTCCTTATCTTTTAGAGTAACTGATGAAATATGTTGGAGCTTTGATTCAGTCCACGGCAACTGGCATAAGAATGAGTGGAACTGTGGAGGAAAGAAGAATGGTGATGAAGGGGAAGCTGCTGAAGCCAGGGGATGGCATATGGAGTATAAGTACACTTTCTTCTTAGTCTATGTTTGAAATTTTCCACGTTAAAATGACAGAAATAAAATTAGAGGTTGGAAGAGATGAACTGGAAGTCTCCTTCCAGCTCTTAAATTCTATGATATTAACTAAAATAAACCTAAAAGAAAATTAATCTATCCCCACCTAACACATTCACAATTTTACTCATTAAAATCATTTTATTAAGAAAGTGTTTCTAATGAGCATCTGGAAATTAGTAACGAAAGAACAGCCAGGAAAAATTACTGTCTTAAAAAATAAGATTAATGAGTAAAATGCCCTTCCAGATATTTAAAAGTCTTATGAAACTAATATTAATTAAATCAGGCACTAGGGCAAAAAAAAAAAAAAAAAAAAAAAGACAAGCAAATGAAGGGAACATCGTGAAAGATTTTGAAGTGAGCAAAAAAAAAAAGATTAGTCTCCTGTCTAGCTCACCTGTCTCAGTTAACACTGTCATTTCGTATCTTTGAGCAATTTTACAGCTTTGTAAGTTACAGAAAACTTATATTAATACAGAATTATTCCTGTCCATTAAAATGCAAATTAGTTATATCTGCCTGGACTGCAACTACTTTGTTGATAGATCAGTTTCTGCATTTTTTTGTGTGTTCATTTCAGTGTTCCTTTATGGCATATAAACACATACCTCTCTGAATTCTCCCTTCTCCAGTTGTTAACATCTTACTGGTTCCCTCCAATTTGTTTGGAGGGAACCAGTAATTGATCCAAATAAATAAAAGAATTTAGGATATGATATAGGTAGGTGGGAGGATCCTCAAGCCCAGGAGTTGGAGAATATAGCAAGCTACGACTGCACCACTACGCTCCAGCCTGGGGAACAGGGCGAGACCCTGTCTCAATTAAAAAAAAAAAATTAGTGGAAAGGATAAGATTATTCACTAAATGGTACTGAAATAATAACAGATAACATTTAGGGAACATTAACTATGTACCAATCTGTATATTAAATGTTTATATTAAAATACAACCTGGCCGGGCACGGTGGCCCATGCCTATAATCCTAGCACTTTGGGAGCCCGAGGCGGGTGGATCACCCAAAGTCGGGAGTTCAAGACCAGCCTGGCCAACAAGGCGAAACC
The DNA here is from genome assembly GCF_000001405.40 of Homo sapiens. Classification (NCBI taxonomy): domain Eukaryota; kingdom Metazoa; phylum Chordata; class Mammalia; order Primates; family Hominidae; genus Homo; species Homo sapiens. The sequence goes on along the minus strand of NC_000022.11, from coordinate 45,735,069 downwards.
CCATCTCTACTAAAAATACAAAAATTAGCCGGACATGGTGGTGGGTGCCTGCAGCTACACAGGAGGCTGAGGCAGGAGAATCGCTTGAACCTGGGAGACGGAGGTTGCAGTGAGCCAAGACCACACCTCTGCATTCCAGCCTGGGCAACAGAGCAAGACTCTATCTCAAAATAATAATAATAATAATAATAATAATAATATAACCCATTTCAAGAAAAAGAAGGGCAGAGAGAGGCTAAGTAACTTTTCCAAGATCATATGCCTGTAACAGAAGAAATCAAGATTCAAACCCAGTCAGTCTCACACCAAAAGATTTTATAATCTTGGATAGTCAAAAGACATAAATAATTCATTTGGATCCATAACTCACTCCTTACTCAAAAATAAATTCTAGATAAATAAAAAATGAGAACTAAGTACTGAAAGAACTAGACTATGTAGGTTTGTATTTCCACAATCTAAGTGGAGAATTTACTTAAAAAACAAACAAACAAACAAAAATCTTCTTGGCTGTCAGTTGTCAAAAAAAAAAAAAAAAATCCAGAGGCCAGAAGGATAAAATTGATAACCTCAACTAGATTAAACACAAACAAAAAACGACTACAAGGCTAACAGAACATCAGAAATAAATTCAAACAAAAATTACGTAAACAATAGTTTACTGTATGTATGACAGAAAGACTAATTTCCAGAAAATGCTTTTTAATAAATGCATTTTAAAGAGTAACCTAATATGCAAAAACAAACATAATGGTCACTGAAAAACATTAACGAGAAATAGTAATTAAATCAGATCTGCAAAAGGCAACTCGTGCAATCTTGTGTTGCACTGATGTGCAACTTAGAAATCTCTCTAAAGTTTTTAAATACACATAATTCTTCAACCCAGCAATTCAACTCCAGGAATTTATAACCTGGATTTGATTTACTTAACCGAAATTTGTACAAGGATGTTCACTATAACATTATTTGTAAAGGTTAAAAGAAAAAAAAAGCAACCTGAAAGCAGCTGGAAAGTCTATAGGGAACAAATGAAAAAATTATGATGAGTCTATATAGTTAAATATTATTCAACTATTAAAAACATACAATGAATATACACATGCTAAAGTGCAAAGATGTACAAGTTACATCATAAGTAAAAACAGCAAGTTGAAGAATAGTGCAAAAAATGAAAACAAAAAACATATAGGTGTGTATATACAAAAAAAGACCTTTGAAAAGAAAACAAAAAAAAAAGGATATGCAGATCTATAGAAAACAAATGGAGGCTGGGCAAAAAGGGGAAAACTTTGTAACTTTTTTTTTTTTTTAAGATGGGAGTCTTGCTCTGTCGCCCAGGCTGAAGTGCAATGGCACAATCTCAGTTCACAGCAACCTCCGCCTCCCGGGTTCACGTGATTCTCTGCCTCCGCCTCCCGAGTAGCTGGGACAGCCTCCCGAGTAGCTGGGATTACAGGCATCCGCCACCACACCCGGCTAATTTTTGTATTTTTAGTAGAGACGGGGGTCTCACCATGTTAGTCAGGCTGGTCTCAAACTCCTGACCTCAGGCAATCTGCCCACCTCGACCTCCTAAAGTGCTGGGATTACAGGTATGAGCCACCACGCCTGGCTGAAACTTTGTAACTTTATGTTTCACTGACTTCAGCTTAAATAATTTTTAACAACAAAGCAAGCATTATTTGCGTAATACAAAAATTTAAGCCCTTAATATGTGGAAAAAATACACTATTTATTGTAGAATATGTATTAAATATGTATTATGTAATTAAATATGTAATACCTACTGCATAACAGGTACTACAGTATGGCCTAACCTGGGGTTGCAAAGATTAAAACAGAATGCAAATCCCACAACCTGGCAACAATTATTGTAATATATGGATATCAGAAAATACAAAGCTAAAAGGAATGTTTTTTGAGCTTTCAGAGAAAAGGCAAGGCTTGCTACAAGTGAACAAGATTCTGAACTGACAAAAATATATCAAAAACTGGAAACAAGTATACAAAATATATCAAAAGACAGGAATAAGTACATTAACATGAGAACCCAAAACTATTTTTATAAAGAAACGTATGAAGAAAACCTTGGGATTTTAAAGCCAAACAATTACATAAATTAAAAAACACATGCTATAAATACAACTGTTTCCATTCTCACTTTTCAGTCATAGCATTGAGAACTTTACTGAATATCTATCTTGTCCTAAAAAGATCACCAATGAGTAAATGCAGTGGTTTGGCAGAAGAATGGCTGGGGTGGAAGAGGCAGGTGGAAAACCCTGATTTGTAGCATTTGCTGGTTTCCATGGCACAACTACTTCCACCATGGATGATTTCAAGGTACCAACAATTTAACAATCAGCTCACAAATTTCTAAGCACTTAATAATCAACTCTTAGAAGTCACCACAGGCCAGCTCCAGTATAGCACTTGGTCTTTGGCATATTTAAATACTGGCAAAGTGGTCCTCTTTTAAAAAAAAAAAAAAAGTATGACATATGTGCATTAATACGCACAAGTCATAAATGTATAGCTCAATAAACTTCCAAAAGTAAATTAATTTGGCTTTGCAAAAGAAAACTGCCTACAATTTTTTCTTTTTTTTTGGAGACAGGATCTCACTCTTCCCCAGGCTGGAATGCAGTAGCGCAATCACAGCTCACTGCAGCCTCAATCTTCTGGGCTTAGGCAAGCCTCCCACCTCAGCCTCACCGGTGGCTAGGAACACAGGCACACACCACCACACCCAGCTAATTCTTTGTGTTTTTTTTTTGTACAGATGGAGTCTCCTTATGTTGCCCAGGCTGGTCTCCAACTCCTGGGCTTAAGCAATCCTCCCACGCCTTGGCGTCCCAAAGTATTGGGATTACGGGCATGAGCCACTGTTCCCAGTCTACAACTTTCCATTCCATTAATATATAAAAATACTTCCCATCTTAGAGAAAAAAGTCCAAAGGAAAAATAGAAGTTTTCCTAAATATGAAAAGTTACACCAGGAATTTCTCACTACAATACTGAAATCACCTATATTTTAAACAGAAGTGCCCTGAAAAGTTTAAAGCTGTGATCTGTCTTTTCTCTGTCTCTTAGAGAATTTTTAAAACTTTTCTTAAGCATGACTCACTGCTCCTCCTGCTGGAAACAAAGGCAAATCTATCTCCAGAAAGTAAACGCAAGCCCCTGAATAAAGACCTTTCTTTCCTATCACAGAAAATGAGAACTAAAGTTAACGAAATGATTAGTAAGATCTAACATGGTCTATATGACAAAGCACAGAAAATCAATATCAAAATGGTCCTGAACGAAAGTATATTCACAAAAAAGGAAATACACTCTCGTGGGCGAGCAGTCATAGCCATGAGCTGCATTTACAACAGGAGTTAACAGTTTCACAGTATCGGATCACATTCTCTACATTCCCGCCTGTGGACAGTGGATGAGTATCCACTCTGGATTCCAATCCCTCTCCTCCAGTGTTGCCCATTTGCCAACAGTGATTCCAGCATCAATTACTCCCTCTCTACCTGACCATTCATATCAGCATACAAAGGAACTCTCTATCATCTTTTATTGTTTAAATCAGCTTTATTGAGGTATAATATACATGCAATGAAATACACCCATCTTAAGCATACAGTACAAAGTTGTGTCAAGGTATACAGCTAAGTGCCACATTCTACTATCCAGAAAGTTCCCTCGTGTTCCCCTGCAATCAATTCCACTCATTCATTTCCAGACCCAGGTGACATCTGATCTATTTTCTGTCATGACCGATATATCTGGCCTGCTACAGAATCCCACGGAAATGGAATCAGCCAGCATGTTTTCTAGTCTGTCTGGCTTCTCTCCCTCAGCACTTCTGAGATTCTTCCCTGTTGTATCACAAGTGCATCCCTTTTTACAGCTGAGTGGTCCAGAGAAAGAACAATTCTAACTTTATGACAGAAGAAAGGGAGAATAGATAAAAACAGGAAGTTCTGAAGTAAAGACAAGGGATAGAGAATTAACATAAGCTCCCTTCCACGCCCTGATAAAACAAGACCTGAATGATCTAAGGTAGGCTTAAGGAGAATAAAAAATAGTTTAAATAATTAACCAGGACAGTATACCACTAGGAATCTCCTATAAAGAAGAGAAGAAGCAAACTGTCTAGAAAGCAGTTTGGAAGTATGTATCAAGAGCTTTAAACATGTGATATCCTTATACATAGCAATTTCACTTCTAAGATTATGTCCTAGGATAACAGCTGTGGAAATGTGCAAAGATGTAACTATAAAGGCATGTACTACAGTATTATCTAAAATAAGTAGAAATAAGAACAACCTACTGCCAGATGTGGTGGCTTATGCCAGTAATCCCAGCACCTTGGCAGGCCGAGGCAGGCAGATCACATGAAGTCAGGAGTTCAAGACCAGCCTGGCCAATATGCCGAAACCCCGTCTCTACCAAAAATACAAAAATTATCTGGGCATGGTGGTGGTGTGCACCTATAATCCCAGTTATTTGGGTAGCCAAGACAGGAGAATTGACTGAACCCAGGAGGCAGAGGTTGCAGTGAGTCAAGATTGTGCCACTGTGCTCCAGCTTGGGCGACAGAGCAAGGCTTTGTCTCAAAACAAACAAACAAACAACCTAAATGTCCAACTACAGGGATTTGGACAAATAAATAGGAAATTCTTTACTTGAAATGTTATGTTGGCTTTTTTTTTTTTTTTTTTTGAGACAAGGGTCTCACTGCATCACCCGAGCTGGAGGGCAGTGGGGCAATCATGGCTCACCGCAGCCTCAACCTCCTGGGCTCAAGTGACCCTCCCACCTCAGCCTCCCAAGTAGCTGGGTCTATAGGCATGTGCCACCATGTCCAGTTAATTTTTGTATTTTTTACAGAGATGGGGTTTCACCATGTTGCCCAGGGTGATCTGGAATTCCTGGGCTCAAGCGATCCTCCCGCCTTGGCCTCCCAAAGAAGTGGGGTTACAGGTGTGAGGCACCGTGCCCAGCCTATGTTGGCATTTATTTAAAAAGACATTTACAATGTATTATTTATTTATTCATTCAGCAAATACTTGTTCAGTGCCTACCATATACATAGTACTATGGACACAACAGTCAAAATTTCTGCCCTCCTAGAGCTTACATTCCGAAGAAAAAATGGGAACCTGCAAACAGAAGGCACAGAAAGGCTCCACTTTTAATAGATACATATGTGCACATGTCTACGTCTGTGTGCATGTATCTGATGTCATCTGTCTAGAAAATTAACCAGAATTTGCCTAAGTCATTGACTCTGGATGGTAGGAATAAGGACACTGTTTTCCCTTATCTAAATTTTCCAACTATTCTCATATATGGATACATTACTTACATAATATTTTTTAAAGCTTTTAAAAAAGAATTCTCATACAGGACTTGGCTGAGTTAGAAAATCTGTCCATTCTCTTTTACCCGAGATTGGGAAATCTGCCTCCCTTACCTCATCATCAGGAGGCTCCTCAGAGGCCAGCTTGAGCACAGTCTTGCACTGATCCACAAAGGTGCTTGCAATCAACTCAGCATGCCGCAAAAACACAGGGATGTCATCCTTGGTGAGTGGCTCATCACTCGTTATCTTGGCTATCATAAGGTCTAACAGTGTAACTCTGTAAAACATAAAGGATTTCTGCATGAATCTATAATACTTAAATTATACAATGCTAAAAATACCTAGGAAAGCAACTTTAAGGGAATATTATTATTTTAAATTCCTTACCTTGCTTCTAATGTCTAGCTAGGAAAAACATGAATAAAGTTAATCTTCATCAATCACCTATTTTTTAAATTCTTCATTTCTTTGATGTGTCTTGGCCACAGAAACTAGAATTGCTTAATGCACCTTTTATGTCCATTACTTTCAACATTAAAATAATTGGACATTTTAGACATGCTCAGTTTTTTGTATGAACACATCGACGACACTAGCAACAGCAAAGTGAAACGGGCTAACATTCATTCACCATTTTCTACGGAGCTAAGCATGTTACACACATTGTATCACTTAATCCTCACAAAAACTCCATGAGGCAGGTACTGCCATTAGTTTCACATTAAAGGTGGGTAAATAAGGCTTGGTGAGGTTAATTAACTTGTCCAGTGTCACAAAACCACTGAGAGTCTAAGCTAGGATTCAATCTGTGCCCTGAGCCAGGTGCTTTAACCACTCATTTGGTAGTCTTTACTGTGAAACTTTACTATTTATTTTAGTTTACACAAACACAAATCTGAAGACCAAGACTGTGCCATTTTTACATCAATATATAAGTTACCAAATAAATATTTCTTTTCAACCATCTCTTTCCTTCTCCTAGGAAAAATGAATCACACATAGGTCAATCTGTCTAGCATAAATCAATTAGCACATTTGCTCAAAATTACATTTTGATTTGGGATTATACGTATAATTCTAATTTCTATAGAAGACAGGGTACGAACATCTAAACTGCTTATTAGCAAATAAGGGTAAATACACTCAAATTAGGCATGGAACATTTCTTACCAAGAAAAAAATTTAAATTATTTACTGCTTCAAGTAAGAAATAAAACTATAGCAAACGCTTCCTGTACTGTGGCCAAATGATGGGAAATATCATCAGTCTGGAAAAATCACCTACAGACCTTAGCAATTCTCAAAACTCCTAAAACGTCAGATTTCTTGTGACAATAATTAATCCAAAATAAAACTAATACACGGTCCACTCAGTTGAGCACAGTATTAGAGAATTTCTGTTTTCCCTTATTTATATATAATCTTTAAAAATAAATTGAGGCTAAAAGTTCTAAAGCTTGAAATAAAAGGTCGACAGGCACCAGCATGGAACCTCTTGAAAGCACAAAATGCACAGCACCTATAAAACAGTAACACAATGGAGAACACAAAATATCCAGGTAACAATCAACATGATGGCTGGGATAGTACCTCACATCTCAGTATTAACATTGAATATAAATCATCTAAATGCTCCACTTAAAAGATACAGATTGGCAGAATGGATTAAAAAAAAAAATCACAAACCAAATACCTGCTGTCTTCAAGAGACTCACCTAAAACATAAGGAATCTTACAGAATCAAAGTAAAGGGGGTGGAAAAAGATATTTCATGCAAATGGAAACCGAAAGCAAGCAGAACAGCTCTTATGTCAGATAAAATAGACTTTAAAGCAACAACAGTAAAAAAAAGACAAAGAAGGTCATTATATGATGATAAAAGGATCGATCCAACAGGAAGATATTATAATCCTAAATATATATGCACCTAACTCTGAAGCTCCCAGATTCACAAAACAGTTACTAGACCTAAGAAAAGACAGACCACATGGCAGGCCACAAAGCAAGTCTCAATTTATTTTTTTAAAAATCAAAATATATTGGCTGGGTGTGGTGGCTCACACCTGAAATCCCAGTACTTTGGGAGGCCGAGGATGGGGGATCACCTGAGATCGGGCATTCGAGACCAGCCTGGCCAACATGGTGAAACCCCATCTCTACTAAAAATACAAAAACAACTAGCCAGCCGTGGTGGCAGGGGCCTGTAATCCAGCTACTCAGGAGGCTGAGGCGGAAGAATCACTTGAACCCAGGAGGCAGAGGTTACAGTAAGCCAAGATCGTGCCACTGCACCCCAGCCTGGGCAACAGAGCGAGACTCAGTCTCAGATAGATAGATAGATAGATAGATAGATAGATAGATAGATAGATATAGATAGATAGACAGACAGACAGAACTATATCAAGTATCTTCTCAGACCACAATAGAATAAAACTAGAAATCAATTCCAAAAGGAACCCTCAAAACTACATAAATACACGGAAATTAAACAAGCTGCTCCTGCATGATTTGGGGGTTAACAATGAAATCAAGACGGACATTTAAAAGTTATTCAAAATAAATGATAACAGAGATATAATTTATCAAAACTTCTGGGATACAGCAAAAGCAGTGCTAAAAGGAAAGTTTACAGTGCTAAATGCCTACATCGAAAAGTCTGAAAGACCACAAGTTGACAATCTAACATCATACCTCAAAGAACTAGAGAAACAGAACCAACTAGGCCAGGTGTGGTGGCTTACAACTGTAATCCCAACACTTTGGGAGGCAAAGGCAGGAGGATTGCTTAGCCCAAAAGTTTGAGACCAGCCCGGGCGACACGGTGAAATACTGTCTCTACAAAATATTAAAAAATTAGTCAGGCATGGTGGTGCATGCCTGTAGTCCCAGCTACTTGGGAGGCTGAGATGGGAGGATCACTTCAGCCCAGGAAGGTCAAGGCTGCAGTGATCGTGCCACTGCACACCAGCCTAGGTGACACAGCACGACCCTGTCTCAAGAAGAACAAGCCAAACCCAAAGCTAGCAAAAGAAAAGAAATAACAAAGATCAGAGCAGAACTAAATGAAATCGAAACAAAAGATCAAAATATAAAAGTTGGTTCTTTGAAAAAATAAATAAAATCGATAGACCATTAGCTAGATTAACCAAGAAGAGAGAAAATTCAAATTAGCTCAAATAGAAACGGAAATGGAGACATTATGGCTGGCACCACAGAAATACAAAAGACCATTTAAGGACACTATGAATACCTTTGTGCAAACAAACAAGAAAATTTAGAGGAAATGAACAAATCTCTGGAAACGTACAACCCTCCTAGCTTGAATCAGAAAGAAATAGGAGGTCTGAACAGACCAGTAACAACCAGTGAGATTGAATCAATAACAAAAATTGCCAAAAAAACAAAAAACCCAGGGCCAGACGGATACATGGCCAAATTCCACCAGACATTCAAAGAATTGGCACCAATCATACTGAAACTATTCCAAAAGGTTGAGAAAGAGAGAATCCTACCTAACTCTAACCTAATTCACTCTATGAAGCCAGTATCACTCTGATACCAAAAGCAGTAAAGGACATAACAAAAAAAGAAAACCACAGACCAATATCCCTGATGAACATCAGATGCAAAAATCCTCAACAAAATACTAGAAAACTGAATCCATCGGCACAGCAAAAAGATAATTCACCATAATCAAGTGGGTTTCATCTTAGGATGTAGGGATGGTTCAACATACCCAAGTAAATGTGACTCATCACATAAACAGAATTAAAAACAAAAAAAATATGATCATCCCAATAGACGCAGAAAAAACGTTCAACAAAATCCAGCATCCCTTTATGATAAAAATCTGGGCATAGAAGGAACATATCTCAAAATAGTAAAAGCCACACATGACAAACCCATAGCCAACCTCATACTTAATGGGGAAAAAGATGAAAGCATTGCCCCTAAGAACTGGAACAAGACAAGGATGTCCACTTTCACCACTTCTATTCAGTATAACACTGGAAGGTCTAGCCAGAACAATCAGGGAAGAGAAATAAACAAAGGGCATCCAAATTGGAAAAAAGGAAGGCAAACTATCTCTGTTTGCCAATGATACGATCATATACCTAGAAAACCCTAAAGACTTTACCGAAAGACTCCTAGATTTGATCAATGAATTCAGTAAAGTCTCAGGTAACAAAATCAATGTACACAAATCAGTAGCACTGGTATACATCAACAATAACTAAGCTGAGAAACAAATCAAGAACACAGTCCCTTTTAAAATAGCTGCAAAAAAAAAAAAAAAAAATCAAATGCCTGGAAATATATTTAACCAAGAAGGTGAAAGATCTCTACAAGGAAAACTATAAAACATGGCTGAAAGAAATCACAGATGACACAAACTAATGGAAATACATCCCATGCTCATGGATTAGAAGAATCAATACTATTAAAATGATCATATGCCCAAAGCAATATATAGATTCAATGCAATTCCTATCAAAATACCAACATCATTTTTCATACAATTAGAAAAAATAATCCTAAAATTCATATGGAACCAAAAAAGAGCCCAAATATCCAAAGCAATCTTAAGCAAAAAGAACAATTCTAAGGCATCACATTACTCCAACTTCAAATTATACTACAAGTCTATAGTAACCAAAACAGGATTGTACTGATATAAAGCTAGATATACAGACCAATACAACAGAATAAAAACACCAGAAATAAGGCCAAATACTTACAATCAACTAACCTTCCATAAAAGCATACAAAAACATAAACTGGGGAAAGAACCTCCTATTCAATAAATGGTTCTGGGAAAACTGGATAGCCACAGGTAGAAAAATGAAACTAGATCTCTCACCATACACAAAAATCAACTTGAGATGGATCAAAGATTTAAATCTAGACCAGAAACCATAAAAATTCTAGGAGAAAACCTAGGAAAAACTTTATGACATTGTCAAAGGCAAAGCATTTATGACTAAGATCCCAAAAGCAAATGGAACAAAAACTAAATAAATGGGACCTAGTTAAACTAAAATGCATCTGCACAGCGGAAGAAATAATCATCAGAGTAAACAGACAACCAACAGAATGGGAGAAAACATTTGCAACTATGCATCTGACAAAGAACTAATATCCAGAATCTACAAGGAACTCAAACAAATCAGTGAGAAAAAAACAAATAATTCCATCAAAAAGTGGGCAAATGACATGAATAGACATTTCCCAAAAGAAGATCTACAAATGGCCAACAAACATGAAAAAATGCTCACCATCACTAGTCATCAGGGAAATGCAAATTAAAACCACAATGAGATGCCACCTTAACCTGTCAGAGTGGCCATTATTAAAAAGTCAAAAAAAACAACAGATGTTGCCATGGATGTAGTGAAAAAGGAACGCATATACAATGCTGGGGGGAAAGTAAAATAGTAAAACCTTCATGGAAAATAGTATGGGGACTTCTCAAAGAACTAAAAGTAGACCTACCATTCAATCCAGCAATCCCACTACTGGGTATCTACCCAAAGGAAAAGACACCTGCACGCGTATGTTTATCACAGAACAATTCACAATTGCAAAGATATAGAACCAATGTAAGTACCCATCAACTGAGGAATGAACAAAGAAAACGTGATATATATATATATACACAATGGAATACTACTCAACCATAAAAAAGAATGAAATAATGTCTTATGCAGCAACTTGGATGGAGCTGGAAGCCTTTTATTTTTTTTTTTTTTGAGACAGGGTCTCACTCTATCACCTAGGCTGGAGTGCAGTAGTGTGATCTCACTGCAACCTCCGTCTCCCAGGTTCAAGCAATTCTCATGCCTCAACCTCCCCGAGTAGCTGGGATAACAGGCAAGCGCCACCACGCCTGGCTAATTTTTGTATTTTTAGTAGAGACGGGGTTTCTCCATGCTGGCCAGGCTAGTCTCAAACTCCTGGTCTCAAGTGATCTGACTTCCTCCACCTCCCAAAGTGCTGGGATTACAGGTGTGAGCCACCATGCCCAGTTGGAGGCCATTATTCTAAGTGAAGAACTCAGAAATGGAAAAATCAAATACCATATGTTCTCACTTACAAGTGGGAGTTAAGCTATGGGTACCCAAAGGCACACAGAGTAGTATAATGGACACTGGAGACTCAGCAGGCGGGAAGTTAGGAGGAGGGTAAGGAATAAAAACTACATATCAGGTATAATATACACTGCTCAGGTGACAGGTGCACTAAAATCGCCGACTTCACCACTATACAACCCATCCATGTGACCAAAACCACACCACTATACAACCCATCCATGTAGCCAAAACCACACCACTATACAACCCATCCATGTGACCAAAAATCACACCACTATACAACCCACCCATGTGACCAAAACCACACCACTATACAACCCATCCATGTGACCAAAACCACTTGTACCCCAAAAGCTACTGAAATTTTATGTCTATATAAAATATAGATATACCTATCTATATATATCTCTATCATAAGTGGATCTATCTACATATATATATATACACACACACACATATATATATATAAACACACACACACATATGACTTTCAAGGAATGCTAAGAGGCCACCTATTCCACGTGGCCCAAATGCGTACTCTAAATATATTCCTTTTAAATTGGATTACATAATGTAACAGTTATTGCTAAGTATAAGAAGTCAGGATCCCTGGCTTCAGGGAATTTGGCACCTAGTTCACTATTTCTTGAATAGGTAATGAAATAGAAGAAAATAATTTTATCAGATTTGTGAGTGTTAAGGTATCCACAGATAGGGATGTGGAGAAATGAGAAAGAAAACAGATGGATTACAACTGAAGAAAAAAAACGAACAATAGTGCAGATCCTGAATCAGGGGCAGATCCCAAATGGGCAGTCCTGAGGTGAGGACAGGAAGGGTGGGCCCCAAGGTGGTGGAAATCAAAGTTGTTCAGCAGCAACAGGAGACTCCGGGGGTCCAAGCGGATGAGGTGCAGGGAGATCTGCAAGTGCTAAAGGGAGTAGAAGCACACACTGCCTTCCTTACACAATGACACACAGGCCAGCCTCCTCTGGCTCAACTTCTCCCTGGCCCAGCAGATGCCGCCTGTATAATGCAGCTTTATTATATGGTTACAAGATGAGAGAGCTAACGATGTGGGTACTGAGTGATTTCAAAGGAAAGAAGCAGTCAAAGTCAGAAATGAATCTTTAAAATATAAAAGTACAAACTAAGTTTGACTATCACCTCAGAATAGACTATCCTTCATTAAATGATCCTACTTACATTAAGTCATCTGCCATTTAAACCTTCTAATGGTTCCCACTGTTAAGGAATGAGTCTAAAAGCTCTTTAGTCTGGTATACGGGTCTCCCTACCAGACACTCCACCCAACCCTCTATCTCTTCCTTGAAAATATAAAAGAATACAAGTGGTCTGACAAATGCTAGTTACTCATTGACTTATTCACTGTGGTGTGAAGGATGCAAAAGTAGGAAAGACCCAGCTAAAGGGGTTAGAGGCTACAGCCGTCTAGAATTATTACACATTGGTGTGAAAGTCTTGCTCCCTTAACCCAGAAATCATCACTCAGGCTGCTCTGAGTTCACCAGACACACCTCTCCAAACAGAGCCATGCTGCCATAATTTTGTCTCTCAATCACTGGCTGTCATTAGCATTCTATTTCTAATTCTCCCCTGATTAAATACAGTACTTACATAGTCTGCCTTAAAATTACGATTCCTGTTTTGTTTTGTTTTGTTTTGTTTTTTCATGTGACAGAGTCTCGCTCTGTTGCCCAGGCTGGAGTGCAGTGAAGCAATCTTGGCTCACTGCAACCTCCACCTCCCAAGTTAAAGTGATTCTCCTGGCTTAGCCTCCCGAGTAGCTGGAACTACAGGCCTCAGAACTCCAATTTGGAAAATGTCAAGAATAATACCTATTTCACAGAGTCTGTGAGGATTAAATGACAAGGGCTACATGGTGCCTTCTATACATAACGGTGATGCTACCTGGAGAAAACGGCAAGGTCATCAGCATAGTAGCAGTAGTTGTTAGACTTGTAGTTGCAGTAATAGTAGTAAGAGCATGGAAGCAGAAATAGCAATAGCTCAGGTTATAGATTAAGGTATTTGCCCTGGGTTACAGAGGTACTGAGGTGGTATTTGAACTCTTTCTGATGCCAAAGTCAATTATCTTCTTCCCTGCAACACGTTTACGGGGGTGACCATTACATGCCAGGCACTGAGAGTTTTATACACATTTCAATCAGTTATCATAACAATTTCATGGGGTAGCTACTATTATTCTCATTAACCTATCCAAAGTAGTAAGCGGCAGCACTAGCATCTGTCCTTAACTACTATGCCGTACACAGAGATCATAAACCTGAAAACTACACAAGCTGTTTACCACGAGCAGCTAGTCCAATTTGTTAATATTCACTCCAATTCACCTGGAAAGGAGACCAGACAAGTATGTAAATGTAGGCTCTCATTTTTGCTGAATCATGCCACGTGAATTGATGATGAGTCTATATCCAAAATTTCCCCACCGAGTAATCTGCATGAATAGACTACCAGCCTCTGGGTGAAGAAGTCAACTAATTTTGACAACAATGAAAAGAACTAGCACAAGAAAAAAGCTTAAGAATTTACACAGCACTGTCATTCTTGTACATAACAACACATGGTTATTACCCTCACAGTAAGGGCAGGGACTGTGTCTCTGTAATGCTCACATGCACTCACTTGCCCTCTCACCTCCCACCATGGGATAACACAGCAAGAGAGCCCTCACCAAATGCCAGTGCCATGTTCTTGGACTTCCCAGCCTCAGACTGTTAGAAATAAATTTCTTTTCTTTATAAATTACCCACTCTCCAGGACTCTGTTATGGCAGCAGAAAACAGATTAAGACAGTAGATGCACCATTTACATTCCCACCAGTAGGAAATAAACAGTGCACAAGGGTTCCAATTTCTCCATATCCTTGCCCAAACTTCCTCTTTTCAGTTTGTTGATAGTAGCCATCCTAATGGGTATCAAGTGGTACCTCATTGTAGTTTATTGTTAATGGGTACAGAGTTTCTGATACACAAGATGAAAAAGTTCCAGAGGTTCACTGCACAGCAATGTGAACATCCTTCACACCCCCTGAACCGTACATTAAAAAATGGTTACAATGGTAGTCTGGCATGGTGACCCACACCCGTACTCCCAGCAACTGGGGAGGCTGAGGTGGGAGGATTGTTTGAGGCCAGGAGCTTGGGGCTGTAGTGCACTACGATCACACTTGAGAGCAGCCACTGCACTCTAGGTTGGGCAACACACAGCAAGACCCTGTCTTATACCTTTTCCAAAAAAAAAAAAAAGGTTACAATAGTAAACTTTATATTATGTGTGATTTACCACAATTTTTTGACAAAGGCTATTGTCAAAATCTAGTCAAAGATTCCATAGGGTAAACTAGGGCTGTGACAAAAAAGAGAATAAATACATAAGACCTTGGGATAGTATAACTGATAAGGTTTACTGACCAGTATGAACTGAAAAGGTAAAGTGGAGAAGCTGAGTATAACCTTGAGGCTTCCAACTTAGAAGATAAGATTACATTAATCAATATACTAGAGGAACACTTTATTGAGTAAGAATATTCATTCATTCACTCATGCTTTCACTGAAAAACTATTTTTTTTTCTTTTTGAGCACCTGCTGTGTGCCAACCACTGACTGGAAATGTGGAATGAAGAATAAGAAGGGATGAATCCTTGCCCTCAGGGTGCCAACAATCTAATGGAAATGTGCTACAATAACAAGCAGGTATGTGACACAACACGATGAATGAATGATGTGATGAAATGACAGCTCATCTCCTCCAGAAGAAAAATAAAGCAGGGGCAAGAGGAGGTGACAACTGAGCAGAACCTTGAATGAAGTAAGGATGCACCTGATACAACTTTATCAATAAAAATAAAACATTTTTAGTCTACCATCACCATGTAGTTATGTAATAAACCATTTAAAAATAGATAATTTTGATAGACTATGGAAAATATCAGCTTGAATATTAAAATACAATTAAACTGTGCATTCTTCCTGTATTCAGGTGTTCCTTACTGCAAAAAAAAAAAAATACTAATTTTTAGCACTGTATGTCGTATTATCTCTTTTAGGTCAAAAAACTACAAATACTTCTCTATCTGTAATGGGGGTATACATATAGGGAAAGAAGCACTGGAATTGGACTTATAAACCTGGTATTTCATATGACTTTAAAAGCATAAGCTTTTCCTGTTTGAGATATTAAAGAAGAAAAATGACCTAATTAATAAAAGACTACAAAAGTACACAAAGCTTAACTACTGAAACCTAAATACAAAGTAAAAAGTCCAAAACCACTAAAACTCGTGACTACAATCAAAAGATTAACAACTTTAAGAGATTTTCATCACTAGATCTGTAGTTTCTGAATATATTTTGTTATTTTCCTAAGGCAACATTTCTAATAAGGTTAGGAAAAATATATTCTATTGAAATGAAGTGTACTGCAAATTATTTATTCAATCTCCTTAATTTACAGGTCAAGAAACTGAATCCCTTGTACCTTACCATAGAGGTTTAGGAAAAAAAAAAAAAATACACACACACACGAACCTGAATCCCAACAAGGTCACATAAAGAACTATAATCACAGCAAAGCACAGGGCCAGTGTCTTAGAACTCCTAGGTCACTGTTTTTCCTACTACAGTAACTGTGACATTGTGGACGGGCGTCAATTTTATTTTAGTCCAAATTATCCATTAGAAACCTACAAACCTAGCAGAGTGTATCACAAATAATAACACCCATGACCTAAACAAATGAGTACACCTCAAATATTCAACTGTAATACACAGTTACATAAATTACTATTCTAAAATCCAGGCATATGCATAATATTTTGTTCTTAATGTTTTTCTTAATATGCATTTACTGAATAATGGCACCAACCTGGATCCTGCTACCCTCCATAAATCACTGCCTACTGTGGCTAAGCTGTAATGTTAACCAACCAATTTAAAACCATTACCAACACAGAAACATGTATTTAGAGATTCTGTGCCAACTCAGAAACCACACAGCTTTTCAGTCACGTGCATCGAATACCCTATATGGAATGCTAAATACTCCAGACCACGCTGGTTGGGGGGTTACCTTTCTTGATTGTTCAGTTTGGGAAACATGGCTTGTACCAATTCCGGGCTTTTCAGAAAGAGGTCTGTAATAATCAAGAACCTAGGGAAAAAAGAGGAGGAAAGTTTGGTTACTTGAAACATAGTAAAAGAGACATGCCCTTATCTACTTTATAGGCACCACTTACACACAAAAGCATTTCTTTTCAGTGAATTTTTGATTTGCTGTAATCTTAAATGTCTTAAAAGGTTCACATACTATTAATCTATCAGCAGCTAAAAGGAAAAAAAATCCTAAAAATATTTTTCTCCAATTTTACTTCTGAAAGCTTTATGGAAATAATTTAAATTGATTCAACGGGAAGACAGGGCTACTATAGCTGTTATCTAAGTTGAGAAAGAAAAATTCTTCATTTAGCAACAAGATCAGGTATAAACAAAAAACATATTAAATTGGTTTAGTCAGAAGCTAACTGCTATAATGAACCAGAGAAAGACTTGTCACACTTCCATTACTGGCTTGATTATTCACTCTTTAAGAATTCTCAAGTTACCAAGAAAACATCCTCATTGTCAAGCAATGCACTCATCTAAACTTAAGAGATCAACTTATGGAAACCCCAAGGCAAAGATTATAGGCATAGTTCTTCAAAGTACCCCTGTGACAACTAAAAAGATTCAACACTATTATTAATTAATTATGAATTATATTTACCAGAGGGCATCTGAGGAAAAGACTTAAGAACTAAGGAATATACTGATTATAACCAGGTTATAGTAATAAAAATTGACTGCAAGCATTAAATATATTGACACATAGTTTAATCACTTAACAATACAAAAATACAATAAAACTATATTCAGTCTGATAACCAAATGAAGCATATTAACTACTACAATACACTGTCACTTCACATAAAAGCGAAATCCAAATACATATTCTATTTCCTCTACAGCATTTAAAATAGCTGATCAACACTCTGATGTAAAATATTCCTAAAAATAATGGATAATATTTGAAATTCTCAAACAGTATTCCTATCAATCTGGGCAGGTCAATAGAAATCTATGCAATCCCAGATGGATACACAAACTAAATTGAGATCTTAAAGCTCATTCATAATTCAGGTACTTAGAATTTAAAGCATTTTCCCATAAGAATAGCAAAAACGCAATATTCCAAGTCACAAGCCATATTGCCAAATATATTCTCCAAACAATAAAGACCCATATTTAGTCAGATAATTTACAGAAGAACATGTTAAGTGCTGACAGATACACATTAAGGATTATATAATAGAAACAAATGTATCTAACCAATAGGCTGGGGGCAAGAGGGGTGACAGACAGGGGGCAAGAAGATCAAACAGGCTAGAGGAGGTATTTCGCCAATCCCTAGAAGAAGGAAAAGAAGATAGCATTTAAATTAGGAGGGGAAAAAAAGGACTTAGAAAAACAGCAAGAAGGAAAGAACAGCAGTGTGTCTGGGGAACTACAAGCAACAAAATACTATTAGGGCTTCAAAAGGAAGTCAGGACCCAAAAGCGTGGGTCTTCAGAGTGTCTCAGGTGAAGAAAGTTGCCTCAACCAAGGTTTGAGTTTATTGAAGACTGATGTGATAACTACACATTCTTTCATAGTGTTGGTAATTAGTGCTCTCTTTCTTTTTTCTTGATCAATTTTGTTGGTCAAAGATCAACTTTTGCCTTTGTGAATTTTTTCTATTGTTTTTGTCTTATGTTTCATTGATTTCTGTCATCTTTTATTTCTTTCTTTCTTACTTACTCAGGACTTACTATGCTCTTCTTTTTCTATCCTCTCAAAGTAGAACTGTGGGTCACTGATTTCAGACCTTTCTTTATTAATAGAAACATTCCAGGCCGTGGCTCACACCTTGTAATCCCAGCACTTGGGAGACTGAGGTGGGTGGATTACTTGAGGTCAAGAGTTTGAGACCAGCCTGGCCAACACAGCATAGTGAAACCCCATCGCTACCAAAAACACACAAAAAAAATAGTTGGATGTGGTGGTGCATGCCTGTAATCCCAACTACTCGGGAGGCAGAGGTATGAGAATCACTTGAACACAGGAGGCAGAGGTTGCAGTGAGCCAAGATCATGCCACTGCACTCCATGCACTCCAGCATGGGCGACAGAGCAAGACTCTATCTCCAAAAAAAAAAAAAAAAAAGGAAGCACTCAAAGCAATAAGCTCTCCTCTAAGCGCCGCTTTCGTTTTTGTTGTCTTTTTAAGACATGGGGTCTCGCTCTGTCACCTAGCTGGAGTGCAGTTGTGCGATCATAGCTCACTGCACCCTCAAACTTCTAGGTTCGAATAATTTTCCCACCTCAGTCTCTCAAGTAGATAGAACTACACGCATGTGCCACCATACGCAGCTTTTTTTATTTTTATTTTTTTGGCAGAGACAGTGTCTTACTATGTTGCTCTGGCTGGTCTTGAACTCCTGGCCTCAAGCTATCCTCCCTTCTCAGACTCCCAAAGTGCTGGGATTACAGGCATGAGCCACCACACTTGGCTGCTTTTGCTTTATCCCACAAAACTTGGTACTTCAGGTCAAAATATTTTCTAATTTGCCTGTGATTTCTTTTTTGACAAATCAATCAGATGTGTTAATTTCCAAAAGTTTGGAATTTTTCTAGAAATCATCTTATGAGTAAGAGAATGTGCTCTATGATTTCAATCCCTTACACATTTACTGAAACTTTTGTACAGGCCAGCCTATGGTCTACCTTAGTGAACATGACACATGCAGGTGAAAAGAAAGTGGAGTTTGGAAGTACTAAGGGAAGGTCTATAAATATCACTCAGGTGAAGGTGGCTACCTACGACAGTACTACCAAGATCATCTGTATCAGCGGTGTCCAATCTTTTGGCTTCCCTGGGCCACACTGGAAGAAGAATTGTCTTGGGGCACAGATAAAATATACTAAGAATAGCTAATGAGCTTAACAACAACAACAACAGCAAATAACAAAAACAACTCATGTTATAAGAAAGTTCACAAATTTGTGTTAGGTAGCATTCAAAGCCATCCTGGGCTGCATGCGGCCTGCAGGTTGGACAAACTTGATCCATATCATCATGTTTATATAATGTATAAAACATCAGTCTATACTGATATTTGTCTATGAGTCCTGCCCATGGCTGAAAAGCAGGTGTTAAAATCTCCAACTATCGCTTCTGCTTCTGGGCATAATGGAATAACAATTTACCCCCTACCTTAAACAACATAAAACCAGACAATATATATAAACAGTTTTTAAACAGTGGGCAACAGACTGGGTCTGCTTCACTTTGGAAATTTTCTTCTTGAAAAACCAAAAATCTCCTAACAAATGTTCAATAAATGTGATTTGATCAATATGTTCATAAAATCCTCAAGGACTTAAAATAGTAGAACTGAGACATCGTAAAGGAAGGACTGAGTTCTGCATGCTGGAATGCGTGGTTAGGAAGCAAAAGTTGAAGTAAAAAAGTTGTCCATGGATGGAGCAGTAAGGGTATAGGGACTAGGGCAAGGACGGAGGAGAAGGGAAGACAGGTCTCAGCCATGACAGTGCTCTGTTGCCGGGACCACCAGCATCATCAGAAACAAAAATGAGAGTGAATCCACACTGCAACCTTTAAACCAACATAAATTCCAAGTAAATCAAATACTTAAACAACAAAATTGAAATGATATACTAGAAGAAAGCCTTGGTAGAGGAAAGGCCTTTATAGCTATTATCAAAACTACGGAACACATTTTTTTAAAAGACTGATTAATTCATCTACTAAAAAAATCAAAAACTTTTACATAAAAAAGTATCATATGGCTGGACACAGTGGCTCACACCTGTATTCCCAGCACTTTGGGAGGCCAAGGTGGAAGGACTGCTTAAGGCCAGGACTTCAAGACCAGCCTGGGCAACATAGTGAGACCCCATCTCTACAAAATAAAAAATTAATCAGCCAGGTGCGGTGGTATGCACCTGCGATCCCAGCTTCTCAGTGGGCTGAGGAGGGAAGATTACTTGAGCCTGGGAGATTGAGGCTGCAGTGAGCCATGATTGCACCACTGCACTCCAGCCTGAGTGACAGAGACGCTGTCTCAAAAAAATAAAAAATAAAATACCACGAACAAAGTCAAAATACAAAAACAGAAAAATACATGTATTTTATTTTATATGATGGGTGATATCCCTAATCTAGAAAATACTCCTATACACTGATAAAGATCAATACCCCAATAGAAAAATAGGTAAAGAAAATTAGAATACACATAAAAGAAAAAAAAGGTTCTCCAACTCATAAGAAAAATACGAAATAAAACTGTGCAAGAAGGCCGGTTTACACCTTGGCAGAACTGGCAAATCCAAATCTTGCTAACACTGTTAGCAATGATGTGGGACAGGGGAGTTGACACTGGCACAATAGCGATGAAGGACAACCTGAAGTGTTTGTCAAAATTATAACAGTACATTCCTTTTGACCCAGAATTGCACTTATGAATTTATTCTACAATCATTACTTGTCCACATGCGATATGACATGTGCAACCAAGGCTATTCATGGCAGTAGCTTCTAGTCGTGAAAAAACGGAAACAATCAGAATGCCCATAGAGAAGAGACTGATGAAATAAATCCTGGTATATTCATACAATGAAAGATCTTTAACTGAGGAAAGTCTTTATATAGGAATATGGAAAGATCTCAGAAATGTACTATTTAGTGAAAAAAGCAAAAAGCCCAACAGTGTGGGGAGAAGTAGGGGTTGTGGTTGGAAGAACTAGGTAAACGGCTGGGGGTAAACTATGCATTTTGATATCTGAACCACATATAGTCTATCAAATAATTCAGTATGTAATGTAAGCAATATATACAGGCAAAGTAAGCTCACACTTCGTTCTACTTAATAACCATTCTGCTAAAGAGTGACAGTATTTCTGCATCTTGGTGGAAGTACCATTCAGATGAACCTGGCTCCTCAGGCTTTAAGGACGAGGAACGGTCATATAGGAGAACTCTGTAAGTTCGCCTAAGGAACTCCTCAGTTTAATCTTGAAATTCATCATTTAAATGTCATCACAGAAAAGCTAACATTCACAAATCACATTGTTGATGCCAAAGCACTAACTACACTTTACATCATTTTCCACACTTGCCAAAAAACAAAATGCATGAAGGTCTCTCTTCTCATCTTTTTCCTTCTCTCAATCTTTCTCATTTATGATTGATTTTAAAGTACGTGAACAGTTGCAGGCAGATGAATCAGCATCTGCATTACAATACTGATATACAAAATAGAAGGTAGTAAAGGTCACCTGTGTGGGCATCGAGGAGCACATGCCAACAGACAGCGAAAGGCGAACTCCTCACCAGTAAACAGAGACAGTCCTAAAGACGGGGGGTTTCAGGGAAATTTTTTTTTTAATGAAGGTCATCTATTATCCATATCCATACATGCATACAATGGCGATGCTATACTCACAACATGAGTAAAATAGATTTCAATCAGTTCAAAAACCTAGAAAATGTTTTTATACCTCATAAACAAATTTTGATTTAAATGTGCTATGGAAAATAAATGCCACTCTCCTTTGTTGTGAGATCTGGGAAATCTAACCCACAGTTGCTTAACACAGCAATTTGGACAAAGCTTACAAAGCTGGTCTAGAAAATAACCTCCCTTCTCCTGTTAAAAGAGTTAAATAACATTTCCAACGGGTTAAACGTGAGTAGCATTAAACTAGAAAAATAACAGTCCACTGATTCAATGGCGATGCTTCCTCTACTAGAAGAAAATGAGTTATAATCTGAAAAATATATAAATAGATTTCCTGAATCTACATGTGCCAGGCACTGGGGGAAACGTATTACACACACGCACATCCCAGCCACCCTTCCTTTAATGTCGTCCTCTAAGGGAGGCAGTGGGTGTACAGATTAAGAGCACAAATTTTGGTCTCAGAAAGAGCTGGGTTTGAGTCTCAGCCCAACACTCACTGGC
Organism: Homo sapiens; assembly: GCF_000001405.40. NCBI lineage: Eukaryota > Metazoa > Chordata > Mammalia > Primates > Hominidae > Homo > Homo sapiens. The sequence continues at coordinate 45,712,505 of NC_000022.11, read as the reverse complement.
AGTGTGACACTGGCTACGCTGTCTACCCTTCAGTATCAAGGTATTCTGCTTCTCCTGTTTCCAGTAATAATGTATCAGAATTCAACTCCAACAAAAATCAAAGAAATTAAACTATGTTTCCCTCCTGAAGCAAAAGCAGATAATGAAAAGGACATGCATTCGCCAAACACTGACAGTCCTTGTGGATATCTGCCACTTTTTCCCCTGTTCAGCATCCCCTTTTTTCCTTCCTTGGATAACAAGAATTCTTTTTCCTTCAAGAATGAGCCCAAACCTGGTAGCTTTTTCCTTCAAGAGTGGGCCCAAACCTGACAGCCTGTGCCCCCAGGGGAGGTCACCTGACTGCACACCCTAACAAACAGCACTGCCCCAGGGATGACAATGTGACCCAAAAAGAGCCACTTGCATGCCTCAAAAACATCCATCTGGTTATTACCTCTTTGTTTCTAATTCCCAAACTTCTCAATACCCTTGCCAGTCAATGTTTACAGAAGAAACTTTTTTTTATATTCTAAAGTATTCCATACAACATTTCACAAAAAGATATACACGTATACACAAAATCACAAGATGCATTCCATACACTGTTGGTAAAAAGTCAGAACTGTGTACAGACATTTAAGAAGCACTTCTGGCATAATGGTGGCATTAAGAGGCTCCATGTTCCCGCATACAAAGCCAACTGTCTGCTGACAACTATACTAATTCTATGGCAATCAGAAAGAAATGTTTTAAGCAGTGCACATCCTAACATGATAGTCTGTTATATACACAGGTGCTTTACCGAGTTTGGGTTTTTTTTAATTAAATATTTTTATTTTGAGATCATTGTAGATGCACACGCAGTTTTACAAAACACAAGAGAGATTCTGTGTACCCTTACCCAGTTTTCCCCAATGGTAACATCTGTAAAACTATAGTATGTGACAACCCAGATGCTGACAGTGACACGATGTGCGGATCTTACTCAGGTTTCCCAGGTTAACTTGTGCCTTTACTCAGGAGTAGCTGTGTGCATGTCTTTAGCTCTCTGTAACTTAATAATGCAGGGTCACAGATCCCCTCTCACAGGTGAGAGCCAGAACGGTTCGGCACCCCTTTTGCAGGTTCACCCGCCTATAACTCCAGCATCCTTCCTCAATCCCCGACAACCACTAATCCGTTCTCCATTTCTGTAATTTTGTCATTTCAAGAATGTCATGTAAATGGAATGATACATTATTTAACCTTTGGGGATTCATTGGCTTTTTTTTTTCACTCTGCTATAATTACCATGAGATCTTCCCAAGTTATGGCTTGTACCAACACTTGTTCCTTTTTATTGCTGAATAGTATTTTAGTTTGATTCTATTTTAAGACACTGACTGGGGTTTTGGGTAGACATGTAACATTTTATAATGTCCCCATTTTTAAGAAGGAAGTAGGCTCTCAGTCACTTTTTTGCACAGAATGTCTGATTTTCAGGAATAGATTGCTGATGTAAAATGAAGAAGCCTGTATAGAGTTCTAGAGAACAACGATACAGACCCTTTGGGGGTCTCTCACCAAAGTCTTATCTGGTTCAGGAGAACCAGGCTTATCTGCTTCAGATAAGCCTGAAGTGACTGAAGGACAACGATGCCACCAATCACCAGACTTATTCAACAAATACTACTACCAAAAACCCTTCAATGGATGGGGTTGGCAAACTTTTCCATAAAGGGCCAGACAGGAAATACTTTAAGCTTTGCAGGCCAAATGGTCTCTGTCACAACTACTCAACTCTGCCACTGTTACATGAAAGCAGCCGTAGACAATAGATAAACAAGCTTGGCTGTGTTCCAATAAAACTTTATTTATAAAAAGAAGCAGTGGGCCGGATTCAGACCATGGGCCATAGTTTGTCAACACATGTTCTAGGTGCTTTGGATAGAATGATGACCAGGACAAACTCCAGGGCCTTATGGAGCTAGTCCTACATTCTAGCAACCAACAATAAACAAGAAAGCAAATAAGATTTGTATAATGTTCGATAGTGGTAAGTGCTATTAAACAAATGAATAAAAGAGAGTAAAGCGATACGGGTTTACAGGAAACACTACTGAACATAAAGTGCTGGGAAGGTCTCTCAGTCGAAATGATAGATATTTGAACAGAGACCTAAAAGAGCTAGCCATGGGAAGATCTAAAGGAAGGTTCCATGCAGAAAGACAGCGGATGTAAAGATTCAGGACAGAACAAACTTGGAGTATTCAAAGAAAAACAGTAAGACCAGATGGAACTAAGGAGCAGGAGTAAAAGTAGTAAGAAATAAGATGAGGTGGTCAGTCAGACGCCAGGACATGACAAGTACTTTGGATTTGCTTCTAGGTTGCAATAAGAAGGCACTGAATGGTTTATTTAAGCAAGGAGTGACAACAGCTACAGTAATTTTTAAAAGGTCACTCTGGCTACTGTGTGATGATTCAGAGGGCAAAAGGAGAGACAGAAAGATGAGTAAGAAAGTTCTGGCAGTAGCAATGAAAGATGTCTATGGCAGAGGAGGCATGAAGTAGGTGAATGTGGAACACCTTTTGAAGATAGGGCTAATGAGTATAAGTGGGTGAGAGTGAAAGAAAATCAGGACTCAGGTTCCAGGCCTCAGCAAACGAGTAAATGGTGGTACCAGTTACTGAAGGATAAACATTGGTAGAGTAACAGGAGGTGTTATGTGTGGGGGAAATCAAAAGTTTGGACGCAGCCTTCATACATTTCAGATGCCAATTAGAAGCACATAATAGGAAGCTGTATATGTAAACCTAGAGCTTCAGCAAGAGATCAAGGCCAGAAACATAAATGTGGAAATCATCAATTTAGAAGAGGTATTTAAAGCTGTGGTATGAGATGAGGTCACCCAGAGAATGAGCAATAATGGAGAAGAGTGGTCTGAGGACCAGCCGTGGGCCATGCCAACCCTGAGTAGGCAAGAACAGGAGCCAACACAGGAAGCAGGAAATGTGCCTTACAACAAAGCCAGCACAGGAGAAAAATGAGACAAAGATGAGACAGATACTGATGACATCTTTCAGCCCTGGATTCACCGTGCCTTCACCCAATGACCCTGGAATTTTTCAGTTGCATAAGCCAATAAATCCCTTTATGTGCATAAACCATCTGAAGTGGACTTCAGTCACTTAGATTCAGAAGAATCATGACTAAAATAATGCTTATCACATGCCAGATATTATCTTGTTAAAGATCCAATAACAAACAACACTAAATCCTGCCTTACAGGGAGCTCACAGTCTAATGGACAATTAAATGCGCTAAGTGCCATGAAAGTGGAATGCATGGCTGTTGTGCGCGAACAGAAGAGGGGCAACAGATTCAGACTGCAAGAGGATGGACAATTATGTTTATCTTCCTAATATTGTTACACTTAAGCTGATAATAAAATGTACATGCATAAGGCAAGACACATCCCTAGAGAATACAAAATAAATCAACTAGATAACCCAAATACTAACAAAAAAGAATGCTTTGCTCCCAGTTATAACTTCATTTTTGTAGTGAAACTGGGTAAAAAGTTCAATGGATTAATAAAAGTTTAGGTGGGCACGGTGGCTCATGCCTGTAATCCCAGCACTTTGGGAGACAGGCGGGGAGATCACCTGAGGTCAGGAGTTCAAGACCAGGCTGGCTGACATGATGAAACCCCATCTCTACCAAAAATACAAAAAATTAGCCAGGCGTGGTGGCGCACGCCTGTAGTCCTGGCTACTCAGGGGGCTGAGATGGGAGAATCACTTGAACCCGGGAGGCAGAGGTTGCAGTGAGTCAAGATCACACCACTGCACTCCAGCCTGGGCAACAGAGTGAGACTCTGTCTCAAAAAGAAAAAGTTTACACCAAAAGAGGCTAAAACTGAAAAGAGTTCATGCCTCACCTTTGAAATGCAGACCTCCTCTCTGAAAATCGGTAATTTTCATAACACATGACATGGTATTAATAAAAATGGGATAGGCCCTCGAGTTTGGCATCACTTGCAATGCTGCCTCTGCTATATGCTAGTTGTGTGACCTTTGTCAGACTGGTTTACTCTGCTTAACTTTCATAGGTACATAGTAGCAAAATACAATTCACAGGATGGCAGCAATGTGAAAATGAGATTACACAGACAAAGCAACCAACACATCACAGGATCAGCACGAGGCAGTCCTACCTCTTCCTCTACTGTGTAATTCTGCACTGACTGACCTAACCTACCAGTGCACATTTACTGGACTTTCAGATTTAGATGAACTCAAAATAGAATCCCTGGATTCATCTAGGGTTATCTAAGAGCATGAAAACATCTTTCACACCTACAAACAAAAGAACAGACATTTTTAGAAAGACATTATCCCAATAATTCAAACCAAGTAGTGCCAAAGACTTTCTCGCCTACACTTTCCTGTGTCTCTAGTATACTCAAATAAAAAAACCCAAAGTTATTGGAATCACATTTGCCCTTTTCTAAGAAACAAGCAAAGGAAGAAAAGAAAACATAATGAAACCATGAATTCTAAGACCATGTAGTTTTGTATTATTTGCCACCTATCTCCTAAAATGTAGGGAAGAAAAAAGGCAGAAAGTGGGTTTTCTCCAATTTCCAGGGATGAGTTTATATTTAACAGCAAAAACAACAATTTCGTCAGAAGCCTCTGGATATTCTGTGATCTCATTGTTTGTTACCAAATGTAGAGTTCCTCTCACATAAATCAAAGTATTCCGCACCTGGACTGCAGAAGTGATCATTTAACCACTACTAGATCCATCCTTTGTTCCTTTCTGAATTCCTTCTAGTGGTCTCTAATACCTTTAACTTGAGCTATTTATATATTATATTATATTATATCATATTATATTATATTAAACAGATTTTATATTTTGCCCTTTATGACCTTTTGCCCTTTATTCCAAGCTGCTAAAAAAAAACTGCAGATGATTAAAATACAGACCCAAGGTACTCAACAAATAAAACAGAACTCAGCTACAGAAAATTTCTCTAAGTAAGTTGACTCTAATGATTGATCCTGTCATGTTACATTTGCATACAAAGGGAAGTTTTCTAAGTTAAACACATCATATTATTGTATGTACCAACTTCTGTTTGTTTGTAAATCTTAATTGAAATACAAATGAATATTCAGAAAAAGAAATAATTTCAAAATTAGGTATAATTTCAATAGAATGATAAAAGATTACACTGCAAGAAGCCAAAATTGAAAAAGCTCATACCTCACCTGTGAATGCAAGTGGGATTACAGGTGCTCAAGGCTTACTCCCTGGAGAAAATCTGTGGCCTAATCACACACTGACTACTATGTGCAAAAGATATGGAAAAATAGATTTTTTAAAAAACAGGATATTGTTAAAACATAAACAACAAAATTTGTGATAAATTTTATAATGAGAAAGGGTCAATGCATCAAGAAGGTATAACAATAATAAATATAAACATGTGTGTGTGTACTTAACAGAGCATGAAAATAAGGGAAGCAAAAACTGACAGAACTGAAGGAAAAAATGCACAATAATTCACTTTCAATAATGAAAAGAACTAGAACAGAAGATCAGCAAGAAAACAGAAGATTTAAACAACACTATCAACCATCTAGCCAACCAGACCTAATAGATATCTACAGAACATGCCACCAAAACCAGCAGCATACACATTCTATTCAAGTGTACATGGAACATTCTCTATGACAGACCACATGTCAGGCCATAAAAGAAGCCTAGGTAATGTCAAAAAGAATGAAATCATATAAAGTGGGTTCTCTGGCCACATGGAATAAAATTAGAAACAAATATGTGGAAATTAAACAACAAACTCCCAAATAACCAATAGGTCACAAAGGAAATTGGACTATAATTTGAAATAAATGAAAGTAAAAGCACAAACACCAAAATTTACAGAATCCTAAATTATGGGATGCTAAAGTAGTTCCTACCAGGAAATTTGTAGATGTAAATGCCTATGTAAAAAAGACAGAAGATCTCATATCAGTAACCTAACCTTCCATCTTGAGAAACTAGAAAAAGAAGAGCAAACCAAACCCAAAGCACGCAGAAGAAAGAATATAATAAAGATTACAGCAAAAAGAAATGAAATAGAGAATAACTGTAAAGAAAATCAACAAAACCAAAAGTTGGTTCTCCGAAAAGAGCAAAAACTCTAACAAACCTTTAGCTATAGTGAACAAGAAAAAAGAGAAGACTCAAATTACTAAAATCAGGAATGAAGAGGGGACATTCCTACCAATCTTACAAAAATAAAAAAATTCTAAGGGTCTATTAACAATTTGTGCCAACAAATTAGACAGCCTAGACCAGTGGTCCCCAACCTTTTTGGCACCAGGGACTGGTTTCATGAAAGACAATTTTTCCATAGACAGGGGTGGGGGGACGGTTTCAGGAAGAAACTGTTCTACCTCAGATCAACAGGCATTAGTTGTAATAGATTCTCATAAGGAGTGTGAGACCTAGATCCCTCGCATGCGCAGTTCACAACAGGGTTTGTGCTCCTAAGAGAATCGAATGTGGCTGATGATCTGACAAGAAGTGGCGCTCAGGCAGGAATGCTTGCTTGCCTGCTGCTTATCTTGTGCTATGTGGTCCTGTTCCTAACAGGCCATGGACAGGTACCAGTCCACAGGTCGGGGGCTGGAGGACCCCCGGCCTAGACCAAACAGGCAAATTCCTAGAAAGACACAAACTACCAAAACCAACCCAAGAAGACAACAATCTGAATAGACCCGTAACAAGTGGAGGCCGGGCGCGGTGGCTCACGCCTGTAATCCCAGCACTTTGGGAGGCTGAGGCAGGTGGCTCATGAGATTAGGAGTTCAATACCAACCTGGCCAAGATGGTGAAACCCCGTCTCTACTAAAAATACAAAAAAAATTAGCCGGGTGTGGTGGCGGGCACCTGCAATCCCAGCTATTCAGGAGACTGAGGCAGAGAATTGCTTGAACCCAAGAGGCGGAGGTTGCAGTGAGCCGAGATCGCACCACTGCACTCCAGCCTGGGCAACAGAGTGAGACTCCGTCTCAAAAAAAAAAACCAAGACCTGTAACAAGTAACAGGTTTGAATTAGTAACCAAAACCCTTCCCATGATAAAAAGCCCAAGACCAGATGGCTTCACCAGTGAATTCTACCACATATTTAAAGATGAATACCGATCCTTTACAGTCTTCCAAAAACAAAACAAAACAAGACCTCATTCTGTAAAGTCAGTATTTACCTGATACCAAAACCAGAAAAAGAAATCACAAAAAGAAAAAAAAGCTACAAACCAATATGCCTTATGAATATAGATTCAAAAATCCCCAACAAAATATGAACCGAATCCAGCAACATATAAAAAGGATTATACACTATGAACAAGTAGGATTTATCTCAGGAATCCAAAGTTGATTTAAAGTATAAAAATCACTGTTAGACAAAGTATTAATAGACTAAAAGACAAAGCCATATGACTATCTCAACAGACACAAAATATATTTGATAAAATAGACTTTCATAATAAAAACATTCAACAAGTAAAAGAAAATCAGTAGAAGTAGAAGAAAAGTTTATCATCCTGAGCAAGGGCTTCTTAGAAAACCCCACAGGCAACAGCACACTGAAAGACTGCCCCACTAAGATCTTAAATAAGAAACATATGTCTGCTCTCACCAATTCTACTCAACATTGTATTGGAATTTCCAGTCAGGGCAACTAGGCAAGGAAAAGAAAGAAAAGGCAACCCAACTGGAAAGAAAAAAATATTACCTACTTGCAGATGGCACGGTCCTGTACAGAAAAAATCCTAAGAATCACGTACACAAAAAAATCTACTAAAACTATAAATAAGTTCAGGAAGAAAGATTGCAGGATATAAGATTAATATACAAAAATCAGTTGTATTTCTACACATTAGCAATGAACAATCCAAAAATGAAAGACTTCCATTTGCAATACCATCAAAAAGAATAAAATACTTAGAATAAACTGAACTAACGACACCCAAAACTCATAGACTAAAAACTACAAAACATAACTGACGAAAATTTAAAAGGCCTAAATAAATAAATGAATATCCTCTATTCATGGATTGGAACACTTAATCTAGGTAAGATGGCAATATTCCCCCAAGGTGGTCTACAGATTCATGTAATTCTTATCAAAATTCCAGCTGTTTTTTTTTTTTAACAAATTGAAAAGTTGATCCTAAAATTAATATGGAAACAGAAGGGACCCAGGACAACAAAACTGAAAAAGAACAAAGTTGGAAAACTCACACTTCCTGATTTCAAAATTTACTATAAAATTACGGTAATCAAGACACTGTAGTACTGGCAAAGAGAGAAAATGGACTGGAAAAAAAAAAAAAAAGCACTGAACAGAGCCTCAGGCACTTACAAAACAACAACAGAAGACTAACACTTGTATCTTCAGAGTCTAGGGGAACAGCTCCACATAGTGCCCTGGTGACCTTGGATGTATCCATATATACCATGCATGCCAGAGCTTGAACAGCGGCTAATCTGAGTCTTGCCTGCTGAATAGCTTGTGATCCTCCTGGAACCCGAGATGGGAGGGGCCTGAGGCTTCTGAGGCTGTATCCTTTTTGCTCTTCTGTCTCCTAGGGGAGGCTGTCATGGGACAGGTTCTAATGAGTTTGGTGCTAATGAGGTACAGAGCTTTCTGCCTTGCCCCTCTTAGCATATAATGCCTCTTTAAACAGTCAAGAAGGCCTCCTCAGGAGTGGGATACCTCACAATTCATATCCTAATCATCCAGGTCTTTGTGGTGTCTGGGACAAGGATCAGGAGGAGCTGGCCCCTTTGGCTTCTTCTTTTCTCTGTCTATATAAGTAACAAACTGTCTAAACCTAAAAGTAGATTGTTGTAACTTGTATTATTTTCACAGTCCCATCAGTTGAGCCACAGCCTTGGCCCTGCCTTGGACTGTGTGTGCGCCTAAAACATGGAGTCCCAGAAGAAGTGGAGAGAGAACAAGGGCCTGAAAAAAAGTATTCAAACAAATAACAGCGAAAATTTTCCAAATTAACTTCCCCAATTTGGCAAAAGACATAAATCTACTGATTCAAGAAGTTGAGGAAACCCCAAAAAGAGTAAACCCAAAGAAATCTATGCCAATACCATAATTAACCTCTGAAAAGACAAAGAAAAATCTTAAAAGCAATCACAGAGAAATAACACATTATGTATGAAGGGTGGCAGTACATTATGTATCGGGGGGCAATTTGAATGGCAGTCTCTATCTCATCTGCACAGATGCTTACAAGGCTCGCACCAACCTCTGATCTAATGAACTAGCTACTGCAGCCACAACAGTCTTATCTGTGCACTCCAAAGGTGCCTGGGCATTTCACACTGTTTTTTCATACACCAAGAATGTCTTTCCCGCTCCTCACCACCTTAAAGAATTCTCTTTGTCCTTAAAGGCTCAATTCAAGCCTCACTTTATTCACCTCATTCACAAGTTCTCTAGATTCTGCTCAAAATCTTCTCTAATTCTGTCAACACATGTTAAGTTTTAACTTATCGTTCAATTATCACAATGTCCAAATTTTTACTTAAAACCTCTGCAAGGAAAGTGATCTGTCAGGATGCCCCAAAGCAATCAAATTTCTAACAAGATACTTACGGCCATTCTGATTCAGGATGTTTTTGGTAAGCATCTATGACATCAATTGCAATATTGAGGTTCTCCTCCAGTTCTTTCATTCTTTCATGATTAAGGGATGTAAACAAAATCATTGAAGAGTAGGCAACAATTTTTTTGTCCGGATGATTTAAGCAAGACCTTCCAAACAAGGAAATGAGATTGTTAGCCCAATTTAGTAACATGATAAAACACAAAAATAACAGTAATACCATTGTCAAATTCACTACATGCTAATACTTTTGAGGATTTAGAATTATAGCACTTTAAAATAAGTAGATTATTTACTGTAAAAATAGTAAATATAAACTTAGTCACAATAAAAAGTATCCAAAATATTAAAGTTGAAGTTGACATAGAACTCAGAAGGCAAAAGGCAAATAACTTACCATTAGAGAAAAAGATTAGAATGATTACATTTATAAAACATTAAAATGTTCATTCTTGTTAGAAAGAAAAAATCGACAGGTACAAAATGATACCTCAATGACTGCTGGCACTGCTTTAATAGTCCTTAGGGACAAGATGCCTACAGGAGAGATGGTATAGTGGGGCAAGAAATAGAATTTGGAGTCAGGAGCCTCGCTATAACTCCTAGCTCCTCTAGCTATCAGCCAGGTGACCTGGGGAAGGTCACTGACATATTGATTGTCAATTATATCATGGGTTATGCAATATGGCAGGATTTTTTTTCATTTAAACTTCATAATACTCTTCTGAAGGAGGTATTATTCATCTATTTCAGATAAAGAATTTGTTAGCTTCACTTGGCCAATAGCACAAAGCCAGCACCTGACAAAACTGGAATTCAAATTTGGTTATATCTGTCCCATAAATGCATAAAAAGTGAAGGCAAAGAACCTCTCTTAATATGTTTTCTGGTATAAAAAATAAAATACAATAACAAAACCTCTATTTCACAGGGTTTTTAATGACGATCAAATGAGATCATCTAAAAGCAACATGTAAACTGTTAAGACTTCTCTGACTGACCTACACTTAAGCCTCTCCCTTGTTTTTCTATTACACCCTGGATTTGCCCTAATTACCTTAGTTCTTACATCACAACCTATGTGCCTGTTCCTTTACTTCCCCAACCAAAGAATGAAATCCTTCAGGAATAACGAATATATAAGTTACCACCACATTCTAATCATCTATCCCAAAACCTGGCAGATATTAGGTATCCAAAACGTTTTAAGGGAATGAATTCTCAAAAATAAGCAATGCCTATTTCTGTAGCTTGAATTTCGTAATTCTCTTCTTCCACCTAAGCTCAAATATCATTAATATATGTAACATTAATATATATACACCTTCAACTCTTAATTATTTGCAGGAATTTGAGAAATTCCATGAGCTACAGGTGAATTAGAGTTTATCCCATCTTAACGCTATACTTCACAGAGGAGCCCAGGAAAGCTGTACAACAAGGAAGGGCATTACGGAATTTAAGCAGCACAGTATTTACAATGAGCATAGATAGGCTTTAGATCCAGATGGCAGCAATGGGTTTACACTCTACCTCTGCCATTTACCAGTGATGAGCTTCAGGTCTCTCATCTGTCCAAATGGGGAGACAGTAACACTTACTCTGCAGGCTATTGTGAGAACAGAAAAAATATACGGATAATGCCCAGTTCAGGGTATGTACACAACAGCTGCTACCCTGCTGTGCTGCTTATACTGTTGCAACCATCAAAGTCACCCCATTCATTGGCACCAAAGCCTAGATTCAAAGCCAGGTCTCCCACTCCCAGACTGTGCCTTTCCTACTAGGTATACTGACTCTATTCCCTGCTCACCTTTTACCTCAATGCTCAATTTCTTATGAACAGAGCTGGTTTTTAAGAAGTAGAATCACCAGAAAAAGTACCAGGATCCAATCGAGACAAATGGAATGGTTACCCACATCTTACACTGATAAATGGACTGGTTACTCACTTCTTACATGGATAAACTGATTGTTTATCCACATCTTCTTCTTATCTTCCAAAACATACAGCATTGTGCTCAGCATATCAGTATTCAATACATAAACAATTTTAATTCATTGCCCATACTTTGATGCTCTATTTTAATTGTGTTTCTTATAAATTTCAGTGTCCTTAACAATATTACTTACTTTATCCATGACTTTATTTTTGTAAAAGTAAACTGATATACAATCAAGGGCATAAATCTTAAGTGTACATACAGCTCAATGAACAAAGTTTGGATATGTATACATCCATGTAACCACCACCAAGGTCAAGATATAGACGAACACTTCCAGGACCCAGGTGTTTCCCTAGTGCCCTCTCCCAGCTGGTACCCACCCACCAAGAACAACTACTATCCTGAACTCTATTACAGTGGGTTACTTTTTCCTGTTTTCGAACTTTATATAAAATGGAAAAATATAGCCACAATCTTCTCACAAGTTAGAAAAATGCTTATCAATATACTCACAAAAACAGTTCTGGGAAAGCATGCACCCAAACAATAGACTGGGAATCTTCATTCCGTGAGGCAATGTTGCCTAAAAACTGCAGGCCACAGCGAAAAGCTAAGAATATATAAAAGTTATAAATAAATAAATAAATGATTAAACACAATAAATAAATGCATCTTAAGAAATATTCTCCATGTTATTAAACAGAAAGTTTCTGCTTGCTTCTTTTAAAAATTAAAGTCTGTCTCCACAAGTTCACTTTGGGAATAACATGAATATGCCATGGCTGGGAGCGGCGGCTCACGCCTGTAATCCCAGCACTTTGGGAGGCCAAGGCGGGTGGATCACTTGAGGCCAGGAGTTCAAGACCAGCCTGGCCAATATGTCAAAACCCCATCTCTACTAAAAGTAAAAAAAATTACTTGGGAGGCTGGGGCATGAGAATTGCTTGAACCTGGGAGGCAGAGGTTGCAGTGGGCCAAGATCACGCCACTGCACTCCAGCCTGGGAGACAGAGTGAGACTCTGTCTCAAAAAAAAAAAAAAAAATTAATATGCCTTACCAAAACAATATACTCTACATACAAAATTAATTAACTTATTGCCTGGGTGCAGTGGCTCACACCCGTAATCCCAGCACTCTGGGAAGACGAGGGGGGTGCGGATCACCTGAGGTCAGGAGTTCGAGACCAGCCTGGCCAACGTGATGAAACCCCGTCACTACTGAAAACACAAAAATTAGCCAGGCGTGGTGGAAGGCGTCTGTAATCCCAGCTACTTAGGAGGCTGAGGCAGGGAGAATTGCTTGAACCCAGGAGGTGGAGGTTCCAGTGAGCCAAGATTAAGCCACTGCATCCAGCCGGGGAGACAGACCCAGACCCTGTCTCAAAAAAAAAAAAAAAAAAAGGAAAGAAAAAGAAAAAAAAAAAGATTTCTACTGAATATTTTAGAATATTAACACTCAGATCTGTATAAAACTGAACATGCAAAAAGCCAACAGTATAGGTTGATCTGAAAACCAACTGATCCAACAACTCATCAGGCACATAAGATTAATGCTCAGGATCAGAACACAATTCTGAAAAGGAAAAGGCTTAAAGATGTCCCAGACACAAGAAAAGAAAACTCCAGACAGGTACAAATGACAGTTTACTTTACCAAACAGCTTATCAACTGATCTTTATGTAAATACTGCAAATGTTATGAAGACCCTCAAAAATCCCAACATTATTTTTACAGAGTAAGAAAGAATAAAGGCCAAAAACAACACCAATAACTCAATTAAAATAACTCATGCTTGTGTTTACATAAAATTTGATGGGCATAATATATTCGTCATACCACTGCAATTATTCCCTGAAAATAATACTCTAAATATTATTTTGACAATGTAATTACAGTTCTTACCTCAAGTGTGGTAACAAAAAACTGGCACACATACCCTGCTAAAAAATCTACCTAGAATAAAGTTCTCACAGAGAAAGAGTCAAAAAAGTACAGGCGCTTTGTTAGGAACCAGAATACTTTTTAAAAGATTATTTGTATTAGGTTTGAACTAACACACCATAAAATTTTTTCTAAGTTTCACTGTTGAATCCAAATTTCATTGCTGAATTCCAACTAAAATTCGGTCATTTCACTAGCTGCCGTTTTCAAGGTGATGAGAAATATTACTTCCTTTCCATTTTCCTTCCTGCCTCAATAATATCCTTCCAATAACATCTGTGGCGAAACACAAGCTATCTACTAAATAGGAACACAACTGAAAAATTAAATAAGTCCTGAATAAATAGAGAGATGTTCCATATTCATGAACTTGAAAACTCAATAGTGTTAAGATGGCAATTCTTCCCCAATTGATCTATAGATTCAATATTATCCCAAGTATCTACAATGTATAGAAAACCTTTACAACTCTACAAGAAATAGACACAAACAGCCCAATTGAAAACTGGACAAAGGACTCAAATAGACATTTCTCCAAAGAAGATTTACAAACGGCCAATAAGTACGTGATCATTTAGGAAATGCAAATCAAAACCACAATGAAGTACCCCCACTTCACACCCACCAGGATGACTACAACACAGAAAGAAAGAGTCAGCAAGGATGCAAGAAATGGGAACATTCGTATGGTGTCGGTGAAAAGTCATATGATTCAGCTGCTATGGAAAAGTCTGACAGCTCCTCAAATGGTAAGCAGAGTTACCATATGACCCAGCAATTCTATTCCTAGGTATACACCCAAAAGAAATAAAAACAGATAAACAATTGGATGTACCAGCATGTTCACAACAGCATGACTCATGATAGACAAAAGGTGGAAACAACCTAAATGTCCAACAAACAATGAATGGATAAACAAAATGTGATATATCAAAACAACGGAGTATTATTCCACCATAAAGAGGAACGAAGTAATGATACACACTACAAGGTGGATGAACCTTAAAAACATTATGCTAAAGGCCAGGAGCGGTGGCTCACGCCTGTAATCCCAACACTTTGGGAGGCCGAGGCGGGCGGATCACAAGGTCAGGAGATCGAGACCATCCTGGCTAACACGGTGAAACCCCGTCTCTACTAAAAATACAAAAAATTAGCTGGGCGTGGTGGCGGGCGCCTGTAGTCCCAGCTGTGCGGGAGGCTGAGGCAGGAGAATGGCGTGAACCCCAGGGGGCGGAGCCTGCAGTGAGCCGAGATCGCCCCACTGCACTCCAGCCTGGGCGACAGCGAGACTCTGTCTCAAAAAAATAAATAAATAAATAAAAACATTATGCTAAGTGAAAGGAGTAAGACACCAAAGGTCACATAATTAATTCTATGATTCCATTTATATGAAGTATCCAGAGTAGGTAGATCTACAGAGACAGAATGCTAAGTAGTGGTTGCCAGGGGCTACAGGGAGGCGGAAAGAGAGCAGCTGCTCAATGAAAACGGTATCCTTTTAGGGTGATTTTTAGGCCGGACGCAGCGGCTCACGCCTGTAATTCCAGCACTTTCGGAGGCCGAGGTGGGTGGTTCACCTGAAGTCAGGAGTTCGAGACCAGCCTGGCCAATGTGGTGAAACTCCATCTCTACTAAAAATACAAAAATTAGCCAGGCGTGGTGGTGGGTGCCTGTAATCCCAACTACTCAAGAGGCTGAGGCAGGAGAATTGCTTGAACCTGGGAGGCGGAGACTGTAGTGAGCCGAGATTGTGCCACTGCACTCCAGCCTGGGCAACGAGAGCAAACTCCGTCTCAAAAAAAAAAATTTTTTTTTTAATTAGGTAGAGATGGTAGTTGCATAATACTGTGGATGTACTAAATGCCACTCGATTGTTCACTTTAAAATAGTTAACAATATGTGAATCTCACATCAATAAAAAACAATTAAACTCATACAAATGCAACTACCTAAATTAAGAACAACATTTAATACAGCTAACATGTAACAGGTCTGTAAGAATCTGCCCTCTCTGCCTAGTGAATATGAGTGAATAGCCAAGCTAACAACCAAATAACCAATTTACTCCTCAATGACAAACTGGTTCATAAAAGTAGTTTCAGATATCTGCTCCGTTAAATTTTTTCTTAGGTCATCTACCTGCTTCAGTGGAAAGTAATCCTGTGAAGGATGAAATAATCTTTTACCATATATTGTAAAAACTAAATACATCTTTTGTAGCACATTTGGGATAGAGCAGAAAAACGAGATACTGGACTGACGGGGACATGGAGTCAAAAGAAGATATTTTTAAATGAAAAATGGGAGGGCATATTACTTGCTGATGAAAATGATGGAGTAAAGAGGAAAAAAACAGAGGCTGCCTGAGAGCAAGGGGATAATTTCAGGAGAAAAGCTTCTGCGTGGGCAAGTGGCGATGAAATCCAGCACATGGTGGAGGGGCTGGCTCCATTCTAATAGTTATTTAATCACAGCATTTGTACAGCACTTCCCCTTTGCTTCTTTATTTAGCATATATCATTAAAAGAGAAACCTCCTTCCGCCCACCACAGCACAGCAGCTCTGGAGCGCCACACTGCCCGCCCCATCAGGATCACCAATTATAAAACACAGTACATTCTCAACTTTCTTTCTCAATTACTATACCACACAGAGACCTCAAAATAGCTGCCCTTCCAAGTGACACTGTGAAACACGGACTTTACTGCTAATTTATAATTCCCCAATTTTGAGTACTGATGCTTCCCTTTTATTATAAAATAGAGCTACAGAAGTATCTTTAAATATATAATATCGTAAAAACATTTCACAACTAAATCCTACATCCTTTCAATTTCTTGAGATTATTTTAAAAACTGATGCTCAAAAAAACATGGTGATGCACTTTGTCTGTAAATTCTTAAAGGAAGTAATTAATTTTTAATTACCATTTCCTAAAGGAATACTTCAAAATCAAATAGCAAGATCCAAGAATTTCTAGCAAACTGAGTTTAAAATGAAAACACTAGGAAATCACAGAAATTAAACCAAACCAGGCAGTGCTCTAACACGCTAATTTAGCCTATTTCACCTGTGAAAAAAGACCATCACCTCTAGTTCTTGTCTATCTACCAAGAGAAGCACACATATTAACATCAATAGAAATATGCCTCACGTGGCCAGGTGCGGTGGTTCATGCCTGTAATCCCAGCACTTTGAGAGGCCGAGGTGGGTAGATTATGAGGTCAGGAGTTCAAGACCTGCCTGGCCAAGGTGAAACCCCATCTCTAATAAAAAAATACAAAAAATCAGCCGAGTGCGGCGGCAGGCGCCTGTAATCCCAGCTACTCGGGAGGCTGAGGCAGGAGAATCGCTTGAACCCGGCGGGAAGGCGGTGGTTGCAGCGAGCCAATATCGCACCACTGCACTCCAGCCTGGGCGACAGAGTAAGACTCCATCTCAAAAAAAAAAAAAGAAATATGCCTCATGTTATATGCAAAGTACAGGCATTAAAACTGTATATAAAACAATTTGTAAGTCAAATAATATTTTAAATGCAACTGGAGACTTCTCATTTAAAGGTTATATTCATTGAATTATAAGGTAAAGACGTTATTACAATGACAATTTTTTTTTTTTTTTTTGAGGTGGAGTCTCGCTCTGTCGCCCAGGCTGGAGTTCAGTGGCGGCAATCTCGGCTCACTGCAAGCTCTGCCTCCTGGGTGCATGCCATTCTCCTGCCTCAGCCTCCCCAGTAGCTGGGACTACAGGTGCCCACCACCATGCCCGGCTAATTTTTTGTATTTTTACTAGAGACGGGGTTTCACCGTGTTAGCCAGGTAGATCTCCTGACCTCGTGATCCGCCCACTTCAGCCTCCCAAAGTGCTGGGATTACAGGCGTGAGCCACTGCGCCCAGCCAACAACAACAAAATTTAACCTATAATTTAGTACATCTAACTTATCCACCTGGAAATTTACATTAAAATTTTCTGGGGTTTTGTTTTTTTTTTTTTTTTTTTTTTTTTTGAGACAGAGTCTTGCTCTGTCACCCAGGCTGGAGTGCAGCGGCGTGATCTCAGCTCACTGCAACTTCCACCTCCCAGGCTCAAGCAATCTTCCTACCTCAGCCTCCAAGTAGCTGCGACTACAGGCGTGTGCCACCATGCCCGGTTCTTTTTTTTTTCGAGACAGAATTTCACTCTTGTCACCCAGGCTGGAGTGCAATGGCACGATCTCGGCTCACTACAACCTCCATCTCCTAGGTTCAATCAACTCTCCTGCCTCAGCCTCCTGAGTAGCTGGGATCACAAGCATGCGCCATCACACCCAGCTAATTTTTGTATTTTTAGTAGAGAGGGGGTTTCACCATGTTGGCCAGGCTGGTCTTGAACTCCTGACCTCAAATGATCCGCCCGCCTCAGCCTCCCAAAGTGCTGGGATTACAGGCTTGAGCCACTGCACCCAGCCTTTGTATTTTTTTGGAAACGGGGTTTCACCATGTTACCCAGGCTGGTCTCAAACACCTGAGCTCAAGCAATCTGTCCACCTTGGCCTCTCCAAGTGCTAGAATTACAGGCATGAGCCACGGCACCCAGCCTACATTAAGATTTTTTTATCAAATAATTTAGGTTTACCCATAAAGTATTTCAATTCCTGGCACAAAGAGATCATAAATTAAAAATCTACGTTTTTTTTTTAAACATTATGTTAAGATAATAACCACTGTCCAAAGGAAAGATGTTGATGCTAGAAGAACAAAGACCAAAACCATTCTACTAATGAGTCTAAAGAAGTGTGGTGTTTCTCTTAATCCCAAGTCAACAACCGTTAACAATCAGAGCTAAGTTCCATTTTCATCACACTAGATACTTGACTTAGACACTTAACATGTGGTTCCCCTCAACGGAATGTGAGTTCTCTAAGGACAGACACTTTTTGTCTGTTTTGGTCACTGTTTGAATCACACCCAAAACCTGGACCAGGGCCTGTCACATTCATAAATATTAAAAGTCTTACCACAGACTGAATGGCTTAAACAACAGACATTTATTTTTACACAGTTCTGGTGGCTGGAGGTCCAAGATCAAGGTGTCGAGAGGGCTGATTTCTTCTGAGGTCTCGCTCCTTGGCCTGTAGATGGTCATCTTCTCCCTGTGTCTTCACATGGTCTCTACTCTGAGCATGGCCATGTCCTAATTTCCTCTTCCTATAAGGATACCAGTCATATACCCTCATTTTACCTTAATTACCTCTTTAAAGATCCTATCTCCAAATTCAGTCACATTCTGGGTATTGGGGGTTAGGACCATGCTATGATCTGAATATCTGTGCCCCTCCGAAATTCCTATGCTGAAATCTAATCCCCAACTTGCTAGTATAAGATGGGGCCTTTGGGAAGTGACTAGGTCATGATGGTGCAGCCCTCGTGAATGGGATTAGTGCCCTTATAAAAGGGGCCCAGAGAGCTTGTTTATGCCTTCTGCCTTCCACCTTCCACCACAGGAGAACAAAGCAAGAGGCACCATCTATGAAGACGAGAGCAGCCCCCGCAAAACACCCAATCTGCTGGTACCTTAATCTTGGACTTTCCAGCCTCCAGAACTGTAAGCAATACATTTCTGTTGTTTATAAACTACCCAGCCTAAGGCATTTTGTTATAGCAACTGGAACAGACAGACTTCAACATACAAATGTGAAAGGAACAAAATTCAGCCATTCAGGAAGGGAAGTTGATACAACTTTATAATTCTTTAATAATTCACTATTAAAGTTTCCCTATCTCATGAAATACAGAACATGTGTTTCAATGAATGATGTTAATACTCAAAGTACTGGTTTTGAACCCTTTATAAAGATATAAATAATCCATGAATTATATTGCATGCTACCTGTCAACAGAGATTCCTGTTCCACTCGCAGTTCACGAAACAGAAGAATCAAATCAACAGCAACACCAATCGTATCCAAGTTCCTGGGTTTTTTAAAAAAGACAAAATTAGACATGTTCATTCATTCATATATTGTCTATGGCTGTTTTTGCACTACAATGGGAGAGCTGAGAAATCTGACAGAGATTACAAAGCCTAAATTATTTATTATCTGGCTCTTTACAGGAAAAATATAGCAACCCTAGCAGTAGAGGTTATATTTACATGCAGAGCTAACTGCTTCCAACAGCTTTCTTTGAGTACTTCCTGAAGTTTCCCATGACTCAGATTCTTTGCTTTATTGTATTTTACCCCATTCCATGCATTCTTGGCAAAAACAGTCCCAGTCCACACAAAGTGCAAAAGATGTAAAAAGATCTAGGCTTTAATAGCATCACACCTTTTGATGAACTCTTTAACGACTTAAAGTAAAACATCAGAAAAATATGTACTAGTTGCAATCTGAATCTTGACTGGCTCAGAAATACTGGCCTTAGTTAAGCTTGGCCACAAAGTCTTTACTAGAATCTTTGTAGTATTTCTAACTAGAAAATTCTTTTCTGAAAATTGCTGCCCTAAATGGTTGAAATTTTCCTTTAAAAATCAACAGTGAATAATAATACAATCCTAGAAGGGAAGAGGCAGAAAAATTAACACCCTTAAATGTTCATTTTCATTTCCGCCCAACCATAAGTTGCATGCAATAAAAAGATATCACAAACAGCACAGCCCTTGCTTTGCTGGCCCTACCAAAAGACCACCGATAACTTACTTGTCATAGTATTTATTTTTGTAATGTTAGAATTTTTATAGTTTGCATATATTACTCAAAAAAGAAAATAAAAATTGACTGCTTTGAAAGAAAGTATTAACATAAACTTGTGTTGTACATTCATTCCTGAGGCAGAGGCAGAAACATTTAATGTTTACTGAGCACACAATGTGCATTAGGCATTTACATAAGTAATCTCATTTACACCCCATAACCAGCCTGTTTGGAAGACATTGCTTACCTAGTTTTACAGAGGACAAAACTGATACTCAGGAAGACCAAGTCACCTGTCCAGGGTCAAGATGGAGCAGTCATCCACAACAAGACCAGTGTGTAAGGCTCAGGACAGCAAGGGTAGACTGCATTTTTTTTTTTGAGACGGAGTCTCACTCTGTTGCCCAGGCTGAAGTGCAGTAGCCCAATCTTGGCTCACTGCAACCTCCGCTTTCCCCGTTCAAGTGATTCTCCTGCCTCAGCCTCCAGAGTAGCTGGGACTACAGGTGTGTGCCACCACACCCAGCTAATTTTTTATTTTTAGTAGAGACAGGGTTTCACCATGCTGGCCAGGCTGGTCTCGAACTCCTGACCTCATGATTCACCCGCCTCGGCCTCCCAAAGTGTTGGGATTACAGGCGTGAGCCACCGCGCCTGGCCCAGACTGCTTTTGAGCTTAAGCTCAGAACAGTAAGGGCAGACTGCTTGTTAAGCTTAAGCTTTAGAGTCAGATGTCTGGATATGGAGAGAATGTTCCCAGCCTCTCTCACTTAACAAGTGACTCTCAGACAAGTTATTTAACCTCTCCAAGTTACAGTTTCATCTTTTGTAAAAATGAAAAAATTTCTTGAGTTTGTTCTAAGAATTAAAGAAGATACTACAAGCAAAACCCTTGGGACAAAGCCCAATGCCGAAGGCAGGCTCAACGAATGCTCACTCCCTTCCCCACCAAGATTAGCCAAGCACAAAGGTGTATCTGCCAGCCACAGTCAAAAGTTAGTTCTACGGCTCTCCTTTCCTTCCCCATCACACTAGAGCACCTTGTGACTGGAAAAGGACAAAAGAAACTAGCCTTCTGGCCAGATGCTTCTAGCATATAACTAGTTATGTTTTAGAATGTAGACTATTATTATCAAGATTATTGTTGTTTCTATCCATTTATCCTCAAATGGATGGCAGGTTTGGTTTAGTATTGAAGTTACACGACTCACTTTTTACCCTCTCTCCTTTGATCTTAAAAATCTCATTAATCATATCAAAGCCTCGGGTATATGTGTCTAACCGAAGGGAGTCCCTCAAGTGGCTTCTGGACCAGCCCAAGCTTACCCGTCACAGTGGTGACAGGGAAGCCTGGAGGCTCTGTCTACATCCAAGTCCAGGAAGGAAAGTGAGCATCCTGTTTGTGGCTTCTGACTTCAAGTAAAAATTTTTAATAAAAAGCAGGTTCCACAAAATCAAAGAAGAAAGATGCTGTGTTCTGGGAGGAGACGGTAACACGTAAAAGCAAAGAAGAGCACTGGACAGCTCGCCTGCTCATGTTTTAACTACTTTTAAAAATGTGCGCATCATAAAATAGGTGGAAGCAGAGCTTGGAACTTTACATGATCTTTAGGAAAGACAGGTCATCTTGTAAATTTACAAAATATGCTTCTTGTCCAAACACAAGAGTAACAAATTAAAACATTAAAAGTAATTAAAACATTTACAACCTGAGGTCAAGAACTGCATATAAACTTAGGCAGGTAAAATCTAGGAACAAAGACTCAAAATCAGCTTCAAAACACTATGAAGAACCAAATACCTCAAAACATGTGATAAAAACAAACAAGAAATCTAACCCCTAATGTTAAACACACTCCATTATTTTATACACTAGTCAGAGAGACTCCAATGGCAAGGCCTGTAGAGGGCCTCTCCCAGCAGATGTAAAGGGCAATCCTGCAATAACAGTGGGTGATACTATCATGCCAGAACAACTTTTTTTTTTTTTTTTTCCCTGAGACAGGGTCTCACAATGTGGCCCAGCCTGCAGCAATGGCATCATCTCAGATTACTGCAACCTCTGCCTCTCCCTGGCCCAAGCAATCCTCCCACCTCAGTCTCCTGAGCAGTTGGGACTACAGGTGTGCGCCACCATGTCCAGCTAATTTTTTGTATTTTTTTTGTAGAGACAGGGTCTCACCATGTTGCCCAGGCCGGTCTTGAACTCCTGGACTCAAGCAATCCTCCTGCCTCAGCCTCCCAAAATGCTGGGATTACAGGCATGAGCCACCTTACCCAGCCCAAAACAACTTCTAACAGATAAACCAAATGACAGAACCAGCATGCACATATACAAAGAAACAGAATCCAAGGTACGTGTGTAACTACCTGATTGAATTCTGGTTCACAGAACACTCTATGCAAGCATTGCGAAGACACCTGAAGCATTCTGTTATTAACTGCAGACTGGAAGCCAGGTTTTCCACTTGGGATGGATCTCTGCAGGCAAGCTCAACAGCATGAGAAGATTTCTTTAGGATATCCAGAACTCTTTGGAAGATAGTCCTGGGTGCTGTTTCTCTGAAAAAGGATAAAATTATCACGAATCAGAAAAAAAAGATTATGATTTCCAAATGTCCTATTCAGAAAACTGCTTTTATCTACTATTGTGGGGAGGTACGCTACGTTTATCTGCTTTAGCTCCTTAATTTACAACACCAAATAAAAGATCTACACATATTGAGCACTTACTATGCACCAGACACTGTTCTTGTCACTTCTCATGTATTATCTCAGTCTCTGCAACAGCCTTATGAGGCCAACACTGTCCTCTCCATTTACAGATAAGGTAAGTGAAGTAGAGATGGTAAGTAACTTGCACAAATCACTCAGCCAGTAACTGGCAGAGACACAAGGCCAAGTGAAGCACTCTGGCCTGAGCACTTCCACTACCCATGACAACCCAAATCCCAGTTCCAGTGACTGCTCATGCTTATGGATCTACCCTGAATCAGAACAGAGTATCTTTATTTAATGTTCTAGACAGAGAATATATTCTGGTCCTCTGTCACCCAATATGTAGCTAAGTTCAGTTATAAGAAACAATATTCCTGTAGGACAAGGATACTATCTACTCTGTAGACACAGTGAGGCTGACAACACACACACCAAACTTCTACAGTCAACTACATAGATGGGAGAGAAAGGAGAGGGGGAGAATGTAAAGTGTGCCTGTTCTTCCACCAAGAATGTATGCCCAGGGAGAAAGATGAACCTGTGGTTGTACCCTCTGGGCATCTCAGTCTCTGCGTGCCTCTCATGCCAGGAGTACTGCCTGCACTGGCTATCATTCCAGAGCTCTAAAGATAAGAATTTTTTGTGCAACATTGCACCTAAATGCAAGCCAACTTCCTCATTCCATAAATCCCCTAAAGAAACAGCAAATCTCTTTTAACGTTAGAAGGAAAGTTGCCACATTGGACAATTTAAGAGATTCTATAAATGCCAAATGATTCAGACCATATGAATTTTCTCCTTCTGCTCTCGCTGTAGATTCACAGTGCCCTACCTTTCACCCTTGGATTGAGCCAGACCAGCAGGGAGCCACATGTTCATTCAGAACTCTGGACACTGAGCTGCCCAGGTTACAGAGCTGCTCAGTTGCCGCAGAAGACACCTATGGAAGCCCCTTTTCCGGGGGCAGAGGAAACACGTCTTTCCTTGAACTTCAGTACCATGGCTTCTTATACACCAAGTGATGTGTGTTTTTATCTTACGAACAGACAATAGAACTCACATTATTTATTATGTTTTCTCTCTGTCGGGGCCTTTCTTAAGTCTGGAGTCAAATTTATGACCCAAACAACATGAATCCTTACTTTTTCTATCTGGCTTTTCCACTACCCCTAATTTCCCCCCTTATCTTTTTCTCGTATTTATTTTTTAAGGTATCTCAAACTTGGTTTTGAAAGAGGCAGAGTATAAATTAATTAAAAACTGGGAAACTGCACATAAAATAATTTGTCTATGTCTCCCCCAGTCAGCCCTGAGTGTAAATAATGAAACTTTGACTCAGTGTCTCGGCAACTGAGTGACCAAATTAAGAAATGAAAATTCAAGGGTACAGCACTAATCTTGCCTCAATAAACTGTATGAAACAAGTACATAAGCCATTTTTTAGTGACAGCATTGCCGTAAGAAGAATGGAAGAATACTCACTAACACTCTTTTTTTTGAGACGGAGTTTTGCTCTGTCGCCCAGGCTGGAGTTGCAGTGGTGCAATCTTGGCTCACTGCAACCTCTGCCTCCTGGGTTCAAGCAATTCTTCTGCCTCAGCCTCCCGAGTAGCTGGGACTACAGGCACACGCCACCACGCCCGGCTAATTTTTGTATTTTTAGTAGAGACAGGGTTTCACCATTAGCCAGGCTGGTCTCGAACTCCCGATCTCGTGATCTGCCTACCTCGGCCTCCCAAAGTGCTGGGATTACAGGTGTGAGCCACTGCACCTGGCCGATTCACTAACATTCTTAAGGTAGCTTTAAGGAGTACCAAATATATTGTAGACACTCATCAGCTAAGAAAATAACCAGGAGTTTAAAACACTATGAAGAATGCTAAGGCTGATCACAATTTCTAGGACAAAGAACAAAACTAATCACCTCTATTTGCCCCATCTGCATGAAGTTTTGAAGCCATTTATTATTTAATGCTATAGTCAAGTAAAAGTAGAGCTCTGCAACTTGAATAAGCTTCAATAACGCCTCTCTTTTCCTACTGAGATGACTAAGAATGTGTATTTACAGCTGTAAGAAAGCAGCGAGAATTATTTCTTTCACCTGATCCTTTGCCGTCTGCCTCTTATATGGGAACCACCTTTCCCCCGTGAATGGTCTTCCCTGAAGTCATTCCTTGCAATCGTAACATCTGTTTTACTCAAAATTGGTATCTAGCACAGCAAAAGCTTTGGAATCAAACTATGGTACAGACTAAACAAGACAGAAGAAAAGCAATATTCTTAAAGAAAATGGGAAAAATGATTTCCCGACCATAGAATAAATACTAAGTTCATGAACTATGTTGTGAATAATTCCCAATGCTACATGGTAATTTGTTATATATGCACCATGCCCTTATAATAATTTTAACCAAATGAAAAGCATTTAACTGAGCTAAGGCCAACCAAAACATTCCTGAAATCCAAATAACTATTAATAGCGACTAAAGAGTAATCATGACAGCATCTATTTGGCACACAATAATTCGCGTTTGCAGTATAAAGAAAAAATAATGTGGAGCTGTGATCACTGTCATATGCTCTCCCCAGGTTGTAAACCATGGATTCCTGAAAACCCCCGATTTCGCCAATCTTCTGTCTTTGCTCAAACATATCTCACCACCAGAAGAAAGTCCTCTCCAAATCTCCCAATCCTCTGCCTGGGAGAAACTTACATCTCCTTTTTTTTTTTTTTTTTGAGATGGAGTCTTGCTCTGTTGCCCAGGCTGGAGTGCAGTAGCGTGATCTCAGCTCACTGCAACCTCCACCTCCTGGGTTCAAGTGATTCTTCTGCCTCAGCCTCCTGAGTAGCTGGGACTACAGGTGCATGCCACCACGCCCGGCTAATTTTTTTGTATTTTAGTAGAGACAGGGTTTCACCATTTTGGTCAGGCTGGTCTCGGTCTCCTGACCTCGTGATCTGCCCGCCTCGGCCTCCCAGAGTGTTGGGATTACATGCGTGAGCCACTGCGCCTGGCCTGCATCTCCTTTCAAACCTTTGGGAAACTCAGACCTGGAGAAACTCCTCCACTTTTCCAGACAAACAGACTCCCTCTATGAAGCCCTGGAGATCTGTTCATAAGACTGGAATAACTTGTCCACATCAGATAAGATTTATATAACCTATCTCCCCGGCTAGACTGTTAAGTCCTTGAAAAATGGAGACTATCTTATTCTTTTCTGTATCTCTAGGGCCCAGAATTGGCACCCATTAATTGAATTTGTTCAAGTTTTAAACAGTGATGAGACTGTTTGCACACTCAAAAGTGGCCCCTGACTGCATCACAGCCTTGCTATGTAATCCAAGCACTTACAGAGCTTGTGCTCAGAGCCAGGAATCAAGCCTGACATAGGCAGTGAAATCAGTACCCTTTGAGTCAGCAACAGAAAGGGGAAAGTGAGGCATCAGCTCAACCCTCCCTTTCCCATTAAGAAATCCATATAATCTCTACTCAGAAACTTAAAAACGTGTCAGATTTTAAGATGTGAATATCATATAGATATTTTATGACTGCTGTTAAGCAAACATCGAATTTCTCCTTTCCCATTAAATGATACAGTGGATAAGCTTGAGGGTCTGGGAGGAGTTATAACCCAATTAACTGTATTTTAAATTTCTTAAGAGCAAAGAACATGTTTTAGATGTGTTTCCTTTTATAAATGGTGTCAGTAAAACTCTTCCTCTAGAGTCATATAATAAATATCTATAGCTTCTATTCACCATATTTTTATACAATATAATATGTCAACAACTTTCATCAGATGAGGACAAAGAAGCTTTTATTCAGTAACAGTAAATACTATGAAAGCATTTAACTCTTCTATACATCTTTACCTTCTCTACAGCCTTGAAAGAAAACTATTTGGCATTACAGATCCAGAATAGTCCTAGTATACTCTTGTCTGCAAAATCTACGTTCACTGTCAAGACAATGCAGCTAAATATGTGTAATGATTAACGACAATGAAATAGTAAAGATCAATCACTCCAATATTACAAAAGTTATTAATAATAACTGCTGTCATTTCTGCTTTAACCAAACTAACAAAAAATGTACAGCGACTTTAAAAAGCTTAGCTACTTCATTCACAGAAGGCGGAAAGTACTTACAAGGACAATTAAAATTCAACCGTTAGACATTCCTATTACAAAGGAATGCATACCCTGAAGACAATGTATAAATGAAATGTTACATTACAGAACCAAAAAAATCCTTTGAATTATACAAAAGGTAGAATTTCATTTCCCTCAAGTTTGAACAGATCTGTAGGGTTTAATCTTGGCAAGTTCTGTTTGAGTAAAATTAAAGAAAACTACCTGTGATTATATGTAACAGGTTAGATAGGTCTAATATACTGTATGCACACACATTTTACAGTTCAATCATCAGGTGGGACCTCCTACTGAAAAAAAAAAAAAAGCTACATGCTAGTCATTGTAATGCTACAACTAAGACCTTCATACTTGTTAAAAGATTTATTCTAATACCTTAGATTTACTTAAAAACTGGCATATGTGGTTTAGAGTAGTTTAACAACTGCCAGTGAGAAAAACTATTAAAATCCACACAAGTTCACAGATTAAAACAACAATCACTGGTTGTTATCTAAAACCATAATCTTGCTGATTTGACTGGGCAGGATTGAACAAAAACAGAAAATAAAAACATCTGTATCTCCTGCCACAAACAGCCTAGGGTAAAATTTTGAAATCTGCGCAGAACTCAAAACTTCTTTTCACACTCTTCTCTCCTCTTCTGTCACATCCAGGATTCCGAAGCCGTCCTGACAACCCAGACCAATCCATTTTGCAGGGTCACAAACTTTTTCTGTAAAGGGTCAGAGAGTGAATATTTCCAGCTCTGATGGCCAAACAGCCTCTGTCACACTCTCAACTCCCCCAGTGCACAAACGCAGCCACAGGAAACACCTAAACAAGTGAACATGGCTGGGCTCTAATGAAACTGTTTGTGGAAACTAAAATTTAAATTCATATAATTTTCATGTGTCATGAAACTTTATCATCTCCCCAACCATTTAGAAACGTAAAAAACCATTCTTAACTCATGGGTCATAAAAAAAACAGGTAGTAGGCCAGATCTGGCCATGGTCTGGCAACCCCTGCTTTAAAGGGCTCCAAACATACCAGTCCTCTCCCCACTCCCCAAAAACCACACACTTCCTCTTTCCCACTGTCCTCATCACATTGAAAATTCATCTTTCATCAGAACAAACGCACTGTGCTAAATGAAAGGAACTAAGGCGGCCAGGCGCAGTGGTTCATATGCCTATAATTCCAGTGCTTTGAGAGGCAGAAGCCAGGAGAGTTCAAGACCTGCCTAACATAGCAAGACCCTATCTCTACAAAAAAAAAAAAAACAAAAAAACTTGTTTTAATTAGCTGGGCTTGATGGTCTGTGCCTCGTAGTCCCAGCTACTTGGGAGCCTGATGCAGAAGGACTGCTTGAACCCAGGAGTTCAAGGCTATGGTGAGCTATGATCACAACACTGCACTCAGGCCTGGGTGACACAGCGAGACCTTGTCTCTAAGAAAACATGAAAAGAGAAGAAAATGAAAGAGAAGCTAAGAAAAGGTGAAATTAGCACAGAGGCAGAAAGTCAACCACTGGAAAAGACAGCCCAAGAGCAGAACTGTGTATACATGGTAACTTGGTAAATGGCATCTATCAATAGCATTAAAGACCTGGGGAAGATGGACTGTGCTCGAAGAGGTGCTGTAACAACTGTTAATCTAAAAAGAAAAAAACTGAATTGGATCCTTACTTACACTACCCAAAAAGTAACTCCAGGTGGATTTAGGAATTACATGGAAGACAAAATTGCAAGGCTTTGGAAGAAAATATAAGGAGAATGTCTTTACATGCTTAGAGAAAGATTTTGTACATAAGATATTATTTAAACCTTATTTTAAAAGTAGTATTTAAGCACAGATCCAAAGAAGGTGAGGGAGCCAACTATGCATCTTGCTGGGAGAAGAGCTTGGACTAGAGGCAAAGGCATACAGAGCACGTCACAGGGAAGTCAGGGCTGGCTTCAATGAACCCCAGTGAGAAAAGAGAAGTGCGACTCAGAGAGACAAGACAGAGCCACCCTGGACAGGCACAGTAGGCCACGGAAGGACGCTGGCTTTTATCCTGATGTGAAGCCATGGAAGGTTCTTTTTTTCGTTTTGTTTTTGAGACAGAGTTTTGCTCTGTTGCCCAGGCTGGAGTGCAGAGGCAGGATCTCAGCTCACTGCAACCCCCGCCTCCCAAGTTCAAGCAATTCTCATGCCTCAGCCTCCCAAGTAGGTAGAATTTCAGGCATGTGCCACCATGCCCAACAAATTTTTGTATTTTTAGTAGAGATGGGGTTTCACCATGTTGGCCAGGCTGGTCTCAAACTCCTGGCCTCAGGTGATCCACCTGCCTTGGCCTCCCAAAGTGCTGGGATGACAGGCGTGAGCCACCGTGCCCGGCCCATGGAAGGTTCTGAGCAGAGGGGTGACATCATCTGACTTACATGTTAAAAGGATCTCTTTGGCTGCTTTGTAAAGAATCAATCTTAAAGGGAGAAAGAGACGACAGCAGGAGACCAGTTAGGGGGCTGTTTTTGGAGCAGAGGGAAAGCAGCAGATACGGTAAACAGAAATCAAATTCTGGATATTTTAAAGATAGAGCCAATAGGACTTGATGATGGATTCTTATGAGGGTGTCTAAAAAAGGGGAGTGAAGGATGACATCAAAACTTTAGCCTGAGCCATAAATTGAAAGATGTATTTATTGTTTACAGAAACAAGAGTACTCTGAGGATATCTGGTGGATGAGAGGATCAGTAGAAATACAAGTAGAATGTGAAGTAGTCAGGTGAATAAACAAGTCTAGCATTCAGGAGAAAAATCTAGCTAAGCCAGGTGCAGTGGCTCATGCCTGTAATCCCAGCACTTTGGGAGGCCAAGGTGGGTGGATCACCTGAGGCCAGGAGTTCAAGACCAGACTGGGCAACATGGTAAGACCCTGTCTCTACAAAAAAAATTTAAAAAATAGCCGGGTGTGGTGGTGGATGCCTGTAGTCTCAGCTACAAGGGAGGCTGGGGTGGAAGAACTGCTTATGCCTGGGAGGTCAGGGCTGCAGATCGTGCCCCTGCACTCCAGCCTGGGTGACAGAGCGAGACCCTGTCTCAAAAAAAAAAACAAAGAAGTCCAGCTAAAGAAAAATGTTAGTCACCAGCAAACGGAAGTTATTAAAGCCACAAGATTGAGTGAGAATACTCTGAAAGTAAATATAGGCAGAAAAGAGAAGAGGTCTGAGGACTGAGTTCTGAGATCCGGGAAGGATTATCACTCAGGGAAATGGAGGGAGAGATTTTTCTTAGTATGGAAAAATTACAGCAGATCTATAAACTGATGAGTGCAATCCAATAGAAAGGGTAAAACTGATGATTTTTAAGGGGGGAGAGAAGAAGACTGCTGGAGCAATGTGTGCAAAAGGCAATGGAATTTAGTGCAAACTTAAGGGGAGCTCATATTCAGAGCAAGATCGCTAATCCACAGACCAGAAGCAAAGGCAGGCTACGGGCACAGATACAAGTAGGTGGGCAGAGAGGGTGATGAGAGTTCCTGGAAATTATCTTCTAGTTGCTCCTATTTTCAGAGAGCTGAGAGTGAGGATGAGGGAGATGGGATGGAGGTTTGAAGAGGGTGGAGCATGAAATACCTGACTCGGGGAGCAGGAGAGTCAAGGGACCAGGGCAAACAGCGGGACTGACAGGTAGCATTAAGGGCCACGTTAGTTAGTGATCAGCAAGTTAAAGTGAGAGCAGTCTGCACGGCTGTATGTTTTTCTCTAGCCTTGTTCAGCTATTTGGGTACTGTCGCAAAGGTAACAAGTTGGATTTGACCAGAGCTGGAGTTTTACCAGGCAAACATAACAAAGTTTAGAGAGGAGGCAGTGGAGTTGAGGATGTACATTAAAAAATGCTCTTATTACTCATCCATGGATCTAAGCCAGATCAAGATGGGAATGTGAACATTAAGAAGGGGAATGAAAAACAAAAGGGGTAGTAAATAGGAAATAGGGTCAAAAGACTGTAGGTCCTGGTGAGGTTAAAGACTTGATGAAGCAAGGGCCCTAAAGAGAAGATAAAACAGGGATTGGGACTCGAGATTGTGGGGGAAGGCAGCTACAGTTATGGATAAAGTCTAAGTAAGGTATGGCAATGTGTGTCTGAGATGGGATGGAGGTCAAGCTCACTAAGGGAGAGAAAGTCAAAGAAATTCGAGGTCAGGATAATGAAAGGAAAATCTATATAAACAATGAAATAACGAAGATTTAAGACAGGAGAAGAAATAGAGTGAAAAGTGAGCCAGGGCTAAACTCTTCAAGGAATGAGGCAGACTGACCCAAAGGTCTCTTTTAACCACAAAAGTGATTAAACAAGGGATACTCTGATGTCATGAGATTAAAAGTTGGAGTGGTCTATGGAGGAAAAAGGTCTGAAAGCAGCAATGACAATCAAGGAGAACTACCACACCTTTGAGCCAAGCATTGTACTGAGTGCAGGAGAGAAAACAGCCTCCCACTTTCAAGAACCCTGGGAAAGGCATGTCCTCAGAGCCATATTTCATTTAGATCAAGAAGATGAATGGATGTTTACAGAAGTTCAGGATACAGGGAATTTTGCTGAGGGCATAGAGAAGGATCTTAAGAACTGGGGAGTCAGAAGAGGATTCATGTAAAAAAACCTTAAAGGGTTCCAGGAACAGTGGCTCACACCTGTAATCGCAATACTATGGGAGGCTGAGGCAGGAGGATCACTTGAGCCCAGGAGTTCAAGACCAGCCTGGGAAACATAGTGAGAGCTAATCTCTACCAAAAAAAAAAAAAATTTTTAATTAGCGGGGCATGGTGGCGCTGTGATGGCACCACTGCACTCCAGCCTAGGTGACACAGTGAGACCCTATCTCAAAAAAACAAAAAAGCCTTAAAGGGATGACAGTTCAGAGAGTAAGAGAAAACCTAGGAGTTTCTCATATAACTTAGAAAATCTGTGTGAATTTCTAGCAAAAACCCTGCTGCAATTTTATTATGAATGGCATTGAATCCACAGGTCAATTTGGGAGGTATTGATGTCTTTGTTATTGAGGTTTCCTATAATACAATGGTGTATCTTACCACTTAAGTCTTTTTAAATGTCTTTTGATAGTTTTATAATATTCTCATTGATGATGATGATGACAATGACACCAACAACGAAAACGCTAACACTTAAACTGTGTCTATTAGGTGCCAGACACTGTTCTAAGCAGTACACAAACTCCTCAATAGCTATAATGAAAGAGCATCCCCCACTTATGGATCATCTCGTTAACTCTAATAACTTCTCTAA
Source organism: Homo sapiens (assembly GCF_000001405.40). NCBI lineage: Eukaryota > Metazoa > Chordata > Mammalia > Primates > Hominidae > Homo > Homo sapiens. The sequence continues at coordinate 45,680,128 of NC_000022.11, read as the reverse complement.
GCTTGTGGCCATCACAGGGCCCAGCTCACCCTACTGGTAGTCCCACAGTTCCTTTGCTTTTGAGTGTCATTGCCCACAGTCCAGTGACCAAGCCCTTGGGTCCAGTGACCACTACAAAAGACTGGAAGAATGAAAGAGCTGAGAAACTCTGCTCTGAGGGTACTGGTGGTCACAATCCTAACCTTATTTATTTCGATTGGTTTTATTTATTTCGGCTGGCTCAAACTCTTTCCTGTCTACTTCATGCATTTAAGATAATTGAATGTATGAGGTGGCTCACACTGACCACTTCTGTATTTTGAAGCTGAGTCAGAACACCTTACCAAACAATTCCATGTAGCATTCCAGCTCATGGCATAGGTAAAAATAAAGGAAATTGCCAGCACACTCTAAAATATGCTTTTTATAGTGTAACTTAATTGATGTTCTCTCTCAACAAAGTTGAGCTGAATCATGGTTGAGTCAAAACGCCATATGGCGTCCTCAGCCAAGCTGACGACTCGTGTGGGTTTTTGTTTTTTGGGTTTTTGTGTGTTTTGGTGTAGTTAAAGACACTTGCTGCCCAGAGGCTCAGTAATGTCCGGGGAAAATCCATGTGCGTGTGTATACACAGATGGATAGGTTTATTTTTTACCTCTGTGGTATGTTGACCTCTAAAGTGCTTAATCTATTCACTTTCTTTATGAAGGTTAGTCAACATATTTATACAACCAAGTAACAATACCAAGTCATTTTTTACCCCTTGAAATCAGTCATCTGTCATATTTAACGTTTCCTGTCCCCTCCTAATTAAAGTCTTTCTTGTATGCTCTCATTTTCTCTCTCATGGCTCAAGAAAATCAGGTGTTCAAGAAAATAATAAAAATACTATTGGATGCTCATTATGTGGTAGGCCTGAAAGTTGGTACTGAAAACAGAGGTAAATAAGAGTCCTGGCCTCGGGCTGCTCTCACTCTAGTGAGACTGGTAGGTAATTAAGTGATTATGTGAAGTTCTTTGAAAGAGGTAAGCACAGAGTGCCAAGGGAATACAGGGCAAAAGCACCTGAAGGTCAGAAACGGCTTTCAAAAGGAAGTGAAATGGTAACTCAACCTTGAGGGAAAATGAAGAGTGTGTATAAGCAAAGGAATGAAGGCTTAAGACATTTATATTTACAAATTTACAAATTTATTTTGTAAATATAAATTACAAATATACATTTTTAGCAAATTACAAATGTATTAAATTTAATAATTTAATAGCATGTGAGCTACTCCTATGTCAGTAGTTCAAAGTAAGCTACACATAGTTAATTTTATCCTATCAATCACAGCTGCAGCACTAAGCACAGATCTTACATGTATCATGTGTGGTGTGAGTCAATGAATGAATTACATGGTAAACTAATCAATAGCATTTTAGCAATTTGAGTAATTACTGATTGGCTCACTGGAGCTACTGGCTCTTCATTGCTCTATTCAGTTCAGTTCAACATTTACAGAGTACCCAAAATGGGCCAGGCACCCTGCTAAGAAACACCATAAAGTCCCTCCCTTCAAGAAAGGCACTACTGAGTAGGGAAAAAGATACATAAAAGGCTATTTTATTATGAAACAAAAATAGCAGTGAGGGAGGAGTTCACATTTTAAACACATCCCCTCTACTCCAAACAATGTGACTTTTTAAAAATCATAAATATATAGCTTCACATGCCCACCAAAATTCAGTGTCACTCATTTTCATTATAGCCATTCTAATAGGGATGCAGAGGCACCTTACTATGGATTTGTTTATAACAGCACTATTGAGATAGGGTTCACGTGGCACACTAAAGTCACCCACTTAAAGCGTACAATTAAATGGATTTTGGTACATTGTATTATTAATTTTTTTAACTGTGGTAAAATACATATATATAACATAAAATTTGCCATGTTGTTCATTTTAAGTCTACAGTTCAATGGCTTTAATTATATTCACAATGTTGTACAACTATCACCTCTACTTCCAAAATTTTTTTTAACACCCAAATAGAAACTCTGTAAACATGAAGCAGTAACTCCCAATTTCCCCTCTCTCCAAATCCTAGTAACCTCTAATCTACTTTCTGTCTCTACAAGTTTGTCTGTTCTAGGTACTTCATAAAAGCAGAATCATACAGAATTTGTCCTTTTTCATTTTCTTCGGGCACATACCTAAGAGTAAAACTGCTTGGTCATATTCCATGTTTAGCTTTTTGAGGACCCACCAAATTATTTTCCATAGTAGCAGCACCACTTTACATGTCCACTAGCAACACACAAGGGTTCCCATTTCCCCACATCCTCAACGATACTTGTTCTTTTCCATTTTTTGGATAATAGCCATCCTAAACGGCATGCAGTAGTCTCTCACTGAAGTTTTAACTGCATTTCCCTAATAACTAGTGATTTGGAGCACTTTATCATACGCTTATTGGCCTTTATTTTTCTTTGTAAAGCACAGATTTTGCCCAATTTTTAAATTGAGTTGTAGGAGTCTTTTTTATTGAGTTGTAGGTAGGAGTACTTCATATATTCTGAAACAACTTCTTTATCATATATATTTTAAATACTTCTCTAAGTCCAGGACTTGCCTTTTCTTTTTTTTTTTTTTAAGACCTTTTGGCCTGAATTTTTTTTTAATTTTTAAATTAAACACCAACGAAAACCTCATTTTGTCTAAGCAGATTGAAGAGAAAAAATGAGCTATACTGATAGAAGCTGAAAAAAAAAATTACTGTCTACACGACTAAGAAAAAGACCAAGCAAGTGCAATGAGTAATAAGTTATAGAAATAGCAGCAACTCCACAAGAAACTGATAAGCATCTGCCACTATCAACTCTATGCTAGATGCCAGGCATACAGTGAATGTGATGTGCCCACTTCATTCAAGAAGCTCATCAGGTGGAAGACCAATGAGGTATCAGTTTAAGTATGAGATGAATTTATAGAAAGCAGCATCCAAATGTTCCATTATTTCAAGAATACTCAAGAGTCAAAATACAATCTCCCCTATAGAAAACTTACTACAGAAGAGCACTATTTCCAGAACTTTCTGTGATGATGGAAATATTCTATATCTGTGCTGTCACATCACATGTGGCCAATGAGCACTTAAAATATGGCTAATGCCAGCCTGGGCAACATGGCGAGACCCCATCTCTACAAAAAATAAACAAAAAAATTATCTGGGCATGGTGGTGTACACCTGTAGTCCCAGCTACTGGGGAAGGAGGCAGGAGGATTGCTTGAGCCCAGGAAGTCGAGGATGCAGTGAACTATGATCGTGCCACTGCACTCCAGCTTGGGCAACAGAGTGAGACCCTGTCTCTAAAAAAATAGTAATAAAGGGCAGGGCACGGTGGCTCATGCCTGTAATCCCAGCACTTTGGGAGGCCAAGGCAGGCGGATCACCTGAGGTCGGGAGTTCAAGACCAACCTGACCAACGTGGAGAAACCCCGTCTCTATTAAAAATACAAAATTAGCCAGGTGTGGTGGCGTATGCCTGTAATTCCAACTACTCGGGAAGCTGAGGCAGGTGAATCGCTTGAACCCGGGAGGCGAAGGTTGCAGTGAGCCAAGATCACACCACTGCACTCCAACCTGGGCAACAAGAGTGAAACTGTCTCAAAAAAAAAAAAACAAATTAAAAAATATGGCTAATGCAACTAAGGAAATGAAACATTAATTTTACTTATTTTCAATTAATTAAGTAGCTACATGTAGCTAGTGGCTACTTAATGAACAGCACAGATGGAGTATGACAACCCATCTCACCTGGCTCTACACTTTGTGGGGTCTGGAGATGCCTCATGGATGCATCATAAAGGCAACTAGCCAGGTACGGTGGCTCATGCCTGTAATCCCAACACTTTGGGAGGCCGAGGCAGGAGGATCACTTGAGGCCAGGAGTTCGAGACCAGCCTGGGCAACATAGTGAGACCCCCTTCTCTAGAAAAAATGCACTCCAACCTGGATGACAAAGTGAGGCCCTGTCTCGGAAAAAAAAAAGAAAAATAATTAAAGGAGCAACTAAAATAGAATTTTAAATGTTTGTCTTACTTGTTCAGAAAGAATTTAACATGACTTGCAAAGACTCACAGCAAGATAAATCACTTGTTAAACAAATGTGAAATACGGTGATATCTACATTAAACAAAAAGTATAAAACAAATGTGAGAAAAAAGAATTATCTTACACAGAGAAGAAACAGCTGAGGAATATCTCAATACTGATATTATATGACCATAAGCAATATGTTTAAATTATTTTAGTGACCAAGACACTGTTTAAGAAGTGGGTTACAGAATGCATTTAATACACAGCATGGAGAATTAAGACTGGTGTATTAATGATGTATTGCTACATAGCAAATTAGCCCAAAATTTAGCATTTTAAAACAATAACATTTATGATCTCACACAGATCTGAGAGGCTTAGGGTGTCTCATGAGGTTGCACACGTGGCTGAGGATGTGACTGGAGCTCAGAGGACCTGCTTCCAAGGTAGTTCATCACATGGCTGTTCAAAGGAGGCCTCAGCTCCTCACCACACAGCTCTCTGCATATGGATGCTTGAGTGTCCTCATGACATGGCAGCTGGCTTTGTCAGAGTGGGTGATTCAAGAAAGAGCTAGCAAAGAGGAAACTACGATGCTTTTTATGACCTAGTCTGAGAAGTCGCACACTGTCACTTCTACCATATTCTACTCTTCAGGAGCAAGTCACTAAGTTCAGCCCACACTCAAGGAGAAAAGAATTAACCTCCTCCTCTTGAGAAGGTCAGAGTATCAAAGAATTTGTGGACATATTTAAAATTCCCACAATGGGATGTAAGAATTTCTTTTCACTTGGGGGCTGCTAAAATTGTAATGAGATCCTGAGATCCCCTTCTCCGGAAACCCCAAAATTAGAACTGTCTTCCTGAAATAGCTGCAATTTTTGTTTCTGATAAGACAGGAGATTCAACACAAATGGATTCTTGGTCACTTACAACCTTGTTATATTTTAATAACAGGTCCTAAATAAATGGCATTTACTATGCATAAACCACTATGCTACACATATAATATTACAGATCCTCAAAATAATCTGTCAAAGTGGCTACCATCATCCCGTTTTCAAGGAAAGAAACAAGAAGCCTCACAAACTAAACCAGGATTCACATCCAGGTCTCCATGGTTCCAAAGCCACTGCTCTTCCCACTGCATGACACTTCTATTACTCAAGCTACCACTGACAGAAGTTTGTTTTGTAGCATGGAAGAGCTCAGAAGGACCACCAACTACATTATGTCTATGATTCTTCAAATATAAAATGGAATCCTAGAGAAATAATGTATTCCACCAAAAGAGAAGAATCTCTTAATTACTTTCCTCACTGTTTTTGCTTTTTGTCTGCTGTTTTCTATTTGCTACACTGAGGACTCATTTTGCCTGGCTTTTTGTCTCGTCCACCTTCTAACACCTTGGCCCATCCTCCCCCTGGATCCATCTGTGTTCCTGTTCATACTAGACAACAGCCCTATGTCCTCTCTGAAGAGGAGACCCCCAAGGACAAACACTGGCTCCCTGAGCATCAGAACTGGAGGGATCCTCTCAGAGGAGCAGGAGTCTGGGCCCAGCCCCACAAGACCCTTATAATTTGTCCAAAGACAAAGAGAAGCAGTGACAGAACCAGGACCAGAAGCCTGTCCTTATAAACCCTGATCATGAGTTCTCTGCACCACCACACAACTGTGTCTTTCCATGCCAGGACCTGCACATCAGTTCACCTTTCCTGGTCTCCAATCTCTGCCTGGAACAAGGACACTGTCCCAGAACTCAGATGAAATCTGGGAAGCATCCTCATTTCCTCATTCTCCCCCCCACAATCCAACTGGTCCGAGTCCTGTCCATTCAACCTTGTATCTCTCAGTATTTATTCTACTCATCCCCACAATGTCCTAATTTAGGCACTTTTCTCTTTCACATGGGCTTCCGCTACCACTCCTTAAAGGTCCCCCCTGTCTCTAGCTTCGTCCTCTCATTTATTCCCCACAATGGAGGCGGAGGCGGCCAGGAAGATCTAACAGGCAGATCTTATCGCGCCACTCCCTTGACAAAAACCATCAATGGTTCTCTGTAACTTCTTCCCTCACAAGAGATAGAGTCAAGAAGGGCCTTCTAAACTGGCTCAGGGGCTTGGATTTTCTCCAAGTTATAAAAAGGGAACTGATGTCTGACTAAATGTCTCTTCTGTACGAGAAACCTTATCTATGTTACTTAATTGTCTCATCGGTTTTGCAAAATTAACATATGGCCCCTTTGCAGACACTGTTCCCTCTAGTCCTCTCATCTATAACCGAGCACCTGAAATAACCTTAAAAAGCCTCTCCTGGCTCGCCAATCTTCCAACATATCCACATGCTCCCCTGTGCCACCACCTCTTGTATAGATTTCCATTACAATGTGTTTATTTAGCTATTTCCCAAATATGCCTGATAAAAGGGATCACTCACATCATTCCTCTCTGTACCCTCAGACCCCAACAAAAAAATCTGTTTCATAGTAGGTGCTCAATAAATGGTTGATGACTGGGTTATTAACTAAAAGGAGGGTCCATCATGATACAGAAATGCCTAAGCATTAAATCAATAAATACATCTCCCCCAAAGGCCCATAGAGCAGTACCAGGGACTTTTATTAATAGCATTCCTTCAGCAGCTCCACATTTCCCAAAGTGATGTGAGGTAAAGGAAGTGCTCAGACCAGGTGTCTAGTTTAAAGAGAGGAAGTCCTCTAGTGATCACCTAGGCTGACCCAAGTCTCAGTATTTCTTTCTTCAATGTTCCCTCTGCTTTGTACATACATACCCCCACAGCTGTGTTATCTTGTACATACTAGTACAGGAGAGAGCAAGGACTTTCCATTTTCCTACCCCATCACCTAGCACAATAGCTGATACATGGGTAACTACCAATCAATGTGTTAAGTGATAATATCAGCTACATTTAGTGCTATGTACAGGTATGTCCTAAGGATTTAATATGCATTATATCTCATTTACTCCTTATGACACTATCACCAGGGAGGTACTGTTCAACTTTACTCCCATTAAATAGACAAGAAAACTGAGGCCCAGAGGACAGAACAAGATCAAACAAGCATTGACTGAGGGCTTCGCACATTTTATATTTTCACGTACTTTATTTCATTTATTCCTCTGTACAATCCAGCAACTAAGCTGTGTATTATAGTCCCATTTTTAGACAAGAATTCTAAGGCCTGGAGAAACTGCACAGTAACACGCAGCTTGCAAGGCCAGGAACCAAATCCACAACTGTCGACTCCTGGGCACCTTCTCTTTTTGCCTGGCTATCTTGCCCCTCAGTGGCATCAGGACTGGACTGGTCTCTCCAGGCCCGTGCTCTTCCACACTGCACAGAGCGCTGCCCCCAGGGCAGATGGTGCAGCCTGGGCTCTAACGCCGAGGAGAAAGGAGTGCCAGTCCCACTCCATGCCTAGAGACTGCCATCCCCGCAACTGCCCAATTCCCGCGTCCGTAACACGGGTCTCTCCCGCTAAAACACACGCTTTATGACTCTGGGGGCCGCGTGGGTCTTGCAGCCAGGGCCTGGCGCAGCCCTCGCACATGACAGGGGAGGCCTAACCGTGTGTTGGGTCAACATCACCGGCACGCCGCGGCAAGGGCTCCCGGGATCGCGGCTTCGCACCCGGACTGGCTGCGGTGGGGGAGCGGGGCGCCCGCCCCAGGCCCCGCGGGGACCCACGAGCACGAGGCGGTGCCTGGGAGTCGGGAGGCCTGGGTGGCGCTCAGGCAGCCCGCGCAGGCCTCGCCCTCCGCGTCTCCAGCGAGGCGGGGGCGGCGCCTGGGTCCAGGCCGGGGCCGCCGCGGGAGTCCCGGCCGCCCTCCCCTGCCCGGGGCAGCCCCCCGGCCGGACCCGTTACCGGTTCCGCTGCTCTTTGAAGAGCGCCGTGAGCGCGCGCAGGGCCTCCAGGTCTTGGATGGGCGCCGGCACCATGACGCCCGACAGCCTGGCAGGCGGCGGCCTGGGCGCCGCCATCTTGCCGCTCACAGCTGGGTCGAGCCTGACGAGGAGGAGGAAGGCGAGGAGGACGAAGGGGGAGGATGACGAGGAGGGAGGAGTAGGATGGCGAGGAGGAAGGGGGAGGCCTCGCCCTACACAGCCCTAACCGCCGCCGCCGCTGCAGCCCGCGCTGCCCTGAAGCTGCGCCGCCGCCGGAGAGCTCTAGGCTGAGCCCAGACTCGCCTCAGGCGGGAGGAGGAGACGGCGCCGCGGGGGAGGGGGCGCCGGCGGAAGTCCCGCCTGAGGGGAGGGGGCGCGGCGGAAGTTCTGGGTGAGAGCGGGGAGGGATGCTGGGGGTGATTGACTGGGAAGCGTCGCAGACGGGGCTCCTCCGAGGGGAGGGGACGCCGGGGGGAGGGGGACCTGTGTTGATGTGGCCGTAACAGGGTCTCGGTCTTGGGAGCGGGTATCGGGAACCAGAGGTTCACCCTGAGAAAGAGGGGCGCGTCCTATAGGAGGGTGCCCGCGGACAGAGGGGTCTCCCCCAGGGGAGGGGATCCGGGGGGTAAGGGGCCTGTGGAGGGTGGGGCCGTAACAAGGTCTCGGTCTTGGGAGCGGGTATCGGGGACAGAGGTTCACCTTGAGGAAGAGGGGCCCTCCTGTGGGAGGGGGCCCGCAGACAGAGTGGTCTCCCCCAGGGGAGGACATTCTGGGTGGAGGGGACCCTCTTGGGAGGAGACGCTGACTGAGGGTCTCGGGAACGAAGGGGGCCGGGCAGAGGCTCCCACTGCTAAGGCTGAAGACCTTGATCCCACTGCTCAAGTGGGTTGATCAGTGCCCCCGCCCGGGTCCACTGGAAGCTGGAGCGGTCTGTCACTAGCTTGCAAGTCTCAGGCCCTGAAAACGCACTTCCCAGTACTTACTGATCATTGCTGATCAATACCAGACCACTTACCAGGCACTTTGCCTCTAGTGAGTATACATTGCTCCAGCTCCTCAAAGCCTTAAAATACCGTTCGAAGTCAAGAAGCTAAGTTACACAGCAATAGGGTTAGAATTGTTTTTTTTCCTAAGGGAAATGAATATATTTCACAGGAATCAGACAAGGCTTCTCTAGCTGGTGTTGATAACTCACATATTTTCTTTCCACTGCCCTTTATTACAGTGTATATACTTTCAACAAAAATTGTTGCTAAGCCCTGCGCTAGGTGCTGGAGATGTAAAGATTAATAAAAGACAGTTCCAAACCTGAAGGAACCTCACAGACTATTGAGAAGGAGAGAAGCAAACATAACTGAGTATAGTTGTGAACTGCTATAACTGTACAAATTGCTGTGGGACCACTTAAAATATATAAATACATACCCTTTACATTCTGCTTGGAGGGTAGGAGTGTGCTTATAACATGGCGCTTTTAACATTCTTTGCTAAATAAAATGTAAAGATAACAATAAACACCACCAGAGTATGCAGAAAAAGTGAATCCTGGTGGGGCATGGTGGCTCATGCCTGTAATCCCAGCACTTTGGGTGGCCAAGGCAGGAGGATTACTTGAGCCCAGGAGGTCGAGGCTGCAGTGAGCTGTGATCACACCACTGCACTCCAGCCTGGGTGGCAGAATGATACCCTGTATCAAAAAAAAAAAAAAAAAAAAAAAAAAAGGAGGGAGGGAAATGAATGCTGCTGCACAAGCAAGTTACTTGATATTGTCATTCAGTTTACCCATTTAATTGAGTATGTATTTATTCATTCCACGAATATTGCGGTGTACTATGTGCCAGGTATTAGATCACTTATTAGTAGCAGTGCTCAAGACAATGCAAAATGTTTAACACTCCTTAAGCTAACAGGGCAAAAATCTCTTAATTTTCCCTTGAGGAGCACAGGATAGTAAAATGTACTTGTTATGCACCAAAATCCTGATCTTTAGGCCAGACACGGTGGCTCATGCCTGTAATCCCAGCACTTTGGGAGGCCGAGGCGGGCAGATCACTTGAGGTCAGGAGTTCAAGATCAGTCTGGCCAACATGGCAAAACCCCCTTTCTACTAAAAATTAGCCAGGCATGGTGGCGGGTGCCTGTAGTCCCAGCCATTTGGGAGGCTGAGACAAGGGAATTGCTTGAACCTGGAAGGCACACGTTGCACTGAGCTGAGATCATACCACTGCATTCCAGCCTGGGCAACAGAGGGAGACTCTGTCTCAAACAAACAAACAAAAAAACCTGGCCTTTAGTTTTCTTATTCTCAAATGTAACATTCCCAGAAAAACATTCCCTATAATATTCATACTTCTTGCCTGGAATATTGTAATATATTCCTGATTGGTCTTTTGGCCTCTGCTCTTGCTTCCTTACGTTTTAGATCGTTTAAAAAATATTTCAACATTTAACTCTGCCCAAAACCCTCTAAGGGATTTCCATTTCACTCAGAGTAAAAGCCAAGTTCTTCCAATAGAAAAGCCCCTAAATGACCTGCCTCCTCCTTCGCCATCACCTCCAGCCCCTGTGGGCTCTAATCACATCTACTAGCCTCTTCCTCTTCCATTGTGCTTCAGCCATACTGACCTCCTTATTGTCCTCTGTCTATTTAAAAGGAATAAGCTGAGGTAAAATCAATATAAAGAGTTTATTTGGGCCAACGTGAGCATTGCAGTCCAGGACACACATCCAAGTTGCCTTGGGGAGTGCTCTGGAGAACGAAAGAGAAGCTCAACTTTTTAAAGAAAAAAGGACGAATCAGGAGAGAGGGTGATTTAAAAGGTTGTTTGTCATGAATTCTCATTGGTTTAAGAAATAATGTTGGTTAATGATTGGCTGTACAATGTTGAACTATAGATTGTATGCCATTGTGTAGCTAGTTGACATCAGTTCGTCTAGAGGCCAAATAGAATGTGGCTTCAAGAGGTAATTAGGCCAGGCATGGTGGCTCATGCCTGTAGTCTCAGTGCTTTGGGTGGCTGAGGCAGGAGGATTGCTTGAGCCCAGGAGTCTGAGACCAGCCTGCACAACATAGTGTGAGACCCCCCATCTCTACGAAAAAATTTTTAAAAAATTAGGCATGGTGGTACATGGCAATAGTCCCAGCTACTCCAGAGGCTGAAATGGGAGGATTCATTGAGCCTAGGAGTTGAAGGCCTCAGTGAGCTATTACCACACCACTGCAGTCCAGCCTGGGTAATAGAGAGAGACCCTGTCTTTAAAAAATAGTAATAATTCCTTTTGAAAAGAGGTAAGTATTCAGCTCAAGGAGGAGAGACATGATTGGTGTTTCATTCCAATGCTTCTCTAGGCCCGATCATTTAAAGGAGATCATATTCCTCAGATAAAGTTTTGTTTTTCCTTTTTTTTTTTTAAATCCCATAACTCCACCAGGAAAAGAACTCTCCTGCCTTAGGAGTTTGTATATGCTGGTGTTTTTGTTTTTGTTTTTGTATAGAACAACTCCTCACAAACATCTCCATGACTTGCTTCCTTATTTCCTTCAACTACCTGTTCAAATGATCTTTTAACAACCTTCCTGATCAATCTATTTAAAATTGTAACAGGCTACCCAAATTCCTGATCCCCAGGAATTTTCCGCATAGCACTTAATACTTGATATATAACTTACTTTTCTATTTTGTTTATTGTTGCTTATCTATTTCACTTACTACTAGAATGTAAGCTCTACAAGGGTAGAGATTTTTGTCTCTTTTGGTTATTTTTGTATCTCCAGCCCAGCACCTAGAAAAAGACCTACTATGTGGTAATTGCTCAATAAAAGTTGAATTAATGAACAAAGAATCTTTTTAACTATATCAGCAGAGGCCGGACGCGGTGGCTCATGCCTGCTTACGGTTGTAATCCCAGCACTTTGGGAGGCGGAGGCAGGCAGATCGCCTGAGGTCAGCAGTTTGAGACCAGCCTGGCCAACATGGTGAAACCCCCATCTCTACTAAAAATACAGAAAAAAATTAGCCAGGCATGGTGGCAGGCACCTGTAATCCCAGCTACTCAGGACGCTGAGGCAGGAGAATCACTTGAGCCTGGGAGGCAGAGGTTGCAGTGAGCTGAGAGCACGCCATTACACTCCAGCCTGGGTGACAGAGCAAGACTCCATCTCTAAATAAATAAATAAATAAATATACATATATATATATATATATATATATATCTGCAGAAAGGAGAAAGGAGATAGCATGCCTCTAGAAGAAGTGCAATAATCCAAAAAGTACAGAAAAGGAGGCTGATGGAAAAAGAAGAAAAATTATAAGGGAAAAGATTAAAACAGAGAGATTAACAGGACAGACAAAAAGTAGAAATACGCATAAGAGAAACGAAAGGAAATTAAACTGGTCAAACAGTGGATGTTATTGACTGCCCAAAATCGACTAGAGGATTTCAACCTTGACTGAATTGACAGAACCAAGTTAATATTTCACTAGGGCTAAATGACATTGTTAATGTTATATAGCTGTTTGACTTAGACAAACCAGATGAACATGCCACCATGTTGATGTACGTGAATTCGACTTCAAATGAAATTTGTGATATAAATTTGTACCTTGAGCCCACTGCAGAAGAATTGAATCAGCAATGACTCAGTAATCAAGAAGGAAGTAAATACAAAGAAAAGAAAAGGAAGGAAGGCAAAAAAGAAAATCAGAGAAGAAAGTAGATGAGGTGCAAGGCAAAAACAGATTTGGACCAAAGTGCATATGATTTTGGCAAGGAAAAGAAAGAGGAAGTAAGTGAATACTGGTAAAGAGAATAGAAGATGAGGCCGGGTGCGGTGGCTCACACCTGTAATCCCAGCACTTTCGGAGGCCAGGGCGGGTGGATCATGAGGTCAGGAGATCGAGACCATCCTGGCTAACAAGGTGAAACCCGTCTTTACTAAAAATACAAAAAATTAGCCAGGCATGGTGGTGGGCACCTGTAGTCCCAGCTACTCGGGAGGCTGAGGCAGGAGAACGGTGTGTACCTGGGAGGCGGAGCTTGCAGTGAGCTGAGATCACACCACTGCACTCCAGCCTGGACAACAGAGCGAGACTCTGTCTCAAAAAAAAAAAAAAAAAAAGAGAGACTGAGTAGAAGATAAGTGACAAGTGGATAGAAAAATGTGTGCTTCTGCTGGCTTTTCTGTTGGAAACATCCTTCTTAGCATCTCTGCCTACGATGCTCTTGCTAGAAAGCTTTTGTCATATATCACCAACTCCACAAGATCTCATGTGTTCTTCAGAAGAATCTCTGGTCAGCCTGTGCCTCTCTTTTGGCACTGACTTTCCATAGTCAGCCTGTGCTATAGATGTGTGTTTATGCCCTCCTCTTCCACATCTGAGGTCCCTCAAGGCAGGGATTTTCTCATCTTCATCCCAGCCCTGTGCTTAGAAGCAATGCTATCAATATCTGTTGAATGGAAAACTCTGGAGATTGAGAAAAAGGAGAAAAAAATAACAGAGTAGTGTACTTGTTCAGAGCAGGGATTGGCACACTATCACCTATGAGCCAAACTCTTCCCGCCACCTATTTTCGTAAATAAAATTGTGTTAGAAACTGTCATAGTCATTCATTTACATATTCTCTGTGGCTATTTTGGCACTAAAGTGGCAGAATTGACTTGTTGCTACAGAGACTGTATGGCCTCCAAAGCCTAAAATATTAACTATATGGTTCTTTTTAGAAAAGGTTTGCCAACTTCTGGTAAAGAACATGAGCTCTGGAGTCAGACAGACCTGGGTGATGTGAATCCCTCTTTTATCTCTTAGCACCTGAACTTGGACAAGTAACCATCTCTTTAAGCCTTTTTTTTTTCATTTGTAAAATGGAATAGTAATAGCACCTATTTAATTAAATTGTTGGGAAGATTTGATGATAGTCAATTCAGAGTCTGTCATATATTTAGCTTAGTTCAATACGTGTTAACAGCGAACTGTGTGGTGTAAAAGTGAGAAAGTAGAAAGAACGAAGTGGGCAAGGAGATCAAAAGCTGTTAGGTAGTTGGGCAAATGAGAAACAGTAGGAAACACGTAGGAAATCGTGAGTACGGTCAAGATATAATTGGTAATAAGTGACTGACAATAGACTACCGGTATTTGAGGTGATGATTCTGATGTTAGTAATAGTTGCCTTGTGGGGATCAATTATTTTTATGTAATTTGTAAAGTTATTAAGCTATTCCTTATGATTGTTACCAATCCATTTTACATTTTATTTTTCATATTTCAATTTAACCAGAAGATTTGAGCATCTATCATGGACTATATTAGAACCTAGTCTTATGAAGATGAATAATATAATACCTTAGTCATGAATAACCTCTGAGTCTATTAAAGGAAAACAGAAATATATACTGATAAGATAGCATAATAAATCATGTCAGAAAAAAGATGTATAAAGAGCTAAGAAGCTGGAGAGATGAAGAAATACAACTAGAGAAACCATGTAAGCTGAATCTTAAATAATTGTATGAGCACTAGACAAACAAAGGTGGAAATACATTCCAGAAAATGAAGCACCAAAATATAGCCTCAAACCAGCTGACTTTATATATGGTTCTACCAAACATGGAGAAAAGATGTAATCCCTGCCTTATACAAGAAGCTTCATAAAACAGAAAAAGCTTCACTTCTGGTAATGTCACGCCAAGTTATTTAAAGCTATCCTCTGAATGAGAAAAACTTTTATTTTAAACCCAAATGAAATATTTCAAAAACCTCTTTGTCACCTGGTTGATCCAAGGAACCAAAACACCTGAATTGGGATTAAGACAGACCCAGAATGGTGGCACATTTAGACACATGACAGAAGCAAATGAAAACCATCTTTGGAAGAATGTGCCATCCTAAGCATCAAATTATTTCTACAAATACTTCTCAAATAGAGTGAACAACACAAAAATAACTCACTCTACAGGGAAACCAGAAATTATAAGAACCAGCAGAAGCAACATACAACAGAAACTGATCCACAAAAACTTAAGCTATTGGAATGGAACATGGCAATGACACAACAGGTTTACTATGTTCAAAGAAATAATTCGGCCAGGCGCAGTGGCTCACGCCTGTAATCCCAGCACTTTGGGAGGCTGAGGTGGGCAGATCATGAGGTCAGGAATTTGAGACCAGCCTGGCCAACATGGTGAAACCCCGTCCCTACTAAAAATACAAAAAATTAGCCGGGCGCGGTGGCATGCACCTGTAATCCCAGCTACTTGGGAGGCTGAGGCAGGAGAATTACTTGAACCCAGGAGGCAGAGGTTGCAGTGAGCCGAGACCACGCCACTGCACTCTAGCCTGGGCAACAGAGTGAGACTCCATCTCAAAAAAGAAAAAAGAAATAGTTCAAAAGTCCAAGCAAGGTATTGAACTATAAAAAGTGAAATAGTGTATTTATATAATAAATAAATAGAAATTCTGGAACTGAAATTAGAAATAACACAGTAACAACTCAATTGATGGGATTAAAACAGGTTAGAGAGACCTAAAGAGAGAATAAATGAACTGGAAGATTTAGAAAGAAACTATCCAGAATGAAGAAATTAAAATACAAAAAATACAGAAGAGCTAAGAGATGCAGAAAATAAGTTGAGAAAGTCTAACACATGTAATTGTAACAGAGGCAATACCTAGGAGAATAGCTGAGAATCTGCCAAAACTGATGAAAGATTCCAAACCACAGATTCAAGAAGCTCAATGAATAGAAAGCAGAATACACGAAAAGACATCTAAATATAAACACACCATATATTCACATCTAGTGAAGTTATGCAAAAAGACAAAGACAAAATCTGATAAGAAGCCACAGGGGAATAAAAAGACAGTTTATTTTTAAAGGAGTGAGGATTCAGTAAGCTGTATCCTCCACAGAAACACTGGAAACCAAAATAGTGGAATGCTATCTTGGATGTGCTGAAAAATAAAAATAACTGCCAACAGATCCATGGTAAAGGAAATACAAAAGAGTGTGAATTAGAGACAAAAACAATCCCAGATGGAAGATGAGAGACACAGAAAGGAATAAAGAAGACTGAGAATGGTATTTACCATCCGCTTCATCTAAATGAACATCCAAAGTACAAAACAATCATAAAGCAACAATGTCTCATAGGGTTTAAAATAAAAAATTAAAATATTCATGACATGGCTCTGCTCCAAACCATCATAACACTACCTGGGACTTTTGCCTTCTGCTGTCCCAACTAGTGACCCCAGGACTCTCAAAAGACCACCTCTGTAGGAACAGGCCCAGGTTTATCTCCTGCCTAAGGACTTCCTCTGCCTTATACTTCCCAGCAGCCAAGATCACAGAAAGTCAAAGGCCAGCAAAGAAAGAAAATCCATTGACAGGAAAGAAGGGAAATCCATTGAGAACAGTCTGTAAAAGCCAGAACGGTTTTTTGTGAAATGAGCTTTGTCAAGTCAATCAGTACCAAACAATATTTGGATATTATTGGCACTTTGTGCTCCCTCTGCCTGAACTGGGAATTCCTCTATTAGTTTTGACATTATCTGGTATTGAACCTCACTTATAAACATCTGGTAGAAAACTATGGAAGAGAAACTTGCAAATGCCATTCTGAATGGGGCCATCATTGAGACAGTGGTTTAGGCCAGGACTATTCAAAGTGCTCTGCGGACCAATTCATGACAAACTTCCACTTCTGGGTAAGATGGACGAAGACCCTACTTGGTGACCCCCACACTTATGTACCCCATAGTAAATAATCATAAAACCTAGATATACTACAAAAAACAACCACCTGAAGGGCTTGAGAGTGAACAGACGCAGACTCTGATGAGGAGTACCTCCTCACTTGGAGGAAGGGAGATGGGGAGCTATACAAGTAGGTTCACATCTCTGTAGCTTTTAGCCTGGGACTAATTGTAGCACGTGGATGTGCACAGCAATGGTTGGGGGCACATGTGCAAAACTCTGCATTCTTTCTGGCCTGGGGAAACATAAAAGTAAATGTATGAAAATTGAACACTGAAGAGAATGGGAAAAATCCCAAAAGGGAAAGAGCCAGAGAGGGTGCTATGCTTTGAATGTTTCTCCTGTCCAAAACTCATGTTGAGATTTTAATCCCCAATGTGGCAGTATTGACAGGTAGGGCCTTTAAGGAGTGACTGGTTCATGAGAGCTGTCCTCATGAATGGATTAATCTATTCATAGAATAATGGATTAATTGGTTATCTTGGGAGTGGGTCTGGTGGCTCTATAAGAAGAGGAAGAGAGACCTGAGCTAGTACCCTCAGCCCCCTCACTATGTGATGCCCTGCACTGCCTTGGGACTCTGGAGAGAGTCCCCTTCAGCAAGAAGCCTCTCGCCAAATGCAGCCCCTCAATTTTGGACTTTTCAGCCTCCATAACTGTAAGAAATAAATTTCTTTTCTTTATAAGTTACCCAGTTTCAGATATTCTGTTATAAGCAGCAGGAAATGGACCAAGATAGAGGGGATCCCCAAATTAATTATATCCGTATAGCTGACTGCCCACTTAATAAACCTTATCATGTGGTGTAGACCCAAAGCAGCTCAACTAAATACAAAAGATCTGACGCAAAACTGGAACTGCCCCTGAAGAAATAGAGTTTTCAGCCCAAGCCCACATAAGAAAATTGTCTATGAAAACAAAGGAAACAACACTCCACAGAGGAAAATAACAGAATCCAGAATCCCCACAGCTTACTATTAATAGTATCAAAATACAATCCAAAAGTTACCTGAAATACAAATATGAAATTAGAGAACATTCTCAAGAGAAAAGAAAATCAAATCTGTCCATGAGATGAACTAGATGTGAGAACTGACAGATTTTAAAGCAATGATTATAACTAAATTAAATGAGGTAAAACAAAACATGACTTCAGTGAATAAAAACCTCAAGAGAGAAAATGATCAATCTCAGCAGAGAAATAGAAATGATTAAAAAGGGCTGGACATGATGGCTCACGCCTGTAATCCCAACACTTTGGGAGGCCAAGGCGGGCAGATCACTTGAGGCCAGGAGTTCAATTATGAGCACCTGGCTGAAAAAATATATATTTTTTAAACAACAAAGAGAAAGAATATCAGGGACCTGTTAGAGGATATCAGATTTTCAAATATTAGTGTAATTGCAAGGCTAGAAGGACAGGAAAGAGAAAACAGGACCCCCCAAAAAAAAGTATGTGAAGAAATAATAGCCAAAATTTTCCAAATTTGGTGAAAGGTGGAATCTTGCAAATTTAAGATGCTAAACTAACATCAAACAAAATCAACATAAAGAAGCCTATGCTAAGACACATCACACCAGTGAAAGTCAAAGAAAGAGAGCAAACAAACATCTTGATAGCATCAACATAAAAATGACATATACAGAAAAACAATTATTGATTCATGACTGCTTCTTATCAGAAACCATGGAGTCCAGAAGATAGTGGAACATTTGTAACCTCCTGAAGGAAAAAAAAAAACTATCAATCAGGAATTCTACATCCAGAAAAAATATTATTCTAGAATAAAAACAATATTAAAGACATGTTCAGATAAAATAAAACTAAGAGATGGCCTCACCAACAGAACTGTACCACGAGAAATGCTAAAGGAACTTCTTCATGCTGAGGGAAATTATATCAGATGGAAACTCAAATCCTCAGAAAAGCTGACAAGTATTAGACATGGTAAATAGCTGGGTAAATACAAATAATTTTTCCCATTTGCATTTTTCCTCTCAATTGTTTTATAAACCATATAATGGTTCATAGCAAAAATTAAGCATATTCATGTGAGGTGTATAATGTATGTAGATGTATTACATGTAACAACAATAACAAAGAACAGAGGGGGATACTGACCTGTAAGTTCATTGTATATTACATTCCTTAGGGTAGCCATTAAAAAATGTAAGGAATTGTAGCTAAGAGGCTAATGGGAAAATCAAAATGTAATTCTGAAAAGCATTCAAGTGAGAAAATAAAAAAGAAAAGGAGGAACTGAAAGGGGGAATACAGAGAAGACAAACAGAAAACAAAGGCCAGGTGTGGTGGCTCATACCTGTAATCCCAGCACTTTGGGAGCCCAAGGCAAGAGGATCACTTGAGCTCAGGAGTTCAAGACCATCCTGGGCAACATTGTGAGACCCCATCTCTAAAAAAATTTTTTTAAAAACTTAGCCAGGTATGGTGGTGCAGGCCTTAGTCCCAGCTACTTGGGAGGCTGAAGTTGGGGGATCCCTTGCTTGGAGGGCAAGACTGCAGTAAGCTGTGATTGTGCCACTGCACTCCAGCCTGCATAACAGAGTGAGACCCTGTCTCTAAATAAATACATAAATATAAATAAAATGATAGACCCAGCCCAATCATATCAATAATTACAATAAAGTATAATGGAATAAACACTGATTAAATATTAGATATTATCAGCCAGGCGCAGTGGCTCATGCCTGTAATCCCAGCATTTTGGGAGGCCAAGGCAGGTGGATCACCTGATGTCAGGAGTTCAAGACCAGCCTGGCCAACACGGTGAAACCCTGTCTCTACTAAAAATACAAAACTTAGCCAGGCATGGTGGCGGATGCCTGTAATCCCAGCTACTCGGGAGGCTGAGGCAGGAGAATTGCTTGAACCTGGGAGGCAGAGGTTGCAGTCAGCCGAGATTGAGCCACTGCCCCCCAGCCTGGACAGAGCCAGACTTCATCTCAAAAAATAAATAAATAAATAATAGGCTGGGTGTGGTGGCTCACACTTGCAATCCCAGCACTTTGGGAAGCCAAGGCGGGAAGATTGCTTGAGCTCAGGAGTTTGAGACCAGCCTGGGCAATGTGGCAAGACCCTGTCTCTGCTAAAAAGTTAAAAAAAAAAAATTTGCTGGTTGTGGTGGTGCACACCTGTAGTCCCAGCTACTCAGGAGGCTGCGGTGGGAGGATTGCTTAAGCCCAAGAGGTCAAGGCTGCAATGAGCTGTGATCGCACCACCGCACTCCAGCCTAGGTGACAGAGCAAGACCGTATCTCAATTTAAAAATAAAAGGGCCAGGCTCGGTGGCTCATGCCTGTAATCCCAGCACTTTGGGAGGCCGAGGTGGGTGGATCACTTGAGGTCAGGAATTCAAGACCAGCCTGGCCCAACATGACGAAACCCTGTCTCTACTAAAAATACAAAAATTATTTGTGCGTGGTGGTGCACATCTGTAATCCCAGCTACTTGGGAGACTGAGGCAGGAGAATAGCCTGAACCTGGAAGGCAGAGGTCGCAGTGAGCCGAGATTGCACCACTGCACTCCAACCTGGGCAACAGAGCAAGACTGCATCTTGAAAACAAAAACAAACAGAAAATAATAAAAAGGGCATATTGTGAACAACTTTATAATAATAAAGTTTCACAAAACCTATGTGAAATGGTCAAATTCCCTAAAAGACACAAATTACCAACTCATTCAAGAAAAAATACAAAACTTAAACAGTCTGATAATCAATTAAATAAATTGAACTTATAAATAAAAACCTTCCCATAAAGCAACCCCAAGTTGACATGGCTTCAATGATAAATACTATCCCTCATTTAAGGAAAAAACAACACCAATTCTACACAAACTCTTTCAGAAAAGAGAGAGGGAACACTTCCTAACTTATTTTATACAAGGCTATTATTACTCTGATTCTAAAAACAGTCAAAAGCTTTACACACACACACATATATACACACACACACACATAGACACACACAATCCCTGCAGACAGGCCGGGCGCGGTGGCTCACCCCTGTAATCACAACACTTCGGGAGGCCAAGGTCGGTGGATCATGAGGTCAGGAGTTCGAGACTAGCCTGGCCAAGATGGTGCAACCCCATCTCTACTAAAAATACAAAAATTAGCTGGGCATGGTAGTGGGCACCTGTAATCCCAGCTACTCGGGAGGGTGAGGCAGGAGAACCTCTTGAACCTGGGAGGCAGAAGTTGCAGTGAGCCAAGATCATGCCACTGCACTCTAGCCTGGGCAACAGAGCAAGACTCCATCTCAAAAAAAAAAAAAAAAAATCTCTGCAGACCAATATTCCTAACTATCATAGACACAAAAATCCTTAACAAAATATTAGCAAATTAAATCAAACCATCTATAGAAAGAATAAGGCATCCAGACCAGGTGGGGTGTATTTGGGGAATTCAAGATTAGTTTAACTTCTAAAATGATTTAAAAGTTGGTGAATCAATATGATTCACCATATTAATAGAATAAAAAAGAAAAGTGTATGATCGTTTCAATAGATATGGGGAAAAGCATTTGATAAAATTCAATACCCTCTCAATAAAAACTTCCAGAAAATTAGAAATAGAAGGGAACTTTCACAACCCGATTGAGAGCTTCTACAAAACAAAAACAAACCAAAATTTACACCTCATATCATACTCAATGGTGAAGGACTCAGCTTTCAAATAAGATCAAGAACAAGGCAAAGATGTCTGCCATCACTATCTTCGGTATTTTACTGAAGGTCCTAGCCAAGGCTGGAAAAAGAAATAATAGACAAACAAATTGGGGGGAAAAAAGTGTATATAGGCAGTCCTAATGAATTTATAAAAACACTATTAAAACTAATAAGTGAATGTAGCAAGTTTGCAAGATACAGGTTAATATATGAAAAATATCCAGCACTATATTTCATGAAAGATATACAAGACCTGTGCAGTGAGAAACACAAACAATTACAAAATGAAGTTGAAAAAGACCTATTTCAATGGAAAGATACATCATGTTTGTGAGTTGGAATACTCAATATTGTTAAGATGTAAGTCCTCTTCAAGTTGACCTATCCATTTGGTATAATTCCAATTAAAATTTTAACATGCTTTGTGAAAAGATTTTGAAAATCTGATCTTAAATTTATACAAAAAGGCAAAGGACCCAGAATATCCAAAACAATTTTGAAAAAGAACAAAGGTGAAGGCCTTAAACTATTTGATTTCAAGATACTATAAAACTACAGTTATCAAGATAGTGTGAAATTGTCATGTAGATCGAGAGAACAGAATACAGAGCCCAGAAATAAACACACACTAACAAAGTGTTAAAAGCAAAACTTTAGCTGAATTAAATTGAATTGAATTGAGCAAAGAATGATTCGTGAATTGAAGAGCCTCCTGAGCCACAGTAGGCTCAAAGGCACCAGCATAGCCACATGGTGGAAGAAGATTTATGGACAGACAAAGAAAAGTGACAGAAAATGGAAGTGAGGGACAGAAACAGCTGGACTGGTTACAGCTCAGCGTTTGCCTTATTTGGACATGGTTTGAACAGTTGGCTGCCTTTGATTGGTTAAAACTCAGTGATTGGCACATTACTAGGCACACAACTCTACTTAGGTTTTAGTTGACGATGTACAGAGAAACCCTTAGGCCGAACTTAAAATATGTAAGGAGGTAGCTTTAGATTAAACTTAACAATTCCCCTCTTTTGATCATCCTCTCAATTTTGAGAGATTGACCAAAACTTTGTCATTGCTGTTACTATCACCATCATAAACGTACTTAGTTAGTCTTGGAACCCACTGGGAAACAGCAAAACAGTGGGTTTTGTAAGTTGGGAACAAGGACTTCAGGTTACTTTTTTGTAAAGGTTAGAGTAGAGGGTACATCCTGGAATGTCCTGTTCACAGGAAAAAGATAAAATCAGGTCTTTTCTAGGATCTATGTGTTTCATGAAAGTCTTAGTTTGATTATATCACATTTAGCATGAGTAACTCCATTTTGGTTTGTTCTGGTCTATTGGGGCTTAGTGCAGGAGCTCAGTCCAAAACAATGGCCTCCCATAATTTTCTTTTAAAATTCTCCCCTTTTGGTCACGTTCTCACTTAGGTGAGAGTGTGACCAAAACGTAGGGCCTTACTGCCACTCTCATTTACCATCATTTTGGGCTTCTGGTCTCAGCACGTCATTCATAGGTTATGGTGCCCTCATGGCCACACATTTCTTTCAGCTCTTGTCATTCCACCTGAAGAGAGACCATTTGACATTCTAGAGATGGCTGCATGCAGACATTTAAAACTTTTAAGAGAAGACAGCACACCAGGGAAACGATGATTATGAATATCAGAAAGATAATACCAAGAGTTTGGAGTATGCTCCTTAGCCAAGGTCCCCATAAACCAAACAAGCTAAAACCAAATAGATCAAAGGATCAAAGAATGAGCTAAAGAGTCTACTCACTTTAACTGAGCACTCTCTTTGTTAATCCCCTACAACTGAATCTCTATAACACCAGATGTTATGTATTTTTCCATGGGCAACAAGTGCCAGGAGCTCTATAGATACTTCTGTTTAGCCAGTAAGAAATCTAGAGAAATTCTATTATTTAGCATAACTTTCCCAAAAGAATTTAAAGTCCGTTGCGTAACCACAGGCTTTATGGTAGAATCTGCTGTGGGGCCTCTCATGAGGGATACATTTCTAATCATTGCCTCATTTACTCCAAACCATGCAAAAAGGACCTAACAAATGATGCCCTTCTAGAAGAGTGAAGACCTCCTGGCAATGTTTTCTTTAACCCATGAGGTGGGTAAACAGGAGTAGATCCATGTTGTCCTTCTGACTGATTATAAGGGAACATAATATACCATTCAAATTTCTCACCTACATTGGGCCTTCATCTTCCATCTGTCAAACCATAAGGTTATCCATGTACAAGGCTGGCTGCAAAATCCTTCACAAATAAAAGTATACCCCATGAGTACACACAACTGACCCCGACTTCACCTCTATTGCTCATGGAGGCATAAGCAAGGGGGAAAAATTTGAAAGATTGAGAGTCTCCTGATAGTAGAGGAATCTTGATTCATGATCTTGGGGAAAAGCTGTTCACATCAAGAATGTCATCTTCTGGGGAGACACTTCCCTGGTTAGTGTTACCTTAAAGTTTCCAAAGGGTGTACAGTTCCAGGAGTGTGGAGGGAACCTTTTGGGTTGTGAGATTATGAACCCAAAGTTCAAGGTCCCAGAGTTTTGCTGTAGTGTGGATGGCAAAGGCAGTCTATTTCTGATGTTCCCAGAAGATCCAGTCTTCAGGTTCTAGATTGTGGAGGGGTTGATTTTCCTCAGTCAGTGAACCACGAAAAGCTTTCTTTACCTGGAGAAAATACACTGCAGCATAATGAGCCACCGTCATATCATCAGCCCTCTTGCATGGGAAAGCTTTTCTACAACCAGAAAACAGGCACTGAGGATGACATTTGAATGAAATCTGTCCATATTTATTTAAATGGCCCGTCAGGTAGTGGAATATACCTGACATTTTGATAGTCTTACCAGAAATATGGGTTTGACCGAAATGCAAAGTTAATTCAAATAGGAAATCAATAAGCTATCAATACACACCAATTAGAAAAAATAAAGTTTATGAGTGTCACCGAGGATTAGAGTAACTGGAACTTTTTTTTTTTTTTAAGACAGAGTCTCACTGTGTCGCCTAGGCTGGAGTGCAGTAGCACGATCTCGGCTCACTGCAACCTCCACCTCCCGGGTTCAAGTGATTCTCCTGTTTCAGCCTTCCAAGTAGCTGGGACTACAGGCGCCTGCCACCACACATGGCTAATTTTTGTATTTTTAGTAGAGACAGGGTTTCACCATGTTAGGCAGGCTGGTCTCCAACTCCTGACCTCAGATGATCCACCCACCTCGGCCTCCCAAAGTGCTGGGATGACACGCGTGAGCCACCACGCCAGGCCTAGAGTAACTGGAACTCTTACACATTGCTAGTTGGAGTGCAAATTGGTATGGCCACTTTGCAAAACAGTATGGCAATACCTTTAAAAACTAAACATTTCCAGGCACAGTGACTCACACCTGTAATCCCAGCACTTTGGGAGGCCAAGACAGGAGGATTATTTGAGCCCAGGAGTTCAAGACCAGCCTGGGCAACATAGGGAGATCCTGTCTCTACAAAAAAATTAAAAAATTAGCTGGGCGTGGTAGTGCACACCTGTAGTCCCAGCTATTCAGGAAGCTGGGGCAATAGAATTGCTTGAGCCCAGGAGTTTGAGGTTATAGTGAGTTATGATGGCACCACTGCACTCCAGCCTGGAGACCTTGTCTCAAAAAAAACCAAAAGCTAAACATACATTTACAACATGTCCCCTCATTTCCACGTATGTCTACACAAAACATGTACGTGAATCCTTATAGTAACATTATTCATAATAGCCCAAAACAGAAGCAACCCAAATGTCCATCACCCGGTGAATGGGCAAGCAAATTGTGATATAGCCATATAATAAAATGCTGCTCAGCAATAAAAAGAAACAAAATGCTAACACATGCAAAAATGTGGGTGAGTCTCAAAAACATCATGCTGAATGAAGGACATCAAGCACAAGAGACTGTGTACTGTATAACTTCATTTATATGGAATTATAGAAAAGACAAAACTATAGTGATAACATGGAAGACCAAGGTGGGTGGATCACTTGAGGTCAGGAGTTCGAGACCAGCCTGGCCAACATGGTGAAACCCTATCTCTACTAAAAATACAAAAAATTAGCCAGGCATTGTGGCGGGCACCTATAATCCCAGCTACTTGGGAGGCTAAGGCAGGAGAATCACTTAAACCTGGGAGGCAGAGGTTTCGGTGAGCCAAGATTGCACCACTGCACTCCAGCCTGGGCAACAGAGGGAGACTCTGTCTCAAAAAAATGAAACAAACAAACAAAAAAAAAAACACACAAACAAACAAAAAAATTATAGTGATAACAGATAAGTAGTTGCATGGGGTTGGAGAGGGGAAGAGGATGGAGTGTGAAGGAACAGGAGGAAACTGGCCAGGGGAAGGGAATTGTTCTCTCTCATGATGGTGATGGTGGTTACCTGTATACAGTTACCCTCTGGGCACATACATGCTGGTGGCTCACATTTGTAATCCAGCACTTTGGGAGGCTGAGATGGAAGGACAGCTTGAGGCCAGGAGTTTGAGACCAGCCTTGGCAACATAGTGAGACCCTGTCTCCAGAAAAAATTTAAAAATTAGCTGGGCATGGTGGCACATGCCTGTAGTCTCAGCTAGTTGGGAGGTTGAGGCAGGAGGATTGCTTGAGCCCAGGAGATCAAGGCTGCAGTGAGCTGTGATCGTGCCACTACTCCAGCCTGGATGACAGAGCGAGACCCTATCTCAAAAAATAATTAATTAATTAATTTAACAAAAAATAAAAGGTGAATTTGATTGTGTACGAATAATAGATCATGAAAAAAAAAATCCAGGGCTGGGCACGGTGGCTCACACCTGTAATCCCAGCACTTTGGGAGGCTGAGGCGGGCAGATCACGAGGTCAGGAGATCGAGACCATCCTGGCCAACATGGTGAAACCCCGTCTCTACTAAAAATACAAAAATTAGCTGGGCGTGGTGGCGCACGTCTGTAATCCCAGCTGCTCGGGAGGCTGAGGCAGGAGAATCGCTCTAACCAGGGAGTCGGAGGTTGCAGTGAGCCGAGATCGTGCCACAGCACTCCAGCCTGGCGACAGAGCGAGACTCTGTCAAAAAAAAAAAAAAAAATCCAACAACAATAATGGTCATGAAGGATAACTAGTGGCAGACTTGCCCTCTTGCCTCAAACAACTAAAAAACTGAGCAAAATATACGGGAAACAGAACCCTTTCTCAGACGTTGATTAACAGGAAGAATAGGACTGGGATCCCTGAGAGAAAGAAATAAACGAGGTGATCTTTATGATCGCCCAGCCTTTCTGCCTGGACTCACATTCCACATCACAGCACAGAAAGCAGGGGCCCAGGATAGCAAGACAATCTCAATGAATTAGGGAGGCAGAGATCACAGATTGCAAATCGAAGTGGCTGGAATTTCCGGAGGTGGAAGCTTTGCAGAGAATGAACTCCAGAAATCAGATAGGCATCTGCTTGGGTCTCGGACTAAATATTAAACTGTGCGTGCGCTGGGGGAGAGTCCACAGAACAAGACAAAGAACAACTGTCAGGGAACTGTAACCTTCACAATTCCCGGGGCTCACACAGGGCTAGGAGACATTGGAGTTCTGATTGTCAGAGTGGAGAGATGCTTGTGACATGGATATACCTAGAAAGCATTACGATAAAGGAAAGACAGCAGACAAAAAAGACTACATAGCATATGATTACATTTATATGAAATCCCTAGAAAAGACCAAAAACGATACGGGCAAGCAGTAGATTTGTATTTGCCTAGAGCTGGGAGTAGGAACAGGGATATTTGGCAAATGACCACAGGACACACTGCAAATAGACCACAAATGGAAATACTAGGGGTGACGGAAGTGCTCCAGAACTCCTTGATCGTGCCACTGAGTACGTTTACCAACAGTCAGCAAACTTCTTTTGTTTTTGAGACAAGAGTCTCGCTCTGTCGCCCAGGCTGGAGTGCAGTGGTATGATCTCGGCTCACTGCAGCCTCTGCCTCCCGAGTTCAAGCGATTCTCCCGCCTCAGCCTCTGGGGTGGCTGGGATTACAGGCATGTGCCACCGTGCCGGGCTACTTTTTGTGTTTTTAGTAGAGACGGGATTTCACCATGTTGGCCAGCTTGTCTCAAACTCCTGACCTCAAGTGATCCACCTGCCTCGGCCTCCCAAAGTGCTGGGATTACAGACGTGAGCCACTGTGCTAGCCCCAGTCAGCAAACTTTTAAAGAAAACAAGCTCCTGTCATGCTAACCAAGCCCTGGTAGATATGGAGACCCTGACCATGATGTCAAGGGTCCACGTGGCCAGTACTGCGCATGACAAGCTGGATTCTATCACAACTTTCCAGGTGCTGCAGCAGTTCACCAGAGCACGGAAGTGGCACATCCGGGACTGAGAACTGGCAAGGCCAGAGGGCAGAAGCAAGTCACACAAGCCAGTGGCCCAAAATCACGTCATCTACCTCCGTTGCACTGGTACGTGTCCCTAAGCTCACCTGTGGCCACCAGGTGGGAGTGCCTTAGGATCACAGGAAGAAGGAAAAAGGGCAGGCTTGGTTCACAGATGGAATTGCTTGGTGTACTAGTTCCTGGCGGCTGCAGTAACAAATACTCACAAATTTAGTGGCTTGAAACAACACACATTTAATATCTTACTGTCCTGGGGTTCAGAAGACCGAAATGGGTCTCACTGAGCTAAAATCAAGGTGTCCATCAGCTCCTTTTTTTTTTTTTTTTTTTCTTGAGATGGAGTCTCACTCTGTCGCCCAGGCTGGAGTGCAATGGTGTGACCTTGGCTCACTGCAGCCGCCACCTCCCAAGTTCAAGCGATTCTTCTGCCTCAGCTTCCCGAGTAGCTGGGACTACAGGCTCATGCCACCATGCCCGGCTAATTTTTGTATTTTTAGTAGAGACTGGGTTTCGCCATGTTGGCTAGACTGGTCTCAAACTCCCGACCTCAGGTGAACCACCCACCTCGGCCTCCCAAAGTGCTGGGATTACAGGTGTGAGCCACCTCACCCAGCCCATCAGCTCCTTCTGGAGACTCTAGGGGAGAATGTTTCCCTGTCTTTTCTACTTTTAGAGGCGTCCACACTCCTTGGCTCATGGCTTCTTCCTCCAGTTTCAAAGCCAGCCACACAGGGCTGAAGGGCTGAGTCTTTCTCACAATGCCATCCTTCTGGTTCTTTGCTTTCATTATCACACCTCCTTTCTATCTCTAACATGAACTCTCCTTCCTCCTTCTTTTTTTTATAAGATCCCTGTGATTACATTGGGCCCACCCAGATAACTTAAGATAATCTCCCACTTCAAGATCAGCTGATGAGCAACCTGAATCCACCCCCTACCTTGTAATTTGACATATTCACAGGTGCCAGCTCTTAGGATAGGGACCTCTTTGGGAGACTGTTCTGACGACCACACTCGGTCTGCAGGCACAAGCCAAAAGTGGAATGTGGCTGGATTGCAGCCCCATCCAGGGATGGCTTTGAAAGCAGCAATAAGTTGAAATCTTAAGGGACAGAGTTTTAAGGGTTGAGCTGGTCATCTATCTCACAAGGAAAGAGAGGTGGCCCAAGGTTGGAGTATATAGAGATTCATGAACAGTGGCAGATAGCGTGGTCGGAAGCCTGAAGATTGGGAATCAGATCTTGAGGAGAAAGAAGGTGTGAATGAACAAAGAGAATGGGCAACAAGAAAAAAATATCTTTACGTCACAGGTTCATGCGCGCCGGGGAGTGTCCAACACAGAAGAGGCATTCAACAACCAACAATGGCGTTAGCCACCAGCCTTTGTCCTTGGCCCCCAGGGAGCAGATACAATGTTCTCATGAATCGATTGGCTACAGTGGCAAGGATTGAAGCCGTGCATGAGCCCGCTGGCATGGACAGCCACTCATTAAGACTGATCCACCCACTGTCACCATCAAACATTCAGCTTCTCCCCCTGCCCAATCCCGCTTCCTTTACTCTCCACTGTGATACCGAGAGAACTTCCCAGTAAACTTCCTACACCCAAATTCTCTATCCTCCACGTCCTAGGGAGTCCCAGCTGGGACAAGATGCTCACCGACTATTTGTTGACAGGAATTGAACTAACCTGCCTCCATTGTGGCCCAGGCCATCTTCCAAAGAGGGAGGGACCCACCTGAGGCACCCATCCAAGGCTGGTGACCCAAACCATGGTTTTCTCTTTTTCTTTTTTTTGAGATGGAGTCTCACTCTGTTGCCCAGGCTGGAGTGCAGTGGCACCATCTTGGCTCACTGCAACCTCTATCTCCCAGATTCAAGTGATTTTCCCACCTCAGCCTCCCGAGTAGCTGGGATTACAGGCACCCGCCACCACCCCCAGCTAATTTTTGTATTTTTAGTAGAGATGGGGTTTCACCATGTCGGCCAGGCTGGTCTCGAACTCCTGACCTCAGGCAATCTGCCTACCTTGGCCTTCCAAAGTGTTGGGATTACAGGCATGAGCCACTGCGCCCATCCCCTGGTTTTCTCTTTAAGGACCCATTTCGTCCCTAGATGACTGACCCCACAAATACCCCTACAACCTCTCTACCTCTAGGCCTCAGTCCCCTGAGCTCATCATCTATACCAAGGCTACTTGCCCACAATGAAGCTGAGATGCTTTGCTAATGCTGGCATCCCGAGCACAGATGAGTGGGCAGCCCTTGAACAGGTGGAGGTGGATAGCAAGGGACAGGTGGCTAGCGAGAGAGGACGTGACTCTCCTGCTGGGGTCTCCGCTGACCTCCCACCTAAGCCAGAGTGCTCTGCGTTCTGGGTCATTGAACTCTGTGTCTCCCTTTGCTGACACCTACACAGTCTGTAATTATTCAGTGGAGTCACTTATTTCCTTGTTTGTTGCCTGTCTGTCCTAAAACATATGCTTCATGAGGGTACGAACGTTGTCTGTCCAGCTTGTGGTTCTATTCTTGGCACCAAGCCTGGTACCTGGCTGTGTGGACTCAGGGCACACATGTGAAACCCCTCGTTTTCCTACCTGCTGGCTGTGGAACATCAGGCAGGTCAAAGTCACTCCATCTCACTGAGCCCCAAGTTCCTCACCTGCAAAATGAGAATAAAGGGGTGTTGGCACAAGGATGAATGAGATAACACAGCCACAAAGCACTTGGCACAGTGGTCACACATAGAAAATGCATTTCCAGGCCGAGTGTGGTGGCTCACACCTGTAATTCCAGCACTTTGGGAGGCTGAGGCAGGCGGATCACAAGGCCAGGAGTTCAAGACCAGCCTGGCCAACATGGTGAAACCCTGTCTCTACTAAAAACACAAAAATTAGCCAGGCCTGGTAGCACGTGCCTGTAGTCCCAGCTACTCAGGAGGCTGAGGCAGGAGAATCGCTTGAACCTGGGAAGCAGAGGTTGCAGTGAGCCAAGATTGTGGCACTGCACCCCAGCCTGAGCAACAGAGCTCAAAAAAAAAGAAGAAAGAAGGAAGGAAGGAAAGAAGGAAGAAAGAAAGAAAGAAAGAGAGAGAGAAAGAAAGAAAAAGAAAGAAAGAGAAAGAAAGAAAGAAAGAAAGAAAGAAAGAAAGAAAGAAAGAAAGAAAGAAAGAAAGAAAGAAAAGAAAGAAAGAAAGAAAAGAAAAGAAAGAAAATGCATTTCTAGGTAGGGGAGCACAGCGCTCTGGGCGTCCATGCCTGCGCCCTGCCCTGTTCCTTTGTGAACTACAAGGCAGAGCCATCTGCCAGAAAAGATGTCACCCATTTGGAATACATGCTGGGAAGAGGAGGAGGCTGAGAGCATGGGGTGAGCAGCTGCCTCTGAGTACCATGGCTTTGCAGGCACCAAACATCCTTGGTGTGGGCTCTCTCCCACCAGAGTGTGGAGGCTAGCATGGGATGGCGGAGACAGGTGCTGTGTAAATCCCTGGCTTGAGTGCTGCGGATGAGCAGGGCGGAAGGACAAAAGGGCCAGGCATGTGAGGGCGCTGGCAAGAGTGTGGCTGGGATGATGTCCCCTGTGGTCCGGAGGCCCAGAGATGGGGACCCGGGGTGGCTGGTGTCCACAGGAAAGTGCAGGGAGCTGAGATCAGGACGAGGTCAGGGGGTGTGGTGGGACGGAGGCGTGAGAGGCCTGGCGGCGTCGGAAGTGGTCAGGGAGCGGGATCTCGGAGTGCAGTTGGAACCTTCAAGTGATGACAGGGCCCAGGGCGTGGGTGGCCACAGTGAGCGGAGGTGAAGGTCACTGCCCAGCAGGTGTGGGAAGGGCAGCCCAGCACTGGCAGCCCCCCGAGGCTTTGCGTGCATGGTTCCTGGGTTCCATGCGTCCCCCGATGACTCACAGGTGTGCTTCTGTGGCCCTTAGTTCTCACCCTCACTTCCTGCTTCTGTCTACCCTGTGAGCAGCGTCTCACCACCACCAAACATTGCTGAACAGGACTTATTTTCTTTATACCAAATCCTTCCCTTTTTTAACCACCCTATCATTGTCTTCCCAAGCCCCCAATTTTTATGTCACTCATTTCCTCCTCTTCTTCGCTGGTTTGGCTCCTCCCCACCCCCAGTCTATTACAAATCCTCATGAATTATTTTGTCCATAACATTTCTAAGCTAAGTGTCCTTCTTTCCAATTTCAGAGCTAAAACCATGCCCAGGAACTGGCGTCCCAAATCTAAACAGTGAGGCTTGAGAAGCGGGCTGGATTCCACGGTGCGCAAGTGTGCAGAGGACATAAGCCGAGAAGAGGCCCTTGGAGAGGACAGAAATAACAACATCGTAGGCAGACAGTTGTGGGTTCTGCCAGTCACGCTTTCGCACAAGTCACAGCACTCAGCCTCAGTAAGCAGAGGAAAATAACAGAAAACAAAGTTGGAAAGCATGGCTGAGGAGAGGGAGATAAACCGAGATAAATCGTGAAGAGTGGTTGAAATAAGCTACCGACAGGCTTGACCCGCAGCAGGTGCCTGATTCTGCTGGTTCCCAGTCCAGCCCCAGCTCAGGTGCACAAGGCGTCCGGGGGACTGCCAGCACTGCACAGCCCTTTCCATACCTCCTGGATGGTGACCTTTACCTCCGTTCCACCGTGGCCACCCATACCCTGGGCCTTTGTCATCTCTCGAAGGTTCCAACTGCACTCTGAAATCCCACTCCCTGACTGCAGCTTCCAAAGCTGCCAGGAAACTGCCAGCTTCCAGGCCAGCCACTCAACAGCCTCCAAGACTCACTTTCCTCATCTATAAAATGGGGTTTCTAATATCTGCTTTGCCCAGCACACAGAGCTGCTGGGAGAATCAAATATGATTATGTATATGAAGATACTTCACGAATGATGACATTCTAGTAAGCTAGCAAATAGTTGTCCCAGCCATACCCACTGCCAAATGGGCCACTCAGGAGATCCAAGGAGATCACTCTGCCGCGAATGCTATTTTATTCATATCATTCAGGACCTTCATGGTGGAGGCTTGTTGACATTGGCTTGTGGTTGAGAGGAGCTCCGGAGTCAAGCCGTCTGTGTCCAGATCCCTGCCTCAAGTGCTACCAGCCATGTGAGCTGAGTGCATTATATAACTTCAGCATGACTCAGCGTCCACTTCTGAAAGATGGGATGGACGATGGTGACAGGGTCATCCCATTGGGTCATTGTGAGCATTCAACGAGAGGGCATAGGACAGTGGCTGGTAAGTGCTCATAAACCGTTAGCCGGCCGGGCACGGTGGCTCACGCCTGTAATCCCAGCACTTTGGGAGGCCAAGGCGGGTGGATCACCTGAGGTCAGGAGTTCGAGACCAGCCTGGCCAACATGGTGAAACCTCGTCTCTACTAAAAATACAAAAATTAGCCAGGTGTGGTGGTGGGCACCTGTAATCCCAGCTACTTGGGAGGCTGAGGCAGGAGAATCCCTTGAACCCAGGAGGCGGAGGTTGCAGTCAGCCAATATCACACCATTGCACTCCAGCCTGGGTTACAGAGTGAGACGCCATCTCAAAAAAAAGAATAAAAAAACCTGTTAGCCATTATTATGATCACACTGTTCACAAGTTCACCCCACTACCAAAAAATGGCCACATTCCACCCACTCCCCACCAACCAAAGGCACAAGCACCTCTGTCATCTGCTCTCTCAGGATGGTCACACATCTCGATGGCCTGGACCATGAGCCAAGGGTGGACGTTCATCCAGAATGGCCCTCGCTTTCCAACTTTGTTTTGTTATTTTTGTGCTGTATAAAAACCCCACTGCTGCAGACACTACTGCCCAAACAAACTGTTGAGTAATTAATGGTTTGACCATTTTTCAACCTCGGCTTCTAGGAGAGGAGACATTTGTACACGACCTGGGATGTCAGGAAACAAGACCAAGGGCTTGAAGAGGGTTGGGGCAGGTCTCCCGGCTGCCCCTCTGCAGCCAAAAGCCTCTCATTGCTCCCCAGATGTCTGTTTCTGCCCCCAAGCATAGCCCATGCCTTGCCCCGCACCTGGGAGGCTCTCTAGCCTCTCCCCGTGGGCCCTGCCAAGGCCTCCCTCCAATGCAATGCGAGTTGCCACTGCCCTCAGGCCCTCTCCAAGTTAGAACCCCACACCCAGCCCACATTTACCCTGTGCGTGGACACACACCTCCTTGCTTTCTTTACCTTTATGATGAGCGCAGTGATTGGTTTTGAACACGTTTCCTCGTCAGGGTTGTGTATGTTGTAAAGCTGTCTTGTGGCCGGGCGCGGTGTGGTGTAGGGTGTTAAAGTGGGGAGATACTCGCTCACAACCTGGAGCGTGAGAGGGCGACAGGCAGGGGACCGCAGAAGGGAAGGGGGGCGCATTGCGGAGGCGGGGGCGGGGCGGAAAGAGGCCAGGGGCCGTTCAGCAGGTTAGCATGGAGCAGGGTGAGACAGTGCTGGAGGAGGAAACGCGCCCGGCGAGGAGCCGCCGCGTCCCGGCCCTGCCAGCCGCCATTCGAGGCCGCGCACCGCCACCTGCTGGGCGCCCGGGGAGGTGCCGCCTAGCCGCACGTGGGTCCCAGGGCAGGCGCCACGCAGCAGCGGAGTCCACCTGGGCAGGTGCGGATCCCCGGGCTCGCCTCCCCACCTCGGAGGGAAGAGCCTGACTGAGGACTCTGGGTCCCAGTCCCAGCTCAGACACCGGCTGAGAGGCTTCCGTGACGGTCAGGTCGGGAGAGGGCTCTCCTGCCTGCCGCACGTCCTGTGAGTCCGTTTGTTCCTCTGCCGGCCCCAGCCCCACCGCAAGCCCCCTGCCTCCGCTGCTCTGCCCACCCTCCCTGGGCACTGGAGTGGGCCCTGAGGAACGGCAGAGGCCCATCTGCAAAGCTCTGAATACCTCTCCCAACCGCAGATTAAATGGCACCCACGGAGGCCAAGCTCTCAGCAAGCACCGCGCTTGACTGCTCCTCTGGGTGCCCAGAAGACCATCGGTCGGTCTGTTCTTCCGAGGAAAGAGGCCCGGACCTTGATTCAGGATCCTCGCCCGGTCTAAACATACACACTTTGGGGACTGGGAGCTGAGCGGTTCTTCTAGAAAGGTCTCCTTGTTCCTTAGTCAAAATACAGGTTTGCCCCGTTTGTTCTTGCTCAGCCTTCTGAAACAATCAGAATAACTTTTTTCGTACGATGCCTACAAACAGCTTTAATGTTCCCTGTAAATATTCATTCCGAGCTAAGTGTGCCCAACTTCCTGCATTCTTTAGAGCAGTGGACAATTTCAACCGAGGACGATTTTGCCCTGCAGGGGACATTTGGCAATGTCTGGAGAACTTTTGGTGATCTACCCGGAGGAGGGAGACCACTCCTGGCGTCTGGTGGGGAGAGGCCCCCGTGCTGCTAAGCATCCTAAGGTACATGGCGTAGCACCTCCATCCCGCCACACGCACAACAAAGAATTGTCCCACCCAAAAGTCAACAGTGCTGAGGTTGAGAAGTCCTGCTTGAGAGTTCTGAGGTTTTTTTGGTTTTTTTGTTTGTTTTTGAGACGGAATCTCGCTCTATCACCCAGGCCGGAGTGCAGTGGTGCAATCTCAGCTCACTGCAACCTGTGCCTCCCAGGTTCAGGCAATTCTCCTGTCTCGGCCTCCCGAGCAGCTGGGATTACGGGCATGCGCCACCACCCCCGGCTAATTTTTGTATTTTTAGTAGAGTGGGGGTTTCACCATGTTGGCCAGGCTGGTCTCGAACTCCTGGGCTCAAGTGATCTGCCCACCTCGGCCTCCCAAAGCGCTGGGATTACAGGCTTGAGCCATCGCAACCGGCCTCTGCTTGAGAGTTCTGAGTCTTCTCAAGGTTCTGGTCCCTTCTGTAGATACTCTTCATGCATTCATGTTTCTATCGCCACGGGGTACCAACTCCAGGCCAGCTCCCACCAGCCTGGACATCGTAAGTTCTAGACACCAGGCGTCTCTCAGTGGAGCCTAACAATTACATCAGCCTTCTTAGCAATGCTTTGCTCATATGATCAGTATATCTTTTTTTTTTTTTTCCGAGATGGAGTCTCACTCTGTCACCCAGGCTAGAGTGCAGTGGCGGGATCTCAGCTCACTGCAACCTTTGCTTCCCAGGTTCAAGTGATTCTCCTGCCTCAGCCTCCCGAGTAGCTAGGATTACAGGCGCATCCCTCCATGCCTGGCTAATTTTTTGTATTTTTAGTAGAGACAAGGTTTCACCATGCTGGCCAGGCTGGTCTCAAACTCCTGACCTCGTGATCTGCCCCCTCCTCGGCCTCCCAAAGTGCTGGGATTACAGGCGTGAGCCACCGCGCCCGGCCGATCTGTATGTCTTTAATCAGTGTTACGGGCCAGGTGCGGTGGCTCATGCCTGGAATCCTAACATTTTAGGAGGCCAAGGTGGGCAGATTGCTT
This sequence comes from Homo sapiens, assembly GCF_000001405.40. Taxonomy (NCBI): domain Eukaryota; kingdom Metazoa; phylum Chordata; class Mammalia; order Primates; family Hominidae; genus Homo; species Homo sapiens. The sequence goes on along the minus strand of NC_000022.11, from coordinate 45,643,880 downwards.
GAGCCCAGGAGTTCAAGAGCAGCTTGCACAACATGGTGAAACCCCATCTCTATGAAAAATTAGCTGGGCATGGTGATGTACACCTGTAGTCCCAGCTACTTGGGCGGCTAAGGTGGGAGGATCGCTTGAGCCTGGGAGGTCAAGGTCGCAGTGAGTCATGATAGCGCCACTGCACTCCAGCCTGGGCGACAGAGCGAGACCTGTCTCAAAAAAAAAAAAAAAAAAAAAAAAAAAAATCAGTGTTTTGAACAGAGAACTTAGAGGCTTAAATATGCATGTGATTAAATAAAAGACATATATTACCTAGAAAAAACAGGTATTATTCTCACACAGAAAAACGTTGGGTAAAATAAACATTCCTATTGGATGGATTCAATTTTAAATGATTCCTCTTATACAAATTTTGTTTCAACCATTCCTCTTAACAAAGAAATGGCGAAGCCCTCCTAAAGCCCTCCAGAACAGACTGAACAAAGGAAAAAAGATGCTTGTCAACTCAAATATGAAAGGCCTGCTCCAAGCTCCCCTAATTATATCTTGGAAGGGAAGCTTTGTCCTATTGACATTCGGGATCATTTTTCACAAGCTCAGGTTACTCCCTTGAAGATTTTTAGGAAGTTTCATGATATGGAGACATTGTTGAAAAATTGGCTGCTTGACTTCTGCCAGCAATCAGATACAGAGATCAAATCTGTTTCTGCCCACTTAGCTTAGAGCATTTCTGGTTATCTTGGGCAAAATGAGTTTGCAACTTTTAACTCAGACTTCTAAGAAGTCAGACGGTTTCACCCACTTTTTGTGTGTGTGGTTTTTTTTTTTACAAAGGATCTCTGAGGAAACTTGGCTGAAGGTGTGGGTTGATCTCTAATATCTGACATATTCTGCATTTGTAAATACCAGAGTACTTAAGAAGCAACAAAAATGGTTTTTATTTTATAAAGTGGAAGAAAAGATCCGAGGAAATACAACTCCTTTCATCAGACCCTTAGATCTTTCCTTTAAAACATAAAATTCTAAAGTAAATTGTGGGTTACTCTTGCCCTGTCCTGAATTCTAAGAGTTTGGCTGCTTAAAATATCATTAAAACATAATGAAATAAAGCTGACGTGGCCATGCTGCAGATTGATTGATGCATATCTGTTTATATGCTAATGAAAACTTTTGAGGAGCATATTTTTATATGGGGTCAAGATACTGAGCAGACCTCCTGTTTCTGGGCTGGGTCTTCATTCCTGGGAAAAGGAGTGTCTAGCAAATAGAAATATATTATAAATCACATTTTTAGCGAGAATGACAAAGCTTAGCAACCCTTGCCTTAGGGAACCTGTCCAATTTGTCAGTTAAAATTCAGCCTTCTGATATAAAACGAGCCCATTCATGTTGTGTGCGGGCTAATTCCTCGTGGAAAGAATCTGTTTGAGAGCTGTCAGCAGTGCAGAGAATGGGAGTAATACCAGGTAGAATGTGGGATCTCTGTGCAGGAGGCTTTGTGTCACTTCCTCAGTTTACCGCCTGTCCCTAAATCACTCACCCATGCAGGACCTTTCTCAGACCCTACATGGGCACGTGGGTGAGCCTCTGAAAATGCAGAGCTCCCTTCTAGGGGAGTTTTTGGTACTCAAGATTAGAACACAAGTCAGAATCTGTTCCCTTTATGAACAGATGGGAAGTATCTCATCTGAGTCTGTAAACCAAGGTAAAAGCGTTTCATTGAAAGGAGAGGGTGGCCAGGCGCGGTGGCTCATGCCTGTAATCCCAGCACTTTGGGAGACGGAGGCATGTGGATCACATGAGGCCAGGAGTTCGAGACCAGCCTGGCCAACAAGACGAAATCCCGTCTCTACTAAAAATACAAAAATTAGCTGGGTGTGGTGGTGCGCACCTGTGGTCCCAGCTCCTCAGGAGGCTGAGGCAAGAGAATCACTTGAACCTGGAGGCAGAGGTTGCAGTGAGCTGAGATCGCGCCAAAGGAAAGGGTCAAGGCAGATCCATTTCCCTCAACATTTGGGCACAGACAGGCCTTTCTGGTATAGGGGGAAGAGGCGGATTTTGATTTCGAGCCCCGTAATTTGTTGATTCTGAGAGTGTGCCCATAGACAGGTTCACTGAAGGCTGCGTGGACAGCAAATGCAACGGGCTTTATGTTGAATGGTGGCACACTTTGGGGAGCAGAGGATGCACTGTAGGCTCACACCCTACATCCGTGTGTTCCCTCTGTGTCCCAAGCCCAGGGGGATGCCCAGCCTCATCCTGCCCTGTCTTCCCAGGGCCAGCGGCAGTCAGCCCATGTGGCTGCTGCACGAACCCCGCACTGACGCTGGACCAAGGCCTTGAGTGCCGTGCACGGACCACCTGCTTCGGACCCCACACCTGCAGTGCTGGGGAAAATTACACCTTTTGGGGCCCCACGCCAGACCTCCCAGTCAGGATCTCTGGGGTCTGTGCCTGGGGACTGCACTGAACCTTCATCTCGGGTGATTTGAGAGCCCCATGAGAGTCCACCTGTGCCTTCCACACCTTTCCTCTGGGGGTGACCGTCCCACAGGGACCAGCCCCAGCCCTGCTCTCCGGGCCCCTACCACCACTGCCTCTTCAAACGCCGGCCCATGAACCCCACAGGCACCCCGTAAGGCCGGCAGCATCGTTTCCAGATGGGCCCAGAAGCTTGAGCCGTGGCAAAGCTCATGGGATTTGGGAGCTGGGATTCTGGGCTACTGTGCCTTGCACTCGCCCAAACCCAGCAGAGACTGTGGACTGGAGCAAGAGCGCTGTGAACCCAGCCTGGCTGCTCCCTGGAGAGGAGGGCGCGGGACTGGACTGAGCCCCACAAGCCTGAGGGAGGAGCACGGGCCTCAGGGGCTCCTGCTCTGGGCTACCACGGCTTCTTCCTGGCTGTGTTTCTTCTGGTCCATCGGGCAACCTCTCTGAATTCAACTGTCCAATCAACAAAACGTGGGTAAGGGAGCACCCCTTTGCCTCTTCCAGGGTGGAAGGGGAGGGCGGGGGTGACCCTCTCTCGGCTTCCTCCCCTGTCCACCTTCCCATTTTAGACCTGGGATGGGAGACGTGTAGACTGTGTTCCAGGATTCAGTCCCAGGTTCTTGGCAGATGTGAATGCTTGGCTGCCCTTCAGGCTGAGTGTAGCTGCCACAAAGACAAAGGGCCCAGCTGACCCTAGGGCTACTGTGTGCCCTCATTCTGAGGCCTGCGAGTTGCCAGCCCTATCCCTTCAAAGGGGTAGTTAGGTGCGTGTATCTCACACCTGGACGCATCACAATGAGGTGGGAAAGTCAAGCACCTCCACAGCCCTTCCCTCTGGGACCCAGGGGAGTCTTCCCAGCCCCTAGCACTCCCCACTCTCCACCAAGGCCAACCAGCACCTGAGGGCAGGCCCCTCCCTGCCCCCAGCACAACTTCCTGACCAGGGACCACAGGCCTAGGGTCTGTGTCACTGATCAACTGTGAAGGCTGAGACATAGCCACCCCCACCCATTCTGAAAAGGAAAAGCCCTCAGAGCTTCCCAGACTGGCACCTGCTCCTAGGGTGTGAGGAGGGTAGCACAGGGTCTGCCCTCAGAGACCTCAGGCTCAGAGAATCAAGCTTCTCCCTCCCCTCCTGGGACCTACAGGGTCTGAGATCGTCCACCAGGAGGAGGAGAAAGGAGTAGAGACCCCCTTCCTCGCTGCTGTCCTGGGACAGCCGGCACCCCTGGCACCCTCTGCCTCCCCACACTTCCATGGCTTTGCCCTCTTGGCTTTCTGAGCCTCTGCCAAGCTTCTGTGCATTCTTCAAGACCCACCTCAAAAGCCACCTCCAGGAAGCTGTCCTGGGTTCCTGTCCCTCGACCCCCAACAGAATTAACTGCCCTCTCCTCTGCTCCCGCCTCCTGCTCCAGGCCCCTGGGGCTCACAGCTCTCAGGCTGTGGTTTTTCTCACCTTCCTGCAGCACAGCACCTCCCTGCGCAGACCAACCTTATCCAATCAACAAACGGGCACTGAGTCCCTCCCTGAGCAAGCTCCGTGGAGGAAAGGGGCCGCCACGTGGGGGATGTGAGATAGTTTATCCCCTTGGCCTACATGTAGGGGTGGGCTGGATGAGGCACCCCTCTCATTGAAAGTCCTGTGGAGGCTCTGAGGGCACCCACAGTATCTAGAGCTGGGGCCAGAAGCTGGACCTGTTGCCAACCAAGACGCTGTCTCCCTGGCCCTTGCTTCCCTCACTGTGAGAATAGGAGCGGTGCACGCAAAGGCATGCCCTCAGCAGCCCTTTGAGGGGGGTGCTGTGAGGGGATTGGTGGCCAGGGCACAGAAAGGTTAAGTGGCTGGCTGAGGTCACACAGCAAGGCAGGTGCAACTCCAAGAGGTCTCTGCACAGGGCATGTTCTCTGTCTGCCCTCTCTGCTACTCCAGGTGTGGCCTCGGGAGAGGGCTGGTCTCCAACTGCACACTTCCTGGATAGCAGTGATCATGGACACATTTCAGGTTGGGCACTTGCAGTGCCAAGGGGAGGAGGACGCAATGTGAAGGGAAGGTTTCTTGGTCGTGGTCTGGATTGACAAGGAGGGCCAGAGGCAAACAAGGATCATCCAGACGGGACGGTTCACCTCTCCCTAACCTCCACAGCGACCCCAGGGCTGTTGGGCACCAGAGGAGGAAATGCTGACTCACTAATAGGAAGCTGGGACACACCCTCGTGTTGCAACCGTGGCCTCCCGGGGGTGCGTCGGCCTCATCTGGCCACTGGGCTGGCGTCCCCCTCTGCTTTCCATCAGCGCATACTGGATTCCCTCACCTTTTGCCGTCCCCACACTGCGCCACCCTGCACCTGGCACCACTCAGCACCTCCTCCTGGCCCTACCCGTCCGCCATGGAATCCAGCCACTGAGAAAGGCACCATTGAAACAGACATAATCATGGGTCAGAAGATGTGACTCAGCCTCTACTCAAATCTGTTTGTCAAACCAAAAGGTGCTTCGTGTTTAAGTCAAACTATCCCTAATGCATTTTCCATTCTCTTCAAAAACCACAGCCATCAGTTTTAAAAAAAGACAGAAAACATGAAGCACACTTCTCTTGCCTGGCTTACCATTTTCTTTGATCCATTAAAATCCAAGAGTGAGCCCTTCCTCGTCTCTAGAGTGTGGAGCAAAGAGGGAATAATTATCCATAAAGTGGCCTTCTGAGTGTTTGCTTTGCGATGAAAGAAAACTTTTGAGAGCTTGGAATAAAGAAGGAATATGTAAGTCTCTCCAGATCCCATCAATAATAATATTAATCAATTAATGATTTACTTGCGTTTTATATGTCTATTTGCTTTGCTATTCATAAGCATACATCGTTTCCTTAGAAACCCTGACATCAGCCAAACTCCATCTCTCTGGGAGCTAAAAGGCAGCTCTCAAGGAAAGACATACAGCTTCTCTCATTTTTTTTTTCAATGTTTGCAAATGGGAAATGATGAATTGATATATTCTAAGGAGCCATTTTTCTTCTTTCTTTTCCTTCCCATTACCATTGAAATCCGACATTTGAAACACCTACTGTATCAACATCTAATTCCCCACCTCCCTTCCCAACAATGCCTTTAGTCTTAACCAAATAACATTGCTTTCACCATGTGTGTCATTTATGTACATATGTGTATGTGCACACACACATATATATACAGTAAATATATATGCCATCAACCTCTTACTGACAAACAAAAATGTTGATTTATTTTCTTAGCTGACTTTAAAAACTTTAGTAATCTCCTTGCTCATGTACAAGACCATAGTAGAGCAAGGAGATTACTCCTTAATAGGAGCTCACAAAGTGTGGGTTGATGACGATAGAAAGTTCTGGATTTGCCAACTAAAAAGGCCACTTATCCACAATACCTCAAGTGGCAGCAAGTCAAATTTCCTTAGTACAAATACTTACAAGGGAATCGGGCAGACAGACAAATATAGATGGCTAAGAGTAGAGTGAATGGTGATTAAGGCACGCCCAACTCAATAACATTTTCTTTCATCTGCTGCTGCTGTGGAGAATATTCTTTAAAGAGGATTTTGTAAGTTTCCTTTTTGGGGACAGATTATAAAAGAAATTGGGCTGGGCGAGGTGGCTCACACCTGTAACCCCGGCACTTTGGGAGGCTGAGGCCAGCAGATCACCTGAGATCAGCCTGGCCGACATGGAGAAACCCCGTATCTACTAAAAATACAAAAATTAGCTGGGCGTGGTGGCGCGCGCCTGTAATCCCAGCTACTTAGGAGACTGAGGCAGGAGAATCGCTTGAACCCGGGAGGCGGAGGTTGTAGTGAGCCAAGATTGCACCACTGCACTCCAGCCTGGGCGACAGAGTGAGACCCTGTCTCCAAAAAAAAAAAAAAAAAAAAAAAAAAAAAGAAAAAAAAAAGAAAAGAAAAGAAAAGAAATTGAAGGCGAAGGCGTAGGAAGGGAAATCTACTTGCTGAGGAAAAATTAGAATATTTTCCAACAAGCAGAAAACTGGGAGGTCAAACAGGTGTTCCCCCATGTTAATGAACATCTTTTCATTTTTACAGGGGCTCCCTTTCCTGCAGTAGCTACTTTGTTTGGGTCTGAGAAGCACCAGTCATGGTCAAGGTGAAACTTAGTGGCTGGGATGGCTGGAGGAAGGAGCCGTTTGCTTATTCATTCAAGCAAATGAGGGTGTCCTCGGCGGGTAGGACAGCTCTTGGCCTCAGGAAGTCTCTGGTCTAGTGGGATGGAGCTATTCAGGCAGCAATGAGTTGGGGGTCTAGAAAAGAGATGAGAGCACAGAAGAGGGGGTTCATTCATCCTGAAAGGGGTTGGAAAGGCTTCCTCAGGACACAGAAGACAGAGGTGGAGCAGGGCCTTGGCAGGTGCAGAGGTCAGGAGAGAAGACATTGTTCTATGGCAAATTTCTGATTCTAAAACTATCACTTTCCTTCTCATATCAGCAAAATTCACCAGACTCAGAAAACTGCCCTGCCCCGTGACTTCCATCTGCTCCTCTCCTGATAATTGTAAAAGCCAATGAAGATTGTGCTTCTTAACTACACATCAGCCGGCTGATTGTAAGTGTTGGGAATATAATTAGGGGTACACGGCTCTGACCCTCACTCTTCGTAGGTTTAACAAGATTGGACTTACGCAATGGCAAGAAGGAAACCGAGATTGAAAATGACCAATTTTGCTGGTTGAGAGGCGTCTTGTTTTCTGGAAGAAACTGAGAATCTGCAGTTGTAGACTGGGAATGCTAGAACCTCTGGAGTGGCATCAACTCGATCGGGGGCCAAAACCATGAGAAAGCACCAATATTTTCCACCGTTTTTAACCAAACTCGGCTGTTGTTGGTCTAAAACCTGCCCTGGGTTTTGAGGGAGCGGTGCTTTTGTGAGCCCAGCTTGCCTTGAGTGCATGGATGGGAACCTGAAACCAGCCAGTCTTGCCTCCCACCCTCTCAACTTTTCCAGTAAAAAATGTGACGGGCACTTTTTTTCCAGTAAAACTGTTCCCCCAGCAGGACAGCCTATATGCAGCTAGGTTCCTGGCAAATGAGCAGGGAATAATAGCTGGCTAGAGGTGGGCGGGACTGAAATACAGCTGTCCACCTCTCCGGAAAACATCACCCAGGGTTCTCCCCATCCCCATCTGACCTTCCAGCCACTAAACAAATAAATAAGGCCTTAGAAGCTCCTAGAGTCAACCACAGCCTCAGCTTCTAAACCGAGGCTGTGATTCTACGAAACTCACCTCACATCTGTGTCATCTTTGAAAGACTCCAATGGCTGGATTGGTTTGATCCTATTCCGAAGGGCTTATAAAGAAGAATCCAGCCGGGTGTGGTGGCTCACACCTGTAATCCCAGCACTTTGGGAGGCCAAGGCGGGTGGATCACTTGAGCTCAGGAGTTTGAGGCCAGCCTGGGAAACATGGCAAAATCCCATCTGTACAAAATATACAAAAATTAGCCAGGCATGGTGATGTGCGCCTGTAGTCCTGGCTACTCAAGAGGCTGAGGTGGGAGGATCGCTTGAGTCTGGGAGGTAGAGGTTGCAGTGAGCCGAGATTGTGCCACTGCACTCCAGCCTGGGTGACAGAGCCAGACCTTGTCTCAAAGAAAAAACAACCCAAAACCTTAAACTCACTCAGTAAATGGAATGCTCCTGGCCTTGCTGCTCTTCATCTGACTGGGTTAAGTTCATGTAGAGAAGGGATCTGAAACATTTCTACATAGCTCCTAGTGATGCATGCATGCATGGGGGGATCCCTGGACCTCTCCCCTGAGCAGAGGCCGTTTACAGCTTGTAATTGTTTGCATTGCAATCAGTACCTACTGGAGACCTAACTACAGAGTTTTCTTGTGAGCACAATGGGAGCCTGGCTTGGAGATCTTTGCTGAGCCCCTATCCCCCAGGATGAGTTCCAAAGTCATTTATTTACCTGTGGCTTTCTCTCTTTCTTTCCTTCTCTTTTTTTCTTAATAATCCAGTTACTAATACTTTAAGTGGACTTCGTTGTTTTTTTGTTTTTTTTTGAAATGGAGTTTTGCTCTTGTTGTCCATGCTGGAGTGCAATGGCACGATCTCTGTTCACCTCAACCTCCGCCTCCCAGGCTCAAGCAATTCTCCTGCCTCAGGCTCCCAAGTAGCTGGGACTACAGGTGTGAGCCACGACACCCGGCTAACGTTTGTATTTTTAGTAGAGATGGGGTTTCACCATGTTGGCCAGGCTGGCCTCTAACTCCTGGCCTCAAGTGATCCTCCTGCCTCAGCCTCCCAAAGTGCTGGGATTATTGGCGTGAGCCACAACACCCGGCAGAAGATTCATTTTCAAAAGTATTCTTCCCAGTACTTTGGGATGCCAAGGTGGGAATATCACTTGAGGCCAGAAGTTAGAGACCAGCCTGTGCAATCTAGCAGGACCCTGTCTCTACAAAAAAAATACAAAAATTAGCCAGGTATGGTGGTGTGCATCTGTAGTCCCAGCTGCTCAGGAGGCTGAGGTAGAGGATCACTTGAGTCTAGGACTTGGATGCTGCAATGAGCCAAGATTGCACCACTGCACTCCAGCTTGGGTGACAGAGCGAGACCCTGTCTCAAAAAAACAAAAACAAACAAACAAAAAAACATATTCTGAGGCCCTAGAGCACAGAGGTGAAGGGAAGGGAGTCTGAACATAGTTCTCTGCCAGCAATTTCTGCTGCTGTTGCTGACATGTGACCTTGGCTCCATTACACAACCTCTCTGAGCCTCAGTTTCCCCATCAGCAAAAGGAGATGATGCAAAGAAATCCTAGCTGAGAGGGCTGTGTCAGTATCGAACGAGCTGCTGCCTTTAAAGCACCTGGCAGTGGTATCGCCCATGATACCCACCACACAAGGGTGTTGGCACCACACAAGGATGCTCTGTGACATAAGGATGAGAAATACAAACACAAATACACAAAATGTGACTGCTTCTTCAAATTCCCACCCTCACTAAGGATGCCCTTGACCAAGGGCGGATGACAGTAGTAACCCTTTGAGAAGCAGCTGCCCTTTGGGAATCTAAGACAATCCTTCCGGCTTCAGGGTGTCAGGGTCACAGGACAGCATCTTGGTCCACCAAGTTAGGAAGATTAAACTGTGTCTTGAAGGAGTGCTTCCGTTAGGCATTAAGGGTATAAGAACAGGGACCCATCAAGAACAGAGCCTTCCCTTGAGGAGGGGAGACTTGCTTGAGCCTCACCTCAGTGTAAAAATTACTTCCCGGCCAGGTGTGGTGGCTCACGCCTGTAATCCCAGCACTTTGGGAGGCTGAGGCGGGTAGATCACCTGAGGTCAGGAGTTTGAGACCAGCCTGACCAACATGACAAAACCCCATCTCCACTAAACATACAAAAATTAGCTGGGCATGGTGGCACACGACTGTAGTCCCAGCGACTCGGGAGGCTTGAACCCGGGAGGCGGAGGTTGCAGTGAGCGGAGATAGCACCACTGCACTCCAGCCTGGGCGACAGAGCGAGATTCTGTCTAAAAAAAAAAAAGTAACTTCTCCCATTTGCAGACAAGGAAACTGGAGCTCAGCAAGCCTCAGGGATTGATCCCGGATCACACAGCCAGTATGTGGCAGAAGCAGGAATTTTACCCAAGTCTCTGTGACTTCAAAGCATACACGATTGTTTTTTCACTTTCAGCTCAGTGGATGCTCTGTGACATAAGGATGAGAAAGACAAACACAAATACACAAAATGTGACTGCTTCTTAAAATTCCCACCCTCACTAAGGATGCCCTTGACCAAGGGCGGATGACAGTAGTAACCCTTTGAGAAGCAGCTGCCCTTTGGGAATCTAAGACAATCCTTCCGGCTTCAGGGTCTCAGGGTCACAGGACAGCATCTTGGTCCACCAGTGTGGCTCCATCCTGTTTGTATCTGCAGGCGTGGCCTCTAGAGTTCTCTGCACTTGGGGGCTATCTGTGTTGTAGGATTTTGACTGCCCAGCCCTGCCTGTCTTCATCCCAGTGACCTGGTATCCCCGTCCCAGGCCAGGCAGATCGTACTGTCAGCATTCCTCCAGCTTGGGTTAACTTAGGGGAATCAGAGCTGTTGCTTCTCTGCAGCAGTGATTAGCTGGCTCCTGCCCGGCTCCGAGCTATTTATCAGCCCAGTCCCTCATCACGTCTTAGTTTCCATGATTTCTATTTTCCAGGGTCGACCCTGCACTACACACTAAGGTGGCTTCTGAAGACAAAACAATAGAAGCACATTCTTGCTTGGGTGGTTTGAAGTTAGGTCATAATCCCGGGCTATCTGTCGGTTAGGAAAATAAACACTGGCACCCCCCCAACCCTGTCTCCCCCGCCCCCACAGAAGGGAATGCAGGCTTCGGACCAGAGCACAATACTTCTCTTTTTCCATTGCCTGCTCTGGGGGATAAGGAATCACTTTCAAGGTAGGGTTAGCCAGAGGAACAATAGACAACTTGCCTCTTGACCCATGGGGAAAGGACAGATTGGGCACTCCTCCGGCAGGGGTGGCATGGGGGTGGGGCAGGTGAGCCGCTGCTGCAGGACTGGCCGCTCAATCACCAGGGACCGCATGCACTGCCCAAAAATCCCGGCTCCTGCGCCTTCCTCTGCTGGGAGTTTCCGTCTCCCCACACCTTTTCTTGTCCTCTTGTTGTGCCTCCTTCTCTTTTGGCAATATACGTATTCCTTTATTTCTTGCTCTGCCGATCACTGGAGACAGGATCTCTCTCCTGTTTTCAGAACGTTCCTTTCTCAGAGTAGTCAGTTCTTGGTTTACGAATACAGCATCTTCTCCAGTCTTTCTAAGGATCCTGATTAGAGGTCTTTGTGGTGGTTGTTTTTGAAGTTCTCATGCATTTCCTTAATTCTCTGTTACTTTAGGGAATTTTTTTTTCTGTTTGTTTATTCTGTTTTTTGTGTGTGGGTCTCACTCTTTTGCCCAGGTTGGAGTGCGGTGGTACAATCACAGCTCACCACAGCCTCGACCTCCCAGGCTCAAGTGATCCTCCTACCTCAGCCTCCCAAGCAGCTGAGACTACTGGCACATGCCACGACGTCCGGCTAACTTTTTTGTTTTTTGAAGAGACAGGGTTTCACCATGTTGCCCAGGCTGATCTTGAACTCTAGGGCTCAAGCAGTCTCCCCACCTCAGCCTCCCAAAGTGCTGGGATTACAGGTGTGAGCCGCTGCGCCCAGCTCTTTACTTTCACCTTGAATGTCAGAGGCATTCCTCAAAGTCCAATGCTCCTTGGTTGTCCCTCACATTTTATTTTATGTTTACTTTGTTTATTTATAGAGATGGGGTCTCGCTGTGTTGCCCAGGCTGTTCTCCATTGATCCTCCTGCCTTAGCCTCCCAAAGTGCTGGGTTTACAGGCGTGCGTCATGGTCCCTGGCCCTCCCTCATGTTTTATAAAGTCATTAACGATACAGGTGGGCAGGGCTGCATTGGTGGGTTTCAGTTTGGAGCAACGAGGTGGGTAGCAGAATACTTGTCAGAATATGGGGGGTTCATCTTTAGAGAATTGTTTGTTTTTGGTATGAGGGCAGATGCCCAGTCCCCTGGGGTTCTTAGTGAGTGAATGGTTGAGGGGTCTGGAATCTGACTTTTGAATTTATCACCAGCTGTGTGAGCTTGGGTGAGTTGTGCACTCTTTCCAAGCCTCTGCTTTCTCATCTGTAAGAAGGAGATAATTCTGGTAGTGCTGACAGCTGATCCTGCTCCCTCTGGTCTCTGCAGCAGGCATTATACTGGTCAGGGGCAGCCGTGGGACTCCTGACGTTCACCAGACATCTGACCACCACCAACATTAAGCGGGGGATCCACCAGGACCCAAGGGACCCCTGGGCACCCTGGGCCTGGTGTAGGCTTTTATGCAATGTGAGTTCTTCTTTTTGCGGCCTCATTCTTTGCTGCACAAATACCTCCTGGACACCTCCCTAGTGCGGCCTCAAGAACAGGCCAAGTGTTTGCTCTTCCCCCCTAATTGCAATTTACCTCATTTGCATGCAGCTTTTTCATTCTAATTCCCTGAACCAAGGCTGGCTGCGTTGCCAGGGCAACTGAGAGCAGGGCGGGCTCCCTCCTTCCTTGGCTGTCTGGGAGACCACAGCATCCCTCGGCACCCCCAGAGGGTAAACAATCTGCAGTTTCCTCTGCTCATTTTGTCGGCTTCTCTCGGGGTCCTGGTGATCTTTGCAACCCCCAGACTCACTTGGATTCTCCTGGTCGACTCGGGCTTGTGCATCCCTCCTCTGACACGGTGAACCCCATTATCTCTCTCTCTTTTTTTTTTTTCTTGAGACAGAGTTTCGCTCTTGTTGCCTAGGCTGGAGTGCAATGGCATGATCTTGGCTCACTGCAAATTCCACCTCCCGGGTTCAAGTGATTCTCCTGCCTCAGCCTCCTGAATAGCTGGGATTACAGGCATGCACCACCATGCCTGGCTGATTCTTTGTATTTTTAGTAGAGACGGGGTTTCTCCATGTTGGTCAGGCTGGTTTCTAACTCCTGACTTCAACTGATCCACCTGCCTCGGCCTCCCAAAGTGCCAGGATTACAGGCGTGAGCTACCGCACCCAGCCAAACCCCATTCTTATCAATACTGCCCCCCTCAGCTGGGCCACCTCTGGGGTTCTTGTGACACTGAAAGAGATGATGTGTGCGCCTCTCTTAATTCCCAGTCGTGGTTATAGCAGTCACCTGTCCGGCACTCCACCCGGCCCACATGGGAGTCTCGGGTCCTGATACTCACAATCCGCACTTGTTGGATGGCCCGCTTTGTTGATTGCACCTGCCTTGGGTGGTGGCTCAGCTCACTTCTCCCCCTTGCCTCTCTTCTTCCAGCCGCCAGCACCATTTCCCTGGCGACCGCCAGCGCGTTCTCCCACTTCATCCCCCTGCTTCCTCTCTCGAAAACATTTTTATTTAATGTAATTAATCAATTTATTTATTTTTGAGATGGAGTCTTGCTCTGTCGCCCAGGCTGGAGCACAATGGCATGATCTCAGCTCAGTGCAACCTCCACCTCCCGGGTTCAAGCAATTCTCCTCCCTCAGCCTCCCAAGTAGCTGGGATTACAGGCTCCCGCCACCATGCCTGGCTAATTTTTTTGTATTCTTAGTAGAGACAGGGTTTCACCATGTTGGCCAGGCTGGTTTCTAACTCCTGACCTCAACTGCTCCGCCTGCTTCGGCCTCCCAAAGTGCTAGGATGACAGGTGTGAGCCACTGCACCCAGCTGAAAACATTTTTAAAATGGGAACCTCAGGTGTATCCATTAAACTATGGCTCATGAGAGCCCTTGCTTGGCTGCTGACACACGCTGCTGGATGAGCCAATGGAGGGATGTGAGGCCCTCACCACGTTCACATCCTACCGCCTAGTTCACAGCTTAATGGGGACAACCGGCGAGCAAGGGCAAGGACAAAGCAAAGTCAACAAGCCCATACATAATCCTCCAGCTGCTCAGGGCCGCGCTTCTCCCTGTAGCTACTAAGTAGCCCACATGGCTCAATTTTCCCCGCAGACCCTTCAGAGGTGGTGTGGATAGGCGGTGAGATTAACAGTGCATGGTCGGGGAAGGAGATAATTCACAAGGGGACTGCTGCTGTGAGGTCACATTTCCTGGCTAGCCGAGCTAGTGTAGGCTGCCTGACAGTGGCCTCGGGGGCTTCCCCAGAATATCTGCATGGCCCCTGACTTCTGGGGAGAGAGAGGGTGATGGCAGGAGGTGGCAGGGAGGGGGCGGGGACAGCAGAGGGCGGGCAGAGAGGACAGCCCTTACAATAATGGTTTACTTGACAACTGCTACCTTGAAAGGTGGCCCTTCAAAAAGCTGACGTCATGAACACTTTGGGAGGGGTATTTAAACAAGGAAGGAAGGGAGGGAAGAGGGAAGGGAGGGAGTGAGGAAAGGACAGAGCAAGGGAGGAACCGAGGGAGAAAAAGAAACTCTTTTAATTCCAGCTCAGCTTCTTACCAGCTTTGTGACCTTGGTCAAGTCCCTTAACCTCCCTAAGATGTCATTTGCTTGCCTCTTGCCCAGAATCTAGGAGGTTCTCAGTAGAAATTATGGTGCAGACCCACACCAATAGTTAAAATGGAGAGAGCACAGTAAATTATAGCAATGGTTGTGATTGCACACAGAGATAGCTGGCTTGCATTTCCTACCTCTCTTCCTTCCTTCCTTCCTTTCTTTCTTTTTTTTACAGTCTTGCTCTGTCGTCCAGGCTGGAGTGCAGTGGCATGATCTTGGCTCACTGCAACCTCCACCTCCTGGGTTCAAGTGATTCTCCTGCCTCAGCCTCCAAGCGCGTGCCACCACGCCCGGCTAATTTTTGTATTTTTGGTAGAGACGGGGTTTCACCATGTTGGCAAGGCTGGTCTCAAACTCCTGACCTCAAGTGATCCACCTGCCTCGGCCTCCCAAAGTGCTGGGATTACAGGTGTGAGCCAGCGCGCCCAGCCCCAGCTTGCATTTTCAAAGCCCCTACCCCGTGCCAGGCTGGGGACTGTCACATGGTTTCTCTAATTCACATAATAACCATGGTGTGAGGCAGGCATTATTAGTTCCACTTTATCTACCAGGAAATAGACTCAGAGAGTTAAAGTGACCTGTCCAAACCCACGTGGCTATCAAGCCAGTGGCTGCCTGAGCTCAGGTTTATCTCCTCCCTGCTTTGATAGGTTACCGACTTGGAGCTATTTGCAAAGGACACGTGCTGCCTCTCCCTAAAGAGATGTTGTGAATTTTATTCAATGTGCCTCTAACAGCTATACTAGCATCACAAAAGAAAAAAAAAAAAGAAAAAAGAAAAGGCCTGGCGTGGTGGCTCATGCCTGTAATCCCAGCACTTTGGGAGCCTGAGGCAGGTGGATCACGAGGTCAGGAGTTCAAGACCAGCCTGACCAACACGGTGAAACCCCCAACTCTACTAAAAATACAAAAATTAACCGGGCGTGGTGGCGCATGCCTGTAATCCCAGCTACTGAAGAGGCTGAGGCAGGAGGAGAATCACTTGAGCCCGGGAGGTGGAGGTTGCAGTGAGCCGAGACCAGTCTGGGCGACAGAGAAAGACTCTGTCAAAAAAAAAAAACAAAAACAAATAAACAAACAAACAAAAGCCAGCCCCAGAGTGAAGGCTGCCACCACATGAGTCGTGCTATTTGTATTTATTTTTGCTAAGTGTGTATCTCCTGCCATAAACTGTAATTACTGCCGCAACATGATTGCCACAAATCTGTTTCGCTGAAGTGAGTCAGTTTACCTTCTCATCGTCCTCGAGTGGCTCCTGGGGCACTCGGAGGTTCATTCTGGTGAGGCGGCAAAGGGACGGTCACCCACCGAGGCAGTGTTCCCATCACGTGCATCAGGAACTGCCAGGGTTTCTGGAAATATTTTACAGACGCGATCATCCGCCTCTCTGCAGAACCTTCACTGATTTGTTATACCCCATTTCATTAGAGGTTTGGGGGTTTGTTTGTTTTATGCAGTCCCAGGAAAGGAATTCCAGAGTGACACCCACCCAGCATAAGCAAAGACCGGTGCCACCCCCTTGCGTTGAAATCCACGTGGCCCGTGAGCTGCAGATAAGTGAGCCGTGGCAGGGGAGCTCACAGAAGTGGAAAAACACAGCACAGACGTGGCCTTGACCTCTGCCTGTCAGCAAGCCTGGGGCTGTAGAGAAGGGTACAGGATTTTACAGCTTTACATTTCAAAATCTTTTTTTTTCTTTTTTTTGAGATGGACTCTTGCTCTCTCGCCCAGGCTGGAGTGCAGTGGCACAATCTCGGCTCACTGTAACCTCCACCTCCTGGGTTCAAGTGATCCTCCTGCTTCAGCCTCCCAAGTAGCTGGGACTACAGGCGTGTGCCACCACACCAGCTAATTTTTTGTGTGTTTTTAGTAGAGACAGGGTTTCAATGTGTTAGCCAGGATGGTCTCGATCTCCTGACCTCATGATCCGCCTGCCTCGGCCTCCCAAAGTGCTGAGATTACAGGCGTGAGCCACCGCACCTGGCCTCAAAGTCTTAAGTAATTCTTTTCAATGGCATTAGTGATTATGCTTTTTTTTTGTTTGTTTCGCTTGTTTTTACCTGTTTACCCTGTTTATACCTCCACCCTAAGTCAAGAGGCCTGAGCTTCACCCAGACCTGGGTCAGGATCCAGAGCCCTCTTCTTAGTGCAGCGAGGCCTGGGCCTCCATTTCCTCATCTGTCAAATAGAAATTTTAAAAAACAGGCCGGGCGCGGTGGCTCACGCCTGTAATCCCAGCACTTTGGTAGGCCAAGGCGGGCAGATCACCTGAGGTCAGGTGTTCGAGACCAGCCTGGCCAACACGGCAAAACCCTGTCTCTACTAAAAATACAAAAATTAGCTGGATGTGGTGGCACATGCCTGTGATCTCAGCTACTTGGGAGGCTGAGCTAGGAGAATCAGTTGAACCCGGGAGGTGGAGTTCGCAGTGAGCCGAGATTGCACCACTGTACTCCAGCCTGGTAGACAGAGTGAGACTCCATCTCAAATGAATAAATAAATAAATAATATAAATAAATAAAATACAAATAATTCTTACTCTGAAGGAACTAAAACCACTTGTGAAGACAGGACTTCACCCAAACACACAGGACAGAATTTGGCCAAAGCCCTCTAACATGAACAGGGTTTTGTCCTGAGCTTCCTGGAAATGAGACCCAGCCCATACGCAACACATCAATCCCTCAACTCTAGTAAACTCTAGACTTCATTACCTGGCAGCCGCGCCCTCCCTCCCTCGTCTCACTTTAGAGCGAGGTGGGCGTGTCACGGAAGAGGCATTTCCCCCATGCGTGTTCCATCCTGGAGCCTGGTAACCTTTGCCAAAGATGACTCAGGTAAACGTGTTATCAAGCCGAGCCGCCAGTCACCCTGCAGTGACCCGGCCAGTACAGCCATGCCGGGTCTCAGCTCTGCTCACCCGCGCAGCTCCCAGAAACTTCCCCGGCTTGTCTCCACTGGAATCGGGATGGAAGGGAGCCACGGCTGGCTCAGCCCCTCTCGGAGCAGAAAGAGGAAACTTCTGAAAAGAAGATGGGGGCTGGGGGAGGACATCAATCAGCACGGACAAGTAAGTACTCAGCGCCAGGTGCCCACGTGGCCAGGAACTAAACAGATGTGCCTGTGCCTTCGTAAAGGAGGGCAACACAGGTTACAAAAATAACAAGACACGTTATGTGATTACAAAGCATAGGCCTGGCGCGGTGGCTCGCGCCTGTAATCTCAGCATTTTGGGAGGCTGAGGCAGTCGGATCACCTGAGGTCAGGAGTTCGAGACCAGCCTGGCCAACATGGTGAAACCCCGTCTCTACTAAAAATACAAAAAAATTAGCCAGGCGTGGTGGCAGGCTCCTGTAATCTCAGCTACTTGGGAGCCTGCGGCAGGATAATCCCGAACCCGGGAGGCAGAGGTTTTGGTGAGGTGAGGGCAGGTCATTGCTCTCCACCTGGGCAAAAAGAGCAAAACTCCATCTCGAAAAATAATAAATAAAGTATGGTAAGTTCTAGAAAGAAAACAAATGAGCAGGAATGATAAAAGGTTATCAAGAGGACCTGATTTAAATTGGGGAGGGGTCAAGATGGACAACTTTAACAGGAGCATTTACACTGAGACTTGCAGGAGCGGGACCTGGCCGGTGAAGAGGGCAAGGACAAGCATCTCAGCCGAAGGAACAGCATAGAGGACTCCAATGTGGGAAAGAGTTTGCAGTGTCTTAGAAATGGAAAAGGGGCCAACTTAGCTAAAATATTGTGAGCAAGGGGGAGAGTGGCTTGATGCTATTATTTCATATACATAAAGATAAAATCTACTCCGTTTAATAAAGCTGCCATGTGGGGAGCCTACGTTGGGAACGGGAAACCCATTCCACTTTTAAAACTTTGCTCGAGGCTGGGCACAGTGGCTCACGCTTGTAATCCTAGCGCTTTGGGAGTCTGAGGCGGGTGGATCACAAGGTCAGGAGTTTGAGACCAGCCTGGCCAACATGGTGAAACCCCGTCTCTACTAGAAATACAAAAATTAGCTGGGCATGATGGTGCGTGCCTGCAATCCCAGCTACCCGGTGGGGCTGAAGCAGGAGAATCGCTTGAACCTGGGAGGTGGAGGTTGCAGTGAACCAAGATCACACCACTGTGCTCCAGCCTAGGGGAGAGAGTAAGACTCTGTCCCAAAACAAAACAAAAACAAAAACAAAAAAAACCTTGCTCAATTGAGACTGACTTGGATTTGAATCCTGACCTGGCTGCTACGAGAATGTTGCTTAATTCTTAGAACTTCGGTCCCCTGCCTGTCCAGTGGAGCTGGCAGCACTTGCCTCAGAGGATAGGGCTCTGGGTGGAGTGAGAAAAGGTGGAGTGGAGAATGGATGTGCCCATTGTGGTGTCGGGCACAGGGCAGGCTCTCATTAAATGGGAGCTGCTGTCCTTGTTCCAGATGCCACTCCCACTCTCAACTTGGGGCCCCTGTGTCCACGATGAAAGGGGCAGAGCTGCACCTGCCTCTCCCTGCGGTGCTTCTCAGCTTGCTCAGAACCTGGGTGAGGGAAGAGGGTATTATTTTTTTAGGACCTTTTGGAAACCCACACCAAGAAAACAAGCACAGGGTGTGTGGCCTCTCCCTTCTGCTCCTCATCAAGGGGAGGGACCGAACAGAGAAACTGGAAAGAAAGGTATTTTTAAGGACATGTGTAAATGCTTTAGAAATGATGCTATATGCTTGTTTGGGCAGCATGTATCCTAAAATTGGAATGACACATGGAAGGCGGCACGGCCCCCAAGAGTGACATGCAAATTGGTGAAACATTTCACATTTTTGGAATCCAGAAGATGATAGAGTGACATCTTTAAACTGCTGAAAGAAAAAAGCCAAACAAACTGGCCAACCTTTTGGAGGAGATAGTCTTCAGAAATGAAGCATAAACAAAAATATCTCCAAACAAAAGCTAAGAAAATTCATCACCAGCAGCTCCACCTCCAAGAAACCCCAGAGCAAGTTCTTTGGGCTGAAGGAAAGGGACCCCAGTGGAAGCATCAAAATGCAGGAAGGAATGAAAAACACAGAAAAGGGGAAATATTGGGTGAATATACAAAAATGTTAGCTACGTAAGGTAAAAATAAACGAGTCAATGCTAAAACGTCTATCAGTGGTGCCAGGGCGGGAGAGGAACAATGGAACCAGAACATTTACCAAAATAGACCATATGCTGGGCCCTAGAGCAAGTCTCAACAGATTTCAAAGGGCTGAAATCACATAAGAGTGTGTTCTCTGACCACAGTGCAATTAAACAAGAAATTAATAACAGAAAGATAATTGGAGAATCCCCAAGTGTTTGGAAATTAAGCAACATACTTCTCAATAACCTCTGGGTCAGAGAAGAAATCACAGTGGAAATTAGGAAATACTTTGAACTGAGTGATGATGAAAATAAACATTGAAACTTGTGGGAAGTGGCTAAAAAAATGCTTAAGTGGAGACTTTTAGCTTAAAATGCATGTATTAGGAAATAAGAAGGATGAAAATCAATGATCTAAGTTTCTGTCTCCTAAAACTAAAAAAACAAAAACCCCAAAACCGAGTAAATTAAGCCTAAAGAAAGTGAAAGGTAACAAAGACTTGGAACCAACCCTAATGTTCATCAATGATAGACTGGATTAAGAAAATGTGGCACATATACACCATGGAATACTATGCAGCCATAAAAAAGGATGAGTTCATGTCCTTTGCAGGGACATGGATGAAGCTGGAAACCATCATTCTCAGCAAACTATCACAAGGACTGAAAACCAAACACTGCATGTTCTCACTCATAGGTGGGAATTGAACAATGAGATCACTTGGACACAGGGCGGGGAGCATCAAACACCGGGGCCTGTCAGGGGGTGGGGGGCTGGTGGGGGAGAGCATTAGGAGAAATACCTAATGTAAATGATGAGTTGATGGTTGCAGCAAACCAACATGGCACATGTATACCTATGTATCGAACCTGCACATTGTGCACATGTACCCTAGAACTTAGAGTATAATAAAAAAAGAAAGAAAGAAAGTGAAAGGAAGAATGTAATCAAGACAGGAGTAGAAATTAATGAATTAATTGGGAGCAATAGAGAAAATAAAACCCAGGTAGGTGTTTGAAAAGATTAATAAAAGATTAGTAAAATGGACAGGCTCAGGTGCAGTGGCTCATGCCTGTAATCCCAACACTCTGGGAGGCCAAGGTAGGAGGATCACTTGACCCAAGGAGTTTGACATCAGCCTGGGCAACATAATGAGACTCCAACTCTACAAAAATTTTAAAAAAAATAGCTGGGCATGGTGGTGGATGCCTGTATTCCCAGCAACTTGGGAGGCTTAGATGGGAGGATAACTTGAGCCCAGGAGGTTGAGGCTGCAGTGAGCAGTGATCACACTGTTATGGGACCTTTGGGGTGTTAATTTTCTGGCCGGAAACCTCTGTGGTCATGGCACCTTTGCCTGAGCTCTTGTCCTGCATCCAGAAAGAATGAGGTACACAGACAAATGAAGGATGAATAAGATAAAGATGAGCTTTACTGAGTGTTATAACAGCTCAGGCCCACAGTGGGTAGCTCCTCTCTGTAGGCAGGTCATTGAGTGTTCCATTCGCAGCAGAGAGGAGGCCCTGGAGAGGGTACTCCTCTCTGTAACTGGTCATCCTGATGTCTGCAGCTCTCAGCAGAGAGGAGGCCCTGGAAAGGCTGGCTCCTCTCTGCCAGCAGGCCATCTCTGTAGCTCTCAGCAGAGAGGGTAGTTCCTCTCTGGAGCTGGTTGTTCCATCATCTCCAAAGGGTAGCTCTTCTCTGCAGCTGGCCAACGTGTTGTCTCTCTGCCCTCTTCGTCCTCTGACCATCCTCTACCCTGTTCTGGCAGAGCCCAGGGCTTTTATGGACTTCAGAGGGGAGGAAGTTCATGCCGACTGGTCAATGGATGGCCATGGATGGGCCCAGAAGAGGCACCCAAGTCCCCATTCTGGTCTGTGGGACTGACAGCCTGGCCTCCAGCCTTCGGGCTCTCCTCAGCCTGAGGGTGGGGCCTTACTGGGGACCCACCTGCTTCTACCCACTAATCTGTCTGCCTCCCACTGCCATTCATAGTCCCAAGGCTTGGCCCCAACCCCATTCCAAGATCAGAGCGGGTACTGGAGCAGAGAGAGGCCAGACAGTGAGAGCAGACATTCTGGAGCCAGCAGGGATGGGGTGAGGGCCTCTCCTGGGCCCTCGAGGGTGTAGGCTGCAGAGACATCCAGGTCCTGCACCTGGGAGGGTGGCTGCAGAAGCACCTGGGGAGCTCCCGTCCCAACTCAGAAGGGGCAGGGCCTCCACTGGCTCCATGGAGTGTGCAGCCCCAGCCGTGCCCCCTGCTATAGCTGGCATGGTGGCAGCAGCCGCTATCGACACCACTGCACGGCAGCCTGGGTGACAGAGCAAGACTTTTGTCTCAAAAATAAAATACAATAAAATAGACAATTCCATCAATAATGACCAAGAGGGAAAAAAATAGGAAAAACTCACGTTTTTAAAATTCTAATATCAGATATAAAACGAGGCCCTCACTGTGGTAGAGGCTAATGATATTGTAAATGTAACAAGAGGATATTACAAACAATTTTGTGCCAATAAAAGTGAAAACCTAGATGAAATGGACACATTCTTTAAAAACTACAATTTAGCGGCTGGGCATGATGGCTCAAGCCTGTAATCCCAGCACTTTGAGAGGTCGAGACGGGCGGATCACCTGAAGTCGGGAGTTAGAGACCAGCCTGACCAACATGGAGAAACCCCGTCTCGACTAAAAATACAAAATTAGCCAGGTGTGATGGCGCATGCCTGTAATCCCAGCTACCCAGGAAGCTGAGGCAAGAGAATCGTTTGAAACCGGGAGGTGGAGGTTGGAGGTTGTTGTGAGCCAAGATCGTGCCATTGCACTCCAGCCTGGGCGACAAGAGCAAAGTTCCGTCTCAAAACAAACAAACAAACAAAAAACCCCTACAATTTAGCAAAACTGATACAAGATTAAGTAGAAAATCCAAAGAATCATCTACTGTTAAAAACAATTAAATCTGTAATTTAAACCCTTCTCACAAAGAAAACTCCAGACTCAGGTGGTTTCACTGGTAATTTTCCAAACATTTAAGAAATAATACTTATCTTATGCAAACTCAGAAACAGAACACAGGAAATAAAAAAGGAACATCCCCCCCCAACTCATTTTATGAGGCCAGAAAAATTCTGATATTACAGCTAGGCACAAATCTTACATAAGAGATATTTACAGACTGATATGGTTTGGCTGTGTCCCCATCCAAATCTCATCTCAAATTGTAATCCAAATTGTAATCTCCATGTGTCAAGGAAGGGACCTGGTGGGAGGTGATTGGATAATGAGGGGGTTTTCCCCCATGCAGTTCTCGTGATAGTAAGCGAGTTCTCATGAGATCTGGTTGTTTGATGAGTGTCTGGCACTTCCCCCTTCGCTCTCTCTCCTGCCACCTTGTAAAGAAGGTACATGCTTCTCCTTTGCCTTCTGCCATGATTTTAAGTTTCCTGAAGCCTCCTCAGCCATGCTGAACTGTAAGTCAATTAAACCTCTTTCCTTTATAAATTACCCAGTCTCAGGTAGTGTCTTTATAGCAGTGTTAGAATGGACTAATACACAGACTTATATCTGTCATGAATATAGATGAAAAATTCTAAGTAAAATGTTAGTAAATCAAATCCAGAGATATATTAAAAAGATGATACCTCAAGACCAAGTAGAACTTATTCCAGAAATACAAAGTGGATTTAACATTTGAAAAAAAATCAATCAATGTAATTTTCCATAATAACAGAATAAAGGAGAAATATCACACAATCATGCCCTTTGATGCAGAAAAACATTTGATAAAATTCAACACTTATTCATGATAAAAACTCTCCAACAATTAAGAATACATTTTTAAAGGAACTTCTTTAATCTGATAAGGACTATATATTTTTTAAAACCCTACTGTTAACATAAATGCAACTATTGAGCACTTTCTTCTTGTCAGCCATGATCACCACTTTGGCTCAACCTGGTACTGGAGGTCCTGCCCCGTGCAATAAGGCAAGAAAAAGAAAAAGGCATGAAGATTGGAAAGGTAAAACTGTTTTTGCTTTCTGATGACAAAACTGTATAAATAGGAAATCCAAAAAAATCTACAAGCTATTAGAATTAATAAATTTAGCAAGGCCACTAGACAAAATGTCAACATACAAAGTTAAGTTTATTTCTATATACTAGCAACAAACAACTAGAAAACAAAGACAACTTACAGTAGCAAGAAAATATAAATAGCTAGCAATAAATCTTCTGAAAGATATGTAAGACCTCCACTAAAAACCACAAAACATTTCTAAGAGAGATTAAAGAAGACCTAGATAAGGTCAGGAGCAGTGGCTCATACCTGTAATCCTAGTGCTTTAAGAGGCCAAGGTGGGAGGATCACTTGAGGCCAGGAGTTTGAGACCAGCCTGGGCAACATAGAGAGAGTCCAAATCTACAAAAAACTAAAAAACTAGCCAAACATTGTGGTACATAGCTACACTCATAGCTACTCAGGAGGCTAAGTTGGGATGATTGCCCAAGCTCAGGAGTTTGAAATTACAGTGAGCCGTGATCACACCCCTGTACTCCATCCTAGGCAACAGAGTAAGACTCTGTCTCTAAAAAAAAAAAAAAAAAAAAGCCGGGCATGGTGGCTCATGCCTGTAATCCCAGCACTTTCAAAGCCAAGGTGGGCGGATCATGAGGTCAGGGGTTTGAGACCAGCCTGGCCAATATGGTAAAATCCTGTCTCTACTAAAAATACAAAAATTAGCTGGGCGTGGTGGTGGGTGCCTGTAGTCCCAGGGGGCTGAGGCAGAAGAATTGCTTGAGCCTGGGAGGCAGAGGTTGCAGTGAACCAAGATCATGCCACTGCACTGCAGCCTGTGTGACAGAGCAAAAGTCTGTCTCAAAAAATACCTAGATAAATGGAGAGATAGACTACATTTATGGATTAGAAGTCTCAATGCTGTTGTTATGTCAATCTCCTAAATCCATCTATAGATTCAATATTATAGTAAATGGCCTCAGCATTCTTTTTTTTTTTTTTTTTTTTTTTGAGACAGGGTCTCACTCTGTCCCCCAGCTGCAGTGGCACGATCACTGCAGTTTCAACCTCCTGGGCTCAGGCGATCCTCCGGCCTCAGCCTCCTAGGTAGCTAGGACTACATGCGCTCCACCACGCCTGGCTCATTTTTGTATTTTTTGTAGAGATGGAGTTTTGCCATGTTGCCCAGGCTGATCTTGAACTCCTGGGCTCAAGCGATCCGCCTGCCTCGGCCTCCCAAAGTGCTGGGATTGGATTACAGGTGTGAGCCATTGCACCCAGTCTCAGCATTCATTTTGAATATAGGTTTAGCTTTCTCATACCAGAAACAGGGCTTAGTCATCCTTGACATCATTTCCTGTTCTTCACCTCCTCCCATTTCTTCAAGATGGTCAATCCAGATTGTCTGCCTTACATTATCGCCTCCCGGGGACTCCCTTCCCAAGGTATAGTTGGATACAACCCACTTGACTTGCCTTAAAGACCCCACCCTCTCAGGGACTGGGCTGGTCTATGCAGCAGTGACCCTTTCTCAGTCACACGGTGACCTTTGGCCCTCATGCATCCCCCAAATCTCCCAGTTAGAACACCCTGTGGAAAACCTGCTTGGATAACGACCTGGATTCCAATTAAGGCTTTAGTCCCGCAGGTCTCTCTCTCTCTCCCTCTCCACCCCCGACCACCTGCTGGTTGAGCTCCCTGCCGTCTCCAGACTTCCCGCAGTTCCTTGCAGGACCCTCTTCTCTGTGGACCTGGGAGTGATAAACCGCTTCTGTTATTTCATGTGTTCTGTTGTGCTGTCTCCCCCGTGGCCCACCTGACCAACGCACCCAGACCTAACTCTCTGCCGGCCAGGGCTCTCCTAGGGAGTGGCGGTCTTGGTGGGAATAAACTGGACACAGGTCAGACAAGAGCCAAAGGGCGTCTGCCAGGGTAAACGAGTTTCCTGTGAGAGGGACAGCTGGTCACAGTCAGACACTGAGGCATCAGACCGTGTGTCAGGATAAAGAAGTATCCCTGAGAGATGCACTGTGACACCCACAGCCACCTGCCCTCAAGCTCCGTCAGGGCAGGGCTAGAGTTCACAGCCACTCTATAAACTGGGAGCCGCCTCATAAGCAAATTAGAGGAAAATACAACAAACGTCATCTCAGTCACAATCCCGGTGGTGTTTTTGTAATGGATATTGACAAACAGATTTATACAGAATCTCAAAGAACCTAGAATAGACAGAAAAATTTTGAAGAACAAAGTTGGAAGGCTTATTCTGCCAGATATCAAGACCTACTATAAAGCAACCCTAATTAAGCAAAGGTAATTAAACAGTGTGATATTTGCATGAAAATGGACATATAGGCCATAAGATAGAATCGAGCGTTCAGAAACAGACTCACACATAGATGGCTACGTAATTAACAATAAAGTTACCTGAGCAAGTTAGTAGAGAAGAGGATGGTCTTGTCAAAAAACGATGCCAAATTGGATATCCATGTGGAAAAAAATGCAACTTGGTCCCTACCTCAAATTATGCACAAATTTTAATTCAAGATGACCTATATTAATGTAAAAGGTAAAATAATAAAGCTTCTAGAAAAAAATATAATATCTTCATGATATTGAGATAGGCAAAGATTTATTAAACAGGACACAAAAATCGTTAACCCAAAGATTAATGATTAAGATTGACACATTAGACTTGATCAAAATTAATAACTTCTGGCTGGGCACAGTGGCTCATGCCTGTAATCCCCACAGTTTGGAAGGCTGAGGTGGGTGGATCACCTGAGGTCAGGAGTTCGAGACCAGCCTGGCCAACATAGTGAAACCTCATCTCTACTAAAAATACAAAAATTAGCTGGGCATGGTGGCAGGCACCTATAATCCCAGCTACTCAGGAGGCTGAGGCAGGAGAATCACTTGAATCCGGGAGGCGGAGATTGCAGTGAGACAAGATCGTGCCACTGCACTCCAGCCTGGGCAACAAGAGCAAAACTCTGTCTCAAAAAATAAATAAATACATAAAAATAAAAACAAAATTAAGAACTTCTGTTTATCAAGAGAAACCAATGAGTGCATGAAAATGCAAGCTGCAGACTGGGAGGAAATGTTTACATTCTGTATATTCAATAAAGGATTCCTATCCAGAATATAAAGAAACTTTACAAATCAGTAAGAAAAAACAGACTGATTAAAAATGGGCAAAAGACTTAAACAGGCACTTAATGAAAGATGATATCAAATGACCAGAAAGTATGATAAATGGAGCTGAATATCATTAGCCATATTTTTATTGTATTGTATTGTATTGTATTGTATTGTATTGTATTGTATTGTATTGTATTGTATTGTATTTTTTTGAGACAGAGTCTCACTCTGTTGCCCAGGCTGGAGTGCCACTGTGCCCGGCCCATATCTTTTAACAAAAGGAACTTAAAACCACAATGAGACACTGCTCAAAAAGGCTAAAAAAGTACTCAGTCATATAGCCAACTAGAATGGCTAAAATGAAAATGACACCACCAGTGTTGGTGAGGATGTAAAGAAAATTCTCATAGAGTGTTGTAAATTGGTAGACTTTTTGGCCTACACTGCAATTCCGCTCCTGAATATATACCCAACAGAAACTGGGGGGAGGGGGTAGTCACCAAAAGACATGGACAAAGAAACCCATAGCAGCTCTGTGTAAATAAATTGTGGTTTATCCCTGCAAGGGAATACTACACCACAATAAAAATCAATGGACTCCTCCTATACCCAATACCATGGAGGAATCTCACACACATAATATTGAACAAAAGAAGCCAGATACTGAAGAACACACACTACATAATTCCATTTATGGGAAGTTCAAGAGGAAGCAAAAGGGTGACAGGAGTCAGGATGCCTCTAGAGGGCTGTGCACTGGCAGGGAAAGGCATGGGAGACTCTTTTGGATGCTGGAAATGTCCAATATCTGGGAGGTGAGTACATAGGTCTATACAAATATAAACATTCCTTAAGCTATACACGTAAAAGATGTATGCACTTCACTGTATGTATGTTAAACCTCACTTTTTAAAAAATGGGCCGGGCGTGGTGGCTCACGCCTGTAATCCCAGCACTTTGGGAGGCCAAGGCAGGCAGATCACGAGGTCAGGAGATCGAGACCATTCTGGCCAACATGGTGAAACCCTGTCTCCACTAAAAATAAAAAAATTAGCTGGGTGTGGTGGCACATGCCTGCAATCCCAGCTACTCAGGAGGCTGAGGCAGGAGAATCGCTTGAACCAGGGAGTCAGAGGTTGCAGTGAGCTGAGATTGTGCCACCGCACTCCAGCCTGGCAACAGAGCAAGACTCTGTCTCAAAAAAAAAAAAAAAAGGAAAAGAAAAAAAGACCAGCCTGGGCAATATGCTGAAATCCATCTCTACAAAAAATTTTTTTTAAATTAGGCAGTCGTGGTGGTGCACGCCTGTAGTCCCAGCTACTCAGGAGGCTGAGGTGGGAGGATGGTTTGAGCCCGGGAAGTTGAGGCTGCAGTGAGCCATGCTCCCGCTGAAGTAGAAGGTGGGACTCAACTCTGAAGGTGGGGCTTAGACATGTGACTAATTGAGGACTAACAAGGAGAGGGGATGGCAGAAGGAGCTTTCCATAAGACACAGTCACCTGTGTGCCATGTTAGTTTACCATTGCCATGGCAACACCCAGAAGCTACTGCCCCTTTCCATGGCAACGACCAGACAACCCAGAAGTTGACACCCTTATCCTACAAATTTCTGTGTGAACCACCCCTCAATGTACATATAATTAAAAGTGGGTATAATGTGAGTGCAGACCTGCCTCTGACTGCTGCTCTGGGCACACTGCCTATGGGGTAGCCCTGCTCTGCAAGGGGCAGAACCTCTGCTGCTGCTGTGTACTGCCACTTCAATCAAAACTGCTGTCTAACACCACCGGCTCACCCTCGAACTCTTTCCTGGATAAAACCAAAACCCTTCCTGGGCTAAGCCCCAATTTGGGGGCTCACCTGCCCTGCATCATTGCTACTGCACTCCAGCCTGGATGAAAGAGCAAGATGCTGTCTCAGGCCCAGTGTGGTGGCTGACACCTGTAATCTCAGCACTTTGGGAGGCCAAGGCGGGTGGATCACTTGAGGTCAGGAGTTCAAGACCAGCCTGGCCAACATGGCAAAACCTTGTCTCTACTAATAATACAAAAATTAGTCAGGCATGGTGGCACGTGCCTGTAATACCAGCTACTTGGAAGGCTGAAGTAGAAGAATCACTTGAACCCGGGAAGCAGAGGTTGCAGTGAGCTGAGATCGTGCCACTCCACTCCAGCCTGGGTGACAGAGCGAGACTCCGTCTCAAAAAAAAAAAAAAAAAAAAAGATGCTGTCTCAGCAAAAACGCTAAAGCTAAGACCCAAGTATAGAAATCACCTTTTAAAGAAATTTCGTAGCAAAAACAAACAAAGAAAAACAAACAAAAAACTTTCTATGAGGTTGAACAAGTGTTTTCTTAGCTTCCTGCATGCACTCTTGTGGGAGAACAGCTCTGTCCTGGCCTCTGCGTGTGTGCAACCCAGGTCACATGGGCTGGGTTTGAAACACAGCTGGCCTGAATCTTGGCTGGATGTCTTGGGGTCCTCCTGGACCATGAGAACTTGGGGGGCTTGTGAGGAGCTGCGACAAGACTGTTTCTCATTGGCTTCCCTCTCTACCAAGGAGGTTGTCATGAGACTCTGGATGTCTGGTTTCTCCCAGATTCAGAGGAGGTATGAGACTTTCTGCCTGGTCTCCCCACCCCTTGGGGTATAGCCAGAGGACCTGAAACCTCTTAGCTGCAGTCTCAATGGGCTCCTGCGCAGTGGAATACCCTGGCGTCTGTGCCATTGCCCTGCACAAGGGCCATGGGGAGCTGGCACCTGCAGCTGCTCTTCCCTTCAGTCTCTAAGCAAGCAGTAAACCAAGGCCAAAGAGGACTATTTGCCCCTGTACTGCTGGTTCTGCCAGCCACTGGCCTCACCTTGCCTCATGCTTGACAGTTTGTTTTGTTTTTTTTTTTCTGAGACGGAGTTTCACTCTTTTGCCCAGGCTGGAGTGTAGTGGCGTGATCTTGGCCCACTGCAATCTCAGCCTTCCAGTTTCAAGCAATTCTCCTGCCTCAGCCTCCCAAGTAGTTGGGATTAGAGGCACCCGCCACCACACCGGACTAATTTTTGTATTTTTAGTAGAGACAGGGTTTCGCCATGTTGGCCAGGCTGGTCTCAAACTCCTAACCTTAAGTGATCCGCCCGCCTCGGCCTCCCAAAGTGCTGGGATTACAGGCGTGAGCCGCCGCGCACGGCCGTGCTTAACAGTTGTTATGCATGAAGTGGATTGTTCATATTCCAAAAGAAAAGGAGAGGTTAAGCCAGGCGACTGGCATTGGCTATGTGCTAACTGCGTACTGAACACTGCGGCAAGCATATACATGTCACTGAGTTTACTTGTCACAGATTTGCCTTTAGTTATCTTGGATTGTGATCACTGGCCATCTCCATACTGCTTCACTCGCTTCGTTATCATCACTGCTGATTTTGGGGTCACGGCCTGCCATCCAGCTGGACAGAACACCCAGGCCATGTCCTTAGAAACTGGCCCTTCGGTGTCTGCAGGATGCCAGCCAGCACAGTTCTCAGAAGGAGACGGTGATCATTGTCCCTTCGAGGCTCCTTTCTCCATGAATGGAGGGAAGTGCAGAACCGGTCCGAATGGGCAGGATGGTGTCTGGAGTTTTGTTACCGAAACAGACAGGACTATTTTTCACCATAGGCTGAAGGGGAGGAGGATGGTGGACGGTGACCAAGCATCACCGAGCCCTTACTAGGTCTCGGGTACCATGCTAGGCACTTCCACCGGTGCTGCCACCATATCCGTCTCAGAGAGGCTCAACAGCTCGCCCCCACCATGCAGCTTGTCAGTAGCAGAACTGGACTCCAATCCAGGCCATTCTGGCTCCCCGGTCCGAGTTCTTCCCACCACTGTGCTTTGGCCAGAAATGTGCATCACTATTGTTAGAGCCGGTTGCCACGGAAACGGTGTCTCTGCCCTGCATCAGGCTGGCCACAGTCACCTCCCGCTCAGGAAGCAGCCCACAGACCCACCGAGTCAGGCACCAGCCAACGGGCGGGCCTGGCCTCTGTCCACCTCTGTCCACAACTGTGCTGTTTCTGGCTCTGAGGGCCCCTGAGACCGGGAAAAACAACAGCAAGTCCCCGTGGGGTCCTGACCAGATGAAGTCTCCCACTTTGCCTCGTCTGTCACCAGCCACAGCTACGCGGCGGGCGCACCATCATGCAGCAGCCACCCTTCCTGTTTTCCTCCTTCCCCAGAGAAGGATTGCTTCTTTTTTCTTTCTTCCATGCCCCTGTATTCTAATGGTAGCTCTCTCCCCGAGTGGTTGACAAGCACAACTGTGGCTGATGATATAATATGACTAATAATGGGGAAGCGGTGTGAATACCCAGAGGCCAAAGAGAAAATAAAACAGCGATGACAGTCGCTGCTACATTTACGGTATTTCTTTCCACCGAGGCCTGCGGGCTAGCCGCTGCTGGGGCGGGGGCCGGTCACGAGGAGTTGCTAGCAATAGGCTGCGTCCTGTTGTTGCACGAATGATCTCAACTCCTGCTCTGGGACAGGGGTTTGCTCGCTCATCAAATTACAGCAGGCTTGTGTCAGCTCCAGCTGGTAGCTGGGCAGCATTTGCACTCTGGGTGCCTCCTGGGAGAAGCCTGGAGCGCAACTCACTTCAGTAGGAAGGGAGGTAAATGAAAACCTGGAAGCTGCGACAGGAGCCCTCTACTGAGAAAAAGAAACTGCAGAAATCGGCCTAGGGCAACTCTCCGTAAGACAGAAGTTTTACAATGTTCATTTTCAGGTGATTTCTTTTTTCTTTTTTTTTTTTTTTTTTGAGACAGAGTCTTGTTCTGTTGCCCAGGCTGGCGTGCAGTGGCGTGATCTCGGCTCACTGCAACCTCCGCCTCCTGGGTTCAAGCGATTCTCCTGCCTCAGCCTCCTGAGTAGCTGGGACTACAGGCGCCCGCCACCACGCCCAGCTAATTTTTGTTTTAGTGGAGACTGGGTTTCACCATGTTGGCCAGGCTGGTCTCGAACTCCTGACCTCAGGTGATCCTCCTACCTCGGCCTCCTAAAGTGCTAGGATTACAGGCATAAGCCACCTCATTCAGCCTTTTTTAAAAATTTATTTTTATTTATTAAACATTTTTCAAAGTGGTAAAATATACATAAGATAAAATTGACCATTTTAATCATCTTTGAGCGTATAATTTTCAGCAGCACTAAGTTCATTCATATCGTGGTACAGCCTTCACCACCATTCACCTCCATAACTTTTCTCATTTTCCCTAAGTCCCCATTAAATACCAGCTCTCTGTCCCCCTCGCCCCAGGCCCTGGCACCCACCATTCTATGAATGCTTCCTGTCTCTACGAATTTGACTCCTCTAGATTCCTCATCTGAGTGGAATCATACAGTATTCGTCCTTTTGTGACTGCGACTCTTATTTCACTGAGCACAATGTCCTCAAGATTTATCCATCTTGTGGTCTGTGTCCGAATTTCCTTCCTTTTTAGGGCTGAATGATATTCCATTGTATGAACAGACCACATTTTGGGTTTGTTTGTTTTTCTTTTTTTGAAACGGAGTCTCACTCTGTCACCCAGGCTGGAGTGCAATGGCGCGATCTCGGCTTATTGCAGCCTCTGCCTCCCGGGATTCAAGTGATTCTCCTGCCTCAGCCTCCCAAGTAGCTGGAATTACAGGTGCATACCACCACACCTGGCTAATTTTTATATTTTTAGTAGAGATGGGGTTTCACCATGTTGCCCAGGCTGGTCTTGAACTCCTGACCTCAAGTGATCTGCCTGCCTCGGCCTCCCAAAGTGCCGGGATTACAGGCAAGAGCCACCATGCCGGGCCTGGTTTTCTGTTTTTTTGAAATAGGGTCTTGCTCTGTTGCCCAGGCTGGAGTGCAGCTGCGTGATCTCAGCTCACTGCAACCTCCCACCCCCCAGGCTCAAGTGGTCCTCCCATCTCAGCCTTCTGAGTAGCTGGGACTATAGGCATGCACCACCACATCCAGCTAATTTTTTTTTCTTTTTTG
Organism: Homo sapiens; assembly: GCF_000001405.40. Classification (NCBI taxonomy): domain Eukaryota; kingdom Metazoa; phylum Chordata; class Mammalia; order Primates; family Hominidae; genus Homo; species Homo sapiens. Next base: position 45,611,070 of record NC_000022.11, on the reverse strand, counting down.
GTTGATATAGGATTTTGCCATGTTGCCCAGGCTGGGCTCAAACCCCTGGGCTCAAAAAATCTGCCATCCTTGGCCTCCCACAATGCTGGGATTACAGCCATGAGCCACTGCACCTGGCCATAGATCACATTTCGTTTATCCGTTTGTCCATTGGTGAACAATTGGGTTGCTTCCGCCTTTTGGCTATCGTGTAGGGTGATTTCTATTATGATACTCTTTACCTTTTACAAAATTATTTGTATACTAAAAGCATAGGTTGCTTTTATTCACGTTAGTGAAGTTAAATAATGGCCAACTTCATTGGACCCTGCTTCTAGAATTCATTTCTCTTATGAAATTGAAACGAGCTTTGTCTTAAACAGTTTGGTGCATTGAGAGAAAATTAAGAAAACACAAATGATGAAAACAAAACGTAGTTCAGTAAATTTGCAATAAACAATGAAAGAAACTTGCTTTTACTGGGCCTGAAAGACCCCGTGCCAGCCTTCACGTTATCCTGCTGGTAAGTCCCGTAACCACCACTGTGTCTCATTCATCACTGTATCTCTGGGCCTAGCCCTGTACCTGAGTTATAGGAGACATGCCGAAAAATTTTTATTTTTTTAAAAAAGGAGAGTGAGGTGACATTTACTGAGAACTCACAAAGGCACGTGCCTGGGAAAGGAAGAGAAGAACTGGAACAGATATTTTCTGAGCTCCTCTTCCGGACCAGGCACCGTGCCCACGTTTTGTAGTCACCATCTTGCTTCATACTCCCCAAACTCCTGCAAGGTAGTAATTATTAGGCTCACTTTTCAGATGAGAGAACTGATACAGATGAAAAAACTCTCTGGGAGGATCTTGAAAGAGTTGGTAAAAAGTGCTAGATATTGGGTTTGGTCCTACCAGGAGTAAGCGAGGAAAGGGCTCTTTTCCCCGGGGAGTTAATATCAGACTTGCCCCCTCCAGAATATTGGGAATGGTCTCCTCGGCTAAATTGATTTAGTGTGTTCATGCCAAGCCCTTCCTAGGCCTTGTGTCCATGCCTGGTTATTGTTGTGTGTTGTTTTAATTTCATGCATATTTTATTTTTTAATTTTATTTCATGCATACAGGCATTTGCACATAATAAATGGTCAATAGAGATTCACCAAGTTGAACTGAATGTTGTTTGCAAGGAGGAAGGATTGGTTCCACAGTGTCAAAGTTTATCGAGACCTTAAACCAAAGGTAGCCTCTTCTTTCTGCTTGTCATGGAAAGAGCACAGGAGGCCGGAGGGTAAGAAACAGCTTGGCCGTGTCCTACTCTGGGGGAGTTTCTTCGTTTCTGAGGCTCACATTTGTCCTCTGCAAAATGGTAGTAATGATCTCAACCTGGCAGTGTTGTTTGGGGCTGGTGAAGGCCAAGTTGCTGCTGTTTCTCTAACGAAGGTCATCCCTGTCCAGTTAGAAATGTCCTTTCTTTTTCTTTCTTTTTTTTCTTTTTTCTTTTTTTTTTTGAGATGGGGTCTCACTCTGTCACCCAGGCTGGAGTGCAGTAGCATGATCTCGGCTAACTACAACCTCTGCCTCCCAGGTTCAAGTGATTCTCCTGCCTCAGCCTCCTGAGTAGTTGGGACTACAGGCATGTGCCACCACGCCTGGCTAATTCTTGTATTTTTAGCGGAGGTGAGGTTTCACCATGTTGGCCAGGCTGGTCTCGAACTCCTGACCTCAGGTGATCCGCCCGCCTCGGCCTCCCAAAATGCTGGGATTACAGGAGTGAGCCACAGCGCCCGGCCAAAAGTGTCCTTTCTTTTTAATGTCTATTAGAAACAGGCTGTGCTTCTACCTCTGAGCTCCGCATGCCTCTTTCCTCTCACCCCTACCCCACTCCTACCGTGCCTCTCACTGAACACCCAAGGTACCCATTCTCCAGGGCATTAGCCCACCAAGCTGGGCCTCACATCCAGCTGCAAAGATCACCCAAAGCTCTCTGTGCCATGATGAGCTGGCATTGGTCTCACTGTCGTATGACAAACAGGAAAGCTAGCAGGAAAGCCACAGACCGACCTAGTAAGCTTTCTCATGTTACCCTAGGTTAGTCATCGCTGCCAAGTTTTTGTGGCACAGAAAGAAAAAAATAAGCCCCCTCTTAAGCCCATGGAACTGAAGAAGACTGGAATGTGGAGAATGCCCAGTCCTCCTAAATCCCAATTGGAATAATCATGCTGGAATAGATTTCTTCTTGTTCACTCAAAACACTAAGGTTCTCAACAGCAAGTCACCATCACCACAGGCCAGAGCGGATTCACCCGACCTCAGCGCCGTTAGCATTCGGTCCTGGGATGCCAAAGGCTTTCTCTGCTGGGATCTGAGTTTGGGGGTTGAGGTGCTCAAGTTTCCAGGGCGATGCTTCTGGAGGGGTTTTACCAGTTTCTAATACCGAAGGCTCAGGGGAAGCAGTTTCAACTGGGGGCCTCTCTAATCTAGGGAGACAATGGAGAAATAGTTTCTTGTGTGCAAAGCCACTCTTCACACTGGGACGGGCTCTGCTCCCTAGAGCAAGAATTAAACACCTGCTGTGTATGCACAGGAAAGGATGTTCAAGAGAGTGCTTTCTGGGGAATCTGGAGATTTCTTCTCAGATCTGTCTGACTTTTCCTGCAAGAAATGCAGAAAAGGCTGTTGCCTTTTAGGAATGATCAGGAGCACCGTCTACTCCACCGGCTGACTTGAATAACTCACCCTCAAAGGTGCAGGAACCAGGACAAGGTGACCAGGGTGTGGGACTCAGAGAGCTACAGTCTCACGTGACGATGAAACGTCAGGTTCAAAGTGGCTGGCTCATGTCGCTGTCATATTTGGCTCTGCTAACTGCGTAGATTTCCCCATGTAGGATGTTAGGACTTGACTGTTTCCCAAAGTGGCTGGCTCATGTCGCTGTCATATTTGGCTCTGCTAACTGCGTAGATTTCCCCATGTAGGATGTTAGGACTTGACTGTTTCCCAAAGTGGCTGGCTCATGTCGCTGTCATATTTGGCTCTGCTAACTGCGTAGATTTCCCCATGTAGGATGTTAGGACTTGACTTTCCCACCGAGGACCTTAGAAGGGGCGTTCAATGGCCATTTCTGCTGCGACATTTCAGTAGCTTCTGGGTCCCACCCTCCAGGCAACCTCTTCTTCCTCAGCCTGGTTCTGTGACCTTGTGCCCCCTGCCACTCCTCCATTCTTAGCTCCACATGGGGCACCCACATCTTCCCCCTCCCAGAGCCCCCTCCCCAACTTCCCACCCCTGTCTGTCCCGCTTTTTTTTTTTTTTTTTTTTTGAGACAGAGTCTCATTCTGTTGCCCAGGCTGGAGTGCAATGGCGCGATCTTGGCTCACTGCAAACTCCACCTCTCAGGTTCAAGCGATTCTCCTGCCTCAGCCTCCTGAGTAGCTGGGATCACAGGCACCCACCATCTCGCCTGGCTAATTTTTGTATTTTTTTTAGTAGAGATGGGGTTTCACCATGTTGGCCAGGTTGGTCTCCAACTCCTGACCTCAGGTGATCCGCCCGCCTCGGTTTCCCAAAGTGCTGGGATTACAGGCGTGAGCCACCACGCCCGGCCAGCTCTCTGCAGACACCATCTGGGCGTCCTACACTTCAGTTCAATTCTGACGCTGGCCACCCAGAGTTAGCACAGGCCCGAGAGGATATGGGCTCCGTCCTGCAAGACCGTCCCTACTTCAGATGTCAGTTGCAAAGATTGGGCGCTCAGGTTACCCACACTTCCGTCTGACTTGGCTACACATCAGGGGTCCCCAGAACGCCCTCCTCGGGTTTGGTAATTGGCTAAAATGGCTCACAGAACTCAGGGAAACACTTTGGTTACATGTATAGGTTTCTAAGACCTTATACAAACTGGGCCCATTAGTCTTTGCTCCCTGATACTATCTGATACCATCTGGTCTCATTCCTTCCTGAATGGAATAATTCCTTCCTCATTCATTATCACAAGGACAATAATGTCCTTGTAAAGGACATTATTGATGATACAGATGAACAGGAAGACGAAGAGGCACACAGGGCGAGCTCTGGTGGGGCCCGGGCACAGGAGCTTCTGTCCCCGTGGAGTTGGGGGGCGCCACCCTCCCAGCATGCGGATGTGTCCACCAGCCCAGAAGCTCTCTGGATCCTGTAGTTCAGGGATTTTTACGGAGGCTTCATTACTTACGCGTGATGGATTATTAGCTCAATCTCCAGCCCCTCTCCCTTTCCTGGAGGGTGGGGGTGGAGCCAAAAGCTCCAGGCTCCTCGTCGAATCTGGGTCTTTCTGGTGCTCAGCCCCCAACCCCACCCAGGAGCCACTGAGAGTCACCTCATTAAACCAAAGACAAGGGATTAGGAGCTTTGTGTCAGGAACCCGGAAAGAGACCAAATAGAAGTGAATGTTTCTTATTATGTCACACAGCCACACCACGAGGTTGGTGCAGGAGCCCTTGAAGGAAGCCCTTGGAGGATCTGAGACCAAGAGGGCCTGATCAGATCGGAGTTTTGGAAATGTAACCTGGCAGCCTAGGGGAGGACTGGACAGAGTGGGGAGGACAGAGGGGAACTGATTCACCAGAGGGAGGGCGTGAAGTGAGTGAATGAATGAGTGAACCAATGAATGAACAAGATGGGAAGGAAGGAGTGAGACCAGATGGTATCAGATAGTATCAGGGAGCAAAGACTAACGGGCCCAGTTTGTATGAGGTCTTAGAAACCAGATCAAGGAGGTGGGATCAACGGTGCTTTCCTCTAAAGAAGCACATTTCCGGCCGGGCGCGGTGGCTCACGCCTGTAGACCCAGCACTTTGGGAGGCCGAGGCGGGTGGATCACCTGAGGTCAGGAGTTCGAGACCAGCCTGGCCAACACGGTGAAAACCCATCTCTACTAAAAATACAAAAATTAGCTGGGCATGGTGGGGGGTGCCTGTAATCCACACTACACAGGAGGCTGAGGCAGAGAGAATGGTTTGAACCCCCGGGAGGCAGAGACTGCAGTGAGCTGAGATCACGCCACTGCACTCCAGCCTGGGCGACAGAGCGAGACCCTGTCTCAAAAAAAAAAAAAAAAAAAAGAAGCAGCAGCAGCAGCAAATTTCCAGGAAGAAGCAGGCTATGGAGATCAGGGCAGGCAAAGGACAGAATTAGGTTAGTGCATCAACTGGGTCCAACCAGGAAGACACATGTGTTTATCTCCTGCAGCACCAAAAACCACCCAGAAGACAGCTCAGTGGACCCTAGCAGTGGATTCTACATGTCTGCAGAAAATGAGCAGAAAACAAGCCAGAGTTACAGCTATCTGCAGAGAGACTACATCCAGGAGGTCTGAAGACTGAAAGTAATCACTGCAGTCTGACTTCTACCACTGACACCCTTCCCATACATAATTTAAATGTGTAATTATAATACCATTGCTTAGTTAACGGACACCAATTCGTGCAGGAGCTGCCACAAACAGTAATAAACCAGCTGTGTTAGAAATGGATCACTTATCAGTGCGTGCCCAAGCCTCCTAATGCCTCATGATGTTTAATAATTAAATTGTGACACCTTGAACCCGCAGCTGACACCATGAATCACAGTGGAATTCTCCAAATGGAATGCAGCCACACCTCAGCTTCTGTGCTGCGTGCTGCCACTGAGGACATTCGATACCATTGAAGCCGTCAGATAGAGGTGGGTTATTTCCCTGTGCCCTGCACCTCCCTTCTGGCAAGTCCCTGGGAAGCAGTGGCCACAGATGAGCTGCTGCTCTCTTAAAGACTGAGATCAGGCCGGGCGCGGTGGCTCATGCCTGTAATCCCAGCACTTTGGGAGGCTGAGGCAGGCAGATCACCTGAGGTTGGGAGTTCGAGACCAGCCTGGCCAACATGACGAAACCCTGTCTCTACTAAAAAATACAAAAAATATTAGCTGGGTGTGGTGGTACGCGCTTGTAATCCCAGCTACTTGGGAGGCTGAGGCACAAGAGTTTCTTGAACCCAGGAGGCAGAGGTTATATGGAGTCTCGCTCTGTCACCCAGGCTGGAGTGCAGTGGCTCAATCTCGGCTCACTGCAACCTCATTTCAGGAGATGAGACCGGCATCCTTGTGGGAGAAGATGGCCCTGAGCTGGGCATGGCAGAAGGGCTGCGGAGTGTGTGTGTGTGTGTGTGTGGTGTGTGTGTGTGTGCACACATGCGCACATGTGTGTGTGAGAGAATGTGTGTGTGTTGGAGATGATTACCGAAGCCTTCCTGGCACATAGTAGGTCTTTTTTCCCACAAAGAGTAATGTGATTATTGGTAGTAATGGTGACTGTCACCGTGCTTCTCACAGGCCGTATTTCAAAAGGTCTACGGTGGCTCCGTTTCTTCTCTGAGACTTCAAAAGTCCTTCAAGAGTGAGTTCCCGTCTCATTCTATGTCCAGGATGAAGACGGATGGCCTCTTGGCACCCATCTCTTTGGCATGAACGATGTGGGGAAACGTGAATGGAAATGGGGAACTGTTGCTGGCACCCAGAAGTCATCCGGTCCGGATGAAGCCAAGTCACAAGGAAGTGCCTCCAATTATTCTTCATAAATTCCTCTGAGGTTTCACTTCTTGTCCACACAAGACTTTAATAAAATGTGGCATCTAACTGAATAAAGACTATCCTTTCGGGTGTGTGTGTCATGACAGTACTATTTATGGAGGACCTCCTGTGTAGCAGTTCTTGCACTGTTTTACGTAATCATCCCCTTTCATCCTAACAATCACTCCTGTGAAGTATGTGTCCTTATTTTCATTTCGTTGTAGAGAAAACCAAGGCTCTGAGACATTAAGCAATGTGCCCAAGGACACACAGCTAGTAAGTGGCTGGATTTGAGCGCAAGCCTACAAGAAACTGTAAGTTTCTTATTTGTATTTATTAATTCATCATATTGTCATTTCTTCAAAATGCAACTGAATCTCATAAAATGTCAGTGGCAGAATCTAGGTGGAAGGTGCCCTGGTATTCACTGTAAAATTCCTTCAACTCGGCTGTATATTTGAAAATTTTCATGTTACAATATTAGGAAAAAAACCCTTGATTTCCAGGTGTTTTTTCACCTGGACAAACTTGAGAACTTTGGAAAAGCTGGCTTACCTCCTCGAATTCTAGTTGGCTGGCTTGGCTGGGTTGGCTGGGTGGGCCCTGGCACCCTCCACTCAATGCCCACCTGCATGTTAAAACGGGTCCTGCTAGGACCCTGGGCAGCCCAGGCACTTCTGACACATGCCACAGACTTCCTCTGTACAGTAGAATAGATGTCCCTTAGGAATAAAAAAAAAAAACAGGCAGCTTTCTGGTCGAATACCACTCTATGACACCTTCTGGGACCTTCCCTCCAAGTTTCTTCTACCAGATCAACAAGAAGGATTCAACTTGGTGTCTCTGTGTGTTTTGCTGTCTCATGCTGCTTATAAACTGCTTTGCCTTTAGCAATGTCCCTCAGTTATCTTGTTCTAAGGCTACAATTAAGAAGGAATCACTGTTGTGGAGGAACTCAGAGGCACCTCCAGCTCCCATTAGCTGGTCCCTTAATGCCGCTGATGCGAGGCTCTGACAGTAATTACTTTGCAAGTATAATGAGATACTTATGGGTCCATCAGGTGCCCAACCCATAGCATGATATGAAATATGAAGAGTTAAGCTGGTGGGTAATTTACACAACTGTCTACCAAGTCTCTCCAGGATGATTAAGAAAAGGAAATGCCGGATTGAAAAGATGCCAAGCTTCCAGAGCGCGTTCATGTGGCTCGATTGACAGTGGCAACCATTATCGTCATCACCGTCATCGCTGCTTTTAACGGTTAATGATAATAAGCCGTCACACACGGATGCAGCACTTTGCAATGCACAAAGCCCTCTTGCACTCATGCTCTCCAGCGCTCCTCACTGCCATCTGGGAATCTCCACTTTGCAGATGTGGAAACTGAAGCTCGGACGATGGCAGTGACTCGCCCTGCTAGCCCTGCCGAGAGAGGTCTGCCTTTGCCTCCCTGATTCTGAATCAGATAGGGTCAGGACTCCCTCTATTCCCCTGGGCTCCTCAACCTGGCGCCCTCACCGCTTACTTGCGGGCCCCTCCTGCCCTCTTCTGCTCCAGACGGCAGGCTCTCTGAGGCAGGACTCTGATTGGACAGCTTGGATCATGTGCTCATTCAAAAGCCAATCAGCAGCAGGGGGCTTGGCTCTGTATTCACTCTTCCCATGTTAGCTGCCCTTTTTTTTTTTTTTTTTTTTTTTTTTTTTGAGACACAGTCTCATTCCTCTGCCCCGGCTGGAGTGGATCTCAGCTCAATGCAACCTCCACCTCCTGGGTTCATGTGATTCTCCTGCCTCAGCATCTCGAATAGCTGGGAATACAGGCACCCGCTACCATGCCCAGCTAATTTTTGTATTTTTAATAGAGACGAGGTTTCACCATGTTGGCCAGGCTGGTCTGGAACGCCTGACCTCAAGTGATCTACCTGCCTTGGCCTGCCAAAGTTCTGGGATTACAGGTGTGAGGCACTGCACCTGGCCTGCCCTAACTCCCGTTAGGAATATGGGAAACTCTTTTCCCAAAGCAGCCTGCACCTCGGTCTTCCCACCCCACCCTACTGAAGAAGGCTCCCAGAAACCAGCTTTGCTGAGCCCAGAACGGCCTGGCTCTGGCAGATTTGCCCCCAGGCTGCAAGTGGGCGGCAGCACTCCCCCTACATGTCCCTTTCTATTTCCTGCCCCTCCCCCTGAGTCTTCCTTTCATTCTTGCAGCCAGCTCCCAGCCCTGCTTCCCTGCCAGGACCCCAATTCCCTAACTCCCTGGCATCAAGACCTGCATGGATGTCCCCTGCACTTGTTTTGTCCCCGGATGTGGCTCCTTGGACTGTCCAGCCCCACACCTGGCCTCTTGTTTCCCACCAGCTACAGCGGCCAAGGCTCCAGCAGGCCTTGTACTTGGCTGGCCCAGGCTTGGCTTTGATGGACCAGTGACCCAAATAAGTGACCTTGGAAAGGTCTTCCTAAAGGTGGTGGAGACCATGTTCTTGAGAGTTGGAGTGGTGTTGGCTTGAGTGTGGGGCTGAGATCTCACCCAGTGCTAGGGTCCAGGCTGCGAAATGAGGCATAGGATGAGAGAGGTTCTGAGCCACAAATGGGGTCCATACCTAAGAGGATGGGATCAACCTAGGGAAGGATTTGGAGGAGAGGCGTGTGTGGAAACAGAGCCTGGATGCTGAGTCCCTGGAGGCCGGAGTGGGCCCTGGGGCACAGGGAGCCCCTGGCCCCGCCACTGATGCCAATTGGGGTGTCAGTCCCCCAACAAATTCAGTCTGTCCATATCTATTGCTGACACAGGGTTTAGAGAGGGCTTAAATTCAGATAAATGGAATTTGAATTCCCTCTTTGTCTCTCAAATGTGTGAATTTTGGCAGCCAAGTTCCTCTCTCTGAGCCCAGTTTGTCCATCTCAAGATTGTGTGTGATCATACCCACCACACTGGGCCACCAGGAGGAATGAGCGAAGCACCTCATGTCAAATGCCTGGCCCAGGCCTGTGTCTGGCAGGGACTCATGGCTGCGGAAGGGTCATTATTTGCCCCCAGGGATTTCTAGAGAGGATCAGGATGCCACGAGGGATGCTATTGGAAGCAAGTCACACAGAAGCCAGAGCCCTGGGCTTTCCTAGCAGCACTGGACATGGGGCAGGGAACAAACCCGAGCCACACTTCTCAGAGGGTGGGCATGGCATTGAAAACGACGTGTGTAGGAAGCTTTTCCAATACACAAGCTGGGCCCCGCCCCAGAACCTTGAGGGGCAGGAGGAGCACTGAGACAACCTTGGGTGGGGTGAGGCAGGGGGACGGCGGGGGGAGATTTCCAGTCCCTTAGCTGGCGGAAGACTCCTGAGCTGGCAGAGAGCCCTCTTCTTGAAAGACTCTCATGCACAGGCCATCAGGAGGATCACAAAGTTGTTTATTTTCCCACCTATAAGAAAAGATGGATGATGCAGAGTGCCGAGAAATCCCAGCCATTCCCCTGGTGAACATACTGGAGGCCCACACGAGCCTAACAGGCTGTGTCTTTACCAAGGGATTTTCCTCTATTTCAACAGAACTGCAATTTCCCTTCCAAGTGCTCCCCGAGGCATTCTGTCATGCTGCTTCTGGGGATAATTTATCATCCACGTCTGTGCTATTCTACAGCAGCCATGTCCTTAGAACATAGAAAATCTGATTGGCCAAAAAAAAAAAAAAAGTGCCAAAATGTCAAATTTCATACAATCAGGGCAAGAACTGGTCTTCTTTTGGCATTTGGACTGGCTGCCCCCTAAAAAATGTCTTTCTTTCCTTGGCCCTTAGCAAGGCCCAGCCAGAGGCAGAGAAAGGGGGTGACACTTAGCCTTCGCATTAAAAAATGAGCAAGGTTTTCAACCAAACAGTTGAGCAACTGGGCTCATTTTTTAAACACCGAAAATACATCAGATGGACTTATTCATCTGGCTCAGCTTAATACATGTTGGCCTAATGCTACAAATACCTAACATTAAAAAAGTCTGAGGGTATAAACAAGTACAGACCACAGTCACTGGCAGCAATGATTTGGCCTGGAGGTGCACCTGCGGCTGTGCGGCAGACCAGCCCTCAGAACCAGTACTCAGAGACGAAGATGTGGACGTTGACAACATTTCGGTGGGAGACCACGCCCCCGACCACATAGTTCATCTCCAGCTTCAGGACGGCATGAAATGGGCCCACGATGGGCCGCACCTGGCGCACGACACCTGCGGAGAGAGCAGAAGGTGTGCTGGAAGTTAGAAGGGACTGCAGCAACGTAGAGATCTGGGAAATGGTTTCCCTTGAGGAGTTTCAGAGCTAGAAGGAGGCATAGACCTCATGGAGTCCCATCCTACGCCAGATGCTCGAGTCCCCTGAATAACATCTCCTTCCAAGTGGTCAGCTCAGGCTCTGCTCCTGCCTCCAGGGACTGGTGAAAGTGAACTCACTACTTGCTGGGACAGCCTTTCCATCATGCACTGCCCAACCTGGAGGAAAGTTGTGGGTGTGGGCTTTGAAACTGGATGGCTCTGGGATCAATGCCAGCTTCTGAGCCCAGGTTTTCTGCTCTACCACCATTTACCTGACAGGTGTTTTTTGTTTGTCTTTTGTTTTTGCGACGGAGTTTCACTCTTGTTGCCCAGGCTGGAGTGCAATGGCGTGATCTCGGCTCATTGCAACGTCCACCTCCCGGGTTCAAGCCATTCTCCTGCCTCAGCCTCCCGAGTAGCTGGGATTACAGGCATGTGCCACCATGCCTGGCTCATTTTATATTTTTAGTAGAGACGGGGTTTCTCCATGTTGATCAGGCTAGTCTCAAACTCCTGACCTCAGGTGATCCACCCGCTTTGGCCTCCCAAAGTGCTGGGATTACAGGCATGAGCGACCGTGACTGGCCTACCTGAAAGGTTTTAAGGGAGCCTAGAAGAGGGCCTGGCATGCAGTGGGTACCTGATAGACATCTTTCTCCCTCCTTCCAACCCCCTGTGCCCAGTTCTGACCCCTGAGAAGAAATGAAGCAGGCGTATCCTCTCCCCCAGAACATCTGAGGACTGCAATGGGCCCTGGATCCTCCTGCAAGCAGAGCACCCCCAGTTCTCCATGGGGCATGCCTCCGGACCCCTTGCTGTGCATGCCTCTGTGGAGGCTGACACCTGAGCTCACTGTTCAGTGTTTGTGATAACAGGGAAGCAAGAGGTGGCTGGAGTGACAGAGGATCAGAGCAGCAGTGGCGTCCCCAGGGCAGTCAAAAGGAGGATGGGTGGTGCAGGGAGACTGGTGTCAGTTCTGGGGAAACAGCTGGGGGTTGCAGGGAGCTCTGCCTGTACCAGGGTAGGGATCAGGCAAAGACCGTGGCCAGAGGACAGGGCACAGACAAAGCTCAGCCACGGCAGGGTAGAAGAGGAGCAACCCCAGGCATTCTGCAGATTCCAGGGGATCCGGGTTAGCGGGTAAGGGAGTGGGTGCCACAAGTCCTCCCCAGCCTGGGCCCGCCATCTCCATGGCCCCCGACCAGGCCCAGCTGGCACTGCCTTCCCTCTGCAGGGCACCCAAAGCCTCACAGAGACTCTCCCATACTCTGTACGCAGTGAGAGTATGGGACAGTCCTCACTGCACTGCGGAGAGGCTGAGGCCCTTTTGAGGCCTAGGTTCCCCAGCAACAAACGGTGCCATGCCCCTGTGCTCCTGCACTGCACGATTCAGATGCCCAGCATCTGCCAAGGCATCAGCTCCAGCTGTGCAGAGCGGCCTTCCCACCAGAGCAGAGCACTCAGCAGATCCCCTTCGCATGCACACATGTGCTAAACAGGTGCTGGGACAGTTCCCAGGGTTCCAGACATCATGAACAGGATGCTGGTTTCAAAGCTGGTGGGAGATCTAGGATGAAAGGTATGCACCACGCTCTGATGGAGGGTGTGCATTGTCCAGCGGGGGCGAGAATGGAGGTGGGGAGGGCTGGGGAGTCAGGACAGGTTTCTTGGAAGAGGCACCCCTCCTGCAGAGGAAGCTGCACAAGCCAAGGCTACAGGCTGCTCCCCAGTGTCTGCGGCCAAACAGGCACAGACCTATGGGTGCTGACATTTATGAATGAACCGCCAAGGTCCCTTCTCCGTTCCACATGTTCTGACAGTAGGATTTGTCTAAGGTGGTGTTGAGGGTGGGGATGTGGGGTAACTATCTAACAGGTGGCTCTCTGGTCGTACCATCGGCCAATTTCTATGGCAAATTTCCGGTACCACGTGGCAACACTGAAAGTGGACTTGTGGAGAGATGTGTACAAGCAGCTCTCCAGAGCTGGTGTGAGCAGTGTGAACGGTGTGAGCTGGCACTGAGACACCTGCTTGGATGCTCTGTGAAGAGCGAATATGGAGCCTGCAGCTTCACAACCACAAGTTGAGAAATAGCTACTGACTGTTTGCCACAAACGGCTGATTCCAGGCTGGATTCTGTGAACAGTTCCTCTGCAGGCTTAGGAAACGTGCACGGTGACAGCCTATCTCCACCTCTTGGTGCCCAGGACACAGCAAAGGCTCAGGGGAGAACTGAGGGGTCAGGAAGGCCTTCGGTACGAGTGGCTGGTTCCTGGTCAGGAACATCAAGTTCACGCTCAGAAAGAGAATCTGGGCACAACGTTCCCCCCTTTCGCTCTCTGGGCTTATGTTTCAAAAGTGAAAGGCCCAGCAGCTGGGGTGGAATTTCAGGCTGTTCCCTAAGCAAACATGGGCTTTAGCTCCGATGGAGAGATAAGCACAGGCTTCTGCAGGCTGTCAGCACCCTTGCTCTGCCTGCTACCTGGTGATGACATTGAAGCTTTGTCCTGCTTGAAAGCCCATGAACGTCTTCAGCTCCCGGCAAAAGACGTGCGCCTGTCACCACCCTGGGCTCGCCAGCAGAACCTGATGACGGGGTCACTCCTGCCTGCCCCTCCCTGGGCTGGGTCTGCCCACCAGGGTCAGTGTGGGCTTACAGGGCTGAACCTAACGTACCCCCGTGGGCCCCCTGTATGTCATATTTTTCTCTCCCCAGGCCCGAGGCCAACAATGGTGCCCCCGCTAGCCACAGTGACCTGCCAACTTTACTGGTACTAGGCGCAGAGACACTTCTTACCACCCTTCCTGGCATTCAGAGGTTTGGGGCTTGAAGGAGAAGGAGAGGCTGGGTGAGCCTGTGAATCACTGTAGGGAGGAATGGCAGGCACCTCCACAAGCAACAGTCAGATATGTCTTTGTTTCAGCTGGGTGCAGTGGCTCACGCTTGTAATCCCAGCACTTTGGGAGGCTTAGGCGGGCAGATCACAAGCCCATGAGTTCGAGACCAGCGTGGGCAACGTGGCAAAACCCTGTCTCTACAAAAAATACAAAAATTAGCCAGGCATGGTGGTGTGTGCTTATAGTCCCAGCTACTCAGGAGGCTGAGGTGGCAGAATTGTTTGAGCCCGGGAAGGTCAAGGTTGCAATGAGCCAAGATTGTGCCACTGCATTCTAGCCTGGGTGACAGAGCAAGATCCTGTCCCAAAAAAAAAGAGATCTATTTCTGTTATTATTATATTTCTGTATATTATATAGTTTCATATATGATATATAACTATTATACATATAAAACAATATATTAAAAATATATGTTATAAAGTATGTCAAATTTATATAACTGTATTTTAAATAGTTTAAAGTGTATTTTATAAATTTACATATAAATTTATATAATTATTATATAATTATATTTACACATAAGTGTATTTATATGTAAATATAATTATATATAAATATCCATATTTGTTCATATAAAATGTTTACATTTACTCTAAAATTTATATATAAAATATAAACATGATAAATATATAATTATCATATTATGTTGCTATATGTACATAATTATATTATGTTGATATATGTATATAATTATATTATTATGTTGATATATGTATATAGTAATCATATTCTTATGTTGATATATGTATATATAATTATCATATTCTTATGTTGATATATTTATATATTTATCTTAAATGTCTATATTTAAATACACACTCCTGGTGCATGTGGGACCATTAATATTATCAACAGTTCCAATGCACAGAGGGTCTGCGCATGCTACGTGTGCCTGGCACTGGCTAAATAAGAATGTAGAGAAACTGAAGGTCTGTCCTCAGGGGTCAGTCTGGGGACAGAGAAAGAAAGAAGAAAGTGCTCATGCAGTGAGCTCCATGTGGGACAGGGACCTGCCACAGACGTTCTAAGTAGGCCCTTTGAGACCTGCAGGATACGAACTGACCTGGCTCCGTGGTAGGACCCCCAGATGGATTATTTGACCTTCCTGAGTCTCAATTTCCTCTTCTATGAACAGGGATTAAAAACAGCAACCTTTGGCCGGGCGTAGTGGCTCACGCCTGTGATCCCGGCACTTTGGGAGGCCGAGGCGGGCGGATCACAAGGTCAGGAGATCAAGACCATCCTGGCTAACACGGTGAAACCCCGTCTCTACTAAAAATACAAAAAATTAGCCGAGCGTGGTGGGACACGCCTGCAGTCCCAGCTACTCAGGAGGCTGAGGCAGGAGAATCACTTGAATCCAGGAGGCGGAGGTTGTAGTGAGCTGAGATCGCGCCATTGCACTCTAGCCTGGGCGACAGAGCAAGACTCTGTCTCAAAAAACAAAACCAAAAATAAAACAAAAAAAACCCCAGCAACCTTCAAAATCAGAAACAAATCAAACTCGATGTCATCCTTTTTCTTTCCACTGAGAAATGACCACTGGCTATCAAAAAGCATTCTAATATTTAAAGTGATCTGACTCCCAGCCAAAGCGTGGCTGAATTCTTAGAAACATACAGCAGGTGTTAAGTATTTCTCTTGGACTGATTTATGAGAGAGGAAAGCCCTGAACATATAGAAAATGATTGTCCCTAAATACATTGCACCAGAGTACTTCACGAGGTTTGGTCTCTACAATGGCTGAAGACCAGAGCTCCAAGCTGATTGTAAACAGCTGCGTGGTGAGACGAGCAACTAGAAAGGAAGGACCACACTAGGGAAAAGGGTGCTGTGAAGGGGAAGGGAGGCGCTAGGCTGAATCACTGATGGTCAGATTCGGGGCCTGGATTTTCTCAGGTTCTTTGCATTTAACAAGAAAAGTTATTAAGGTAGAACAAGTAGGGATGCTGCGAGGGTTGAACAACAGACTGTACGGCTGCACACAGCAGGCGCTCAAGGAATGTGCACCCCTTCCTGACCTTCCAAATCCGCTTCTCTATCCCTCCCCTCTGACCTGAAGTCCACACTGCATCTCCCAGTCTGTGCACAACCCCACTCAACCCAGGACCCCCTTTCCCAGGCCATGCCCTGTCAGCGGACCTGCCCACACTCCTCCAGCCTAGCCACATTTTCCTGGGCTCTGGTTTGGGGAACAGGTTTCCTCCATCTCCAGGCTAGTTCAAGCATGACTTCCACCTCCTTGCCCTCACCTCGACTGAACCCAGGCCAGTGGCTAGGGAGGACTTCATGAAAGAGGACCTTAACAGTTCAGCTGGTCCTCAGTTCCTGGCACATAATAGATGCCAAATAAATGCCTGCAGAATCAAGATTCTGATACCACTTTTCTTCATAGCTTCATAACCATCCATCAACCCAACCATCCACTCACCAATCCATCTATCCATCCATCCGTCCATCCATCCATCCACCCACCCACTCAGCAATCCATCAACTCACCTACCCATGGATCCAACCATCCATCCATTCACCCACCCATCAACCCAACCATCTGCTCATCCATCCATCCATCTATCCACTCACCCATCCATCTATCCATCCATCCATCCATCCATCCATCCATCCATCTATCCACCAATCCATCCACTCACCTACCCATGGATCCAACCATCCATCCATTCACCCACCAATCAACCCATCTGTCCATCCACCCACACACCCACCCATGGATCCACCCACCCATCCATTAGATGCTACCCACCCATGAATCCACCCACCCATCCATTAGAGGCTACTCTGCACAGAGGAGCTTTAAACAGGAAGCTTTAAATTGGGTTTTGAGGAATAAATATGAGCCAAGGAAGCAGGAAGGACAAGTGCAAAGCCCAAAAATATGAAGTTTCAGGCCGGTTCTGGGAACGGTGTCAATCTTGGGGAGAGGCAGGCAGATGAGGCTGAGCCACGTGCCTCATCTGGTGGGGACTGCCCCAGGACCTCACTTCGTCAGTCTCAGAGAACCAAGAAGCTGGGTCATTTCCTGGCTGCCTCCCCATCACGAATTCTACACCACTGTTCTTTCAGAACCACCACCAACTTCTCTAACACAGGGAGGCAAGGGAAGGAGGAAGAAGTAGCAAGGAACACTCGCTGCCCACATGCAGCATCGCAAACATGAGAGCTGCCACCAGGGGCCTGGTTCCATCCATCCACTTGATCCTACAGACTCTGATTTGCCATGTCTCATGTGCCAGACACTGGGACCAGCTGGAATGCTTCATAGAAGTCTTCACAGAAGTCTTCCCTGGACCCCCTATGTCACCTGGCACCTGGTCTCTTTCCACTGCAACACTGCACCTGCTCATTGCAGGGGACGCTCACAGTCGGCCTCCTTGTTCAGGGACAGTGTCAGCTCATTTCTGCCCCACCATCCCCAACCCAGGCCCTGGCAGGCCCATGGCAGGCCTTCTGCCATGAACACGTCGTAAGATGAAGGCAGAAGAAGAAGAAAAGAGAGTGAAGGAAGGAGAGAAGGAAGAAGGAAAATCAGTCCCTGAAGCCTCACAATCTAGGAACGAAGACAACACTTTGTCCTGAAGGAAAGGGGAGCCACTGAAGGCTCCGGGTGAGAGCAGTTTCATTTGGAAGGACCACCCCAGCAGTAAAAGGCAGGACAAAGAGGTGCATTTCCATCACACCTGGCTTGTCTGTCTTACCTGCCAGGGTGTTTGCCTCCTACCTTTCCGAAGCCCCAGAAAGAAAAAAAAGGCCACAGTGCTGAGTTCAATTGTGTTAATCTTCCAAATCCTCATCCCTGGCATTTCTGCTTCAGGTCTCAGACGCTGCTGGTATCCCTTGGCGTGTCTGTGCCTCTTAAAGATATAATTAAGCACTTTTTTTCTCCCTGTTGAAAAATGTAGGTCCCCTCGGGCGCTTCACTTTCATGTCTTGGCTCTGCTCTGTAAGTTGCAGCTGATGTGCTGGGGATCCAGGATCCTGAACACGAAGTGCTCGGGTGCAGTGGGGAGACCTTCGCTGCCTCTTGGGCTCTGTGGTCCACATTCTCGGCCCCATCTCGAAGCCATCTTTCAGCTCCTGCTATTTGATGTTGCACTTGATTGTCTCTCCATTGTTTCAAATGATGAAAGTCAGTGGCGGGGGGTGGGGGGGGTCTCTCTGCCTGAGTCTCATGTCTCTGACTCTAGACACTGGTTTATAAAGAGACCTAGAGTTACAGCCTCGAGTTCCTAGGTGGCTCTGCATCGACCAGCTGTGTGACCTTGGGCACGTCATCTTCCCTTCTAAAGTGCAGCCTCCAACGTGAGGCTTGTGATTCTAGCTGACAACGTGTAATGGAGTGTGCAGGGCTGTCAAAGAGCATTTTAGCAAACCAGATGATGAATCAAGAGACTGCACAATATCTCATACCAGTGGAAATTAACTGTGGCCACCATGTGGGGCCAGCCATGAGCAGAAAGGAAGGGAAGTGTAGGGCTGTGTGGACAAGGTGCTGAAACAGAGAGGCCAGGAGCTCAGAGGAGACCCAAACAGGCTTGCCCATCACAAGCACCGCAGGCAACTGGGAAGAAGCAAACCATCACCAGGCCTCAGTAAATTCACCCCAAGAGGCTCCACAGTTCCTGCAGGCGAGGACGAGCAGCACAGACCAATGGCAAAGAGGAAACGTTGAGAATATGTGCGGCCGGGCGTGGTGACTCACGCCTGTCATCCCAGCACTTTGGGAGGCCAAGGTGGGTGGATCATCTGAGGTCAGGAGTTCGAGACCAGCCTGGCCAACATGTCGAAACCCTGTCTCTACTAAAAATACAAAAATTAGCTGGGCATGGTGGCAGGCGCCTATAATCCCAGCTACTCGGGAGGCTGAGGCAGGGAGAATCACCTGAACATGGGAGGCAGAGGTTGCAGTGAGCCGAGATCACGCCACCACACTCCAGCCTGGGTGACTGAGCGAGACTCTGTCTCAAAAAAGAAAAAACAAAAAAGCACATGGAAGTATTGTCAGCACTCACAAAGCCACCAACTAGAGTGTGGATGGGCTGGAAAGAGGCCACACAGCAGGAGACATGGGTGGAGACAGAGAGACCCTATGTGCCCACAGCCGCATTCAGCCCCCATCGCAGTTAGGGATGAGACACGGTCGCCCTCCTTCTCCTGGGGAGAAAAATGAGGCGCTACTAGTAGCACCTTCCAGATCACGGAGCTAACAGGGCCGCAGGTTTCCGTCCAGCGGGGACTGACCTCAGAGCCCAGATCTTCCCATCCCACTACATCTCCTTCCTCCTGTCTGCAAAATGGCGCGCAGGACACTTCCTCCCTCCTGTCTGCAAAATGGCGCGCAGGACACTTCCTCCCTCCTGTCTGCAAAATGGCGCGCAGGACACTTCCTCCCTCCTGTCTGCAAAATGGCGCGCAGGACACTTCCTCCCTCCTGTCTGCAAAATGGCGTGCAGGACACTTCCTTCCTCCTGTCTGCAAAATGGCGCGCAGGACACTTCCTCCCTCCTGTCTGCAAAATGGCGCGCAGGACACTTCCCGACTGTACTGCCCTTAGCTGAGTCATAAACACACGGCAAAAACAGCAGAAAGCAATTAGAGAGAATCGCATCAGAAGCTGGTGGTGCAGTTGAAGGGACTGAGCTCCCGAAACCTGGTCTTCTCTGCTTGGCTGAGAAACGCCATAAAAGCCGGGAAGCAAGGGGGACAGGTGTCTGGGCTGCATATTTAAAATACTAAGTGTCAGTCAACATGTCTCAGCAAAACTCATCATCCGTATTTCTTGATGGTTATAAATGTGCTCCTTCCGCAGGTCTCCCGTGAGCTAAATCAGACAGTTTGGAGGGGACAGCTGAAGGTAGCTGAACGAAAGAGACAGCTCTTCGTTTCAGGGTGCACCTTTCCCCTTGGGGAAAAATATGAAGGGAAATGTCAGCTTTGGACTAAAGCCCTTCAGCCTTCACCTGTGGCGTGGGAACTAACATTTCTGCAGTGCTTCGTCATCACAGAGCTCACTCACATCGACTGTCTCTCCTCTCATCGCAAACGCAGGCAGTGGGGGCTCACCGGGGAGAAAATTTGGCTCTGTGTGGTTACGTGAGTTGCTGACAATCACACGGCCAGCAAGCAGTAAACCAGAACTGGAGCCCAGACCCTGGGCCACTGCCCCTTCCACCAAGCTCTGTGGCCTTGCCAAAGGAAGACAAGGTCTGGGAGAGTTCTGGAAGGATCTGCTGTCTGAGGCACCTCCTTTTAGGAGAAGTGAACTTGTGACTGAGACTAGAGGGATAAGAAATCATGTCCCCTCCCTCCGTGTGTCTCCTGAGCCGACCTCAGCCTCCACCCACCTACCTGCTGGGTGGGGTCCTCCTGGGCCCCCGACCCAAACTCGGAGTCCACTCCAATTTCTCCAGACGCCCCTCCCAGATGGACAATTCAAATCCAAGCACGCCAAACACTGACCTACCCTCCTCCCTTAAACCCACTTCCCTTCCTCCCCTACCCCTCACTCTCCAGGCAGGTACCCCCAAGCCAGGAACTTGGAGTCGCCCTCGATAGGCCCCTTACTCCCATCCCTCAGGTTAAACCATCACTGAGGCCAATGGATTCTATTCCTAAAGGTCTCCAGACTCTCCTCCCTTCTCTCCCCACAACCCCACCTGGCCTCAGTTCCGGCCTCGTCGCATCTACCTGAACACGTGTACCACCTTCCTTTTCACCCCTCCCATGCCTCTTCCCACTGTGCTCAGAGCCAGGAGGTAAATCCAACCGTGGGGGCCCACTGTGGCTCTGCAGGGGGCTCTTCTCACCCTACCCCCACCCGGGCTCACAGCAGGTGAGACGCATCTTGCTGAGGCCCACGGCCCCGTCCAGCCCAGCTCTCAGCACACTGCCCCAGCCACACTGAACCCCTTGCAATCCCCCAAGGTGAGGGGGCCACGAAGGGCAGGACGAGTTCAAGTCTTGCCAACTTCACTCAAAGACGTGGGCACACCAGAGGGGCCAAGTCCTGCCCTCTGCCTTCCGGAGTGAAGGCTACTCTGCCTCTTTCTACAGATGCAATGAAGGTCTGGAGGGATGGGGGGGAAGAGAGGCTGGCCTGGCGGGCAGCCCTTGAGTGCAGAGAGGGGGTCCTGAGCCCCAGGCCTGCAGGTCAGAGCAGAGCCCTCTCTTCTCTATCTGACAAGCACAGAGCACTTGCTGTGGGTGGCTGCAGTGCTGGGTGCTGGGGTTACCAACATCACCTGGCCCTGGTCTGGCTCTTCATGGGGCTCTCAGCCACTGGGAGAGCAGGCACAGGGGATTGGGGCAGCAGAGGCTGATAAAGGTAAGCAAATCTCCTTTGGGAGAGCTTCGGAGAAATACACACCCCAAACCGGGAACTGGTGTCATGGAAGCTTCCCCAACGGGTTAACCTTGAACTGACTTTGAAGAACGAGGTGCCCAACAAGAAAAGGGCGATGGGAGGGTGCTCTGCGGGGAGGGTGCTCTGCGGGGAGGGTGGAGACATGAGGCAGCTTGGTGCTCTCAGTTTTCCTGAGCAGATGAGAGTAAAGGAGGGAGGGCTAGGGGAGAGGCTGATGAGAGGGCAGGCCAGTCATGCCCCTTCTCTCTCCTGGAGCCATGGGAGCCGCTGCTGGAGTTCAGCAGGAGGGGACAGGTGAAGTTGGTGGAGAACCATCACTTTCTTCTCCTTTACTCCTGAGAGGCGCCATGAATGAGCCAATTCAGGGCAGAAAGGGGCCCCCTGCTGCAGGGCCATGGCACAGAGCCCCCCCAGGCTGGAGCAAGGCCACGTCCTCAATGTCCCTTTTCCAGGCCATCATCCCAGAGGCTCGCGAATCTGCAGATGACTGTCTGCGCTGCCATGGACTGAACATTTACGATACACCTACGCTATGGACCGTGCTCCATGTTGTCAGGATGCAGAAGTGACAACTGAGATTTCAGGACCGGGTCAAGCCTCAAAGAGTAGAACTCTGCCCTCCCCAAGGTCGCTGGGGAAAGTCATGACAGCAGGAACCCCACAGAGTCCCAGCATGATGTGTGCATTCTTAATTCATGTCACCTGAGCCTGGAAGCTCCTGTGTGCCTCAGTTTCCTCATCTGGAAAATGGGAATAATGATCTACAGGGTTGCTATGAGGAGCAAGTTATATATAAAAAATATATTTTTACATATTTTTTATATATATAAAAATATTTTTATATATTTTTTATATATATAAAAAATATTTTTATATATAAAAAATACATATATATGCCCAGAAGAGTGCCTGGCACACCACAAGGGCCACGCGGGGTTTGCTGTTAATTTGAGGACTGTGATAGCCTTGGCCACAGATGGAATGTTCCTAGCAGAGTCCGCCTGGAAGCACCTGACATCCTCCCGGTGCTGGCCAGGTAATGGCGGGCACTGAGATCCTTTCGCAGATTTAAAGACGGTTAGGAGAGGCCGCCAAAAGATTCATATCATCGTCATTCCTTTTTTTTTTTTTTTGCTAATTTTGCACAACATGCCTCTACTGCTGTTTGGCTAAAACATTTCATTTTTAAAAAAGAATAATTTATGAATGTGCCCGGTGATATTAAAGGCTTTTCAGAAGGTGCAGACCAGCAGCCTAAGAGGGTCACAAATCATTCCTGCGGGAGGCTCTGGAGACTAAGAGGCTGTTCCCAGCCCCTTTTAACCCCTTGGTGACTCTGGAAGTCAGCAGGTGTGTGGGATCCTGCGGCCAGTTATGGGCAACTGCTGGGGGCTGGGTTGGGGTGACCCCAGTGGGTGCATCTGTTCTGTGTGTGTATAAGAAGCAAGGACAAACAGGGTGACAGAGGGTAGCCTTGCACGAATAAACCCCTGGAGGCTCTTCTGTCTAGGAATTGTTTGGTGGAATTGAAAGTCAAGCGAAGAAACTCCCAATGCCACAACTCCTGGTGTTTCCCTTTTCACGACACCCCTCCCCCCAGCACAAGCATTTATCTGCTCTGGTTCACGACAGACTTTCCAGAAGGAGTTCCCCAGGCATGGCCACTCCAGCACTCTGCCATTCCCTCTGCCTGGAGCCCTCTTCCTCCAGATCTCTGTGTGGGTCACTTCCTCAGCTCCTGAGTCTTTGACAAATGTCACTGACCACCAGATTTAAAGCTGTACCGCCATGCTGCACCCCGCCTCCCACTCCCCTCCCCTGCTCTGCACAGCCCTCACTACCATCTGACCGTGTATATATTATGCTTGTTTCTCGTGTACTCCTACCCTCTGGGATAAAAAGTGTATGAGAGAGGCGTTCATGTCTGCCTTAGTCACTGCTGCATTCCTCAGAGCAGGACCTGCCCCCAGGGATACACACATTACTCGTTGGGAGAATGAGTATGAGGAGAGTTGCAAAAGGGGCTCATCTGGGGCCACTGGAGCACAAAAGAAGGAGCTGCACACTCTGCATGTGGAGCGTGTGGACGGCATCCAAGAGGAGGTGACAGCTGACATCGGCTTGGAGGGATGAATAGGAGTTCACCAAAAGGAGAAGGAAGTGAATGTCACGGCTACAGTCCAGGAGAGGAGAGAGGCCATGGAATATTTGGGGTCTGAGGCATGGGCTGGAGTGGCTGAAGCAGAGCGGAGGGAAGAGGAAGGAGTAAGATGCAAGCGGCTCTGCAGAGCCGGAAGGCCAGTTGGTAGATCTGGGTGCTTCTCTCCAGCCTGGAGCCCACGCATCCCTGAGCGCTGGGCCCCCAGGGGTAAGCCCCACTCTAAGAGATACAGCAGTGACCACAACTGGCAGACAAGCACAGATTCCCTACCTCGTACACATTTTATTCTGGAGGGTAGGAGCAGGCGAGGGAGATAGGAAGCTCTGGGCTGAGGATGTCTCTCTGGCCGGGCAGCGGGGATGGATGTGAAAAGTGGGGCTCTGGGCTGAGGACGTGTCTCTGGCCGGGCAGCGGGGATGGATGTGAAAAGTGGGGCTCTGGGCTGAGGACGTGTCTCTGGCCGGGCAGCGGGGATGGATGTGAAAAGTGGGGCTCTGGGCTGAGGACGTCTCTCTGGCCGGGCAGCGGGGATGGATGTGAAAAGTGGGGCTTAGAACACAGACACTGCAGTCACAGCAACGCCGGCTGTGGGTGTGGGGAGTGGGTTCGTGCCTTCCAGCGTCAGGAACCAGTGGCCAGGCACATTTTGCCATGATGCGCACGTACATGACGAGGGGAGAGGCTCCGTGACGTGCTCGTGAACCTCACATCCCATTGACAACATCTGGGAGGTGGGGTACCCGCAGGTCTGAGAAGCAGCCCACATGCCTCGCAGGAGTCCCCCAGAAGCTCACGAGAACGGCAGCATGTCAAGGTCCCAGAATAGGGACCTCTGGCCCTGTACTGTCCGTAGACCCTGTCCACATGGCCTGGCCCAGCCCTTTCTGCTGGCTCCCGGTGCTGTGGATGGCCTGATGTCACCCACCGACAGGCATCACTAGGACCCCACCCTGCCTGGGCCCTCGGGCTGACTCCAGGGTGAATGGATGTGACCCTTTCCTACGTGGCCCCATTCCGGGCCCTCCTCTACTCCTTCCGAAACACCTGCTTACCCCCCACCACCTTTCACCTGCTCAGTGTGCGTCCCTGTCTTCCCACCCCTGTGATTTGCAGTCCCTGATGGCTCAGGCATGTGTCCGTGGGGACCAAGCAGGCACGGGAGATGGAAATTTTCAGATGCCCGCCAGGTGCTAAGTCTTCCAGCCCAAACCTTGACGAGCACCACTGCCTTTGTGCAAGGCAGACGTCTCAAGTTTGGCTTCCTTCCACCCTCCCGCTGGGACCATGACGGTCCCGTCCACGGTGACACCGCAGATGTGGAGCTGTGTAATCTCCCAACCTCTCTGGCTGCATTGTCTCACCTGCGCTACACCAAAAAGGCCTGTAGAGAGGGGTGTAGCCGACCCCTGGGGGTTCAGCAGGGCAAGACAGTCCCCTCTCCCCACCATGCTGTCTCCTCCTGCAGAGGCGGCCACGGCAGGGGGTGCTGAGCGGGCTGTACCCCGCCGACCCTTCCTAGCCAGGTCCTGGGCTGGAAAACCAATCTCGGGTGTGCAGTGCGGCACTCACATGGACAGGGCGTCTCCTGGGGCTGAGGCCTTGAGCTCCGAATGAATGCTGTCCACGTTACTGCAGGTCCAGCCCAGGCTGTCCAGGGGCCACCCACTGAGCAGGGAGGTTTCCGGGACTGGTCCCTGGGGCCCCCTGTGTGTCTCACTGAAGTAGGCTCAAAAGCAGAGACTGTACCCCATTAATGCTACCAAGCCTTCTGAGGGGTCTGGCCTGAGCCCAGGAGCTGCTGCAGGGAGGGTCACCAGCTTTGTGACGGGGGTGACTTCTGAGAGTTTTGGTATCTGGGGAATTGGGGGCTGATAACCTCAAGGAGGGATAACAGCAGCTGTTTCGGGGGGCTACGCGCCGTCACACAGGGCACAGGCTCTGATGCCTCAGAGCCCATCTCTGCCCCATGGGGTCACGACATAGGGAGCAGAAAAGGTGTGTGTTCTCCTTCCATCTCCCAGTCTCTGAGACACCCTCGTCCCCATGCCCTCCACCTCCTGGAACCCTCGGTGACACCCCCAGCTCAAGATGGAGTCAGGCCGCAGCTGATCCCAGCCCAGAGGAGGCCGGGCCCAGCACCCTGGGAAAGAACTTGGCTGCCAGCCAGGGTGTGGCCCCCGGGGTGACAGGGCTGTGTCTCCCAGAAAAGAGAAAGCGCGTCATCCCTGGGATTTGCCGTGAAAGCCAGGACAGGGCAATCACTCATCGTTGGGCAGGGACGGCCGCGCTGTTGTTTTTAGGTGGAATTTCTGAATCTCATTTGTAATGTGTACTGATCCCGGGCCAAACTCTCCACATGGGCTGCAGGACGCGGTCAGCGGCGCACATTTAACCCCTTAAGAGGTAATAATTTTAACGAGGTGATCTGGGCCCTGCTGGCTGGGACAATGGACGGTCTCAAGCCTTGACTGAGGCCTTGCCTGGCCAGGGGGAGAGGTACAGCTAGGTAGATATCTCCATTCACAAGCCCTTGTACCGGGGCTGCTGCATACAGTTGAGCAGGTTGTGTACTGCAAATAGACTCACCGGTGGATGGTGCTGCCTAGATTTTGCAGTGCACAACACATCCAACTGTACATAGCAGCCCTGCCACACGCCACTTCTCTCTCTCTCTCAGACATGAACTGGGATGACACCAACCCCTAAACCACAAGCACTTTCAGCTGTGGGAACTCTGGCAGGATGCTATGGATGCTGGTGGGGAGCTTCTTAAAAGCAGGATGCGTAGCTTGGATGTAGATTTGTTCTGCAGTACCCAGTGCAGGGCCTGGCATAGAAAAGTACCCCAGGATGTTCTTGTTGAATGAATAAGATAATTCAAGGATGATAGGACTTGAGAGGCCTGCTTGCTGACTTGCTTCCGGCCAGGCCGGCCTCACCAGCCCAGGCCGCGAGATCTGCCTATTAAGTAGGTCCTGGGCAGTTGGAGCCACTTTGGGCTGGACGGTCCTGGCCCTGTCCCATCATCCTTGATCTGGCCTGTTGTCCCCTAAGAAGGCTCCGGGCTCCCACCAGCCCTCCATTTCCAAACTTCTTCCTCCCAGCGGCTCATTTATCCTCCAGACTAGACCACTCTTATGTTAAAACAGGCACACACCTCAGTCCCTATTACCCTGCAGGGCAAATATTATTATGGCAATTTTACTGAGAAGAAAGCTGAGGCTCAGACAGGTTATGAAATTTGCCTAAAGTCACACAGCTGGAAACAGAGAACAAAGCCGCAAGCCCAGAGCAGTTTGCCGCGGCCACACAGACCCAATCACACTTTGCCTAAAAGGGGCCACTCACGCCATTGCTATTTTTCAAACGGTAAACTTGAAATTGGGTAATAATCCTTATACACCCACAGATGGAATTTAAAATGCGATTTCAAAACATAAACTGTGGTAGTTCCCTTTAAGTGGGGGTGAGAGTGCTGCAGGAGCGCGTTGACACACTGGCAAAACTCAGAGGCTCCCACGACTCAGCACAGACAATGTGGGAAAGCGGCTGTCAAGTTCACTTTCATGGAAAAGCCTGGGTGTTGTGCCGGCTTCTCATCCTATGTTGCCTCGGCACGCATTCTGAATGTGCGTTTAACTCCCACACCAGAGCAGGGCTCAGTCACCCTTGCTGCGGGTTCCAGTTCTCCACCTCCTCCCAGTTCCTTAAGGCGGTTGACCCAGAGGACTGCCTTATACCACCACCTCCTGGGGGCCCCTGCCTTATGGGACAGCTGGATACAACCCAAAGACCCTCACACCTACATCGATAGTGCAGGCCTATGCAGAAGTGACCCCCATCCGCCACCGCATGACCTCAGGGAACTCCTGCCTGCTCCAAGCCCCCCAGTTAGAATTCCTCACGGGAAACCTGCCTGGATAACACCCTGGACCCCAGTAAAGGCTTTGGTCCCACAGGTCTCTCTCTGTCTCTCTCTCTCATTCTCTCTCTCTCTCATGCTGCAGGCGCTTCCCCTTCCCATTGGCCCTGCAAGGGGTGCTCCCCACCTCTCTAGGACCTGTGAGTAACTAGCTGCTTCTGTTACTTCCTGTGTTGATTGTGCTGTCTTCTCTGCGTCTCACCTGACTGGCACACCAAAACCCAGCTTCCTTCCTGATCAGGCCTAGAAGGTATAGCCACTCTCAAGAGAGACGGCAAGGCGAAATTAGGAAGAACTGATATTTACAGAACATTTAGGTTTCCATCAGTATTTACATCCTGTGCACCCACTGTGTGCCAGGCACTGCTGGGAGCTTTCACATACATCGTTTCATCTGATTCCATTAATGAGATGCAGAGTCTCCAATTAGGGCGTTTCCTTCCTAAATGTAATATAGGTGACCATGTCTAAGGTGAGCAGCTGTCTAAGGTAAGCATCCACCCTTCGATCATGTGGACTTCATCGCTGCCATGCTGCTTGGCCAGACTTGCCCCGGCCAGGAGCTGAGGACCCAAACCCTTCAGCTTCTCTAAGGAATCCTGCAGCAGCTGAGCCCTTAGAGCTGCCTGGGGGGCTGAGGGGCTTGGGGGACAACAGAGAGCTGACTAAAGGACCTGCTTGGGCAGTGCAGCTCCAACTTGCTGGCTGTGGGACCCTGGGCCAGCACTTCCTTTTTTTTCTTACATAAATGGTGATACCAGCCCCAGGGTGGCTGTCCCACAAGGCTGCTCGAGGATCTAACAGCATATGGTGCTTGCGAAGGGGATCTGGGCACAGGGTGGGTGGACGTACAGGGAGGCACCAGGTGATTCCAACGCAAAACTGCCAGCGAAGTCTCCAAATACTGTCCCTAGGCCCAGGGCAGCCTTGGGCTGGGGACACAAGGTCTGGTCTTGATACTACAGGACTGTCCCTTCTCCAAGCCAGAGAGTATAAAACATCTCAGAGATCAAACCCTGTGCATACGCACTCACCACTCACACGCACCCACACACACGCACACACTCCACACCCAGCCACACGTGCACTAAATCATATCAGAGGGCTTGCCCAGAAACAACTGTGCAGAGTGGAGTGGGTCTGAATGTCTTCTAAGATGCGTAGGTTGTCATTAAAGCCCATTCCCAGCCGTGAAGCTCCTGCCCCAGCCTAGAAAGATCCTCCCTAAATTGCAGCCAGCCCCAGCATCTATCTGCACCAGGTGCGGCTGTGGCTGTCACTGGGGAATCATTGAGGCTGGGAGGGGTCCTGGAAAGGAGGCAGGTCTGGGGGTCCCAGGGAGCAGCATGATGGGTCGCCTGTGTGACCAAGGATGAGTGGGCCCTCGGCAGGTAAAGAGCCGGAGAGAGACCCTCCAGGACCTCGCCATTCCGCAGCATGGTGACATCTGAACTTCATCTTTTGACTGCCTGGACATACAGGGAGGTCTTTCCTCATCAGGGGCTGGCCCAGGACCCAAGATCCCATGGCCGGGAGCACTGTGACTGTGTGAAAGGAGGTGCTTCACTATTTATCCTCTACGGCTGGGACTCAGACTCAACCACGGCTGACAGATGCCAGCCAGTGTAGATACCAGCTAGTATAGACCAGAAAAAATAATCAGGGCTTAACATAGGCCATGGGGATGGGGAGTCCCGGATCTGGGCAGTTCAGGTCTAAGCCCTATCCTCGAACACTTCCTGGCTGGGAGATCCTGGGGACTTGGCTCTTCCGGCCTCAGTCTTCTTACCTGCTGAGTGGGTACAACCTCAACCGCAACCTCAAGCTGCAGGAGGCCCAGTGGGTTAAATAAAGCAGCGGGATCTGGAAGCTCCATGGGCAGCACAGACCTCCCGTGGCTCCCGTGGTCCCCAGGACAGCATCCACCAAGGCCTGGCCCTGCAGCCCCTTTCGGCCTCCCCTCGACCCTCCCTGCACCCTGGATGCTCCAGCAGCCCCAAACCGCAGGCTGTGCCCTCCCTTCCTGGCTCCCTGCCTCTCATCGCGCTGTTCATGGGCCAGCCACAGACGTGGCTGTGAGTTTGGGTGTCCCACTTGTCTGGCTCACCCCTCAGCCTCAAGACCCAGAATGTGTGTGACCTCTTCCAGGAAGCCTCCCCTGACTGCCCCATGGTCATGCCCGTGCGACAGGAGGGGCTGGCCTGCAAAAAACTACAAAGACAACTCCGTAGCTCCCTGCAACCCGGGAGGCCCAAGGGTCAGGAGGTCCACATGCAAAATTCGTCCGTAGGCCAAAGAATTACTTCACCTGCAGGCTCTGTAGCTCCTGTTGGCATTGGCAGGGTTTTAACAGAAATGTGGCCACAACCAAGCCTCATAGCACACAGATTTCCCTCCCTGGAGAAATAGGGAGGGCGTTTTTGCAGGCCAGGCCCTCCTATCACACAGCCATGACCCTGGAGCAGTCAGGGGAGGCTTCTTGGAAGTGGTCACACACATGCTGGGTCTTGAGGCTGAGTGGAGGGAGCCAGACAGACACAGATGTGGCTGGCCTGAGAGTTAAAAGGAAGTGGTGATCTGGAGGCTGGAGGGGAAGTCTGAGGCTCAGACAGCAGCCATAGCCCAGGGGCCCGGGGAGCCCGGGTGGCCTCGAGTTGCCTTTCTGTCTCTCTCTTCCGCACGCTGATGATACACAGCCCGCCCCTGCTGCAGCCAGGGCTCCCCCATTAGTCATCACTCAGGATATACTACCTGAAAGATCTCTTCCCAGAGCACCCCGGATTACAGGCTGCAGAGCTGAGAATGAATCCAGAGCCAGATAAGGAAAGCTTTGTAGTGGCCTGAGAATCCCTCGGGCATTAATGGAGCATTTTTGCACAGGGCGAAAACGCATTCTTCATTTTTCTTTGACAGCCGGTTAAAGAGGAATGCAAGGGGGCTTTACAAAGACGACGGCGCGGGCCCTGCTGCGGGCTCCTCGATCCCCGCTAAGAACGGGTCTTTCAAGGCTACATTAGAGGACGACCCGGCCCTTGCAGGTTCTTAGTGGACTCGGGGCATTTCTCCCTCTTCTTCTGTTACTCTGGGAGGACTGAACACGGCGAGCCCCGGGGCCTGTGCGCTGATTGTTTTTCTGGGACATCCAAACTCACAGCAACTTAGCCCACCACAGCAGCAGTCAACCCTGGGCTCCGGCTCTGGGCGGGTGTGGTGTCTGGGGAAGACCGGGCTCCAGGCCCGCTCTGGCCCCAGCTCTGAGTGGCCTCGGGCAAATCTCTTGCCCTCTCTGGCTCTCGCTCTCTCCTTTGTTAGAGGAGATAATCCCACCGTGTCACAGGGTCCTGGCGATGATGAAACCCTGGCTCCTGGTCATCACAGGTGCTCACTAAGTGTCACTCCCTCACATGCAAGGACACTCAGCTCGGGCCTCACCTCCTCCAGGAAGCCCTCCTGATCCGGTGCCCAGTGTCCACACAGGGCATGGCCTAGAGCAGACAGGTGTTCAGCAAGCACCGTGAGTAGGCGGCGTTCCCTGCCGTGTGCTGCAGGCAGCACAGAGCTGCACGGGGCTGCCCAGGAGGCTCAAGAGCCTCCCACGCTCCCCACCAGGAGCAGCAGCCCTGGAAGCCGCTTTC
Source organism: Homo sapiens (assembly GCF_000001405.40). Classification (NCBI taxonomy): domain Eukaryota; kingdom Metazoa; phylum Chordata; class Mammalia; order Primates; family Hominidae; genus Homo; species Homo sapiens. The sequence continues at coordinate 45,580,228 of NC_000022.11, read as the reverse complement.
TTCCTCTCCACCACCATGAAGGGTTTCTGCCTAAGTCACTGCTTGAAATCAGAACTGCACTGCTAAAAACAAGTCGGAAAACATCCCAGGCCCTGCAGTTTTTCAGTTGCACAGTCTCAGGCGGTCATTTAACTCAGCTCCCTCCTTTGCCCAAGGGAGACAATCATGACCCGTCGCTGGCAGTGTCTGTGAGGACTGGGGAATGCGGGGGTGAAGGTGCCCAGCAACGGTAAGGAGCCGGCAAGGGTTCAACCCCACGTTTTCAGGGCTGCTTCAGGCTGGGCTCGAGTCCAACGGTGGAACCATCTATTACCAGGTGGACAGGCCAGGAGCCGTGTGCCGGGATGGCTGCCCCTAGGGACCAGGAAGCTCCCAGGATGTATGGAAGTTATTCTGGGCAGAAGAGGAGGGAGAAGGAAGTAGGGATATGGAAGCCCAAGGAGGAGATCTCAGACAGAGAAATAAGATCAGCGCAGTGGGGACAGAGACAGGAGCCAGCCAGCAATGCAGCCTAGGTCCCAACACGCAGGGCTTGCCTCCCTGGTCTCAGTCTTCCACCTGAGATGACATGGGCACCAGGTCAACTCCAGGAGCCCAGCCAGGTGGGGCATCCTGCACACAGACCGAGGCGTGGAAGAGGCAGGGGCCTCCCCAGCACACAGGGCTACAGGCACGACAATTCCAAGGGCCAGGCTGGGGCCCTCCCCCACGCAGCCCCAGCCCAGAATTCCAAAGACCAGGGCACCCGTGACCAACTGTGCCGGGGGAAGCCGCTGGGTCCTTGTGGCCTCATCCACATTCCGTTCCCAGAAGCCCGCTGCCGGGACGGCACCTGTGATCATCTCTCATACCCTGGGACTCCTTTCCATTGCCCACTGTGTCCCTGATTCACTGTAAGAAGACTGGCAAGCCCCCTCGCCCTTCCGGGCCTCAGTTTCCCCTCCTACGGAAGAAGGAAGGGATGGTCTCTAGGAGCCTCCAGGCTCTGACATGCCAGGATTTTCTGCCCCAGTGGATGGGAAGCTGAGAAACAGACACTCCCAGGTTGGTTCTGTCTGGAGCAGATGCAGCCAGAGAAAGGCGCTGGTGGGTGCTGGTTCTAGGCCCAGCAGCTGCCCAACCTCTTGGCTTGGGTCACCCCAGGAAGGATGTAGGTGGGAACTAAAGACGTAAAACCTGCCAGGAGACTTCCCCTAAGAGAGCCTCCACAGGCCATCAAGGCCTGTCTCTGTGCATGCCTATTTCGGCATCATATTTTGATGATCTGATACGGGGTGGCTTCTCCCTGCTGCTGAGATGCAAAGTCCTCAGGGGCTATGTGGCATTTATCCATCTCTGTATCTGCAAGGCTTAGCCCAGGGTCAGGCACAGGTAGAGGCTCAAGAAGGGTTCAGAAACGGAAAGAATGAGTGAGTGAACTAGAAGGTCCTAGGATTCCAAACTCCCATGTTCCAAGATCTAGAAATCACCTGAGGGCCATGTCCCAGCCACAACTGCAGGCCCAGCATCAAGCACAGGGCTGGCCCCTTTGGGGCGGGGGGCGGCTGTGGGCCAGTGTCAGGGTGCATACCCCACCCACCCAGTGGGACAGGACAAAGCCCTGACCCAACCCCCTCCCTGCCTGCCCTCCTGCACAGGGGCCTGAAGGACCCTCAAGGCTGTCTTCATCTAAACTCTCATTTCACAATGGGGGAAACTGAGGCCCAGAGTGGGGAGTGACTCAAGGGCAAGCAGCAAGTTTCACAACTGCCGACAACCAAACCATGCGCCTTCCCCTTGGAATCACGCGAGGGCTAATGCACCATTAATTGTAATTAACTAATTATTCCTGCTGCCAGCTAGCGCAGGAGGAGGCTGGGGTGGGGAGCCCCCCAGTGACTCAGTCATGTTTACAACATGCAAACCCATTTAAAAGCTTGTAAAGGTGCTATAAATGGCTCTTTGGCAAGACGGGAATAACGATTCCCTTTCTCCAGCTGCCAGTTTTAACAACCGTCGGGTTTGAGGCGCAAAGACTGAGCGTCCAAGGTCCAACAGCGCCACCTGGAGGCCAGGCTCCAAAACGCTCTGCTCTGTGCGCACTGCACGCTCGTGGGTTCTGGTTAGGACCTCCCGGACTCCAGCGCCTAAGGGACTAGGAAGCCCACTCCTCCCAGTTCACAATGGGGAAACTGAGGCCCAGGGGAGGTCAGGGACTGTCCGTCCGTTGCTCAGCTGCTTTGAAAGTGTTCAGAGTATAAATCCGAGTCCAAAATGGCAGATGCCACCGTTTTCATTTCCCATGACTGTAAATCTTTTAAAATGTGACAGTTCAGGAGAGGGGCTGTGAATGACAGAAACAAGCGTGCGGAATGGAGTGGGCCTGGATATTTTTTCACACGAGTAGGTTGTCATTAAAGCCCGTTCCTAGCCAGGGAGGGCCCTGCCCCCGCCTGTAAACATCTTCCCCAGCCTGCACCCACCAACAGGACTTCCACAGTCCCCTCATGCCCCAGCCTCCCTTCACGCTCCCCAAACACCGGATCTCCAGGGAGAAAGAGCAGTGAGCTCCCCATTCAGATGGGCTGTGCACACAGAGTGGCCTTGGTCCTCTTACCAACTGATGCGTAGGGAGGGGACGACTACTGCTCAAGGCCACATGGCGAATCCAGCTAGTTCCAAGGCTGAGAGACCAGAGCTCAGGCCCTCTGATTCCTACTTTGCTATCCCTCCCATTGCACCCCAAGAATAACAATCCCCTTAGCTCCCACCGACCGCGGGACTGTGCCAGCCCTCAGGACAAGCACTTTACTTGGGTGGTATCATTTGAAATTCATGGTTGTGAGGCGCAGCGCTCTCTGGAACCCACCCATGTTATAGGCAGGGAGACCGAGACCCAGAGGGGTCACCCAGAGAGTGGGTGGCACAGCTAGGGTCAGATCCCAGGCAGGATCCCCCACTCTGGCTGTTCCTCCGGCCGAGACCGATTGGGAGCTGTGGTGGCCTCGGCGCTGGGCCCTGAAGGTTGGGTGGGCTTGAATTTGGGGAGGGGACTCAGATGGGAGTTGGGCTGGGCCAGAGAGGGTTTCGGGGTGGAGGGGGAGGGGTGCCTGGATAGAGCTGATATTCCCAGCCACTCACCCACGGTCATGCCGTCCATGTAACGCTTGATGATGTCAAAAGAGTCCCGCAGGTTCCCTTCCGTGATGTCGAAGATGATGTTAGCCTGGCTGGCAGGATGCGGTGGCGTGATGGCCCGGAGGAAGATGATCTCTGCAGAGGCACAGAATGGAGAAGGGCTCAGCACAGCCTGGCCCCAGCCCCAGTCCCAGCCTCGTCCCCAGGAACTCACCCTTGGGGAATGAAGACCTAACCCAGGGCCCTTTCATGAGACAACATCAATGAAGCCAGAGATCCCCTGTGTGGGGAGGGTGGAGGGGTCTGGACCTTCCTATATCATAGCCCATCCCTGTTTTATAGCAGGGGAAACTGAAGTCAGGAGAGATTTTGGATCTTCCTCGGGGACACAGAGCTAATCAGAGGAAGGGCTGGTGAGAAGTCATCAGTCACTGTGCATATTCATGAAGGTGGGGACCAGAGGAGGAAAGCGAGTGAGGGGACAGAGGGAGACAGCAGAAAGGCCAGAGGGGTGGGCTCCTCTCCCATCTATAGTGCCACAGGTCAGGGGGGCCACCCTGAGCGGTGGCCTGGGTTCTCTGGGGGGTGTGTGTCCATCTCCCAGATCAGACAGTGAAGCAGGGCAGCCCCAGCTCTGGGCTGTCTTGGGGGAGTCCTCTCTGTGGGCCTCAGTTTCCTCACCTGTAAGGTGAGGAAGGAAGCCGGCGGAGACCCACTAAAGGTCCTTTCAGCACTTAAGGTCAGGGTGTGGATTTCCTGGGCCCAAGATGCTAACAGGTGTCCCAACGGCACTCGGCTCCCTGCGATAACCAACACTCAGATCGGGGCTGGCCGGAGAGGCCACAAAACCAGCCACTGGGGATTTGGGAAGGATTTGTATGTGGTTTGGTGAAACCCCATCATTTTGCAAAAGGCAAATACCAGTTAGTTATTTTCTCTGACCCAAGTCTGTGCCACCCTGTGACGATTCAGCGTTATTCCTTTTCGGGAGGAGCAAACCTAGGGGGACTGGGACTGGGGACGGCTCCTTGGGCAACCACGTGCTGAGGGAGCCTCTCCTCCCCCCACCCCCCCGCATGGTTGTGTCATGGTGTAAACACTGGTGTCCTCGCGGCTGGCTCCGTTGCATGCCTCCCCTGAGAGGGTGGGAGGACCCCTTCTTATCACCATGTCCCTAGAGCCTGACACAGAGGGGCTCCGTCCACGGCTGCTGAATGAACTCATCATGGCATGCTTCTCCGCAGGCCAGGGATAGGGACTCCCTAGAGGGCGGGGGTGGTTGGGGACCGGGCACACGGGCAGCACAGCCAGGAAGCGAGGTGAACAGGACAATGCTCCATCCATAGCCCTCTGCCAGGCTTGGGAGCACGCAGCCCAGGCCCTGCTCCAGAGAAACGGTGCAGTGATGGCAGGTTACACAACATGACTACACTGCATGCCAGGAGCTTCCTAGAGAGCCAGGCTGGGGTGTGGGAGCACTGACTGGGTTACACCTGAGCTTCCTGCTCCCCGTCTGGCCCCTCCAGTTCACCTGGCCCTGGATCAACAGGATGATGTTTCTATATGCAAACCTCCTCCACTGCAACCTTCCGATGGTTCCCCCAAAGCCTGGGGGTTGAAGGCCCAACTCCAGTTTTAGCCTCCTGTTTATCCTTCCAGCCCACCTCTTGCCAAGCCTCTAGCGCTCCAGCAGAAAACCTTGGCTCAGTTTCTCAAACGCCCACACCGCCCCCCCATACCTCCAGACCCTTCTGGCCATGTCCTGCTCCACTGGGCACCCTCCTCCCCTTCTCCCCCTTTCACTCAAATACCTCACCACTCAGGACCCAGCCTAGCCATCACTTCCTCCCGGAGGCCCTCCCTGATTCTCCAGTGCTGGTCACAGAATCAGCGCTTAATGGCTCTCTGCAGAACAACCGTTACCCATAAGAAAAGACCACCTGAACGGAAAGCTGAGAATGGGCCAAATGCTGCTGTGCCAGGTGGGTGTGGGGGGGACACAGACACAAAGAAAGTTCTGCATGTCAAGTTGCCAGGCGCGGTGGCTCACGCCTGTAATCCCAGCACTTTGGGAGGCTGAGGCGGGTGGATCATGAGGTCAGGAGATTGAGACCATCCTGGCGAACACGGTGAAACCCCGTCTTTACTAAAAATACAAAAAGATTAGCCAGGCGTGGTGGCGGGCGCCTGTAGTCCCAGCTACTCGGAAGGCTGAGGCAGGAGAATGGCGTGAACCCGGGAGGTGGAGCTTGCAGTGAGCCGAGATGGCACCACTGCACTCCAGCCCGGGCGACAGAGCGAGACTCCGTCTCAAAAAAAAAAAAAAAAAAAAAAGAAAGTTCTGCATTTCAAAGCCTGGGCCACATCTTACAAGGAACAACTCCTGTAGGCCAAGCCCTCAGCTGAAGCCGAGGGAGGCCCTAGGGGGCCCTGGGACCCCCACACCCATCCCACTCACCTTCAGGGCGGGTGAACTCGCGGAAGGTAGGCAGCGAGATGACGGTGTGGGAGATGGTGTGCACGGGGTCGAACACGCATGTGACATCGTTGGGGCGGCAGGACTTGATGCAGCGGACCGTGTCTGTCTTCTCCTGCTGGAGCCTGAGGGGAACCACAGCACACGAGGCTGACGGGGAAGCTGGGACAGCAGCTCCCACAGGGGCCGAGGTCTAGGGAGGAGGAGCAGGTGGCCAGGGCAGGGGCATCTGTCCCAGAGACAGCTCCATCAGAGAACGACAGTGGTCTCTGCAGCCTGGCTGCTCTGTGGGGAGGCTTCATGGCCCTTCCTGCAAACTGGACCGGGACCTAAATGCCAGCAACACCCTCCAGCTTCCATGTGCCCTGGCGGATAAGCACAGCTTGGACATTTGTCAACTGCACGAATTGAGCATCAATAGCTACAATGGCAAAATAGAGTCACAGGTTCACTTGCCCAACAAATATGTTTTGAGTGCCAGGCGCCGGCTGCTAGGGACAGCAAAGTGAACAAGGGACACATGGTCCCGCCTTCTCAGAGCCCACAGTGAGGCTGGGCAGCAGGGTAATAAACGAAGGAGCAGATAGAAAGCGCCAAGCTCGGTGCCCAGCACAGGGCAGTCAATTCCACATCACCAGGTGACGGGGAGGCAGAAGAGGCTACAGTCTCTCAGAGGTCTGGGTTCCAGGTACTGTGCTAGACAGATTTTTACAACCTCTTGATCATAAAATAAAACACGGATACAAAATTACACAAAATGAAAGTATAGTTTAACGAGTTATTACAAGGCAAACGCCTTTATAATCACCACCCAGGTCAAGAAAGAGAACTTGGCCAGCCACCAAACGCCCCGCAACTGCCAGACAGAACTCAACCCCTCCTGCAACCCAACAGTGACCCCTAGCCTGAGTCCCACGGCAGTGCTCTACTTGGGTTTTTTTTTTTTTTTTTTTTTGAGACAGAGTCTCGCTCTGTCACCCAGACTGGAGTACAGTGGCACAGTCTCAGCTCACTGCAACCTCCGCCTCCCAGGTTCAAGCGATTCTCCTGCCTCAGCCTCCTGAGTAGCTGGGATTACAGGCGCATGCCACCATGCCCGGCTAATTTTTTTTGTATTTTTTTTTAGTAGAGACAGGGTTTTACCATGTTGGTCAGGCTGGTCTTGAACTTCTGACCTTGTGATCCGCCCACCTCAGCCTCCCAAAGTGCTGGGATTACAGGCCTGAGCCACCGAGCCCGGCCTACTTGGGTTTCTTCATAGTTTTCTCACATCAGTGTGCGTCTCTAGACACAATCATTCAGACTTGTCCATCAACAAGTTTTTGCTCTGCCTTTTAAGTCCATTTTAAGCTACAGGTTTCTTCTCTGTTCCTTTATTTTCTTTTCTATTTATTTATTTATTTATTTATTTGAGACGGAGTTTTGCTCGTCACCCAGGCTGGAGTACAATGGCGCAATCTCAGCTCACTGCAACCTCCGCCTCCTGGGTTCAAGCAATTCTCCTGCCTCAGCCTCCCAAGTAGCTGGGATTACAGGCATGCACCATCATGCCTGGCTAATTTTTTGTATTTAGTAGAGATGGGGCTTCACCATGTTGGTCGGGCTGGTCTTGAACTCCTGACCTCAGGTGACCCACCCACCTTGGCCTCCCAAAGTGTTGGGATTACAGGCGTGAGCCAACGTGCCCGGCCTCCTTTATTTTCCATACAACTTATCTATTAAAGAACCTGAAGAATTTGAGCTGTTGTGTTTCCTACAGGCTGGACTTTGCTGATTGCATCCTCACGGTGCAGTTCAGCATGGTCCTCTGTCCACTGGATTTCTTGGACATTGGCAGCCAGATCCAGAGGCCTGATCCCATGCAGGCCCGGTCCCTTTGGCAAGATGGTAGGTGGTAGTGTGTCTTCAGTGAGAGCCACACAGTGACTGGCTGTCTCTGTGAGGACAGCATCTACTGATGCTCAAGGCCTACGCCCACTGATTCATCAAGGATTGCAAAATGCCGATAGTCTGGTTCTACCACTTCACTTCCATTTATTAGCTGGACTACTCCTGTAAACAGATGCTTCCCTTCATGTGCTCTTGTGATTTAATTACCAGGAAATAGCAGATCAATACTTGGTTGTTTCCTTGAATTTTCTAATTTTCAGGATAATAAGCTAACTAGTGTGCTATCATTCTCCAAAGGATTTTTGGGGAAAAAAAAATCAGTATGAACCCATGATGGAAGCCACTCCGATGAGGTTTGATCCTCTGCAATTTTTATCCTTTGTTGAAACTCAAATTTTCCCATCTCTTGCCAGAGGGAAAATGAAGTTGGCTCCTGGGTCCTTTTGGCCCAGCCCTTGTCGTCTTTCACAGCTTTCTTGCTATCTGATGTGACGAGATGATCCAGCCTCATTTTACACTTTTACTGCCCAAGACCTGGAATCAACCATTTCTCCAAGAAGTCTTGGATTTGTATTTCTGTTTTTGTTTTTCATTTATTTTTATTTTTATATATTTTTTGAGATGAGTCTCGCTCTGTCACCCAGGCTGGAGTGCTGTGGTGCGATATCGGCTCACTGCAACCTCCACCTCCCGGGTTCAAGTGATTCTCCTGCCTCAGCCTCCTGAGTAGCTGGGATTACAGGCGGGCACCACCACGACCAGCTAATTTTTGTATTTTTAGTAGAGATGGGGTTTCATCATGTTGGTCAGGCTAGTCTCGAACTCCTGACATTGTGATCTGCCTGCCTTGGCCTCCCATAGTGCTGGGATTATAGGTGTGAGCCACCGCGCCTGGCCTGTTTTTGTTTTTTAGTGAGAAATGGCTTATCAAGACCAGTCTGGATACTAGGGAGGCTCAGTGCTAGGGGGTTGGTCATTGTTTCTAGGCCTCTTCAGTGAACATTTAAAAACTAATATACACCAAGAGTTCATACTGATATCCAATTCAAAAGAAGGACCATATGGTTTTTTAATTAATCTCTTCTGTATTACAAAGGCACATTCTTTCTTCCACATCAGAATCCTGGTCCTCAAGGACATGCAGTATCCCATCATTATCCCACATTACCTACACAGTAGCCTCAGGATAACAATTCTAAAGTTACCATGACTAACATAATTATTGAAAATAATTTTTGATATGCTCTCCCTATTCGGCTCAGAGTTTAAAAATAAATGTGCTATGTCTACATTGTCTGACCTATCCAGTAATTCATACTATACTCTTTTCCTTATAACACTCATTTAGTTGTAGTTTTAGAAGTAACTGAATGTTTAATGCTTGCATGGTCATAATAGTTTATGCTTTTTGCACATGAAAGTCAGTTTTGCTAGGTATAAAATTCTGGGCTTAACTTTTCTTGAGAGTCCTTAATATGTTATTTATTTTCTTTTAGCATAAAGTGTTGCTGTCAAAGAGTCTGATGAGAACATTTTTTTTCCTTTATAAATCACTTACTGTTTTTGTTTAAATGTTCATAGTTTGTTTTTCCCTCCTTTTCTTTCTTTCTTTTTTTTTTTTTTTTTTTTTTTTTGAGACTCTTGTTTCCCAGGCTGGAATGCAGTGGCATGATCTCGGCTCCCTGCAACCTCCGCCTCCCAAGTTTAAGCGATTCTCCTGCCTCAGCCTCCTGAGCAGCTGAGATTACAGACGTGCACCACCATGCTAATTTTTTATATTTTTAGTAGATACGGGGTTTCACCATGTTGGTCAAGCTGGTCTTGAAATCCTGACCTTGTGATCTGCCACCTTGGCCCCTAAAGTGCTGTGATTACAGGTATGAGCCACCACACCCGGCCTTCCTCCTTTTCTTTAAAGTACAATAATTTCACAAGAATGTGTTATGTGTCTTGGTGTTGGTTGTTCTTGTTGATATTCTCAGGTACGCTATGTGTTATTTCAATGTGGAATTTCAAATCTCTTTTTTAATTTATGGAAAGTTTTCTTGAGATCATGTATAGTACTTTCCCCCATGTATTCGGCTTCTTCTGCAGGGAGTCCTATTATCTAAATGTCAGATCTTCTTACAGATTTTGAATATTTGTCACTTTTTCTTCAAGCCTTTCATCTCTTGTTATTTCTTTCTTGATTTTTAAAACTTGTTGTTCTTTTCAACTTCTATTTATCTGTTTATTCACTTTTGTGTTCCATCTAGTTTAGTATTTACATCTGAAATTTTTAACTTTTTGTTTCTTTGGTCTATTACTTCATTTCTCAGTTTTCTTCTAATTCTGACTCGATTTTTCTATTTTCCTTTCTTTCTTTCTTTTTTTCTTTTTCTTTTTTTTTTCTTTTCTTTTCTTTTCTTTTTTTTTTTTTTTTTTTTGAGACAGAGTCTCGCTCTGTCACCCAGGCCAGAGGGCAATGGCACAATCTTGGCTCACTGCAACCTCTGCCTCCCTGGTTCAAGTGATTCTCCTGCCTCAGCCTCCTGAGTAGCTGGGATTACAGGCACCTGCCACCATGCCTGGCTAATTTTTGTATTTTTAGTAGAGATGGGGTTTCACCATGTTGGCCAGGGTGGTCTCGAACTCCTGACCTCAGGTGATCCACCTGCCTCAGCCTCCCAAAATGCTGGGATTACAGGGCACCCGGCCCCATTTTTCTTCTATGTTTTGTTTATTTTCTTAACACTTTTGGTTTCTTTCAAGATAGAATATTAGAATTTTCATTTAGTCTGGGCACGTCTTTCTGGTGTGCTTTCATTACCCAGAGGGATATCATTCTGTCTCTTATTCTCTTTTTTGCTTATAATAGCTGTGCATTTGTTTGCTATACAACAGACTGGGTGGCCTAACCAAGAGAAATGGATTGTCTCATGGTTCTGAAGGCTGAAAGTCCAAGATCAAGGTGTTGGCAGGTTTGGTTCTTTCTGAGGCCTCTCTCTTTGGCTTGTAGAAGTCTGACTTCTCCCTGTGTCCTCCTCACATGGTCTTCCCTCTGTGCATGTCTGTTTCCTAATCTCTTCTTCTTCTTCTTCTTCTTCTTCTTCTTCTTCTTCTTTTTTGAGACAGAGTCTTGCCCTGTCACCCAGGCTGGAGTACAGTGGCATGATCTCGGCTCACTGCAACCTCCGCCTCCTGGGTTCAAGCGATTCTCCTGCCTCAGCCTCCCAAGTCGCTGAGATTACAGGCACATGCCACCACACCCGGCTAATTTTTGTATTCTTAGTAGAGGTGTGGTTTCACCATGTGGACCAGGCTGGTCTCGAACTCTTGACCTTGTGATCTGCCCACCTTGGCCTCCCAAAGTGCTGGGATTACAGGCGTGAGCCACCACACCTGGTCCCTAATCCCTTCTTATAAGAACTCCTGCTGTATTGGATTAGGGCCCATTCATATGATCTCACTTTTACCTTAATTACCTCGTTGAATGTGACTGCATTTGGAGATAGGGACTTTAGAGGTATTAGGGATTAGGAATTCAACATATGAATTTGGGGGGGGACACAATTCAGCCCCTAACACTTTCTATGGGTGTCATGGTTTGCATTACATCCTTCCAAGAAAGATGTCAAAGTTCCATCCCCAGTACCTCAGAATGTGACGTCACTGGAAACTACGGTCATTGCAGATGTAATCAGTTAAGATGAGGTCACACTGGAGTAGGGTGGGCCCTGATCCAAGATGACCGTTATCCTTATAAGAAGAGGGCTATGTGACGACAAAGACACACAAGATCATGTGATGACAAAGGCAGAGATTGCAGCGATGTAGCTGCGAGCCAAGGAACACCAATGATCACCAACAAACCACCAGGGGCTGAGACAAGTCATGCTCCTACAGAAGGAGCATTCTCCCACAGAAGAGGCATTCCCTTACAGGAGGAGCATTCCCCTACAGAAGAGGCATTCCCTTACAGGAGGAGCATTCCCTTACAGAAGGAGCACTCCCCTACAGAAGTCCCCTACAGGAGCATTCTCCTACAGAAGGAGCACTCCCCTACAGAAGGAGCATTCCCCTACAGAAGAGGCATTCCCCTACAGAAGGAGCATTCTCCCACAGAAGAGGCATTCCCTTACAGGAGGAGCATTCCCTTACAGAAGGAGCATTCCCCTACAGGAGCATTCTCCTACAGAAGGAGCATGCCCTACAGAAGGAGCATTCCCCTACAGAAGAGGCATTCCCCTACAGAAGGAGCACTCCCCTACAGAAGAGGCATTCCCCTACAGAAGGAGCACTCCCCTACAGAAGGAGCACTCCCCTACAGAAGGAGCACTCCCCTACAGAAAGAGCACTCCCCTACAGAAGAGGCATTCCCCTAGAGGTTTCAGAGGAAGTGCAGCCCTGCTGACACCTTGATTTTGGACTTCTGGCCTCCAGAACCATGAAGTAATACATTTCTATTATTTTAAGCCACCCAGTCTATGGTACTTTGTTATAGAAACTCATCCATGGAATTTGACCTTGATGCTTTTGGGTTGATCATCCTTAAAGGAAACTAGTTTTCCTGGAATTTGAGAAAGAGTATCATTCACAGTTATCTTCCTGACTTTGCAGAGCTCACCTCCTGACATTCTTCCACATTTACCCGGACCTTCTCTTCCCACAGTCTCTATGGTCTCTTTTCTACACAATTTCTGTTCCATTTCCAGCAGTCTCTCCCTCGTGTGAGACTCTGACCTTAGGGAGAGCTGTGGTGGCTAAGTTTCAAAAGCTCCCAAGAGCAAGCCTGCGCCAGCCCCTTCCTCCCTCCCACTGGCTCTGTGCACACTCTGGCCCCTGGAGTGAGGAAAACGCCTCCCAGTTTCAGCTGCTGTTCCCCCAAAGCACCTAGTACACTTTCTGGGGATACCTGTTGATTATTTTGGGGTTCTGCCACTGTTTTTTCCTGCACAGATGCCAAAGTCATGCAGGTGGGCCTGAACTGCAGACAACCATACCTTGTTTCGTTTGTAAATGTTTTCCATGGAAACATTTTTTTTCCTATCTAGTTGTCTGGGTGTTTTTTGGTTGGGATCTAGAGAGCTTCAGAAATAATGCATCTGCCTTTCCAGTCTCTACGCTACACGTTTTGCATATCTTTTTTCTGAGACAAAGTCTCACTCTATCGCCCAGGCTGGAGTGTGGTGGCACAATCTTGGCTCACTGGAATCTCTGTATTCCAGGTTCAAGCAGTTCTCCTGCCTCAGCCTCCTGAGCAGCTGAGATTACAGGTGTGTACCACCACGACCAGCTAATTGTTGTATTTTTGGTAAAGACGGGGTTTCATCATGTTGGCCAGGCTGGTCTTGAACTCCCGACCTTCAGTGGTCTGCCTGCCTTGGCCTCCCAAAGTGCTGGGATTACAGGCATGAGCCACCGCACCTGGCCCATTTTGCATATCTTATTTCATTCCAGCCTCATAGCCCTTTCCTCCTTACCACACTGCCTCCTCCTTTAGCTAATAAGATATCCTGTTTTGAGTTTGGGAATGGCAGAGCGGGCTCTGTGAGATGGGGCTGGAGCAACAGTCTCATTCATCCCAGGGATGCTGCCTCTCCCCCGTATTTGCTGCAGTGGAGGACAGGGGATCAGAGCACAGATCCCAGCCCAGGCTGCCTGCGTCTGAATCCCAGTGCCACTGGAAACCAGCTGTGGAACTTTGGGCAAGTTCCTTCACCTTTCTGTGCCTCCCTGTCCTCACTGTGGAATGGGGATATTAGCACTGCTTGCTTCCCTAGGCTGCTGTGAAGAGTAAACGAATTACATGCTTGGAACAGCGCCTGTCTCATGGTCAGCACTCTATGTGTTAGCTGTTGGAGTTGTTATTATTATCATTACAATAAAAATCACCCTTATTGCTGTCTTTTCTCCTTGGGAGCTTGATTTACTAGTGACACAACCAGGAAAGCACAGGTTCTGAATCAAAAGTGATGTCAGCTCCACATATGACCTTGGATCCCTCCAAACTCTCTGAATCTTCATCCCCATTTCAATGAAAAGCCACACGAACACCCAGTTACCTTCCAATGAATGAAGAAACCCACACTCACACCTATGGAGTGTTTACTCTGTATCAGGCGCTGCCTGCTGGACTATTTCAGGCCATCTTCAAAATCAACCATAAGGTGGGCCTTGAGGCTCTGAAAGGCTGACGATGTATCCAGGGTCACAGAACTAGTAAATGGCAAGAAGGAAATTCAACCTCCTGCTCTTATTTTGCTTTTCCTGCATGGTGTCCTCTGTCAGCAGCATGAGCCGAGAACATGGCTAAGGAGCCCCAAGGAGCTGCGGGACAGGGGTGAGCACTCAGGTCACTCAGCTGTCACTCCCACAGTGCACTCAGGCACACACGCAAACGTCGATGGGATCCCAAAATGCAACGGGACCCCTCAGGAGGCAGGGAGTTCCACAAGCAAAGAAGAGTCCCTTGGTGGGAATGTTGCAGAGGAGCTTCTGGCAAGCTGTGGAAGGTCACTGGGTAGCCTCCAAAGCCCCTGAGAGGTTTCCCCCACCTCTTCACATTGCTATGCACATGAAGGCACAGGTGTTCCTTCCAGCCTGAGTAATCCCGCCCCTGACAAATGGATGCCTGAATAGGACAAGAACCCCTGCTGTGGCTTGCTGGCTAAACAGAGGAGACAATTTTTACTTATTTTTTTGAGACAGAGTCTCACTCTTCTTGCCCAGGCTGGTGTGCCATACTCCGATCTCAGCTCACTGCAATCTCTGCCTCCTGGGCTCAAGCGACTCTCCTGCCTCAGCCTCCTGAGTAGCTGGGATTACAGGTGCCTGCCACCATACCCAGCTAATTTTTGTATTTTTGGTAGAGACGGGGTTTCTCCATGTTGGCCAGGCTGGTCTCAAACTCCCGACCTCAGCTGATCTGCCTGCTTCGGCCTCCCAAAGTGCTGGGATTACAGGCGTGAGCCACCACACCTGGCTGAGGAGACGATATTTGAACTAAGCCTTAAAAATGCTATCCATCCATCCATCCATCCATCCATTGGTCTGTCCATCCATCCATCAACCTGCATGTTTATTCAGATGTTTACTGAGCTCCTTCTTCAAGCCAAACATTGCAAAGTTGCAGAGAATACAGAAATTAACCAGACACAATCCCTGCCCTCAAAGAGCCTGGCTAGTGGGGACGTTAAGGAACAGCCACAACACAATGGGGTAAATGCTCTGATGGAGGCACCTGGGGCCAGGGGAGCTCAGGCTAACTGCACTGAGGAGGTGACTTCTGAGCCAAGTCTGCAAGGAGAATGGCAGTCTGCAGGGGGACAGCATGGCACATGCTAAAGCCACAAGAAGGCAGATTCAGGGAAGGGCAAGCCTCCCCGTGGGGCCAGGGTACAAGCACATGGATGAGCTGGGGTGGGGCAGGTGCAGCTCAAAGGGTGGGCAGAGGCCAGATCAGGCCAGGCCTCCCATGCCATTCCAAGGAGGCTATGCTTCATCTGCTGGGAAAAGACAACCATGGAAGGTTCTAAGGAAGCTCAGACCATCGTAACCAGACTGGTCCTTCAGAGAGGCTCCTGGGCTGCATCTTGGAGAATGTACTACAACATGGGAGACTCGAGGCTGGTGCAAACCTGGCATGATCAGAGAGAGGGCCAGGAGACAGTGGCAAGGGCCGTGGGGAAAAGGGCTCATGCTCCCGTGGCACAATCACAGCTGCTCAGCGCAAGGTGTGGAGCTGACTGTCTGTCCAGGTCCATCTTCCTCACTAGGCATCAAGGTGGGTATCCTCCAACCCCTGCTTCCATGGAAGAACCCTGCAGTCCTCTTTACTTGATCCCGCTGGGGTGTTCTGCCTTCCCTTCTTGGATTTCTGCCTGGAAACAGTGTCAGCACAGTGTCACAGCCACAGAAATGCTAGTGACATAAGCCAGGGCTGGCAGAGTCATCTGTTCCCTGAACAGACATTGACAGAGCACCTTCTGCACGCGAGATGTCTTGCAAGGAGCTGGGAACACCGCACTGAATGAGATAGACCTGGTCCCTGCCTTCACAGAGCCTTCTGGAAGGTGCGGAAGACAAATGTGAAACGCGAGTCAACAGGAACCGCAGCCTGTTACAAGCACCATGAAGGAAAGGGGTCATGAGAAGGACGGACAGAGAAAACAGAAGCCAGGGGTGGCAGGGAAGGCCTCTCTGAGGCAGGCACATGAGCTGGAGTTTAAGCAACATTCAGGCCAAGGGTGCAAAGCACGTACCAAGGGCCGGAGGCAGCAGAGCTTGCAGCGTGGCTCAAGGGAAGTGGGCAAGGATAGAACAAGTTGAGGCCAGGCTGGAAATTGCATGCAAGGACTAAATTAGGCACGGCCTTCAGACATCTTGAGGATCTGGAGGCCTTAACCCAAATGGTAAGGAAGCCAGGAACGGTTTTAGGCAGAGGCTAAAAGATCACTCCAGCTGCTAAGCAAAGAATGAGCTGTAGGGGAGGTGAATGGACGCTGGGAGCAGCAGAGGGGGACAGATGACTGGCTTGGCTGGACCATGGTGGAGGAGATGGAGGGAGGCAGGGGGTTAAGGCCCTCAGTGGAGGTATTCTGGCAGAACGCAACAGCCAGATCTGTGGAGTCAGTAAACCAGGGCTCGGATACCAGCTGTGTGATCTTGGGCAAATCACTTGCCCTCTCTGAGTCTTCATGAGGATGACCACCTGCCTGGCAGGACTGGTGTAAGGCCTATGAAGGATCCCGTGAGTATCACATGTATTGTGTGGTCCTTTGCCTCCCCCCGGCACAGGGCCAGGATCCTCAGTGGGGGCAAAACGACTTCACTGAGGCAAGAGCTGCATCCTAGGAGCCGCAACCGCATCCCGTGTTTCTGCACCACAGATTTGGGCTTCTGATCAAGACAAACAGAAGAGGAGGCTTGAATCTCAGGAGAGAGCTTTCTTGTCTCAGTGAAATGCTCACCTCCGGGGATACAGCAAAGAACCAGGCAGGGGCCAGCAGACCCGCTTCCTTGACCTGGCATGGCCACAGCAGGCCAGACGACCCTGGCCAACCCTTCCCCTTCTCTCTGGGCCTCAGTTTCCACATCTGTAAAACGAGAGGGGACTGTGCTCAGCAATCTGAGGGCCCTTCTCCACCACCACCTTTATTCTTTGGGTTCAACACAAATGAAGACAAGTTAACACATGTGAAATGATGTACCCGGCCTGGCCTCCCTGTCGGCACAGACAGTGGGCTCTGTGAACAGGGACCCCCGAGCACACACCCTCTAGTGGGGAGCGCTCCTCAGTCAGCCCTCGGGGGTACCAGGCGGTGGCCAGTGCCCAGCTCACCCCCGGGTAACAAGCGGCACAGACTCCCAACCATGCCAAATAAAACCAAGGCACGCGAGGCTCACTGTGTGGGACGCTTGCTAAGACTTTATTAACGCCCCGGAGGGCAGGGTTAGGAAAGCAACAGGAGGGAGACCCCGCGACGCGAAGCGAGTGCTCAGAGCTCTGCAGACACAAAGATGAAAAGCTTGGCCACAAAGGAGCTGACGGTGCCGTGGCGAGAGAGATCCATCTTGACGGTCAGGAGCAAGTCCCTGGGCTCGGGGACAGGCTTGGTGAGGGCCACCACCCCACTGTGGGGGCTCACCTTCCGGGTGGTGAAAAAGCCCTCCTCATTGCCGCCGGTGATGGCCAGCTGCATGCTGTCCCCGGGGACAGCACTGGAGGGGCCCATGCGGAAAACCACCGCGGGCGCTTGGATGTTGGTGGGGAAAGAGAGGTGGTAGTAGGTTATTCTCAGAGGCAGCTTGGAGCACTCCCGATTCTCATGGCAAGGCAAGCGCTCACAGCGGCTGCAAGAAAAGTGGGCAGAGAGACAAGAAGAGGGTTAGGGCCGGTCCAGCAAGCGGAGAAACGGCAGAGCGCGGGGATGCGGGGCTGGCAGGCGGGGCCTCCCGCCGCCCCTCTGGCCGATTCAGCCAACACGAAGGGCACACCTCACTCACCTGCGGGAGGCGCCGTGGACCTCCAGGCTGCTGATTCAGGCACTAGCCTCTTCCAACACCATCTCGGGCGCTGGGTGGCCGGGGGCCAAAGGCTGTGCCCGGAGTGAGGTGCGTCCCCTGCTCACTGGCAGAGCCCCACCCCAGGGGCACTCCCCAGGCACACCCTGCCCTTCCCAGGCCCTTGCCCAGACAGTGGCCAGGGCTACGCAGGGCTCTTGGTTGTGTCTCGGAGGTGACCCATGAAATGACTATCTCTGCCACTAGCAATCAGAGCTGCTGCCGTTTACCAAGTGCTCAGCTCTTCCTCACCATGCACTCTCTAGTGTGATCACTGCCACCACCCCATGACAGTGGCTTCGGTGATATTTTTCACATGAGGACACTGAGGCTCAGAGAGAATGTGGCCTTCCCACTTCCCAAGGTCACAGAGTGAGTGAGGGAGCCATATCGCTACTCAGCCATTGAGGTCAGTTCCCAGTTCCTTGTCACTAAGCCCTCGTGTTCCAAGCTCAGTAACCCATCTGGGTCCACAGGGCCAGATCCCAACTTCCTGTGATAGAAACAGAGACAGGTCCTAACTTCCTGGGTGGAGACAGGGATGGGTCCTAACTTCCTGCAGTGGAGACGGGGACAGGTCCTGTGATGGTTAATAGTGTCAACTTGATTGGATTGAAGGATACAAAGTATTGATCCTGGGTGTGTCTGTGAGGGTGTTGCCAAAAGAGAGTCACATTTGAGTCAGTGGGCTGGGAAAGGCAGACCCACCCTTAATCTGGGTGGGCACAATCTAATCAGCTGCCAGCACGGCTAGACTATAAGCAGGCAGAAAAATGTGATAGGAGAGACTGGCCTAGCCTCCCAGCCTACATCTTTCTCCTGTGCTGGATGCTTCCTGCCCTTGAACATCGGACTCCAAGTTCTTCAGTTTTGGGACTCGGACTGGCTCTCCTTGCTCCTCAGCCTTCAGATGGCCTATTGTGGGACCTTGTGATCGTGTGAGTTAATGCTTAATAAACTCTCCATTATACATATGTATTCCGTTAGTTCTGTCCCTCTAGAGAACCCTAACTACTACAGATTTTGGTACCAGGAGTGGTTCTAGAGGAAGAGAATATTAAAGATGGAGTTCTTTCATTGGTTTTGGGGTTTCTGGGGTTGGCTGGTTAACGATTAGATCCAAAAATGCTAAGGACTCCACTTCTAATAGTATGGAGAACACTGATAGTCCTTGGCATGAACTGTTTAGAGAGTTATGAAAAATAAACGCATTTGAAACTCCTGATTCATCGCTCATGAGGCAAGTTTAGTGACTCTATACATAATATCTTTGATCATATGTGGAGAACCAAGGAACATAATGAAGCTGGTTGGTTGCTCCTAAGTTTAGTGGACAAAGTGATGAAAGAAAATTATGAACTCAGGGATTCCATCTCCCAGCTTCAGAAGCAGATACTGAGCCTCAAATCTGCTAAGATTGCCCTGAGTGAGAGTCTTATCTCCTGTAGAGGAAGAGCTGAAATTGTGGAAAAACAGACACAAGCTCTTATCATGCGAGTGGCTGACCTGCAATGAAAGATGCATGCACAGCCTCGCCAGGTGTCTGCTGTTAAAGTGAGGGCATTGATTGAAAAAGAATGGGACCCTGCAACTTGGAATGGGGACATGTGGGAGGAGCCTGATGAAGCTGGGGACACTGAGTTTATAAACTCTGATGAATCTTTTTTGCCAGAAGAAACAGCTTAACAGCTTCCCCATCCCCAGTAGTGGCAACATCCCCGCCCCGACCCATCAGCCTTTCCACCTTTGTCTAAGGAGATAAACCCCACGCTGCCTGAGGCAACAGTGATGGCCTCCTGTGAGGCAGTTGCCAGGCAAGATAATGTTGATTCTCCTCAGGAGCCACCCCTAACACCCCTGTTTGCCTCTAGACCTATAACTAGACTAAAGTCCTGGCGGGCCCCTAGAGATGAGGTTGAGAGTGTGACCCATGAGGAAGTGAGCTACACTCGAAAAGAACTGCTTGAGTTTTCTAATTTATAGAAACTAATCTGGAGAACGGGCATGAGAATGGATATTAAGGGTGTCGGAGAATGGTGGAAGGAACATAGCGTTGGATTAGGCTGAATTTACAGATTTAGGCCCACTAAGCAGGGACTCTGCATTTAATGTTGCAACTCGGGGAGTTAAAAAAGGTTCTAATAGTTTATTTGCTGGTTTAGCTGAAATACGGATGAAGAGATGGCCCACTGTGAGCAAGCTGGAAATGCTTGGTCTTCCTTGGTTTAATGTAGAGGAAGGAATCCAAAGACTTAGGGAGATTGGGATGGTGGAGTGGATTAGTCACTTTAGACCTACTCAACCAAGTTGGGAGGATTCAGAAGATATACCCTTGACCAATGTCTTTCGAAACAGATTTGTGAGGGCAGCACCTGCATCTTTGAAGAGCCCTGTAATTGCTCGTCTTGGTATGTCAGATCTAACAGTGGGAACCACAGTCACTCAACTACAAAATTTAAATACAATGGAAATAATTGGATCCTGAGGTGGCAGTGGCCAAGTGACAGCACTCAACCATCAAAGGCAAGGTGGGTGTAGCTTCTGTAATGGACAGCAGAGGCAAAGCAGCAATCAGAATAGTCTGTCTCGTGTAGAGCTCTGGCATTGGCTAATTAATCACAGTGTTCCTAGAAGTGAAATTGATAGGAAGCCTACTGCATTCCTACTTGATTTGTATAAGCCGAAAACTTCTAGATCAAGTGGACAAAAGACTAATTTGAATTACAAAAAAAGAGAATCACGGCCCCTCAATCAATTTCCAGACTTGAACCAGTTTACAGACCCAGAACCCCTTGAATGAAGGGGAGGCGGGTCCTCTTGAGGAAGGACCCCACTACATTACTGACAATTTATGCAGTGAATCTTTCTCCCATCCTTCCCCAAAGAGACCTCTGGCCTTTTACCAGAGTAACTGCATTGGGGAAAGGGAAATGATCAGACATTTTGGGGACTATTGGACACTGATTCTGAGCTGAGGTTGATTCCAGGGGACCCAAAACGTCATTGTGGCCCTCCAGTTAAATAGGGGCTTAAGGAGGTCAGGTAATTAATGGAGTTTTAGCTCAGGTCTGACTTACAGTGGGTCCAGTGGGTCCCCGGACTCATCCTGTGGTCATTTTCCCAGTGCCAGAATGCAGAATTGGCAGAGACATACTTAGCAGCTGGCAGAACCCCCACACTGGCTCCCTGACTGGTAGGGTGAGGGCTTTTATGGTTGGAAAGGCCAAATGGAAGCCATGAGAGCTGCCTCTACCTAGAAAAACAGTAAATCAAAAACAATATCGTATTCCCGGAGGGATTGCAGAGATTAGTGTCACCATCAAAAACTTGAGACGCGGGGTGGTGATTCCCACCACATCCCGGTTCAACTCTCCCATTTGGCCTGTGCAGAAGACAGATGGATCTTGGTGAACGGCAGCGGATTATCGTAAGTTTAACCAAGTGGTGACTCCAATTTGCAGCTGCTGTACCAGATGTGGTTTCATTGCTTGAGCAAATTACCATATCTCTTGGTACCTGGTATGTAGCCACTGACTTGACAAATGCCTTTTTCTCCATTCCTGTTCCAAGGCCCACCAGAAGCAATTTGTCTTCAGCTGGCAAGGCCAGCAATATACCTTCACTGTCATACCTCAGGGGTGTATCAACTCTCCGGCTTTGTGTCATAATCTTATTCATGTCATAATCTTATTCGGAGAGACCTTGATCGCATTTCGCTTCTGCAAGATATCACGCTGGTCCATTAAATTGGTGACATTATGCTGATTGGATCCAGTAAGTGAGAAGTAGCAAACACACTGGACTTATTAGTGAGACATTTGCATGCCAGAGGATGGAAAATAAATCTGATAATAAAATTCAGGGACCTTCTACCTCAGTAAAATTTCTAGGGGTCCAGTGGTTTGGGGCCTGTCGAGATATTCCAAGGTGAAGGATAAGTTGCCTGCATTTGGCCCCACCTACAACCAAGAAAGAGACACAACGCCTAGTGGGCCTATTGGATTTTGGAGGCAACACATTCCTCGTTTGAGTGTTACTCCAGCACATTTATCGAGTGACCTGAAAGGCTGCCAGTTTTGAGTGGGGTCCAGAACAGGAGAAAGCTCTATGACAGGTCCAGGCTGTTGTGCAAGTTGCTCTGCCACTTGGGCCATATGACCCAGCAGATCCAATGTTGCTTGAGGTGTCAGTGGCAGATAAGGATGCTGGCTGCAGCCTTTGGCAGGCCCCCATAGGTGAATCACAGTGGCGGTCTCTAGGCTTTCGGAGCAAGGCCCTGCCATCTTCTGCAGATAACTACTCTCCTTTTGAGAGACAGCTCTTGGCCTGTTACTGGGCTTTGGTGGAAACTGAATGTTTGACTCTGGGTCATCAAGTCACCATATGACCTGAACTGCCTATCATGAACTGGGTGCTTTCTGACCCATCTAGCCATAAAGTTGGTCATGAACAGCAGCATTCCATCATCAAATGGAAGTGGTATATACGTGATCGGGCTTGAGCAGGTCCTGAAGGCACAAGTTAAGTTACATGAGGAAGTGGCTCAAATGCCCGTGGTCTCCACTCCTGCCAACTTGC
This sequence comes from Homo sapiens, assembly GCF_000001405.40. Lineage (NCBI taxonomy): Eukaryota > Metazoa > Chordata > Mammalia > Primates > Hominidae > Homo > Homo sapiens. The sequence goes on along the minus strand of NC_000022.11, from coordinate 45,558,123 downwards.
CTTCTCTTCTCCAGCCTGCACCGATGGCCTCATGCAGAGTTCCCTACGATCATCTGACAGAGGAAGAGAAGACTAGGGCCTGGTTCACAGATCATTCTGCACGATATGCAGGCACCACCCGAAAGTGGACAGCTGCAGCACTACTGCCCCTTTCTAGGACATCCCTGAAGGACAGTGGCAAAGGGAAATCTTCCCAGTGGGCAGAACTTCAAGCAATGCACCTGGTTGTGCACTTTGCATGGAAGGAGAAATGACCAGATGTGCGATTACATACTGATTCATGGGCTGTGGCCAATGGTTTGGCTGGATGGTCAGGGACTTGGAAGAAGCATGATTGGAAAATTGATGACAATGAAATTTGGGGAAGAGGTATGTGGATAGACCTCTCTGAGTGGTCAAAAACTGTGAAGATATTTGTATCACATGAGAGTGCTCACCATATCACATAAAAGAGCTCAGCAGAGGAGGATTTTAATAATCAAGTGGATAGGATGATTCATTCTGTGGACACCACTCGGCCTCTTTCCCCAGCCACCCCTGTCATTGCCCAATGGACCCATGAACAAAGTGGCCATGGTGGCAGGGATGGAGGTTACACATGGGCTCAGCAACATGGACTTCCACTCACCAAGGCTGACCTGGATATGGCCACTGCTGAGTACCCAATTCGCCAGTAGCAGAGACCAACACTGAGCCCTCGATGTGGCACCATGCCTCGGGGTGATCAGCCAGCTACCTGGTGGCAGGTTGATTATACTGGACCTCTTCCATCATGGAAATGGCAGAGGTTTGTCCTCACCGGAATAGACACTTACTCTGGATATGGGTTTGCCTATCCTGCACACGATGCTTCTGCCAAGACTACCATCCGTGGGTTCACAGAATGCCTTATCCACCCTCATGGTATTCCACACAGCATTGCCTCTGACCAAAGCACTCACTTTACTGCTAAAGAGGTGTGGCAGTGGGCTCATGCTCATGGAATTCACTGGTTTTACCATGTTCCCCATCGTCGTGAAGCAGGTAGATTGATAGGATAGTGGAATGGCCTTTTGAAGTCACAATTACAATGCCAACTAGGTGACAGTACTTTGCAGGGCTGGGACAAAGTTCTACAGAAGGCCATGTATGCTCTGAATCAGGGTCCAATATTATGGCACTGTTTCTCCCATAGCCAGGATTCACGGGTCCAGGCATCCAAGGGTGGAAATGGAAGTGGCACCACTCACCATCACCCCTAGTGATCCACTAGCAAAATTTTTGCTTCCTGTTCCTGCAACATTACGTTCTGCTGGCCTAGAGGTCTTAGTTCCAGAGGGAGGAACGCCGCCACCAGGAGACAGAACAAGGATTCCATTAAACTGGAAATTAAGATTGCCACCTGGACACTTGAAGCTCCTCCTACCTTTAAGTCAACAGGCTAAGAAGGGAGTTACAGTGTTGGCTGGGGTGGCTGACCCAGACTATCAAGATGAAATCAGTCTACTACTCCAAAATGAAGATAAGTTAGAGTATGCATGGAATACAGGAGATCCATTAGGGCATCTCTCAGTATTACCATGCCCTGTGATTAAGGTCAATGGGAAACTACAACAGCCCAATCCAGGCAGGACTACAAATGACCCAGACCCTTCAGGAATGAAGGTTTGGGTCACTCCACCAGGAAAAAAAAAAAACAAGATCTGCCAAGGTGCTTGCTGAAGGCAAAGGGAATACAGAATGGGTAGTAGAAGAAGGCAGTCATCAATACCAGCTACGAGCCATGTGACCAGTTGCAGAAACGAGGACTGTAATTGTCGTGAGTATTTCCTCCTTCTTTTAAAAACATGGCCAGGTGCTGTGGCTCACGACTGTAATCCCAGCATTTTGGGAGGCCGAGGCGGGAGGATCACTTGAGGTCAGGAGCTCAAGACCAGCCTGACCCACATGGTGAAACCCCATCTCTACTTAAAATAGAAAAATTAGCTGGGTATGGTGGTGCACACCTGTAATCTCAGCTACTCAGGAGGCTGAGGCAGGATAATCACTTGAACTCGGGACGTGGAGGTTGCGGTGAGACAAAATCACACCACCACACTTCAGCCTCGGCAACAGAGGGAGACTCTGTCTTAAAAAACACACAAACAAAAAACAATCAAAAATGTTTGTGCATGTATACACTTGTACTAACAAAAATGACTTCATTTTATTTCCTTTCTCTTTTATCAAGTGACATAAGATTTATTGAATTCACATCAGCATTTAAGTATCGTTAACTTTATATAATAGTATTTGGGTTGGGGATTGGTGAGTTTCTGGTCGTATGAAGTATAGTTATGTTAGGTGTAATTATGATCTTATTATTGTCTTTATTTGAAGATTATGTATGATCTCAGGAGATGTGCATGGGTTCAAGTTGACAAGGGGTGGACTTGTGATGGTTAATACTGAGTGTCAACTTGATTGGATTGAAGGATACAAAGTATTGATCCTGGGTGTGTCTGTGAGGGTGTTGCCAAAAAAGATTCACATTTGAGTCAGTGGGCTGGGAAAGGCAGATCCATCCTTAATCTGGGTGGGCACCAACTAATCAGCTGCCAGCACGGCTACAGCATAAGCAGGCAGAAAAACGTGAAAAGAGAGACTGGCCTAGCCTCCCAGCCTACATCTTTCTCCCGTGCTGGATGCTTCCTGCCCTCAAACATTGGACTCATTTTTTCTTCATTTTTGGGACTCAGACTGCTCTCCTTGTTCCTCAGCCTGGAGATGGCCTATTGTGGGGCCTTGTGATCATGTGAGTTAATCCTTAATAAACTCCACTTTATATATATATTCCATATATATATTCCATTTTATATATATATATATATATTCCATTTTATATATATATATATATGTATATTCCATTAGTTCTGTCCCTCTAGAGAACCCTAATACAGGTCCAAACTTCTTGTGGTGGAGACAGAGACGGGTCCCAACCTCCTGCGGTGGAGACACGGACGGGTCCCAACCTCCTGGGGTGGAGACGGGGACGGGTCCCAACCTCCTGCGGTGGAGACGGGGACGGGTCCTAACCTCCTGCGGTGGAGACGGGGACGGGTCCTAACCTCCTGCGGTGGAGACGGGGACGGGTCCTAACTTCCTGTGGTGGAGACGGGGACGGGTCCTAACTTCCTGTATAGGATGAGCACAGATTCCAACTTCCTGTTACAGATTCTAACCTCCTGTGACAGGATGGAGATCGGTATTATCTTCCGCTACAGGATAGTAACAAGTTCTAATTTCTTGTCACAAGATGGGACAGGGGTCGTCTCCTGTGTACTGAACTCCTGGCCCATCATACTCTGAAGGTGGCTGCCTGAGGAAGCAGGGCCCAGGTGCGGAGCCCCAGAGGACCTGGCCCAGGTGCTCCAGGAAGCCCTGCCATCTGGGCTGTGTCTGGATTCTGAGGTCAGGAGCATCCTCTCGTCCTGGCCTTCTATCACATCTCCCTTTTGGCTTTTTAAGTTTCCATGTCTCGTGCTGGGTTACTTGGACTTGCTTGAGGCATTTATCGAGACTGGGGTCTCCTTTTACCTCCTCTTTCCAGGTTTGTCAGGACTGACAGGAGGCCTTGCATTTACTTGGCTAGTGATCATTCCAAGCTCTTAGAAAGGACTGGCCTGGGAGTCAGGGGCACTGAACGGGGGAGTCCTGCCTGGGAGGGGCCCAAAACAGAGGCAGGAAAGAAGGTGGGCACGGGTGCTGCTGGCGGTGGCCTGCCCCAGAGATGCCCAGGTCCAGGCCAAACGGGAGTGCTCCAGGCGATCTGAGAGCTCTCCCCCAGGGGGGCCTCTGAGGAGCTATGACCAAAGCGTCCGTGAACTGGGGGAGGAGCATGGGACCCATGAGCTGTGCTTCCGGGTGCAGGTGAACTGCGCTTCCGGGTGCAGGGAGCAGGCTGCAAGCAGCAGACTTTCCTTCCACTCGCTCCCTCCACTGTCTCCCATCGTCCTCCCGCTCTACTGGCTGGAAGACAGACGCCCATTGAGGATGCAGAACTTGCTGATAGCTCCGTGGTGTGTCGTAAGGGGCAAGCTTGGCTTTCAAAGTCGGCCTGTCTTACTTCAAAGCTTTTACACACACAATGTATGCACACACACAAGCACGCGCACACGCACACACACCAGCAACTTCAGGACCAGCCTGGATGGGGCTGGTCAGCAGGTGGCGCTAGAGTCGCCCTGGTGGGATTTCGGCTTCCCGCTTCTCTCAGCATGGCGGGTACTAACCAGGGATGGAATTTGTTTTGCCAGAGGGAAGCGGAGGAAAGCAATGGGAGGTGTGCGTGGTGTTCTGGTGCAGCTCCCGCCGTCATCACACACAGCGACTGGTCACTCCTCCCCTGGAGGCTCCCCCTCCGACCCCACACAGTCATTCCTCAGAGCACCCCAAAACCTTCTCTACACTAGGAGTTTCTGGGCTGGCTCCTTCTGGACAAAGAGCAGGGCCTGGGGCACCCGCTATGTGCTTTGCAAATGACTAATGCACAAAAATAAACATGTCCTTGATTTTCCTGGTAAGTCCTGGCTTCAATGATCGTACTTCGCTCTACTCAAACTTTTTAAAACACCAGAAACATAACTGTCTGGCAAACTGCCTGTCAGACTGGGAACGGCCCAAAAATCCCTTTTAGCCAGTGTGTCTAGGTCAGGGACGGGTTGTCATCACTGAATGTATTACAGAGCAGGGCATAGGCGAGCCCGCCCCGTCCCCCCCTGCCACGCAGGCCCTGGTTTCCAGACATGTCCCCTCAGCAGGCCACCCATCCTGGGCCATGTCATGCGTTAGAGGACAATGTGCTCCAACTTGCCAGTTCAACACATTTGACCCTAACACCTCAAGCTCTATGGAAATGATCCTAAGCCACCACACACCAGAGAAAAAAGGCCCTCTAGGCCCCCTCCTTCTCCTGGGAGGCACGGCAGTTCTGGCCACCCCAGGTGCTTGTGGATATCCCTGCCGGCATTTTCCTGACTTTCACACGCTCGTCGTCCGGGAGACAAGCCCCAGGAACTGGCCAAGGCAGGGGGGCCATCGACGGCTCTATCTCTGCCACCGTCCACCGTGTTACACCCTCAGGCCCACAGCTGTTCACTCGTGTCCCATCCCCGGGAAGCGGCAACCAAGGCCACCCGGCTTTGCTCCAGCTTTCTAGACCACAGGTCATCAGGCGCCGGCCCCACTGAGGGGATAAAGAGGATGTGTCCGGCCCCATGAAGGCTGTGGGACAGCTTTGCACACTTCCTCCTGCGGGCAGAAGGGAATTGTGTGGGCAGGACTGTAACAGCCTGGTCCTGTCCACAAGGCCGAGCCCTGTGGTTTGCGGCCCAGCTTCCTGGGTCATGCTCCAGTTACCAGCCCTCGGCCGCCGGGATGTTCCCCAGATGGAAGCCGTCTGAGTGGAGAGAGAGAGAAAGGCACAGCAGCGGACTCTGCAGTCCTGTCTGTCAAGGCTCCCGAAGGAGGCGCTCTTGCTGAGTTGTTAACCACAGAAGCGCCGGCCATGGGTCCCTCCTAAATATGGCTCTTTTAGATTTTAAAAATTGCTTTCTGAAGCTTAGATGAAAAAACGTGTTAAGCAGCTTCGATTTTTGATGAGCAGGAAAAGGGGCTGTAAAATACAAAACTCCAGTCTGAGGGGTTAGCAGTGCTGAGAGGGGGTGGCCCCTCCTCACTATCAGTCCCGGGAGTCCAAGGGCTGGAACAAGCCAGGCGCCCAGCAGCTCAATCCCTTACTGCACAGCACACAGGGCCCAGGTTTCAGGCTGAACTCCCCATTTCACCGCACATGTGTCCATACTCCCGCCGCTTCTGCCTAATTCGCTCCCCCTTCCACCTCCATGCAGGCATGGCCCACTCCAGACAGCCCCCTGCCCACCCTCACGCCCAGCCAGGTGGGGTCCCCTCCTCCCTCCTAGCACACACGCCGAAGGCGGAGCCTGTGCGGGGACAAAGCCCTCTGTGGGCTGTCTACCCAGGTGCCTGCACGCAGTAGGTCCAGGAAGAAACGACTTTCTCCAGCACTGAGGGGTGGCAGAGGCTTCCACAGCCAACATGAGGGGTGGAGCTGGGTTCCCCTGATTTCAGCCATGACCTCAGCACACATGGCCAACCCGCCCACCCTCAGGCTTAGGAGGCGCCAGGGCCCCTGTGCAGGGCAGCCTCCCCCTCTTCGAAAGGTGGTTTCACGACTGTGCGCAAGTTAGAAATCGAGGTCACAACCACAGCCAGCCTCCTGGAATCCTCAAGCCCAGGCGCTGACAAAGGCTGGGGAGAGAGTGAACTTACAATGACAGACGGCTGCACAGCCTGCAGCCAAGGCCATCGAACTTTCTTAATGGCTCAGAGAAGCAGTGTCACTGCCTGGGGCAGGCTGTTGCATAACCATGAGCTCTTCGGGATGCTACAGACTTGCAAACCCAGTTTTGGGGCAGCTTTTTCCTAACCCAAGCTCAGGAAGGAAACAAGATGTTGGGTTTTCAAGCAGACAGAAATCCGTGCTGGGAAACAGGGAAATGGCTGGGCCAGCCAATGAGAATCGCAAAGCCAGGAAGAATATGGAGGGCTGCCAGGGACAACGGGGCTGCTCGGGTACCCAGAAGCCTTGCTATGCCACAAGCCAGGGCAGCTGCCCCTAGGGTCAAGAGGTGGACACTACCACTGACCCTCAGGTCGCGGGGGCAGCTGGCCAAGAGCCCAAGGCAGGCTGAAGGTCAAGGGGCCAAGGCCTCGGAAACAGCTGGCTGCCTGCATCGTGCACTCAGAGTGCTGGGAGAGGTCACAAGTCCACAGTCCTGAGATCGGTCCCAGCATGGAGCTTTTCCTGAAGCAACTGACTGTGGCACTAAATGAGACTTTCTGAATACAATTAGGGGCAAGGGGGATAGGAAGTGGGAACCGTGGTCTCAAGTGGGCGCCGTGATGGCCTAGGAGTGAGTGAGCTTACAAAGACATAGGGGCACGCAGCCCCACGTTTAGGATCTGGAATCTTTGATGCCGTTCCCACACGGTCACCAGGCTGGACGAATTCTGGCTTTCAGGTGGGCACCTAACAACAACGTCCAACAGGTCACATCGGCTCCCTGGCTTTGGGCTGACATGGAGACATTGCTACCTATGCATCTCAGTCAGAGCACGTTCTGACATCTGCATGTTACAGATGAGGAAACTGAGGCCCAGAGAGCTTGCCCAAGGCTTCCACCCTAGGAAAAAAGAGGGCTGTGGTTTCTCCTGGTTCTGTGCACAGCCTTGGCCTGAAAACATGACTATAGACCCCAGACTCATTTGCAGTTACCCCCTTGACTTTCCGAGACCAGTGTCACTAGCATTTAGGGGCTTGAGGGCCAGGGATCAGGTGATCTTTGAGTGCCCTGAGTCCCTCATGGGAGGACACCGAGGTCACAGCCTGATAACCCACCCACCCGGGAACTGGGTCACCAGGAAGGCCAACACAGACAGACGACGATGGCATGGTCCAAGGGACTTACGTGGCTGCGGAGCGGCGGTAGTTCTCAGGGCACTCGAAGGCCAGGCAGCGGAAGCCGCCCTGGATGTTGAAGCAGGTCTCGTTGATGGAGCAGTTGTGGATGCCAGTCACACACTCATCAATGTCTGCAAGAGACCCCACAGCAGCACAGTGAAGGCAGAGGCTGCAGGAGCCATACCCATCTGGAGACGGAGGAGCCCAGGCCTCCCATCAACTAGGGTTAGGGGTGGCGATCAGGCCATCCCTGCCCTCCACTGGCTGATCTTCAGAGCAGCGTCCTGTGCCAGTTCTTACATTTATAGGGTATTTACATTTATAGAGTGTTAACTTATCATTCGCAATCCCTGGAGGGAGCGTGACGATGGTAAAAGTAAACACTACATGATGGGTCCTGGGAGTACCTCGCAAGGATAAGTCACTGAATCCTCCTAAGAACTCAATGAGGCAGATACTGTTATGATCCTCATTTTATGAGGAGCTCACAGAGCTTAAGAGACCTGCCTGAGGTCACACATTTTATAAATGTCAGAGCTGAGCTTTGAACCCGGGCAGGCTGGCATCAGAGTCCATACACTAACTAACCAGAGCCTCTCTGTGGCTCCCGAGGCTCAGCACCCTTACCCTAGGTGTGACTCAACCTCTTAGGAGAAAAGGGCAGGAGCTGCTAGCTCCACACAACAATGAGAAAAACAGCCTTCGAGGGATCATACGTCTTGCCTGTGTGTTGGGGTTGGTGGCTGTTCAGGGTGGACTGGAACCACCAGGTCTGGGACTCCTGGGATGGGGCCTGGGGCACCACACTGAGAGGCCCCTGGAGATGGGGGAGCAGCCCAACTCCCATAGACTCTGGAGCAGCCAAACAGTGGGGCTCAGGGGCTGTCACCAACCCTGGGAGACATCCATTAAGAGGTGCCAAATGCCTGAGCATCGGTGGCAAAAACAACACTCCCCAGCCTCAAAGGCCCGGCTCAGGAATGTGTTTATGCTGAGTCTGGGCGGGACCCCAGGCTGTGGTGAGGGAGCCTGGCCAGGAGAAAAGTCATTTGCTCCGTCAGAAATGCAGACACAACCAGCCTTCCATCCAGAGCCCAGGGCAAGCGGAGGGGGCCTCCCAGGAAACACCGCAGCTCCTGCCTGCCTTTCATCAAAGTCACCTTCCTCATGACCAGAAGCTACATCTGTGGGACCCAGGGGGCTTCCAGAGCCCCAGGATCCACAGTCCTGTGTGGGGCTCCCGAGGAACTGGCTGGACAGCCCCACCTCCATGACTCAGCTTCTGGGCGCAGTGTGTACACTGAGGATCACGCGCTCACAAACATCTACTCAGCACCCGCTGTCAGTGATTGAATGGATGGTTATCAGATGGCTCTGGGGGACACACACTGCCCCCTAGAGCATTCGTAGAAAAGGGGGCTGAATGCAGAACCAATGCCATTGGCCACCATTACTTAGCCGATGCTGGAGCTGACCCATAGCCATGAGTATCCCTGGGCCATCCCACACCAGGCCACGCCATCCCCTGGCCTGGACTGCTTCCTCCCTGGCGGGCATCTTCCTAAAGGCCTCTGTTCCAGCCTTTACGGGGCTGCTGAGGGGAGGGGAGGAGGGCTGAAGTGTTCCTGCCGGATGCAGCCGCCACAGGCTCAGACAATCCAGAGGACAAGTGTGCTGGGGCCTGGGTGTAGGAGACCAGGGTGCTGCAGACCCCAGGACACCCCTTGGATGGGGTGGGCCTCCTTTTCCTGAATGCATTCCATCTGTGCTGTGGCCCTTGGGTTGGGGAAGCACAGCCCCCGAGCCCAGCCTCAGCCCCACGACATTGCAGGGCCCCAAGCAGAGCGTGAGGGACCCCAGGGCATCCCTCCTGCTCACCTTGGCAGTTGCGGCCATTGGGGGCCAGCCTGTAGCCAGACGAGGGGCAGCTGCACTGGAAGCTTCCAGGGATGTTGATGCAGCGGTAGGAGCAGATGTGGCCCCCGGTGGGCAGGGCGCACTCGTCGATGTCTGCAACGGCAAAGCCCACCTCAGCCTCAGTGTCCTGGCACCTGGCCATGGCTGCTGGCCATGCTACATCGCCCTGGGGGCTGCACTGGGGCCCGGGAGGGCAGCAGCACAGGACAAGCTGAACACAGGAAGCCTCAGAGACCATCGTGCTCAGAGAGGCGATGGGACTAGCCTAGGGTCACACAGCAAGTTCATGGTGTGAAGTATGCATGTGGCGGGCAGGGGGAAATATGGACCACAGTTCAATAATAAGAAACACACCTCAGCTGGGTGCACTGGCTCATGCCTGGAATCCCAGGCATGGGAGGCTGAGGCAGGAGGGTTACTTGAGCCCAGGAGTTCGAGACCAGCCTCGGCAACAAAGTGAGACCCTGTGTCTACAAAAAATCAAAAAAGTTAGTCAGGCATACTGGTGCATGCCTGTGGGCCCAGCTACTCAAGGAGGCAGAGGTGGGAGAATTGCTAGATCCCAGGAGATGGAGGCTGCAGTGAGCCGTGTTTGTACCACTGCCCTCCAACCTGGGTGACAGAGCTGTCTCTGTCTCAAAAACAAACAAGCAAACAAAATACACACACACCTTACATGAAAATGGTAATCATCGTAATTGCCCTTAATTGCCTGTAATTGCTGTCATCTAGTTTAATCCTCCAATGATCTGGTGAGGCTGAAGTTAATCATCATGTTACAGATGAAGAGTTAGAGCTCTGAGTCAGGGATATAGGTGGTCCCTGAGCCCCCTCCTTACCTCTCAGCCATGCACCACCACCAAGACCTGAGATATGCGGCCCAAGGTCCCAGTGCATGTTGTAATTACCGCCGTGCACATTTATTAAAGAACAAGTCAGGAGTGGTTTGCTGCCTTCCCACCCTCACGCTTAAGGATGGGAAAAGTATATTAGAATTTCAGTTGGGGGCCAGGCACGGTGGCTCATGCCTGTAATCCCAGCAATTTGGGAGGCTGAAGCAAGAGGATCACTTGAGCCACGGAGTTCGAGACCAGCCTGGGCAACACAGCAAGGCCCCGTCTCTAATTTTTTAAAAATAAAAAATTAGCCAGGCATGGTGGTATACACCTATGGTCCCAACTACTTGGGAGGCTGAGGTGGGAGGATCACTTGAGCCTGGGAAGCTGAGGCTGCAGTGAGCAGTGATTGCACCATATCACTCCAGCCTGGGCAACAGAGCAAGACCGTGTCTCAAAAAAAAAAAAAAAAAAAAAAAAAAACCTCAGTTGGAGGGAAAACAGCAAACCACCCGCTTGCCTCCAAGGGTGGACATGGAAGGTTTGTCAGGTGAAGAAATCCCAGCAGGCTCTTCCCTGTGGATTTTGAAAGTCAGAGGCCGTGCTGCTGTGTCATGGCAAGACCAGGGGGTGCTTTCCCCCTCAGCAGGCAGGGGCGTCCGCACCTTCACAGGTGACTCCATCCACATCGCTGAGCTGGTAGCCTCGCCGGCAGTAACACTGGTAGGAGCCGTAGACGTTGGCACACTCCTGGCTACAGGGGCTGCTGCTGCACTCATTGATGTCTGAAATACAAAACGAGGGTCACCGCTCAGAGCATCATACGTCCCTGCCTCCACAGTAGCCCTCAGGGTCAGTGAACAGAAAATCTCCTCTCCACCTCCCTCAGGTTAACACACTCGGAGAGACAGAGGTCCCGGGGGGTGTGGCCGAGGGAGAGGCGTCATCGCTGGTGGCTCCGGACCCTCCATCCCTGCTCCTGCCTGCTTCGACCACAACTTCTCCTGCCAGGATGGCAGCGATCGCCTCCAGCCTTGGCCCCTGGAAGTCTGCCCCGACCTGGCTGCCAGAGTCCATTCTAGTTCTCAAATGGAAATCTGATCCTGTGCTCTCCACTTCACCTCCAAGATGGCATCCTAAACAGATGACGGCACACAAGGAAGTCCTCGGCCACCCAGCCCATACGCCAGTACTCCTCATACTCCAATGCACAGAACTCACTGGGCCACTCAGCAACTCTGAACTACTGCTCAACTGTCCCCTTTACCTAAAGCAGAGGTCAGCAAATCATAGTCTATGGGCCAAATTTGTCCCAACACTTGTTTTTATAAATAAAGTTTTATTAGAACACAGCCCGGCAAGGCATGGTGGCTCATGCCTGTAATTCCAGCACTTCGGGAGGCCGAGGTGGGCGGATCACGAGGTCAGGGGTTCGAGACCAGCCTGGCCAGCATGATGAAACCCATCTCTACTAAAAATACAAGAATTAGCCAGGCATGGTGGCACGCACCTGTAGTCACAACTTCTCGGGAGGCTGAAGCAGGAGAATTGCTTGAACAAGGAGGCAGAGGTTGCAGTGAGCCAAGATCACACCACTGCACTCCAGCCTGGGCGACAGAGCGAGACTCCGTCTCAAAATAATAATAACAATAAAATAAAGAATACAGCCACATTCACTCTTTTTTTTTTTGAGACAAAGTCTTTGTCTGTCGCCCAGGCTGGAGTACAAGTAGCTCAATCTCAGCTCACTGCAATCTCCACCTCCGGGAGGCTATTGTCCACTAAATGTGGACATGAATTCAAGCAGTTCTCCTGCCTCAGCCTCCTGAGTAGCTGGGGGATTACAGGTGTGCACCACCATGCCCGGCTAATTTTTGTATTTTTAGTAGACACAGGGTTTCACGATGTTGGCCATACTGGTCTCGAACTCCTGACCTCAAGTAATCCACCTGCCTCAGCCTCCCAAAGTGCTGGGATTACAGGTGTGAGCCACTGTGCCCTGCCACACTCATTCTTTTACCATGGTCCTCTGGCCACTTCTCTGCTACCACAGCAGAGTTCAGCGGTTGCAACAGAGATTGTGGCTGGAAAAGCCTTAAATCTATACTATGTGGCTGTCACAGAACGTCCAATAGCCTTCCACCCCGTGTTTCATCTCTGTGGCCCCCACACACCAGGCCTGGCCTCCACCTGTCCAGTGTGGTCTCTCATCCCCCGCTAGAGACACTCCCCAGTGCAGGACCGAGTTCTTGCTACACACCCGGGGCAGGACCCTAACAAATGGTTAGTAAGGTCACATAGCAAGGTTGGCCAGGCTCTGGTTCTATATCCACAATATTGTCCACTAATGTGGATATGAATGCCGACTTTTCAGCAATTTATGAATGACTAGAGGAAGCACAAGCCAGGAATCCCACTACTTCTACTAAATAATAATAAAGCCAGCAGCCTCCACACCGCCAGCTCTTCATCCTGTGCTTGGCCCTGTGATAAGCTCTTCACATGCTTAATCTCGTTTCATCCTCACAACCCCCTATGGGGTTGGTCCTACTATGCCCGTTTTACAGATGAGGACACCATGGCCCAGGAAAGACTGAGTTACTTCTTCAAGGCCATGGAAATGGCAGAAGTCAGGTTTGAACACAAGCCTGAGAGACTCAACTCGTGAATCTTGTTCCTTGTCCATACACGTTCTTGTGAACTAAGCCCAGGACCCCTCACACCGTCCGTCCTCCGATTTGAGAATCATGCACACCACAGCTCACTGTGGCATATCCAACCCCTGCGACCATCTCATCAGGAAGGAAAATTCTCATGGCAAAATGTTAGGACCTGCCATGTTTGAGTCAGGCTGCAGAAGCCGTCCTGTGAGCCAGTGCACGGCACCAAACAGGGTGTCATCGGCAATGTGGACGATTGTGGAGGGCCATCCAAAGCTCTCAGTGTCTGCTCAGCTCAGAACCTAATCCGTATACAAGACACGACATCTGCCAAGCACCTAGTATGTGCCAGGCCCTGGGCTGACATGCAGTTCATGTGACCTTCCCATCAGCCCAGGAGGTTGGTGTTATCTGAGAACCACAAGACTGTTGGCAGGAACAACTCTGTCCAACCCCCACATACCAAGAGACCTGACCCAACTTCAGCGTGGCTGCCATTGGCCCAAGACCAGGTATCCAGGATGTAGACCCAGCCCCCTTGACATGCCTGTCTGAGAAAGATCAATGCTGCCAAAAGAATTTTCTCTTGGTTCCAGCCCAAACCTGACTACAGGCGCTGACCTCCATGTTCCTTAGAAGCATCTACTTTAGAAAAACTTGCAAATGTAAACGGTTTCTCTGTCCCTTTGAGATGTGCAACCAAGGAGTGTCTTTCTCAAGGGCTGGGGACATGCCTGGGGAATGTCGTCATCCGGAAGGCCAGGGTGCTTCTCCCTGTCTCTGCGGGTGGGGAAAGCCTAACTCCAACACGAAGTTAGAGGCAGGCCGGGCGCGGTGGCTCACGCCTGTAATGCCAGCACTTTGGGAGGCCGAGGTGGGCGGATCATCTGAGGTCAGGAGTTCAAGACCAGCCTGGCCAACATGGGGAAACCCTGTCTCTACTAAAAATACAAAAATTAGCTGGGCATGGTGGTGTGCACCTGTAATCCCAGCTATTCGGGAGGCTGAGGCAGGGGAATCGCTTGAACCCGGGAGGCGGAGGTTGCAGTGAGCCGAGATCGTAGCATTGCACTCCAGCCTGGGTGACAGAGCGAGACTCCGTCTCAAAAAAAAAAAAAGAAGTTAGAGGCAGGTGCACAGTGACCCACGCCCTAAAGGCCTCAGTACTTCCTCTCACAGCTCGTCATTTACAAAGCCTCCCTCCTTTTGTTTGGGTGACTTGAGATCAATGGACACAGAGGCCTGTCTCCCCTAGGCAGCATCTGATTAAAACCCACACACTGTCTTTGTGCAAAACAAGTGTCCAGTTTTCGCTGCTGTTTCACACATCAACCCCTCTCCCCGGGGAGGACACGGAGGCAGGGAGAGGTCGGGCATAACCAAGGCCCTGTGACTCGTGGGTGTCATGCTCCAAGCCCCATAATCCTAGCCACATCCCGCATGGCCTCTGCCGCAGCCTATGAACCCCGACACGGCCTCGGAGGGTGGATGTCATCAGGAGAAATCGGGTGGGCAGGCGGGCAGTCCTCTCTGATGAACAATATTTTACAGGCACTTCCCCTGCTAACATGTCATTTAACAGGGAAACCATCGCGGATCTGCTGCAAACCGGTCTGCAGAAGGGTGGCTTCCCCAGGAGGAAGGTGACCTGGGGGAGGTGAGTGGACGGGGCCCCAGCCTCACCTTCACATGACCTGCCATCCACAGAGAGCCGGAAGCCCACGGAACAGCTGCAGAGGTAGGAGCCCAGCGTGTTCTCGCACTTGTGGCCACACAGGCGCCCGGGGTAGCGCTGGCACTCGTTGACATCTGAAAGTGAGGGGTGGGCTGACTCAGGGCAATGTCCAACACAGTGGCACCACACTCCACCCTCCTAGTAAGGCCAGCTCATGTCCTTTGTCCTCCACCTCCTCCAGCCTCATTTCTTTTTTTTCCTTCATCTTTGAGATGGAGTCTCGCTCTGTCTCCTAGGCTGGATTGCAGTGGCATGATCTCAGCTCACTGCAACCTCCGCCTCCCAGTTCAAGTGATTCTCCTGCCTCAGCCTCCCAAGTAACAGGGATTACAGGCATGTGCCACCACGCCCGGCTAATTTTTGTATTTTTTGTAGAGATGAGGTTTCGTCATGTTGGCCAGGCTGGTCTCAAACTCCTGACCTCAAGTGATTCACCTGCCTTAGCCTCCCAAAGTGCTGGGATTACAGGCATGAGCCATCGCGCCTGGCCTCCAGCCTCATTTCTCAGACAAGGAATGCAAAGTGACTTGTCCCGAGCATGCGGGAAGTCAGTGGGAGAGCCGGGACTGCCGCGCTGTGCCTGCCTGGTGGGCGAGCCTCGTGCTCCTTCTGCGGCAGCACATCTGAACTTGTGCCCTCCTGCCAGTCCTCCTCCCCAGGACCCACAAGGAGGGTCTGCCAGGATCTAGCAAAGTGCCCACTTTGGGGGAGTGGTTGGCAGCTGCCAGGCTTCCCTGAGCACCTAGGTTTGGTGACAGCAGGCACTGGCTGGACAAGACCTGACCCCACTCCTGGTCAACTTTTCCCCTCGCTGCCCTGGGCTAAAGGCACACATCTCTAGCTCCTGGGGATCTACAGCTCAGCGGTGAATCTCCAGGAAATCGCTGATGCTGCCCACATGTGTAGACCTGGCTCATCAGCACTTGGAGGTCCTGGGTCAAGCAGAACCCCTTTCCACAGATGGGGAGCAGGCTCACACACAGGGGGGTGGTGCCAGTGGCCGCCTGGCTGGGCAGTAGCAGAGCTGGGGCTAGAATGGGGTCTCCTGACTCAGGATCTTCTCTCAGGGTCTGCCTGCACTTGGGATTATCTGAGATGAGGATCAGACCACATCACTCGAGGTGCCACAGAAATGTGTCCCTGGTGCCACGTGGCTGGGTTCCCCCGAGGCCTGCGGGGCCCCCCACGCACCGACACACATCCTGCTGATGCCGTCAAAATAGTAACCCGTCTTGCATTCGCAGCGGAAACTGCCGGGAGAGTTCACGCAGCGATGTCCCTTCCCACAGGGCTCAGCAGGTGGCGCGCACTCGTCCACATCTTGCAAAGGAGAAAGAAAGCCATGATGAAAACCTTTAGTTTGGGTTTTTTCCCCCCAAGATGATCAGAAAGGAAAGCAAGAAAGGAACACATGGACATGGAAACAGGCATTCCATTTCAACACGACTTCACAGAGCACCTACTGAGTGCCGGGCCCTGGACTGGGAAGATAGCTGACCCAGAGGCAGCCCTACCTGGCTGGCAGGCCAGCAATGACTCTCATTAAGGTAGGAAGTGCCCAGGAACCCAGGGAGACACTGAAGAAGTGTCCTGGGGGTTATGCGAGGAAGGCTCCTTCCCTGGCGGGATCTAGGCAGGCTGGGTGCCCTGGATCCAAAGGAACGTAGGAGCAGGTGGGCAGAGGGAATGACGTGAGAGCAAACACCCACACAGAGAGGAAAGGACAGTGCTTGTGTGGGGAGTGGCAGACCCACATTGCCTGAATTACAAGGTTTGTGGAGTTGGGCCAGCTCTGGGGGACTGGACTGTAAGCAGAGGCATCCATCCTTTGTCACCAACGGGGAGCTGATGGAACTGTAAACAGGGTGGGGTGCGAGAGCTTTGGGCTCAGGACAAGCCAGACAAGGCTGAGGCAGTAGACGGGCTGGTGCACCAGTCCAGGCAAGACAATGAAGCCCCATGCTTGGGAACTGACAGTGGGATGGATGGGCTGATAGAAATGGCTTTGCTTTGGGGATCAACTTTCTGCTTCCAGAGAAGGCAGGGTGCATGCTGGAAGCAGACAGGAAAGTGGATTTCAGATTTGTTTTCTTAATACCAACCAACACAGCGCGTTCCCTCCTCGTTGAGATGGTAGCCACGGCCACAGTTGGGCACGTTCTTCTGGCACGTGTAGGAGCCCTCTGTGTTGATGCATGTATGCCCGATAGGGCACGGGGCACTGATACTCAAACACTCATTGATATCTACAGCGGGAAAAGACAGAGACCATGTGGTTAAACCTGGAGGGTGTCCCAGAACCCAAAAACTGGATCTCCAAAGAAACTCCCCTTCCCACCTCTTTGCAAAACCACAAATGGAGGGGCTCAACCCCCTCACTCTGGACCACACAGCCGCCTCCCAGCTGGCTCCCAAATTTTATCACTGCATACCGCCTCAAACACCACCTCTCTGGCCCTTCTTCCTGTCCCTAAATCTCCAGCACCTCCATCGTTCGCTGCGCCAAATCGGGACCTGCCTGCCTGGCTTCTCCTGCATTCATCTACTCCACACACTGGGCACGGTATTAAGGAGACAGGTGACTGTCCACGTGGTGCCAGCAACTCTGACTCCCAGCAAGGCTCTAGGCCCCTCCGATGACTGGGCTTCACAGGGCCTATGCTGAGCCAGGCCCACCCGGGAGGTGCCATGGCTCCCTGAGCTCACTGCACGGCAGTCTCCTTCCTTGAGTGGACACATCTCTGACATGGGGACCGTGGGGCATTTACCTTTGATGACATACAATGAGCAAGTGTGAACCCATGAATGGTCCAGGAGGGCCATGCTACACAGGGATACCCTCCTTCTGCTCAAATTCGGAGGAAGAATACACAGATTGCACTTCCTGATAGAGGGAGTGGAAAAGGACCTAAGCATCTAAACATCACCTTGGAGAACCTTGCTCAGACACTTACAAAGCATCTGGTATGGGGGAACAAAGAGAGGGAGTGATGGTGGAAGACCCCTGAGCGTAAGTCAGAAAGGAGGACAGCTGTACCCCTCTCCCTGCCAGCCAAGTCCACCCTCCTCAGTCAAATGAGTCAGCCCTTCGCGCTGACCGTGCAGCAATTTACAGTTTACAAAAGCTTTTACATCCATGACCGCTCTCGAGCACCACAGCCAGCCTGCAAGTGAGGTGAGGCCGGTATCACTATCATTACTGCCTGCACTTTATAAACAGGAAACCAAGGTCCGGAGACTGAATGACTCTGGGCTCATGGCTGAAGTCAGGGGCCAACCAGGGCCTAGGTCTAGAATCAGGGTCTCCTGCTTTCCAGCTCCCTTAAATCAGTGGCCAGCAAATGATGGCCCTTGGTTCAAACCCGGCTTACACCTGCTTTTGTAAATAAAGTTTTATTAGCGTGCAACCAGGCCCACTCTGTTATGCATTGCTCAGGGGTGCTTTTACACTGCAAAAGGCAGAGTTGAGTGGTTGCCACAGAGACTGAAGTTGTTAGTTACCATCTAGCCCTTTAGAGAAACAGCTGGGTGGCCCCTGCCCTGTAACACGAATAAATGCAGCGTTTAGCAGAGCGGTGGCTGCCTTCCCACTGGCGCTGCAGGTTCCTCACTCAGACTAGATTCCCCAAACTCTGTTCCACAGAACAACAGTGTCCCTCAGAACATCGTGCACTCCACAGGGGTAAGACCTGGCTATCAATGAATGAATGAATGGGAATGAATAAACAGACAGCAAATCAATGTAAAGCATAGGGTGAGTTTGGGAACAGGGCACCCGATCTCTCCCTCTCAGGGATTCACATGGGAAAAGCCCAAGCTACCAAGGTCCCCGTTCACTTGGCTTCACCCAGTGCTTCCTAGATTCAGTGGAACCCCTTCCTGCCCCAGGACCTGCCGACATCCCCAGGCAAGGTCAGCCAGGGCACGTGGGAAGCCCTGGCCCATTCCTTCCTCCCCACTCAAGAAGAAAGGCAGAGGCTGGGCGTGGTGGCTCACGCCTGCAATCCCAGCACTTTGGGAAGCCGAGGGGTGGATCACCTGAGGTCAAGAGCTCGAGACCAACCTGGCCAACACGGCAAAACCCCATCTCTACTGAAAATACAAAAATTAGCCAGGCATGGTTGTGGGCACCTGTAATCCCAGCTACTTGGGAGGCTGAGACAGGAGAACTGCTTGAACCCAGCAGGGTGGAGGTTGCAGTGAGCCAAGATTGCACCACTGCACTCCAGCCTGGGTGACAGTGAGACTGTCTCAAAAAAAAAAAAAAAAGAAGAAAAGAAGGAGGGAAAGGGGGAGGCGGGGAGGGAGAGAAGGGGAAGGGAAGGAGGGGGAGGAGGGAAGTGGGAGGGGAGGGGGAGGGGAAGAGGAGAAGGGAGGGGGAGGATGGGAGGGGGAAGAGGAGGAGGAGAAGGAGAAAGGAATACAGCAGCAGGAGGAGGGAATTTGAAGAAAAGAGCAAAGAAAACCCGACAAAGCCATGCTGGTCTCAAAGCCCTCGGTGACCCAACCTTAAGGTTCTAGAAAATTCTCCATGCATGATAGGGGCAGAGACCTCCACTTTCTGGGACCCTGACCCATCCCTTGTACTAGCTCTGCAGGAAGAGCTCTTCTGCTACAGGCAGGAGGCTCGGATGGGCTCTTGGGGCCCCAGGATGGTTCTAGGAGCTCCAGGAAGATGGATTCTGGCTACACAAGGAAATCAACGCTTCCCACCACGGACCATGCTGTTCCTGGGTGAGGGAGCGGGTACCATGGGCAGAGGTGTGGGAGCAGAGGACCCAGGGTGCGTGCTGGGGGACCAGGACCTGACATAGAACCTTTTCAGCCCTCTCCCAGACGGCCTGAAACTACCTTCTATCTTGATGTATTTTCTCCTTAGAAAGACGTATTTCTGCTGATGCAGTCATTTTTAAAAAGATAACATAAAGGTGCTGACATGAAATGATTTCTAAATACCCTGTCAAGTGGGGGGGAAAAGCAAGTGGCAGAACAGTCTGATCCCATTTTCATAAAAAAACAAAAAGTCTCAAGGGAGCAGAGCCCAGAAGGGCTCATGGACCCTGCCAAGAGGCGGGCAGGATTGGCCAGGGGAGGAGCGTTTACTTCCTACACTTAGGTTTTGTTTGCTGATTTATAAGTCAAGACATACATAATTTTTGAAATAAATAGAGATCTTTTAAAACAATGATTCCTGAGCTTGATTGCAAGGATTGAGAGCACATGAAAAGGGGAACCCCATCCTCATCCCAGCATCCCAAGCTAAGGGGACCCTGAGGGAGCTGAACATTTGGCTTTCGATGCTGTCACTGAGGACCCAGGGAGATGGCACGGAACAGCTCAGTGCCGCCAGGCTGGCCTTCAGCCCACAGCCTGCTTGCCAGTCCTGGAAGGACAGTAAGGGGACGGCTCCCGAGCCTCAGCCCATACACAGTGCTGCACCCTGTAGAGAGGAAAGTCAGGGCTAGGTTGAGACTTGCAAACATTGCCTCTTTGTGGAAATCGGGGCTGATTTTGCCATGAGTCAGGGTTTCCATCCTCAGTCGACGCCAGCCTCCTCCGGACCCCCCTTTGAGCAGGCTGCAAGTCTGAGCAGGACTATCCTCCCCGCTGGTCCCGGAGAGCCCATGGCTTCCCTGCTCACCACCCCCTGCGCTGAGCGAAAACCACCCCTCCCTGCTGGCAAGGGACTGGCGAGGGGCCAACTGGCAGCTGAGCCACAGCGCCCCAGCTCAGAAGTCTCCCCCAGGGGATGACAGGGAAGCTGTAACAGAGGAAGGCTGGGGCGGGTTTCAGACGAGGCCCCTGTCCTAAGGGCTCACTGTTCCACTTGTCTTTTTATCTTTTTTTTTTTTTTTGACACAGAGTCTTGCTCTGTTGTCCAGGCTGGAGTGCAGTGGCACGATCTTGGCTCACTACAACCTCCACCTCCTGGGTTCAAGCGATTCTCCTGCCTCAGCATCTTGAGTAGCTGGGATTACAAGGTGCCCACCACCACACCCGGCTAATTTTTGTATTTTTAGTAGAGACGGGGTTTCACCATATTGGTCAGGCTGGTCTCGAACTCCTGACCTCAAGTGATCCACCCGCCTTGGCCTCCCAAAGTACCAGAATTACAGGCGTGAGTCACTGTGCCCGGCCACATCCACTTATCTTTAAATATCTCAGTGGTTAAAAATAATGCAGTGGGGGAAGAGCTCTCTCTCCAAACCACTATTTCAAATAAATGATCAATACAGATTTCGCTAAGGAAAAGTTGAAATCGAAGCAAGATGGAAATGTATACCCCCTTGCTCATGGCAGGGGAGAGGTGATGGGGCCACCCCAGGTGGGGAGGTTCTGACTAGTGTGATCTGTAGCTCGGATTCCTCACCTCTTCTCCTAAAAAGTCTCTCTGACCTCAAAGGCAGGACCCAGGGGCGTCTGCCAAGCAGAGGCCGAGGGAGAGCCGGTGGATCAGGACTTAAGCGCTGACTGCAGCGGCCTAGCCAGGCAGTTAACCTGACAACGGCTGGGGAAAGCAGGACTCACCTCCTGTCTTTCCAGAACCAGTAACCCAGGCCGGCCAGCTCCCCGGCCGCACCCCACACAGCTCCTCTAGCGTGAGCGGTCTTGCCCAGGCCTCCTAAATTCATACTAAGTTCACATGGGATTCTCTCTTTTCATATTAGTATTTCTCTGATATCAGCAATTTCTTTTTTTTTTTCTTTTTTGAGATGGAGTCTCACTCTGTCACCCAGGCTGGAGTACAGTGGCGTGATCTCAGCTCACTGCAACCTCTGCCTCCCAGGCTCAAGCGATTCTGCTGCCTCAGCCTCCTAAGCAGCTGGGATTACAGGCGCCCATCACTACGCCCAGCTAATTTTTGTATTTTTAGTAGAGATGGGGTTTCACTATATTGGTCAGGCTGGTCTCAAACTCCTGACCTCAGGTGATCCACCCTCCTCGGCCTCCCAAAGTGCTGGGATTACAAGTGTGAGCCACCGTGCCTGGCCAGAGTTTCTTTTCTCATTGTGGTGAACTACATGTGAACTACAAATTTTATGTAACACAAAATCTGCCATCGTAACCATTTTAAGTAGACGGTTCAGGGGCATTACTGCATTCACACTGTCGTGCCACCATCACCCCCATCCATCTCCAGAACTTTTTCATCTTCTCAAACTGAAACTCTGCGCCCAGGAAACACTCACTCCCCATCCCCCACCCTGCCCAGCCCCGGCACCTTCCATTCTACTTTCTGTCTCTATGAATTCAAATACTAACACAGACTGTTTTTTATTTTTATATTTTATTTTATTTTTGAGACAGGGTCTTGCTCTGTTGCCCAGACTGGAGTGCAGTAGCACGATCACAGCTCACTGCAGCCTCGACCTCCCTGCTCAAGGGATCCTCCCACCTCAGCCTCCCAAGTAGCTGGGACTGTAGGCATGCGCCACTACACCCAGCTAATTTTTTGTAGTGATGGGGTCTCGCTATATTGCCCAGGCTGGCCTCAAAAACCTGGGCTCAAGCAATCCTCCTGCCTTGGCCTCCCAAAGTGCTAGGATTACAGGCGTGACCCACTGTGCCCAGCCAAGTATTTTTTAAAATAATTTTTTAATAGGCTAAATGCCTGTGGCAGGGAATCACCACTCACCGAGTGCTTCCTGTGTACCAGTACTTCGCAAGTACTCGCCTAATCCTGGCCTCAAGTCTCTAAGCCAGGTATTATGATTACTCCCATTTTATAGAGGAAAAAATTAAAGCTCAGAAGTAATTTTCTTGGGTCACTCTAACTCCAAAACCCAAGCTCTTTAATCTAAACCCAGATCAGCAAACTGTGGTCCTTGGGCCAAATCCAGCCTACTGCCTATTTTTGTAAATAAAGTTTTATTGGAACACAGCCACACCCATTTGTTTACAGATGGCCCTTGGCCGCTTTAGACTATAACAGCAGAGTTGACTATTATGACAGAGACCATATGGCCCACAACGGCTAAAGTATTTGCTCTATTTGCTGTCCAGCCCTTTACACAAAAAGTTTGCCAACCCCTGTTCTGTATACCATGCGGCCCCGCAGATTCTAGAGGCCTGCCCCAAGGCTAGGTCGCTGGCCCCTCCTGGAATAACCCGCTAATCCTGGCGGCACACCTCTTACCAATACAGTTGCCTAGAGCATCTTGTATAAAGCCACTCTTGCACTGTAGCTTGGGTCGGCAGCGGAAGGATCCCAGAGTATTCTGACAGATAAAATCGGGGAGGCAGTTATGAATACCACTCTCACACTCGTCAATATCTGGTACATCATAAAAAAAGGAAATTGTTAGCAAGAGTCCTGCCAGAAGCATCTTACAACACTTTAAAATCACAAGAAAGCTTTTTTCTAATGCGCATTACTCAGACTATAACCCAAAACATTCTAATAGAGAAATCATACACAAAAAAGACTTCACTGAGCCAAATCGTGCTCCAGTTGCTAAAGACTTAAAAAGCTGACTTTTTTTCCCAAGGCTCTTATGAGGCAAACTGTCTGTTATAATAAATCACCCTGGCATTTTCCTGGCAGGTATATATATATTAGTATTCATTCAGGCTAAGTGTATGTTTAGTTTAGATCATAAAGCAATTATCTTAGTGGCAACAAACACAGTCTCTATAAACATATCCATTCTGAAGTCTTCACAATAATCCAGATATTAACAAGGGTTACAGTCATGATGGGATGTGATGGGCTGCCCTTCCCTTGAAGTTCATGGCTGTCAAATGGTCAAATGTGTATACTCAGCTGGCTTGGCCACTGGGCTCTAGGGGTCCAAACCACCCAGCTGGTGTGTGGGGGTGGGGAGGACAGAATTTGCTCTGTGGCCCTCAGATGTCAGAAGGGGTGTGCCATGCTTTGAAGTCACTCTCATGATACAGTGAGTGACATTTTTACACAAGTGGATTTGTCCTTCTGAAAGGCTTGAAACCCTCTGCAAAACTGTGTTCTAAACGATCCTCATCAGAGCCTCCCCATCTGCCAAATAACACCTAAGGCTTGGCGGGGAAAGGCTGGCAGCCAGAAATGCCATGTGTTTATGCAGTGGAAGGGGATATGCTTTGAACTTCAAGGAAGCCTGGATTTGGATGGAAGGCAGCTGTTGTGCAAAAACAGTTGTGGGATTTTTGTTTTTGCTTTTTTTTTTTTTTTTTTTTTTTTTTTTGTAGAAAGTACATGTGAGAACCTGAAATTCATCCCTGGTCTTGATTTTAAATAGTCATGCACTGAGCCTTTTTAGAAACCCAAATCTGCCATCGTTTACTCTGCACCATAAGAACGTAAATCTTTCCTAACAGCTGAACTAGCTGGCACCGGTGCACTACTGTCAACTTTTTCAATGTTCTGAACATTATTGGCAAGCACTTTCACCTTCCATCCCACCTGTCCAGACACCCTGGTGGGTATAACCACCTCCCTCCTGCAGATGAGCAGGCAGTCGCCCAGGCAGCCACAGAGGGCGCAGGACTGCGGGAGCCCAGACCCCAGAGCTGCCCTTCCCACCGCGCCGTATCTACGCCTGGAAGACCAGGTTTGCAGACTCGGAGCGCATGCTGTACCTTTGCAGCTATTGTCCTCTGTGAGCTCATAGCCAGTCCCGCAGCTGCTGTCCCGCTGGCAGCGGAAAGAGCCCACTGTGTTGATGCAGGATTCTCCAAGCCGGCAGCTGTGGCTGCCCGTGATGCATTCATTGACATCTAGGAGAGACCGAGGCAGTGCGGGGGTGACCAGCAAGAACGACCCATCCTAATACATCCTAGAAAGGAATGTGCCAAAGCCACGGTGGAAGTGCTTCCCTGCACCCTCGCAAACTGAGCTCAGGTCCACCATGTGCACATCCGGGCTGTGGACTGCACGGAGTCGAAAGCAGTGATTTCTCTCCCCTGCTAACGTTCATATCTACTGCTTTTTCTGAGACTGTAGTTATGTGGTCCTCAAGAACCCCACGGAGGGGCAGCATCTTCTCCATCTCCCCCATCTCACAGACGCGGGGGCCAGGAGAGGCTGAAGGATGTGCCCAAGGCCACTCAGCAGATCCTGGATCCGGAACCTGGTTAGACCCCAACTCCATCCTCTTTCCCAACCCCAGTGCTTATATTGTCTTGGAGGGAAGTCTCGGCAGGGGCCTCTGCGCTGCAAACTCCAGCGAACACGAGAAAGCGCGTCCTGGGCTGCTCTCCACCCCTGAATGGGGTCTGGGTTGTAGAAGGCAGGCCCTGGTCAGTCCTCCAGCACAGAGCTCCCAAGCACAGTGACCGGCCAGTCCTGCTGGCACCTGGGATAGGGACATTACCTTCACAGGAGACACCATCAGACAGCAGCTGGTAGCCCACGAAGCAGGAGCAGACCACCTCGTCACCCGTGTCTCGGCACTGCTGCTTGCAGGGCCCGCCTCCTGGAAGCACAGCGTGCATGAGCCAGGGATGGACGCACCCAGGCACCGCCTGGTTTCTAGCTCCGTTCAGGCTGGGTCATAGAAAACGCCCTCTGGGCAGACGAACCCAGGAAGGCAGGCTGACCTGGCTGGAGCCCACCTGCTGCCCTACTGGGAGACCCCCAGGCTCTGGCTCTGGACACCCCCCAGGGGCTGCTGCTTCAGGTCCCAACCTCCCCGTCTGGAAAATCAGGTGGTGTGCAGGGTGCCCTTTGTAGGCTGGGGTGGACCTGGAAGGGGCGAAGCAGAGAAGAGCTCACTGCCGGTCACAGACATGGGGGTGTGGGCTCCACGTGGAAGGCCAGGCCCCAACTAGGCCTCATGTACCTGCTCCTCACTGAACTCTCGAGCTGTCCCACTGCTCCAAGCCCACTACCATGGCCTCAGTTCCTGCAGCTGCCCACCTGGCTGTGGCCACAGCCTCCTACCTGGTCTTTCTGCATAGCCCAGAAGCACCCCACAACCTGTTCTTCCTACAGGGTGGCCAGAGTGATGCTCAGAGTGCAAATCTCATCAGGATAAGCCTCAACCAGGGAAAGATTCTACGAGATACACTTCTAACTGCTGCCAGCCTGCCTGCTTCTAGGGCCCCTCTCTCTGGCCCTGTAACCCCACCTCCTTCCCCAGCCCACTGCCTCCCAGTACCCTGCTACAGTGGGTCCGTGCCCTTTACAAGGCTTCAGGTCTCCCTGAGGACCGTTTCAGGGTTATTTTCCCAGCTAATCCCACCTCCTCCTTGCAGACCAGCTCTCCCCTCCCCAGAAAGCTCCTCCCATAGCCCTGAGGCTTGCTGGGGCTCTAGGTCACTCCCTTCCTCCCTCCACCAGGCCCCTGGACAGCGCCCCTGGACCAACTGTCACTGTACACTGACTGCATCATTTAAGAATTAAACTGGCCCCTAATTAACACCCTAACCACAGGGGGAACCACTGAAAGAGCTTGTGAGGCAGATCTGCAGGTCTAGACATGCCAGAATGTTCCATGAAAGAAAAGCAGTTTTATCATATGAAAAACAAACCTGCGAGGCCCTTAGTTAAATGTGCAGACATCTCCCTGTGAGGCAAATGAATATCACCAATGGTGACAGAACCGTGGCTGGGGCTCCAGGGGCACAAAGGCAGGGAACGCTGAGCCCCCTCCTCTCCCCTGAGAGCCTGAGGGAGGCCTCTGTCACCTTCACAAGGCCTGGGGGCTCGGTAACGTGCAGGCTTTCCACACCAGCTCTGGCCCTGGGCCTGGGCCACCCTCCCCAGCAGGGCCTCACCAGGGCCCCTCCTTGGTAAGCCCACCCTTCCCCTCCCCAGCCAGCCCTAGATCTGGAAGGGGAAAGGGAAGGAGGAGCTGGGAGTCCACGACTCCTCAGGGTGGAAGTGGCTCATGGCTGGCTCCCAGCCAAAGGGTACTTTGCAGGGTAAACCAAAGCAAAACCTGGATTCCAACTTCCAGTGAGATCAGCACCGAGATTCCTTGGTTTTGCTTTTTGTTTGTTTGTTTTTTTGTTTTTGAGACGGGGTCCAGCTCTGTTGCCCAGGCTAGAGTGCAAAGGTGCAGTCATAGCTCACTGCAGCCACAACCTCCTGGGCTCAAGGAATCCTCCTGCCTTGGCTTCCCAAAGTACTAGGATTACAGGCCTGAGCCACCTTGCTGGCCCCTTGGGGTTTGTTTAAATACCAACTGATGGGAGACGCCCGAGTCTCACCTCGGCAGCGGTCATTCAGATATGGGTCCTCTTGTTCCTCCTCAACCTCAATGATCTTATCTAAGGGGGAAAAAGACCAAGTCAGACATTTATCCAAACACCCATCTTATCTTAAAAGAAACTCCCAACATTCTCTCTTCTTGTCACTATCAGGCAGTAATGCCCATTTGAACATCTTATATAAACAGCTAAGTATTAACTTTATCCTCTTTAAGCTAGAATTACACTTGAAAATGTATAATTGATATCTGATCAATTATAGGCCAGGCGTGGTGGCGGGCACCTGTAATCCCAGCACTTTGGGAGGCCGAGGCAGGCGGATCACCTGAGGTCAGGAGTTCAAGACCATCCTGGCCAACACGGTGAAATGCTGTCTCTACTAAAAATACAAAAATTAGCCAGGTGTAGCGGCATGCACCTGTAATCTCAGGTACTCAGGAAGTTGAGGCAGGATAATCGCTTGAACTCAGGAGTCGGAGGTTGCAGTGAGTCAAGATCACACCATTGCACTCCAGCCTGGGCAACAAGAGCGAGACTCCGTTTCAAAAAAAAAAGATCAGTTATAACAGAAAGACCACAGACACAAAGGCCTGTAATCATTGACTTCATGCTGGGTGATATTCCCATAGTCCAAATTACTTGACCATCTCAGCAAATGCAGTCACAGCCTTGCTAACAACCAACACACGCCCTCCAAGTCTAAAGCAATGCACGCAGTAAAAACTTGAGTCTCCTGATTGATTCTATCAAATGCTATTATGTGTTTGAAAAGGGTTATTCTCCATTTCTGTACTTATTTGTCGCAGGCCAGCACTGGTCTGGGGACCTTCTGCATGGCCCCCAGGAAACATACAGTGGGTCCATGGCACTGGTAGCAGTGGGAGGAAGGTGCGGCTGTGAAGACAGGAAGCCCTCCCAGAGGAGGGAGCATGCGAGGATAGTCTGGGGCAAGGACTGAAGCAGATAAAAGACGGAGAGATAAAACATCTAACATCTGGAGCTGCAGAAAAGCCCAGAGACTGCTCACGCTGCAGACATAAATCAGTGAAAATCCACCCCCGAGATGCAGGAGAAATCCTCCACCAGCAGGAATGGTTTGGGTTTGTTTAAAGTGAAAATGTCGTCTCTGATTTCAAAAGCCAAGGAATGAGGCAGAATGCGGCCCCAATCCCTCTTGATGACTGTAACATCTGAAATCATCTCAGTGGCATCCATGGGGCCCTGGACTTGAAAAACTAAGAACAATAAGTGAAAGATGAGTCCCGGGTGACCCGGGTCCTCTGTGACCAGGGGCCCTACAGCCTGGACTTGAAAACCTAAGAACAAGAAGTGAAAGGTTCCGTGTCACCCAGGACCCTACAGCCATTACCTTGACTTAGAGACTACAGGTCTGAGGGTTCTTCCCTTTCGCCCCTTCCGGCACCTCCCCACCTCTTTATTTATTTTATTATTTTTTTTGAGACTGAGTCTCGTTCTGTCACCCAGGCTGGAATGCAATGGCGCCATCTCGGCTCACTGCAACCTCCGCCTCCCAGGTTCAAGCGATTCTCCCTGCCTCAGCCTCCCAAGTAGCTGGGATTACAGGCGCCCGCCACCACGCCCAGCTAATTTTTGTATTTTTAGTAGAGACAGGGTTTCCCCATGTTGGCCAGGCTAGTCTCGAACTCCTGACCTCAGGTGATCCGCCTGCCTCGGCCTCCCAAAGTGCTGGGATTACAGGCGTGAGCCACCGTGCCCAGCTCACACCTCTTTTATTTTTTAAGAGAGTGGGGGCAAAGCTCAGAGAGAGGAGGGAACAGGCCGAAAACTACACAGCAAGCTTGGCCCAGGCGGAGTCCTGCCTTCTTCCAGGTTAATTCTGTTACAGCACAAGAAACCGTGGCCTAAGTGTAAGAGGCTACTGGACAGCCACAAAGTCTCCTGAACCCTGTAACTGAACCACACAGAAATGCAGGGCGAGGACACAGAACGGGGGGGCACACAGCTGAGAGCGCTCTTGAAGCTGCTCTTGGGGTCACATGCCCCTTTGCTGAGTAAGTGTCTATGATTTGACAGAGCATAGCCAGCTATTAGCCAGCGATGGCCCCCAGCTGCTCGCCCATACATCGTCAGCTCCAGATGGAGAGGGCACTGGCCAGGAGGTGGAAGGCCAGGCTCTCCCTCCTCCACGTGTCGGCTGTGCGATCTTCAGCATCAGACCCTCACCCAAGAAGTGGGAGCAAGGCCAGCCACCCATGCTGCCCCGGGCAGCTGAAGGGACAAGGGCAGATGGTGAGGGCAGACATTTATGGGGCCAGGTGCTCTACCCAACCCTTGACACCCAATCTCGCACTCCATCCTCCCAGCACCTGATGAAGTAGGACTGCAACTATCCCCACTTCCCAGATGAGGGGACCAAGGTACACATTAGGACCCGGATGGGAGCACAGATTTGTCCGATCCCAGACTCCAAGCACTCAGCGTCACTCCAGGACAGCGGCTTTCAGATAAGGTCACAAACATGAATGGCTCCGACAACCGGAGTTAGTCCGTGCTGAGTTAAGGCAATGGTGACACGGATGCACGTGTTACCTGTAATGGTTCATCGTAAGTGTCAATTGGGCTGGGGTATGGTACTCAAATATTTAGTCAAACACTAGCCTGGATGTTGCTGTGAAGCTATATTTTAGAGATTAATATTGGCCAGGCACGATGGCTCACACCTGTAATCCTAGCACTTTGGGAAGCTGAGGCAGGTGGATTACCTGAGGTCAGGAGTTCCAGATCAGCCTGGCCAACATGGTGAAACCCCATCCCTACTAAAAATACAAAAATTAGCCAGGTGTGGTAGTGTACACCTGTAATCCCAGCTACTCGGGAGGCTGAGGCACAAGAATCACTTGAACCCGGGAGGCGGAGGTTGCCGTGAGCCAAGATCACACCACTGCACTGCACTCCAGCCTGGGTGACAGAGAGAGATTCTGTCTCAAAAAAAAAAAGAGATTAACATGTAAGTCTGTTGATGCTGAGAAAAGCAGATCATCTTCATACCATGGGTGGGCCTCACTCAATCAGCAGAAGGCCTTCAGAGAAAAAAGACTGGCCTCCCCGGGAAAGGCGGCGTTCTGCCAGCACACTGCCTTTGAACTCCAGCTGCAATGCCCCTCCTTCCCTGGGGCTCCAGCCTGAAGGCCTGCCCTGCAGATTTTGGACTTGCCAGCCCCACGATCACATGAGCCAAGTCCTTAAAATCTCTCTCTCTCCACTCTCGCTCTATATACACATCCCGGAGAACCTTAATACACTGCTCATTAGGGAAGGAAGGGGGAAAGTTACCCGTTTCTTGGAGGCCCCCGACATCCAAATCTCCGGTCTCCTGGCTCTTGACACAGCATGCCTGGAAGACCTGTCCACACTGGTAGCCAACCATGAGGCTGTACTCGCAGCTCTGGCCCTGGGCCTGGGCCGCCCTCCCCAGCAGACAGCAATGGCAGCACCTCTGCAAACACAGGTGGAGATCCCAGATGGAGGAGCGGGCAGACAGCCCAGCGGGGTCCACGAGAGGCCTCAGGGGAGGCCTCTCTGAGCCCCCTGTCCACACAACCTGTAGAGTGATGACTCAAGTCTGGCTTAGATACCACTTCTAAATGTCAGCAACAAATAGCAAAGCAAGGCCATCCCCCTACTCCAAATCATCTAGGTCCCAGTTTTGAAAGGAAGCTTAAAGGGCCTGGCATCCACCTCCCCTCCCCACCCCAACATGCAATTGCACCCCTCAACATCCCTGCCCCGCCCAGAGACCACCCGGCTCTGCTCGCACACATCCAGGAAGAGGGAGCTTCTTATAGCACCATGCACCAGCTCCAAAGTTCTGTTCCTTTTGCATGGTCTGAGATTTCTCTACCATGCCCGGAAAAATGACACACATGCATGCTGCCTCTCCGTTTTTGAGTTAGAGGGGTTCTGGCAGCAGGAATTGCACCGTGCATTTGAAAGCACAGGAACTTCAAGACGAGTCATCAAGCAAGGTCAAAGGACAGGGTGGCTGTCTGCCACCTGGGCCCAGGTCCCAATAGTTACTTCCAAGTCCCTGTGGCCTCACACCTGAGTCCCAGAAGCAACATTTGCCCTGACACACGAAAAGCCCTGCTTCAGTCTTTATTAAGTGGTTATCCTAAGAGGAGCACAGAACTTTCTAAACAGTCCCCAGCAGGAGCCAGGAGGTGTAGCTTTGCCTCAGTTATGTGGCACTGATGGGTCTTCCAGGCTGCTTATTCTACGCCCTCCGCTGCCAGAAAGTGTAGGGAGCATCAGTCACCTCATCCATCTTTTGGGGTGTGAGTAATCCTTCCTGGAAACACAAGTCGCTCATCTGCCAGAGAGATCTGTTCCCACTCCTGCTAGAATGTTCTGTGCTTTTTCCACACCTCTCAAGTCTGGGGACATGGGCACAGCTGTGTGCCGGACCGACGGCATCTGCAAGGCCCAGCCCTGCATTGGGTGTTGGGTGGGAGGGTGCGGGGGCAGTCATGAAACGCCCAAAGTCCTGGTTCCCAGGCACCCCCACCATCACCCCACCCAGCTCTCTCCTGGGCCAGAGCCCTGCCCTGTGAAAGCCCACACAGGCCAAGGTGGGCAGGGGACTCGGGACCCCCAACTCCTCCACACGGAGTCCCTCCACAGCCCAATCTATGTGGAGAATCCCCACAAAGGAGCTCCCACACCCTCTCCTGGAATCCAGACTTCATTCAGATTCTTGTTTCTTAAAATTATTCCATCACCTTCCTAAAAGGAACGGGAAGCTTCTTCCAGGGAATGCATTTTCGTCATCTGGCACCTCCAACAGAAGCCCAGCTTCCAAACCCGAGCTCCTCCAGGCCCAAGTTCCTCCTGGCCGGGCTTGTTTTCCTTGCTGGCTGGGTGGTAAGGGAGGGATGGCCTGGACACCTTGGGTTTACTGCCTGTAGGCAATGCTGTCAGGCACCTTTCCACCTCTTGCAAAGACACAGCCCTTCCACGGCCATAGCGGTCCTGAGTGACCTGCTAGCACGTAGGGTCCTAGGAGCACTCAGGGAAGAGGACTATGCCATTTATTCACAGCTTACCTTCAGGGCAGGATCCCGTCTGGGTCCCTGACAGGACTGCAGAGAGGCCATTTTGGAGGCTGGGCCTCTCTGAACCTCAGTTTCCTCTTTTAGGGTCGTTATAGAGGTCAGATCTTATCAGAGGTCTTAGTGAGGGCCCATTTTTACCTCTGGACCCTGACGAGTCTGTGGGTAGAGAAGCCTGAGAGCCTCCTGGGTAGGGTGAGGGTGCCGACCCTGAATTGAGAAGAAGATTCTGGAAGCCCAGGAGGAGCCCTGCTTTGACTTCTGCATCTGCCCAATGCCTGGAGACAGGCGGTTCTCAGGGCAAGGCCAGCTCACTTCACCCCCCGGCCTCGTGGGAGACTCGGCCCCAGGTGTCCTCCGGGGTTTACGGCTACAGTGGAGGGGGAGAAACAGTGGGGTTTTCCACCTCCCTCCTGGCCCAGGAACCCCCAGCTGCTCACAAAGAAAGGTGGCCTGAGGCAGGGAGCGCTGACAGACAGTGCCGCTTGGCTGGGAGGGCCTGGGTCTGCCGACTAGTGGGGACGGGCAGCGACCCCACATGGTCTTTGGCTCTCACCTTCACAAATGTGGCCTCCAGGCTGGCGTTGTCACCGTGGGGCGTGGCACAGCGGTCCTGCTCGTTGGCCAGGCTGATGCCCGTGGCACAGTGCAGCTCCTCCAGCTGGCTGTGGCAGCACTGCTCCTGCACCATCCTGTGGGTGAGGGGTGGGCTGGGCCAAGGCTCTGTGCGCAGGGGGCCCAGGGCACGAGATCCTCGGGGGTGGGGGTGCTCTCACCTTTGAGCCTCCCCTTCCCTGCTCCCACAGACACAGAGAGAGAAATACACAGTGCCCCAGTGGCATACAGAAGGAGCTCAATTAGCATTTAGTTAGAAAGGCTTGGCCGGGCACAGTGGTTCACACCAGTAATGCCAGCACATTGAGAGGATGAGGTGGGAAGACCAGTTGAGCCCAGGAATTCGAGACCAGTCTGGGCAACATGGTAAGACCCTCTTTCTTTCTTTTCTTTTCTTTTTCTCTCTTTCTTTCTTTCTCTCTTTCTCTCTCTCTCTCTCTTTCTCCCTTTCTCTCTTTCCTTCTCTTCCTCTTTCTTTCTTTCTCTCTGTTTTTCTTTCTCTCTCTCTCTCTCTTTCCCTTTCTCTCTTTCTCTCTTTCTTTCTTTCTTTGAGATGGAGTTAGGCTGGAGTGTAGTAGTGTGATCTCAGCTCACTGCAGCCTCTGCGTCTCGGGTTCAAGCGATTCTCCTGCCTCAGCCTCCCCAGTAGCTGGGACTACAGGCATGCGCCACCACACCTGGCTAACTTTTCTATTTTTGTAGAGACGGGGTTTCACTGTGTTGGCCAGGCTGGTCTGGAACTCCTGAGCTCGGGTGATCCCCCCGCCTCAGCCTCCCGAAGTGCTGGGATTACAGGCGTGAGCTACCATGCCTGGCCTCTTTTTTTAAAAAAAGAAAGACAGAATGTAGTATGGTGTCTGGAGTCAGAGCCAGGAGGCCCAGTTTTGTCACCAGAGTGGCCGCGTCACTCCTCTGAGCACTAGGCTTCACCCGCACAATGTTCCTGCTGATTTGAAAACCAAAAAGCGGCGGGGGGCTGACTCTGGGCCCAACCTTCCACCCCTTTATCAGGTCAAGCTCTTCTCAGTGCTCGTTCCATCTTCCAGGCTCAGAGCAAACAGCTTCTGAGAGTCCTGTTGGGTAGCCTGCCCAAGGCCCCAGAGGGAGGGATGGTGGCTGCAGTGGCACCTAGCTGCAAAGCCCACACCTCCCAGCCCTGCCGGGGCTCTGGGGAGAGGTCCTCGACCTGCCAAAATCAGCTCCTCCAACACAACCATGAGGCTGTGACAGCTAGGGGCTGGCGTGGGCGGGCTCCAAAGGCAATGAGCAGGAGAGGAGTGTGTCACGGGTGGCCCCTGACCAGACCCAAAATAACCCCAGCTCCAGCCAAAGCCAGCAAGGGCAGGAAGAGCCACCCAACTCGTGCCTCCAGGAGAGAGGGTGGGGGCCTCCCCAGCTTCCCTGCACTGCCAGCCAGGCCACCTCTGCACAAAAATGGCAGCTGCCAGTGCACCTTCCCCCAACCTTCCCTGGGGGACTGGAGGTCTGAACCCGGCTGCCCGTGTGTCTCAAAACTGCCTTCAGGCTCCAGGATGGAATTACCGAGCTGAGCTAGCACACATTTCACTCATGCTTTCGGTGGATTTGCAAATAACGGCGTTTCACTAAACTGCCAGAGCGAGCCACCAGCCATGCGTGCATCCATTCAAAAACTATTGGCTAGCCAGAAAATCACAAGTGTTGGTGAGGATGTGGAGATGCTGGAACCCGTGTGCATTGCTGGTGGGAATGGAAAAGGGTGCAGCTGCCGTGGAGCACAGTTCCTCCCAAAATTAAAAATAGAATAATCATAGGACCCAGCAATTCCACTTCTGGGTAAATATCCAAAGAACTGAAGCATGGTTTCAAACAGATACTTGCACACCCATGTTCACAGCAGTTTGTTGTTGTTTTTTGTTTTGTTTTGTTTTGTTTTTGAGATGGAGTCTTGCTCTGTCGCCCAGGCTGGAGTGCAATGTTGCGATCAGGGCTCACTGCAACCTCCGCTTCCTGGGTTCAAGTGATTCTCCTGCCTCAGCCTCACCGGCAGCTGGGATTACAGGCACCTGCCACCATGCCCAGCTAATTTTTTATATTTTTAGTAGAGATGAGATCTTGCCATGTTGGCCAGGATGGTCTCAAACGCCTGACCTCAAGTGATCTGCCCGCCTCAGCCTCCCGAAGTGGTGGGATTATAGGCGTGAGCCACTGCGCCCGGCCTCACAGCAATATTATTTACAACATCCAAAAGGTGGAAGCAATCAAGTGTCCCAGGCACCTCAGGGTGTCCAGCTGCCTCAGGCTCACCCCCAACACCCCAGCCTCTATCTCATGGCCCCCTCAGCCACCTGGTTACCCTTGTATCTGGTGCTTCCTCCCTGGGACTGGCCGTTGCTGGCTCCACTCCAGCCACCCTGGCCGCCTTGCTGTACACACCCTCTCCTCTGGGCTCTTGCGCTGGCTGTTCCCTCGGCCTGGGATGCTCTTCCCACTTTCCATACTGCCCACGCCCCATTCAGGTCCTGGCACAGTGAGGCCAACCCCACGGCTCTAAAATTATAAACCCACCATGAGCAGAAGCCCCTATGCCTCCCTGTTTCCCCCACGGCACATCCTGCCTTCCTACAAACCATCAGACGGACTTATTACTTTCTTTGCATTCTGCATCCCCTATAGAATGCCGCCTCCACGAGGCCAGGGGACTTGCATATTTCGTTCACCGATTGATCCCCACTCACCAGAACGGAGCCTGGCACCTAGCAGGCTCTCAGTGAGATTTGCAAAATAAAGAAGGGGTTAGAGAAATGCTGGGCTGGAAAATGTCAGCTTGGGACTTGCTTTAGGTTTCACTGGATGTGTCCAGATTCCTCCAAAAGACGCTGAAGGACATGTGGGTTTAATCTAATCCAAAGTTTTAGGTGGATTTAGATCTGGATCCCAAGGAATGTCGGGCCTTGGTGGAGACCTAGAGTCAAGATGATTCATGATGGGAAAACATCAAAGCTGCCATCTTCTGACCACCCCAAACACGTCCTTGTTGAAGCTGCAGGCTGCTTAACCCCTGCTTGGCTACAGCCCATGGTTGCGGAGAGGTCGGCCTCTCCCTGCAGTCCTCTCTGAGCCTCTCACCCACTCAGGGAGCTGATACCCCCTCCTTTGGGCCCTATGGACCCTCAGGGCCTCACACCCTCGACTGCTGCCAGGAGGGCTGGCCTGGGCTTGCCTGCCTGCTCATGGCTTTCATCCTGCCTCTTCCTGAGCATCAAGAACCAATAAAGATTTGTTGAATGAACAAAAACTGATTTTACTTCAGCTGGTGAGCCTCACAGAAAGCCACTTCAAAAGAAGAGAATTTGGCTGGGTGCAGTGGCTCATGCCTGTAATCTCAGCATGTTGGGAGGCTGAGGCGTCCAATCACTTGAAGCCAGGAGTTCGAGACCAGCCTGGCCAACATGGTGAAACTCCCGTCTCTACTAAAAATACCAAAATTAGCCACGCATGGTGACAGGCACCTGTACTCCTAGCTACTCAGGAGGCTGAGGCAGGAGAATCGCTTGAACCCAGGAAGCGGAGGTTGCAGCAAGCTGAGATTGCGCCATTGCACTCCAGCCTGGGCGACAGGGCCAGACTCCATCTCAAAAAGAAAAAAAAAAAGAGCTGGCTAACACAACAGACAAACCAGGTGGTCAGTGATCCCTGTTTTTTGCATCTTTTAAATATCACTATTAAGAGGATTCTTGTAAATAAGATTTGATTTCTGATCTGCCCTATCCCTTCCCTGCCTTCATTAAAAATGAAAATCTATACAAAACTCATTAGAAAATCCCTTCATTAGCATCACTGCACTGCTGGCCACACCCCGCATCCACAGCCCTTGCCTCAACCAGACAGGAGCTCTGACCTCCCCAGGTTGGGGAGGCTGGGGCGGGGTCCTGCTCACCCGAGGACCCCCACAGCCACATCAGTGACTGCCTCCTGAACCCTTATGTGGGCTCCGTCTCACTGTGACCTGGAGCCCAGGCTTGGCCTCTGATTGGCACAGGCTGCGTGGGGTTTGGACCCCAGTGAGAACAGGGTAAAGGGGAAGCACACAGGAAGGGCTGGAGGGCAGCGGACAGCACCTGGGGCCACAGGGCAGTGACGCAGGCAGAGCTGGGCAGCTCAGTAGCTCACTTGAGAGGCAGCCTAGGACAGGTATGTGGCCCCTGGCCTGTGTGTCCACTGGGATGAGTCAATGGGCCTCCTGGGGCCTAAGTGACACAATGGGCCAGTCACTTGCATCTGGTGACCCTGGAGTGGTGTCCTGGGCATTGAGCCACGTGTTTCAGGGACACTGTCATATGGAAACTCACGATACCCAGGAGTCTGGACTTGCACCCGCACTTAAAGAGAGAAGGAATGCCCTCTCAGCCATTCTGATGGTATTTCTTACATTCCAGGAAATCTAATGTATGTCTGAAATTTCTAAGAAGGCAATGTGTTTGTCCTCTGGGACTCAATGGAGATTAAAGATAACCCCAAAATTGGCCGGGCGCAGTGGCTCATGCCCATAATCCCAGCACTTTAGGAGGCCAAGGCAGGAGGATCACCTGAGGTCAGGAGTTCGAGACCAGCCTGGCCAACACGGTGAAACTCTGTCTCTACTAAAAATACAAAAATTAGCCTGGTGTGGTAGTGTGTGCCTGTAATCTCAGGTACTCGAGAGGCTGAGGCAGGAGAATCGCCTGAATCTAGGAGGCGGAGGTTGCAGTGAGCCAAGATCAACATACTGCACCCCAGCCTGGGCAACAGAGCAAGACTCAGTTTCAAAAAATAAAGAAAAAAGATAACTCCAAAATTTACCAAAGACATTAGTGAGTAGAAGTCAGTAATACATTTGATAGTGACTAAAATCCCCATTCACAAGCAAGGCCCAGAGTGCTGCTGAATCTGCGGCCTCAGTTCCTCTGCCTGCACGTTGAGGGGTTACACGGGCTGATGCCTCACTTTCTTTTATTTCACTAAGTATTAATAGTAGTGGCTCCCTATTATGGGCTAAATTGTGTCTTCCCAAAATCTATCTGGTGAAGTCCTAACCCCCAGTATCTCAGAATGGGACTCTATTTGGAGACAGTGACTTTAAATGGGTGACATAGTTAAATGAGGTTGTTAGGGCAGGCTGTAATCCAAAGGACTGGTGTCCTTCGAGGAAGCGGTGAGCAGGACACAGACACATACAGAGGGAGGGCCGTGTGAGGACACAGGGAGAAGAGGGCATCTACAGGCCCAGGAGAGGAGCCTCAGAAGGAGCCCACCCTGCTGACACCTCGGTCTCAGACTTCTGGCCTCCGGAACTATGAGGAACCGGTGGTTGAGCCACCCTGCCCCTTATACTCTGCTCTGGCAGTCCTAGAAAACCAATACGTTGCCACAGTCTGGCTTTGTGGTGCTGATTTCATAGGTGATCTCTGATTTTTTTCTTTTGATGGTGGGGGCACGGAGTCTCACTCTGTCACCTAGGCTGGAGTACAATGAACGGTCTCAGCTCACTGCAACCTCCGCTTCCCGGGTTCAAGCGATTCTCTTGTCTCAGCCTCCCGAGTAGCTGGGATTACAGACGCCCGCCACCACAACCAGCTAATTTTTATATTTTTAGTAGAGACGGGGTTTCACCACGTTGGTCAGGCTGGTCTGGAACTCCTGACATCAGGTGATCCACCCGCCTTGGTCTCCCAAAGTGCTGGGATTACAGGGGTGAGCCACCGCGCCCGGGTGATCTCTGATCATTATAACAACCCCAGAAAGGAGGTATCATGGTGCCTTTGAGCTGGCTCAGGTCACCCAGCCTGAAACCCAACCAGGTTGGTCCACCTCCCCAGCCCTTGTCCTTCCCGGGGCCAGACTGGCTGCTGTCCGTGCAGACGGTACACAGAAAGTAGGTGCTCCACACGGGCATTCTGGGGTTTTCACTATTATTTTTATGATGATGATCAGCATGACCTAATCTCATCATTTATTCCTTTTTTTTTTTTTTTTTGAGTTAGAGTTTCGCTGTTGTTGCCCAGACTGAAATGCAGTGGCGCGATCTCAGCTCACTGCAGCCTCCGCCTCCCAGGTTCAAGCAATTCTCTGGCCTCAGCCTCCCAAGTAGCTGGGATTACAGGCGCATGCCACCACGCCCAGCTAATTTTTTTTGTATTTTTAGTAGAGACGGGGTTTCACCATGTTGGCCAGGCTGGTCTCGAACTCCTGATCTCAGGTGATCCACCCACCTCGGCCTCCCAAAGTGCTGGGATTACAGGCGTGAGCCACCGCGCCCGGCTTCTCATTATTTATTCTAAGCTTACACGGTCTCAGAATTTTCAGAGAGCTGGAGTCAATGTAGGGAGAGAAGAATAAAAACGGTCGATCCAGATGTTGGCTGCTGCAGAAGCTGAAAAACCGGCTGGTGGAACGCTTCACTCTGCGCCGGCTCATTGGCATTTTTGGGGTCTGTAGGTGGTCCGTGTTTCCACTCGCAAAGCTCTTTAGTCACATCATCTCCTTTGCTCCCCCACAACTGTCCCCCCTTTTTTAAAAGAGAAAACTGACTTGCCCACAGCTGCAAGCCCAGATCTTCTTGCTCCCAGCCCAGTGAAAGAGACACATACCCCGACAATCACAGAGTGGCACAGGAAGGGTGAGCCAAGGCCCGGTGCCAGGCCGGTGCCAGGAGGGAGGCAGGAGTCACCCACTGCAGCACCCGCAGCCTGGATGGATCCGGGCCTGGGTGTCCAGCCTCTCCCGAGAGGTCTGGCACACACTGTCCCTTCCTCCCCCACTTTTCTCTAAAGGAACATTGTTCCAGTGAAACAGTGGCCACTGGCAAACGTACCTGCATTCTTTGGATTCCGTAGCATATGGCAGCGAGCAGTCCTTCTGATGAGTGGCCATCCGGTGTCCGTCCGCACAGCAGGCCTCCAGGAGGACATCCGCGTCCACTGTGCAGGGAAGAGAACAAGCTGAGAGGTGGCTCACCACTCAGCGGGTGGAGGGCCCTCCCAGATGCACCACCAGGACACGCACGTCCTTCTGTCTTGACGACAGCATCAGGCTGGGGGCACATCCCTTAGTCACTCTGCAAACCAGTACTGAAAACCCCACCAGACCCCAGCTGCGAGTCCACACCCCACTCCTTCCTAGAAGAAAGACCTGAATCCTCCCCCATCTGAATCCAGCTTGGACAGGGCTGCGGCTCAGCCCCTGAGATCCAAGCACACATGGATCCCTGCTCCAGCCACATGCTGGAGATGCTGATGCGGTCCCTGTCCAGACAGGGTCCCTGCCTTCACAGTCCAGTAGGCAAGAAAGACAGCCCCTGATGACAGAGGCACGGCCATGCTGCCGGCCAGCCCAGCCCAGCAGGTCAGGGAACAGCCGACATGACTCTTTCCAGAGGAGAGACTGCAAACAGGGAGGGGGTTCAAAATGCAACGAGCTGAGTCAAGTAAGAAGGAAAAAAAAATTTTCTTTTTTTTTCTTTTTTTTTTTTTTTGAGACAGAGTCTCTGTCGCCCAGGCTGGAGTGCAATGGCGCGATCTGAGCTCACTGCAACCTCCACCTCCCAGGTTCGAGTGATTCTCCTGCCTCAGCCTCCTGAGTAGCTGGGATTACAGGTGCCCACCACTACGCCCGGCTACTTTTTTGTATTTTTAGTAGAGATGGGGTTTCACCATGTTGGCTAGGCTGGTCTGGAACTCCTGAACTTGCGTGATTGGCCAGCCATGGCCTCCCAAAGTGCTGGGATTACAGGCATAAGCCACCGCACCCAGCCTAAAAACCACCATTTCTAGACCAGCTTCTGTGACCCACATCCGTGTTTTCTCCTTTAATCTTGGGAGCAAAGGGGCAGGAGGGGGGACATAAGCCTCAAGCTACAGATTGAGGAAACCGAGGCTGGTGATGGTTTCTGCCCTTGACTTACCACAAGATCCCCTCTTCCACAGAAACGGGGACCTGTGAGAAGTCTGGTGAGGACAGGACTGGCAAAGCAGAGAGCACAGGTTCAGGAGTAACCGCAGCCTGGCCATCTTATCTCCCACTCGCAAAAAGGGCAGATGAAAGGATCACGCTCCAAGCAGCCGGCCCACACCCTCAGAGCCAGGCCACGGCCCAAATGAGCTGGGCACACAGGCCCTTGTGCCCCATGCCCCAGCCCAGGCTACAGCCCCAGTGGGCACCCTCCCAGCCCCTCAGCTCACGGAAGGGAGAAGACCCCATTGTGCCCCAAGGGAGGAGCGGCCGGGTGCCAGGTGCCCACATACTTGGACCTCATTCTAAAGGACTCAAATGCCAGAAAGCATTAGCACGACA
Organism: Homo sapiens; assembly: GCF_000001405.40. Taxonomy (NCBI): domain Eukaryota; kingdom Metazoa; phylum Chordata; class Mammalia; order Primates; family Hominidae; genus Homo; species Homo sapiens. The sequence continues at coordinate 45,517,309 of NC_000022.11, read as the reverse complement.
GCCCCAGCTGCTGGGCAGAAGGTCACCTCTCGGCAGGATGTTACAAAACTGGGCTTTAAGAAGCACCACTTTTCCTTCCTAATGGCTTTCCAGCCCCTAGAGGGTAAATCCCACTGGGCTTGGCAGCGTTTCCGCACACACAACTGTGGGTGCCCTGCCTGAATACATTCTTCTTCCAGGCTGGGCCCTCGGGGTGGCCCAGAGGGCGGCTGCTGTCTGCTGGGTGAGGCAGCACCTTGCTAAACCACCCTATCAGTCATCAGCCACTGTAAGCACTTCTAGACTATGCGTCCTTCAGATGCTCCATCCCGTTCTCAGCAGGGGAGGAGGGGAAACTTGCAGAAACATTCCAGAATGGATAAGGTCAGTGCACGAATGAGCTAGGGCTCAGCCAGGCCATTCCACAAGGCCAGGAGGAGGGGGGTCTCACCTAGAACCATGTCCCCCAGTGACAACTTCTGGGCTTTCCCTTTTCCCCAGGGCTTCCAGGAAACTCAGAGCTGCTTTCTGCAGTGCAAGGTAGACCCACCCTTCTGACTCTCACCCGGCTCCCCGAGGCTGGCAGGAGGAGTCCTGCAGTGGCGTGGGTAAGGGTGAAGTTTCGTGCCACAGCAAAGCCCAACAGTTTCCAGCAGCCTGACCACTCAGCCCCCCTCCCACCTCAGGTGTCCCCTCTCCAGCGATGCTCTTCGGTGAACGTGAGATTCACCAGGAGGCAGAGCTAATGTCAAGTTGTCTGGAGTTGCCTCCCAGCACCAGAGGAAAAGTCATCAGGAGTGACAACCGTGTTATCATGGGGATAACCTTGAATGTCCCCATTCACTCATTCATTCATTCTTGCTCTAATTCATTAAGAAAAGCAAAAGTACTCACTAAGCCAAGGACCTTATCTGTTACAGACGAGACAGGCCGTGGTGCACTCCTGGATGAACAGGATGTGATCCAGCCATGTGGCCTGACAGCGAGGCTGCTCTCCCCTGTGCAGCCAAGCCCAGTTCCCATCTGTCCCCCTACCCCCTTCACCCTTTCTGCAGCCAACCCCGGTTCCCATGTCTGTCCCCACACTCCCTTCACCCCTTCTCTGGCCAGGCCCACTCAGCCCCCACCTGCAGTTTCACCCTCGTGTCTTCCACAGCCCGTCTCCTATCCTAGCCCACCTCCCATGCCCTGTCACCCTCTCCTGGCCGCCTGCCTGCCCACCCTGCATAGCTCGGGTGCCCCTCTGCTCCCATATCACCCCGTGCCTGGCGCATGTCTCTCCATCCTCCAGAGCCCTGCCTGCCTGCCTTACCCTCATAGCCACAAATGTCTTGAGGGCAGGCTCTGTCTCCTGTCCTTGTATACCCCCGACATCCATGCCAGCATGTGGCAGCTACAGAGTTGAGTAGAAACAGTGTAAGCTTTGGAGCCAAACAGCCTTTGGTTCCAATCCCAGCTCCAGCACTTTCTTGCTCTCTAACCCTGGGCAGGCAGCGCCGCCTCTCTGAATCACAGCTTCCCCAGTGGGAAAACGGGGCTTGCACTGTCTTCCCAGGGTTGCTGAGAAGAGGGATGCACTTTATAAAGTTCCAAGCACACAGAAAGTTCTCTGTAAACAGTCGCTGGAGGATTAAACCGTCGAAGGGGATTGACTTATCGCTGCTCATAAGAAATGGGGGAGACACAGCCGGGTGCTGGTGTGCGGAATCCCCCGCAGGTGAGCTGTGGCCCCAGAGCCTCCTTCGGACTCTGAGAAAGGAAAACACAGGGAAGGGCAGGCTCCCGTAGCCCTGGGAATTTTGCACCCAGAGCTGCAGAAACGGTTTGGAAATGCTTCCTGCTGGGGAGTCTGGGTACTGTGAACCTCACTCTCAGCAGGACAATCAAATGTGAAGTCCTTTGGTCTTCCGGAAACTCAGAAGGTAGCTCCCATGTTCTGAGCAGCCCCAGAGCTGAACTCTGCAAAGCAGGGCTGTCTGGGGGCTGTGCCCGAGGGGAGCTGAGCTCACCCCGTCATTAGCCAAGGGAGAGCTCCTGCACAGCCCCATCAGGGAGTCCACAAAGAGCCAAGCAGGGACCATGGCCAGGCTGGATGGCGACGAGGCAGAGGCATGGGGAGGGGACCCAAGAGGTGGACGATCATCCTCACTGTAACACTCACCAATCAATTGCCGGGCCCTGACCCACAAAGGCCTACAGACAAGGCCCCTCTCATTCACCGGCTCTCACTCCTCAACCCCTTCCATTCATTCTGCTATCATCCTGCCTGGGCTCCAAATGGAATTAAGAACAGAGGAAGCTGAAAAGCGTCAAGTCACCAGTGACATGAACATACATGTTAAGGTGTCCCTGCTCCCACAGCAAACCAGTGTGTGACCAGCTCCTCACAGGGCTCAGTGGACACTGGAGGCCCCCACGCCCTCCTGCCCACTGCTCTCACCCACGGCTCCTGGGCCCTGAGTTCTGGCATCAGGCTCAGTCCTGGCAGCCTCCAACACTGTTCTTTCTTGCTCCTCCTGAATTAAAACCTCCTTCGGGGCCAGGGATGGTGTCTTCCTCCTCTCACTGTCCATGTCGCACCTGCCCATGCCCAGCACAAACGTCACGGCTCAGTAAGCACCAGTTAAACAGAGCCAGGGCAAGGGGCCCGATCTGCAAGACCACTCTTGACATGCAAAGGCTGCTGGGGCAAGATCCTCTGCCCCCACAAACAAGCCTCCTCCTCCTCCATCGTCCCAGGGGGTGGAGGCAGTGACCCCCAGGAAAATCCCGAGGGGCTGGAGCCCACCCACACAAAATACGGGGCTGGTTAGAATTTCGGCAAAAGCCAGGGATGAGCTAGGGGTGGGGGAGTGGCTGAGGCTACAGAACTGCCGGTTTCTTAGCCTTGGAGATGTGCCTCGATCTTCCTAGTGGACTCAGCACTGGTTACCTCCCACCCATTAGAGGAAAACTGAGCTTCAGGGAGAAGAGGGGCCTGGCATCATGGCTCCAGATGCCAACAAAAGTACTATCTGCAGCAGGTTAAAGATGTGTGTAGCCCACACAAGAAAAGGTGCGTCATTAACTTGGGTTCCAAAACAAGGGCACCGACCTCTTTACAAGCTTACCTTGGGACAGGGCAGGAACAGGTTCCCTGAAGCACAAAACCAACTCCACTCCCACCCCTCAGACATATCCTTTCCAAGACACATTCCGATTAGAAACGAAAAAAAGTTGTCTCTGTCCCCTTTTAAATAAACAAGCTTGGCCAGGTACGGTGGCTCACGCCTGTAATCCCAGCAGGTCGAGGTGGGCGGATCATGAGGTCAGGAGTTCGAGACCAGCCTGACCAACATGGTGAAACCCCGTCTCTACTAAAAATACAAAAATTAGCCAGGCGTGTGGTGCATGCCTGTAATCCCAGCTACTCAGGAGGCTGAGGCAGAAGAATCGCTTGAACCTGGGAGGCAGAGGTTGCAGTGAGCCAAGATCACGCCACTGCACTCCAGCCTGGGCGACAGAGCAAGACTCCGTCTCAAAATAAAATAAACAAGCTTTACTCTGGTTATGAAAAGAAAGGCCAGTAAGGCACGTATGGTGACCCAGGATAAGAGTACCTATGAGGTCCCTAGAGGAGTTAAATTTGTAGGGAATTTGTCAGAGACAGGAAGGAAAAGGATGGGTGGGTGCCACAGGCTTCGGGGGAGAGGACGGGGAGTTAGTATTTAACAGTTTGGGAATATGAAAAGTTCTGGAGATGGAGGTGGTGATGATTGTACAATAATGTGACTGTATTTAATACCATTGGACCATACACTTAGAAATGGTTAAAATGGGCCGGGCGCAGTGGCTCACGCCTGTAATCCCAGCTACAATTAGCCGGGTTTGGTGGGGTGAGCTTGCAATCCCAGCTACTCAGGAGGCTGAGAGGCAGGAGAATCACTAGAACCTGGGAGGTAAAGGTTGTAGTGAGCAGGGATTATGCCACTGCATTCCAGCCTGGGTGACAGAGTGAGACTACATCTCAAAAAAAAAAAAAAAGGAAATGGTTAAAATGGCAAATCCCATGTGATGCGTATTTTACCACAATAAAAAGTACATCTTTTAAGCAAAATAATTTAGTGTTTGTTGGTCATCTTATAACATCCTACAGTAGGAAAGCAATCGATGCTTTGCCCGTTGACTTACTTGCCTTCTTCAATCAATGTTGTTTTCATGCAGTAATCTGAACAGTGTCAAGCGAATTAATTTAGTAGATTGTATTTCAGAATGTTCTGTACAGCAGTTTGACAGTGTATGCAATGGTTTACACGGCAAGCTATGAAACTTCAAATGAGACTTAAAATGTTCAGTAAAAAATAGATTGCAACTTTGCAACCAAAATAAAGATGACTTAACAACAACAAAAGAACAACAACAACAAAAAGGCCAGGCATGGTGGCTCAAGCCTATGATCCTAGCACTTTGGAAGGCAGAGGTGGGAGGATCGCTTGAGCCCAGGAGTTCAAGCTTGCAGTGGGCCACGACTGCACCACTACACTCCAGCCTGGGGGACAGGGGGAGACCCTGTCTCAAAACAAAAAAACTAAAAACAAAAGAACACCCTGAGGATCACAGCTCCCCCGTGTGTCCTGTGAGGGTGGGGCGATGGGAGTGGGGAAGGGCCTGGGGTCCAGCCCCACCCTGGCTGTGCCTCCCGCATCCCTGCAGGGACTTCCAGCTGCTCATTTGCCTGGGGATCCGGTCACCTGTGGATATCCAAACACCAGGTGTCCTGAGCTTCGCTGCCCCATCACACAGGCTGGGGACCATCTGAGGCCCACAGAGGCACCTCCCACCTCACTGTCCTATCCACCTGCTCATCAAGTCCTACCCCATGTGTTGCCTTCTCAGTGCCTGCCCAGGACTCTCGGCCAGGCTGGGGTGGGGGCAAAAAGGGGACTGGGGCTAACAGATCCCCCACGCCAACTCCACGCCTCATAGGTACCAAGAGTTCTGCGGGGGTCAACAGCATCCAACCAACTGCCTGATCAGTCAGGCCCCCCACCTTCAGAAGGGTGTCAAATCAAGGCCATTTGTACACAAACCCTAGGGCAGCTGAGCAGCCCTGGAACACTGTGAGTCAGGAGGATAATGTGGGCCAACCGAAGCCACGCCTGCTTCTTCCATCCCAGACCGCCAACAGCTGTGAGCAGCTCTGAGATCCAAAAATTACCTCTGACCAGTACCACACTGGACACCCACCCAAGCAGAACAGGCACTCGCTGGTAACTCGACACTGGGCTGTGGGGGATCAAGAGAGAAGCAGGGCCTCAGGGGACCTGGAATCTTCTCTCCCAGATCATTTCCTGTTGTTTCGGAGGAGTTTCAATCAACCAGTCTCAATCTGACCCCTGCATCTGACCATGTGAGTTAGATCCAAAGCATAATATTAGATATAAACCAAGAGCAAACTCTTGCAAAATCTCGTTAACCTTCAACTCGAATGTTCCCAGGGAAGGCAACGCTGCGGGTTAAAACTGCTCAGCCTTGAATCCAGCTCCCTCCCTTACTAAGACTCAAGGAGGCTCACTTCCTTCATCTGTAAAAATGGGGGAAGAGGCCGGGAGCAGTGGCTCATGGGTGTAATCTCAGCACTTTGGGAGGCTGAAGTGGGCAGACATCACTTCAGTCCAGGAGTTCGAGACCAGCCTGGCCAACATGGTAAAACCCAGTCTCCACTAAAAATACAAAAATTAGCTGGGCATGGTGGCGGGCACCTGAAATCCCAGCTACTCAGGAGGCTGAGGTGAGAGAATCACTTGAACCCGGGAGGCAGAGGTTGCAGTGAGCCAAGATCGTGCCACTGTACTCCATCCTGGGTGACAGAGTGAGACTGTCTAAAAAAAAAAAAAAAGCCAGGCATGGTGGCTCATGCCTGTAATCCCAGCACTTTGAGAGGCCGAGGCAGGTGGATCACCTGAGGTTGGGAGTTTGAGACCAGCCTGACCAACATGGAGAAAGCCCGTCTCTACTAAAAATACAAAATTAACCAGGCATGGTGACGTATGCCTGTAATCCCAGCTACTCGGGAGGCTGAGGCAGGAGAATCACTTGAACCCAGGAGGCAGAGGTTGCAGTGAGCTGAGATCATGCCATTGCACTCTAGCCTGGGCAACAAGAGCGAAACTCTGTCTCAAAAAAAAAAAAAATGGGGGAAGATTGATGAGATAATCCAGGAAAAGTGCTTACATTAGCACACTGACCACAGGAAAAAACAGAAGCTTCAAAATTAAACAAAAGGAAAAGTTATCACACCAGGATTGGGAGAACATTCTTTTTCAAAGGAACCACACACTCCTCCAGGCTGACACGGTGCCCGATGGCCAACACGCCACCACATCCACCACCTCTCTTCAGGAGAGACACATGCCTGCCGGAGTAACTGGTGCAGATGGATGGAGCTGGCTCAGTTCACAGGCCTCAGATACCGTTTGTTGCCTGGGACAGCTGCTAAAACTAAATTTTTTCCAGGTGAGTTAAACCTCCATAAAGATTATGGTGTAGATCAGCGGCATGCCCCATGTTCCAAGGCATGCAGAGAAACACAGGTCACATGGCCTGCGGGGACCATGCCCTGGACACCCAGGAAGGATATGGCCACGTGCTCTTTCTAAGACTACAGATGCTCAGAGAGATTCTGTACCACTCCTTGGGTGGAAGCTTCCAGAATGTCAGCCTGCTAGCTGTAAACATCGCAGAAGCTTTGGGCAATGCCTGATCCCATCCCCAGCAGCCTGTGAGCCACGAGGATCTTAATTCCCAGGTTGCTGAGCAAGCAGACTGTCACAGAGGGGAGACTGGGGGCTGGGAACCGGGAGGCCTGGAGTCTGCTTCTGATCTCATGGTTGAGAGTTTTCCCACCCGGAGCAAGTCCGGGCCTCAGTTTTTTCATTTATAAACTGAATGGAGGATTTGGCCTGCAGTTAAGAGCAGGCTTCCCCAATCCCACCCTGTGTAAGGGCATTGCTCTGGCAAAATTTCCACTGGGTTGCAACAAAATAGGGTGAAAGCAAAGCAGGATCCAGGGACCTCTACAAAGCCGGCCCGATTCCATCTACAATACTGTCTTTTATTGTGAGACCGCGTCCTTCCAAAATCCGGGGCATTAAAATGTCCCCTACCTCTGTGAAGTGGTGACGATATGAGATGGTGGTTGAATGGGTGTCTGTTTTTTATTTTAATATCCTCATCGGGCAAATGAGGATATTTTAAGTTGGCAAAGCTCCGTGAATAGCTGGGGATGAAGTAAAGGCATGTGATCAGAAGCCAGCCTCAATTTCCTTGATTTCCTCTGCTCAAGCTCAAAAACTCAGAGGCAGCTGAGGGCGTCAGGAGTTTTTAAAAGTGAATGGGAGCTTGAGGCTTCATCCTGTGTGCCTCCCGGACTCACCACACAAAAGGATCATGCCCCCACCCCACCTGCCCCACAGCATTGTCTAAAGCTACAGCAAAGAGTTGGAGTGGCCTCCGTGGTGTCCAGAACCAAGGAACCGAAAAGCCTGAAATGCAACAAGATGTCAACCACAGAGACCCTGATGGAAAGTTCCAACCAAACAGGACTGGGCGACTCCACCCAACCCCCACCTGCACCCTGCCCCTCCTGAGTAGCTGGGATTACAGGCGCCTACCACCACGCCTGGCTAATTTTTTGTATTTTTAGTAGAGACGGAGTTTTACTATGTTGTCTGGGAAGCCACCAGGGGTCCAGCCAGATTGGCCTATGTCCCTGCATCCCTTACAGTTCCAGGATGAGGACAGACTCGTGTCCCCTCTTCAAGACCACCTGGCCTCTGCAGGAGGAAGCAGGGCGAACTGGAGCCTGCTCTTAGGGCTCCTGGCCCCATCCCCAACACAAGACCTGACTGTGTCCACTGCTGAGCCTGTTCCCAGCATCTGTCATGGAGATGACAGGGGTCTTGGATGGTGAACCAGCCGGGAGGAGGCAGCAAGAGAGAAGGAGCAGAAGGTACCTCTCTGGGAAGGCGAGAAGCATTCTCCCCACAGTTCCCTCCAGGCAGCTCTGGCCCCGGCAGCAACTTCCTACATCAGCCCAGTGCACAGAGGGGCATCCTCATCCTTCTGCAACATCCCACCCTGCTCCAAGGGCCTCCTGGGCTTCCAGGACGCATCTCCCCTGGTGTTCCTCTCACCCCTCTGGCCACCTGTCATGCATCCTCTGCACCTGGCATTTGGAACCTGGAGCTTCAAAGGCTGGAGGGTCCCAGGACGCTTGCTCTCCTCAGGCCAGCTTGTTCATGCCACACCAGCTCAAAGGTCCCTTCCTCCAGGAAGTCCTCCCTAACTACCGCCAATGCACACACATATGCACATATACACGCATGCACATGGGACAAATATGTTTTCTTTCTTGCATGGTCTCTTTGTACTCTGAGCTTCCCAGCACTTAGCACAAATAATTAACTCTGTACTTAGTGCCATGAGTCTGAGCCAGACACTGTCTCATTCTGCCTCCTGCCCCCATGCCTGCCCTAAGCAGTCATTCAATAAATGTCCGTGAATGAATGAACGCACAAATGATCTCACATGATCCTAGGTATTCTATAAAGTGGGGGCAAAGAGAGAATCACCAAGTTGCCCGAGGCCATGCAGCCTCTGCAGAGGCAGGCTTCAGATCCAGCTCTGACTGTAAAGCTCATACACACCCCACCATCACACTCCAAAGGAAACAGGCATCCCCCCCTGAACTAGACTTAAAGATTCAAGTCTTCTAAAGGTGCGTGAGGCTGGCTGGGCGCGGTGGCTCACGCCTGTAATTCCAGCACTTTGGGAGGCCAAGGTGAGCAGATCACGAGGTCAGGAGTTAGAGACCACTCTGGCCAACATAGTGAAACCCCGTCTCTACTAAGAATACAAAAAATTAGCCAGGCGTGGTGGCGGGCACCTGTAATCCCAGCTACTTGGGAGGCTGAGGCAGGAGGATTGCTTGAACCTGGGAGGCAGAGGTTGCAGTGAGCCAAGATCACACCCCAGACAGTGCAAGACTCCGTCTCAAAAAAAAAGATACGCGAGGCTGTCCAGTGTGCTGGTGAGGGGTATGACGTCAGGGCCAAGCTGCCCAAGCTCAAGTCCTGCTGCTGTCACTTAGCAGCTATGCACCCACAGTCTTGCTACCTGGACTCTCTGGGCCTCCATGTCCCCTCATTGATGAGGGGGACAATGACAGCACCTCCTTTGCAGGGCTAGGGTGAGGGTATAGCTAGGTAACACAGGTGAACTGGGGCAGGGGTGGGGCAGGAAGGTGCTCGAGTCCCCGTGCTGTGGGGAGACCATGCTGGGTGCACAGGTGTTGGATTTCCATCCTCAACCTATCACACGCATCAGTGACTCTCAGAAATGGCACTGTGCAGGTCCATAGAGGAGTTCTAGGCCAAAACAAGAAGCCGGGCTTCATACCTAGGTAGCAAAACTCACAGGACCTTTTCACTCCAGTGGGTAACAGGATCCAAAATGAAAAACAGGGCCAGGCGCAGTGGCTCACGCCTGTAATCCCAACACTTTGGGAGGCCGAGACAGGTGGATCACTTGAGGTCAGGAGTTCAAGACCAGTCTGGCCAACATGGTGAAACTACATCTCTACTAAAAATACAAAAATTAGCCAGGTGTGGTGGCGCATGCCTGTAGTCGCAGCTACTCAGGAGACTGAGGCAGGAGAATGGTTTGAATACAGGAGGTGGAGGTTACAGTGAGCCGAGATCACACTACTGCCCTCCAGCCTGGCCGGCAGAGTGAGACCCCGTCTCAAAAATAATAATAAAAAATAAAAATAGGTTCAAAACAACACTGGATCACCTATTTCGTAGGGCTGCTGAGATGACGACATTGGTTACTAAATGTAAAGCATTTCACCTATAATAATTACCCAGAGGACACTCACATCTTATAGTGAAGGAAACAGAGGCAGAGAGTTTGTGGGTGTCATCAAGATCTCTCCAGACACTTTCAGAATTGGGACCAACACACAGCTTCCTAACCCCCTTCTCATGTTGGCTCCGCACAGTGTAGTAACCCGCAAATAACCTGTAGGAAGCTATGGCGACTGGTGCCTCGCTCCCTCCCACCCCAGCCTCTAGTTAGGACCACTGTGGGGTTAAAGGAGGTGGGGCCCAGCCCAGCTCTAGGCCCAGCCCCAGCCCCGCTCCTCGCTGGGTGACTTGTGGCAGATGACTTAGCCAGTCCTGAGCTCCCCTCCAGCCTGAGGGGGTCTCCTATCCCAGGGAAGTTGACACAGTGGTTCCCCCCTCCCACCCTGTTTACTTATAGGGCCACATGTGAGATCATCACAAGGAAACTGGAACCATATGGGGCCTACGAAAGGATTCATTCATCAAATTGTTATGATTTGCTATTCTGCAAAAGGAAAATCTTGTTGTATAAAATATGCTGGCAAAATAACTACATGCCCTCTTAGAACTGTTCTAATAAACTTCACCTGGAAGGCGGCCCTGACCAGGTGCCCAGTGCTCAGAGCCCGGGCTTAAAGTCTCACCAGGTCAGGGAAGCTGCTGGAGAAGTCTCTAGACAGCACAGTCTCCCCCAGTGGTGAGGAGGGGGTGGAACTGGAAGGAACTGGAAGTGGGTAGAAGGAGGGGGTTTCCCTGGAAGTCTCGTGTTTTCTCTTCCTTCCAGGTATTTGGCCCTGCCATTTCCCCTGCCAGGAACACCCTTTCCCCCATCCTCCCAGCCCTACCCACAGACTTAGCCACTGCCTTTTCCTCCTTAGGTTCCCAGTTTGCATGCCGCTTCCTCCGGGAAGTCTTCCCTGACTCTGCCAGTAGGGCTCAGTTCATTTTTCTGGATCTCCTAGTTGCATGAGGGGGAAAAACTGGGTCTCTCTCCTTTCCTGCCACATCCACAAGTTATAGAGCAGTGTCTGGCACTGAGCTGTCCCTTAGTGAATGAATGACTGAATGGCTAAGAACACCACCTTTCCTGACACGGGTTTGGCACTGACGACTACCAGTCCTATAGCCCCATGGGGCCTTCTGCTCAGCGCCTGGCTGGGAAATTCAGTAGTAGTAGAATGTGCAGAGGCATCTTGGGGAAAACAATTCTGGGGTATTGGCAGAATTGCGCTCTTCCCGCGCTCCCCTCACATCAAGCCTCATCTCCTCCAAGGAGCCGCCAGGGAGCCCCCAAGGGCTGCGAAGGCTCCTGGTGCCAACACTTCCTAGAGAAGGGGACAACAGGAATAATAGCTAACATTAATAACAGGGCTGCCAGCCGGCACGGTGGCTCACACCTGTAATTCCAGCACTTTGGGAGGCCGAGGTAGGTGGATCACCTGAGGTCAGGAGTTCGAGACTAGCCTGGCCAAGATGGTGAAACCCCATCTCTACTAAAAGTACAAAAATTAGCTGGGCGTGATGGGCGCCTGCAATCCCAGCTGCTGGGGAGGCTGAAGCAGGAGAATCGCTTCAACTCGGGAGGCGGAGGTTGCAGTGAGTCGAGATCATGCCATTGCACTCCAGCCTGGGCGACAAGAGCGAAACTCCGTCTCAAAAATAAAATAAAATAATAATAATAATAATATAGCTGCCATGGTAGACACTATCCTATGTTCTCTCTCTTAATCCTCAAGACAACCTAAGTAGGTTTTTGTTCCCTTCATTTTATAAATGAGAAAACCACCAAACCATCTCATGGCTTTTTCTGATGCAAACTGATTTCTAGTCTCACAAGGCCCGTGGAGCCCTCCAGGACCTGAAGATGAGTCAGCCGCGTGCCCCTACTCCTGCCCTACACACCTAACAGGGGTGGCAAATGCAGCCCTGAGTTGGGGGGCACTCAGCAGGGCCAGGAGCGGGGCGTGAGCCAGAGCTGTGGGTGCTGCAGGAGAGGCCCCAGCCCTGACCCCCATGGCACAGAGTCTCATCTTCATGCATTCAGTGCCCTGGCCCCCACCTCCTGACTGGGAAACTTCCAGGAGTGGCGGCACAGACCACACGTTTTCAAGCCAAGTCCTCCCTGGCCTTTGTTCTCCCTCCCAACTTTCTTTTAATCAGTCGGAAACGCTGCCCGGCTGCAGCCAGAGGCCAAGAAAGCCTTGGAGAAAACACAATCGTCTTTTCCTAACACCTCCTCCTCTCCACTCCCTCCCACCCAGCTCTCAGTAAAGCCCAACGGGACGGACAGACACAGGACAGACAGGCGGCTCCTCTCGGCCGTTTGGCAAGAAAGATCAGCGCCCTTCTCCATTTAAGCGGCCGTCGCCAAAGGAGTTTCTGCAGATCAGCTAACAGGCTCACCATCTGCGGCCCCACAGCTCTCTGAGAGCAGGGGCGGTGCCACTTGTGGCCTTACATACAGGGCTTCGGGGGCCTCACAGCTGCAGATAGGGGCCAGGCAGTCTTCAAAAGCCCCTTCCCAAACTGTACCAAATTAAACCTGTTGAAACTCAAAGAGACTTCTCCCCAAAAGAAACAAAAGGCCCACAGGACATCCAGCTGCTTTTATCGAAGTGTGCAATTAGGAGGCTTTTTTAAACCCTTCCAATTACAAACTTCTCTGTGGCTCAGCAGTGAGCCACACTGGGCCCGCAAGTCCTGGGGTGTTCATTCAGTCACACACACATAGGGAGAAATTGTTCGCAAACCGCAGACAGAAAAGAACAGTGAGAGGGAACGCAGAGACTCCGGGGCCAGGGAGAGTTTTACCACGCCTTCTCTCAGGCCCTCAGCTTCCTCATCGACACAATCGGGGCCTCTGAGGCTCCTTCCTTTTCTAACAGGAGTCTCGGATGTCCCACCCACCCATCACCCAGGGCCCCTCGGGGTTTTCCCTCCAGCTGGCAGCCACCCGGCCTGCTGCTTGCTGGAATGCCCTCTTCCCGCGCTCCCCTTACATCAAGCTCCATCTCTTCTAAAGAGCCTCCAGGGAGCCCCCAGGGGCTGCGAAGGCTCCTGGTGCCAACACTGAGCTCTGCGCCTCCCCACACCATCTCCAACCCCACGAGGTGCCCAGGCCGTGCCCAGCACCGCCTGAACAATCAGAGCTCCACAGGGCTCTGCTGCAGCCAGCCAGTCAAGAAAGCTCTGTAGAGCTCAGCTCCCAGCCTCCCCTCCCCCTCCAGCCCCCTTCAGCCCCCTTCCTGGAATCCCCCAGTGAGCATTAGTTGGGACAAGCGACCTTTTGACTAACAAAGGCGGTCACCAGAGGTTAAAAGGAACTCAACTAAACCAGGGATTAAGACTCGGATTCTGAGGGTGGTCTAGGGCACTCCCCTGGACCTGGGCCACTGGAGAAACAAAGACGCCAGGAGTGCCGGGCCTGGCTAGTGGCTCTGAGAAGCCACGGGTCAGCAGAGAGGTCACAGGTCATAGCTCTGCCGCCCAGCAGCTGCTCTGATCAGAGGACCTCGTGGCAGTCCCCCCAGGGACCAGGCCTTGAGGGTTAGAGGGGAGAAAAGCGCGGGCTGGGTGGGCACTGTCCCGGAGCTGTCAGTCCCAGAGTTGGGGCCTAAGGTCTGGGCCATCGATCAGATCTGCTCTTGGAAAACTCCATCCCCCTTGCCGTTGGTGGAAGTGACCAGTCCCCAGTCCCCGCTGAGCACCGAGCCCGGCAGAACCACTGCCTTGGGCCCTCTGTCCCGGGAGGGAGGCAGGGAGGAGGTGGCCAGGTCCGCATCCCCTCCATCCTCCCAGCTACGCCCCAAAAACCTCCAGGCTGCTCCCTGGCTTTCTCATTTCTTCCTCTCCAGCCCCTATCCCAGGACCGCTAGTGTCTCCTGGGGAAAAGACTGCTTCCCACCCTCCAGGCTCAAGTTTCACATCCGCAAGCTGGGTACAACAGCTCCTACCTGGGGGTGGAGGCGGGAAGCGGTGAGGAAAGATAGCCGAGGGCGCTTCCAGCGTCAAGTGCAAGGCGCCCTGGGCTCGGTAACCCCCAGCCAGCGTCCCCCAGCCCAGCTAGCGCCCCTGAACCCCCAGGGCCCGGGATGCGGCCCCCGGAGCCGGCTGGATTTGCTAGGACTGGGGTAGGACGGTGTGTTTGAGGGGTGGGGGAATCCGGTTTTGAAACAAGTCCCCAGGCCGGGGAGGAGATGAGGACCGGAGCTGGCCGTGGGGGAGGGGGGCGTCGCCGAGGCCTCGGCGCTGACAGTCCGGGGGCGCCGCGCAGGGCAACGCACGGACTCCGAGTCCCCGTGGTTCCGAAACTCGCAGGGAGCGCGAGGCCGAGGGGGTCGGGACCCTAAGCTGGGGCGGCGGACCCGGGACGCCCCTACCTCCGGCCGCCAGCAGCGCAAGGCCGCCGAGCAGCAGCAGCGGAAGCGGGACCCGGCGCGACGGCGCGGCGCGCTCCATGGGCGGCGGGCGACGGGCGGTGGGCGGCGGCGGACAAAGGCGCGGGCGCGGTCCTGGGGCAGCGGCGCGGGCTCCACGCTCCGGCCGAGCCTCGGCAGCCAACGCTGGGCCAGGGCCGCGCCGTTCAATTATCCCGCCCGGGAGGAGGGCGCGGCGGAGGCGGGGCCGCGGGTCTCCTGGTCCTCCCTCCCCGGCGCCCCCTGCCGGGACCCTCCCTCCCCGGACCCCGGCTGCGAGGGGCGCGCGCCCACGGCTGGGGGCGAGGGCCTGGATCCCAGACTTCCCCGGAGGGGGCACAGAGGGGGCGCCTTCGGGCCGGATGCCCCCAGTCCTATCCCCCAACACTCCGTGAAACCCGATCCCCTCCTCCCCCCACCCCCTCTCGAGGGGAGGGCTCGGGATCAAAGGTTATCCCCGCCCGACTCCGCGCGGAGGAGCGGGGACCCGGGCCTGCAGTCGGAGGCCCGGCTGCTGGGGGGCACTGGGGCAGGCCTTACCGCCAACCCCGCACCCTCGGCCGGGAGGCTGCAGGTCGGTGGCTAACCCCAGGCGTGTCCCGGGATGGGACCCGACTCTGCCCTCAGAGACAGGGACAGTCGGGCCAGGCCAACAAACAACCAAAATCCCAACGTGTGCTGGGCTCACCCGGGACACCAGGGCCGGAGGGAGAGACCCGGGAAGTCACCGAGGCTGCAGGGGAGGCAGCTTTGGCGCTGGGCCTGCGGGAGCCTCTTGTATAGGAATTCATAGCTACCGGGGTTACTGAGGATGAGTTAGGCTTTGGAACCACAAGTAGATTTATTTTCCAAAGAAGAAGAATAAAATGGTGCAGGTGAAGATGCGGAGGAACTGGATGAGACGCATAGGAACGCCACTGGGCAGCTCAAAGCGGTGTTCCTGTGAGTTCACCATGGACCCCTTGAGCCACCGACGCCCCGCCCAGCCTTACACTCAGCAGAAACGCATACAACATGTGCTCCAAAAGACAGAAAGACATGTAGCCGCACATTCATAATTCCTCCAATTGGGAAGCCTAGCGTCATCAAGGCAGATGAATATCGTGGAGTATTCGGGCTTAGGAGCACGACAAACGGAACAGGAGTGAATGATCCGCAACTCACATAACGGGTAAATCTCACAGACGTAAGTCAGAGTAATAGAGTCAGCCACAAAGGAACACTCGCTGCATGATTCCATTTACATAAAAGGCAAGAACAGGCCGGTGGCGGTGGCTCACACCTGTAATCCCAGCACTTTGGGAGGATGAAGTGGGCGGATTGCCTGAGGTCAGGAGTTCGAAACCAGCCTGGCCAACATGGTGAAACCCTGTCTCTACTAAAAATAAAAATAAAAATAAATTAGCCAGGCATGGTGGTGCACACCTGTAGTCCCAGCTACTCGGGAGGCTGAGGCAGGAGAATCGCCTGAACCCGGGAGACGGAGGTTGCAGTGAGCCGAGATCTCACCACTGCACTCCAGCCTGGGCGGCGGAGTGAGACTCCGTCTCAAAAAAAAAAAAAAAAAAAAAAAAAGGCAAGAACAGTTCAGAGGTCAGGAGAGTGGTGATCCTGGAGTGGGAGCGTGCTGGGCTTTCGGGGGCTGGTTAGGTTCAGCTTTCTTACTCTGGGTATTGGTTACAAGGTTGGGCTCAGTTTGTGAGAATTTATTGAGCTGTTCATTTATGGTACGTGCCCTTTTCTGAATACATGTTGTTTCTTTCTGTTTTTTTGAGATGGTGTTTTGCTTTTGTTGCCCAGGCTGGAGTGCAGTGGCGCAATCTCAGCCCACTGCAACCTCCACCTCCCGGGTTCAAGCGATTCTCCTGCCTCAGCCTCCTGAGTAGCTGGGACTACAGGCATGCACCACCACGCCTGGCAAATTTTGTATTTTTAGTAGAGACGGGGTTTCTCCGTGTTGGTCAGGCTGGTCTTGAACTCCCGACATCAGGTGATCCACCCGCCTTGTCCTCCCAAAGTGCTGAGATTACAGGCGTGAGTCACCGTGCCCGGTCACATGTTAAATTTTAAAATGAAAAACAAAAGGACAAGAACTCATCTCCCCACAGGGTGTCTTATAAGTTTGAAGTTTGCAGAGAGCCCAGGAAAGCTTACCAAGGGGACCAGCATGCTCACGCCTCTGAGGTTAAGGAGGCCCCTCAGGAAGAGGTGACATGCGACTGGCCAGTGAAAGGTGAGCAGAGGTGGGAAGGGTTTCCTTGGTGGTGCCAGCTTTCCTGATGTCTCTGCAAAAGTTTGGAGGCACCAGAGATCCTGGTCCGTTTTGACTTTGGATGGGGTGGGGTGCGGAAACAGCACATCAGCAGATGGCCCGAGGGAGGCATTTCTGAGTTGGAACAGGTTGGGAACTCATTACTACTTTGGTATTAACTTAATTCGTTTAAGCCATCGGAGAATGGGGTGCCCTGGAAGGAGTCTAGATGACTAAGGGAAGGTGGTGGAGGGCGAAGGGGGAACCAGGGGACCTGGGGGATTCAGAAAGAAGACGTAGAAACAGGCAGAGGGGTAGAAGGAAACCAGGAGAAGGCAATATCCAAGAAGGAATCAAAAAGTGATTCTGGGCAGGGCGTGGTGGCTCATGCCTGTAATCCCAACACTATGGGAGGCCGAGGTGGGTGGATCACTTGAGGTCAGGGGTTCGAGACCAACCTGGCCAATATGATGAAACCCCATCTCCACTAAAAATACAAAAATTAGCTGGGCATCGTGGTGCATGCCTGTAGTCCCAGCTACTTGGGAGACTGAGGCAGGAGAGTTGCTTGAACCCTGAAGGCGGAGGTTGCAGTGAGCCAAGATTGTACCACTGCACTCCAGCCTGGGTGATAGCAAAAAAAAAGTGATTCTGGCTGGGACTGCCCAGTGTGGCCCAGTGCTCAGTGAAGCCAGGACTGAGAAGTCCCAATGGGGATGGAGCAGGTGGCCGCTGGCGATGTGACCGGGGCCCTTTCTGGGGATGGGGAGGGAGTGGCTGTGTTGTGGGTGGCTGAGAAGGGGGTGGGGATGAGGAAACAGGGACAGTAGGAGGAGGTGACTCCTACATTCAGCTAGGCACTGACACTGCCCTAGGCAGGCAGAGGGACTGCTGGGAGGAGGAGGGCTGAGCCAAGCCTGCAACAGCTGGGGAGGGAGGCCAGAGCCAGGAGAGAGGACATGGAAACCTGGCCTCTCCCAGCCTTTCCTGAAGCTTCAAGAGCTTACTCCTGTTCTGAGGCACAGCCCCCACCATTTTTTTTTTTTTTTTTTTTTTTTGAGGCAAGTCTCACACTGTCACCCAGGCTGGAGTGCAATGCCACGATCTTGGCTCACTGCAACCTCTGTCTGCCGGGTTCACGCAATTGTCCTGCCTCAGGCTCGGGGGTAGCTGGGATTACAGGCACACACCATCAAACCCAGCTAATTTTTTGTATTTTTAGTAGAGACGGGGTTTCACTGTGTTGGTCAAACTGGTCTCGAACTCCTGACCTTGTGATCCGCCTGCCTCAGCCTCCCAAAGTGCTAGGATTACAGGCGTGAGCCGTGGCGCCCAGCCAAGGCGCCCCCTTTTTAGGCACTCACTCTAGTCCTCATCCCAGGCCTGTCCTCCATGGCCTCTCCACATCCTCTTGTCCCTGTGGCTGGTGACTTGGAAAGCCAGGCACTGGGTGTCAGGGAAGTAGGCACCACCATGGACCCCTATCCCCCAGGACAAGCTAGAGGTCCTGACAGCCTGGGACAGGGTCTGAGGCCAGACCACCTGGGTTCCAATCCAAGCTCGCTACTCTCTGGCTCTGTGGCATTGAGCATTTGACTTCTTGGTACCTTGTTTCCTCATCTGTCACGTGGGGCAAGGATTAGGACTTTGCACTTTGCACGGTCGTGAGAATTGAAGGAGATGCTGACTCTCATCACATAAGCCCCACAGAGAAAACTCTGTAATGTAATCACTGTCAGCTGCTGTGCTGGTGGTGACAGTGATGTGCCTTCAGGACCACACAGGGGAGCACCAGTCCTGACCCCCTCCTCATTCACTGTCTGGCTCTGGGCAAGTCCCTTTCTGGGCCTCAGTTTCCCTATCTGCAAAATGCAGGAGATGGACCAGGATGCTTCTAAGCATGCTTCAGACCCCAAAACCCAGGCTGACTCTCGGCCCCCTTCTCTAGTTCTCAGCACATCCAGCTTCCAGAGGCCCACTGGAAGATCATAGGCCTGAGATTCTTGCAGTCCAGGTGAGCCACACCCAGGTGCTGGGAGAAGAACCCATCATGGGCACGGGCATTCCTGCACATTCTTGCTGAGTATGCCACAAATGCAAAGCCCTGGTCACTCTGTACCCGTGTCTCAGGGTCGTGTTTGCAAAAAGCAACCTCAAAGGAGGAGGTACCATCTCCCTCTGGACAAGTTTACCGGAAAATCGGTAAATTCCCCAAACTCAGTGTTCTCCTGTGTAATGCAGCCCATTGTGTGTGCAGGCATCCACCATCCATGATGGGCCCTTGACCTCGCCCACTCCACACCGACCCTAGGACTTGGAAGACACAAGGAACTCATGTGAACACCATGCTTAAACTGCAGCTATTATTTTACTGCAACTAATAAAGTCCCTGTCTCTGACCCAGGAGTCTCAGAACTGGAGATTGGCAGTGCCTCTATTTGAATGGAGGTCATCTGACTCCCTTTGTATCTTGGGTTCTGTTTTTCAATAAAAATTATAGCATTGTAACATTTCCCTGTCTTATTAGAAATCTCCATTACATATCCAGTGAGTGGATATGTTTAGAAGTCGCATACACATTTACTTAACCACTCACTCTCTTATTAGGGGACATTTTCGTCATTTAAACTTTGCAGCGTTAGAAATGATGCTGCCGTGAAACCTGTGCGCTCCAGGTTCAGCTGTACCTCTGCGGCTCCCAGCAGGAATGGCCTAGAAGAGTAAGTGCTGCACCAAGAAACTGACAAATTCACAATCCAGAGAGAGACACAGCAGCTGTGAGTCTCTCCACTTCCAGCCAGCATTGTGTCACCTCGTTGTTTAATCTGAGCTATTTCCACAGGGAAAAGAAACTCTTATCTTCTTTCAAAGTATGTTTTTAATCATCAGAGAGGTTGAACCCTTCTCATATGCTTATTAGCTGGTTCTATTTCTCTTTGGATGGCTCCCTTCATAACCTTTAAGTGTTTATTTTTGTAATAGAATTATTTAAAACAGTGAAAATCTAGGGAAAAATACAGAGTTCAACAATAGCCCATTTATGGTATGTACAGTTGGATTCAACCCTATCAATATTTCATGATTCAGTGGAATATCTGTGCCATTGTTGAGAAGACAGAATAGGATACATAAATAGAAATATGGTATTTGTGAACTAATATTCTGTGAAAAAATAGAAAACCAAATTGAGTGTGAGTGTGGAGCGAGGACCACGTAAAAGCTGTATTCATGTGGCTAAAGACTAAAAGGAAACTGAAAGAAAGTGGATGGTGTGTTTGACGAGTGAAAAATTTTTGTTGTTGTTTTTTGTTTCAGGAAACAGTTGAGTCAGGGAGGAATATTTGTGCCAAAAACCTAGAGACGTATATAGTCACTGCACTTCAACCTGACCCCGAGTTTCTTGGCAACCAAAGCAAAATTCAAATTATGATCAAATTATGATTATACTGTTCTTGTTTCCTGACCAAAGACAGTCCACCATTAGGAGAGACATGGTTGTTTCTGGCATTAAATTATCATCATTTTTCTCCTGAGTCTTTTTTTTTTTTTTGAGATGGAGTTTCGCTCTTGCCTACCAGGCTGGAGTGCAACGGTGCAATCTCAGCTCACCGCAACCTCCACCTCCTAGGTTCAAGCGATTCTCCTGCCTCAGCCTCCTGAGTAGCTGGGATTACAGGTGTGCGCCACCACGCCCGGCAAATTTTTGTATTTTTAGTAGAAAGGGGGTTTCACCATGTTGGCCAGGCTGGTCTTGAACTCCTGATCTCAGGCGATCCACCTGCTTCGGCCTCCTAAAGTGCTGGAATTACAGGCGTGAGCCACCTCGCCCAGCTCCCCTCAGTCTTTATGTAAGAGTCAAGAGACTTGATGAGCAGCAAATTTGCTTGTAGTTTGCAAAAAATGAAACTTGTCTTTGGAAAAGTTCCATTAGGGGATGTAGGGGCCAGGGAGGCCCCCCACCCTTTGATCCCTGGGTCCTGGGCAAGATGACACACACCCCAAAGAATCTACTCCAAGCAGGAAGTCATTCATTATGTCCTGCTGTGACAGTCCAGCTTTTTTCCATCCCAGAGGAGCGGAACAACAGGTCACTCTCCCCTGATAACAAACAGCCCTCCAAATGTTTGAAAGATCATTATTGGCATGTGTGGACTGTTTTTCCCTGAATTAGGACACAGACAGCTTTGACGCTGCCCAACCTCTGGAACACAAGTCTGCATCGGTCTTTGCACGTGGTGTTGCTGCTGCTACGCCCCGTCCGCTCCCTCTCTTAGCTTTTTGAGAGTAGCAGCTGCCCTGGTCTCTGCCCACCCCTCCAGGTGCACCTCAGCCTCACCTTCCTTGCATCTTTGCTCAACCAGGCTCCTTCCTGTCCTTCAAGTCTCAGCCAAGATGCCACCTCTGCAGAGAGCCTTTCCTGCCCATCATCCTGACCAAGTCCCTGCACCTTGGTACCCTACACCCACCCCCCTCTTTATGACACATATCCCCCTTCATATTCCTTTATTTCTTTGTTAATGTATTGATTTTTTTTCTTCTGCCCACTAGTCTATGGGCTCCCTGAAGGCAGGGACAGTGTCAGCCCCGTTTGCTGCTATGCCCTGGGTTATTGAGCACATCTCTGATGCTCAGTACATTTTTGTTGGTGCATGAATGGAGAGGGCAATGCCTAGCAGCTGGCGATGCCGTGCGTTTTGAGACAGAGCCACGTGTAACATGACAGCCACTGCTGAGATAGCCATTCTCTCCATATTACAGCAGAGGAGACTGGCTTAGAGAGGTGGCAGAGTCCCTGTACCCGGTGTGGCTTTCCAGATACTGCCCTCTGCCAGCATGGGAGCTGTGGTCCACCCACCTCCACACCTCCACTCCTGGGTCCATTTCTTTTCTTTTTTTTTTTTTTGAGACAGAGTTTCACTTTTGTCACCCAGGCTGGAGTGCAAAGGCGCGATCTCGCCTCACCGCAACCTCCGCCTTCCGGGTTCAAGTGCTTCTCCTGCCTCAGCCTCCCGAGTAGCTGGGATTATAGGCATGCGCCACTATGCCCGGATAATTTTGTGTTTTTGTAGTAGAGACAGGTTTCACCATGTTGGTCAGGCTGGTCTCGAACTCCCAACCTCAGGTAATTCGCCTGCCTCGGCCTCCCAAAGTGCTGGGAATACTGGCATGAGCCACCACGCCCAGTCACTCCTGGGTCCATTTCTGAGTCCCTCCTCCACTAGGGGCTTTTTTCCTCACTGGGAAGGTCCCGGGGCAATGGCTTGATGAGCAATAAATGCAACAAGAGCTCCATGCTTTTAAGTGGGCTGCCAACAAGTTAGAGATTTCAAGTTATTCCACACACATAAAATTTGGAGAACCACGGGCTCTGCCAAGCCTCTAGTAGATGCCTCCCACACAGCACAACACCCAATTCAAGGCTTATATGGTCAGGATTTGTGTCCCCACACAAACCTCATCTTGAATTGTGACCCACAGGGATTTACGAAGAGACCAGGTGGAGGCAATTGAATCATGGGAGTGGATCCCTGCTGCTGTTCTCGTGATAGTGAGTTCTCATAAGATCTGATTATTTCATTTTGTTTTATTTTTTATTTTTATTTTTACTTATTTTATTTTTTTTGAGATGGAGTGTTGCTCTGTCGCCCAGGCTGGAGTGCAGTGGAGTGCATCTCAGCTCACTACAGCCTCTGCCTCCCGGGTTCAAGCAATTCTCATGCCTCAGCCTCCCAAGTAGCTGGAATTACAGGAGCGAGCCACCACACCCAGCTAATTTTTGTATTTTTAGTAGAGACAAGGTTTCACCATGTTGGCCAGGCTGGTCTCGAACTCTTGACCTCAAGTGATCCACCTGCCTCTGCCTCCCAAAGTGCTGGGATTACAGGCATGAGCCACCGCACCCGGCAAGATCTGATGATTTTATAAGGGAGGGGCTCTTCCCGCTTCACTTGGCACTTCTCCTTCCTGCAGCCTTGTGAAGAAGGTGCCTGTCTTCTCTCTTGCCTTCCACCATGGTTGTAAGTTTCCTGAGGCCTCCCCAGACAGGCAGAACTGTGAGTCAATTAAACCTCTTTCCTTTATAAATTACAGTCTTGGGTATGTCTTTATCGTGGTATGAAAATGGACTAATACAAAGGCATTCCAGAATGCGGTCTACTGTCTTCATGGGACTCCTCCTGCAGTGACAACCCCATGTCCATGTCCTCAGGCCAGGCGGTGATGGGGGAATCCCTGGAGGCTGAGGAAGCACCAAGGAAGTGGTCAAAGAAGGCTTCCTGGCCGGGCACGGTGGCTCACACCTGTAATCCCAGGACTTTGGGAGGCTGAGGTGGGTGGATCACTTGAGGTCAGGAGTTTGACACCAGCCTGGACAACATGGTGAAACCCCGTGTCTATTAAAAATACAAAAATATTAGCTGAGCATGGTGGCGCACGCCTGTAATCCTAGCTACTCAGGAGGCTGAGGTGGGAGGATCACTTGAACCCGAGAGGCAGAGGTTGCAGTGAGCCGAGATCGTGCCACTGCACTCCAGCTTGGGCAACAGAGTGAGGTTCTGTCTCAAAAAAAAAAAAAAAAAAAAGGCTTTTTGGAGGAGGTGACCCAACACTGGCACTTTCACAGTCTATAGGATGAGTAGGAGTTAAAGAGGTTCAGGACCAGGAGAAGTGGCCTCGGGGAGGGTGACAAACATCCCAGATAAGGGAGCAGGCTGTGTACAGGTCTAGAGGAAGGATGTTGGGTTCAAATAGTGGGTGTAGCTCAGCAGAGGTTGGGGATAGGGGTGATCAGAGGAGGGGCTGAAAGATGGGTGGGGCCGCCACAGGAAGGGTGGACAGTAGGGAGTGGTCCTATACCAAACACCTCAAAGAGGGTTAAGAATTTAGTCCAGGCACCGTGACTCACACCACTTTGGGAGGCCAAAGCAGGCAGAACACGAGGTCAGGGGTTTGAGACCAGCCTGACCAACATAGTGAAACCCTGTCTCTATTAAAAATACAAAAAATTGGTTTGGCGTGTTGGCGCGTGCCTGTATTCCCAGCTACTCGGGAGGCTGAGGCAAGAGAATCACTTGAACTGGAGAGGCGGAGGTTGCAGTGAGCCGAGATTGCATCATTGCACTCCAGCCTGGATGACAGAGTGAGACTGCATCTCAAAAAAAAAACAAAACAAAAAAAAGAAATTTGGCAGAAGCCAGCTGCCCTCCCAGCTCCCTGCTGGAGGCCCGTCTTGCACTTTTATCTAAGGATGTTAATTTCCATGTGTCGTTCGCCCCAGCATGTGCCAGGCCTTTGGTCTCATTTTACTTACACAGTCAGCCGTGAGAGACACATGCTCTCCTGTCTCACAACAAGGGAGGCAGGATCATAAAGGAACCAGTCAGCTTCATGAGGACCCATGGCAGGGCCAGGATGCAACCCAGGCATGCCTGGGACCCGAGCCATTTCTCACCACCACACCGCGCCCACACAGCACACTGCCAAATGATTGCTTAGTGTTAGGAGCTGAACTGTGTCCCCCGCAAATTCGTCTGTTAAAATCCTAACCCTAGTCCTTCAGAATGTGCCTGTATTTGGAGGTAGGGTCTCTGCAGAGGTCATATGAGTGGGCCCTCCCTAATCCAATAGGAAGAGGATTATAAGAAGAGGGGGTTGGGACACAGACACACACACACCCAGAGTAGACCATGTGATAACCAGGGAGAAGACAGACAGCCCTCTGCAAACTAAGGAGAGAGGCCTCAGGAGAAACCAACCCTGCCGACCCATTGATTTTGGACTTCTGGCCTCTACAATACATTTCTGTTGTTTAATCATCCAGTCTGTGGTCCTTCATTATGGCAGCCCGAGCAAACTAGTACAGCTGGAGACTTGAGGGAGAGGAATTATGTGTCTATGATCTGGGACATGATAGCTCTTTTCTTTTGTTTTTTGTTTGTTTGTTTATTTGAGATGGAGTCTTGCTCTGTCACCTAGGCTGGAGTGCAGTGGTGCAATCTTGGCTCACTGCAACCTCTGCCTCCCAGGTTCAAGTGATTCTTCTGCCTCAGGCATGTGCTACCACGACCAGCTCATTTTTGTATTTTTAGTAGAGTCGGTGTTTCACCATGTTGGCCAGGCTGGAACCTCAGGTGATCCGCTCGCCTCGGCCTCCCAAAGTGCTGGGATCACAGGCGTGAACCACCTCACCCAGCCTGATCTGGGACATTGTAAATAGGTGTGAACCAGGGAAGGAAGGAGCGGGAGAACACAACATTCCAGGACGTTCCAGAACCTCCACTATCCTGGGACACCAGTTCAAACAAAATGAACGTCATTTATCTTTATGTTAAAACATAGTTCCCGGGAGCTTATATCCAGGGCAACTTGAATCTATACTCCCATGTTGTAGTCCTCGAACGGAACCCAAATAAACTCTCTACTGGAAGAAAAATAAATAAATCAACCCCATAGTTCCTGAGTTCCATACTTCTACTCTGCTTTGAAGACTGAAGTTCCTATGCCACAGGAACAAAAGTCCAGAAACAAAAAAGCTGGTAGGATCCTAACACCGGGGGCAGGGAGAGTGCCGTTCTGGCTCTCTAATGGTAGTTGGTGGAGCTGGAAAAAGTGAATGTCCAAAAGATTAAAGCATGGGTGCTCATGTGGAAGAAACAGAACAAAACAAAACCATTACGTGGCTGAAGCAAATGCAATTTTGTTTGTCTCTCATTCTGACAAAACGACAGAACACGCACCAAAGGAGTTCTGGAAAGACTGCCCCATAGCCTGGGGGCAGCAGTGGCAATGGGACAGTCGTTTCGTGCGAGTTTTTGTTTGTTTCAGGGAAGATTTGCATTTCTTCCATATGAGCCATAACTATTGCTTAGAAATGGTGATCTTTAAATTTCCTGTTGGTCCAGGTTGCAGAACAGTGAAGTGGGATTCTAAAGGATGTCTTTCTTTTTCTTCCTGTGTTTGAGGAATTCCCACTTAAGAGCTCCATTAGGAGACCCGGCTTTCTTTCCACTACAGGAACAAAACTCTCACTTCTCCCCCACCAGCTTCCCTTAAATCTGGGGTGCTGGCCCAGGACCGAGGCCAAGCCATCAAATGTGGCCACCCTGGGCTTTGTCATGGGGGCCAGTGGTGGGAAGGAGCAGGGTGTCGTGGGTAGCAATTAGCTAGGCCCAGTGTCTCAGGTGGTAAATGAATTTATCAAGACAGCTGTAAATAAAGAAAAGCAGATTTATAAGAGAAGATATAGAAAATACGTTGCGTGGCCGGGTGTGATGGTTCATGCCTGTAATCCCAGGACTTTGGGAGGCCGAGGTGGGCAGGTCACAAAATAAAGAGGTTGACACCATCCTGGCCAACGTGGTGAAACCCCATCTCTACTGAAAATACAAAAATTAGCTGGGCGTGGTGGCGGGTGCCTGTAGTCCCAGCTACTCAGGAGGCTGAGGCAGGAGAATCACTTGAAACCGGGACGTGGGGGTTGCAGTTAGCCAAGATTGCATCACTGCACTCCAGCCTGGAGAAAGATCGAGACTCCGTCTTAAAAAAAAAAAAGAAAGAAAAAAAGAAAAGAAATATGTTAAAAGATTGCAATGGGCAGTGCAGCAGAGAAGGGGGTGCCTGCAAAAAGGCAGGGGCTGGAGGGAAGTTTCATAGGGTTGTGCTGGAGGCGGCTACTTACAGAAGAGGTCATTGTGCCATGAGGTCGTTGTGCCCTCAGGTTGTGTGATTAGCCACCTCTCAGAACAATTGTTCATTGTTCTTCCCCACCTGGGGCCCCTTCCTCCTTGTTGCTTACTTATCTTATAGGGATTCCACATGCCCCCTCTGACAAAATAACAATGACAAATCTTTGGCATTGTGGCAGAGGTCTCATCTTTCAACTGATTCCTGCTGACCCCCGGGGCATAGGGTTACCCCTACCTAGGATTATCTATCTGTCAAGAGACCCTACGTGTCCTTGTCCCAGACTGCGGGACCTAGGATATTGGATCTTGCTGGATGGAAGAAGGGACTCAGAGAGGGGGAGCAAACTGATGTCCAGGCCGGGTGAGGTGGCTCACACCTGTAATCCCAACACTTTGAGGGGCCAAGGCAGGTGGATCACAAGGTCAGGAGTTCAAGACCAGCCTGGCCAAGATGGTGAAACCCTGTCTCTACTAAACATACAAAAATTGGCCAGGTGTGGTGGCAGGCACCTGTAATCCCAGTTACTCGGGAGGCTGAGGCAGAGAATTGCTTGAACCCAGGAGGCGGAGTTTGCAGTGAGCTGAGATGGCACCACTGCATTCCAGCCTGGGTGACAGAGCGAGATTCCATCTCAAACAAAACAAAACAAAACAAAGCAAAACAAAAAAAACCCCTGATGTCTAGCTGAATTCAGTGGAGACTTATAAAGGTAGCAGACATCATTGGGGAGAGACCAATATTCCGTTTGCAGCATCATTTGAAGTTGAAACTGCTGAATTCTAGAAGATAAAATGTTGTGTCTTATTTATTTATTCATGTAATATTTTGAGACAGAGTCTTTTTCTATTGCCCAGGCTGGAGTGCAATGGCACGATCTTGACTCACTGCAACCTTCGCCTCCCAGGTTCAAGCATTTCTCATCCCTCAGCCTTCCAAGTAGCTGGGATTCCAGGCATGTGCCACCATGCCCAGCTACTTTTTGTATTTTTAGTAGAGATAGGGTTTCGCCATGTTGGTCAGGCTGGTCTTGAACTCCTGGCCTCAAGTGATCTGCCTGCCTCAGCTTCCCAAAGTGCTGGGATTACAGGCATGAGCCACCATGCCCAGCCAATAAAATTTTGTTTCTTAAGCCAGTTGCCAAAAAGGCAAAGAAAAAAACCCTTTTGCAGTGTGACTGTTTTTCCTCATTGGAAGCCCATTTAGATAACCTGGAAGTTAAGCTCAATGAAAAAGTGTTTGAATTTAATTAGACAAAAGAAGAGTGTGTTCAGGGTTATGAATGTAGGAGGGGAATACATGACTCTTAGGAGCAGCATGAGAAGTTTTCACGTTTTTTTTTTACATTGAGAATTCAGATATATTAAGAAAAGTTAAGGGTACAGAATTAAGTTACTTTAGAGGAAAACAGTGCTTAGGTTTTTGACCTTCAAGTTGAAACATTTTAGCATTAGGTCATAACAGAACTGGAGGAAAAAGTTACAGGAGCTGATAAAAACTGAAGGAAAGAGATGTCTGGATGCAGTGGCTCACACCTGTAATCCCAGCACTTTGGGAGGCCAAGGCGGGTGGATCACCTGAGGTCAGGAGTTTGAGAGCAGCCTGGCCAACATTATGAAACCTCCATCTCCACTAAAAATACAAAAAAAAAAAAAAAAAAAAAGCCGGGCAGCGCATGCCTATAATCCCAGCTACTCGGGAGGCTGAGGCAGAAGAATTGTTTGAACCTGGGAGGCAGAGGTTGCCGTGAGCCAAGATTGCACTGCTGCACTCCACCCTGGGTGATGGAGCGAGACTCTTCTTAAAACAAACAAACAAACAAACAAAAAACTGAAGAAAAGAGTTATTATCATAGGCCTTCTCCAGGAGAGAAAATGGTGAAAGCAGTGGCACACAGCAAACATTGAATTTCTGAGATATGATTCTGAGAAGTTTTTTAAAAGAAACATTAAAAGTAAAACTTCTTGCAATTTTATTAAGAGCAGATTAATACCTTAAGAAAACCTTGTTTTAACATAGGGGACCATTGTTAGAAAGATCGTCCTAAATAATTCCCTTTCAATTATAATCATCTTAATCCCGTATAAAATTCCTTTCATAAATTCCCCTTTATGAACCTTTTAATGACTTACACAAACCATCTACCACATGCCTAGAGTTTCTGACTTGTCCTAAACATCCCTCTTTCTTAAACAACCAGTCATTTTCCTTTAGGACAAGAGTTTACCATACAAGATCTTTTCTCATATAAAATCTCTTTCTTTATAACCTTCCTTACCAAAAATATCTCCTTACCTTTATGATCATTTTATGTCTCTCTTATTTCCTGGTTCCTTTTACCTTGTTTTGCATGTAACCTTTAAATAAACTTTGAATTATTCCTCTTAACCTTGTTTTGTATGTAACCTTAAATAAACGTTGAATTAGACATAAATTATTTTCCTTTTATTATAAAATTAAGGTTTGTACAGCATGTTGCTGTGTGATTTCTGTGTGAAGGGGCAACAGATTAAAGAAGTTATCTACACACTGTAGATGTTATCACCCCTCAAGAGATTGCTCAGTTAGATTTCTTCCTAGGGGTTCTCTGAATAAATGTGGGCTATTTTTAACCCTTGGGGCAGGACTATCTAGGTTGAAGTTATTCATTCAAGATTTAGGTAGCTTTCTTGGGAGAAATAGGGCTATTAGAGGGAAAGATGAATTCAGAGGCTGTGTAAATATGAAGTAGGCGTCTATCTTGGAAAGTATATTTTTGGCCCAAAGGGGTGTGAGGTATTTAGATATTACCAGGGACTGGTGGGACAATGGCATTGGTCCCTTAAATAATATAAAGATGTATAAATTTTTTCTTTTGGAGTCAGGGAATGCCATTTGTTCCCATTACCCAACAGGATTTGGAGGAGAGTTGCTCAGAAAAGGAGAGTATTGGAGAATCACTGTAAGTCATTTCTTTAAAGAAAATGATAACTCCAAAATTTTTTAAATGCAAAAATCTTTACTTGCTGATAGAGGGGATGCACAACTTTCCAAACAGGATGCAATAAAGACAGCATGAGGCCAGCTGAATCTGTCTCCTCTCCCCTCCCTTTTTTGTTGTTTATTAAAAGGTAAACAAGAATCTTTCATTATTTTTTAATCTTACATAAAAGTCTTGTTTAAAAGAGAAAACCTGATTTCACCTTTGCATTACTATATTATTAATGTTAAATCCAATTATTAATAGCACCTTATCAACAAATCTGTACAGTCTTAATTAGTTTGACCATAAGGTAACATTTCCATAAACCTCTTATAACTCTTTACAATTTTCTGTTAAAGAGATCAATTTCCTAGGAAAACTGTTATTCAGACACGTGGGCCCAGATTCCAGCTCTACATCAGTATGCTTTTATTTCAATGTTCAACCTATGGAAAAACTAAATAATCTCTTTATATCTTAGCCAACTTCCTTATACGCACAGAACTTCTTACAAGATTAGCCCTTTACAAACCCTTTTCAACTTGCTTAAACCTTCAGTTTTGTCTCATGACTCTTTTAGGTTAGGCCAATCCTTAAAACCCTCTGAGCTAGACAAGATTACATTCCCTTTAACACCAGGTCCCAACCTCCAGGCCAAGGACCAGTACTGGTCCGTGGCCTGTTAGGAACTGGGCAACACAGCAGGAGGTGAGTGGCGGACAAGTGAGCATTACTGCCTGAGCTCTGCCTCTTGTGAGATCAGCGGCAGCCGCAGATTCTCATAGGAGCCTGAGCCCTATCCTGAACTGTGCATGTGGGGGACCTAGGTTGTGCACTCCTTATGGGAATCTAATGCCTGATAATCGGTGGTGGAACAGTTTCATCCCACAAACATTCCCCTAACCCCCTGTCTATGGAAAAATGGTCTTCTACAAAACCAGTTCCTGGTGCCAAAAAGGTGAGGGGACCACTGCTTTAATAAAAACTGTATTCCCACGCCTTCTTCTAACCTCCCGCCAAAAACACGTTCAACTTTCCTTCTATACTTTGCACCTAAACTCTTCCTCCAGTAGTGATACATTTGGCTGTGTCCCCACCCAAATCTCATCTTGAATTGTAGCTCCCATAATTCCCATGTGTTGTGGGAGGGACCCGGTGGGAGATAATTGAATCATGGGAGCAGTTTCCCCCATACTGTTCTTGTGGTAGTGAATAAGTCTCACGAGATCTGATGGTTTTAATAAGGGGTTTCTGCTTTTGCTTGGCTCTCTTTCTCTCTTTCCTGCTGCCATGTAAGATGTACCTTTGCTCCTCCTTCACGGCCTCCCCAGCCATGTGGAACTGTGAGTCCAGTAAACCTCTTTCCTTTATAAATTACCCAATCTTGGGTATGTCTTTATTAGCAGCTTGAGGACAGACTAATACAAGTAGTCTCAAGCACATGCTACAATGTTAACTCTTAGCAACTTTTATTTTTGGTGAAAAACTTGGTGAGCAAGCAGTTTTAACCGTGTCAGGATTGCACAGCTCAGGACAAGGATGGAGCTGCAGATCACATCTGACTCTTCTCAGCCTAGCCAGGGAACCAGACTAACTCCATATTTCTCCAGGCCTTACCTAGAATCTAATGGCTGTAAACGGCTGGGTGCGGTGGCTTGCACCTGTAATCCCAGCACTTTGGGAGGCCCAGACAGGCAGATCACGACATCAGGAGGTCGAGACCATGCTGGCTAACACGGTGAAACCCTGTATCTACTAAAAATACAAAAAAATTAGCCAGGCGTGGTGGCGGGTGCCTGTAGTCCCAGCTACTTGGGAGGTTGAGGCAGGAGAATGGCATGAACCCAGGAGGCAGAGCTTGCAGTGAGCTGAGATCGCACCACTGCACTCCAGCCTGGGCTACAGAGCGAGACTCTGTCTCAAAAAAAAAAAAAAAAGAATCTAATGGCTATAAGCAGACAAGTCAAACAATTATTATTAATAGAAGTTGCAGAGGCAGTTTATGGCCTTAAAGTATCTGGCAAACAGTACCTGACCTGCTGAATTTAGTTCAAATGTGTGAACTTTGAAGACATTTTTGTTTTACTTTACCAACAATCTTCAGACTGTCTTTATTTATTTATTTATCTATTTATTTATTTTGAGATGGAGTCTCACTCTGTCGCTCAGGTTGGAGTGCAGTGGCGCAATCTCAGCTCACTGCAACCTCCGCCTCCTGGGTTCAAGCAATTCTCCTGCCTCAGCCTCCTGAGCAGCTGGGACTACAGGAGCCCACCACAGTGCCCGGCTAATTTTTAAATTTTTAGTAGAGACAGGATTTCACCATGTTGGCCAGGCTGGTCTCGAACTGTTGACCTCAGGTGATCCACCCACCTCAGCTTCCCAAAGTGCTGGGATTACAAGTGTGAGCCACTGCGCCGGCCCAGACTGTCTTTATTTTTTAAAGATAAGAGCCATGTGACCTAAAAGGCATTAAAGTTTCTATTTTTCTGGGCCACGACAAGACAGAAGCTGTCCATGGAGGGGGAAAAGAATCAATAAATGGCAAAAATACCACAAGTATTAAACCTCAAAGGACTCACTTCCAAAGCCAGGAATTTCCAGGCCACCGCTGTGAAAAGGGCAAAGCCTTAGCAACTGACCTCCAGCACAAGGTGACGGCTGTTGTTTTTTCCAGAAGGACTTTAGGGCATTTTCAAGCTTGCGAAAGATTTTAACTGCTCAAGAGAATTTTCTAAGACTAGCCATGTTATTATTATGCATCCTTCTTTTAACTTAACCTTTTTCATTCAATGATGTATGCAGTTCCAAGAGTGACTCAATCTAAAAGCCTAAGTCTAGACAGTAATTTTCCAGGTTTTTACCATGTATATGTTAAGAGGTATACATTTGCAGAAAGGGGTAGAGGAGGCATCTTTATGATAAGCAGCTCTTGAAAGCAAAAGGGAAATTTATAATTTTACTTGCCGCCTCCAGAGTTTCCCTTGGCTTCATTTTGTTGATGATGATGTTTGATTTGGAAGCCAGCCGGGGCAGAGAGCCCCCATCAGCTTGAGGCCATCAATAGTTGGGATTCTGTCCTGGGGACCCTTCGGCCCTCAGGGCAGTCCCATTTCCAATGGCCAGGCTTGTAGCAGAGGGGGCGAGCTATGTGGGTTTTTTTCCCATGTGTCCCATTGGGGCAGTTTGCCTTCCAGTGGCCTGGCCTTCTGCACTGATGCCAGTTACCTGGAGGAGTGTCCTTGGGGCAACCTGGAGCCGGGTTGGGGCTTGTAAAGCAGCCAACAGTTGAGCCTGCCTCTTGTCCCTGCATTTTTCTTTCTCCTTAGCCCTGTCCTCCAGATTATGCTCTCAGTTATAAAAGACTGAGGAGGCTAATTTGAGGATTTCCTGCATAGGGGCCATGCTGTATTACACAAGAAAATTAGGTGTTTCTTTTTGAGAGTCTGAGGGTTAAATTTGTCTGTGTTCTAGGATGCAACCCAGAGGTGAATCTGAAGGAATAGATGGGTTTTGTCCCATGGTGGGGCTGGAAAAGGAGCTGCCAGCAAGTCACATCTGCTGGGACATGAATTGCACCTTCTTTTGGGGTATACCACTGAGGAAGAGGGTTCCACTCATGCCCACTGAGGGACTTGGGTACACCTTCTAAAGGGGTGTCCCACCTATCAGAAAGGACACTTTGCCACAGGTCACTTTGCCATCAGTGCTCAGCTCTGGGGCCTTGTCACACTGGGTGTTCAGCCCAGGTATGAGGAAAAAAGGGTAAAGGATGAACTCAGCTTGGGGCCAGCCCAGGAGAGGGGGCAGGAATGTGGAAACTCTGAGGCCACGTGAGATCACCTGATTTGGAGACGTCCAGAGCAAGAGGTGTGGCTGTCTTCATGGAATAATTTAGAAAGAGAAAGAGGGGGACAAAACGTGTGTCAATTGCAACACACAGAGGGATCAGGGACCTTTGACCAGAAAGGACAGGAGAGGCCCTTCCTTCCTTCTGTACAAGGCAGTCAAATCTGTTGACCTGCTGGCCTTTAGGCCATACCAGGGAGTGGCCCTGGCCAGTTGCAGTCAATCGCCAGAGGGACACTAGAGTTTGTCCACTGGGAGACTGAAAAGGAAAGTAAACTCTGAACTCTCATCCAATCAAGCAGCAGCGGTCAGAGGCTTCCACATGGACACCTTTCAGTCTCACCAGAGTGCAGCCTTGGCTACAGACTTTCAGTTGTGTCCGTGTTTAGACACACTCCATTGAGGGTCCTGAGTTGGGAAATAAAAGAAATAGAGAGAGGGGAGAGGGTTCCCTGCAAGAAGAGAGAGTCCCCATACTGGCCACCAAAATGTTGCAAGTATCCACCAGCTAGGACTGATGTCGCAGGCAGTAAGGGAATTTATGAAGACAGTAGTAAGTAAAGAAAGGCAGATTTATGAGAGAAGATATGAAAATACGTTGCAAGGTTGCAACGGGCAGTACAGCAGAGAAGGGGCTGTCTGCAAAGAGGCAGGGGCTGAAGGGAAGTTTTGTAGAGTCCTGCTGGAGGGGGCTACATGCAGACAGAGGTCATTGTGTTCACTGAAGTCATTGTGCCCTCAGGTTGTTTGTGATTAGCCATTTCTCACAACAATTGTTCATTGTGCTTCCCCACCTGGAGCCCTCCCTGACCTGGGGCCCTTTCCTCCTTGTTGCTTACTTATCTTATGAGGGCTCCTTACTGGGCTGGTAGCCAGACCATTTTGTTGGTCACCAGATGTAGCAGCAGCAGTGGGAAGGTGGGTTTCAGGACCAGCACTGATGGCAAAGTGACCTGTGGCATCCAGCATGGAGTGACAGTGGCATGGTGGTATGGTGGTCATGCCATCATCTGACTGGCTTTATGGCCCTGTCTGTATTCCAGATGTCCCTGTGTAAGCCCAGCTTCTAGGCTCAATCTGCAGTATTCCTGATGAATTTATGAGCTACCAAATATCATGTCAATAAATTCTTCCTATTTGCAGCAGTCAGAGCGGGTTTCCATTGTTTGCAACTAAGAGTCACGATTGGCCGGGCACAGTGGCTCACACCTATAATCCCAGCACTTTGGGAGGCTGAGGCAGGTGGATCACCTGAGGCCAAGAGTTTGAGACCAGCCTGATCAACATGGAGAAACCCTTGTCTCTACTAAAAATACAAAATTAGCCAGGCGTGGTGGCGCATGCCTGTAATCCCAGCTACTCTGGAGGCTGAGGCAGGAGAATCACTTAAATCCTGGAGGTGGAGGTTGCCGTGAGCTGAGATTGTGCCATTGCACTCCAGCCTGGGCAACACGAGTGAAATTCCATCTCAAAAAAAAAAAAAAAAGAGTCATCATTGATGCTAGGATTGTTACAGAATTGGAGGAGGGGTGGATACCCCCAAAGATGGTGGACACTGAGAAAAGTGGTCCCAATTTCATTACCTCTGGATGGAACAGCTGGACATGACTTTGGTTGCCTCTGGTAAGGGGAAAGTTAAGAACTTGGAAGGTGTGTGTGAGATGGTTGGGTTGAATTAAACCAAGGCAAGTTTGTGCATACAGGGAAAAGAGTGTTTGTGTGGACTGGGTAGCCAAGGGATGGAAAGTGGTGGGCACCTTTGGGGACTTGTGCCCAGCCCATGACTTCCTTTTGTTTGAGAACTGCACCCTTCTCACTGACCACACGGTTGGTCCCTGGAAGAGTGTTTCTCTTACATGACCCTCTGTGACCCCTATCCCCACCCCTGGACCCAGCTAATCTGATTATTGGACTCTGTGAGATTCCTGACCATAGTGCACATTGTTCTACGGGGCTTTAGGGAGCTGTAGAAATCCTGATACTTAGGCCACAGCCTGACCAATTAAGTCAGAATCTCCAGGGGTGGCTGTCAGGCAGCCCCAGGTAATCTTGGGATGTGGGCAAGTTTGAGACTCCTGCTCTATAAAATCCTTCCATCAATCTCCCTTGATGTTTAAGGTAGTGCTTCCTGTTCATTGCAAAGATATTTGACTGAAATAGCATCTTTTCTTTCCTTTCTTTTTTTTTTTTTTTTTTTTGAGACAGTCTCACTCTGTCATCCAGGCTGGAGTGCAGTGGTGTGATCTTGGCTTACTGCAACCTCTGCCTCCTGGGTTCAAACAGCTTTCCTGCCTCAGCCTCCTCGGTAGCTGGGATTACAGGCGCCTGACACCATGCCTCGATAATTTTTGTATTACTATTTTTTTTTTAGTAGAGGCACAGTTTCACCATGTTGGCCAGGCTGGTCTCAAATTCCTGACCTCAAGTGATCCGCCCACCTGGGCCTCCCAAAGTGCTCGTATTACAGGAATGAACCATCACACCCAGCCACATCTTTTCAATATTGATTCTTTCTATCAGTGACAAAGTTGTCACTCTAGTTATTCACATCTTCTTTTATATGTGTTGATTAAAATCTTGCAGTTTTTTAAAGTGTAGATCTTGCACCTTTTTTCTTTATTTTTTGTTGTATATATTTAGATCTTGCACCTTTTTAATTTTTTATAGTATATATTTAAGGTGTATGACATGATGTTTTGATATACCTATACATAGTGAAATGGCTGCTATAGTCAAGCAAATCAACATAGCCATCATCTCACACAGTTTTCCTTTGTGTGTGTGTGGTAAGAGCTCCCAAAATCTACTCCCTAGAACAGTGGTCCCCAACCTTTTTGGCACCAGAGACTGGTTTCATGGAAGACAATTTTTCCACAGACAAGGGGCAGTGGTGGTGGGGAGATGGTTTCAGGATTATTCAAGTGCATTACACTTATCATTAGATTCTCATAAGGAGCATGCAACCTAGACCCCTCGCATGCACAGTTCACAAAATGGTTCACACCCCTGTGAGACTCTAATGCTGCCACTGATCTGACAGGAGGTAGAGGTCAGGTGGTAATGTTAGCTCACCTCCCGCTCAGGTTCCTGCCGTATATGACCTGGTTCCTAACACACCATGGACCAGTACAATGTGAGAACAGACTAATGCAAGGGGTCCCCAACGCCTGTATTGCTATAAACAACTACCTGAGACTAGGTAATTTACAAAAAAAACAGGTTTTATCTGCTCACAGTTCCACAGGCTGTATAGGATGCATGGCTGGGGAGGCCTCAGGAAACTTACAATCGTGGAGGAAGGGCAAAGGGGAAGCAAGCACATCTTCACAAGGGAGCAGGAGAGAGAGAGTGAAGGCAGAAGTTCTACACACTTTTGAACAACCAGATCTCGTGAGAACTCACTCACTATCACGAGAACAGCAAGGGGAAGTCCAGCCCTGTGATTCAATCATCTCCCACCAAGCCCCTCCTCCAACACAGTTGATGCATGGTTACAATTCACCATGAGATTTGGGTGGGGACACAGAGCCAAATGATATCCCCCTGCTCTAGAAAAACTCTGAATTTAGTTCAATATTATTAACTATAATCCTCACATTGTACATTAGATCTTGCAACTTTGTATCCATCGACCTACATCTCCCCATTTCCTGCCCGCCGTATCTGCCCCTGATAAGCACGGTTTTGTTCTCTGTTTCTATGTATGCAACTTCTTTGAGTTCCATATATAAGTGAGATCATGCAATATTTTTCTTTCCGTGTCTGGCTTACTGCACTTAGCATAATATCCTCAAGGTTCATCCATGTTGTGGGTGCCTTGTTTAGTTCTAAGCACTTAATATTTTTATTGTCATTCTGATTGGAGTATTTTTTTCTATCGTGTTTTCTAATTTGTTATTGTTAATATAAAGAAAAAATCTTATTTTTCATATTACATATGAATTTTACGTATTAATTATGTACAACTATATATGCATTGAGTACAACCATATGTATTTCCATGAGATATATAAAGGAAACATAATCATAACAACTAATATATAATATCAAAGATCAGTGAAATAAATATATTTCTACTATGGAGTATCCTATAACTCTTTAAATTTATAAATATAAAGATTGTTGCAACCAAGTTATTTGTTTTTTATATAAAGTAAAAATTAAACTTAAAAAAATTTTTTTGAGACAAGGTCTCGTTCTGTGGCCCAGGCTGGAGTGCAGGGGTGCCATCGCAGCTCACTGCAGCCTCGACCTCCCAGGCTCAAGCAGTCCTCCTACCTCAGCCTCCCAAGTAGCTGGGACTACAGACGCGTGCCACAATGCCCAGCTTTTTTTTTTCTTTTTTATTTTTTAGAGACAGGGTCTCATTATGTTGCCTAGGCTGGTCTCGAACTCCTGGGCTCAAGTGATCCTCCCACCTTGTCCTCCCAAAGTGCTGGGATTACAGGCATGAGCCACCATGCCCAGCCAGAATTTTGAATTGTATGTACACTAGACTTTGTTAAAGTATATACAAATATAGATAAAATATTGGAAGGAAAAGGCAGTTTCATTAGGATAGTGGTGTTTGTATATCTTTCACACAGAATATTTTTTACCCTGTACATGTGTTACTTTTTCATTAAAGAAAAAAAATCTAAAACAGGCCATATGAACGATTCTCCAGAACACATTTTTACAACGTCAGGTTTTACCTCTACCCTTGGAAAACTAGCCCTTTGTTTCTTTTTTATTTTTAATTATTTTTTATTTTTTGTTTTGTCTTGATTTTACTTTAGAGACAGTCTATGTTTTTGATATTTAAAAATTTATAATAGGCCGGGAGCGGTGGCTCACGCCTGTAATCCCAGCACTTTGGGAGGCCGAGGCGGGTGGATCATGAGGTCAGGAGATCGAGACCATCCCGGCTAACAAGGTGAAACCCCGTCTCTACTAAAAATACAAAAAAAAAAAATTAGCCGGGCGCGGTGGCGGGCGCCTGTAGTCCCAGCTACTCGGGAGGCTGAGGCAGGAGAATGGCGTGAACCCGGGAGGCGGAGCTTGCAGTGAGCCGAGATTGCGCCACTGCAGTCCGCAGTCCGGCCTGGGCGACAGAGCGAGACTCTGTCTCAAAAAAAAAAAAAAAAAAAAAAAAAAATTTATAATAAACTTTTTTTTTTTTGAGACGGAGTTTCGCTCTTGTCACCCAGGCTGGAGTACAATGGCGCCATCTCAGCTCACCACAACCTCCGCCTCCCAGGTTCAAACGATTCTCCTGCCTCAGCCTCCCGAGTAGCTGGGACAGGTCTGTGGTCAGTGTTGGCTGAATGAATGAATCCAGTCCACCATGAATTTTTTTTTAGACGGAGTCTCACTCTGTCGCCCAGGCTGGAGTGCAGTGGCACGATCTCAGCTCACTGCAACTTCTGCCTCCCGGGATCAAGTGATTCTCCTGCCTCAGCCTCCCGAGTAGCTGGGACTACAGGCGTCTGTCACCACACCTGGCTAATTTTTGTATTTTTAGTAGAGACGGGGCTTCACCATGTTAGTCAGGCTGGTCTCAAACTCCTGACCTCGTGATCCACCCGCTTTGGCCTCGCAAAGTGCTGGGATGACAGGCAAGAGCCACCGCGCCCAGCCTATTTCTGATATTTATATGCATAGTTTGCATAGTTCATCTCAGGGTACATAGTTTTGTAACCTGATTTGTTTACTTAACATTCTATCATAAACATACTTTATGTTGCTCCAAAGCCTTCCCAGCCATTTCTTCTCAGTGAGTAATAAAGTCCCATCCAGTTGAGGAAACATCAGCAACTTATTCCCCATTGGATATTCCGGTTGATTCCAGTTTCTCTGCCGTTACAAGAAATACTCCAAAGATGGTGTATTTGTTCATAAGCCTTTCCATATTTGGGATTATTTCTTTAGGACAGAGTCCCAGCAGTCAGACGGATGGATCAAAGGGCACATACTGCTCTAATGAGCATCTCTTTGTAAGTTGGCCCAGCCACCTGCCGTTCATTGGAAGGGCAAATGGTTCTAATTAAAGGCCCAAAGTTTCTTCATGGGTTCCAGCTGCAGGTATGGAGGAATCCCTGGGGCGTGCACAGCCAGAGCAAACTTGCTCAGCTAAATTGTCAGTGCAGGGAGTCTCCGTTACAGTGTTTCTCTAAAGGAACTCAACAACTTTTGTATTGACGCATGTTTTAGGAAAATCTGCGATAGCTGTGAGCCTTTAAAATTGCATGCTTTGTTTAGCAAGGGGCAAGTGCCAAAGTCTTTCCCTGGAGCCTGGGCTTGGGAACCTCCATCATCTCACCTCACAACTATGCAGCAACTCGGTTTATGAAGTGCTTCAACCTCTGTTTTCCTCAAATCATCCCCATTCTACAGATGAGAAAACTGAGGCCCAAATGGGTGAAGGGACTTGTCTGAGATCCCATAGTTAATAAGTTGCAAAATCAATAGTCTAGTCCCTCCAACTCTAGGTCCACTTCAGGATCAATTCATGGTGGACTGGATTCATTCATTCAGCCAACACTGAACACAGAGCTGTGCCAGGTCCTGGGCTGGGCCCTGGAGACATGGAGGTGTCAGTCCCAGCTTCCTTGAGGAGCTCATGGTCTCAGGGAGACGGATTCTTTCACCAGCCATTTCAGTGCCGTGGAAAACTGTGAGATCCCTGAGAAGAGGTGGCCTGCAAGGAGCAGGGAGGGCCCTTGGAGGAGCTTGTGTTTGCCTGGAGCCCAGCAGATTTGCCAGGTGGGCAGGGAAGGGAGGGAAGGGCAGCATGGGTGAGGGCTGGGAACAAGAGAGGAGAGCATGCGGCAACTGGGTCAAGGTCCTGGCTCTCAAGAGACTCAGCTCCTGGTCTCCCGGGTGGAGACAAGTATATAAAACAAACCTTAAAAGAAAAAGATCAAGAGAGAGCACCAAGGGACAATGTTGGGGGCCATGTCCACTGTCTCATGGGTAGCAAGGGCTCCTAATGCTTAAGAACGGGCTTTGCCCTCAGAGACCTGTATTTGAACATGGCCTCTATATCTCACCGGCTGGATGACCTTGGGGAAGCCACTTACCTGTTCTGAGCTGCAGTGGATTCTGTGTACAAAAGGATGATGACACCATTCTCATACTGGTATTGGGAGCATTAAATTAGATAACACATATGAAGCTTCTAGCCCTGCACTTGGCAATGTCAGATAAGCGTTGGCTATGATAGAGGAGGAGGAGGATGCGGCAGGAAGAGGTGACCTTGGCAAACTTCGTGGAGATTGTGAAACTTGAGCTGGGAAGAGTATGAGGAGTTCTGTGGGCAGAGATGGGAGGGGAGAGGCATCTGAGGCGGAGAGAAGAGCAAAGGTTTGGAGACAGGCCTTAGCCTCTGTAGGCGGAGTGGGTGTCTCCATCACTGTTTCAGCCACATGCTGGTATGTCTTCTTCTTTTAGACAGAATCTCACTCTGTCGCCCAGGCTGGAGTGCAATCTTGGTGCAATCAAGGCTCACTGCAGCCTTGACCTCCCAGTCTCCAGCAATCCTCCCACCTCAGCCTCCCAAGTAGCTGGGACTACAGGCACACACCATCATGCTTGGCTAATTTTCCTAGTTTTTGTAGAGACAGGAGTCTCACTATGTAGCCCAGGCTGGTCTCAAACTCCTGGGCTCAAGTGATCCTCCTGCCTCAGCCTCCCAAAGCACTGGGATTACAGGCGTGAGCCAGTCCCACCCATTCCATGCCAGCATGTCTTTATGGAGCTCTAACCAAGGCCTGGCCCCATGCTGC
The DNA here is from genome assembly GCF_000001405.40 of Homo sapiens. Lineage (NCBI taxonomy): Eukaryota > Metazoa > Chordata > Mammalia > Primates > Hominidae > Homo > Homo sapiens. Next base: position 45,476,519 of record NC_000022.11, on the reverse strand, counting down.
CTGTTGGTTCCCATTTAACCCCGAGGCCTGGGAATCTGCTTTCTACAGAGGGAAGTGTGGGGTGTTCCGTGTCTCCTCAGCACCACCAGGGAGTCTGTCCCCCCTGTCCCCCTGCCACGCTGTGTCCAGGGCACCACAGTGGCTTCCTCTCGATGTCACAAACCTTGTCTGCTGGGCTTGGCTTCTGCTGGGGCTTGCTCCTGGCCTTCCTTCTGGCCACTTGGCTCGGCTCCTGTTTGTCTCCCGCACCCTCTGGCTGCATGGCCTTGTGGGTGGGTATAGCCAGAGTAGGCCCTGCAGACCCCACAAGCTTTACAACAAGACACTCTGCCAAGCCCCTGGGCTGTCCCGGAAGGCTATGATGTCTCTGGCGATGCCCAAGGCCCAGCCATCCCCACGCCCGCCCCTCCCTCCTGCAGCACCGGGACTGTTGGGCAACAGCAGAAGGATCCTGCCACATGCCCTGACTCCCCAGTGTCTGCAGGACTCAGTCCAGCCTCCCAAACTGCCACGTGTGGCCCTAGGGACACTCTACTCTGTCTGTTTTCTTCAGTTGCATCTTCAGCCTCCTCTCTCTGCATGCTCAGTGAATGGCTTCTTTATTCATTCATGCACTCGCTCACCAAGGATTTTGTTGAGTGTGACCATGCGCCGAGCACTGTCCTGGGAGCGGAATCGAACCAAACAGACAAAAACTATCTCAGCATTGCAGTCCCCCTCCCTGATCACAGACAGAAGCTTCTTGGTCTGAGAGGTACACCTGATACCAGGTGGTGATCTCACCACAGAACGGGGCTCTAACTTTATCTCTGGTCTTAGTTTCCTTCTGAATGTAAAATCTGCAGTGTTTATTGGGAAACAGGAAAAAGTCAGCCCGCGTCTTGGATTTCACAGTTTATAAGGCTGACTTCATTTATGACCATGTTGTATGCGCTCTCATGTTTCAGACCACCAGATGCCTTTAACTCCCCCTGGGGTTTCAGGGTTTGATGGTGCAATATGCACCAGTGTGCAGATGTGGGGTGCAGGGTGGGTGGTCTGTGGGGCCACGTGGGATGTGTGTTTCCTCTCCTCTCTGCCCTCCTCTGGGTCCCCACGGGTCCTTCCCCACTGCAAGCTCATGCTGGCATTGACGGTTTGCCAATCTCTCTCACCATGGGTTGGGGCTGGCACCACACACAGCATGGCCCTGAGTCCTCCAACAACCTTGAGAGGCAGGTGTATTGTACCCACTTTAGAGATGGAGAGACTGAGGCTGGAAAGGGCAGTGGCTTTCTCTCACGCAGCCTGTGAGAGGCTCAGCCTGGTTCTCTTCTCTCCCCAGCTCCAAGTTTAGAGCTCAATCCACAAAAGCACCAGACAACAAGAGACTTAAATGGATTGATATGGTTGATTCTCCCAGACCTTAACCTTTGTAAGACTCTTAATGACAGGGGCAAGATGAGGTGGGGGCTTCTTCAAAAGAGCAGGGAATTGGCCCGGTGTGGTGGCTCATGCCTGTAGTACCAGCACTTTGGGAGGCCAAAGCGAGTAGATCACTTGAGTTCAGGAGTTCGAGACCAGCCTGGTCAGCATGGCAAAACCCCGTCTCTACTAAAAATACAAAAATTAGCTGGGCATGGTGGCAGACGCCTGTAATCCCAGCTACTCAGGAGGCTGAGGCACAAGAATCGCTTGAACCCGGGAGGCGGAGGTTGCAGTGAGTTGAGATCGCACCACTACACTCCAGCCTGGGCGATAGAGTGAGACTCCATCTCAAAAAAAAAAAAAAAAGAAAGAAAGAAAAGAAAAGAAAAAGAGCAGGGAATCACCTGGGGTGATTCACAACAGGTAGAGTGGGTGGGCATTCGTCCATTCAAGAACCTGGGACAAAAGCTTCAAGCAGACCTTATGTGGAACCACAGAGCCAAGCCTGGATTTTCAATATGATACGCTGGAAAATTCCATAAACCTCATTTGAGTCATTTAAGTTATATTAAAGGAAATCAAAAGCACAGAAAAACAGGGGCCCAGAATCCAACCACCCAGCCCACCAAGCTTCATTTTTTTTCTTTTTCTTTTTTTTTGGAGATGGAGTCTCGCTGTCTCCCAGGCTGCAGTGCAGCATCCGCTCACTGCAACCTCTGCCTCCAGGGTTCAAGTGATTCTCCTGCCTCAGCCTCCCAGATAGCTGGGATAACAGGTGTGAGCCACCTCGCCCGGCCCAGCAGGCTTCGTTTGTCCACGTTTCCCTCTAGCTCTGGTTTGCTTGCATGGAGGCTTTCTGCAGCTGCAATCCTAGTGTCCGTGCAATTGTGCTTTTAGTGCTTTCACTTAAGCGTGATTTTTTTTTAAAAAAGCAAGTATGTGGATAAGCTATTAAGAGACATTCTTTTTCTACTTTTTAAATCGGAACACTTAGTAGATCATCACAGGCCAAAGTTCCCACTGCCACAATTAGAAAAAGCTGAATAAATAGCAAAAAACATACTTTGAAAGACATCAAAGAGCTGTGGAGGCAATGCGGCTTAGGTTAGATAAGACTCTAGTGCTGGGAGGCCCTGAGGTGAGCGGTGGGTCTCCAGCTGTTTTTTTTTTGTTTTGTTTTGTTTTTTATTTTTCCTGAGGGCTGAGGATTGGGCTTCTCAAGGCAGAAAGCCTTTGCAGGGTGGGGGAAGCAGCAGATATTTCAGTGGTCACATGGGAGAGTGTGCTAAGGACACTTGTGGGAATCTGGCCTGTTCTCCCTGGAGGTACATTTGCTGGGTTCTGGTGCCGGAAGCTGGGGAGTGGGGAGGAAACTTTTTCTAAAGGGCAGAATTGTGCTTAGGGAACAAAAGATCAGCCCTGGGAGGAGACCTGTCTCAAACACACTGCCAATGTCTCCTCCCCAGACACTTGCCAGATTTTAAGGCTACTTGGGAAGAACGGGGAGAGCTAGGCTGGAACCTCTGATGGACAGAGCTGCTGTCTTGTCATCTTTTAGGGCTGAGGAGACAAAGGCCCAGGGGGTTCTCAATAAAGAGACTATGGGCCGGGCATGGTGGCTCAAGCCTGTAATCCCAGCACTTTGGGAGGCCGAGACAAGCCGATCACCTGAGGTGAGGAGTTCGAGGCCAGCCTGGCCAACATGGTGAAACCCCGTTTCTACCAAAAATATAAAAATTAGCTGGGCGTGGTGGTGTGCAACTGTAATCCCAGTTGCTCAGGAGGCTGAGGCACGAGAATAGCTTGAACCTGGGAGGCGGAGGCTGCAGTGAGCCAAGATGGTGCCATTGCACTTCAGCCTGGGTAACAAGGTGAGATTCTATCTCAAAAAAAAAAAAAAAAGAGAGAGAGACTATGAAGGCATGGTCTGGAAACAAGGACACCCTGGACATAGGTTGAGTATGATGAGAACTATGGCCCCGCCCCTTTACTGCTCAGTTTCTGATTAGAATGAGGTGAAAAGCCCCTTCATACTGGTTATCCAATAGGGCTAGTTTGTATACAGCTTTTTTCACTTAAGCATGAATATTTTTAGGAGGTGAAGAGGACCCATCTCTGGAGCGAATGACATCACCTAGAGCCTTCTTCCTTCTTATATACAATGTTCAGCACCTCATTAAAATCACTAGACATGAAAAGAGTCAGATGCAGATATTAAAGTTAGTAGACAAGGACTTTAAAATAATAATGAGGCTGAACACGATGGCTCACGCCTCTAATCCCAGCACTTACGGAGGCCAAGGTGGGAGGATCACTTGAGCGCAGGAGTTTGAGACTACTCTGGGCAAGACCCCATCTCCACAAAAAATTTTTTTAATTAGCTGGACATGGTGGTTTGTGCCTATGGTCCCAGCTACTAGGGAGGCTGAGGTGGGAGAATCCCTTGAGCCCAGGAGTTTGAGGCTGCAGTGAGTCATGATCCTGTCACTGCACTCAAGCGTGGGGGACAGAGTGAGACATTGTCTCTACAAATAAATAAACAAAAAGTCAATAAAAGTAATAATGATTAATGTGTCAAATAGAAGAAATACAGATAAAATAATAAAAGTTATATTTTTCAATGAGAAATTGGCATCTTTGAAGAAAAAGAATGAAATTAAAATTCTAGAACTAAACAATTAAGAACTTAAGGGGACCAGGCATGGTGGCTTATGCCTGTAATCCCAGCACTTTGGGAGGCTGAGGCGGGTGGATCAATTGAAGTCAGGAGTTTGAGACCAACCTGGCCAACATGGTGAAACCCCGTCTCTACAAAAAAATACAAAGATTAGCCGGGCATGGTGGCTAATTCCATGATGTAATTCCAGCTACTTGGGAGGCTGAGGCCTGAGAATCACTGGAACCCAGGAGGTGGAGGTTGCAGTGAGCTGAGATTGCGCCACTGCACTCCAGCCTGGACAACAGAGTGAGACCCTGTCTCAAAAATTAATAAATAAATAAATTAAAATAAAATAGTACTGCCTGAGACTGGGTATTTTATGAAGAAAAGAGGTTGAGTTGACTCACAGTTCTGCAGACTTAACAGGAAGCATGACCGGGAGGCCTGAAGAAACTTACACTCATGGTGGAAGGAGAAGGGGAAGCTGGCACGTCTTACCATGGCAGAGTAGGAGCTGTGGAGATGGGCAGAGTGCCACACATTTTTTTTTTGAGACAGAGTGTCCCTTTGCCACCCAGGCTGGAGCGCAGTGGCACAATCTCAGTTCACTGCAGCCTCCGCCTCTCAGGTTCAAGCAATTCTCCTGCCTCAGCCTCCCAAGTAGCTGGGATTATAGGCACATGCCACCTCGCCTGGCTACTTTTTGTATTTTTAGTAGAGACTGGGTTTCACCATGTTGGCCAGGGTGTGGTCTCGAACTCCTGACCTCAGGTGATCCACCCGCTGCCTCCCAAAGTGCTGGGATTACAGGTGTGAGCCACCGTGCCTGGCCAAGTGCCACACTTTTAAACCATCAGATCTTGTGAGAACTCACTCCCTATCACGAGAACAGCAAGGGGGAAATCCACCCCTATAATCCAATCACCTCCCACCAGGCTCCTCCTTCAACACGTGGGGATTACAATTCCACATGAGATTTGGGTGGGGACACAGAGCCAAACCGTATCACCCCTTCAAGTAAGCATAGTCCCAGAATAAAAGGAGAGAGAGAGAGGAACGGGAGCAGAGAAAGGAACAGATTATGGCCAAGAATTTCCAGAAAATAATAAAAGATGACAATCCACAGAATAAAGCAGCTCTACTTAGCCCCAGCAGGATAAACATACAGAAAACCACATTCTAGGGACAGCACAGTCAAAGTGCTGGAAAGCAAGCACAAGGAAAAAGCAGCTGGGGGTGGCGGTGGGCGGGCGAGGACAAAGCACCTTCAAAAGAACGTTGATGAATTGGGGTGGGCAGAGGGGGGGCTAGTGGGGAACGTAGGAGCATCCTTTGCTGGTCACAGAGACACAAAGATGCGCCACACGTGGTCCCCTCCCAAAGGAGCTGACAGGCCAGGAGGGAAACAGGATGGCAATACCTTGGGCTTAGCTTGTGACAGGCAGACACGGGGAGGACCCGGAGAGCGCAGGAGAGGAGACAGGTAACCCAGACTGGGCCTCAAAGTAGTCTCCGCAGAGTGGGAGCTTCTCACCAGAGTTTTGAAGAACAAGTGAGAATGACTTAGGGATGAAGAAGCTTATTCCAGCGGGGAGGGGGGAGGGGGGAGGGATAGCATTAGGAGATATACCTAATGCTAAATGACGAGTTAATGGGTGCAGCACACCAGCATGGCACATGTATACATATGTAACTAACCTGCACATTGTGCACATGTACCCTAAAACTTGAAGTATAATAATAATAAAAAAAATTAAAAAATTTAAAAAAAGAAAAAAAAAAGAAGCTTATTCCAGATAGAAGCCACCAGTGGGTCCTGTCTGCACCAGCCCTCACCCCACCCGGGTGCAGGCCCTACTATCCTAAAGGAGGAGTGTGGGCCGGGCGTGATAGCTCATGCCTTTAATCCCTGCACTTTGGGAGGCTGAGGGGGGCAGATCACTTAAGGTCAGGAATTTGAGACCAGCCTGGCCAACATGGTAAAAACCCATCTCTACTAAAAATACAAAAATTAGCCAGGCGTGGGGGTGAGTGCGTGTAATTCCAGCTACTCAGGAGGCTGAGGCAGGAGAATTGCTTGAACCCAGGAGGCAGAGGTTGCAGTGAGCCGAGATCGTGACATTGCACTCCACCCTGGGTGACAGAGCAAGACTCCATCTCAAACAAAAAGAAATAAAAAAATAAAAATAAAGGAGAGTGTGGAGCATGGCATGGCACAGCCCTACCCAGGAACACAGCGGTGCCAGCACTCTCTTCTGCCCCTCTCAGAAACCTTTCCCTCCAGGCCAAGCAGCTTCTTGGATTTCAGAGCGACATCTCAGTTTGAAAGTCCACTTTGGAAGTGAAAAGCAGTACAACATCCTTTGCCCTGAGGCGTGGATCTTACTTCTGGGGACTGTTCATTTAACACACCTCTTAAAGGCAAATATTTTCAAATAACCTGTCTGGTTGGCAGCAATTAACCACCTCACACTGCTGGGCACTGAGCTAAAGGCTGAAAATTAAGGAACAAACAAGTCCAGGCCTGCCCTTGGGGAGGGAAGATTCTTAATGAGAAACATTTGAGGGCCAACCTTTGGGTACATTGCTTTTGAGCCAATGTGCTGTAATGTGATGTTTTTTTTCTTCCCCTAACGGGGTTAGCTTTAGAAGTATGTTTGGCAAGCACTTTTAACAACCCGCACTGCATCTCAGCACATGTTCATTATTGGCATAAAACAACATTGGAATTGAGACTATCCAAAAGGCATGAAAAAATTTGGAGGTATGTGTAATTTCGTAATGTTATGCCTAATTTCTAATGCCAGTTTTTCAGGTTTAAGTTTTGGCAAGTTAGAGTCACAATGGGGACATAGGCCAAACAAACAAAAAACAAGCCCAAACTAAAAAAGAAAAGAAATATGCATATGTTAAAGACTATCATTATCTCACCGAGACTGAACCCTGAAATCAAAACTGAGACATTCCCCAGAGAACGTGTGTGCTTTTTATGGCAGGCTTTATTCGTGCCTAATCTCTTTTTGCACATGAAAATCACTTTAATAAAACTTCCCCACACATTCGCATTCTAGAAAGAGAGCGTTTGTTGGTGATTCTGAGGTCTTATAACTTCATTTTGATGCCAGGGGATATTTGAAATATGTTTTTAAAACTTTAATGGAAAATGAAACAGATCATAAAGATAGGAGATCTACTTTAGAGGGTCAAGTAAAAATTTGTTCATAGTTAAACAGAATTCATAATGCTTTAGAACTGAACCAAAAACAATTGTTTCTAAACGCTGAAGTCACCACCGAGACTCAAAACCTGGAGCTGGGCTGCCTGGATCCTTCTCTGCTGCAGCAATAGAATATTTCAACTGCTTTTTAAAAACACCACACAGTAATGACTCATTGATCAAGTGAGTTGGAACGAATCTGGAAAATGCCAGTTCCCCGTGAGCAATTGCCCTCCCCAACCCCCCCCGCAATACTGAAGCTTACCACTTCCAGTGACAAGCCTTTGTTCGTTTTGTCAATTTCGAATGGAAAGATTTCCAAAATATAGAAATATCCTTGCTGATACAGTTGGGATATTTGTCCCCACCCGTATCTCATGTTGAATTGTAATCCCCAATGTTGGAGGTGGGGCCTGGTGGGAGGTGTTTGGATCATGGCGGCCAATTTCTCATGAATGGCTTGGGCTATCCCCTTGCTGATAAGTGAGTTCTAACCCCGAGTTTATACAACATCTGGTCATTTAAAAGTGTGTGGCACCTCCCCTTCTTCTCTCTCTCTTTCTCTCTCACCTTTCTGCTTTTGCCATGTGACGTGCCTGCTCCCCTTCACCTTCTGCCATTATTTTAAGCTTTCTGAGCTTCCTGCGTATGATGTACATTGGTTCGGTCCTGTAAGGTGGGACAACTCGAAGTGGGGGCTTCCAGGTTAAAGGTAGACAAGAGACAAAAGGTTGCATTCTTTTGAGTCCTTGACCAGTCTTCCACTGAATACACAATTTAGTCCCGTTCAGTGAATCTGCATTTTTACATAAACGATAGGGAAGAGGAAGCAATCAGATAGGCATTTGTCTCAGGTGAGCCTCAGAGGGATGACTTTGAATGGAATGGGAGGCAGCTTTGTCCTAAGCAGTTCCCAGCTTGACTTTTTCCTTTAGTTTAGTGATTTGGGGGTCCCAAGATTTATTTTCCTTTCACTCACAGAAATCCTTAATGTGATATGATCAAATCAAATCCAGAAATATACAAAAAGGACAATCCATCATGACCAAGTCAGACTGATCACAGAAATTCAAGGTTGGTTTAACACTTGAAAATCAATCAGTGTAAGTCACCACGTTGCCATAAATCATGTAATCATTTCAATATATGCAGATGATATGGTTTGGCTCTATGCTCCCACTCAAATCTCATCTCCAATCGTAATCCCTACATGTTGAGGGAGGGACCTGTAATTCCCACATGTGGAGGGAGGAAGGTGAATGGATCATGGGGCCGGTTTCCCTCGTGCTGTTCTCGTGATAATGAGGGAGTTTTCACGAGATCTGATGGTTTTTTAAGTGTTTGGAAGCTCGTCCTTCATCCTCCTCTCTCCTGATGGCTTGTGAAGAAAGTACTTGCTTCCCTGTCACCTTCCTCCATAGTGTTAAGCTTCCGGAGGCCTCCCCAGCCAGGCTGAACTGTGAGTCAATTAAACCTCTTTCCTTTACAATTTACCCACTCTCAGGTAAGTTCTTTATGGCAGTGGGAAAATGAACTAATACAGCAGAAAAAACACTTGACAAAATTCAACAATCATTGATGCTTAAAAGGTCTCCATAGGCCAGGTGCGGTGGCTCACGCCTGTAATCCCAGCACTTTGGGAGGCCGAGGCCAGTGGATCACCTGAGGTCAGGAGTTCAAGACCAGCCTGGAAAATGCAGTGAGACCCCATTTCTACTAAAAATACAGGCTGGCATGTTGGCTCACTCCTGTAATCCCATCACTTTGGGAGACCAAGGCGAGTGGATTGCCTGAGGTCAGAAATTCAAGACCAGCCTGGCTAACATGGTGAAACCCCATCTCTACTAAAAATACAAAAATTAGCCAGGCATGCTGGCAGGCACCTGTAATCCCAGCTACTCGGGAGGCTGAGGCAGGAGAATTGCTTGAATCCGGGAGGCAGATGTTGCAGTGAGCCAAGATCGTACCATTGCCCTTCAGCCTGGGTGACAAGATTGAGACTTAGTATCAAAAAACAAAACAAAACAAAACAAAACCCAAAAATTAGCCAGGGTTAATGGCGGGTGGCTGTCATCCCAGCTACTCGGGAGGCTGAGGCTGGAGAATCGCTTGAATCCAGGAGGTGGAGGTTGCAGTGAGCTGAGATTGCACTATTGCACACCAGCCTGGGCAACAAGAGCAAAACTCCGACTCAAAAAAGAAAAAGTCTCAATAAACTGGAATGAAAAGGAACTCTTGAACCTGGTCAAGGCGGTCCACATAGACTGACAGTGAACATGCTCAAGGAATGCAGGAAACAGCTGAGTTGTCAGTTCTGTATTTTTAGTAGAGACAGGGTTTCACCATGTTGTCCAGGCTGGTCTTGAACTCTTGACCTCAGGTGATCCGCCCACCTCAGCCTCCCAGAGTGCTGGGATTACAGGCGTAAGCCACCATGCCTGGCCTCTTTTTCTTTTTAAATTATACAGATACAATTTAAAATAGAGATGGGGTCTCACTATGTTGCCCAGGCTGGAGGCTTTTTTTTCTAATATGTGCATTTATTGCTATAAATTTCCCTCATGATATTGCTTTAGCTGTGTCTCACAAATTTTAATATGTTGTATTTTCATTTGTATTCAATTTAATGTGTTTTTCTTACTTCCCTTGAGACTTCCTGTTTGACCCATAGATTGTCTAGAAGTGTGTTGTTGAGTTTCTAAGTATGTGGAGGTTTTCCTGTTATCTTTTTGCTATTAATTTCTTGTTGGATTCTATGTGATTAGAGAGCATACCCTCATGATCTCTCAATTCTTGAAAATTTGTTAAAGTTTGTTTTATGGTCCAAGATATGGTCTATCTTGGTGTATGTTCCCCAGCACCAATTGCTGAAAAGATACCTGAAATGTGAAAGCAGCTTTGGAACTGGGGAACAGGCAGAGATTGGAACAGTTTGGAGGGATCAGAAGAAGACAGGAAAATGTGGGAAAGTTTGGAACTTTCTAGGGACTTGTTGAAAAGCTTTGCCCCAAATGCTGACAGCGATATGGACAATAAAGTCCAGGCTGAGGTGGTCTCAGATAGAGATGAGGAACTTGTTGGGAACTGGAGCAAAGGTGACTCTTGTTATGTTTTAGCAAAGAGACTGGCAGCATTTTGCCCCTGCCCTAGAGATTTGTGGAACTTTGTACTTGAGGGAGATGACTTAGGGTATCTAGCAGAAATTTCTAAGCAGCAAAGCATTTAAGATGTAACTTGGATGCTGTTAAAAGCATTTGATTTTAAAAGTGAAACAGAGCATAAAAGTTTAGAAAACGTGCAGCCTGACAATGCAATAGAAAAGAAAATCCCATTTTCTGAGGAGAAATTCAAGCAGGCTGCAGACATTTGCGTAAATAACGAGGAGCCAATTGTTAATCCCCAAGACAATGAGGAAAATATGAAAAGAACATATGTTCTGCTCTTGTTGGGTGGAGTGTTCTATAAATATTGTTGAGATACTGTTGGTTGATGTTTCTGTTGAGTTTTCTTATTCTATATCTTTGTTGATATTCTGCCTGATTAGTCTATAATTTATTGAGAGAGGGGTATTAAAGTCTCCAAGTATAATTCTTGATTTATCTATTTGTCCTTCCAGTTTTTTTTTTTTTTTTTTTTTTTTTTTTTTTTTTTTTTTTTTTTTGAGGGAGAATCTCACTCTGTCACCCAGGCTGGAGTGGAGTAGCATGATCTCGGCTCACTGCAACCTCTGCCTCCTGGGTGCAAGTGATTCTCCTGCCTCAGTCTTCTGAGTAGCTGAGATTACAGGCACTCGCCACCATGCTTGGCAAATTTTTTTTTTTTTTTTTTTTTGAGACGGAGTCTTGCTCTGTTGCCAGGCTGGAGTGCAATGGCACGATCTCGGTTCACTGCAACCTCTGCCTCCCGGGTTCAAGCGATTCTCCTGCCTCAGCCTCCCGAGTGGCTGGGATTACAGGCGTGTGCCGCCACGCCTGGCTAATTTTTTGTATTTTTAGTAGAAACGGGGGTTTCACCATGTAGGCCAGGCTGGTCTCGAACTCCTGACCTCAGGTGATCCGCCCAGCTTGGCCTCCCAAAGTGCTGGGATTACAGGTGTGAGCCACTGCGCCTGGCCCCAGCTTTTGATTCTCGTATTTTGCAGCTCTCTTCTTTGATGTTTACACATTTAGGATTGCTATGTCTTCTTGTGGACTGGCTCTTTTATCATTATATAATGTCCTCTCTGTCTCTGGTAATTTTCTTTGCTCTGAAGTCCACTTTATCTGGTATTAATATAGCCACCTGCTCTCCTTTGATTAACATTTGCATGATATAACTTTTTCCATCTGATATGGTTTGGCTCTGTTTCCCCACCCAAATCTCATCTGGAATTGTACTCCCATAATTCCCACGTGTTGTGGGAGGGACCTGGTGAGAGATAATTGAATCATGGGGGCAGTTTCCCCCATGCTGTTCTCATGGTAGTGAATAAATCTCACGAGATCTGATGGTTTTATCAGGGGTTTCCACTTTTTCGTCTTCCTCATTCTCTCTTTGCCTGCAGCCATCCATGCAAGATGGGAATTGCTCCCCTTGCCTTCTGCCATGATTGTGAGGCTTCTGCAGCCACGTGGAACTGTAAGTCCAATTAAACCTCCTTCTTTTATAAATTGCCCCATCTTGGGTATGTCTTTATCAGCAGCATGAAAATGGACTAATATAGTAAGTTAGTATCAATTGCTGAAAAGATACCTGAAAATGTGAAAGTGGCTTTGGAACTGGGGAACAGGCAGAGATTGGAACAGTTTGGAGGGATCAGAAGAAGACAGGAAAATGTGGGAAAGTTTGGAACTTTCTAGGGACTTGTTGAAAAGCTTTGCCCCAAATGCTGACAGCGATATGGACAATAAAGTCCAGGCTGAGGTGGTCTCAGATAGAGATGAGGAACTTGTTGGGAACTGGAGCAAAGGTGACTCTTGTTATGTTTTAGCAAAGAGACTGGCAACATTTTGCCCCTGCCCTAGAGATTTGTGAAACTTTGAACTTGAGGGAGATGACTTAGGGTATCTGGCAGAAGAAATTTCCAAGCAGCAAAGCATTTAAGATGTGACTTGGGTGCTGTTAAAAGCATTTGGTTTTAAAAGTGAAACAGAGCATAAAAGTTCAGAAAATGTGCAGCCTGACAATGCAATAGAAAAGAAAATCCCATTTTCTGAGAAATTCAAGCAGGCTGCAGACATTTGCATAAGTAACGAGGAGCCAATTGTTAATCCCCAAGACAATGGGGAAAATGTCTCCAGGGGATGTCAGAGACCTTTGCAGCAGCCCCTCCCACAACAGGCCTAGAGGCCTAGGAGGAAAAAGTGGTTTCGTGGGCCTGGCCCAGGGTCCCTGAGCTGTGTGCAGCCTAGGGACTTGGTGCCCTGTGTCCCAGCAGCTTCAGCTGTAGCTGGGACCACAGGCTTATGCCACCATGCCTGGATAATTTTTGTATTTTTATAGAGATAGGTTTTTGCCATGTTGCCCAGGCTGGTCTTGAACTCCTGGGCTCAAAGGATCCGCTCACCTTGGCCTCCCAAAGTGCTGGGATTATAGGTGTGAGCCACCAGGCCCAGCCAGTTTTCTATTTTTTTTTTTTTTTTTGAGACAGAATTTCACTCTTGTTGCCCAAGCTGGAGTGCAATGACACAATCTCAGCTCACTACAACCTCCACCTCCCAGGTTCAAGCAATTCTCCTGTCTCAGCCTCCCGAGTAGCTGGGATTATAGGCACACACTACTACGCCTGGCTAAATTTTTGTATTTTTAGTAGAAACGAGGTTTCACCATGTTAGCCAGGCTGGTCTCAAACTCCTGACCTCAGGTGATCTGCTCACCTCAGCCTCCCAAAGTGCTGGGATTATAAGCATGAACCACTGCGCCCAGCCCAGTTTACAATTTTTTAAATTTGTTTTAAGCAAATTGCTTGCTGACACTTTTATCATGGCTGCTTTGAAATATTTGTCAAATAATCTTACATCTTTGTCATCTTGGGGTTGATATCTATTGCCTTTTTTCATTCAGTTTGAGATCTTTTTGGTTCTTGGTATAATGAGGGATTTTCAGTTGTATCCTGGATATTCTTTTCTTTTCTTTTTTTTTTTTTTTTGAGACAGAGTCTCGCTCTGTTGCCCAGGCTGGAGTGCAGTGGTGCAATCTTGGCTTACTGCAAGCTCCGCCTCCTGGGTTCACGCCATTCTCCTGCCTCAGCCTCCTGAGTAGCTGAGACTATAGGCGCTCACCACCATGCCCAGCTAATTTCTTTTTGTATTTTTAGTAGAGACAGGGTTTCACCATGTTAGCAATAACCTGGATATTCTTATATAACGTACAAGATTCCAGGCCAGGTGTGGTGGCTCACACCTGTAATCCCAGCACTTTGGGTGGCTGAGGTGGGTGGATCTCCTGAGATCAGGAGTTCGAAACCAGCCTGGCCAACATGGTGAAACCCTGTCTCTACTAAAAATACAAAATTAGCTGGGCTTGGTGGCCCATACCTATAATCCCAGCTCCTCAGGAGGCTGAGGCAGGAGAATCGCTTGAACCGGGGAGGCGGAGGTTGCAATGAGCTGAGATCACGCTGTTGCACTCCAGCTTGGGCAACAAAGTGAGACTCTGTTTCAAAACAAAACAAAACAAAACAAACAAGATTCTGGATATTACTTAAACCTTCTGTTTCAGCTGACTTTCTCTGACACTGTTCAGGCAGGGGAACCTAAGGGGCACTGCCTTATTACTGCCAGATGGTGGCAGAAGTCCAAGTTTCTCACTTAGCCTTTGTTGACACCTGAATGTTGAGGGTGCTGCGCTCCTCATTGCTGCTGGATCAGGGAGGGAGTTCAGGCTCCCTGCTAACCTCCACTGATACTTTCCTGGTGGGTGAAATGAAAATGCCTTATCACTTCTTCCCATCTGAAGCCTTGGGATGGCGGGAAGGAGTGGCCTCGTTACCGCTGGGCCATCATAAAGAGTCCTGGCTCTCTGCTAGGCCTCCTAGGGTACCGCCCCATTGCAGATGAGGAGGGATGCCTTGCTAATGCCAGGTGGGGGTGGAAGCCCAGACTCTCTGTGTGTCTCCACTGACACCATGAGTTGGGGGAGCCTCATCACTAGCTGGCAGGGATGAAAGACCTGGCTCTCCACCTGACCTTCTCCAGTTCCAGCTCACTGAGGATGGTGGGGCACCTCATTACAGCCTCTCGTGGGTGTGGGTGGGGTGATGTTTTCTTTCTGTGGTGTTTAGCTAGAGCAGTTATTGTCTAAGTTTTCTGTCTTGCTGGACTGCCCCTCTGCTAGTCCTTTGGTGAGAGAGAACAGGCTTTTGGTGGGACTTGTTTTTGTCTGGGCCTCTTGGCATTTCTAGATGCCAGCTCCCCTAGCTCCAACTTCATAATATATATACAAGGCAGAAGGAAGACCCAGAGAGCCCACCATCATGCTGGCTCCCTGGGTCCTGTGGTCCCTAGTCGATTTGCCTTCTTAGGATTTTCTTTTTTCTTTTTTTCTTTTTAGATGGAGTCTCCCTCTGTCACCCATGCTGGAGTGCAGTGGCATGATCTCAGCTCACTGCAACCTCCGCCTTCTGGGTTCAAGCGATTCTCTTGCTTCAGCCTCCTGAGGAGCTGAGATTACAGGCATGCGCTACCATGCCTGGATAATTTTTTGGTATTTTTAGTAGAGACAGGATTTCACCATGTTGGCCAGGTTGGTCTGAAACTCCTGACCTCAAATGATCCACCCGCCTTGGCCTCCCAAAGTGCTGGGATTATAGGCATGAGCCACTTCACCCGGCCTTCTCTCAGAATATTCTTATGTTTGTTTCATATTTAATGTCTGGGGTTTGGGATTGTACCTAGCGGGAGAAATAGGGAAAAGTATATCTTCTCCATCTTTCCAGAAATAGAAGTCTCTGTGCTATTTTTTGCAACTTCCTCTGAATGCATAATTCTTCTCTGTTGCCCAGGCTGGAGTACAGTGGCGCGATCTCGGCTCATTGCAGCCTCCATCTCCCAGGTTCAAGTGATTCCCGTGCTTCAGCCTCCTGAGAAGCTGGGATTACAGGTGTGCATCCCCACAACCGGCTAATTTTTTGTATTTTTAGTAGAGACTGAGTTTCACCATGTTGGAGAGGCTGGTCTCTCTCGAACTCCTGAACTCATGTAACCCATCCTCCTTGGCCTCCCAAAGTGTTGGGATTATAGGCGTGAGCCACTGCACCCAGCCAGAAAGATATTTATTCCAAGAGAAGAAAGCTATCTATTGATTCAAGCCAGTGTGTGATGAATGCCAAGGGGTGGAGGAGCCCCAGGACAGCAGCTCAGCGGCAGAGCAAGCATGGGACGCATGTCACCAGCAGTGGGTTTATCAAGGCAGTAGGACCAGGACCTGTGCTCAAGGAGGTGGGGCCAGGCAGGCAGCTTGGGACAGATGTGGAGGGGGTGTCCCTGAGGATTATGAAGCACTTTTCAAATAAAAGGCATCATGACTGCTAACCCCCCCGGGGGTCCTCGAATGCCTGACTTTGATTCTGAGGCACCATAAGCCCACGAAGCACACAGCTGTAGAATGTTAGAGCCAGAAGGGTCCATGGGGACCATGGGCCCAGGCCTCCTCTACTCAGGAAGCAACGCCGCAGCCACACGGCTGAAGGGAGGAGGGATGGAAGCTGGGCCCGGGGAAGGCCTCCTGGCTGCGCAGGAGGCTGGACTGAAGGAGAGGCCCACAGTGGGGGCCCAGCTGGCCAGCTGGACTCCAGGCTGGAGGAGATGGAAGCATCTGGAAAACATCATTCACTTCGACCAATCAGTGTTTAAAAGCCAAAGAAAGCCACAGCGAGCACAGGCTGGGTTGGGTCTTTTTCTTTTTCTTTTTTTTTTTTAACCTTCCAAGTAGAACAGCCTGTCTGGGTGTTTCACTTTAGCTCAGAACCATTTGCTGGGCAGGGCATAAGCCTCTTATGATCAAAGTCTATGTCTACCCATCTTTAACTCTCAGAAAAGAGGCTGATTTTATTAAGGTAGAAATTCATACCTGATTAAGGAAAACTGTAAGTGAATTTTTTTGTTTTTTAGATGGAGTTTCACTCTTGTTGCTCAGGCTGGAGTGCAATGGCGCAACCTCGGCTCACTGCAACCTCCACCTCCCGGGTTCAAGCGATTCTCCTGCCTCAGCTTCCGGAGTAGCTAGGATTACAGGCGCCTGCCACCATGCCTGGCTAATTTTTTGTATTTTTAGTAGAAACACGATTTCACCATCTTAGCCAGGCTGGTCTTGAACTCCTGACCTGAGGTGATCAACCTGCCTCCCAAAGTGCCGGGATTACAAGGCATGAGCCACCACACCTGGCCTATGGATATTTTTATATTTCAATTTTTATTCCTTTCCTGAGCCAAGCCCCTGGGGTGAGTGCTGGGGACTTGGATAAAACCAAATTCCTGTCTCAAGATGTCCACCATCTTGGGGAAGACATGAAATAGAATGAGGGCCAGGGGGAAAGAGGCCTGCCCCAACAAGACCAATTCAGCATGGCCACACTTCCTCTTCCTTGAAGCAGTCCCTTCCGTGGGTCCCTCCTGTGACTCCACTGTCCTCCGGGTCTCCTGTGTCCCATCATTCACAGCTGCCATCCCCCTTTTCCCCGTGGGTTTCCTATGTGTTTAGTCCTGGCTCCTTCTCCCTCCACCCTCCATCCTGGCTCAACGCTCCCTCCTCTGTGGCTCTAGGCACCATCGTTTTCCCAACCCCAGCCCCGCCCTCCCTCCGAACCTAGACACATACCTCCACCACCACCTGTTGGACATCTCAGAGGTTCTCAGAACTTGGCCTGTTCAGAACTGCACACATGCTGTTCCAGGAGGAATCATGTCCCTGAGAAATCTACACGTTGAAGTCTGTCATCACCAGAACCTCAGAATGTGGCTGTGCGTGGAGACAGGGTGTTCAATGGGGTCATTAGGGTAAGATGAGTCTATTAGGGTGAGTTCTTATAAGAATGTGACTGGTTGTCTTCCCATTTAACAGATGAGGGCTGAGGTTGCCTTATTCTTTTTTTGGGGGGGGAGGGGATGGAGTCTTGCCCTGTCATCCAGGCTGGAGTGTAATGGTGCAATCTTGGCTCACCGCAACCCCCACCTCCTAGGTTCAAACAATTCTCCTGCCTCAGCCTCCCAAGTAGCTGGGATTACAGGCACCCGCCACCACACCCAGCTAATTTTTGTATGCTTAGTAGAGACGGGGTTTCACCATGTTGGCCAGGCTGGTCTCAAACTCCTGACCTTGTGATCCGCCCGCCTCGGCCTCCCAAAGTACTGGGATTACAGGCGTGAGCCACTGTGCCCAGCCCACCTTATTCTTCTTTTAAGCAGAGATTAGGACACAGACACACACAGAGGGATGCCCACGTGAAGACATAAGGAGGAGGAGGCATCTACAGGTCAAGGCGGGGGACCTCTGAAGAAACCAGCCCTGCCGACACCTTTGTCTCGGACTTCCAGCCTCCAGAACTATGAGGAAAGAAGCCCAGGATCTAAGCTGGGCGCAGTGGCTCACGTCTGTAATCCCAACACTTCGGGAGGCCGAGGCGGGTGGATCACCTGAGGTCAGGAGTTCGACACCTGGCCAACATGGTGAAACCTCATCTCTACTAAAAACACAATAATTAGCTGGTGTGATGGTGCATGCCTGTAGTCCCACCTACTCGGGAGGCTGAGGCAGGAGAATCACTTCAACCCAGGAGGTGGAGGTTGCAGTGAGCCGAGATCACGCCACTGCATTCCAGCCTGGGTGACAAAAGCAAAACTCAGTCTCCAAAAAAAAAAGAAGTCTGGGGTCTAAGCTGCCAGTCTGTGGGGCTTTGTCATGGCAGCCCTAGGACGCTGATTACATGTTTCCACCCCAACCCTGGCTTGCCTCCTGTGTTTCCTGCCTCTGTGAAAGAGACTCCCACCCAGCCAGCTGCCCAAGTCAGAAAGCGGCTTGAGATTCATGCTGCCTCCTCCTCTCTCACCACCACCATCCGTGTTCCTCAGGACCTGTCATCCCAGTGCACACAGCCAGGTAGGGCACCAATGGGCCATCATTTCAAGGCAACGGGGGGCCCGCATGTGGGTGCCGCCCAGACATTACTACAAAGCCCCAATAGTGTGGGGCTGTAGGATGGAGAAAATGCCCTAGGAATTTGGGCATGAGGCCTGGCCAACATGGCTTACTCCAGGCCCTTTTATAGCCATGCAAACCATTATGCTGCAATTTCTGAGTAAGGTATTTAGTGGTGCAAGAGGTCTGTACTGAGGGCTTCTCTCAATTTGGAAAGCCCTTACCCTGAGCGATCTGAATACCGTCACCATGAATTTGAGCACATCTCCCTTGAGGAGCTGAGAGTCTGAGGACCCATGTTCTCCACGCATGCCTAGCCCGGTGTTTCCTAGGATGCTTTGCTAAGAACACGGCCTCGGGTTCACTGAAATGAGCAGCAATGTCCATAAGATTTCTACGTCTGTTTGCTTTCTCCCCAGGCCTCTGCGAGACTGTTTCATAGATGCTCAAGACACCAGCAAACCAGTGCCACCGAACAAGTATGAGAAAAGAACAGGCTAGATTATGTTATCCAGAACTTCACAACCATCAGATCTAGACAGAAGGTATTTTGGTTTCAGCAAATATTAAGTGTGGTTTAGATCATCCCTGAGGAGCCTAACATGGGTGCCATGGGGATCGGGTGGGGGCACACTCATTGAACAAGGCTGGCCTGGGCTGGGGGTTAGCAGAAGGGCAGGGCCCTTCCCAAGCACTAAGCAGTTAGCCCGGGCCAGCCTGCAGGATGCCTAGGGCACAAGACCCCTACAGTGGCCTGGCACCTGTCCTCCCAGGACCCACTGTCGATTGCAGGAGGTGGACAGTGAACACAGAAAAGCTGTAAGGTGTCCTGTGACAGATGTATGTGGTGGACACAGCAGGACCCAGAGGAAGGAAGAAAGAAGCTGCTCTTGAAAAGACCCTCAAACCACGATGCTCAAGGAAGTGTCGAGAGATGAAGGAGAGGTGTTTGCCAGGCAGAGCAGGTGGGGAAGGATAATCTGAGGAGGATAGATAGCCAGTGCAAAGGCTCAGAGCACTTTTGGAGTGCTGCCAGACCAGGGTGGGTGCGGGGCCCTGGAGGGGGCGAGGCAGGAACCTGACCGAGGGGGCTTTGGAGGTCATGTCCATCTTCTGTGATGTTACAGTGAGGGCTGCCCAGAAGGGTTCAGGAGAGTCACGTGGTGGAGTTTGTCACATAAAATAACCCTGGGGCCCGGTGTGGTGGCTCATGCCTGTAATCCCAGCAGTTTGAGAGGCTGAAGTGAGAGAATCGCTCGAGCCCAGGAGTTCAAAACCAGCCTGGGCTGGTGGCTGGTAGTGAGACAGCACCTCTATAAAAAATACAAAAATTAGCTGGGTATGATGGTGTACACCTGTGGTCCAAGCTACTCAGGAGGCTGACGTCGGAAGATTGCTTGAAACTGGGAAACTGAGGCTGCAGTGAGCTGTGATCGCACCACTGCACTCTAGGCTGGAGTGCAATGGTGCGATCTCGGCTCACGGCAACCACCGCCTCCTGGGTTCAAACAATTCTCCTGCCTCAGCCTCCCAAGTAGCTGGGATTACAGGCACCCACCACCACGACCAGCTAATTTTTGTATGTTTAGTAGAGATGGGGTTTCACCATGTCAGCCAGGCTGGTCTCAAACTCCTGGCCTCATGATCCGCCCGCCCAGCTCTGTGTGACTGGGACGGAGTGAGATCCTGTCTGAAAAAAAAACCCCAAAAAAAGCTTTGGCCCATGGTTCCTGTATTCTGAAATGACAACCTCAGCTTCCTCATCTGTTTGTTTGTTTGTTTGTTTGTTTGTTTTTTGAGATACAGTCTTACCGAGTTGCCCAGGCTGGAGTGCGGTAGTGTGATCTTGGCTTACCACAACCTCTGCCTCCTGGGTTCAAGCGATTCTCCTGCCCTAGCCTCCTGAAGTAGTTGGGATTACAGGTGCATGCCACCATGCCTAGCTAATTTTTCTTGTATTTTTTTTTTTAGTAGAGACAAGTTTTCGCCATGTTGGTCAGGCTGGTCTCAAACTCCTAACCTCACGTAATCCACCCGCCTCAGCCTCCCAAAATGCTGGGATTATAGGTGTGAGCCACCGCGCCCGACCAGCTTCCTCATCTGTGAAATGGCAATAGTAATAGAACCTACCTCATATGACGGTTGTGCAGATTAAATGAGTTAATATAACTAAAAGTGTTTAGAATGGTGTCTGCACGCACTTCCCTCAATATGATCCATATGACCCATTTTCTTGTGACCCTGTGGTTGTAAGTTGTTGGGATAAAGGCTGTGCCCTGGATGTCACCCACTGGAAGCTGGCCTAGCCATGTGTCTGGACAAGGGACCACACCCACCCAGAGAGCCCTGCATGGGGGCGGGGGTGGTTTTTCCTAATTCATACCTAAAATACCTAAAATGCTGGGGCCTCTGGGAGCAATAAAGAAGGCCTCACTTGTCACCTTCATCTTGGGGAGAGGTCTGAAAGCTAAAAGCTGACTTCTCGGGTAGTGCTGATGGAGGGTGGTGTATTCGGAGGGAGGTCTGACCCCCTCGAGTCCCTAGGTCAGGGCCCCTTTGATGGAACACGCTTCAGGCAGGATCAATTAGTCACACGCCAGTGGAATTCTAAGTTAAAATAAAATCTGCCGAACCTCAGAAGTGGATGTCCCAAGTATGTCTCACTTCCAGCTCTGACCTGAGTGCCACACCAAGGGCGGCTGTTTAGCATCATGTTGGACACAGATGAGAGTCAAGCAAATCTGGATTCCGATCTCCAACTCCCCGAGCCCCCGTGGCTGTGGAATTGAAGTGGCGTGACCTCCCTAGGGCACAGCGTTCTCTCTGTAACGTGGTATGAGGATCACAGTTCCCACAACGCAGCGGACAAGAGCCTGAACTTAGCGAATGTGTGTAGGGCAACCAGCAGTGCCTGGCACAGAGCAGGTGCCCATAAATACCAGCGACCAGCTCTCCGAGGTGGGGGAAACATGCACACATATTTTCCACTGACACCTAAATTAGGTTAGATGGCCGTGATCTGGCCAGAGATTTATTTTAATTAGCAAGCGGCAGGAAAACTTGATTCATGGATGTGAGTGTTTGATGATTTCTCCAGGTGGTAGGAAAAAAATGTTAAATGACAAAAACAAACTGAGAAACATTCTTGAGGGGGACAAAAAGAGAGAGAGGCCTGCTAATAGCACTGCCTAAATATAGCGAAGTGTATTTCTGTAGACGGCAAAAATGGTACCCAAGCCCTGGAAGAAAATACTGCTTCTTCCCAAATTTCCACCTGGCTCTTTCTTGAATCCAGGTGGCCAGCAATGGCTGGAAGCATTGGCTGGAGGAGTGTCAGCCCTGTAAACCTGTTGCTGGACTTAGCCTGGTGCAGAAGGACAAGGGTTAATAATATCCCAACCCTTCCCGGCTGCACGATCTTGCTGTTTCTCACCTCCACTTTTTTAGCCTGCATTTTAAAAAGGAAACACAGCTCCAAAAAGGGCCCTCAGAGGCTGAATTTGGTCAAAGAGCTTTGCAAACAAGCTCCAGGTCCTGAGCCCCACAAACCTCTAATTGGGAACAGGTTAGTAGAGACGCCAGTAGGGAGTCAACCATGTGGTCTCTGACACCCTCCCCACCAAGTTCTTTCTTTCTGATTTCAACATAAACCATAACAAACACCATGCAGAACCAATTACGTGCACCCAGGGCCCAGGAGGCAGTGACTGCAGTCAGAATGGCTGGAAGTGGCCCCTTTAGGATGGGCTCCTCTGTGGGGAGGTGGGGACAGGGTACTCCACTGTCACTTCCGTGACGCTCTTGTACCCAAAGCCCATGCCTGCCTTCCCAAAGGAAAACCACACATTGATTTATGATGGATTCACCAAAACGTTTGACCATTCTGTGGGTGTTCAGTGAATCTTTTTGACCACGGAGCTGACTGCTCATAGGACCAGCCATTTGGAAAGGACAGATGGATCCATTTATATCAACTGGATTGAGGGGTGAGGACTTCCCCTCCCAGATATCAATTTACAGCTGCCCAAGAGCCTTTAGTGTTGGGATCCAAAAGAGGTGCTGGTCCCGGGCAAGGCAGGGTCCTGAAGCGGTGGGGGCTGTTGACTGTCTTATTAGGGAAGGCACCCGTCACTCTTTCCTCAGACATCTGCTGAGTACTGACTGTTCTGAGTTTGCCCCACATTCTGTGCAATACAGCTCTTGGTTTTTGTTGTTGTTACTGTTGTTTGTTATTTTTGAGACAGAGTCTTGCTCCGTCACCCAGGCTAGGACTGGAGCACAGTGGCGCGGTCTCAGCTCACTGCAACCTCCACCTCCCAGTTTCAAATGATTCTCCTGCCTCAGCCTCCTGAGTATCTGGGATTACAGGCATGGCGTGCGCCACCATACACAGCTAATTTTTGTATTTTTGTTAGAGACGGGGTTTCGTGATGTTGGCCAGGCTGGTCTCGAACTCCTGACCTCAAGTGATCCACCCACCCTCCTTGGCCTCCCAAAGTGCTGGGATTACAGGTGTGAGCCACCTCATCCGGCCTCAATACGGTTCTTTAGACTCTGTGCACCCACTGATCATAGGCTTGGAGGGTGGCTGGCTCAGGTCTGTGCTCTAGCAGGAAGAAGGGGGTGAAAGAGAATGTGCCACAGGAAGGGGCTTTGCTGGATCTTGGGGCCAGGGTAGCCCAGCACCATGCATCACAGTGGGCTTTCTGGAGTGAGACCACCTGGGTCCAGATCCTCACTGACTGGGTGACTTTGCACAGGTGGCTTAGCCCACGACAGCCTCAATTTCTCATCTGCAAATGGGAGTAATCAGAGCATGGAGCTCACAGATTGTTGCCAGCGTGACATGAAGTCATCCAAATAAAATGCTGAGAACATGATAGGGGCCCAGCAGGCATTAGCCATGATTACTGTTGTACTAGAGATGCCCCCATCATTGACAAAACCACATCGAGCTCTTGTTAGCTCTGCCCTTTGGGTGTCTCAGGGCAGACTGGGAGGGGAGTTATGTTAGAGAAATGGGGACTGTTCATTCACTGAGCAAATATTTATTTCCTTGAGGCCCTCTAAAAAGCAAAATGAATCAAATGCACATAAATCTGTTATTAATCAGAAACTCTCAGGCTGCAACAGGAAGGCCTCCCAGCACTGTGGAGATGCTGGCCCAGGCCTAAGAAGCAGTTCTAGCTGAGGGATGGTGGGGCCCAGGGTGGTCTCTGTCCTTCAGCCTGATTCCCAAGTGCAAAGCCCAAGCCACAGGCTAAGATTTGGAAAGGGGTATAGGTG
Source organism: Homo sapiens (assembly GCF_000001405.40). Lineage (NCBI taxonomy): Eukaryota > Metazoa > Chordata > Mammalia > Primates > Hominidae > Homo > Homo sapiens. The sequence continues at coordinate 45,452,838 of NC_000022.11, read as the reverse complement.
AGCTTGTGGCCTTCAGCCGGATTGCACGAAAGCCCAGCACCACCCATTCCCTGTCCTGCTAATGCTCTGCCATCACCCCCAGCCCACGGGCATGGATCCAGCTCTTGGCCCGCCTTCCAAGGTGCTTCTCAAGCTGGCTCTGCCCCTGTCTGGCCCCTCCCCTTTCAGTCATTCTCAACGACCCATCCTCAGAGCCCCTCACTGCAGGGACTGCCTCTGGGTCATCTCTATGTCCTGGGCCCTGCCCAGCACAGGTACCAGATCCTGCCACCAGACCCTCAGTTCCATTGTTCAGGACATAGTGGACAGAAGGAAGGGGGACCATCTGCACCCTGAGTGTCCTGGTCTCAGGGCAGTTCCTGGAAGTTCCCTACCGCCTTTTCCTAAATCCTAGATCTGAGTTTCTATGGATGTCATTTATGTTTTCATGTGAAGGTGGAGTTCAAGTGGAGAAAACTGATGCATTCAGGTTCCAATTTAGTTCTCAAGAAGAGCCATGGCCAAGTGGGAGCTGGGTTTTTCCAAAGATTACTTTGGCTGGAGGTGAGATTGGAGGAGTGGGAGGCCGACTGCTGGCGGCTGGCAAGAGGAGGCTGAAGCAATGGCCCAAGCTCTGCAGGAGGACCCTAAACCAGGACCGGTGCCAAGGGGGAGCCAAGTGAGAGAGAGAAGGGCCAGGATTTGATTGATGTGGGGGCAGCACGGTGGGGAGGATCAGGAATGGTTCCCAGGTTTCTCTCCCAGGGCCAGGTGGTGTCTTTCATCAATGTGGAGTCTGCAGGTTTGGGGGAAATGATGAGTTCATTTTGGACGTGCCTGTGGTGAAGCTTTCTAGCAGCAGAAAAAGAAGGAACTGGACGGGCACAGTGGCTCATGCCTGTAATGCCAGCACTTTGGGAGGCCGAGGTGGGTGGATCACCTGAGGACAGGAGTTCGAGACCAGCCTGACCAATATGCTGAAACCCCATCTCTATTTAAAAAATACAAAAAATAGCCAGGCGTGGTGGCATGCACCTGTAGTCCCAGCTACTCAGGAGGCTGAGACAGGAGAATTGCTTGAACCTGGGAGGCGGAGGCTGTAGTGAGCTGAGAACGCGCCACCGCACTCAGCCTGGGCAACAGAGTGAGACTCTGTCTCAAAAAAATAAGAAAGAATTTAGAGGGGAGATGGGAACTGGAGGTTTAATTTGAGCTATGGGATATTTACTACTGACCAGTGGACCCCTTCGCCCAGGGTGCTCCATCCCAGGCTTCCTGATGCCCGGAGAGAGGAGCAGGCAGGAGCCTTGAGTGTTGCAACATCCTGAGTGATTTATAGGGAAAATGTCCCTTGTGTTTGTTTCTCAGCACTGCCTTCCAAGAGGGAATCTAAAACCCCACATTCTGATCCTAAGTGTAATTTCCAGTCATTTCCACCGACAACATTTGGTTCTTATTATCAAAAGATACTCACACAGATGTAGCATTAAAATCTTGGCTTCCACAGATCAAGAAAACAAGATAATCTGAAGTATTGCAGCAGCCCTCAGACATTTACAATTCCAAGAAATGGTTGTTGGAGAACTCTTCTAGAATATCCATTTCCCAATGTGTTTCTGGGTGGAAGAAAGCCAGCCACTTGGTCAATTTCAGGGTGTTCATCTGAACTTTCCACCAGGAAGGCAGAACAGCCTCAAAGGGTGAACCCCTTAGGGATGAGGACCCGGGATCATTTCCTGGGGCTTCCCCAGGCCCCTTACCTCGGGGCACACAGACGGTGCTCAGTGACGGTTCGTTGGCTGTGAAAAGAAACAGGCAAATGCCACAAGCCAGCACATGCGAGGTCTTCCCATTTGACATCTCTTTCTGCAGGTTCCGAGGGCTGGTGACGGGAGAGGTGTGGCTTCTCTGACACAGAAGTGGAAAAATATACGAAACTCATGTTTGGAACTTTAATGGAGAACTTTTATCCTTCTCCCTGTTAAATTCTGTTTTAGTGATTCTGGATCCTTCCAAATAACATCCCCGGCATGGCATTCTCCACTCACAGGCCTTACATATTCCCAGAGTGTATCGTTACGTAGTAATTTATTAAGTCCATCCTATGCATCAAGTACTTTAATGAAGTATCTCATTTAATTCTCAGAATAATACTGGGACAACCATATGTGGATCATCCTCATTTTACAGATGTGGAAACATAGACTTAGGAAACGTAGGTCATTTTTCCAAGAGAACACGGCCAGTGAGAGGCAAAGCTGGTATGTGGGCCCAGAGAAGGTGACCCACGCCCCATGACGCACTGTTCCTGAGTCCCTGTGAGCACCAGCAGTGCCCAGGCTGGGTGGAAGGGGCCTTCTTGTACATTCGCCTACTTCCTCCTCTTGGGGATCCTGAGAGGTAGGTTGGTGTTATGATCCCCATTTTACAGCTGGGGAAACAGACTCACAGAGGTAAAGCGACTTGTCTGAAGTCACACGAAGCAGAGGGGCCAGAACCCGGGTCTGAGGGACACCAGCAGGGTCCTTTGTCTCCCCCAGAGCCCCAGGACTTCACCCCTCCTCTGCAGCCTCCGCCTCCACCATTGCTCAGGATGAAACAGGCTCCTTCAGAGCCCACCGGGGCACGGAGGCTGAGAGGTAATGGCTTAGCCCGAGAAACCCCCAAGAGGGCTGGCACGGTGGCTCACGCCTGTAATCCCAGCATTCTGGGAGACTGATGCAGGCAGATCTCTTGAGCCCAGGAGTTCAAGACCAACCTGGGCAATCTGGTGAGAACCGGTCTCTGCAAAAATACAAAAATTAGCCAAGTGTGGTGGTGCGCAACTGTAGACCCAGCTACTTGGGAGGCTGAGGTGGGAGGATTGCTGGAGCCCAGGAGGTGGAGACTGCTGTGAGCCAAGATCAAGATTGCACCACTGCACTCTAGCCTGGGTGGCAGAGCGAGACTCTACATCAAAAATAAATAAATAGGGCCAGGTGCAGCAGCTCACGCCTGTCATCCTAGCACTTTGGAAGGCCAAGGCAGGAGTATCACTTGAGGTCAGGAGTTCGAGACTAGCCTGGCCAACATGGTGAAACCCCATCTCTACTAAAATATAAAAATTAGCCAGGCGTGGTGGCACATGCCTGTAGTCCCAGCTACTCAGGAGGCTGAGGCAAAAGAATTGCTTGAACCTGAAAGGCAGAGGTTGCAGTGAGTCAAGATTGCGCCACTGTATTCCAGCCTAGGCAACAGAGTGAGACTCTGTCTTAGAAAATAATAATAAATACATACATACATACATACATAAATAGGCTAGGTGCAATGGCTCACACCTGTAATCCCAACACTTTGGGAGGACGAGGCAGGTGGATCACTTGAGGCCAGGAGTTCGAGACCAGCCTGGCCAACATGGCAAAACACTATCTCTACTAAAAATACAAAAATTACCGGGCATGGTGGTGCCCATAATCCCAGCTACTCGAGAGGCTGAGGCACAAGAATCACTTGAACCTGGGAGTTAGCCGAGATCATGCCACTGCACTCCCAACCTGGGAGACAGAGCAAGACTCTGTCTCAAAAAAAAAAAAAAAAAATAGAGGCCGGGTGCGGTGGCTCACGCCTGTAATCCCAGCACTTTGGGAGGCCGAGGCGGGCGGATCACAAGGTCAGGAGATCGAGACCATCCTGGCGAATACGGTGAAACCCCGTCTCCACTAAAAAATACAAAAAAAATCAGCTGGGCATGGTGGCGGGTGCCTGTAGTCCCAGCTCCTTGGGAGGCTGAGGCAGGAGAATGGCATGAACCTGGGAGGCAGAGCTTGCAGCGAGCCGAGATCGCGCCACTGCACTCAAGCCTGGGTGACAAAGTGAGACTCCGTCTCAAAAAAAAATAATAATAATTAATAAAGAACCCCCTCAGGAGGTTCCAGGGGCCTCAGTGCAATTGTGACTGCACCAGGTGTGACTTGGGAACCCTGGCGAGGAGGCAAGAGAGCGGGAGCCTGTGCAGCTAATTCCACAGGAAGGGAGACCACCCAGATCCAGAGGCCGAGGCCTTCCTCCTGACAGCTCCCTGGCCATTCATCTTGTGCACATGGCTACATAAAAGGAGTCGAGAGATCGAGTCCATTCTTTCCCTCCTCTGGGGCTTGCTTGCAAGGCGGGGTTGGGTCAAGGTTGGGGCAGCCTCTCTCTTCCTCCCTGCTTGGTGCCTCAGTGACCAGCCAGCTCCCTGCCCCACCCAGCTGGCCCCAGGCCACCGGCCGGGCCTGGGACTCAACTTGCCAACTTACAGCCTGAGGGAGGGCTGGGCTCTTCAAAAACAGCCTCAAATCATCCAGGCCGCTGACAGCCACAGGGCAAGCGCCCAGAGCCCATTCTTTCTGTCTGGCCTCCATCTCATCCGGCTATCCCAGGATCCCAGGAGTGGCTGTTGATGGAGCCCTTCCCATGGACTGGGCCTTTGCACACACATTGCACCAAATTCTCACAGCAGCCGAGCCAGGTAAGCCGGGTGATCTCCAATTTACAGATGGAGGGCAGGAGTCTGAAGTGGGCTTTGTGGCCACGCAGCCTGGATTCCCATCCAGCTCAGGACTACATGGTCTTGAGCAAGTCTCTTCACCTACCTGAGCCTCGTTTTATTCAACTCATCAGCAAAATGGGTGTAATTCAGGGTTCCTTTTTTTTTAATATTTGAAAAAAAAATTTTTGTTTTTTTTAGATGGAGTCTCACTCTGTCGCCCAGGTGAGAGGGCAGTAGTAGTGCAATCTTGGCTCACTGCAACATCTGCCTCCCAGGTTCAAGCGATTCTCCTGCCTCAGCCTCCCCAGTAGCTGGGAGTACAGGCACATGCCACCACAGCCGGCTATATTTTGTATTTTTTAGTAGAGATGGGATTTCACCATATTGGCCAGGCTGGTCTCAAACTCCTGACCTCAGGTGATCTCAGCACCTCGGCCTCCAAAGTGCGGAGATTACAAGCATGAGCCACTGCACCTGGCTAATTTTTCTATTTTAGTAGAGACAGGGTTTCACCATGTTGGCCAGGCTGGTCTTGAACTTCTGATCTTGTGATCTTCCCACCTCAGCCTCCCAAATTGCTGGGATTACAGGCATGAGCCACCATGCCTGGCTTGACAAAAATTTTTTTAAGTGTTGGAATTACAGGCATGAACCACCGCCCCGGCCAATACAGGATTTCTTGAGTTGAGTCCACAGATTCCCAAGAGATCCATGGAGAAGCTGGAGGAGAAGGGAACCCATGAAATAGAATGGGGGAAACTTGCTTCTTTTTTTTTTTTTTTTTTTTTTTTTTTTTTTTTTTTTTGAGACAGAGTCTTGCTCTGTCTCCCAGGCTGGAATGCAGTGGCCTGATCTCGGCTCACTACAACCTCCGCCTCCCGGGTTCAAGCGATTCTCCTGCCTCAGCCTCCTGAGTAGCTGGGACTACAGGCATCCACCACCACGCCTGGCTAATTTTTTTTTTTTGTATTTTTAGTAGAGACAGGGTTTCACCATATTGGCCAGGCTGGTCTCGAACTCCTGACGTTGTAATCCGCGTGAGCCACCGCACCCGGCCAGTGGAAACTTGCTCCTTTATTCCAACCAGCCCGTCCCCGAATGCAGTACTTCTTCCCATGATGAAGGTACAGAACATTCCAGGGGAAGATTAGCAGCACCTGTGACTATTTCCTCACTAAATAATGGCCAGCTGTACTTCAAAATTAGGGTAGTTATTAGACTTATCACTGGATCTTTATTTATTTTTTTTTTGAGACAGAGTCTCACTCTGTCACCCAGGCTGGAGTGCAGTGGTACAATCTCGGTTCACTGCAACCTGTGATCCCCGGGTTCAAGAGATTCTCCTGCCTCAGCCTCCCAAGTAGCTGGGATTATAGGCGCGCATCACCACGTCTGGCTAAATTTTTTTTTCTTTTGTATTTTAGGAGAGACAGGGTTTCACCGTGTTGCCCAAGGTGGTCTCTAACTCCTGACCTCAGGCAATCCACCTGCATCGGCCTCCCAAAGTACTAGGGTTACATGCGTGAGCCACTGCGCCCGGCCCTGGATCTTGTTTAATGCATCCATGTGTCAATGTCCTTCCTAAAATATGTGTCCCAGAAGAAGAAACAAGGCCACAGGTGCAGTCTATTTCCGCTCCTCACTTCCACCAGGTCTCTCTGTCCTTACAGCCCTGCCCCACCTGATTGGTTAAACCATCTGCTGCCTGGTGTCTCCTCCACTGGACGACCAGGACCGAAGGGGCTGGAGAAGGATTAACTCCAATGTCCAGTGCCTGTCCCTGCTTGGTGAGCTCAGCCCAAGAGATCCTTTTGAAATAAGACATCCATTTTTGTAACCACAACTCTATTTAAATAATTGCCAAGTCCAAAAACCTTGAATCATCCTTGACCCATGTTCACACCCCACGTCTGATCTGTTGGCAGGTTTCTTTGCTACATCTTTACATTTGTGCAGTAGTGAATCACTTCTCACCATCTCTGCTGCCCATCCGGGTCTGAGCCACTGCTGTCTCCTACCTGGATAATTACCACGGCCCTGTCCTCTCTGGTCTCTTTCATCCATCCTTGCCTTCTTACACTCTCGTCTCATCCCAGAAGCCAGACAGGTCATTCCAGCATGGAAGTCCAATCACTCTTTGCTCAAAACCCTCCAAAGGTGTCAATCTTTTTTCCTTTTTCTTTTTTGAAGCAGAGTCTCACTCTGTTGCCTCGGCTGGAGTGCAGTGGCGCGTGTCGGCTCACTGCAACCTCCACCTCCCGGGTTCAAGCGATTCTCCTGCCTCAGCCTCCTGAGTAGCTGGGGCTACAGGCGCCCACCACCATGTCCGGCTAATTTTTGTATTTTTAGTAGAGATGGGGTTTCGCCATGTTGGCCAGGCTGGTCTCGAACTCCTGACCTCGTGATCTGCCTGCCTCGGCCTCCCAAAGTGCTGAGATTCCAGGCATGAGCCGCCGTGCATAGCCAGGACTTCTTCATTGCTGCAGAAGCCCAGGATCAGAACTTTGGGAATATTGTTGTGGGCTCTTGATAAACACACATTTTACACGTTCATTTGGTTTTTTTTGTTTTTTAAGACAGGTTCTCGCTCTGTTGCCCAGGTTGGAGTGCAGTGGTGCCGTCACAGCTCACGGCAGCCTTGACTTCCAGAGCATGAGTTCTCTGCAGCAGAAGCCATGTCCTCTCACCTCTGAACCCAGGGAAGAGAGGGATGCAGCACTAATGCATTGCTTAGAAGTGCTGCACTATGAGCATGAGGTTGGGTGTGATTCAGGCCATGTTGTTCCGGCCTCTTGACATGGCCTGTCCACCGCCGGGAGGTGGTGCCACTTTCCTGGCGTCCAGGCTTGGCTGATCACGCTCTCCGACAGCCTGGGCCATGATTCGGGTGCCACTGTGGGGTCACGCTGCCTGTGCCCCCTAGGGCTCACAGAGATACTAGCCTTTGGATTCCAGTGCCCTCCCCCAGACCTCCAACAGACCCCACAGAGCTGAGCCCCAGCTCTCTTCATTATCAGTCACTCCATTATAACTAGGACACGTACGTCTGTGTGCCTGGACTGTCACTGCCCCTAGGATGAGATTTTCCAGGCAGCAACTCCATCATCACACAAAGAGGTCTCTGGAGGATCCACATTCCTTGCTGTCTAGACCTGTCCTGAGTATGCCTGAACCCTGGGTGTTCAGGTTCAGGCTGTGAAACTCACGCCCACAGTTCACCAATTCATGCAACAAATATGGCATGATCTCGGCTCACGGCAACCTCTGTCTCCCAGGTTCAAGCAATTCTCCTGGCTCAGCCTCCCGAGTAGTTGGGATTACAGGTGCCAGCCACCATGCCCACCTAATTTTTTTTTTTTTTTGTATTTTTAGTAGAGATGGGGTTTCACTATGTTGGCCAGGCTGGTCTCGAACTCCTGACCTCAGATGATCCACCCACCTCGGCCTCCCAAAGTGTTGGGATTACAGGCGTGAGCCACCGTGGCTGGCCAGATTTGTTTTATATTTTGAAGTCTTACCAACAGGATTTGCTGATAGATTGAGAGAGAGAGAGCCCAACGATGGATCCAAACTCTCTGGCCTGAGCAATTGGAAGCATTGGGGTTTCCATAGCCTAAGACAGGGAAGACTTTGGAGGGACAGGTGTGGGTAGAGGGAAACCAGTTCTGTTCAGATGCCTTCATGTTGACTGCCTGCTTGTTAGACATCCCAGTAAAGCTATCAAGTCGACATTTGGGTACCAAGCCTGGAACTCACAGCAGAGGTCAAGCTAGAGAAATACACTAGAGTGTTGTCACCTGTCTTCCCCTCCTGGAGCTCTGCTGACTGTCTCCTTGCAGGCATTCTGTCAGAGGTAGCTGGGACTTTAGAACTGGGCACAATTCCTGGCTCCATCTTGAACTGGCTCTGGGACCTTGGGAAAGTGAGTTCCCCTCTCTAGCCCTTAGTTCTTGTGAAAGGAAAATCGCAGGACTCCAAAATCGCAAAGTCAAGGGGAAAAGTCAAGCTGGGAACTGCATCACGCAAACTTGCCTCCCATTTTCTTCCTAGATAAGATAGCTACAAAGATAAACAAGCTGCATACCTCCCTCCCAATTTGCCCACAAGGAAATTCCTTGTGGGCCTCAGGATCTTTACCCTAAAACAGTTCTGTTGAATTTCACCCTGGCAATGTAAATTGATAGCTTATCTTCACAGATGTGGGACAAAGGACAGAACTCACCATCAGGCCTCTGCCCACCTGAGACAAATGCATATATGATTGCTTGATTGCTTCCTCTGCCCTATTGTTTATGTGAAAATGCAGATTCACTGAGCCAGACTAGGGCACACAGGACTACTCCTCTACCCTCTGCTCACATGGAAATTGTGTATTCAGTGAAAGGCTGATCAAAGACTCAAAAGGATGCACCCATTTATCTTTTATATGCCTATGACCTGGAAATCCCTGCTTCCAGTTGTCCTGCGTTTCCAAACTGAAGCAATGTACATCTTACACATATTGATTCATGCCTCATGTCTCCCAAAAATGTGTAAAAGCAAGCTATACCACAACCTCCTTGGGCACATGTCAGCAGGACCTCCTGAGGCTGTGTCACAGACACGTCCTTAACCTTGGCAAAATAAACTTTCTTTCCTTTTTTTTTTTTTTGGGAGACAGAGTTTCGCTCTTGTTGCCCAGGCTGGAGTGCAGTGGCATGATCTTGGCTCACTGCAACCTCTGCCTCCCAGGTTCAAGTGATTCTCCTGCCTCAGCCTCCCAAGTAGCTGGGACTACAGGCACCTGCCACCATGCCCAGCTAATTTTGTCTTTTTAGTAGAGACGAGGTTTCACCATGTTGGCCAGGCTGGTCTTGAACTCGTAACCTCAGGTGATCTGCCTGCCTCAGCCTCCCAAAGTGCTGGGATTACAGGCACGAGCCACCAAGCCCAGGTACAAAATAAACTTTCTAAATGGATTGAGACTTGTCTTAGGTACTTTGTGTTCACATTCCTCATCCTCATTGGGGATATGAAACTGGTAACACTTCTTGTAGCCTCCTGCAGGTTTTTTTTTTTTTTTTTTTTTGAGACGGAGTTTTGCTCTTGTTGCCCAGGCTGGAGTGCAAAGGTGCAATCTCAGCTTACCGCAACCTCCGCCTCCTGGGTTCAAGCAATTCTCCTGCCTCAGCCTCCCGAGTAGCTGGAATTACAGGCATGCTCCACTACACCTGGCTAATTTTGTATTTTTAGTAGAGATGGGGTTTCTCTATGTTGGTCAGGCTGGTCTCGAACTCCTGACCTCAGGTGATCTACCCGCCTCGGCCTCCCAAAAGTGCTGGGATCACAGGCGTGAGCCATCGCACCCGGCAGCCTCCTGCAGATTTTAAGAAGCTCAGCTCTGTGGCATCAGCACACACGGGCTCAGCAAGCAGCAGCCATGTACACCATCAGCATATTTTGCTGGACATGTTTATTGGTGCTGCAAGCCCACCGCCCTTTTTGCCTCTGAATATACTATGAGCCGACTCTCCCCATGCGAGGATGGGGCCAGGGAGTGGGCCTTGACCTAGGGACTGTCCATCTGAAAAGACGACCAGGTCCCATAGGCCCCCTGGTCACGAATTTGAGCTGGGAATGAGGAGGCTGGGCCAGTGGGGCTGGGAGGGGTGGCAGTGCTGGAACTGAAAGGCCGTTTTAGGGCCAGTTACCAGATGGGCAGCTGAGGACACTGAGTGGCTTTGGGTGAGAGACTCTGTGGCTGAGTCCTGTCCTCAGGCTCTGCCAGGTTCCAAGGGATATCCAGGTAACAAAGTCACATTTGTCAGCTCCAGAGCCCCGGGGAAAACCTTCAGGGGCGATTAATTCACAGATCAGCCTGGTGTGGAGGAGATGGCCCTACCCACTTTTTTCTTCAATAGGCTCTGGAATGTTCTATCCCCAACAATTGTGGACAATGAGGCTGGAGTCTTTTCTGACACTGTTAGAACAAGTGTGTTTGGAGAGCTTTCTGGAACGTCTGGTGAAAAGAAAAGACCCACTGACTCGCAGACATTCCATCTGCCCTCATTCCCATTCCTGTTTACTTCTGGGGGCCATGCTGGGGGTTGGCCCCAGGGACTTTGGATTCATCTTTCATTCGCTGGAAGAAGAAAGGAAGGCAGACCTTCCAGACTCAGTAGATGAAACTGACTTTGCCAGGTCTGGGCAGAGAGCAAGTGAGGTTCGAAGATGGGGGAGCATGAATCTGGGGGTGGGCTGGATGAGGTGGTGGGTGGGGGAGGATCAAGGCCTTTACTTGGTCGGGGCAAGCACAGATGAAGCCCCACCTGGCAACTACCTACTCTGTGTCACTCACAGCCTCATTCTCACTCGGCATCCTCCAGCTTCTTTTCACCACTCTCTTAACATCACGTGGGCACAATCCATATGGTTGAAAAGATGCCTCTTGCTGGGCGCGGTGGCTCATGCCTGTAATCCCAGCACTTTGGGAGGCCGAGTCAGGTGGATCACGAGGTCAGGAGATCAAGACCATTGTGGCTAACGCGGTGAAACCCCGTCTCTACTAAAAATACAAAAAATTAGCTGGGTGTGGTGGTATGCGCCTGTAGTCCCAGCTACTTGGGAGGCTGAGGCAGAGGCAGGAGAATCGCTTGAACCCGGGAGGCGGAGGTTGCAGTGAGCCGAGATCGCACCACTGCACTCCAGCCTGGGTGGTGACAGAGCAAGACTCTGTCCCAAAAAAAAAAAAAAAAAAGAAAAGAAAAGAAAAGAAAAGGAAACATGTCTCTTTGGAAAAGGTGCTCTAGAGGCCCCTGCTCCATCCCCAACCTTCACCCCATGATCCCTCCTGTAACCAGGCTCAGGACGCTGCTCCACCCAGGAGCATGGGGACCTGTCACCTCATTGCACCAACATTCCAAAGTGGCTGTCGCTTCTGCAGAGGGAGACCCGGTGCAGGTGGAAACCAGATGGCCAGAGGCTATGCTGGGAGCACGAGAGATAGATGTGCCACCTGCTGGTGGACAGCTCTCCAGTAGACAGCAACAGCTCACTGCACATGAGAGAAGAGAGACAGACTCTCTCATATTGTTTTATCTTGTTTTATACTCAGAAAAGGAAAGAAAAGCGAAACGAAATGCAGGTAGCCCGGCGCCTAGGAACCAGACCCGAAACCAGGCCTGGGCCTGCCTGACCTAATCCTGGTAGTTAAAGATCGACCCTGACCTAACCGGTTATGTTATCTATAGATTCCAGACTTTGTATGGAAAGGCATTGCAAAAATCCCTGTCCTGTTCTGTTTCCTTCTGATTACCGGTGCATGCAGCCCCCAGTCATGTACCCCCTGCTTGCTCAATCGATCACGACCCTCTCGCGCGGACCCCCTTAGAGTTGTGAGCCCTTAAAAGGGACAGGAATTGCTCACTGGGGGAGCTCGGCTCTTGAGACAGGAGTCTTACCTGATGCTCCCGGCCGAAAGAACCACTTCCTTCTTTAACTCAGTGTCTGAGGAGTTTTGTCTGCGGCTCGTCCTGCTGCATGCATAACAGATGGTACCCGGTTTCTTAGGGGTCCTCCCTTTGCAGTCCTGTCAGGGGTAGGAGTGTGGTTGGGTTTTCTTTTTCTGTCCGTTTCCATCACTCCAAAAAGTAGCCTCATGCCTGTTTGCCATCAAACCCCCTCACCCTGTCCCAGGCAAGCACTGATGGAATAGTTATCCCAATTCTGGAACTCCCCATAGATAGAATTGTAAACTGTGAACTCCTTTGTATCTGTTACAATGTTTCTGATTATGATTTTTTTTTTTGAGACAGAATTTCGCTCTTGTCACCCAGGCTGGAGGGCAGTGGTGCGATCTTGGCTCACTGTAACCTCTGCCTCCCGGGTTCAAGCAATTCTCCTGCCTCAGCCTCCCAAGTAGCTGGTATTACAGGAACACCCCCCACCCCACCCCTCACCACCATGCCCAGCTAATTTTTTATTTTTATTTTTTATTTCATTTATTTATTTTTTTGAGATGGAGTCTTGCTCTGTTGCCCAGGCTGTAGCGCAGTGGCGTAATCTTGGCTCACTGCAACGTCCACCTCCCGGGTTCAAGCAATTCTCATGCCTCAGCCTCCTGAGTAGCTGGGAGTACAGGCACATGCCACCACGCCCGGCTAATTTTTTGTGTTTTTAGTAGCGATGGGGTTTCACCATGTTAGCCAGGTTGGTCTTGATCTCCTGACCTCGTGATCTGCCCCCTTGGCCTCCCAAAGTGCTGGGATTACAGGCCTGAGCCACTGCGCCCCGCCCTGATTATGATTTCTGATTCTGCCGTTTTGACGGGTATATCAGCAGTTTGTTTCTTTTCAGCTGTGAGTGATAGGAATATAACTTTTGTTTATCTGATCACCTGTTGATAGATATTTTGGTTGATCCAAGTTTGGTGCTATCATGAATAAAGATGCTATAAACATTTCTGTAAAGGTCTTTTTGTGATTTTTTGCTTGTTTTTTTGAGACAGAGTCTCACTCTGTACCCGAGGCTGGAATGAAGTGGCATGATCTCAGCTCACTGCAACATCCACCTCCCTGGTTCAAGTGATTCTCATGCCTCTGCCTCCTGAGTAGCTAGGACTACAGGTGTGCACCTCCACACCTGGCTAATTTTTGTATTTTTAGTAGAGTCAGGGTTTCACCATGTTGGCCAGGCTGGTCTCAAACTCCTGACCTCAGGTAATCCACCTGCCTCAGCCTCCCAAAGTTCTGAGATTACAGGCATGAGCCACTGTACCCGGCCTAAAATTTTTTAAATTTTTTGTAGAGACGAGGTCTCGCTATGTTGACCAGGCTGGTCCTGAACTCCTGACCTCGTGATCCACCTGCTTCGGTGTCCCAAAGTGCTGGGATTACAGGCGTGAGCTACCGCACCTGGCCTTATTTTTATGTTATTTATTTATTTTTATTTTTTATTTTTTGAGATGGAGTCTCACTCTGTTGCCCAGGCTGGAGTGCAGTGGCATGATTTCGGCTCACTGCAATCTCCACCTCCCAGGTTCATGCCATTCTCCTGCCTTAGCCCCCTGAGTAGCTGGGACAATAGGCACCCGACACCATGCCCGGCTAATTTTTTTGTATTTGTAGTAGAGATGGGGTTTCACCGTGTTAGCCAGGATGGTCTCAATCTCCTGACCTCGTGATCTGCCCACCTTGGCCTCCCAAAGTGCTGGGATTACAGGCGCGAGCCACAGCACCTGGCCTTATTTTTATTTTTGTAGACAGAGTCTTGCTGTGTTGCCCAGGTTGGAGTACAGTGGTGTGACCTCAGCTCACTGCAACCTCCGCTTCCCGGGCTCAAGAGATTCTCCTGCCTCAGCCTCCTGAGTAGCTGGGATTACAGGTGCGCACCATCATGCCTGGCTAGTTTGTATTTTTAGTAGAGACAGGGTTTCACCATGTTGGCCAGGCTGGTCTCAAACTCCTGACCTCAGGTCATCTTCCCACTTCGACCTCCCAAAGTGCTGGGATTACAGGCATGAGCCACCGTGCCTGGCCCCCTTCCCATTATTCTAAACATAAGAACTTGAACACAGAATAAAGAACCATGTGCAAATGACTCTATTTTTCTTCCTGTTTATCTTATGGCTTCATTTTAAAATGAATAGGCTATCTTTTAGAACAGTGTTAGGTTTACAAGAAAATTGAGTAACAAGTATAGAGGGTTCCCATATGCTCCCTTCCCATAGGCCCCTAGTTCCCCTATTATTAATGTCTCATGTTAGTGTGGTACATTTGTTACAATTGACTAGCCAACATTGACACATCATCATCACCCAGAGTTTATAATTTACATTAGGGGTCACCCTGTGTACATTCTGTGGATTTTGACAAATGTATAATGACATATACCCAAGGTTACAGCATCACACAGCAAAGTTTCACTGCCCTAAAAATCCTTGTGCTCTCTCTGCCTATTCATCCCTCCCTCCCCTCAGTCCCTGGCAACCACTGATGTTTTTACTGTTTCTATAGCTTTGCCTTTTTTGAAAAGTCAGGCTGGGTGCAGTGGCTCATGCCGTAATCCCAACACTTTGGGAGGCCAAGGTGGGTGGATCATCTGAGGTCAGGAGTTCAATACCAGCCTGGCCAACACAGTGAAACCCAACTCTACTAAAAATACAAAAATTAGACGGGCGTGGTGGTGCACGCCTGTAGTCCCAGCTACTTGGGAGGCTGAGGCAGGAGAATCGCTTGAACCTGGGAGGCGGAGGTTTCAGTGAGCCAAGACGGTGCCACTGCGCTCCAGGCTAGGCAACAGAGGGAGACTCCTCAAAAAAAAAAAAAAGTCATATGATTGGACTCATACAGTAGATAACCTTTGCAGATTGACTTCTTTCACCAAGCAATATGCATTTAAGCTTCTTCCACATTTTCTTGTGGCTTGATAGCTCTTTTCTTATTATTATATCTTATATTAATAAGACTCCATTGTCTGGAGGTACCACAGTGTTTTTATCCATTAACTTATTGAAGAACACGTTGCTTGCTTCCCGGTTTTGGCAATTATGAATACAGCTCCTGTAGACACCCATGTGCCAGACACAAGTGTGGACATACGTCATTTGGGCAAATACAAATGGCTTTTGAACGCTATTATTATAATTTTTCTGTGCTGTTTTGTTTTAGATGTGCCTTTTGTAAGTGGCGTATATATAACTAGAATTTTTAAAAGCCAGTCTGTGGAGAGCTAGTGTGTCCAGAACTGGTGGGTTCTTGGACTTCAAGAATGAAGCCGGGAACCCTCGCGGTGAGTGTTACAGCTCTTAAGGTGGCGCGTCTGGAGTTTGTTCCTTCTGATGTTCGGATGTGTTCGGAGTTTCTTCCTTCTGGTGGGTTTGTGGTCTCGCTTGCTCAGGAGTGAAGCTGCAGATCTTCGCGGTGAAGCAGTGTGGACCCAGAGAGTGAGCAGTAGCAAGATTTATTGCAAAGAGCAAAAGAACAAAGCTCCCACAGAGTGGAAGGGAACCCGAGCGGGTTACCACTGCTGGCTTGGGCAGCCTGCTTTTATTCTCTTATCTGGCCCCACCCACATCCTGCTGATTGGTAGAGCCCAGTGGCCTGTTTTGACAGGGCGCTGATTGGTGCGTTTACAATCCCTGAGCTAGATACAAAGGTTCTCCACGTCCCCATCAGACTCAGGAGCCCAGCTGGCTTCATCCAGTGGATTCCGCACCGGGGCTGCAGGTGGAGCTGCCTGCTAGTCCCGCGCCGTGCGCTCGCACTCCTCAGCCCTTGGGCGGTCGATGGGACTGGGCGCCGTGGAGCACGGGGCGGCGCTCGTCGGGGAGGCTTGGGCCGCACAGGAGCTCATGGAGGGGGTGGGAGGCTCAGGCATGGCGGGCTGCAGGTCCCGAGCCCTGCCCCGCGGGAAGGCAGCTAAGGCCCGCTGAGAAATGGAGCGCAGCGCCAGTGGGCCGGCACTGCTGGGGGACCCAGTACACCCTCCGCAGCCACTGGCCCGGGTGCTAAGCTCCTCACTGCGCGGGGCCGGCAGGGCTGGCCGGCTGCTCCGAGTGCGCGGCCCGCCAAGCCCACGCCCACCCGGAACTCCAGCTGGCCCGCAAGGGCCGCGCGCAGCCCGGGTTCCCGCTCGCGCCTCTCCCTCCACACCTCCCTGCAAGCTGAGGGAGCCGGCTCTGGCCTTGGCCAGCCCAGAAAGGGGCTCCCACAGTGCAGCGGTGGGCTGAAGGGCTCCTCAAGTGTCACCAAAGTGGGAGCCCAGGCAGAGGAGGTGCCGAGAGCAAGCGAGGGCTCTGAGGACTGCCAGCACGCTGTCACCTCTCACTAGGACACAAATATAGCAAAATATTAATTGTAGAATCTAGGTGGTGGATGTATGTGTACATTCTGTACAATTCCTTCAGTTTTTCTTTATGCTTGAAATAAAATGTAGCAGGGAGGGCTGGGTGCAGAGGCTCAGGCCCGTAATCGCAGCACTTTGGGAGGCCAAGGTGGACGGATCACTTGAGGTCAGGAGTCCGAGACCAGCCTGGCCAACATGGAGAAACCCTGTGTCTACTAAAAATACAAAAATTAGCCAGGCGTGGTAGTGCACTCCTGTAATCCCAGCTACTCGGGAGGCTGAGGCAGGAGACTCGCTTGAACCCAGGAGGCAGAGGTTGCAGTAAGTCAAGATTGTGCCACGCCAGCTTGGGCGACAAAGTGAGACCCCCCTCTCAAAAAAAAAATTAGGGGGGAAATGTAACAAAAACCCTTTGGATTTATGAAATCACAATGGGCCTTTCAGGGGAGAGTAACCCCCCATGTCTGGCCTCGGCTCTGCCTTCCACCCAGGGGCAACACACGGAACGTCTTTCATCCTGTGGACGGGAATCACAACATCCAGCAGTGTCGGGGCTGTTGCAAGAAACTGCCCAGCACAGGACCTGGGCCTTCGCAGTTTAATCACCTCGTTCCTCTTCCTGCCTGGAGAACGGCAGGGACTGTGTTGTGCTGCTGGTCACCAGCAGAGGGCGCACAGAAAGCAAGTCTGCGTCCAAAGTTCTCACGCCTGCCCTTCCTTCCTTCAGGAGTATTTTTTACAAAGTTGCAGCCTTCAGAGTTAAAGCAAGCCTCTCCACGTTGGGGCGTGATTCCAGGCATATAAACGAAGTGGTGATGGCTGCGGCGGCCTCCTAGCGCTGTCTCCCTTTTCTCCTCTGCCTTCTTCCCAAGGATTTCCCTCCCTGTCCCTGTCTCCCATTAGACGTGGCGATCCTGGCCCAGGGCCTAGCCTGATCCAGGACAGGAAGAGTGCTCAGTGCTCATTGAATGAACCGACATTATTTCCCATTTCTCCCTTTATCTCCCCACTTGAAAGCAGGAGGGTGAATGACAGTATTGGCTGTCACTCGCCCATCACTGGGGCCCTCCCAGAGCCTGGCTTGTTCAGCCTGGACACAAATGTTCCTAATGGAGTTATCCTGGGAGGCAACGGAACCAGGTGCTCTCCTGCCTTTCCCCTTGTTGTGGGTTGAATTGGGTCCTCCCACAAAAGATATGTTGGAGTCCCAATCCCAGGTACCTCAGAATAGAACCTTATTTGGAAATAGGTTAATTGTAAATGAAATTAGTTAATATGAGGTCATTAGGTTAGGCTCTAACCCGGCGTGGCTGGTGTCCTTATGAAAAGGGGAAATTTGGACACATACACGCACACAGGGAAGACCACAGGAAGAGGAAGGCACAGATCAGAGTGATGCATGTACAAGCCAAGGAACACCAGAGATCACCAGCAAACTACCAGGAGCTGGGGCAGAGGCCCGGAACAGATCCTTCTTCGCAGCCTCAGAGGGAAGCAACACAGCCTACACCTCAATTTGGACTTCTGGCCTCCAGCACCTCGAGGAACTCTAAGTTTCTCCTGGTTAAGCCACTCAGTCTGCAGGCATTTGTTAATGGCAGCCTGGGAAATGAGTACACCCCGAACCCCTTTCCCTACAGGGAGTGTCCGTGTTACCGTTAGTCACTGTGAAAATACGCAGCTCCAGTTCAGGAAACAAGGGGTGAGCAGCTGGCTGAGAGTTTTGAAGCCCTGGGATCCGCATGGTGGCCCTGCCTGGTGCAGTGAGAACAGTGAGGTCCTTCATTTTGTGGATGCAAAACGAGGCTAAGCAGCTGCTTTCCAGCGGTGCGATGGGGGCAGTTTAAAGAGACCACCTGCCCAAGAGGCCCAGTGGGAGCCTGGTACACAGGGCGTGCTAACAAACCGACTCTCGCCCTCCCCTCTCTGGCTTTACATCACAATCCACACTCTAGTTACAGGTCCTGAGGCAGTCCCCTGGGTCCCACCCGTGGTCCCACACCAGCCTGGGGGTGGCAGCATTACTTGATCGACTGTGAATTTGAACAACGTCTTCAGTGTGGTCATTTGTTCAAATGCTTTGCCTGGGAGCCCGTGTGGGCCTGGATCCAGAGGGAGGCATAAAGTCTGTCTGCAAAGCCTTGCCTCCCTTTTGGCAGCCCCTGGGTGGCCTGAGCCTGCTGGGCTGCTAGAGCACACCCAGCCCTCTCTGCCTGGCCGACAACTCTCTCCAAGCTCCCCTTTTGCCTTCAGGATAAAGTCTGCAGCCTTCCTCGTCGGCCCGCCTGCTCCTCACACCTTGGCCACACACCTCTTCCTTCCACCCCCACCCCACACCAGACCCCAGGCCCTCTACACACCCACCTCAGCGGATACTGCCCTGCCACTTCTCTCCTGGACACCGCAGTGCCTTTGTTTATGCCTGCTAGCAAGTCCAGCCCCACTCTGTCCACCTAAAAACCCTACCGATCCTGAGGCTCAGGTGAAACGTCAGCCAGTGAAGGGTCTGAGCATGGGAAGAACCAGAGGGGCATTTAGACGGAGGGTAAAGTGAGCTAAGCTGTCTGCACTGGAGTATCCAGCTCTATCTCAGCTAAGGATAACATGCCAAGAGCTGCCATCTGTCAATGGCCCTGGGTATATGGCCCCACAAGAAACCCATGTGGAGGAGGAAGAGGTTAACTGGGGTGGGGGAACCCAGTGATTTCTAGGCTTTGGGGCCAGAAATCCTGTCCTTGACCTCAAGGACAGGGCTGGACTTAGTCCCCACTCTCAGTGGAAAATGCCTCCCCACACCTCCTGCCTGGCAATTTCCAAGTCACTCTTCAAGTGTGGCCTGCAGCAGATAGCTAGTTGTCCCCTAATATGTATTACTTCATTTGTATACAGTTGTAGAATGATGGTCTGGTCACACGGTCAGCCAGCTAAGCTTCCCAGCCTCCATTCACGTAGGTGTGGTCACATGACTGAATTCTGCTCCATGCGATACAAGCGGAGGTGAAATGCACTTTCCATGCCATGTCTCCATGTTGTCATGGAGAAGTAGCATGCCGACCCCCTTCTTTTTTGCCTTTCCTCCTCGCTGCTGGCCAGAGCGTGGCAGGATGGTGGAGGCCGGAGCAGCATCCTGGACCACAAGACAGGAGCTGCGTGTGGCAGCGGAGAGGACAGAGCCACAAGCTGGAAGGAGCCTCAGCAGAGCCACCATATGAGCTTGCACTTCTATGAGAGCAGAAATTAGCCTCTGGTTTTGTTTTTGTCTGTTTGTTTTTTTGACAGAGTCTTGCTCTGTCGCTAGGCTGGAGTGCAGTGGCGCAATTTTGGCTCACTGCAACCTCCACCTCCTGGGTTCAAGCAATTCTCCTGCCTCAGACTCCCAACTAGCTGGGACTACAGGCGCGCACCACCACGTCCGGCTAATTTTTGTATTTTTAGTAGAGACGGGGTTTCACCATGTTGGCCAGGATGGTCTTGAACTCCTGACCTCATGATCCGCCCACCTCAGCCTCCCAAAGTGCTGGGATTACAGGCGTAAGCCATAGTGCCTGGCCGAGCCTCTGTTGTGTCAAGGCCACTGCTGTTTCAGGTCAGCTGTAGGAGCTGGCCGAGTGAAGTGCCTGAGAGCCACTTATCCTTGGGTTCAATCCCAAGCGCCCACACTTCCTGGGGGTATGACCTCGCCAAGTCACTTAACGTGTCTGTAACTCAGGTTATTCAACTAGAAAATGTGAGTAGTAAAAATACGCACCACCAGCTGTTGTGAGAATCACATTAGTGAATTCTACATGAAGTGTTTGGATTTGCACAGAGCTCGCATTTGGCAGCAGTAACGATTACTGCAGCTGAACCTAGAGTCTGTGCGGAACACAGGCCCACCTTAAATACCACCTTAAATACCACCTCTCTCTAGGGTGGCCCTGAGCAGGCCCGTGTGGAGCTACTTCCTAGAGCCCCACTCAAGACCTTCGCTGAGCTGAGTTGAACAGAAACGAATGTTCCTCACAGAAATACACGGGAGAGGTTAGATAAATGTTTTGTCCACAGTGGACGATTACAGCTGAAGGGTACTTGTGGCCCAAGGAGTGTATCTTTAAAAAAGAAACGTGACTCTTTAAGGTAGCCACTCTTTATACGTGAATGACGGGAACAAGGGTGTGTTCCTCATTATCGACTTCCTGTATTAAATTGTGTGAAATAGTCTCCCGTGGGTTGATTTGTATAGACTTCATTCATATATTTTTTCCTGATAACAAAATGAGAAAAAAAAAAGGTCAGCAAATGTGTATACTTCCTATTCTTTCTTTTTTTTTTTTTTGAAAAGGCACACAAACTTTTTATTAGTGTGTTATCCCCAAAATACAGAATACGTTTCATACCTAATGAGCCCCCCAAAATGATCCATCTCAACCGCTCCTCAGCGGCGAGGGTCACTTTTTAATTACACTGCAGTTAGATTAGGGACTTACACCAGTAACATTTGGGGACATAAGAAAATTAAATCTCCGTGGGTGTTCACCCTGTTTGATTTCTCAGATCATTCTTTTCTTGTTTTTAGAGACAACATCTCTCTCTGCCACCCAGGGTGGAGTGCAGTGGTGCGATCATTGCTCACTGCAGCCTCCAGCCCCTGGGCTCAGGCCATCCTCCTGCCTCAGCCTCCCCAGTAGCTGGGATTTCAACTGTGTGCCACCATGCCTGGCTAATTTTTGTCTTTTTAGTTTAGTTTTATTTTAGTTTCACCATGTTGGCCAGTCTGGTCTCAAACTCCTGACCTCATAATCCGCCCGCCTCAGCCTCCCAAAGTGCTGGGATTACAGGCGTGAGCCACCGAGCCCAGCCCTCAGATCACTCTTAATGCTCCTTTTAGGCCTTCAGCAGAAGTGATAACAGATGGACCCACAAGCAACCAGATATCGGATTGGAGAAAATATTCCTGGGTCCCCCCTGAGTTTAAGCCAAGAGCTAGATAAATAAGTAAATAAATACTGTGTTTTTCAGGTGCAAGTTCACCTGTTTGCTTGCATTTGACATCTTCTTGTAGCTGGAGCTCTGAACTCTTGGAGTCCTGTCTATAACCAAGAGACTCCAGGCTTTTCTGGGGCAGCCCAGGAGCCCCTCTCTCTACCTGGAAAGCCGTCCCTGAATAGGCAGTGCCATCCTCCTCCTGGGTCTCACCAATGAAGCCTCCTCCAGGAAGCCTTCCTGACTCCCCCAGCAGACTCAGTGCTCTTCCCTGGGGCTTTCCGGTGCCCTCCACCCATGCACCCCGTGTGGACAGCAGTGACCTGTGGCCCATGGGTCTGTCAACCCAAGCCAGCCCACTTGAGGTCCACAGTGTCCAGATGAGGACCACCAGGGCGGGGTGTTTCCCCTCCTGCCCCCTCCTCGTCCTTGACCTCCACAGCCCCGCGGTCCCTCCACCCGGTCCCCCACCTGGCCCTGGTCCCACCCAGCACTCACTGCAAATGCTGCTCCTTGGCCAGGCTGAGGTTGCTGCTGTCCAGAGCTCTGCGCAGGTCGCGCTGCCGCCGCCACTGCTGCCGCTCAAACAGCAGGGTGGCGCGAGCCCCCTGAATCCTCCGCCGGTCCCAGTCCAGGTCTCGCTGGCGCTTTTCTTCCTGGAGCCTCTGGAAGGAAAAGAGGCGGCTCACCACCACCTTTCCCCAGAGCCAAAGAACCCCAGGGGATTATCTAGGAGGCCTGGCCTCTCATTCTACAGATGGGGAAACTGAGGCTCAGAGGACGAGCAGGTAGGTGACCGATGTCATGCAGGAAGCCAGAGGAGACCCCCAGCCTGCCCTCATTCCATGTGGCCCAGCTGCCCTCCCCCGTCAGGAGGTGCTGGCCGTCCTCCTTCTCCTAAAGGCACAGCAGGGACTCAATTCCTACAGCAGCCTCCACTCCCAGCTCCGGGGTGCAGGGCTCCCAGGTGCAGGCTGGGCCCAGAGTCTTCCTTCTCAGGTCCTCAGGGGGCTCCCTGGCTCAGTCAGCTGTCAGATGCCACCTCCATGAGCCATGGCCGGCTGCCCCACAGCTGAACGCAGATCACCTGGGCAGCTTCCAGAACATGCAGACACCACAGCCTCACCCGGTGACAGGAAGGTTATGGTCCTAGAGGGGCACCCCAACCCCTGAGTTGCTATGTTTCAGCTCATTCCTCACTGCCCTCCTCACTGTGAAAACTCTGGAGCCCTGGAAGAGGAAGCTGGATTTGTGTGGAGGAAGGGGTACTTCCCCGTGTGTTGTCAGCTTTGTTAGGGCTGAAGACGAGTCCCCTTTGCCCACGTTTGCCATTTTTAGGGCAGAGCCTCCTCCCGCCAAATAAGCAAGGATGTGTCCGGTGAGTGGCACGGGGGTCTGGGCGGCCCCATCCTGGGACTGAAGGCAGGCTGGCGGGCTTTGTCACCCACGAGGCAAGTCACCCTGCTCTCATGAACCTCAGTGTCCCCCGCTGTAAAGCCAGGCTGCTCTCAGGAGCCCAGGGTCATCACACAAGCTGCTTGGTGGCAAACAGGGAATGGCATGGGACACACTCACCCGGGCTAAGAGCAAAGCAGACAGCCCAGCTGTTTGAGGTGAGATCTCAACTTTCCCAGTTACCTCCAAGCATAGAAAAGGGGATGGAGGCAAGGACCCAGAAAGGAAGCGGGCAGTAGTTCTGAGTGGGGAGGTTTCATGTGTGTTTTTCCCCCTTTGTGCTTTTCTGTCTTCTTAATTTTCTACAAAAAATGAAAACTAGACAGCAATACTGCTTTCAGGATGGCCGGCCGATCTCCTGTGCCAGATGGTCCAGGCAGAGCGGCAGTCCTGAAGCACAGAGCAGGGCCCTGGACCCCCATTCCAGCCCCGGCGCCCTTTCCACCTTGGACTACTTCCTGAACTTCACGCCCCCTGCCTGCCCAGGTCCCGGCCCCACTGCAGCCTCCCACACATGTGCACCTCTGGCCTGCAGGGAAGCAGGTGGACGAGCTGCCCCACCCACTCCTCATGCCCTGGTCCACGCCACCGCCACTGTCCCTCCTCCTCCCCAGACCCACCAGATCAGAAGCTTACACCAACTATGGCACCTGCCACCCCAGCCTGGCCTCTTCCACCCACTCTTTGCAGGTTTGAGACCCTCTCCAGATCTCTCCTGCCAGGATTCTCAGTGGTTTCAGCACACACAGAGACAGCCCTCTCTTGTCCCCAGCTGCTCAGCTCTCCTGCCTCCTCTCCAAAGATCTAGTCCCGGCTTCACCTTCTCACCCACTGGGCACACCCTACCAGTGGTTCTCAAACTTGAGTAGGCATCAGAATCCCCTGGGGGCTTTCGAAACCACAGACTGCAGGCCCCACCCGGCCGATGCTGTGGGTCCGGAGACCCTCCCTTTGGGACCCTCCACCCTTCCGTTGTCATTACCAATAACAGTCTCACTGCTCTAACCTGTCTCTTCCACTCTCTCTCCAAGTCCCTGATTCCAATGATTATGCCCCCCGCAAAGTGTGACCTCCAGTCTGCTGGCCGCCACTTTTCCAATCTCTCTCTGGCCCCCTGGTTCGTCTCATGGCAGATGCTCCCAGGCCAATACCCTCGGCCCCCTGAGTCCTTCACTTGATCAGGCAGGCGGTGACCACAATGAATCTGGCTAAGCATGGTGGGGGACACCCTGACAGTGCTCTCTGGGGTGACCCAGACTATGGGGTGACCCAGACCTATGGGGTGACCCAGTCATCTGACTATGACCCCCTAGTGGGCCCTGGGCACTGTCTGACCATCCTGTCCCCTTCCTCCAGGCTGTTCCCTCTCCAGCTCTTCTAGATGACCACTTAGCACTAACTCCCCCCGGCCCTGCTCAGTTCTACTTCTAAAAGGTAGAAAATGACGGTCACTTCAGTGGTCCTGAGCCACAGCCCCCAGTACAGATCAACTCAGGTCTCAATTCTGTTCACCCGCAAGCTCCCGCCCTGATGCCCCTTCCCGTGACTCCAGTGATGGCTCTGAGCTCCCAGAGGCCACACCAAGCCCTCAACTAGCACTCCATGTCCCTCGCTCTCCTGCAGCCCAGGGACACGGCTCCAGCAAGTCTCTCCTCTGGCATCAATTTCCCCCTCTACTGCATCACTCCGGCTGAATGACAAGCATGCTGTTATTTCTACAATCAAGACAAACAAAAACTTTCCCTTCACCTCATGGCCCCCACCAGCTCCTACTCCATTTCTCTGCACCCTTTACAGCAAACGCCTTGTAAGTGCTGTCTGCATGTGCCATCTCCATTCGTTTCCTGCCTGTTCTCTCTTGAGCCCATTAGGCTGGCAGCCCCACTCCTCTGCCAAACATGCTCCTTCCTGACAGGGTCCCTGGTGACTGCCATGGTGCTGGATCCAGCGTTTAGCCTGAGCATGGCAGCAGCGTTTGACCCAGGGGTTCCCCTCTCCTTCCCTCCCAAACACCTTTCCTCACTTGGCCTCCAGGAAACCACGGCTTGCATCTGTCCACCTCCCTGGCGGCCCCTTCTCAGATGCCTTTGCTCTTTATCAACAGTGGTGGTGAGAAGGGGGGTGCTGGGGAGGTGGGAGCAGGACTCAGTCCTCAGCTTTAAATACTCTCTGTAGGGCCGGGCATGGTGGCTCACGCCTGTAATCCCGGCACTATGGGAGGCTGAGGTGGGTGGATCACTTGAGACCAGGAGTTTGAGACCAGCCTGGCCAACATGACGATACCCTACCTCTACAAAAAATACAAAAAGCAGCTGGGTGTGGTGGTGCATGCCTGTAATCCCAACTACTGGGGAGGCTGAGGCAGGAGAATCGCTTGAACTCAGGAGGCAGAGGTTGCAGTGGGCCGAGACTGCATGACTGCACTCCAGCCAGGGTGATAGAGTGAGACTGTCTCAAAATACATGCATACATTCTCTCTGTAGGTGACGACTCACATTTATGCCTCTGGCCCAGACCTTGTTCTGAGCCCTATGTTACATATCCAGCTGCCTCCTGGGCTTTAATTGGAGATTGTGGCAGAAAATACTACTTGTCTCCCAGTAACCATTTTTCGTTCTTCTTTAGTAAAACAATCACCAGCACTTCACTGTCTGGAATAAACGCATTTCCTTGACTTCTTTAGAGTTAGGGGCAACCTTGTGACTAAGTGTTGTCCAGTGAAATGTAAGTGGAAATCTCCTTAGAGTGTTCTCCATTCCTCCTTCCTGGTAGCTGGACTATGCATGTGATGGCTGGTGCTCAAGCAGCCATCTTGCACTAAGAAGTGAGAGCCAGGAGCCAAGGATAGCAGGACATCAGTCAATGACCACAGAGCTGCCATACCAGCCCTGGACTGTTTTCCTGAGGATTTAGTCTACTTGCAAGAGAGAAAGTTCTATTTTGTTTAAGATGCTGTTATGTGTGGTTTTCTGCCACATTCAGGCAAATGTAATCCTAATAGATACAGATATCTAATGGACTTTGCACACTTGACGTATCCAAAATTGTAACTCTGATTTCCACCCCTCCCCACCCACCAACCTGCTCCTCCCACCACCTTCCCCATCTCTGGAAATGCCAATTCCATCCCTCTAGTTGCTCAGGCCACAGGACCTAGAGTCGCCTTTAACTCCTCTCTTTCACACGTCCCCACCCAATCATGCATCCAATCCTGTCGACTCTACCTTCAAAACAGATCCAGAATCTGACCATTGCTCAGCACCCCCACTGCCTGCCCCGTGGTCCCAGCCAGCATCACCTCTCGCTGTGAACACTGCAAAGGCCTTCCTGGAGATCTCCTTCCTTCCCCCTCAGCCCCTAGTGTCTGCCCTCAATCCAGGGGGATCACGCTGGGGATCCTGTTCAACCTAAGTCAGATCCTGTCACTTCTCTGTCCAAAACCCTGCAGAGTTCCCCGTCTCCGTCACAGAAGAAGCCAAAGTCCTCCCCAGTGGACTGCCAGGACCTCGACCGTCTGCCTCTGAGGCCTCCGTACCTGCCCCTCTCCTCACTCCACTCTAGTCACCAGGCTCCACGCCCTTCTCTGAGCAGGTCTGGCAGGGTCCTGCCTCAAGGCCTTTGCCCTTGCAGCTCACCCTGCCCGGTCGCCCTTTTCCCAGGTAGACACATGGCTCCCTCCCTACCCTCTTTTGGGTCTTTGCTTCAATGTCTTCCCATTCTACTGTCCTCTATCTTGGCACTCCTACTCCTAATGCCACATCATACGGGTGTGACACTATCTGGCTCTTGTCTCCCACCGACTAGAAGGGAAACTCCTTGAGGGCAGGTGCTAGGGCAGAGCACAAGGCCTGCTACAACTACATTTGTGCCTGGAAGGCAGTGGGAGCAAAGAGCCTGGCTCTATGGGCTCTGGAAAAAGGGGCGGGGCAGTCACCAGCTTCTCCTGGATTTGCTGCTTCTGGACTAGGCGGATCTGCTCCAGCTGCTCCTGGGTCATGCCCTTCCAGCGGTCAGGGACCACGCGGTGGGGCCCGAAGGAGCTGGCTGCCTGCTGCGGGTTCTCGGAGAGCAGGTCCCCACGCAGGAGGTTGGTGATCTCGGCCAAGTTGTCCTCTTGTTCTTGCTTTTTCTCTTGCTTTTTCCTTTCCACTGACTCGATGGCCTAAGCAGGTGAAGACATTAAAGAAGATGGTCCGAGTGACCCCAGGGGCATTCTGACACCCAGGCCAGCAAATCTCACTGGGGGCCCTCGAGGGGAGGATATGCTAAGGGCAGCAGGAGTCGGGTGGAGGGGAGACTTGTCAGGCACGGATGTGGGTGGGTCCTTGAACCCCTGGCTGCCTGCGCACTGCTGGGCGGGTGGGCTGGACTCGGGGGATCACCACCTGTTGGGTGTATGCATAAGAGCTCCGGGTCTTGCACCAACTTACCAAGGCAGGGAACTCCCTCCTTGGATTAGGCCGACACCCCGCGTGGGCCTGGTCCCACCCAAGGCAGGGCTCTATGCCCCTGGCAACCCTTGGACATCTGTGGGCTGCAAAGAACGCTCAACAGAGTGATTGACAACAGTGGTAGAAAATGCACTGTCACTTCAGTGGTCCTGAGCTGCAGCCCCCAGTACAAAGTAATTCCAGGTCTCATTTCTGTTTGATTCCCTGGGGGTTCCCTGGCTATGTGGCCTATACCAAGTCACCTCCCCTCTCTGGGCTGCAGTCATTTCTCTGTAAAGTCAGGAGATGGCTTAGGAGACATGTACTTGGGTTTACAGTTGTCCTCAGTAACACATGGACAGGGCAGTTTGCAAGGAGCCGGCCTCCCACATGTGCTCACCAGAGGCCAGCTTGATTGAGTCACACAGTACAAGCTTTGTAGTTAGACAGGCCCAACTTCAATACCGGACTTGCCACTGAGTACTCCCTAAGGAAGTCAGCTCATCCTTCCAAGCCCCTACACCCGTTTTTTTTTGTTTGTTTGTTTGTTTGTTTTTTTGAGACGGAGTCTCGCTCTGTCACCCAGGCTGGAGTGCAGTGGCACAATCTCGGCTCACTGCAACCTCTGCCTCCCAGGTTCAAGTGATTCAACACTGTTCTTACTTTGGGAGGCCAAAGTGGGCAAATCACAAGGTCAGGAGTTCAAGACCAGCCTGGCCAACATGGTGAAACCCCATCTTTACTAAAAATAGAAAAATTAGCTGGGCGTGGTGGTAGAGGCCTGTAATCCCAGCTACTTGGGAGGCTGAGGCAGGAGAATGGTGTGAACCCGGGAGGCAGAGCTTGTAGTGAGCCAAGATCGCGCCACTACACACTCCAGGCTGGGCAAGAGAACAAGACTCCACCTCAAAAAAAAAAAAAAAAAAGAAAAAAGAAATGTGAGCAGAGGTGGCAGTACTGCTCCTGGGAGGAAGCCTGCGGGGACTAGCCACATTCCTTCCCTCCTCCTGCAGGGATCCTCTGGCTGGCGGTCGCTCCATCCCAGGACCTGGGCTCCAAAGTGAGGATGCCAAGGAACAGGCCTCACAGCCTGTCCATGGCGGGCAGGGAGCATGCATGGAACATCAACTTTCTGTTTAAGCCACTGAGACTGCTGCTTCTTATCCCAGCAAGGGTTAGCACATTCTGACCGACACAGGAGGGTGTTGTCGCTTCCTCATTCTGCAGATGATCAAATGGACGCAGTGGGTGGCCTGCCCAAGGCTGCAGGGCAGAGCCTGGTCTGCACCCCGTGTGGTCGGGCTCCAGAGCCTGCGTGCCACACCCTGATGCCACAATGCCTCTCTGACGAAATGAGCCCCGACCCAAGAACTGGAGGCCCTCACGTGTGTCCTTCCTGTTGAACTGGACCGGCCTGCTTGGGCTTTGGATTAACATCCCAGGTTAATTAAAAAGCCTAGTTGTAGTTAGTAGCAGAGCTGCAGAAGCCAGAGGGCGGCTTTTCCCAGTGCAGGAGTGTTTGCAATGGTGCTGCCTCGTGGCATCCACGTGAGGAGCCGGGGGTCTGAGAAAACCAGGCAGGCTGTGGATGCCCATTAAACATCTTCTAGAATATATGAATGAATAAATTGATGAATGAGACAATAGGGTTTAGCAAAAGCCACTCCAATGCCCAGCAGGAAGGGCTCAATAAACATTGGTTGAATTGATGAATGAATGAGTGAATTATCATCATCATCATCACCATCGCTTCCATAAATGAATGAGCAGATCACCAGCCAACAGTGGACTAATTGTCAAGGGCCCCACATCCTGCCATTCACTTGCAGTGGGGACTGGAGCAAACAGCCTCCCCTCTTTGGTCGCCCTCTGTAAAATGAAGGGCAGGGATGGATGATCTCTAAGACCTTTGCAGCTCACTGGGTGGTGAGCTCGGACTTCAGGTGTCTTGCTTTGCCTTTTGGTCCTCCCCAGCCCCCGCAGTTGGCTCTCCTCATTCCTCTCCCCCGTGTTGAAAACCCACATTCTCTGGTGTCTGGTCCAGCCTCTCTGGGATTTTTGACTGCCTGCCTCCACCAGGACAGTTTTGAGCTTGTATCTCCAATATATTTAGTTCACAGCATGGTACTACTATACCTTAATGATAGCACATGCTTATAACTACACATGTACATGGAAATCAAAAGTGATGAGGTTAAAAATGAATATAAAGCAGGGCTCTGGTATCTGCTCTCCCACAGATCCTGCACAGCCTTCTTTGGGGACCATAGTTCTAGTTGACGAGCGAACCTGATCAATGAACCCAGGCAAAGTCCCCACCCACCAGAAAACAGAATTGCATTCGAAAAGAAAACCTTGTGGGGGGAGGGAGAGGCAGGGGGGCGAGCTCTAATTTCCAAAACGAAAAGAGGGCCAGATGTGGTAATCCCAGCACTTTGGGAGGCTGAGGCGGGAGGACTGCTTGAGCTCAGGAGTTTGAGACCAGCCTGGGCAACATGGCAAAACCCTGTGTCTACAAAAAAATACAAAAATTAGCTGGGCATGGTGGCGCGTGACTGTAGTCCCAGCTACTTGGATGGCTCAGGTGGGGGGATCATCTGAGCCTGGGAGGTCGAGGCTGCGGTGAGCCATGATCGTGCCACTACACTTCAGCCTGGGTGATGGAGTGAGACCCTGTCTCAAAAACAAACAAACAAAAAAACCAAAGAAACAAAAAGAAGAACCTATTTCAGCAATTTCAGCATCAGGTTGGAGGGGAGGGGAGTGTGTGGGAGGAGGGGGGCCAGAGTTTAGAGAGGAGGTGGGAGGTCTCAGGAGGCCCCAGTGTTCGAGCTCATTATGATCTTCTTCATCATCCCTGCCATCGGTGAGCATCCAAGTAGCTGTTCTCAGTAAAGGGGAAGTCTGAGAGGTGGGAAGAATGGAAACCAGCACCAGGCAGTGGAGCAGAGCTAGGCGGTAACAGTCTAGGTGGATGTCACCATCCTCATGTTACAGAAGAAGAAACCGAGGTGTAGAAAGGTGAGCTGACTTCCCCAGGTTACATGGCTAGTTTGGCAGGTTTCCCTCCAAGATTCAGAGCTAAGGCACAGGACTGGGTCTCATCCATCTCTGTCATCAGGCAGCCCATCAGGGTCTCTGTCAGGGCCGGTCATGTGACCAGGGAGCAGGCTGAGACTGGGATCCCAGGGAAGCCGGAGAGCCTTGGGAAGCCGTAGTGGGCTCATCCTCCCCTCCAGTCGTCGAGCCCGAGGTCGCGGAGTACCTATACCTGGCTCTTGTTGAAGTCTTTCACAGATGCACAAACTGCCTTTCTGGTGGTGCTTTCCAGCTTCTGGAGGTGCTTGGCTGTCTCGTCAAACTGCAGCCTTGTCTCTGTGTAGAGGGCCTCTGAAAGGAGGCAAGAAGCAATCAGATCGACCTGGCCACAGGAGCACCTTCCCACGTGTGGCCGTTCGTGCCTTTGCCTCCTACCACGTCCTTAGCCATGAGCATGAGGACGGGAACAATAATGACAGGACCTGCCTCTGAAGGCTGTGGGAGAGTCAAGCTCCCAGATGAGTGCTAGTGATCACTACTATGCTGGGGTCCTGGGACAGGCTGGTGGTGTGCCCCTTGCTGTCCTGCTCTATCCTGAGGCAGCTACATCCTTACAGTGGGCAAGAGATACTCTACAGCCCCAAGAAATGACGTTTGAGACCTGCAGGACAAAAGAAGTGGGTTGGGAGCAGGTGCAGAGGTTTTGGGAAAGGATTCAGGGGAATCCAGAAGTGAAAGAGCAAGAAACCAGACAGGACTCTATGGAGGAAGTGGGGCCAGATGACAGATACTGTGGAGTGGCAGGAGGACTTGGTCAGGCCAATGAGTAAGAGAAAGAGGAAGAGTAGGAGGTGAAGGGGTCAAGGTAGAAGGTCCAAAAGCAAAATGTGAAGATTTGGAGTCAGAGGAGGCTCACATCCCAGCCCAGACATTTCCGAGCTCTGTTAACCTCAACTATTACTTAGCCTTGCTGAGCCTGTGTCCTTACCTGTGAAGCAGGACATACCTCCTTTGCAGAATAATAACATTATTATTATTAATAATACTATTATTATTATTAATAATACTATTATTAATAATACTATTATTATTATTAATATTATTAATAATACTATTATTATTATTAATAATACTATTATTAATAATAATAATTAATTAGACATCCAAGTGCATTAGACATCCAAGAGAAGTTAGATGAATTTATGAGTCTGGATTCAGGGAAGAGTCCAGGCTGGAGGTATAAACCTGGGAAATGATGGCCTATAGGTGGCATTTAAATAATAATTAATTATTTAATTATTATTATTAATAATAGTATTAATAATAATAATAGTATTATTATTATTTGACATGGAGTCTCGCTCTGTTGCCCAGGCTGGAGTGCAGTGGTGCATCTTGGCTCACTGCAACCTCTGCCTCCTGGGTTCCAGCAATTCTCCTGCCTCAGCCTCCGGGGTAGCTGAGATTACAGGCGCGCACCACCACGCCCAGCTAATTTTGTATTTTCAGTAGAGACAGGGTTTCACCATGTTGGCCAGGCTGGTCTTGAACTCCTAACCTCGTGATTTGCCCACTTTGGCCTCCCAAAGTAAGAACAGTGTTGAATCACTTGAACCTGGGAGGCAGAGGTTGGCCAGGCTGGTCTCAAACTCCTGACCTCAGGGGATCCACCCACCTCGGCCTCCCAAAGTGCTGGGATTACAGGTGTGAACCACTGCACCTGGCCAAACTCCACATTGTTTAAAAGTATCACTGACTGCTGTTTTGGGAATGGACCAGAGAGGGGCAAGAAAGGAAGTGGAGGCCATCAGAAAGATCTTGGCAGAGGTCTGTTCAGCTGAGATGGTGGCTTGCATCACAAGGGTGACAGCAGGGATGGGGACAAGCGGACAGTTCAAAATATATGCAGGAGGTAGAAGGGACAAGAGTCAGAGATGGCCTGGAGTCAGGGGTGGGTCATGGATGATTCCCTAGACTTCTGGTTTAAGGGCAGGAGGTACCAGTTAGTTGGAGGAGAAAGATGGAAAAAGGAGCAGATGCAGAAGAGGATCCAGGGCTGCTTTCCGACATGTTGTGAAGGGTCCTGTGAGATGTCAAGGAGACTGCTGAAGAACCAAGTCCACAGCTGAAACAAAGCCTTTTGGCCAGAGGTGGAAATTTAGACCACTTGGGAGATGGATGAACCATACAACACGTCAGTGATCAAGGCTATGGAGAAAAATTAAGCAACAGGATACGGAATGTGGGGTGGGAGGAGGGTACAGGGTTTAAAATAGGGGGGTCAGGGGAAGCCTCACTGATAAGATAGCACTTTAGCACAGCCCTGGAGGAGAGTGGTGATCCCTACAGATATCTGGGGAAAGACATTTCTAAGCAGAGGGAACAGCACATGCAAAGGCCCTGAGGCAGAAGTGAGCCTGATATACTCACGTCTGAAAACAGCAAGATAGTGTGGAAAGAATGGAGTGAGAGGGCAGCATAGCAGGAGATAAGGCCAGACTGTGAAGGCGTTGTAGGTCTCTGAAAAAAATCGTTTACTCTGAGTGAAATGTTTACTCTGTAGGATAAGGGGAGAGACCCAAAGAGCAGCTGAGAGATGCTTTTTGTTTGTTTGTTTCAGATGGAGTCTCACTCTCACCCAGGGTGGAGTGCAGTGGCACAATCTCAGCTCACTGCAAGCTCCGCCTCCCGGGTTCACGCCATTTTCCTGCCTCAGCCTCCCGAGTAGCTGGGACTACAGGCACCCGCCACCACTCCCGGCTAATTTTTTGTATTTTTAGTAGAGATGGGGTTTCACCGTGTTAGCCAGGATGGTCTTGATCTCCTGACCTCGTGATCTGCCCGCCTCAGCCTCCCAAAGTGCTGGGATTACAGGCATGAGCCACTGTGCCCGGTCTTTTTTTTTTTTGAGACAGGGTTTCACTCTGCTGGCCAGGCTGGAGGGCGGTGGCACAATCACGGCTCACTGTAGCCTTGACCTTCCAGGCTCAGTGATCCTCCTGCCTCAGCCTCCTGAGTAGCTGGGACTACATGGGCACGACACCATGCCCAGCTAACTTTTTAATTTTTTGTAGAGATGAGGTCTCACTTTGTTGCCCGGGCTGGCCTTGATCTCTTGGCTTCAAGTGATCTTTCCTCCTCAGCCTCCCAAAATGCCGAGATTACAGGCATGAGCCACTGCGCCCAGCCGAGAGATGCTGATAGCCTTAGTTCAGAATGGGAATGTTGGAGGGTGTGGAAAGTAGCTGAAAAATGGAGAGAAAGGAAGGAGTCAAGATTACCTGGGCTGGGGCCTGGGCAGCTAGAAGAAAGGAGCTGTCACGGATGTGGGTAGAAGGTCAGGTCTGCAGGGAAGAACAGAGTTATTGGACTCGTGCTGATCTTGACAAGTGCATTAGACATCCAAGAGAAGTTAGATGAATTTATGAGTCTGGATTCAGGGAAGAGTCCAGGCTGGAGGTATAAACCTGGGAAATGATGGCCTATAGGTGGCATTTAAAGCCATGAGACCGGACAAGATCACTCGGGTGAGTTTAGCTGGTAGAGGAGAGCACTGGTGTGAACAACATCCAGAGGTTGAGCAGATGAGAAACCAACAAAGGACCTGGATGGGAAGGGAGCTAATGTGAGAGTGGTGTTCTGAAAGCTGAATTGCATGCGCATTTCCAGGAGCAGGAGGTGATCGACTGTTAGGTCCAGATGAAGGTCAAAAACCGACCTTGGATTGGGCGACATGGAGGTCACTGGTGAGGTTGGCCAGGGCAGTTCCAGTGGAGCAGGGAGGGCATAAATCTGGTAGGAGTGGGAGAAGAATGGGAGAAGATGATCTGGGGAGACATCACTCATGGAGAGTAGACTGGGGAGAGAAGAGGCTTGGAGGAGGATGGGCCGAGCAAGGAGACTGCAAACTAACAAGCAGAGAGGAGGCGCTCAAGAAGGCGGAGTGCATTCCTCTCTGTGCCTGGTCCCTGTTTTGTCTTCCTCATAGCTCCTCACTATTCCATCACCCGCTGACACACCCCAAGAGAGCAGGGATGTTGTCGTCTTCGTTACCCGGTCTTTCCGGCACAGAAGTGGCTGGGCGGGTCAGTGCTGCTCGAGTGCAGGCATGAAGAGGAGCTGGGAGAGCAGAATGCTGCTGACCTCAGTGAGGACACATGGGGCTTTCTGCAGTTCCCTCAATGAGAGGCTGTTTCATGCCTTGGAGCCTTTGCCCAAGAGGTTCCCTGGGCTTGGGGAGTCCTGGTGAGGGCATGTGACCACCATGCCTGCAACTACACCCCCAAAGTCCCCTGTAGGAATTTCTACCACAGCACCCAAGAGACTCAGGAAGACCTGCATCTTTCCCATTCACCTTCCCCGCAGACTGGGAGGGCAGGGACCGATTCTGAGTTACCTCTGCACGCCGGCATCCAACTGGGACCCCGACACGGAAAGTGTTTTCCACATGACTGAGGTGTCATTGCAGGTGTTTCCCTCCTGGAGGGCAGGCTCTGACTTTTCTTTCCCCACAGGGCCAAAGTAGCATGTGGCTGTCTGTGCACATTGGTAGGACTTTAAACAAATCCCACAAAAACTGTAGGGTTGCTTAAAAAAAAAAAAAAACTGTAGGGTTGCTTAAAAAAAAAAAAAAACTGTAGGGTTGGTTTGTTGAAGAGAGCGTTGAGACCAGCTCGTCTCTTCTGTTTCATTACCTGCGCATTTTTGTTCAGCACGGGCGTTCTTCCATTCCCTTTGCTGCTGCAAAGACCATTCTCTGTTTTGTTCCTCTTGGAATTTCTTCCTCTCATGGAAGTTTAAATCCTCTCCCATGAATTTCTGCATTCCTGATATCGTATTCCGAACATCATTATCTGACTGCCGGGCTGGAAGATCTTTCTTAAGGGCTAGGGGGTCGGACAGATCAAATTCACGGCGAGTTTCTGGCTTCTGAAAGCTCTGTTGGAAGTCATTGATAGCCCTACAGAGATTTTTCCTATCCCTCTTTTTCCGGTTTTCCAATATGCACATGATTTTGTCATTTTGCCTCATTTCAGCAGCTGGAAGAGATACAGCATATCCATAAGCTTAGGATTCAGAGGAAAAAATAAATTTGAATCCATTTTATTTTTTATTATTTACTTTTTTAGAGATAGGGCCTCATTATGTTGCCTGGGCTGGTCTCCTGGCCTCCAACCATCTTTCTGCCTCAGCCTCCTGAGTCACTGGGATTATAGAAGTGAGCCACTGAACCCAGCCCATGAATCTACTTTAAAAACTAATTTTTTCAGTGATTGCAAAAGTAATACAACCCTCCAAAAAAGTAACACAGCCATTAAAGGATTAGTATCCTGAATATACAAAGAGTACCTACAAATCAATTAAAAAAACCCCAAAACCCCAACCCAATAAATGGGCAAAGTGTAGGAACGGCCAGGCAGATCACTATAAAGAAACCTGAGGCTGGGTGTGGTGGCTCACACCTGTAATCCCAACACTTTGGGAGCCCGAGGTGGGCGGATCACCTGAGATCAGGAGTATAAGACCAGCCTGACCAACATGGTGAAACCCTGTCTCTACTAAAAATTCAAAATTAGCCGGGCGTGGTGGCAGGAGCCTGTAGTCCCAGCTACTCGGGAGGCTGAGGCAAAAGAATCGCTTGAACCCAGGAGGCAGAGGTTGCTACGAGCCAAGATCACGCCGCTGCATTCCAGGCTGGGTTACAGAATGAGACTCTGTCTCAAAAAAAAAAAAAAAAAAAACCTGAGTAATCAATACAATTATGAAAGGATGATCACCCATACAAGGTGGGAAACATCCAATGAATCGAAGGCAAAATATTTAAAATGCTAATAATGGCACACATTAGTAAGGATGTGGGGAAACAAGATCTCTCATTTGCGGCCAGGCATGGTGGCTCACGCCTGTAATCCCAGCACTTTGGGAGGCCGAGGTGGGCGGATCACAA
The DNA here is from genome assembly GCF_000001405.40 of Homo sapiens. Taxonomy (NCBI): domain Eukaryota; kingdom Metazoa; phylum Chordata; class Mammalia; order Primates; family Hominidae; genus Homo; species Homo sapiens. The sequence goes on along the minus strand of NC_000022.11, from coordinate 45,416,693 downwards.
GGTCAAGAGATAGAGCTTATCCTGGCCAAGATGGTGAAACCCCGTCTCTACTAAAAATACAAAAATTAGCTGGGCTTGGTGGCACGTGCCTATAGTCACAGCTACTTGGGAGGCTGAGGCAGGAGAATCGCTTGAACCCGGGAGGCAGAGGTTGCAGTGAGCCGAGATCGCTCCACTGAACTCCAGCCTGGTGACAGAGCAAGACTCCATCTCAAAAACAAAACAAAACAAAACAAAAACCTCTCATTTGCTGCTTGTAGGAGTGTAACTTGGTACACTTACAACGAAACAATTTTTCAATATCCCATAAAACTACCTTTGATCCATCAATTCCACTTCTAGTTATCCCTTTCACATGTGCTAGGGACACAATTCTTGGACAGTCATTGCAGCAGTGTCCACAATGACAAAACAACTGAAAAAAAAAAATCTAAACCAGCCATCAGTATGGGAATGGATGAAGAAACTGTAGTTAATTCATATAACAAAATGCCATAAAACAATTAAAATGAATACTCTCTATATGTAAATCACTGATTAATTTCAAAAATACAAGCCTGGATGAAAGAAAAGCATACTGCAAATGGATCTATTCAATAGGATACCATTTACATAAATTTTAAAAACACATAAAAACAATTTTATATTGTTATGAATACATACATAAATAGTACAAGCATAAATAGTGCGTGGGGGCTGGGCCTGGTGGCTCATGCCTGTAATCCCAACACTTTGGGAGGCAGAGGCGGGAAGATCACCTGAGGTCAGGAGTTCGAGACCAGCCTGGCCAACATGGTGAAACCTCGTCTCTACTAAAAATACAAAAATCAGCCCAGCATGGTGGTGTGCACCTGTAATCCCAGCTACTCGGGAAGCTGAGACAGGAGAATTGCTTGAACCCAGGAGGCGGAGGTTGCGGTGAGCTGAGATCGCGCCACAGCTCTCCAGCCTGGAAGACAGAGCAAGACTCCATCTCAAAAGAAAATAGAAAAAAAAGCATGGGAATGATAAACACTTCTGAGGAGAAAGGAGGGGAAAATTAAGAGGTAGGGGGCAGGGCAGTGTTGTTATATATATATATATATATATACACATATATAAAAAACACAATTCTCAAAAAACACTGAAGATATCTGAAGCCAATCTGGCAAAATGTTAACATCTAGTCTGATGGTGGGTACATATGTACCTGTCACATTGTTTTTGTAAGATTGAATTACCTCATAACTAAAAATATTAATAAAAAAGATAAAATGTTTAGAACATACAGAACAGTATAAAGGAGAAAATAAAGTTTACTCATAATTCTATCCCTCCAACATTACCCTGCTAACATTTTGGCATATTTCCTCTCTTCTTCTTCTGAGCATATTTTAAAATATTTTAAAAACATAACAGCCCATTGTATGTACAATTTTGTATCCTGCTTTTTTTTCTATTATAAAAATCTTTATGGTGTTTAAAAACACTGAAATTTCTTTTTTTTTTTTTTTTCAATTTATTTTTTGTAGAGATGGGGTCTCGCTTTGTTGCCCAGGCAAGTCTGGAGCTCCTGGTCTCAAGTGATCCTCTAGTTTTAGCCTCTCAAAGTGTGAAATTTCAACAATTGTTGAAATTGTTGGACACGATAGGGGAAAATAAGTTGTATTTGAAGTGGAATAATAATACCTTGAATAACAGTATTCAAGGTACTTGAATACTATGATTTGAATCATGTCTGTCTCTGAGTCAGCTTGAGGGTGTGAGCCCGGACATATGTGTTGTCTGGTATAAACAGCTGTCCTTCATAGACGGTCTTAAACTTTTGAGCAGAGCAAGTGAGTGTGTGTGTGTGTCTTTCTGTGTTTAAGGCTTTTCCTATCCAGTTTTTTAAGAAAATGAAGGAAAACATACATATACCCTTAAAATCTATTTCTTATAATCCACATTCGAATTCAATAGCTGTTTTTAAGAGAAGAATCAGTGCATTAAGTTAACTGGGCACAAGAAATTGTGAAATTTAAAAGGAAGAAGAGTGTGAAAATGACAACTTTTTATATATGTGAAGAAAGGAGGGCTGGGTACCGTGGCTCATGCCTGTAGTTCCAGCACTTTGGGAGACTGACGTGGGAGGATCACTTGCACGCAGGAGTTCCAGACCAGCCTGGGCAACATAGTGAGACCCTATCTCTATTAAATAAAAAAAATAAAAAATAAAAAAAAAAAGGCGGGGCAGGGGGACGGTGGGGAAGACTGGAGTCTAAAGCCACACAATCCTAAACCAATAGATAAGCATTCAGGAAATGCTCACCAAAGGTTTCATGTCTAGCTTTTTCAGTAGCTTCTTTTATCTTCTGGTCATGAACTTGAACATCCCAGGCTTCAGTGTCTCCCTATAAATGGAAAAACAGAGGAGAAGGGTTAGAGCCAGATCATTTTATTCAGTAATAACAATCCTACTTATTATTATTTTTAATCTCTGCCCCACTGTAAACGAGTTGTAGAAAATCTGGCTCAGGGGAGGAGAACCGTTGGTGACTCCAGGCGAGCTCGAGAGGGAGCATTATTGGCCCTGCAGGAGGCCGTTTGCTGCCTCCTGGCTCAGATGTTTCATCCTAGAACTCATCTCCTTTCCCCCTCCACGCAGCCCCTCGCCCGCATCTGCCGCTCTAACCCCGTCCCGGCCCCTGCCCTTTCACCCCAATTATCCTGTTTCTGGCGTTGAAGACCCGCTTCTGCCTGCACAGCTCCGCGTGCCTCCTCTTTGCCAGGTTGGCGTCCTGCCGCAAGTCCCTGGGCAGCGCCACCGCCATGGTCTGGGAACCCATGGAAAGCCTAAGGGGTTTTTAGAACACGCAGGATCAGGAGAACAGGCGACGAAAATAAGGAAGCTGTAGCGCAGGCAAGGTCGGCTCCTTCGGTCGGGCAGGGGAAAGACAAGCCTTTAGCGCAGTTTTCCGTCGGGCTCCCAGTGACGCCGCAGAGGTACAGACGCTCCCGCTCTCTCGGAAATGTCAACAACTCGTTGCTAAGGAACGGCTCCGCGCTTGCCGCGTCTCGCTCTCTTCTCGCGACACTTGGCGAATCCCTTCCCGCGCTTTTTCCGCGGGCGCTTGATAACGCGGGTGAGGCGTGGAGGGCGGCGCCATGGCCCACCTGGAGCTGCTGCTTGTGGAAAATTTCAAGTCGTGGCGGGGCCGCCAGGTCATTGGCCCCTTCCGGAGGTTCACCTGCATCATCGGCCCCAACGGCTCTGGTAACTGAGCAGCTCAGGGCGCCACCGGAGCGCCTCCGCCGTCCCAGGCGTCCAGGCCACACGTGGCCTGTGGGGTGTGGGCGTCTGCCGCGGGCGCCTGGCCGGCCTTCCCCTTCCAGTCCCGGAGCCTGACCGCGACCGGATCCCGGCCTGGCCCTGGCCCAGCCCCTGCCCATCACCCCACCTCAGCCCCGGTCCTCGCCGTCCACCTCAGGGGTCCCGACCCTTGTCCCTCCGCCCCACCTCGGAGGTCCTGACCCTTCCACTCGGCCCCGCCTCGGGCCCCGCTCTCGCCCTCCACCTCCTGGCTCCCGACCCTCCTCCGACACCCTGAGGGACCCCACCCCACCTCAGCTCCGGCCCTCGCCCTTCATCTCAGGGGCTCCCAACCCTCGCCCCCCACCCTGGGGGTCCTGACGCTTCCTCTCCGCCCCGGTCCCGCCCTGGGCCCTGTTCTCTGCCCTCACTCCTGCTTCGGGGACTGCTCTTGCCCTTGGCCCTGGTCACTCGCGTCCCTTTTCCCTTCTCATCCGAAGTTGAAGTGAGAGGGAGCTGTCGAGGAGGTAATGGGTTCCAAGCAGCCAGAACCACCATTTGGATCCAAGGGAGCTTTGACCCAGGAATGTAGTGATGATGACCCAGTTTACTGAGCTTTTCCTAAGTTCCTGGCGACACCGTCTTTGGTTAGCCATGGCGCATGGCTGCTCTCCCCATTTTATAGTTGGGGAAACTGAGGTCTGGAGAGGCCAGAGGACCTGCGGAGGTCTCTACTAATAATACCAAAATTAGCTGGGTGTGGTGGCACACGCCTGTAATCCCAACTACTCTGGAGGCTGAGGCGGGAGAATCGCTTGAACCTGGGAGGTGGAAGTTGCAGTGAGCCAAGGACACGCCATTGCACTCCAGCCTGGCAACACAGTGCGACTCTCGTCTCAAAAAAAAAAAAAAAAAAAAAAAAAAGGCTGGGCGCGGTGGCTCACACCTGTAATTCCAGCACTTTAGGAGGCCGAGGCGGGTGGATCATGAGATCAGGAGTTCGAGACCAGCCTGACCAACATGGTGAAGCCCTGTCTCTACTAAAAATACAAAAATTAATCGGGTGTGGTGACATGCACCTGTAATCCCGGCTACTGAGGAGGCTGAGGCAGGAGAATCGCTTGAACCCGGGAGGCAGAGGTTGCAGTGAGCCAAGATAGCACCACCGCACTCCAGCCTGGGTAACAAGAGCGAGACTTCGACTCTAAAATAAAATAAAATAAGATAAATATAAAATAAAATTGGCCGGGCGCCGTGGCTCATGCCTATAATCCCAGCACTTTGGGAGGCCGAGGCGGGCGGATCACCTTAGGTCAGGAGTTAGAAACCAGCCTGGCCAACATAGTGAAACCCCTGTCTGTACTAAAAATACAAAAATTAGCTGGGGGTGGTGTCACGTGCCTGTAATACCAGCTACTTGGGAGACTGAGGCAGGAGAATCACTTGAACCCGGGAGGCGGAGGTTGCAGTGAGCCAAGACTGTGCCACTGCATTCCAGCCTGGGCGACAGAGCAAGACTCTGTCTCAACAAAAAAATAAGGCCTGACATGGTGGCCCACACCTGTAATTCCATCACTTTGGGAGGCTGAGGCAGGCAGATCACTGGAGGTAGGGGTTCAAGACCAGCCTGGCCAACATGATGAAACCCCATCTGTACTAAAAATACAAAAAAGCCTGGCGTGGTGGCGCACGCCTGTAGTCCCAGCTACTCAGGGGACTGAGGCAGGAGAATCGCTTGAACCTGGGAGGCAGAGGCTGCAGTGAGCTGACATCACGCCACTGCACTCCAGCCTGGGCAACAACAGAACAAGACTGCATCTCAAAAATAAATAAGTAAAAATAAATAAATAAATAAAATGCACCGTTCAGTGGTTTTTAGTATATTCAAAAGTTGTGCAACCATCATCACCATCTACTTCCAAAACATTTTCATTGCCCCCAAAGAAACCTTGTACTCATTAGCAATCACTCCCTGTTATTTCCTCTCCACCTAGCTCCTGGTATCTACTAATTCACTTTCTGTCTCTATGGATTTACCTATTTGGGACATTTCGTATAAATAGAATCAGACAATATATGGCCTTTTGTGTCTGACTTCTTTCACTTAGCATAATGTTTTTCAGATTCATCTATGTTGCTCCTTGTATTAGTACTTATTTCCTTCTTATTTTCAAATAATATTTCACTGTATAGATATACTACATTTTGTTTATCCATCAGTTGATAGTTTGGGTTGTTGCCACTTTGTGGTATGTTATGCTGCCTTGACTCTCTTGACAGACTATAACCTTTATTAGGCAGGGACAATATTAATGAAATTTAATGGAATAAATGGATTTGGATGAGAAGTATTTATTTTAGGCAGATTTAAATAAGGATTGACTTATTGATTTTAAAAGTTTATGTTTAGTTTTGTTACTTAATACTTAAATTACTTAATAATTTAATTCAGTGAATGTTTATCTTGTCCATATGCACTGTCTTACAATAGCCCTCAATGTGCAGATTATCCATTAACCCAAAAAAGCCGTTTCATACCTGTTAGTTGACTGAGACTCAGCTAAATAAATTTGCAGCAATTTATTTCTAGTTCTTTTTAGAAAGACCCTAAACCTCTAAAACTAAGCCATATTTCCGGTGGCTGATAGTATTCCTTTGCTTTGTTTATGTTACTTTCCTAGTTTTGGCATTGAAAATTAATTAATTATTTCTTTTGTCTTGAGATGGAGTCTTGCTCTCTTGCCCAGGCTGGAGTACAGTGGTGTAATATCAGCTCACTGCAACCTCTGCCTTCTGGATCCAAGTGATTCTTCTGCCTCAGCCTCCCGAGTAGCTGGGATTACAGGCGCACGCCACCACAGCTGGCTAATTTTTTGTATTTTAGTAGAGACGGGGTTTCACCATGTTGGTCAGGCTGGTCTCGAACCCCTGACCTCGGGTGATCTTCCTGCCTCGGCCTCCCAAAGTGCTGGGATTACAGGTGTGAGCTGCTGCGCCCAGCCTGAAAATTTAAACTGCTTTGTGGATATAGGGGAAGGGATGTGAAAAGGAGAAATAATAGTGATGGTGACAGCTGCATTGACATTGCACCTTGGAAATTGTCTTAGAGAAAATTATGGGCCAATGATTGGGTAACAGATTTAACATTGGGGTTAGGAATGCCCACAACTACCCTTAGGTTCAGTAATTTGTTGGGAAAACTCACAGGATTCTACATATAGTTTGACTCAATACTATTATTTATTACAGTGAAAAAATACAAAGCGAACTCAGCAAAGGGAAAGGATATATGAGGCAAAGTCTTAGGAAACCAGTTGCAAGATTCCAAGTCCTTACCCATTGGTGTCACTCAGTGCTTCATTCCTCCAGCAGCTAGTCCACACATGTGAAATGTTGCCCACCAGGGAACCTCACTAAAGACTCAATGTGCAGCGTTTTTATCGGGAGATTGTCACATAGGCACCGTTTGCCTATCATGTACCCAAGTTCCAGAATCTTCTTAGGCCAGACCTTCCTCAAAAGAAATTATAAAATAATATTCCAGAATCCTAGAAAGAAAGCATATGTTCAGATTAAATCATATTGTTTGTACAGATAGTTTAGGCACTGTGAGCCATTCTTAATAGGGAATGTTAGAAACCCTCCCAACATCCAAATCCAAATCCCTGTAAGCCAGCCAACCTTGTAAGTAGGACTTTCAAAAGATAACAGTATCAAGCCTGCTATATAAATTTTCTGTAGCACCATCTCATACCAATCAAACAATTTTAATCTAGCCCTCGATCCTGGATTTAGTTAGCTTCTCTTGTTTTTATTTATTTATTTATTTATTTATTTATTTATTTATTTATTTATTTAGAGTTGGAGTCTCTCCTCGTTGCCCAGGCTGGAGTGCAGTGGTGCAATCTCGGCTCACTGCAACCACCGCCTCCTAGGTTCAAGCAATTCTCTTGCCTCAGCTTCCTGAGTAGCTGGGACTACAGGTGCGTGCCACCAAGCTCGGCTATTTTTTATATTTTTTGGTAGAGAGGGGGCTTCACCGTGTTGGCCAGGCTAGTCTCGAATTCTTGACCTCAGGTGATCTGCTCACCTTGGCCTGCCAAAGTGCTAGGATTATAGGCATGAGCCACCGCGTCCAGCCTTAGCCTCTCTTTTTTAGAGTATAAGAGGATTTGGTGCTGCACCAATGCTTTAGGTAGTTTCCATATTTATAAAATGAGGATAATTGAAACTCAGTGAAGTTAAATGATTTGCCATGGTGTGATACCTAACAATGGAAGAGAGCTGGGATTTAGATAGGTGTATTTCAGTCCTTAAATTTAGACCTCTTAATAGTCTACAATAGATGCATAGAAGAAATGAGTTATCTACATCAAATATTTCAGTCATGCATTTTGAACATTGATTAAAAAGGACATGTCTTTTGGCTATATTTCACTTCGATTGGTGGCCTGATTTCTTCAGCTCTGGGTAGGGCTTTTTATCATTAAGAATGAATAATGTTTTATCTCTTTTCTTCCCCAGGAAAATCTAATGTAATGGATGCACTTAGTTTTGTAATGGGAGAGAAAATAGCTAATTTAAGAGTGAAAAATATTCAAGAACTCATTCATGGAGCACATATTGGAAAACCTATTTCTTCTTCTGCAAGTGTAAAAATTATATATGTGGAGGAAAGTGGCGAAGAGAAAACATTTGCAAGGATTATCCGAGGTATTTTTTTATAATTTTTTTTCATTTTATTTTTCAAGAGTCAAGTAAGATTGCCCATTTTTTCTTTCTTTGGAGGGTATGGTTTATTATTCTACTGGTGTAATGAACTAGAGTTCTTTTTTCTCTTGCATAGCATATCTCAGAAGCAAGTAACAGAACCTGTTTGATTCGCCACATATTTCTCCAATTATGTCTGCTTTTCCTTAACTGACATAATTGTTCAAATCCCCCTACTGTCAAATAACATTTTAAAATCTGGATATTTAGTTAAGATGAAGGAGGGAGGGTCGGGTATGGTGGCTCACGCCTGTAATCCCAGCACTTTGGGAGGCCGAGGCGGGCGGATCACGAGGTCAGGTGATTGAGACCATCCTGGCTAACACGATGAAACCCCGTCTCTACTAAAAATACAAAAAATTAGCTGGGCGAGGTGGCAGGCACCTGTAGTCCCAGCTACTCGGGAGGCTGAGGCAGGAGAATGGCATGAACCCGGGAGGCAGAGCTTGCAGTGAGCCGAGATCACGCCACTGCCCTCCAGCCTAGGCGACAGATCAAGACTCCGTCTCAAAAAAATAATAATAAGATGAAGGAAGGAGTACCTTGAAGACAGAGAAATCATAAAATTTATTCTTGAGGTTCTTTATGTTTATCAGTTTTTCTTAGTGATGAACAAATTGTATGCATATTTTTGGCTTTATTATAGACAGTTTTTTCTACCACCAAAAAGCAACTTGAGTGAAATGTTTGAATTTGTGTGTGTGTGTATATATACATTTACGGGAAAAGAGCGGGGATTTGGGAAAGAGGAAGAAATTTTTTTTAAAGGTGTGGATAGAAAAGAGACCAGTGGTTGCATTCTTTTGAGCCTTTGATCAATTGTTCACATGTGACAGGGGTAGAGGCATAGTCACTTCTGCATTAGGCTAGCTCAGTGAATCTGCATTTTTATATAAGATAATATAGGCTGGGCATGGGGCTCATGCCTGTAATCCCAGCACTTTGGGAGGCCACAGCAGGACGATTGCTTGAACTCGGGAGTTTGAGACCAGCCTGGGAAACGTGGTGAGACCTTGTCTCTACAATTAGCTGTGTGTGGTAGCGTGAGTCTATAGTCCCAGTACTTAGGAGGCTGAGGTGGGAAGATGACTTGAGTCCGGGAGGTCTAGGATACAGTGAGCCAAGATTGCGCCACTGCACTCCAACCTGGTCAACAGAGCAAGACCCTGTCTCAGAAAAAAAAAAAGATAAAGATAGTGCAGAGGAGACAATCAGATATACATTTATCTCAGGTGAGCAGAGGGATGACTGAGTTCTGTCCTTTGTCCTGTACATGTGAAGATAAGCTATCAATTTATATTGTCAGGTTAAAATTCAACAGAACTGTTTTAGGGTAAAGATCTTGGGGCCCACAAGGAATTTCCCTGTGGGTAAATTGTGAGGGAGGCATGCAGTTTTTGTTGCTGTTGTTGTTTTTCAATCTTTACAGCTACCTTATTTAGTAACAAAATAGGAGGCAAGTTTGCATGACCTAGTTCCCAGGTTGACTTTTCCCTTTGGCTTAGTGAGTTAGGGGTTCTGAGATTTATTTTCCTTTTACATCCTGACTAGGATATATGCTCTTCAGATAAGAGACTTTCATGTGTTTTGTTCGCCACTGTAAAAGAGACCTTGACATGTAATAGACACTCAATATTTGTTGACTCATTAAATGCATTTATTCCCATGTATATTATTATATAACTGGCCATTTCAATAAGAAAAATAATTTTATTAAACTTTCGGTGGATTTTGAGGTATATCTGGTATTTATATATTTTTTAACAGGGTTTATTTTTTTATTTTAGGGGGATGCTCAGAATTTCGCTTTAATGATAATCTTGTGAGTCGTTCTGTTTACATTGCAGAGTTGGAAAAGATAGGCATAATAGTCAAAGCACAAAATTGTTTGGTTTTTCAGGTAAGTAGCTATAGTAGTTTATTTGATTCAGAGTTTTGAAAATACATCACTATATTTTATATGTTGATGTGCATTACTGTTTTTAAAAGGGAACTGTAGAGTCAATTTCAGTGAAGAAACCCAAAGAAAGGACCCAGTTTTTTGAGGAAATCAGCACTTCAGGAGAGCTTATAGGAGAATATGAAGAAAAGAAAAGAAAGTTACAAAAAGCCGAAGAGGATGCACAGTTTAACTTTAATAAGAAAAAAAATATAGCGGCAGAGCGCAGACAAGCAAAATTAGAGAAGGAAGAGGTAAGATGTCATGAAGATGTAACCATTAGTTGTTGGATATAAAACTTTCTATGTTAGAATCACTAGGTATGGGCTTGGGCTTACCAAGAAGATTAATTTAATAGTATAAGACAATTAAAGCCCAATATTCATTAAGATAAACTTTTTGATGTATTTCCCACTATTTGGGTTTTTCTTTCCGAATAGGCAGGACAGCCTGAACTAGAAAAATGTCTGATTTTCCCAACTAAAAACAAGCTTGAGGGGTTTATGTCTTATGTGGCAAAGGCTCTCAGATGTTTGGATATTAAACCCCTTATGCTCTTAAAAATTATTGAGGACCCCAAAGAGTTTTTGTTCATATGGGTTATATCTATTAATATTTATTGTATGTGAAATTAACACTGGAAATTTAAAAAATATTTTAATGATCCCTGTAAAAATAGCAATAAACTCATTACATGTTAATATAAATAGCATTTTTATGAAAGATAACTGTATTTTCCACAACCAATTAGAAGAGAGACATTGTTTTACCACTTTTATAATTTCCTTAATGTCTAGCTTGATAAAAGACAGCTGAATTCTCATAAACATTTCTGTGTTAAATCTTACTTATGCTAAGGCCTAGCAATTTTGTCCACACTGTTAGTGCATGTGTCGACACATTGAAATAGACAAAGTCTTAGTATTATTATGAAAATAATTTTGTTTTCAGGGACTCCCTAAAAGGGTCTTGGGAACCTCCTAGGAGGCCATGACCACATTACATGCAAATGTACTTCTATACATTTCTTGGGCCCCTTCAAAATGCCTAATATAGTACCTTATCTTCAGTTGTAGTTAAAGTGATATTTTTGAAACTCAAATCAGATCCTAACTTTCCATGCATAAAACCTTCCAGTGCAGTGCTTCTCACTGCACTGAGAGTCTTGTCTCTTTTTTTTTTTCCCCAGGCTGGAGTGCAGTGGCATGATCTTGGCTCACTGCAAGCTCCGCCTCCTGGGTTCACGCCATTCTCCTGCCTCAGCCTCCCGAGTAGCTGGGACTACAGGTGCCCGCCACCGTTCCTGGCTAATTTTTTTTTTGTATTTTTAGTAGAGACGGGGTTTCACCGTGGTCTCATTCTCCTGACCTCGTGATCTGCCTGCCTCGGCCTCCCAAAGTGCTGGGATTACAGGCGTGAGCCACCGCGCCTGGCCAAGAATCTTGTCTCTTATAAGGCGTACTAGCCTTGTCTCTGTTTACCTCTTGAGCCTTAACTTCCTATGCTTTGCTACCACCTTGACCTTTATTATGTGTTGAACACACCAAACTCCTTTCTATTCTGGGGCTTTTGCTATTTCCTCTGCCTAGATAGCTGTGTGCCTGATTTTACATACCTGGTAGTCTCTCATTCATGTTTTTATTAAAAAGCCATTTTCTCAGGTAGGCATTTACTGTTCATTCCTCCAATCTAAATTAGCACCCCCTCCCTTGTACTAGCACATTACCCTATTTTGTTTCTTTTGTAGCGTTTATTGCTGTATAAAATTATCTTGTTTATTATTTGTTTGCTTGTCTGTCAACAAAGAGTCAAACTCCGTAAAATATTTGAAGAGATTTATTCTGTGCCAAATATGAGTGACCATGGCCTGTGACACAGCTCTAAGGAGATCCTGAGAACATGTGCCCAAGGTGGTTGGGCCACAGCTAGGTTTTATACATTTTAGGGGGACATAAGACATCAGTCAATACTTGTAAGATGTATGTTGCTTCATTCTGGAAAGGAGGGGGAGCCAGGGCTTCCAGGTTATAGGTGGATTCAAAGATTTTCTGATTGGCAATTGATTGAAAGAGTTTTAGCTAAAGACCTGGAATCAATAGAAAGGAAATGTCTGGATTAAGATAACGGATTGTAGAGACCAATGTTCTTGTTATGCACAGGAAGCCTCCAGGTAGCAGGCTTCAGAGAGAATACATTGTAAATGTTTCTTATCAGACTTGAAAAGGTATGGGACTCTTAGTTGGTTGTCTCCTGGTTCAGGAAAAAAGGTTTGGAAAAGGGAAAGGGGATTCTCTACAGAATGTAGATTTTTTTCCCCACAAGAGACAACTTTGCACGGCTATTTCAAGATATGGCAAAGAAACATATTTGCAGTTAAAATATTTTAATTTCCTTCCTTATCTGTCATGTGATACTATGCCAGCATCAGGTTGGAAAGTAAGCTATATGATATAGGGTGAATAAAACCCCTCTGGCCAGGCATGGCGCCTCATGCCTATAATCCCAACACTTTGGGAGACCGAGGCAGGTGGATTACTTGAGGTCAGGAGTTTGAGACCAGCCTGGCCAACATGGAGAAACCCTGTCTTTACTAAAAATACAAAAATTAGCTGGGCGTGGTGGCACATGCCTGTAATCCCAGCTACTCAGGAGGCTGAGGCAGGAGAATCACTTGAAGCTAAGAGGCAGAGGTTGCAGTGAGCCGAGATTGCACCACTGCACTTTAGCCTGGGCGACAGAGTGAGACTCTGTCTCAAAACAAACAAACAAACAAACAAACAAAAAACACCCTCTGATGAAACTTTGTAGAGCAGACTCCCCAGGCTCCTTAGATAGAAATTTGGGCAAGAGAAGAAAAAAGATCAGAGTTTAGTCCTTGTGTTTATTCTCTGACTTTTCTTCCTCTCTTCTCCCCATTAGAATAACTGTAATATAAATTGCACAAGAGCAGGGTTGGGCTGGGTATGGTGGCTCACATCTTTAATCCCAGTACTTTGGGAGGCCAAGGTGGGAGCATCCCTTGAGCCCAGGAGTTCGAGACTAGCCTGGGCAACATAGTGAGACCTCATCTCTACAAAAATAAAAATAAAAAACTTTGCCTGGTGTGGTGGCACACGCCTGTCTTTCCAGCCACTCAGGAGGCTGACACAGAAGGATCTCTTGGGCCCAGGAGGTCGAGGCTACAGTGAGCTGTGATCGTGCCATTGCATTCCAGCCTGGGTGAGAGAGCAAAACTCTGTTTCAAACAAACAAACAAACAAACAGGATCAGGGATAGTCTGTCTTATTTTCTGCTATATTCTCAATGCATAGACCAGCACCTGGCTCATAGTAGATACTCAATACATATTTGAAGAAGTAAATGGAAAGTGGATGTTTCTTATTAGTGATGTTTCTCTGTGTCTTCATGTTTTCTAATATGTATACATGTCCTTGGTTTTGTTAGTGGAAAGGAGTGGCAGCAGTGGAAGTCAGACTATAATAATCACAATATACTGAACTGCAAAATTTAAACATTTTAAGGACAGTTAGAACGAAACAACTTCCTAATTGTTTTTTACAACATCCTAGTGGATAGCCTGTTACTTTGAATACTTCCAATATTGATTAGGAGCTCCTCTTGAGGTAGCCTGTTCCTTTATTTCTTTAATAGCACAAATGTTAAGGAAATTATTATTTTTCACATATAATTTAGCACTGTAAGAGTCCTGTTTTATCGGTAGAAAAACTACTTCCTGTAGTAGGAATTTTTCCTGGAGTCATTGAATTTAAAGTTACTAGCACCTTATAAGTCATATCACACTCTTCTTTCAGTTTACAAAGGAGGAAGCTGATGCCAGAAATACTGATTGAGTTGTGAAACTCACAGGTCCAGACAAAAGGGACCCAGGCTAATGCATGCCACTTCTTTGTTCTCATCATCATACCACTGAGCGCAAGAACACAAAATCATTTGCTGGTGTATTGGGTTATTTAAAAAGTATATTCAGAAACCCTCGCCAAATTATGCTACTTTTGGCAAGAACATTATGTCCTAATAAATAAACATTCATTAGTTAATTTGTTGGTATAGTAGTTGAGTTTATGAAAGGCCAACTTAAATACACTCCCTTTTAACTGCTGTTGAATTATACTCTTTTATAGGCAGAACGTTACCAGAGTCTCCTTGAAGAACTGAAAATGAACAAGATACAACTGCAGCTTTTTCAACTATACCATAATGAGAAAAAGATTCATCTCCTGAACACCAAGTTAGAGCATGTGAATAGGGATTTGAGTGTCAAAAGAGAGTCTTTGTCTCATCATGAAAACATAGTTAAAGCCAGGAAAAAGGAACATGGAATGCTAACTAGACAACTACAACAAACAGAAAAAGAATTAAAGTGAGTTTTTAAAAGTAGATATTAACAGTTGGGTTATATGTAGCTTGATAGAGGGAATAATATAAGTGACACTTTGAAAATTGATTTTAAAAATAAGCTTTTTACTTTGGAATACTTTTAGATATACAGAAAAATTATAAAGATAGTATAGGCCAGGTGTGGTGGCTCATGCCTGTAATCCCAGCACTTTGGGAGGCTGAGGCAGGTGGATCACGAGGTAAGGAGATCGAGACCATCCTGGCTAACACGGTGAAACCCCGTCTCTACTAAAAATACAAAAAATTAGCTGGGCATGGTGGCAGGCACCTGTAGTCCCACCTACTCGGGAGGCTGAGGCAGGAGAATGGCATGAACCTGGGAGGTGGAGCTTGCAGTGAGCCGAGATCACGCCACTACACTCCAGCCTGGGCAACAGCGTGAGACTCCATCTCAAAAAAAAAAAAGGTGGTGTAGAATGGTCCTGAAGTGGTGGTGTTTGGGGTAATACCCGAGGTTCATTGCCTCACAGCAAGGAAATCAAGGATGCAGACACACAAGGAGTGAGGTTAAGAGTGGGTTTAATAGGTGAAAGAAAGAGAAAAGCTTTCTCATGCAGAGAGAGGGGCTCCCAATTGGGTCTTCTGGTCCACAGTGAAGTACAGGCGGTTTTATAGATGAGCTTGAGGAGGCGGTGTCTGATTTAGGGCATGAAGGGTTGTTCAGATCAGGTATTCCATTTGCATAGCACGTGAAGAACCGCTTAGGACTAGATGTGCCATTTGCATAGTGCACAAAGAAGCTGGCCATCCCACCCTAATTTTTTATTATGCAGATTCTGTACCTGGCTGGCGCCATGTTTGCCAGCTTTTCTACTGTACACGTGGTGACAAAGAAAAGGGAAGATGGAGCCTTCATGTTGAACATAGCTGGCTTCTGAGTACCCCTTTTCTATTGGCTCAGCTGCCGGCATTCACTCGTGTAAGCTTCCAGCTTGCTTATGTACCCCATTTGTAGCCTAATTTTTCAGGCTCCTCTTTGTTAGAAAAGAAATGATTTTGGGGCTGCTTTTCGTTAAAAGGGAAGCTCTGCTGAGGACTCTCTTAACCTTCACTATCTGCCTAAATAATTTATTTTTAGCCCCTGTATCAGTCCCATATTCCCAACACTCAGTTTCTCCTATTATTAATATCTTACATTATTATGATACATTGTCAGAATTAATAAACTAATATTGATACATTAACTAAAGTCCATACTTTATACATATTTTCTCAGCTTTTGCCTAATGTCCTTTTTATGATCCAGAATACCATATTACATTTAGTTATATGTCTCCTTAGGCACCTTTTAGCTGTGACAGTTCTTGTTTTTGATGAACTTGACAATTTTGAGGAATATTGGTCAGTTTTTTTATAGAACATCTTTCAATCCGGATTTGTCTGATGGTTTTCACATAATTAGACTGAAGATACAGACTGTGGGGAGGAAGCCCACAGAAGTAAAATGTCCTTCTCATTATATTCTATCAGAGTGTCAGTGTATTATATATGTTACATGACATTTATCATGTACTATATCATGTGTCATATCAACATGGTATCACTGTTGATGTTGACCTTGATCACCTGACTGAAGTAGTTTTTGTCATGTTTCTCCTCTGTGAGGTTATTTTTTCTCCCTTTTCATACTATAATCTTTGAGAGGAAGTCACTATGCTTAGCCCACACTTAAGGAGTAAGGAGAGTTATGTTTTACCTTGAGGGCAAAGTATCTACATGATTTTTTTGGAATTCTGCACAGATTTGTCTCTACTTAATTATTTTAAAATTAAATTAATTGTTATTTGTTTACATCAGTATAGATTTATGGATATTTTACATTTAGAGTTATAATCCAGTATTACATTGTTGATTTTGTTGCTTAGATTGTTCCTGCTGTGGCCACTGAGAACTCTTTGAGTTGGCTCCTGTGTCCCTTTGAAATATTCTCATTACTGTGATTTTTTTTTGGAGCTCTTCCTTACTTTCTAGAAGATAAGTATCTTCTACTGTCATCTTGTATAAGCCAGTCCAAGCATCAGCTTGCCCCAGCTTGTATGAGCCTGCCCCAGGCTCTCCAAGGAACCCTGGTTCCTTTTATCGGAGAACAGTATTAGGAACCAACATCTAGGTGGTAGGTGTGTTCGTTGCTACTGGAGTGTCCTTGCTTCTAGGCTTTCTCAGCTGTTGGAACTAGGAAATACCTGTGTATACTATTTATACACATAGCTATAAATATTTTCATATGTGACCATCTATATTAAGCTAAACATGAGTTCATATTGATGTCTCCCAATTCTAAGCCATTACCACATTAATCATTCTAGCCTTCTCTTGCTTATCTGTAACCTCCCACTTCAACAATGGGAAATCTGGCTTCTACCATCTGCCATCCATTTGCTTAATTGTGCATTTCCAGTAATCACGTGTAATAGCGTCAGAATTGTTAACCCGTACCCCCATGGAAAGCATCTTTGTAACTACAGTATAGTACTTATATACAATTCTTTTGCTTTTAGTCTTACAGACTCCACTCATTTCTAGAATTAGGTCAGCATGTTTTCCTTCCACCCCTTCAGTAAGGCTGTTTCTACATTTATAATAAAGTTAGATTTTTTATTGCATTCTACATTCCATATAGGATCCCTTAGCCTCCTGAGTGATTCTTTTTTAATTTGCTTACATTAAGGTTCATCCTTGGTGCTGTAAAGTAATACAGGTTTTGGCAAATTCATAGTGTCAAGTGTCTACCACTACAGTACCACTCTCAAAAGTGACCGTGTGCTTTATTCATCCCTCCCCCTGACCTTGCTCAACCTTTGGCAACCATTGATCTGCTTACAGTCTCTGAAAGTTGATTTTTAGGATTTCTTTTTTAAAGTGGTTTGATCAAAACAACTTCTTCCCTTTATATATTAAAGAAATGAAATTTTCTTTAAAGCAAACATTTTTCCCTTTTCAGATCGGTTGAAACCCTTTTAAATCAGAAGAGGCCTCAGTACATTAAAGCCAAAGAAAACACTTCTCACCACCTTAAGAAATTAGATGTGGCTAAGAAATCAATAAAGGACAGCGAAAAACAATGTTCTAAACAGGAAGATGATATAAAAGCCCTGGAGACAGAGCTGGCTGATTTAGATGCTGCATGGAGAAGTTTTGAAAAGCAGATTGAGGAAGAAATTTTACATAAAAAGCGAGACATTGAACTGGAAGCCAGTCAGGTAAAAAAGGACAACTTAGGGGAAATCTTGTGTTTCTATTATTTCAGCTGCTTTGAATTAGAAAAAAATTTAAAAGATGACCTCTCTGATATTTTAAGAGATTATCCTCAATGTAAATTGTGGGGATTTAAATTTTTCAGCCTGTATACAGAACTAGATTTATTTATTTTTAATTTTAATTTTGTAGAGAGAGGGTCTCGCTCTGTCACTCAGGCTGGAGTGCAGTGGCATAATCATGATGCAGGATTTTTTTTTGTTTGTTTTTGAGATGGAGTTTCGCTCTTATTGCCCAGGTTGGAGTGTAATGGTGTGGTCTTGGCTCACTGCAACCTCCGCCTTATGGGTTCAAGCGATTCTCCTGCCTCAGCCTCCTGAGTAGCTGGGATTACAGGCATGCGCCACCATGCCTGGCTGATTTTGTATTTTTAGTAGAGACGGGGTTTCTCCATGTTGGTCAGGCTGGTCTCAAACTCCCGACCTCTGGTGATCCACCTGCCTTGGCCTCCCAAAGTACGGGGATTACAGGCGTGAGCCACCATGCCCGGCCGATGCAGGATTTTTCTCAGTCACTTTGTCAGCCAGAGACCCTCAGTTGGTGACGCCCTTGCTCAGGCCTTGCTTGGTCCCACGTTCACTGCAGGAGACACCCTGTCAGCCTGCCAGGCCGCACCTGGCCTGCACTCTGGCGCGAATCCCACAGCTGCCACGACTGCTCACTCAGCCCCCAGCAGAAGAGGGTGTGTGAGCGAGCAAGTTTAGTTTCCAGCCAGCTGTTCCAAGTACCGGCACAGAAGCAGGCTTCATGTGGTGCTTGGAGCTGGACCAGGTGTGTTGCAAGCCACTTCCACAGTGGGCTCTGGCGCCCAGATGAGGGGAACACAGTGGCACCCAGGCAAGGGTGCTCCTGACCCCAAAGCCCCAGAGGGGGTGTTACAGTGTGCTAATCAGCTCTTTAGTCCTGTCTGCAGCCTGAAGGATGCACGTCCGAAGGCATGTTAACAGCTCTGTCAGCCTCTTGACCCACTCTGGCCCTCAGCTCTGGGGCTTGCTCGGCCCCACCACTGCTTCCTGTCATGTGGGGCAGCTGCCCTCTGCCAGCAGAGGGCAGAGGGCCACAGTGTTTCAGCCTTCTGTGTACCCACGTTCAGTGGGTCCTCAGTTCTTGTCCTGTGTCTAAGAAGAATGAAGCTACACTGGCAATCGAAGAGTGAGGAAGGCAAAGAAGAATTTTATTGAGCTATGAAACAGCTCTCAGCAGAGAGGGGATGCAAGAGGTCATCCACTACCTGAAGTCAGGTGGTTTCTCCCCCAGTGTAGCTGGGTCTGGGGCTTTTATGGACTCAGAATGGAGGAATGTGTGCTGATTGGTTTGTGAGTATGCAAAAAAAGGCTAAAACAACGGCACCACCCTAAAGTGGGTACAACAATGTGAAAAACCAATTAGGGAAGGGTAGGTGTATGTAAAATAGGTGAAGGGTAGGGATCAATCAGAGGTAAGCACACCAAACAGCAAGAGAGTTTCTCAGTCTTGTCTGTGGATTTACCCAGCACTTGTAGCTAGGCTTTAAACTGTCTTTGGCTTGAAGGTCAGGTTTCACTGGGGACCCACCCCTGTCTGTCTAGGATTTGTCTGTCTCCTGCTGCTATCAATCATAGTTCACTGCAGTGTCACTCCTGGGCTCAATTGATCCTCCCGTCTACAGGCGCATGCTACCACACCTGTCTAATTTTTAAATTTTTTGTAGAGATGAGGTCACACTGTGTTGCCTAGGCTGGTCTCAAACTCCTGGGCTCAAGTGATCCTCTTGCCTCGGCTTCCCAAAGTGCTGGGATTACAGGCATGATCCACTGTGCCTGGCCTAAAAGACTGTTTAAAATAGAGCAACAAAAACCTCTATACTAAGGTCTCTGTCCAAAAATCTTAAAAGAGAAAGGAGAATCCAGAGAAAATGATATATTTTTTTCTACTTATATAGTTATAATTATTTTGGTATATATAGTCATAATTGTTTTGGTATTTGGTATATTTGTGATATAAGATTATCATAAAATTGATAAAAGAGATAAACGATAAAAATGTGGTTGTTTGTCGATTACATGTTTTTGCCATCTAGTGATTTATTATAATTAAATCTTGTATAATAAGTTAGAGATTAATTCATCACTGAACATTTTAAAGCACCTTAAGTAATCAGTTTCCTTCTTGTCAATTAAGTGATCATGTCTCCTCAAAGCCACATGTATCTTTAAGTGTTTATGAGAGGAAAAAATGATTACCTTATGAATAATAAGATAAACACTTGAGCCCAGGAGGCCAAAGCTGCAGTGAGCCGTGATTGTGCCACTGTACTCCAGCCTGGGCAAAATAAAAATAAATAAATAAATAAGTTTCAAATATAAATAAATAAATAAATAATAAACAGTTTTTTTAAAGGAAGCTTTCATGCTCACATTATTTTACCGGGGGAAGGTGGTCGATTATGATTTAATTTATATAAAGCAAGCTTTTGGGAAGATTAATTATCTTCTAGTACAGGATTTCATACAAAGAAATTTGCTCTCATGCTTCTTAAGGTGAATTAGCAATTTTTCAATACTGTTTATGCAGCTGGATCGTTATAAAGAACTTAAGGAACAAGTAAGAAAGAAAGTAGCTACAATGACTCAACAACTGGAAAAACTGCAGTGGGAACAGAAGACAGATGAAGAAAGACTGGCATTTGAAAAGAGGAGGCATGGAGAAGTTCAGGTGTCTTGGGTTGTACAGTAATGATTTAGAATCATTCTTAATGAAATTTTATTTCCTTTTTGTACCTGTCTCCAGAATGAATCTCCTTAACCTTACACTATACTGTCTCATTTCATTTATTTCATGATTTGGCAGATGAAGATACAAATATAATAGCCATAATCTGTGATAGTTCTGTGAGTAGAAGAGGCATTTTGTGCAAGGAGAAAAACAAAGGTGGTAACATAGCAGGAATTACTTTTAAAACATTTGTATAATTGTGTAATTGATATGTTATAAAATTATACACTGATTTATGAAAATACACATTGGACATTTTTGCCTTTGTACATGCTAGTTTCTTTTTGGAATAACCTATTCATCTTTACATGTTAAAATCTAGAGTTACCAACACCGCAAAGCCTTCCCTGGCCCTCCTTTTCTTTATATCCCAGCTCCTAAAAAAGCCAAAAATAATTTCTTCCTCATATAACTACCTATTATTATTTGATACGGAGTTTCGGTCTTGTTGCCCAGACTAGAGTGCAATGACGCGATCTCGGTTCACTACAACCTCCGCCTCCCAGGTTCAGGCAATTCTCCTGTCTCAGCCTCCTGAGTAGTTGGGATTACAGGCATGCGCCACCATGCTTGGCTAATTTTGTATTTTTAGTAGAGACAGGGTTTCTCCATGTTGGTCAGGCTGGTCTTGAACTCCTGACCTCAGGTGATCCATCCTCCTCAGCCTTGCAAAGTGCTGGGATTACAGGCCTGAGCCACCGTGCCCAGTCAATTTTTTATCTATATCTAAGGGCTTTTGTCAGATCGCATAAAAATTAAAATTAATTGGTACCTCTCTACTGGACTGGAAGCTTATTAAAGGCAGGATTCTAATTGTGTCCATTGTAAACCTTGCACTTAGTAGATGTCAATAAGTGTTGGTTGAATTGCTGTTGTCTTTTGAATACAAAAAAACAAGAAGAACACATGTAGTTGCAGACAGATGGAGAAGACTTGTGGTAGTCTCCAGTTGGATTTAATGATAAAGTGAATAGAACAAAACTTTCCCGAAATCCTCATCCACAAGGCTATTAGTTGCCCTACAGGTGCCTATATTATTATAACACAAAACCACTCTACTATAATTACTTATTTAATTATCTGTCTCTCCTACCAGACATTAGTTCTTTGAGGGCAGGGACTCTTTCCTGCTTATTTCTGTACCTCTAGTTCCTATCACATGGTAGCCAGTGAATATATTTAGATTGTTGCAAAAGTAATTGCAGTACTTTTGTACCAACCTAATATATTTGTTCAGTACATTAGTTAAGGGGTAAGAACTATATAGATATTTGAAAATAATCTCCTTGAAGTTTGAAGTTACAGAGAGAAATCGCTAGAGATCAAATATCTAGCAAATGGTAAAGATTCAGGAGTTGAACCCTGATCTGTAATTTGCTCTGATAAGTGTTTTCATATAATTATATTTGATATCTTTCAATTTTATAACAGCTTATAATATTATAGTAAGTTCTAGGCATGTAATTTTGTTGGTTTGGAATTGCCGTAATTGATTTTAGATTTTATTTCCTCTTTTAGGGAAATCTAAAACAAATAAAAGAACAAATAGAAGATCATAAAAAACGAATAGAGAAGTTAGAGGAGTATACAAAGACATGCATGTAGGTAGAGTAAAAAAAATTTCTTGCAGCAATTTTCTTTTATTTTTTGAGAGAGGGTCTCACTCCCATCGCCCAGGCCAGAGTGCAGTGGCGCAGTCATGGCTTACGGTAGCCTCAACTTCCGGGGCTCACATGACGCTCCTACCTCAGCCTGTAGCTGAGACTACAGGCACATGCCACCACACCCAGCTAATTTTTTCTATTTCTGGTAAAGATGGGGTTTCACCATGTTGCCCAGGCTGATCTTGAACTCCTGGACCAAGCAATCCACCCTCCTCGGACTCCCAAAGTGCTGGGATTACAGGTGTGAGCCATCGCACCCCTTGCAGCTTTCTTATTTATGTATTTCTTCCTTTTTTTTTGAGACAGGGTCTCACTCTCACCCAGACTGGAGTGCAGTTGCGTGATCATGGCTTACTGCAGCCTGCACCCACTGGGCTCAAGTGATCCACCTACCTCAGCCCCCTGAATAGCTGGTACTACAGGTGTGTGCCACCACACCTGGCTAATTTTTTTTTTTTGTATTTTGTAGAGACAGGTTTTTGCCATGTTGCCAGGCTGGTCTCAAATTCCTAGACTCAAGCCAGCCACCCACTCAACCTCTCAAAGTACTGGGATTACAGGAGTGAGCCACCTGGCCCAGCCACATTTTTCAAATCAACAAAGAATGAGCAAAATCTTTTTTGCCCATGTTTGGTGTCAGGTTTATTGCATTTTTTACCCTTTAAAAATTGATAGAGCACTGCTCTATTCCCCTGCAATGCCAGACAGGAGTATGTTGTACCTGGTAATTCCTAAATTTTGGTTTATCATTTTGCTGTATAATTTGTTGTTATTTTGTAGGGATTGCTTGAAAGAGAAAAAACAGCAAGAGGAAACCCTAGTGGATGAAATTGAAAAAACAAAATCAAGAATGTCTGAAGTTAATGAAGAATTGAATCTTATTAGAAGTGAATTGCAGAATGCTGGGATTGATACCCATGAGGGAAAACGTCAGCAAAAGAGAGCAGAGGTTCTGGAACACCTTAAAAGACTGTACCCAGATTCTGTGGTAATGAGAATGAATAGTTAATTTAAACAAAAAAAACTAAGCTTTCCTGTTTGCTTTCAACAGTATCTTCTCATTTGGGATTAGAAATATTACCATTATTACAAAGCAATATTATTTCAGACATCTTTAAGTTTTGTGTTTGACTCTTTATATTTAAAATGTGACAGTAACTAATTAGGGTAAAACTTCCAGTAGTAGCTGTAGATAACGTAATTATTGGGGAGAAGCTTGACATGAACATAGTACCCAGAAAGTTCAAATTGTGGCCAGTATCCCCAAAAGGACCTGGATGCTGTGAAGTACTCTGAGCCACCCAGACACATAGCCTCAAACCTCATGTTTTTCATGGTTTTATTTGTTTTTGAAATATTTTTTCAGCAGACATCATTGGCATATTTTTATTCTGTAAGTATGACTGTGCATCTGGTATTGCTAGTGTATTTCATTAGCCAAAATACAGTATCACTTGTTGCTTGGGGTGCCAGCATCACAAGATTATTTCCTTTTGTATCGGGGTGGCATCTGATCCTCTTGTCCCTAACATCAGTGTATACTGTGCAGTCCTTATTTTATGATATGGCCTGTTTTCAGCATTTGAGACTGGTAACCACTGCTCTGTTTTGAAACACCTACCGGCCAGGGCAGTGTCTCACGTCTATAATCCTAGCACTCTAGGGGGCTGAGGCTGGTGGATCACCTGAGGTCAGGAGTTTGAGACCAGCCTGGCCAACATGGTGAAACCCTGTCTCTACTAAAAATGCAAAAAGTAGCCGCACATTGTGGCAGGCGCCTATAATACCAGCTCCTCAGGAGGGTGAGGTAGGAGAATCGCTTGAACCCGGGAGGCAGAGTTTGCAGTGAGCTGAGATCACACCATTGCACTCCAGCCTAGGCCACAGAGTGAGACTCTGTCTCCAAAAAAAAGGAAACATCTACCATTGGCCTCCATATCCACACTTTCATGGTTTTCCTCCTATGTCTCTGGCCACCCATCTTCATCTCCTTTATAGCATCTGTTTTGACTTTCTGACTCCTAAATGTTGGTTTCGACTTCTGGATAATGATGGAGGAGTAAATCTAGGTCACAAAATCTAGATCCCCCAATTCCTATCCAAGTGACAAAAACTAGTGAAACACACACACACACACACAACTAGTTAAAAAAAAAATCGACCTGATGCCATAAACTTTAGAAAATGGTGATAATCTAGGATTTAAAAAAAAAAAAAAGTATTGAAGTATAGCATTGCTTTTTCTCAACTCCACAGAAGCTGAACTGATAAATTGACTAATTCCTGAGAATTCTCACCTAGTATTCCTTGATCTAGCAAGAAGCAAACTCACATGTATGTGTTTCCTTTTCCTCTTCTAACTGGAGAGAGATTTAAAAACTGGTGAACTGGGTGCCTGTAATCCCAGCGCTTTGGGAGGCCGAAGTGGATGGATCACTTGAGGTCAGGAGTTTGAGACCAGCCTGGCCAACACGGTGAAACACTGTCTCTACTAAAAATACAAAAAATTTAGCTGGGCGTGGTGGTGCATGCCTATAATCCCAGCTACTTGGGAGGCTGAGGCAGGAGAATTGCTTGAACCCGGGAGGCAGAGGTTGCAGTGAGCACCACTGCGCTCCAGCCTGGGTGACAGAGTGAGACTGTTTCAAAAAAACAAAAACAAAAAAACACTGGTGAATTGGGGAATGTGAAGCTCATATGCTCTCTAATGGAAGTGAAGACCCAAGTTCTCACTTACTAGGGCTTTAAAATTGAGAGGCCATTTTGAAGCCCTCTCTTCAAGATGGGATTTGTCCTCCTCCCTCAAAGTAGAAGAACCTTGGTATGGGATATTAATTAAAAACTCAGACGAGAGAATTCAGGTACTTAAATGAAGTATGTTCTTTAAAAGTCTTAGGTGAGTTCTCACTTGCCCCTACCATCCAATCCCTTACAAGAAAGTAAACAGAATAGGAAATACTTATTCTATCAACTGTTGCTCGGAGGAGGTGATTGTCTCACTTCTGTGAGAAAGGGAATTAATAAAAGTTATCCGCCATAGCAAATCAAAGATCTGAACAGAGCTACTCACATTAAACATAAGCAAAGTGAAAAGAATCACTGTGGCAGCTATAGGTACATATAATAACAACAAAGAGAAAGAAACTATTTTAAAACATTTAGAAGTCAAAGAGCCCAGTCTAGAAGGTTACAGAACAAAATCCCCATAAATGTTTTGCACTATGGGCAATTTAATAAGAACTTGAATTTATAAAACTAGATTCAAATATGAGGTAAAACAATAAGATAAAAAGGAAAATGTAAGCTGTGAAAACAAATCAAGAATAGGCATTATTACTGAATAATTATAGTTAGCATGTAAGTAATAAATAACATAGACAAATTAACAAATTAGAAGCATTAATAGCAAGAAATACTAATAAATTAGAAGTAGCTGCCAGGCGTGATGGTGTGCGCCTATAGTTTCAGCTACTCGGAGGCTGAGGCAGGAGAATACTTGAGTTTGAGACCAGCCTGGGCAACATAGCAAGACCTCATCTCTTTAAAAAAAAAAAAAAGGTAGCAAATAATGGATTACACAGCTGAAAATCAAATTATTGACCCTGAAGAAAGGCCTGAGATAATCACAAATTAATGGAGAAGAAAAAGTCAAAGATATTTAAACAGCAAAGACAGTGATGGTTTATCATAGGAAAATGGTATTCTTGAAGTAGAACCTAACAAACGGAGGAAAGAGTCCAAAGATACAAAATTAAACCTTCAAATATTCTAGAGACCACTGATACATGATGCTTGACATTCAAACATTTTCTAGTAAAGTTTTTGAACTTCAGTCTAATTAATTCTTGACCATTCTTCAGGTCTCAGCTCAAGTAACACTTCATGGAAATCCTTCCTAGACTTTTTTTTTTTTTTTTTAAGATGGAGTCTTGCTCTGTTGCCAGGCTGGAGTGCAGTGGCATGATCTCGGCTCACTGCAACCTCTGCCTCCCGAGTTCAAGCGATTCTCCTGCCTCAGCCTCCCGAGCAGCTGGAACTGCAGGCGTGCGCCACCACGCCCAGTAATTTTTGTATTTTTAGTAGAGACAAGGTTTCACCATGTTGACCAGGATGGTCTCGATCTCTTGACCCCATGATCTGCCCGCCTCGGCCTCCCAAAATGCTGGGATTACAGGCGTGAGCCACCACGCCCAGCTGGAAATCCTTCCTAGACTTCTTATACCAACCTGGTCCCTGTTAAATATTCTCAGAGCACTCTCTGTCAGTGTCTAGCTCCATTTTGTACATACATGTGATTATTGATTATTTATGTCTTCCTCACTAGACTGAAAATTCTGTGAGGTCAGAAAGTATCTGCTTTGTTCATTTATGTTTTATCCAGTATCTAGCTCAGTACCTGCAATAGTAGGTCCCTTATAGATTCTTGTTTAATAGGTCAGGGAATAAATGAATATTATTTAATTGTGTAGTTTTAGAAAATATTTTAATATTTTGGTAAGGCTAGTCCCTCTTTGTTACTCTTTTTTTAAATGAAGTGTTACATAGCTAGATGGACATTGCATAATGAAACTTAGGTCTATTTGAATAAAACTCTATTAATTATGATGTATGTAATTTTATAAAATTAGTTTTTGTCTGCGCTACTTTGTTACATTAGAAAATAATGAATTATATATTTCACTCTAATATATCTGTTTTTCTCTCCTTTTTTGAAACCTGCTAAGTTTGGAAGACTATTTGACCTGTGTCATCCTATTCATAAGAAATACCAGCTGGCTGTTACTAAGGTTTTTGGCCGGTTCATCACTGCCATTGTTGTAGCCTCTGAAAAGGTAGCAAAAGATTGTATTCGATTTCTGAAGGAGGAAAGAGCTGAACCTGAGACATTCCTCGCTCTAGATTACCTTGATGTAAGAACTTTGTAATGCCTGGTATTTATAGTGATAAAAATCTTGTCTTTTAAAGAATGATCTTATTGCCTAAAACTATGATAGTGATAGAGAAAAATTGTAGCTTGGATGCCAGTTAGGCAATCATTTTAATGGCTGGTGTTAAATATATTGGCAAGCAAAGAATAATATCAAGTGGCTACTCTCTTTCTTGACATCATACCATTTCTTCCCTATCTAGTTTTTACAGAATTCTACCTTTGATTTCATTGCACTAGCAGTGCACCACTCTACCTATTAGCCAGCAATATATTCTGTCCTATATAGCAAAGTATAGGAAATGGATAAGACGTATGGTCTGTTGGAAATGCCAACTCAGCCTCAATTGTAAATGTTTGACCCAGTGTGTTAGCTCTTTGTGGAAAAGGCTAAATTTTGAGCCTTGAGGTATGTATTGAGATACCTTAACATATCCTGAGTCTAAATTCATGAAGCAGGAACTCTGTCATATCATGATTGATATCCTTCAGTGATTTTTCATTGATTACTCAAGAAAATGTTCTCTTTGGTTCACCAGTCAAGACCCTGAATTGCAGGCAGTCTGCGTAATAGTTAAGAGCACATGCCTTAGAGCTGGACTGCTCTGAGTTTGAATCTCAGCCCTACTTCTAATTAGCAGTTACTTAATATAGTCTTAATTTTTCTTTTTTTTTTCTTTTTTCTTTTTCTTTTTTTTTTTTTTTTTTGAGGCAGAGTCTTGCTCTTTCGCCCAGTCTGGAGTGCAGTGGCACGATCTTGGTTCACTGCAGCCTCCACCTTCCGGGTTCAAGCAATTCTCCTGCCTCAGCCTCCCAAGTAGCTGGGTTACAGGTATGTGCCAGCACGCCCGGCTGATTTTTTTTCTTTTTTTTGTATTTTTAGTAGAGACGGGGTTTCTCCACATTGGTCAGGCTGGTCTCAAATTCCCGACTCAGGTGATCCGCCTGCCTCGGTCTCCCAAAGTGCTGGGATTACAGGCGTGAGCCATCACGCCTGTCCTATTCTTAATTTTTCTGAGCATCAGTTTTCCATGTGTGGAAATGGAAGAATTAATTCTTACCTTATTGGATTGCTACAAGGAATTGTTACTTGTAAAGCACCTGGCATAGGACCTGCACAGAGGAGGGGCTCAGCAAATGCTGGCTGGTGTTACTCATGGTCCAGACCTCCCTTTTGTACTTCCACACTGTTGTTACCTTCTGCTCACTAAAACTCTTTACCCCATCTCATCTGTCTGTTAGAATCCTATTTTATTTCTCACTTGAGGTTTTTTCCAAGACAAACTCATTTTTTAAAAAATCTTACACAGAAGTGTATCAAATATAAAGGGGATACTCCTACCCCTTCATAATGCCTGATTCCTTAGTAGTAACTACTTTAGATTGCTTCCATACACTCAATGTATATAACTACATATTCCCAAATGTATATACACACACATACACACACACATTTTAGTTGTATATGAGTTTTCTGCTTTGTTTTGTTTTGTTTTATTAAAAAGTGAGATCATACTTGCTGGGTTTTGGTAATATATTGCAGACACTTTGTGATCTGTTGTAAACCCAAACTAAAGGTCATGACTAAGAAGCTCTGAAGGCTTTCCTGATCATTTAAGTCAAAAGTGTTTTGTTTGTGGGTTTTTTTTGCTGTTTTTTTTTTTGACAGAGGCTCACCCTTGTTACCCAGGCTGGAGTGCAATGGCGTGATCTCGGCTCACTGCAACCTCCGCCTCCCGGGTTCAAGCAATTCTCCTGCCTCAGCCTCCTGAGTAGCTGGGATTACAGGCACCTGCCACCACACCCGGTTAATTTTTGTGTTTTTAGTAGAGACAGGGTTTCACCATGTTGGCCAGGCTGGTCTTGAACTCCTGACCTCAGGTGATCCACCTGCCTCAGCCTCCCAAAGTGCTGGGATTACAGGCGTAAGCTACACGCCTGGCCCAAAAGTGGTTTTTTAAATTCCATAGTGTTTTTCTGCTCTCTTGACACATATCTAAAATGGGCATTATTTTTCACTAGATTTTATGATTTTGAAAGTGTTTTGTGGAACACTTCCTATGCATTGTTTTATCCTGACTAGTTAATGACAGAGTTGAAACTGGAAATTACGTCTTGTGGCTTTCGATGAAGTTTTGTTTTTAAAAAATATTACCCAAACCAATGATGGGATGTAGTTCATCATGTTCTTATCAATCTTTTATGGTATGTAATAACATACTTTTTTTTGTTTTGTTTTGTTTTTGAGACGGAGTCTCACTCTGTTGCCTAGGCTGGAGTGCAGTAGCGCGATCTCAGCTCACTACAACTACTGTCTCCCAAGTTCAAGCGAGTCTCCTGCCTCAGCCTCCTGAGTAGCTGGGATTACAGGCATGTGCCACCATGCCTGGCTAATTTTTCTGTATTTTTAGTAGAGGCAGGGTTTCACCATGTTGGCCAGGCTGGTCTCGAACTCCTGACCTCAAGTGATCTGCCCACCTCAGCCTCCCAAAATTCTGGGATTACAGGCGTGAGCATCACGCCTGGCTGGGTACATACTGTTGATCTTTTGCTGCCATGCGTATATATGTTTTGTGAGAAAGAATATAATGAACATTTGGTTTTTATTTCAGTGTATGTAACATGTTAAATATTTTAAAACCCTTTAGATCAAGCCAATCAATGAAAGACTAAGGGAGCTTAAAGGCTGTAAAATGGTGATTGATGTCATAAAGACTCAGTTTCCTCAGCTGAAGAAAGTGATTCAGTTTGTGTGTGGAAATGGTCTTGTTTGTGAGACTATGGAAGAAGCAAGGCATATTGCACTCAGTGGACCTGAAAGACAGAAAGTAAGAAAAGAGGCTTGGATCACACCTTTGGATAAGTTGAAGTAGTATTTATAAGACTAGCATACACAAACACACACAAATATTTACATATGCGTTTTATGTGTTCTTTTTTCTAAAGAGAACCAACATAGAACCTAAGGTGGTTATGGCTTCAGTGGTTTTTATAATGTTCTGTTGAATTTAGAAAAAAAACTCTTATAGCATTTCTCAACATCATAAATTATAATTTTGGAAATTAGATTTCTTTTAATAATATCTTAAAGCAGTTAGTTGTTGTTGTTGTTGTTGTTGTTTTAAACCTTATATGGACCCTGGATATGGTACCTGTGGTTTTGAATACCAGGAAAGATTTTGGGTATTTATTTTACAATGTGGGCTAATTCTTCCATACTTTAGTGGAGATACTAACTGTCCTTTTGCATATTCAAGGTTTAACATATTTGAATTTCTAGAAAACACAATTGAAATGAGATTACTAAATACAAGTATCTTGAGGGAATAATTTTGGTCTTAAAAATAAGTACTATTTTACTCTCAGTGGAATAGAGAGTATTTAGTTATATTTGTATTTAGTTGAGCAATGTTAAACTCAAATAATCTGACATAGTTTTTTTTTTAAAACTACATTTATGATGAAGTATCACATAATGCTTAAGGGTATAAGCTATAAAGTAAGACCAGTGATGCTACTTAGTAACTAATTATGTGACTTTAGGGAAGTTTCTAAACCTCTAGTTTTAGTTTTCTCATCTAAAATTGGGGAAATAATATTACCTATTTTATAGGGTTATGAGAATTAAATTAAGTAATAACATGAAAAATGCTATTATAGTGCCTGGCAAATAGCTCTCAAAAACTGGTAGTAATTTTATTACCTACTAGTCAATTAACACACTTAATCTGGAATGTCCAGAATTGCAAATTAACAAAAAGCAGGCACTTCTTAATGAGACATGAAGATTTCCAGTGTTAAATTTATTGACTTATCTAACATGATTAATTTTTCATACATTTTGGTGTTTCTGATCAATAATCTTAAGCATAATGTGATCACTGTCATTGAGTTCTACATGTTAAATTTAAGCTAGGGTAGTAAGTTATTAAGTGTTTTTCTTATTTTTCTGCCTAATTAACTGCACTAACATTGACTTTTGTATATTTGTATATTTTATAGAATTGATATTTGAAGATTTGTATAGTCAAATTAAAGAAGTCACATGAAGATATGATTGCTTATTCCTTCATATAACAAATATTTATGGTTTCTATCTTGTTCACAGTAACATCTTTACCCCTTCAGATTGTATCTTATTTTTATCAGTATTTCAAAATTTTAATCAGATGTATCTTATTTGTATCTTAATTATATCTCAGGAACTTTGAAAGAATTTTCTCTGTGTTTTAGATTGGGTCAAACAATTGGATAGATGTCACATTTTCACAGAAATCATCTGGTGAATCATCTGCAATTTGTGCTTTTGGTTTTCTATATACTTGATACCATGTTATAGAATTTTCTTTAGTCAAACATTGCAAGTAGTATTAAATATTTTGGTTTACTTGTTTACTTATAAACTATAGTATGTATAAACTACATACAGTATCTGTAAACTACAAATATGGATTACATCAATTCTGCTAGCTATAGTTTGGGCACCATATTTTAGTGATAACTCAGTTTTTACATATTTAAAAAATTTATGTACCAAAATTTAAAAATCCTGAATCTCTTTACATACATGTAATTATTCTATCTGTTCCACTTAACCAGAGATACAATTATTTATTTTCTTCTCCTATAGACTGGTTGGTTGTTACTCTAAAACATATATATTATAAAAAGATCTATTTATACTGTGCCCTTTTAATATGGTGAAGCAAAAAACAGACCCAGAAAAATGTCAGTAAGTAGCTGGAAAATTTGTGAAAAGATTATTTTTTCCAAAATTGCACATATTAAACAATAATGAATAAAGTGCAGGGTACCACTTTGCTGGTTACCACCTGGAATAAAATATAGTTAATCTAAAACTCTTCCTTGTATCAGGATAAATTCCAGATGAATTAGAAATATTAATTTAAAAAGTAAAACCATAAAATTTCTAAGAGAAACCATGGGAAATTTTTTCTTTTCTTTTTTTTTTTTTGAAATGGAGTCTTGCTCTGTCACCCAGGCTGGAGTGCAGTGGTGTGATCTCTGCTTACTGCAACCTCTGCCTCCCAGGTTCAAGCGATTCTCGTGCCTCAGCCTCCTGAGCAGCTGGGATTACAGGTGCCCACCACCACGCCTGGCTAATTTTTTTATTTTCAGTAGAGATGAGGTTTCACCATGTTGGCCAGGCTCGTCTCAAACTCCTGACCTCAAGTGATCTGCCTCCCAAAGTGCCAGGGTTACAGGCATGAGCCACCACTCCTGGCCTGGGAAATTTTTTCTTAATCTCAGAGACAGGAAGCCTTTTCCAATATGACAAAAAACCCGAAAGCTATAAAAGATGAATGAATTCACCTAATAAAGAGTTTCTGCATGGCAAAGACTACCATAAGAAAAATCAAAAGAAAAATGGCAAACTGGGGAAAATATTTGTAGCTCATAGTAAAGAGCAGATGTTCTTACAAATCACTATGGAAAAGAACAATAATATAGTGGGAAAATGGGCAAGGATATGAACAAACTTGTTTTCATAAGAGGAAATATAATAATTCTTAAACATGAAAATGCAACCTCACTCATATGGGAAATACCCATTAAAATTACACTGAGGTACTATTTTCACCTGTCAGATTGACCAACATCAAAATGTTTAGTAACACTTTATGGGGAAAGAGATTCTTCTGTTCACTGCTGTGGGAACCTAAATTTATACCAGTTCTGTGAAGGGCAGTTATCTCACTTGTACATTTGAGGAACTTAGCATGTAGATTAGCTTACATGTATATGAAATGATATGTGTACAAGCTTTTTTCACTGAACCATTGTGTATAATAGGAAAAATTGGAACCAACCCGGATATTGATATAAGACTAAATCAATAATTTATTGCCTAGAATTGCTTTGGGCCTTAGTAAAATGGGTTTTATATTTGTGGTTTGTTTATTGTTTGGGGTCTCTTCATAAACTAGATATTTTATTAGTAAAGTTCAGTAAGTGGCTTTTCTCATATGTTTTATTCTTAGCTTTAAAAATTGACACATTGTGTCTTTATTTGTATCTTTATGTACATTTCTCCAGGGCAAAATATTTTTACTTTTACAGACAGTAGCTCTTGATGGAACATTATTTTTAAAATCTGGAGTGATCTCTGGAGGGTCAAGTGACTTAAAATACAAGGCTAGATGCTGGGATGAGAAAGAGTTAAAGAATCTAAGAGACAGACGAAGCCAGAAAATCCAAGAGCTAAAGGTAAATCCATGTCATAAAAGTTGTAATATACTAAGTAGAATAATTGTGTTTTTAAACTAGGTGGGTTTTTTATAATAACAGTGCCAATTCTATAGTTTAAGAGTTCAAATAATGCAGAATGAAATAAAAATAAAAAATAAAAATCTTTCCCTTACTCTCTTCCTTATATCTCAGAGTTATTTACTAAACACAGTTTGATACACAGCTTCCAGAAATTTTCTTTGTGTGTGCAAGTGTATGTATTATTTTTCCTATTTTCTTTGTTTTATGATAGACTGTTGCTATAAATAGTGTTTGCAGCAAGTTTTTTGTTTGTTTTTTGTTTTTTTTTTTGAGACAGAGTTTCGCTCTTGTTGCCCAGGCTGGAGTGCCATGGTGCGATCTTGGCTCACCACAACCTCCGCCTCCTGGGTTCAAGTGATTCTCCTGCCTCAGCCTCCTGAGTAGCTGGGATTACAGGCATGTGCCACCATGCCCAGCTAATTTTGTATTTTTAGTAGAGACGGGGTTTCTCCATGTTGGTCAGGCTGGTCTTGAACTCCTGACCTCAGTTGATCCGCCTGCCTTGGCCTCCCAAAGTGCTGGGATTACAGTTGTGAGCCACTGTGCCCGGCCTGATAGGCATTTCTTAAAGTATAACTGAGGTTGGGCATTTCCTCATGAATTTAATGGTCCTCTGTAATTTTTCCTTCTGTGAACTGCTTATTTTCTCTGCACATTTTTCTAGTACATTGTTTCTTATTTCATTACTATTTTAAGAATTATTTGTATTAAGTAAATTAGTTCTTAGTCATATGTATTGTAAACATTTTTTCATTTGATTTTTAGTCAGCTTCAGGTGGAATATAATTTATATACAATAGCAGTCACCCATTGTAAGTATAATTTAGTAACTTTTGACAAATGTATGTAGTCACGTAACCATCACTGCACTCATGACATAGAACATTTTCTTCACCCCGCAGAATTCCTTTGGGTTCCTTTTACTCAGTCCCCTCTTCTGGACCCCTTGGGGCCTCACAACCCAATCTACTTTCTGTCATTATAGTTTTTCCTCTTCTAGACTTTCATATAAATGGATTCATACAGTCAGTAGTCTTTTGTGTTATGTTTTCTTCACTTAGCTTAGTATTTTTGAGATTCATGTTGTATGTATCAAAAGTTTATTCCTTTTTAATTGCTGAGTATTTCTTTCACATTGACTTTGTTCTTTTTGTCATACATGCATTTTTAATCTTTATGTAGCCAAATTTAATCTTTTATAACTTCTGGATTTTAGGATGTGTTATGCTTAGAAAGACCAAATTCTTTCTGAAGATCACAAAAGAAGTTCAATAATGCTTCCTTCTAGTGCTTTTGTGTTTTTAACATTTATATTTTTTATTCATCTGGAATTTATTTTGATGACTGGGGATCCAGCTTTATTTTTACCAACTGACTTACCATTTTACAAAAGTATCATTTGTTGAATATTGTAATTCCCTCATTTATTGAAGCCAAATTTTACAGATGCTAAATCAATATAGAATGCTTTCAGATTATTTATTTATTGTTTCTATTTAGTTTTCTTCCTTGGTTGATTCAAGCATATATTTTGGCAAGGTTACTTGACTAATTTTCATCTTTTTCTGAAGCATAAGACTACATTTTATGTTTTAATCTAAGGTATAGGAATATTCAGCTTTTAAAGATTTTAACAAATTTAGGCCTAGGCACAGAAAAAGTTCTGGGAAGATGCCAACTTAAAGCAAATCTTGCTTCCCATCCATGTCCATGCTAAGGTTCCATCTGTGTGTCACAACCTGAACCAGGTGGCAGCTAGGAGGGAATGATGTCTTGGGTTCTGAGGGAGGCTGCTGGGAAAAGCTGATATAGGGCTTCGTCTCTTTTGATGTGAAAAGTGCTTGGGTAAGAATCAGGACATAGTGGAATCTGGGGGTAAGTTAAACATTTGTCCCATGTGAAGATGCCTGGTCTTGAACCCCACGAAGCTAAATATTAGCTTAGCAGGAAGTTTGTGGCCTCCCTATTCCTGAGTTTGGAAGAGTCCAGGGATACCAGAGAGGTATCTTTTCTTCTGCCTCAGGGTGGTCTCTGTCTCAGGGTGGTACTGACAGTCTTCTCTTGTAATTACTGACCCTCAGGTATAGAAAATCCTTGTGGGGTGCTGTGATTTAGGGTACTTTAATACTCAGACATGATCCTCAGTGGGCAAAGAAATACATAAACGTATCTGAGGTGTTCTAGGAGCCAGGCAATAACTTGAACAAAAAAAGTAATGGAGCATTAAGGAAATTTAGTATAGTGTCATCCTTCCCCTGCCAATCCCCAGCGCACAAAAAGATTTCCTAGGACTAAAAAACGTACTTCTGGCCAGGCATGGTAGCTCACGCCTGTAATCCCAGCATTTTGGGAGGCCAAGGCGGGTGGATCACCTGAGGTCAGGAGTTCGAGACCAGCCTGGCCAACAGGATGAAACTCCATCTCACAAAAAAAAAAAAAAAAAGTACTTCTTTTATTGTTTGTTTGTTTGTTTTTTAAAGAGACAGTTCTTGCTCCATCACCCAGGCTAGAGGGCAGTGGTGCCATCATAGCTCAGTGTAACCTTGAACTCCTGGGTTCAAGGGATCCTTCTACCTCAGCCACCCAAGTAGCTGGGACTACAGGGGTGTACCACCAGGCCCTGCTAATTTTTTTTTATTTTAATTTTTTGTAGCGACAGGGCCTTGTTATATTGACCAGGCTGGTCTTGAACTCCTGGCCTTAAGCAGTCCTTCCACTTTGGCTTCCCAAAGTGCTGGAATTATAGGTATAAGCCACCACCTCTGGCCAAAAACATATTTCTTAACTGTAAAATGTAGTAGATGAATTGAAGGAAAGCATGTCATTGCTGAGAACCAAATTTGTAACCTGGCAGACTAAGTGGAAGAAGCTTCTCAATTAGGGTAATAAAATTACAAATATGAAGTAGGAGGAAAATAGAGACTTAGTAGATAGACTCAGGAAACTTGATGTGAGACTAATAAATTCTTGAAAGGAGGAAAAGAACATAGAGAAGGAGAAAATTAAAAACAAGAAAATTTCTCTAAGGATCAACTTTAATTGACCAGTTGAAAGGACACACAGAGTTTCACGTACGTTTGGTGGGAAAGGGCCCACAATAACACACATCTGGGTGTAACTCCTTAACCTATAGGTTATAGAAGCAATGCTAAGCTACCTGCCCTTCAAGAAAAATTCCTTATACGTTTAAACAAAAAAAAGGCTCGTATCAGACTGCAAAACTGGATGGGACTATGGAATAATAGCTAAAAG
The DNA here is from genome assembly GCF_000001405.40 of Homo sapiens. Taxonomy (NCBI): domain Eukaryota; kingdom Metazoa; phylum Chordata; class Mammalia; order Primates; family Hominidae; genus Homo; species Homo sapiens. The sequence continues at coordinate 45,380,151 of NC_000022.11, read as the reverse complement.
GAAGAGGACTACAACCAAGATATTATTTACCTTTCGAGGATCTGCCAATAAGCAAATTCAGATTGTCATCCACGTACTCCATGTGACAAAAATACTAGAGAAAGTACTCTTAAGTGGCTGGGAGCAATAGCTCATACCTGTAATCCCAGCACTTTGGGAGGCTGAGGCTGGTGGATCACTTGAGGCCAGGAAGGAGTTTAAGTCCTGCCTGGCCAACATGGTGAAACCCTGTCTCTACTAAAAATACAAAAATTAGCTGGGCGTGGTGGCCTGCACCTGTGAACCCAGCTACTTGGGAGGCTGGGGCAGGAGATTCGCTTGCACCCAGGAGGTGGAGGTTGCAGGGAGCCCAGATTGCGCCACTGCACTCCAGCCAAGAATTCACTCCAGAGCAAGAATCTGTCTCAAAAAAAAAAAAAAAAAAAAAAGTAAAAAGAAAAAGGAAAGTACTCTAAGCAACACATGAATTAGAATAGACCTAATTATAATAAACGAATAGTGCTAAACTAACTCAGCAAAGTCAAGGAATTAGAAGTGGAGAGAAAGGTCAATGTGTTCCAAAAGTCTCATCTGTGAGGAGAGGAAGTTAGAATATTCTAAAGACCGTATGTATATTGGACGCAGGGGGACAGGAGGGACTAGAGTGTTAAAAAGTATACCAAGCTAACACAGGGACAAATAGAAAACCAATAAAAATGAGTGAAAAGAATAAAACAAAAGCAAGATGGAAGTAATGAAATTTTTGTATGTCAGTGATTACGGTAAACATGAGTAGATTTAAGTCTCCCATTAAAAGATCAAGACTCATAGATTTAAAAAGTGAGTGTTATTTACAAGAAGTCATTTTAAAACTGAATGTTGAGGCTGGGCATGGTGGCCCACGCCTGTAATCCCAACACTTTGGGAGGCCAAGGTGGGTGGATCACTTGAGGCCAGGGGTTCAAGGGATCGAGACCAGCCTGGCCAACATAGTGAAACCCTGTCTCTACTAAAAATACAAAAATTAGCTGGGCTTGGTGGCACGCACCTGCAGTCCCAGCTACTCAGGAGGCTGAGGCAGGAGAATTGCTTGAACTGGGAGGCAGAGGTTGCAGTGAGCCAAGATCATGCCGCTTCACTCCAGCCTGGGCAACAAGGCAAGACTGTCTCAAAAGAAAAGAAAAAAGAAAAAAACCTGAATGTTGAAAAATAATGGGATGCTTACCTGACAAATGCAAACAAAAAGAAAACAAAAGTAATAATATCAGACAATGTGAACTTTAAGGTTAAAAATCCTTGTGTGTAGTAAGCTTTCAGTAAGTACTTACAATTTAATTGAATAAAGAAGATTATATGTAACATAAGACAAAGATTTCCATTATAAATCTGTTTGCAGCACATAGCACCTAAATATTAATATTTAGAGTGAGACTAATTTTTTTTAATAGAATGGAAAAGATAACTCAGGAGTTGGAAAATCACTCTTAGAAGGAAAGGTTAAGTGTTTAGTTTGGTTGAATTAGGGAAAAGAAGGCTTGAAACTACTTCTTAATTAAAAATAAAAATATAGTGGAACATTTCAGCAGAGTGACTTCTAAGTTACACGCTTTTATGCTTTAGTTTCCTCATCAGTATAATGGGGATAATAATAACATCTATTTCGTAGCATTAAGAGGATTAAGTTGGTTAATAAATGTAAATTGCATAGAACAGTAAGTGCTCAATAAATGTGAGATACTGTTAAAAATATCTGTTAAACATTTATGAAAATTGATCATATGCTCGGCCACAATGGAAACCTCAATAGTTTTTTTAAAGTAGAGCTTTTTATAGGTCAGCTAGATGATAATTTAATGAAATAAGAAATAGTGACCAAAATAATATTTGTCTCTATAGAAATTAAGAAGTGTATTTGTAGATAGTTTTGGGATTAAGGAAGCAATCCAGAGGCAAATTACAAAATATTTCAAAACTGATGAATAGGAATATACTTCCTACCATTATCTTTGAGACACAGTAAAAGCTACATCAAGAGGAAAATGTCTACATTACTAAAGAAGAAAGAAAATATAAGGGAACTTATTAGTCACTCTAAAAAAAATAGAGGAATCACAGACTGGGCAACATAGTGAGACCTCTTCTCTACAAAAAATAAAAAATTAAAAAATTAGCCAGGAGTGGTGGCATGCACCTGTAGTCCCAGCTACTTGGCAGGAGGAACACTTAAGCCTGGGAGGTCAAGGCTGCAGTGAGCAGTGATTATGCCACTGCACTTTAACCTGGGTAACAGAAGGAGACCCTGTCTCAAAAAAAAAAAGGAAAGCAATTAGAACAACTGGCCAGGCGTGGTGGCTTTTGCCTGTAATCTCAGCACTTTGGGAAGCCAAGGCAGGAGGATCACTTGAGCCCAGGAGTTCGAGACCAGCCTGGACAACATGGTAAGACCCCATCTCTATTTAAAAATAAACAAAAATAAAAGAAATTAGAATACCCACAAAATAACAAAAGTTATACAAGGAATTTTTTTTTTTTTTTTGAGACAGAGTCTCACTCTGTTGCCCAGGCTAGAGTACAGTGGGTGATCTTGGCTCACTGCAACCTCTGCCTCCCGGGTTCAAGCAATTCTCCTGCCTCAGCCTGCCGAGTAGCTGGGATTACAGGCACACACCACCATGCCCAGCTAATTTTTTGTATTTTTAGTAGAGACGGGGTTTCACCATGCTGGCCAGGCTGGTCTGGAACTCCTGACCTTGTGATCTGCCTGCCTTGGCCTCCCAAAGTGCTGGGATTACAGGCATGAGCCACCATGCCCAGGCTAGGAAATTTTGTTAAAGCTGACATTAATTTCGTAGAAAACAAATGAAAATAGAAAAGGGGCAAATCTAAAAGCTAGTGCTTTTGAAAGACTAGATAAACTCTGCAATCCTAATGAAGGAAAAAAAAGCTAGACGCAAACATACATGATCAGGAATGAAAACATTAAAATAATTTTAAAAGAATCCTACATGCAAATAACTGTATAGTTTTAAAAATTGATAATCTGGAAGAAATGGATATTTTTTAGAAAATATAAATTACCAAGATTGAACAAAAAAAAGTGAAATGTTTGAAAAGATAGGCAGTGGTGTGGTTTGCTGGCCTAATCCCCATCCACAGTTTCCTTCCTTTCTAGACTCTATTACAAGATTGTGAAAAACAAAAACAACTTAATTTCACAAGTTGCCTTGTAGCTAGGGCTGGCCATGTGACAAGTTTTGGCCAGTGAGATATAAATGAAAGTTTTGGTGTTCTGCATTTCTTCCTCCTGACTGGAACGCAGTCAAGATGCAGCAGCAATATTGCACCAAGGGAAAAGCAAACATGAGGATCAAAGCCATTGTACTAAGGAGCTGAAAATTAGATCCATTATTGAGTCATGGCATCAGTCTAACTAGTTTTGTGTGAGGAAAAAAAAAACTATATTTAATGCCACTGTGATCTACACTGAAAAAAGACTTCAGGAATATAAAATGGTGTATCATATCATGGAAAATGGTATGATGGCTTCTCAAAAAATCAAAAATAGAATTACCATATGATCCAGCAATTCTTTTTTTTGTCACCCCAGAAACCTGTGAATATGTTGGGCATATACCCAAAACAAGAAAGTAGGGTCTTAAAAAGAGATTTATACACCCATGTTCATAGCAGCATTATTCACAATAGCCAAAAGGTAGAAGCAATCCAGGTGTCAATCAACAGATGAATGGATAAACAGAATGTGGTATATACATACAATGGAATATTATTCAGCATTAAAAATGGAGGAAATTGTGGCATATGCTACAACATAGATGAAACTTGAAGACAAATACTGTCTGATTCCACTAACATGAGGTACCTAGAGTAGTCCAATTCATAAGAGACAGAAAGGAGGCCAGTGGTTGCCAGTGGCTGTAGAAGGGGAGAGAATGAGTTGTTGTTTAAGTGAGACAGAGTTTCAGTTTTGGAAGATGAAGAGATCTGGAGATTGCTTGCACACAATGTGGATATATTTAAACACTACTGAACTGTACACTTAGAAATGGTAAAGCTCTCACGACTATGCTTGACTAGCCAAATAAAAATGGTAACGATGGTAAATTTTATGTTACGTATATTTTACCACAAGTAAAAACCAAAAATAACCTCTGGGACCAGATGGGCTTACAGCTCAGTTCTATGTAACATATAAAAAAGATGGAAACTTTCCAGCTTATTTTATAAAGGTAGTATAACTTTAATATAAAATATATAGTACAAAAAATAAAACTAAAAACTGACTTCCCTTATGAGTATAAATATATAATATCTAAATGTCAGTATTAGAGAATTGAACACTGTAGTAAAATAATACATCTGACTAGATAGAATTTATTTCACAAATACAAGGGTGTTTAAGTGATCATCATAATCTATTAATGAATTAAAGGCAGGAGAAAAGTCATGTCATCATATGTAGAAAAGGCATTTGATAAAATTCAGCAGCCAGACCTAGTTTAAATACTACTAAGTAAAAGACTAATTAGTGGAAATTATTTAAATAAAATAAATAGCTCTTACTTGAACAGAAATAATTGCTTAAATGGTGAAAACACTGAAATCATTTCAGTTAAAATCAAGAAATAGTTATCTGTTATCACTATTCAATGTAGTCTTGGAAGTGTGAACCCTGAATATCTGAGACAGGTCTCAGTTAATTTAGAAAGTTTATTTTGCCAAGGTTGAGGACGCACATCCATGACACAGTCTCAGGAGGTCCTGACAGCATGTGCCCAAGGTGGTCAGAGCACAGTTTGGTTTTATACATTTTAGGGAGAAATGAGACATCGATCAACATATGTAAGATGAATATTGGTTCGCTCTGGAAAAGGCAAGACAACTGGAAGCAAAGGCAGGATAACTCGAAACAGAGAGGGGGCTTCCAGGTCATAGGTAGATAAGAGACAAATGGTTGCATTATTTTAAGTTTCTGATTAAGCCTCTCCAAAGGAGGCAGTCAGATATGCATTTATCTTGGTGAACAGAGTGGGGACTCTGAATAGAATAGGAGGCAGGTTTCCTCTAAGCAGTTCCCAGCTTGACTTTTCCCTTTAGCTTAGTGATTTTGGAGCCCCAAGATTTATTTTCCTTTCACATTTCCCCCCTTTTCTTTTTAAAAATATTTTGGAGAAAGCATTTTAGAGGAAAATGATTCTCTGGTCTCAGGTTTCATGTGATCTCTCATGGCTAGGATGGTTTATTTCTAGATGAGTAGGTTCCAAGTTACTAGGAAAGCTGATTTTCTCATGTCCTGTGAAAATAGGGGAAGGAAGGAAGAACAACAAAAAAAGAAGAACAATCCTGGAAAATCGATATAGGCCACATTACTCTGAAGTCCATACATTAGTAGGCAGGTATGAAAGTGGCTTATGTGTATAAATAGGTTGCTGTTATTTTCTTCTGAAGTTTAAGTTGTGTAGCTTCAGTTCGTAGGGCTTTACGAAAAGCACAGCTTAGTTTTCAGCAACTCCAAATTAGGAAAAATGGGGAAAAAAGAAGGAAAACAATTGAAAACATTATTTTGAAGACTTGTAACCAAGAAAAATTAGAATTTGGTCCAAACTGTAAAAATTCAAAAACATTAGGCAAGACTAGACTGTAACAACAGGTGTACTAGTTTTTGAAACATAATATTTCTCTCTCCAGTTTTCCATTTTTACTAAAGACAAGTCATGGTAGGACTGAACTGCTGTATTGTACTGGGCCTGATATTTGTACACATGTTGCAAGAGTAATTTTTTACATCAAACCCAATCTCTAGAAAGACCATTATAATTTCCCTTTAATTAGAGACAACTTGATCATCTAAAAGTTTTTTGTTTTTTTTTCTATAAATCTTTTTATTGTGACTTACACAGACCACTCATGATATGCTTGAACTTTCTGGTTTGTCCTGAACATCCCTTTTTCTTAAACAACCAGTCATTTTATTCTAGGACTAAATTTACTACACAAGATTCTTTCTCATATAAAATTATTTCTCTTTAAGCTTTCTTACCAAAAAAAAAAAAAAAAAAAAAAACCGTCTTTGTTTTTATAACTTTCTTTACTTCTCTCTTATTTTCCGGTTTCTTTTACCTTGTTTTATACATAACCTTTAAATAAGCTTTGAATTAGACAAAAATTGTTCACCTTTTTGAAATGGACACCCTTTTTTTTAGAATGTTTTCCTACAATATATTTTTATTGGAAAATACCCAAATAATGAAATATCTATTATTTAATGTAACTTTAGATTCCAAATTATGAGTTTGTCTACAAGTATTTATCCCATCACATTTGCCTAATTATTTTAATCATTTACCTAGATTATTTATGAAAACTGCAATAGTCATCATTTAAAGTTATGGAACCGCCATTGCAAAATTATAACTGAGGCAGTGAAAAACGTCTGACTTAACTGACCCTACCTCGCTTCTAACCTCCAAGTTGTCCTTGTTCATTCCTGGGCCTAGGCCAAACTAACTTTGGGAGGAAGTTAGGTTATAGTTTAGCTTTGAAACAAAGACAGTAACAGCCCTTTCCCAAAACAAACCTTACTGCCTGTGGACTAGACTGCCTAAAGCCTCAAATTAGAAGTTATGGTAATCTTACTAAATTCAAGATATAGCTATTTACAGGTACCTTACAGGTTAATGAAACAACAGGAATTCCAGAAATAGAGCCCAGTATGCTTAACAATTAATGTTCAACCAAGATGATGTTTTAGTTCAGTGAGAAAAGGATAGATTATTTAATAAATGGTATTGGCACATCTGGAGAAAGTAATTTTGTGCCCCATCTTATTGTAAACCGAAGGTATCTTGAGACAGGTCTCAATCAATTTAGAAATTTATTTTGCCAAGGTTAAGGACATGCCTGTGACACCACCTCAACAGGTCCTGAGAACGTGTGCCCCAGGTCACCAGGCTGCAGCTTGGTTGTATATGTTTTAGGAGACTTAAGACATCAATCAATACATGTCAGATGTACCTTGGTTAAGTCCAGAAAGGCAGAAGAACTGGGAGCTGGGGGTTGGAGAAAGCACTTCCAAGTTATAGGTAGATTCAGAGTTTCTGCTTGGCAGTTGGTTGAAAGAGTTTATCTGAAGACCTGGAGTCAGCCGGGTGCGGTGGCTCACGCCTGTAATCCCAGCACTGTGGGAGGCTGAGGTGGGTGGATCACAAGATCAGGAGATCGAGATGATCCTGGCTAACACGATGAAACCCCCGTCTCTACTAATAATACAAAAAATTAGCTGGGCCTGCTGGCGGGTGCCTGTAGTCCCAGCTACTCAGGAGGCTGAGGCAGGAGAATGGCGTGAACCTGGGAGGCGGAGCTTGCAGTGAGCCAAGATTGTGCCACTGCACTCCAGTCTGGGCGACAGAGCAAGACTCTGTCTCAAAAAAAAAAAAAAGACCTGGAGTCAATGGGAGGGAGTGTCTGAGGGAGTTAATTTGGTTGAGTAATAAGGTGAGTGAAAGAAGAAGGGAGTGAGAGAGGCAAGCCAAAACAGAAAGATGCACTAAAAACAAGGCAATTACATGATCCTATTTATGTCATTAATGTGCGTTGGATGGAATATACACACCCCTCTTCATTTTCCATTCCCAATTCTTTCCTATTAAGCACTGTTAGTTTTTTTGAGGAAGCTGTATGGCATTTTGGTTACTCCAGATCACTAATGTACTTAATTGCCCAGTCTCTTATCAGAGGAAAGGGAGGTAAGGTGCAGGTGTGGTGGTATGTAAAAATCAGTGAATTATTACATATGAAAGCACTTTGAAAAGTGAAAGTGCTTTTCTATCATAAAATATTCTCATGTTTTTCTTTCCTTTTAGGGTTTAATGAAGACACTCCGCAAAGAAACAGATTTGAAACAAATACAGACCCTGATACAGGGAACTCAAACACGACTCAAATATTCACAAAATGAACTAGAGATGATTAAGAAGAAGCACCTTGTTGCTTTTTACCAGGTAATATAGACTTACATAAAATATGATAGGCATTTGACCCAGAACATAGAATTTCAGGAATTACATTTATATAGCTCCATGTAATTTTCAGATACTTTTTTTTTTTTCCTGAGACAGAGTCTCTCACTCTGTCACCCAGGCTGGAGTGCAGTGGCTTTATTTCTGTTCGCTGCAACCTCCATCTCCCAGGTTCAAGTGATCCTCCTGCCTCAGCCTCCCGAGTAGCTGGGATTACAGGCATGTAATTTTTGTATTTTTTTAGTAGACATGCGGTTTCACCATGTTGGCCAGGCTGGTCTCAGACTCCTGACTTCAGGTGATATGCCCACCTTGGCTTCACAAAGATTACAGCCACCATGCCTGGCCAATTTTTAGATACTTTATCCCATGATTGAGATTATATTATAGTCCCTTAATTATTTATGTGGTATTTAACCTTTTATCCAGGTGAATTCATCTTATCTCATAGATTCTTCTTTTATTCCAAAAGATACCTATCACATTTTTGGCTTCACTATATAAAGCTAAAACAGCCATGTTAAAAAAATTTTTCTCTTTTGTTATTAGGAACAATCTCAGTTACAAAGTGAACTACTAAATATTGAGTCTCAATGTATTATGTTGAGTGAAGGAATCAAGGAACGACAACGAAGAATTAAAGAATTTCAAGAAAAGATAGATAAGGTCATGAATGTTATATTTATTCCTAAATGGTATATGTAGTTCTAGACCAGATACTAGATTTAGGGCTTCTTAAATATATGCTAAAGCAAAGGTTGATAGGTAACAGTGCCCTGTCAGAAACAACAATGTTGTAAGCTAAGTTTTATTGGTTTGCCAAATTTTCCTTGTGTTTTTTGAGAACCTCTGTTGCTCACCTCAAGAGACAATGACCTGTGCCTACTCTCCTCTGCACTCCAACCTCTCCTTGCCCACTGTGAAAATTATAGTCTCATTCTTTTCTCCCACTTCCCTAATACCATGAGGGAAAGAACTGTCATTCAGCTTATCTTTTAAGGTTATTTATTCACTCAGGAGTTTTTTTTAAAACACCTATTCTGTGTCAGGCACAGTACTTGGCTCTAGGACAATAAAAATTTGGTCACCTAGATTCTGCTTATAAAGGGATAGAAACTTTCTGATTTAATCCATTCCACCGTGGGGTATCTCTGATCCTTACAAAGTGATTTGTTACACCACCCATTGATTAATTCCACCCATTGCTTTTAGGCCTGACGTTTACCACGATTTGGAACCACACTTACGTTACTTCCTAATTAGTTATCTCTTTTCCAGGTTAAATATCCCTAGTTTCTTTATTCATTTCACATTACCATGGATTTAAGACCAGCTCTGGTAACCATCCTCTGGATGTTATCAATGCCCCTGAACAGAGCATGATGTCAAAATATTGTCTGTACAGCATATTGTGGGTCTGTATGTTTATAACTGTAACTTTCCATGACTTGGATTATCTAGTCATGCTAACTGTAGCTTACTACTGCGTCAGTCATACCACATTCATATTTAATGTATATTCAACTAAAATCTGAAAGTTTTTAAAAATGTCCTGTTCTTAAAATAGTTCTTTCTCATCCTATAATTATACATAAAATGAGAGCTTTAAAACATTGAGGTTAAATTTTACTTTGTTGAATTTCCCCATTCTAGCTTTTCCAAGTCTTTTTCATTCTTAATTCTATGCCCCATTCCACTTGTTACTATACTGGCAAAGGTGCTATTGTATTACTCATACATAAAGAATCTTTCCTTTATTTATGTAGAATGTAATATTTTTGTGGGTCTAAAGTAAAAGGAATTCTTCCAGTTTTATACTAAACATTCATAAAGCCAAAGCACTTAATAAGGCCAATTATGATCTTTCTTAGTTTTTTTGAATAAGAAATTTGAAAGTAGATGGCATAATTTATGGAATTAAAGGAAAAAAAAGTACTGGCTTCTCAGAATACAGTAATGCTTGGTGGGATTAGTTTTTGGCCTAATTCAGGAAAATCTTGGAGGGAAAAACATATTTAAGATTATATATTTCTTAAAATTGCTTATTAAATCAATTGTTTTAAAATAATTTAAAAGGTAGAAGACGATATCTTCCAACACTTCTGTGAAGAAATTGGCGTGGAAAATATTCGTGAATTTGAGAACAAACATGTTAAACGGCAACAAGAAATTGATCAAAAAAGGTATTTTTATAAAAAGATGTTGGTAAGGAGCTTACATATTTATAAAAATAGTTATTATTTCATAATTTAGAGGAATTATGCCTGAGTTTCATTTCATCAAGAAACAGCTAGGCCGGGCACGGTGGCTTACGCTTGTAATCCCAGCACTTTGGGAAGCCAAGGCAGGCGGATCACGAGGTCAGGAGATCGAGACCATCCTGGCTAACATGGTGAAACCCCGTCTCTACTAAAAATACAATAAAAATTAGCCAGGCGTGGTGGCAGGTGCCTGTAGTCCCAGCTACTCGGGAGGCTGAGGCAGGAGAATGGTGTGAACCCAGGAGGCGGAGCTTGCAGTGAGCGGAGATTGCGCCACTGCACTCCAGCCTGGACGATGGAGCGAGACTCCATCTCAAAAAAAAAAAAAAAAAAGAAACAGCTAGTAAAAATTTATATTCTTACAAAGAGATCTAACTTTTTTGTTCCATAATTTTTTAAAGAGAGAAAGCATAAATACACAAAATAAGAGAATAGGGGCATAATTACACGTATACTGGTTATTAAAAGAATAAGACAATAGGCCAGGTGCAGTGGCTCATGCCTGTAATCCCAGCACTTTGGGAGGCCGAGGCAGGCGGATCATGAGGTCAGGAGATAGAGACCATCCTGGCTACCACGGTGAAACCCCGTCTCTACTAAAAATACAAAAAATTAGCTGGGCATGGTGGCAGGCGCCTGTAGTCCCAGCTACTCGGAAGGCTGAGGCAGGAGAATGGCATGAACCTGGGAGGTGGAGCTTGCAGTGAGCCGAGATCGTGCCACTGCACTTAGCCTGGGCGACAGAGCAAGATTCCGTCTCAAAAAAAAAAACAAAAGAATGAGACAATAATTTGCTTGTCTGTAAATATTCATATATGTAGATAGTAAGTGGTAATTTTCAAGAAATAATATATTACCAAAAATTATCTCAAGATAGAAAAATCTAAGATGGCCAGTTACAATAGGAAGAGAAAGTAAAAAGGCTTCCTACCCACCCCATTGCCAAATACACCAGGTACAGATAGCTTCACAGGTGAATTATCTCAGCAGACTTTAAAGGCACATGTAACTTCAGTGTTTAATGTCTAAACAGATGTTCAATATTAAAACTGTTTCAGCCCAGGTGTGGTGGCTCACGCCTGTAATTCCAACACTTTGGGAGGCCGACCGAGGCAGGTGGGTCATGAGGTCAGGAGTTCAAGACCAGCCTGGCCAAGATGGTAAAACCCCATCACTACTAAAAATACAAAAATTAGCCAGGCGTGGTGGTGGGTGCCTGTAATCCCAGCTCCTTTGGAGGCTGAGGCAGAGAATTGCTTGAACCCAGGAGGCAGAAATTGCAGTGAGCCGAGATCATGCCAGTGCACTCCAGCCTGGGTGACAGAGCGAGACTCGGTCTCAGAAAAAAAAAAAAAAAACTATTTCAGAATGTAGAAGAGGAAAAAATGCATCTTTTTATGAAAGGAACATAATACTGATTCCAAAATTCAAAAAAGTATACATACAATAAGAAACTGTAAATCAATGTCACCTATAAATAACCAAGTAAAACAAGGTTAAATACAAATCAGCAGTACAACAACAAAATAATGTACCATTATCTAGTGGGCTTTATATCAGAACTATAAGGATGGTTCTGTATCAGGAAATCTATTGTTTAATTCACCATATTAAGAAAGAATCATATGATCAACTCTAAGGATGATGAAAAAACACTTGACAAAATTCAGCATTTATTCTTGGTTGAATATTCTTAAGATGTGAATAGTTAAGATACCTATGATATGAAAAAATACATCTCAGAAATCAGCATTGTGGTTTCATGGTTTCACTTCCTAGTAATGTCAGAAATTAGAGATACTCAGTATCACTATTATCTAATATTATTCTAGAGATACTAGTCAATAAAGTTAGACAAGAAAAATAAAGTATACAAATTTGGCAGTGACATCACCAAAATGTCAGAATAGAATCAAGCTGGCTTCACTGCTTCCCAGAGAAAACCATAAACAAATATACAGTGCTGAGATTGTCACCAGCAATATCCCAGAATTCAAAAACAAGAATGAGACAGTTCCTGAAGCCACAGAGAAGTGAAAAATCTTGCAGACAATAAGAGAATTGGACTTACATCTGTGGTGCCCTTATCCCAATATGTCAGGCACCAAGTGTGCAGAAAAATTTCCCCTGACTCGTGGTTACTACCCTGGAAAGAGTGAGATCAAGGTGGACAACCAGCTTCCTCACCATCTTGGGTTCCCTGGCAAGGGGCCTGTCCCTGCCTCAGCCCATAGGAAGTATCACTGAAGGGAGAAAAGTTCCTGAGGACCGACAGACAAAGCAGTGAAGCAGGACTAGCATCCCCAGTCCAGGAAACTCTGCTGTGTAACTTGGTCAAAGGAGACACCAAATTAGAGTGGCTGTTCAGCAGCATCACACAGCAACACCACACAGAGGTAGGTTCCATAGGTCCCCTGGGCACCAGCCTGTAGCCAGCCTTCCCAAATTGTCAGGATATCCCCTTTAGGATCTCCCCCATGCAAGATAGGCAACGCTCCAAAGTTTGCTGGAGCTGAAGCAAACCTGAGCTTAAGGCATCACCTGGTGCCAAAAAGCAGGCAGTGAGCCTATCAGCGGGGAAAAAAGAAAAGGTACCCAACAGGTATATTGCAAATTTCTAAGCAAACATACCAAATAAAAAAACAAAAACAAGCCAGACAGAGATAATCCTTTAATGTGAAGAGATAGATGTACATCCACAAGAAACAATAGCAAACGGGGAACCATGACCTCCCAAAACAGACAAAGCAAGGAGCCAGTAACTGAGCCTAGTGAGACTAGTAGGCAAGCTCTCTGATCAAGAACTTAAAATAGAAGTTTTAAGGAAACTTGGTGATCTCCAAAATAACAGAAAAGCAACTCAGAAATTTATCGGAGAAGCTTAACAAAGAGATTGAAATGCTGGAACTGATAAATACATTTGCTGAACTGGAAAATTCCTTAGAGGCTGTTAACAGCAGAATGGATCAAGCAGAGGAAAGAATCAGTAAGCCTGAAGATAGGCTACAGGAAAAGACAGAAGAGAAAAAAAGAATGAAAGGAATGAAGAATGCCTACAAGATATAGAAAATTATCTCAAGAGCAAATCTAAGAATTATCTGTGGCTGAGTGCAGCGGCTTATGCATGTAATCCCAGCACTTAGTTTTTTGGAGTTTTGCCACGTTGGCCAGGCTAGTCTCAAACTCCTGACCTCAGGTGATCCATGCACCTCGGCCTCCCAAAGTGCTGGGATTACAGGTGTGAGCCACCACACCCAGCCAGATTTTACTTAATGTATTTTCAAGCCTTGTTATTAGGTGCATACATATTTGGGATCACTGTCTTTTTGATGAATTAATTCATCATCATAAAATGCCCCCTCTTTAACCTTGTCATATTTCTTCTTCTGAGGTAAACTTTGAACTTGTCTAGTTATATGACTTTAAGTAACATTTATATACTGACATTCCCAAAATTTGTACCTTTAGCCTGGACCTCTTATTTAGACTTGCTTTCTAAATAATTCTGCCTATTACAATGTTTATTGAGGTTCTCACAAAAATCCAACTGGAGGCTGGACATGGTAGCTGACACCTGTAATCCTAACAATCTGGGAGCTCGAGGCAGGCGGATCACCTGAGCTCAGGAGTTTGAGACCAGCCTGGGCAACATGGCGAAACATCATCTCTACTAAAAATACAAAAATTAGCTGGGCGTGGTGGCACATGCCTGTAGTCCCAGCTACTCAGGAGGTTGAGGCAAGAGAATTGCTTGAACCTGGGAGGCAGAAGTTGCAGTGAGCCAAGATCGTTCCACCAGATTCCAGCCTAGGTGACAGAGGGAGACTCTGTCTCAAAAACAAACAAACAAACAAACAAACCCAAAAAACAACCAAAATGGAATTCTAATTGAGATTGCATTGGATTGATAGATTTGTGGAGAATTGATACCTTCAAAATATTGTCATCCCATCTAAAAACATAGAATGTCTCTCCATTTATTCTAATCATCTATATCCTTTATTAGAATTTTGGAGTTTTTTCCCATAGAGATCTATGTTTTCTTATTAATTTCTAGATAATTATAGGGTTTATTTTTTTCTTGTGAATAGTATGTGTTTTTATGATGCTTTTGCTAGTTGGTTTCTACTAGTGTAGAAAAATAATCTCAAATTTTATTTTATCTTTATTAATTCAGGGTCTCACTCTGTCAACCCAGGCTGGAGTGCAGTGGCACAATCTTGGCTCACTGCTACCTCTGCCTCCTGGGCTCAAGTGATCTTCCTACCTCAGCCTCCCAAGTAGCTGGGACCACAGGTGTGTGCCAACATGCCCAGCTAATTTTTGTATTTTTTGTAGAGATGGGGTTTTGCCATGTTGCCCAGGCTGGTCTTCAATTCCTGGGATCAAGCGATCTGCCAACCTCAGCCTTCCAAAGTGCCCGGGATTACAGGTGTGAGCCACCATGCTCGGCCTAATCTCAAATTTTAGATTGATCTAACATCTAGTAACTTTGCTAAATCCTCTGTTACTTCTAGTGGCTTATTCACTGTGTATTCTAGGTACTGAGTTTGTGATGTCTGTGATATCCAGTTAGAGGTATAGAATGGGTAGCTGAATACACAAGTTAGGAGTTCAAAGGCGAGGCCCAGGCTAGAGGTATAAATTTTGGGAATGTCCGTATATAAATGGCACTTGAAGTCATGTAACTACACAAGAGCAACAACGGAATGAATGTGGATAGAAAGGAGAAGAGATCCGGCCGGGTGCGGTGGCTCATGCCTGTAATCCCAGCACTTTGGGAGGCTGAGGTGGGCGGATCACGAGGTCAGGCGATCGAGACCATCCTGGCTAACACGGTGAAACCATGTCTCTACTAAAAATACAAAAAATTAGCCGGGCGTGGTGGCAGGTGCCTGTAGTCCCAGCTACTTGGGAGGCTGAGGCAGCAGAATGGCGTGAACCCGGGAAGCGGAGCTTGCAGTGAGCCGAGATCGTGCCACTGCTCTCCAGCCTGGGCAACAGAGCGAGACTCCATCTCAAAAAAAAAAAAAAAAAAAAAAAAAAAAAAAGGAAAAGAGATCCTACAAGATGTTAGCAAGTCGAAGAGATGAGAAAGAACCATTAAAAGAGCAGCTAGTTGGGGGAAAGGAAAGCCAGGGTAATGTGACACCCCAAAGCCAAGTGAAGAAGCGTTCCACTTCTACATCATCTGTATGTCTGCCTCCTGCAGCACAAATAAATTTCTTAAGCTCTCCTACAGGCAGTGTGGTCACGGATTAAGAGCAGGGATTCTGTTGTCCCCCTGTCTGAGTGTGTCATCCCTGGCTCTACCACTAAGTGGGTAGCCTTGGGCAAGTTGCTTAGCTCTCTGTTCCTTGGTCTTCTCATCTGTTAAATAAAGATGATAATATTACTGACCTAGTAGAGTTTTAAAACTTGTAAGTTAATTCATGTAAAAACTTTTATAACACTGTCAGGTATATAGTAACCTCTCATTAAATAGTTATTAATGTTTTAATTGTTATAGTTGTTTTTATATTAGCAGTATCTAGCACAATAGCTGTTAGTACTTAAAAATGTTTCTCGAACAAATGATTCTGTTAGCAGGGTGTGGTGGGGGGGCAGGGTGAGCATGGAAAGGATGAGCTACAGTTGACAATGGAATTCTTTATGAGGAGTTTATGAAGCTGGCAAAGTAGGAATGAACGTTCCCAAGTTTGGTGTTTATATAAGAATAGTTATTTGGGCCAGGCGCGGTGGCTCATGCCTGTAATTCCAGCACTTTGGGAGGCAGAGGCAGGTGGATCACTTGAGGTCAGGAGTTTGAGACCAGCCTGGCCAACATGGCGAAACCCTGTCTCTATTAAAAATACAAAAATTAGCCGGGCATGGTAGCACACACCTGTAATCCCAGCTACTAGGAAGGCTGAGGCAGGAGAATTGTTTGAACCCAGGGGGCGGAGGTTGCAGTGAGCTGAGATCGCATCACTGCATTCCAGCCTGAGCAACAGAGTGAGACTCCATCTCAAAAAAAAAAAATAGTTATTTGAAAAGACTAAATAATAAGAATAAACACATAAAGAAAAAGAGGAGAGGAAATCTGTAGATTATAAAAGATTTAAGAAACATCATCTGTATGCAATGTGTGGATACTGATTCAAACAACCAATTTTTCTTTTTTAAAAAAGAATTTTTTTTGTATCTGCTTTTGTTTTTTTGAGATGGAGTCTCACTTTGTCACCCAGGCTGGAGTGCAGTGGTGTGATCTCAACTCACTGCAACCTCCCAGGTTCAAGCAGTTCTTACCACCTCAGCTTACTGAGTAGCTGGGACTGTAGGTACACGCCACCAAGCCTGGATAATTGTTGTATTTTTAGTACAGGTGGGGTTTCACCATGTTGGCCAGGCTGGTCTCGAACTCCTGACCTCAAGTGATGTGCCACCTTGGCCTCCCAAAGTGCCGGGATTACAGGCATGAGCCACTGCGCCCAGAATAAAAGAAAATTTTTAAAAAGGAAATTTGGCAATGACAGCAATTTGATATTAATGAATTATATTTTAGCCATAATACTTTATGAGTTAAAAGTCATTTCACTTCTAGAGATACATACAAAAATACTTACAGGTGAAATTACATCATGTCTAGAACTTGCTTCAAATAAGCCAGTGGTGGGAGGGTCAATTAGTGGAGTTATCAATGAAACAAGAATGACCATGAATTGATAATTATTAAGTTGGGTGACAGCTACTTGGGAGTTCATTATAGTATTCCTTTTACTTTTATATTTGTTTGAAATTTCCCATAAGAAAAAAGAAGGAATCAAAGTTTTCTGTTTACACTTGTAATGCTTGACTTTATTATACTAGATTAGAATTTGAAAAACAAAAAACTCGGCTTAATGTTCAACTTGAGTATAGTCGCAGTCACCTTAAGAAGAAACTGAATAAGATCAACACATTAAAAGAAACTATCCAGAAAGGTAGTGAAGATATTGATCACCTAAAGAAGGTAATTAATAATGGGTAGCTGAAGTGCCTCTTCATTGAAATTATGACTTCCTTCATGTGGTAAACCTTTTGTGCGCTCCTGAAGGGTCCTGTTAGTGAAGGGGTTGGGGACAGATTTAAGAAATACTTAAAGTAAAATCAGCAGAGCTTTATGAATTACTGGATGTCAACATGGGAGGAAGGGCAAGGGGATGTCACAGATGACTCCTTAGTTCTAACTGGGGTGATTGGTGAATGGGAGCAGCAGGTTAAGGAGAGAAAATTCTGGACCTGTGGAGCTTGAGTTGCCTATGTGATGTCTAGATGGCAATTTCCAGCAGGCTGTTAAACAGTAGATAATGGGAGAAGTCTAGGCTGAAGATACAGATTTGGGAGTTGCTGGTTTATGGGAGTAAACTGAAACCACATGAGAATGGTTGAGACTCCCTAGCAGGGAGGTAGGCAGTGAAGAGCAGTGGAGCAGCGATGGGATCTGGAAGGTGGTCACTTAGCTTATGAGGAGAGTCAAAAGAGGTGGTATCACAGAAGCCCCAGAGTTTCAGGAAGGAGGAAATGATCAAGGCTGTCAAAAACGTAAAAGTCTGGAAAATGTTTAATTGACAGAGATCATGATAGCAGAAACACTCTCATTGGAGAATGGGAACAGAAGTCAGTGAGCTGAGGAATGAATCCAAAATAAGGACAAAAAAACAAAAACAAAATGAAGGATAAAGGCAGGTAATGATCACCAGTTTCTAAAAAGTGTAGAACGTGAGTCACAGTCCACGATGGAAGGTCAGGTAGCACATAGGGTGAGAAGGTTCATCTCGGGATAACTGGTTTGGTGTTATTGATAAGAACATAGAAGTACCTTATTAATATAAAAGATAGTAAATCTACAATGCAGATCCTCTCTGTTCAGGCTGAAGAAAACTGTCTGCAGACAGTGAATGAACTCATGGCAAAGCAGCAGCAACTTAAGGACATACGTGTCACTCAGAACTCCAGTGCCGAGAAAGTTCAAACTCAAATTGAAGAGGAACGGAAGAAGTTTCTGGCTGTTGATAGGTAATTAAGACTTCATCAGTTTGAAAGACCTAGTCAGAGTTTTAAACATGGACACCAACTATCTGAAATGTATGAAATGAGTTGCATTTGAATATGTGCCCTTTGTTGCTCTTGGTCTCACATCACACCCTTCAAACATTGTAATTTTTTTCAAACATTCTCAACCAGGAGAAGTGGTTAGTTGTTTAGAGCAAATAGTGTTTTGTTTTTTCTTCAGACGGAGTCTCCCTTTGTTGCCCAGGCTGGACAGTGGCATGATCTCAGCTTACTGCAACCTTTGCTTCCCGGGTTCAAATGATTCTCCTGCCTTAGTCTCCCCCAAGTAGCTGGGACTACAGGAGCACACCACCATGCCCAGCTAGTGTGTGTGTGTGTGTGTTTCTCTTTTAGTAGAGACAGGGTTTTACCATGTTGGCCAGGTTGGTCTCGAACTCCTAACCTTAAGTGATCTGCTCGACTCAGCCTCCCAAAGTGCTGGGATTATAGGCGTGAGCCACTGCTCCTGGCCTAGAGCAAATAGTTCTTTTTGTTGGATGAAAACATGAACCTGTATAGAGTCCCTTACCCTAATTCTACCTTGACATTGGTGTCTTCCTGTTGTACAGAGATTCCCTCTAGTCTGTGCAAGATAGCACAGAGGGTAAGGAGATAGAATTTGGAGCCACAATTTCTGGTTTCATATCCCAGCTCTGCTGTTGACATATGATACCTTAATTTCCTCATCAGTAATGGAGATAGTAATAGTGCCTACCTCACAGAATCGTTGTAAGTATTACATATGTTAATATTCATACGCACTTAGAGTGCCATTGCACTCCAGCCTGGGCAACAAGAGTGAAACTCTGTCTCAAAAAAAAAAAAAAAAGTACCTGGCACAAGATTAGCTTGTGTGTCTGCCATGATGATGGCAATGACGATTTGAATTGACTGGCCTGTACCAAAATGACACCTGCTTTCCTGTCATGCATCATGATTTACATAACCATGAGTGATTAGACAAAGTTAATTCTCTGTTTTTGCTCAGCCTTTTGGCATTTCACAGTTTTTCTCACTGTTCGAAGACCTTCGGTGTTTCAAGATACAGCCAGAAAGTTCTTTGTCTAAGATTTTGGAGTGGAATTAAAGTCCGTTTACTCTTGCTTTTTTAAAACTCTTGTTTTTTGTGTAAATAGAACACATTCTTCCATTTTTTTTTTTTTAAGAAATGAGGTCTCATTATGCTGGTCTCAAACTTCTGGGCTTAAATGATCCTATTCCCTTGGCCTTCCAAAGTGCTGGATTACAGGCGTGAGCCACCACACTCAGCCCAAACAGAATACTTTCTTTTTCCCTTCATATTCTTGAAAAACACATAGTTCTTACTTTCTTCTTTCTTTCTTTTTTTTTCCATTTTCTTTTGGTCCTTTTTCCAGGTTCCTTTAAAAATCTCACATCATTTCGATTAGTAAAACCCAAGCCCTCATTTTCAGATAGAAGGCGTTACTACATTAGTGGTGGTGGTAGCAAGGAAAACAGATTATTAAGTGTATGTGACTTACTGGCAAGGGATTTCTTTTGCTAAGAGTCTGTTTATCTTGGTTTGAGGTCTAAAATGTAGAGCTTATATTTGAGTGAGGAAAGCACTGTTTTTGGTAACCCTGATTAAATCAGTAACATTTATTAGTGGAAAATGCTCCCTTAGATTAACTGAGTATATTCGTGACCTTTCTCAGGAGTGTTAACAATTAAATTACAAGCATCAATGAGAGGATTCTAGAACTTACAGCACTCACAGGAATAAATAATTCTTTTTTCATAAAAGTTTATAGCATACATTTTTCTTCCTTGGTGCAGTGTTACATAATGAGTAAAATTACTTTTTCATATCTGTGTAATTACAGGGAAGTGGGGAAATTGCAAAAAGAAGTTGTAAGTATTCAAACTTCTCTGGAACAGAAACGATTAGAGAAGCATAACTTGCTGCTTGATTGCAAAGTGCAAGACATTGAGATAATCCTTTTGTCGGGGTCACTGGATGACATCATTGAAGTGGAGGTATTCTAGCAAATGACTGTAAAATATGTGCCGTTGTGTGGAACTTAATGCATTGCCCTTTGCTTATTCTTTCTCTTGTTCTGTAGCCCCTTTAGGGGTGGTGAAGACATCTCATAGGAGGGAAAAAGGGCAAAATGACTGTCATCTCAGAGGACTAGGGCCACGGGATGAACCCATGTTTCTTACCTACATATTAGATACCCAAGAGAAATCAGAGAATTAAAGTTGTTGGAGTCAAGAATGTTTTTGCACAATGAGCCACAGGCAGTATGCAGCGGTTCCCTGCACTCTCATAACATTTTACATCATGTGCGGGGGTGGTTCTTGCTCTGCACCTTCTCCAACAGTTGTATTGAGGTCCTTCTCAGAAGAAACGTGCCCTACTGAGTATCTCCAGGTGGTGACGGAACAGGAGGAGGCAAGAATGGACACCAAAGAAATCACAGGATAAAACCAAGGCTCACTAACATTTCCCTGTTGGCCTTTTTTCTTTCTTTTTCACCACATTTGGATTATACAGGACACTTTAGATTGGCTGGAAGTACAATCATTCCTTGATATCCACAGGGATGGATCCAGGATCCCCCATGTATATCAAAATCCGAGGATGCTGAAATCTCTTATCTAAAATGGCATAGTTTTGGTATATGACCTATGCGCATCCTCCCATATACATGCATGCCTCGTTTTATTCTACTTCACAGATATTGCAGGGGTTTTTTTGTTTTTGTTTTTGTTTTACAGATTGAAGGTTTGTGGTAAGCCCATGCTGATAAAGTCTGTTGGTACCATTTTTCCAACAGCATATGCTCACTTTTCTGTGTCTCTGTGTCACATTTTGATAATTCTCGAAATCTTTCAAACTTTTTTATTATTATATGTCTGTTAAGGTGATCTATATAACTGATCTTTGATGTTACTATTGTAATTGTTTTTGGAGTGCCATGAACCACTCCCATATAAGACAACAAACTTAATCAACAAATGTATGTGTTCACATATTTTTCAGATGGGAACTGAAGCAGAAAGTACCCAGGCAACAATTGATATCTATGAAAAAGAAGAAGCCTTTGAAATAGACTACAGCTCTCTAAAAGAGGATTTGAAGGTAATGGAAAGCTTTCTGTTGTTTATCACTCACAGTAATACGGAATATTTAAATCTTACCGAATCATTTTTGGATGATAGAATTAAGTTTGTTTTTTTTTAAAAGATTTCCTAATGGTTTTGGAAGAAATATACAAAGGAAAAACACTGTAATCATGAAACTTCTGACACAAATTGTGGGTCTCTGCCACACCAAGCAATTCTCTAATTCTTTGAATACCAAATGGGGGTTCTACAATTAAGTTCAATTCTGACACTGTCTACCTGGAGTTAGCATCAGATCCCACAAAGTAATGGCTCAGTCCCACAAGACTGGCCACTCTTCAGATACCAATCACAAGTCCAGGCCTCCCAGACTCATGGCCAGTTGGCTGTAAATCAGGAGTTTTCACAACTCCTTCCACAGATTTGATAATATGCTAGAATGGCTCATAGAACTCAGGGGAATACTTTATTTACATTAACCAGTTCATTTTTAAAGGCTACAACTCATGGAACAGCCAAATGGATGAAATGCATAGGACTAGGTATGAGAAAGGGTCC
Organism: Homo sapiens; assembly: GCF_000001405.40. Lineage (NCBI taxonomy): Eukaryota > Metazoa > Chordata > Mammalia > Primates > Hominidae > Homo > Homo sapiens. Next base: position 45,358,154 of record NC_000022.11, on the reverse strand, counting down.
ATGCCCTCTCTCACACCTTCTCCGGGCATGTCACCCTCCCAGCATCTCTTGTGTGGTCACCAACCTGGAAGCTCTTCACAACCCACTGTTTAGGGATTCTTATGGGAGGTTCATTACATACATGATTGATAAATCATGGGCAATTGGTGATCCAGCCTCAATCTTCAGCCTTTCTCCCCCACCTCCTTAGAGAAGAGGGGCTGAAGGTTCCAGCCCTCCAATCACCTGGTTGGTTCCTCTTGCAATAGTCCCCATCCTCCAACAGTCAGCTCATTAGGTATGATTGACGGGGGCTTATCATGAATAATAAAAGATGCCCCTCTCACTCCTACCACTCAGGAAATTGCAAAGGTTTTAGGTATGCTGTGCCTAGAACTGGGATGAAAACCAAATATATATTTATTGTATCATGTTATCACAAAATAGCTAGTAAATATATTGGTTACTTTAAAAAATGTTTATGTCAGCATTTCTGACTGTGTTGTGTAGAACACTGGTGTCATGAAATGTCTAGCCAAAGAAGAAAAGTTTCTGTGGTTACTTTTTGAGAAAGTCTTTTCCCTTCTTGGGAAGGGAAGAGAAGAGATTCACAATGGATATTAAAGTTTTTGAGAAGTCCTTCAATAAACAAAAGTAACCAACTACTTACTCCAGCATCCCAAATTTGCTCACTGGCATCCCACTGCAGTACCCTTAGTAGACACAGGCCTCTCTCAGGATTGTAGGTGATGGTGTGGCACACCCTTCACAGCTGCAGAGCACAGACCTGGAATCCAGCTTTAATTTAACTTTATTTAGTGCCTTTAATTGAGCAGCTCTGGCTCTGTTTCCCAGTCATCCCTGTAGCCATACATTTCTTTGGGTGTTGGCTTCATTCTGAAGCTGCTTCTCTCCTGAATGCCACATGAGTGCAGCTATTCTTGGCTTTACAGCCACACAGCTACAACCTTCAGAGATGAAAGAAGCTGTCTTTTGTAGTGGTGCTAGTGAAAGGAAAATGAAAACTTGGACCCCAATTCATTGTACCAAGAGGAAGAAATTAGGCTGAAAGCTGAGTCATGCAAAAAACTGCCTTTCCTTTTGTTCCTAAGCAGAGAGCTACATATAAAAAATTAAGTATCAGGCCGGGCGTGGTGGCTCACGCCTGTAATCCCAGCACTTTGGGAGGTTGACATGGGCAGATCACCTGAGGTCAGGAGTTCGAGACCAGCCTGGCCAACATGACGAAACCCTGTCTCCACTAAAAACACACAAAAAATTAGCCGGGCACAGTGGCACGTGCCTGTAATCCCAGCTACTTAGGAGGCTGAGGCAGGAGAATTGCTTGAGCCTGGGATGTGGAGGTTGCAGTGAGCCAAGATTGTGCCACTGCACTCCAGCCAGGGTGACAGAGAAAGACTCTGTCTCAAAAAAAAAAAAAAAAAAAAGAAAAGAAAAATTAAGTATTTCCCCAGGTAGCAACTCCGTGGGGAGATATTTATGGTTTCTCATCTTATGGTAAAGTGCTGATTTACTGAGCATGAGATGAATCCATAATTGACTGTTTCCTGCCTACTCCTTTTCTCTTGCGATATATGGATTCAGTGATGTGACCATATACTTCCTCTTGCTCCTGCCTGCTTTTCCCCTTTAAATATCAAAGCCCTCAAAATCATCTTTGGAGAAAGGCACAGACTTCTCTCTGGGGCAAGTCCTTAACCTTGGTAAAATAAACTAAATTGATTGAGACCTGTCTCAGATACTCTTTGGTTTACATGCTGTTCTAAAATTGAAGAAAGGTTTTACCTACAAAGCCCCAGCAATTGTCCCCTCATCACAGTTGCCTGAATGGGGTCACATATTCATTGCTGAACCAATCACTGTAGAGGGAGGAGGATGGTGGACTTTACCTTAGACCAAGCAGGCCCTGCCTCTAAGTCTAAGTACATGTGGTCCAGGATGGAGAAGTGGATCTACCTGGTCAAAAGCATGTGCTGCATTACAAAAAAAAAATGGAGAACAGATGCTGAGTAGCAATATCCACCACATCTTTTCAGTTTATATGCTGTTAATATATTTTGTTAGACTTTTTTTTGTTTTGTTTTTGAGACGGAGTCTTGCTCTGTCACCTAGGCTGGAGTGCAGTGGTGCAATCTCGGCTCACTGCAACCTCCACCTCTCGGGTTCAAGCGATTGTCCTGCCTCAGCCTCCCAAGTAGCTGGGACTACAGGCATCCGCCACCATGCCTGGCTAATTTTTGTATTTTTAGTAGAGATGGGGTTTCACCATGTTGGTCAGGCTGGTCTTGAACTCTTGACCTCAGGTGATCCACATGCTTTGGCCTCCCAAAGTGCTGGGATTACAGGCATGAGCCACCACACACGGCCTACTTTTTGTACTCTGATTGTATTTGTGGCAAAAAAAGCTTCTGGAAGGGCGTGGCACTTTTTCTCTTCTATTCATCACTTGTGTCAGGTTTAAGTGTTAACCTGTCTAGCTGGATTGGATCCCCTCTCCCTGCCCCGTAGTACCTATGCTTGCCCTATTAGAAGTCTTTTCACTTCGCTGTAAAAGCTGGTTTAAATCCCAGCTACTCGGGAGGCTGAAGTGGGAGGATTGCTTAAGGTCAGGAGCTCAAGACCAGCCTGAGCAACAGAGTGAGACCTGTCTCTTACAAAAAATTTTTAATCCAGTTTATATGTCTGACTTCCCTGTAAGTCTTTAAAGGCAAAGACTGAATAGCTTCCATCATTGAATCCTCAGTGTAATACATAGTAGATTATGAATATTTTTAAATAAATGAAGGTGAAGTATAAATTGTTGCTCTTTACCCAGATTAAAAAATGAGCTGAAATGTGTTCAAAGAAAAGAGCACTGCCGACTCAGGAAGCTACAAATATTGCAGCAGGACTGCACCTCCAGGCTCAGAGAGGGCTTTGGGGAGAGAAGGAGTGGATGCACAGGGACCTGGGATGGTGAAGTGCCCCACACACGCACCCTACCTTGCTGGATGTAAAAGACATGCCATGCCAGTCAGTGTTGTTCTTTGCCCATAATAGGCTCTACAGTCTGATCAAGAAATCGAGGCCCACCTTAGGCTCTTATTGCAGCAAGTAGCATCCCAGGAAGATATCTTACTGAAAACAGCAGCCCCAAACCTACGAGCACTGGAGAACTTAAAGACTGTCAGAGACAAGTTTCAAGAGTCCACAGATGGTAAAATTGAGTGTAGTCACTAACAAGATTATATTCATGGGTGTTTTGATTGCTATAACATTTGCCAACAATCTCCCCTCTGTTGTCCCTTTTTGTTATAGATTTTTTCCTCTGTGGTCTTATATTAATGTGTGCTTTTAATACTGAATCATTAATTGTTTCCTTTTTGAAATGTTTTGCTTTAATTTAAAACCAGGTTTATTGGTGATTTTAAAACACATGTATTTTTTTAATACCAAAAAAATTGACATAATAAATACTCTTATCAGGCTGGGCGCAGTAGCTCACGCCTGTAATCCCAGCACTTTGGGAGGCTGAGGTGGGCGGATCATCTGAGGTCAGGAGTTCAAGACCAGCCTGGTCAACATGGTAAAACCCCATGTCTACTAAAAATACAAAAATTAGTTGGGTGTGGTGGCACACACCTGTAGTCCCAGCTACTCGGGAGGCTGAGGCAGGAGAATTGCTTGAACCTGGGAGGTGGAGGTTGCAGTGAGCCGAGATCACGCCACTGAGCTCCAGCCTGAGCAACAGAGCAAGACTCCGTCTCTAAATACATACATACATACATACTTACATACATACATACATACATACCCTATCAGAACTTGTCAATATTATTTAACAATTAGCCCTACTAGAAAAGAGGCTCATGAATTCTAAGAGCTATTTTCTTGGAATTAATAATAGTTTAGGTATTTTGAAGGTACCTTTACTCAAGAGATCCAAACTCAAATCCAATTTTAAAAATATTTTATGCTTTACAGTTTAAGTAAAAGAACCTCCTCAGTGGTCTCTAAAATAAAGAACATTGATTCTCTCTTAGCTTTTGAGGCCAGCAGAAAGGAAGCCAGACTGTGTAGGCAAGAGTTCGAGCAAGTGAAAAAAAGGAGATACGATCTTTTCACCCAGTGTTTTGAGCATGTCTCAATCTCAATTGATCAAATCTACAAGAAGCTCTGCAGAAACAACAGCGCCCAAGTATGTATCTTTCATCCTCAAATACTAGTGAGAATTCTGTGTTACCGGTGGTGGTTGTTTTTTTTTTTTTTTTTTTTTTTTTTTGGTGGGAAATAACCACTGCCACATTATTTGAGCAACTCACTCATGGGGCAAAGTCAGTTCATGAAGAGTGGTTATCTAATGACCTGCGTTGTAGATCCCATTCACTCCACACTGTTCAGTGTGGACAAGTCAAAACCTCTCTGGGTCTGTTTCTTCATCTGAAAAATAAATGGACTAAATCATTTTGTTTCCAAATTCTCTTTTAGTTCCAAAATTCTGTAGTCTGGTATTAATTTGATTTTATAGAACTGTTGGTTTCTGTGGTAAATGTGGAATAATAGAGGATCCTGGGAAGATGGTTCATCTGTGGAGTTGACCAGAGTAACAAAAGAGAGGAAAATAACTAAAGGCAGGGTTCAAATTCAGATATGACCCTTTTAATGATAACCACTCCCATTCCATTATCAGTATCCATAGCAAATACTTGTGGAATTGAATGTGAAATGAAGATGTAGGTCGGGACTTATGTACCTGCTCTGCTTTTGTTTTCTCATTTTCTTTTATGACTAAAAGGTGATCCTGGATCAGATATTTAGAACTTGAACTGAAAATAACTTACTTTCAGTAAAGTAAGACTAAAACCCATTAACCCTTTTTTTTTTTCTTTCTTTCTTTCTTTTTTTTTTTTTTTTGAGACAGAGTTTCCCTCTGTTGCCCAGGCTGGAATGCAGTGGTGCGATCTCGGCTCACTGAAACCTCCACCTCCCGGGTTCAAGTGTCTCAGCTTCCCAAGTAGCTGGGATTACAGGCGCATACCAACAAGCCTGGCTAATTTTTGTATTTTTTGTAGAGACAGGGTTTCACCATGTTGGCCAGACTGGTCTCAAACTCCTGACCTCAAGTGATCTGCCTGCCTCGGCCTCCCAACGTGCTGGGATTACAGGCATGAGTCACCATGCCTAATTCTTTGAAAACAAGATTCATCTCTGTTTATCTACAGTACCTGGCCCATAATAGGTATTCAGTACATGTTTGATGAACGTATCAGTGAGTGAACTGCATGAAGACTGTTTTGTAAGACTGTGGCATGTGCCTCTGAGGTTTGACTGGCAGTCTGGTGGAAAGGGCTGATCCCTGGGTATGTTAGGAGAGTGTTTTCCCTCTACCGCCTACCCAGACAACCCTGTTGTCTGTGATTACATGTAGAACTAAATACATTATTTATAGGCATTGGTAGTTTTCCATCAAAATTGAAGAAAAGCTAACCAATAGAATATTTTGCAGTTAAACTCCAAGTTGAACTTTATCAGTTGCTTTTCTGATATTGCTAAATAAATAACATGCGTTTCAGGCATTTCTTAGCCCAGAGAACCCTGAAGAACCTTACTTGGAGGGAATTAGCTATAACTGTGTGGCCCCAGGCAAACGGTTTATGCCAATGGACAATTTGTCAGGGGGAGAAAAGTGTGTGGCAGCCTTGGCTCTCCTGTTTGCTGTGCACAGGTAAGGTCACAAAAGCTATTCAGTTTTCATATCAGGGCAGAAGCCAAGGGGACCTTCCTACAGAAGATATATTAACTATTGTCTTTATTAATATTTAGCAAATGAGATACAAAACTATCTTCTTCAGCCAGACAATTCAGATTATGTTTTAGGCCTACAACAATTTAGACTTTACACAGCAAATCGAAGACAGAATTCTTAGATTTTTAGTGGGGTTTTTTTTTTTTTTTGGAGACAGAGTCTCACTATGTTGCTTAGGCTAGGCTCAAACTCCCAGGTCAAGTGATCCTTCTGCCTGAGTCACCTGAGTAGGCAGGACCACAGGCATGTGCTACCATGCCCAGCTAGTTAGTGACAGATTTTTATTCAATTTCTGTTATTATCAATAGCTACTACTATTCCATTTTAGAAAAGAAAAAATACTTGGAATAGCCAGAGGTAACATCAGGATTGACAAAAATCCCAATTTGTGTATTATTTTCTTAGTCAATAGTCAAGATCTGCTACTTAGTAAAGAATGTTGAAGTATTTCTTCTATAAAAGTATTTAATCTCCTTATTTCCACTGATGGTGGTGGAACTGTTTCTTTGTAAAACAAATCAAGAAACAAAAAGTTATCTACAATTAAGGCAATTAACCTCTTTCAACATTCAGAACATTAGATGAAGATCTAAAGTACAGATGCTGAACCTGGGCAACATAGTGAGACCCCGTGTCTACAGAAAATAGAAAAAAGTTAGCCAGATGTGGTGACACATGTCTGTAGGCCCAGCTACCCAGAGGCTGAGGTGGGAGGATTGCTGGAGCCCAGGAGTTCGAGGCTGCAATAAACCGTGATGACACCACTGCACGCTAGCCTAGGTGAAAGAACAAAACTCTGTCTCAAAAAATATATGCATAATACAATTAGTAAAATATAGATACTGCTGCTTCTCTATTTCCATGACCAGGAACAAAAACATACAAGAGTTTGAAAACTTTTTACTGGTCTCTAGAAGGAAAAGGAATAGGCCGCCACAGGAAAAGAAAAGAGAAAACCATAAAAGCTGGAGGCCTGCTTTGAACAAGTCATCTGAGCAAAATCAGACAGGTGGCACCCACATCCATTTAGTCAACAGATATTTACTAGTTACTGTGTATCAGGTGCTGTTGCAGGCACTGGGGAGACAGCTGTGAACAAAACAAAATGCCTGCCTCGAAGATACTTAATTTTAGTTGGGGAAGGCAGATAATAAATAAGGTAAATTAGTAAACTAATTATCCAATATAGAGAATATTAGAAAGTAACAAGTTCTATAGAGAAAAAAAGCAGGGAATGGAGATGGTGAGTGGCAGGGAAGTGGTTAGCAATATTAAAGAGTCATCTGGGAAGGTCTATTTGAGAAGGTAACATTTGAGCAAAGATTTGAAGGAATAAATGGAGCAGGTCATGTGGACAGCTAAGGGAAGAATATTCTTAGACATCAGCAACAGCAAGTGCAAAAGGCCCCGAGGCCAGAGTGAGCACAGCATGGATGGAGAATAGACTGTATGCAGCAGTGGCAGGCACAGGGCTAGGAGACTGGTCACAATCAAGGTGAAAGACGGCGATGGTGACTGGGCCAAGGTGAGAGGATATGGTTGTGCAGACGGAATTTGCTGACAGGTACGGGTGTGAAGGAAGTGATGTGAAGGGGATGGCTCTGTGGGTTTTGACCTAATCAACTAGAGTAATAAGAGCTGCCATTAACTGAGATGGAGAAGACCACAGGAGGGAACATGTTTGGAGGGCAGGGGAGAAGTTTGCTTTGAGATGAGTTTGAGATATGTATTAGTCACCCACATGGAATTGTAGAGAAAGTAGTTGGACATTTGAGGTTAGAACTCAGGAGACAGGGCCGGGCGCGGTGGCTCACGCCTGTAATCCCAGCACTTTGGGAGGCTGAGGCAGGCAGATCACAAGGTCAGGAGATCAAGACCATCCTGGCCAACATGATGAAACCCCATCTCTATTAAAAGTACAAAAATTAGCTGGGCATAGTGGCGCACGCCTGTAATCCCAGCTACTCGGGAGGCTGAGGCAGGAGAATCACTTGAACCCGGGAGGCAGAGGTTGCAGTGAGCCGGGATTGTGCCACTGCACTCCAGCCTGGTGACAGAGCGGGACTCCATCTCAAAAAATAAAAAAATTTAAAAAAAATTAAAAAAAAAAAAAAAGAACTCAGGAGACAGGTTAGAATTATTGGTAAGAGGGCGGGAGCCATCAGTATTTGGGTGGTATTTAAAACCCTGAGGCCAGATTTAATCACCAAGGGAGTTGATTAGATAAGCACAGAGCCCTGAGGGCACTGCAGCCATCCAAAGTTGGAGAGATGAAGAGTTCTCAGCAGACTCAGAAAAAGCAGGGGCTGAGGGGAAGTAGACTGTGTCCCCTTACAAGTCACAAAGCAGTATTTCAAGGAGGGAGTGACCAATCCCAAATACTCCTTGCATAGGTCACATACATGTGGACTGATAACTGAGCACTGGATTTAGTAACATAGAGGTCACCGATTACTTAGAAATATCCAAAAGAATGTGTTTTATTTATTCTGAATACTGTTAATCTTTTCCTCCAAGTCTTTTGTAAAACAAATAGAAAATTGTAACTTACTTGATTGTAATTTTTTTCTAGTTTTCGTCCTGCCCCATTCTTTGTTTTAGATGAAGTGGATGCAGCCCTAGACAATACTAACATAGGCAAAGTAAGTTTCTGCTTTTCATTTTCAATAGACTGTCTACAATTCAAGGATCATGTGAGGCAAGCAATGGAAAATGCTCATTAAAAATCAGTCCTTGGTCTAGGCACGGTGGCTCACGCCTGTAATCCCAGCACTATGGGAGGCCGAGGCAGGCAGATCACAAGGTCAGGAGTTTAAGACCAGCCTGACCAACATGGTGAATCTCCGTCTCTACTAAAAATACAAAAATTAGCCAGGTGTGGTGGTGTGCGCCTGTAATCCCAGCTACTCAGGAGCTGAGGCAGGAGAATCACTTGAACCCGGGAGGTGAAGGTTGCAGTGAGCCGAGATTGCACCACTGCACTCCAGCCTAAGCGACAGAGTGAGACTCTGTCTCAAAAAAACAAAACAAAACAAAACAAAAAATTCAGTCCTTGGCCAGGCACCCGTGGCTCACGCCTGTAATCCCAGCACTTTGGGAGGCTGAGGCAGGTGGATTACTTGAGGTCAGGAGTTCGAGACCAGCCTGGTCAACATGGTGAAACCTGGTCTCTACTAAAAATACAAAAATTAGCTAGGCGTGGTGGTGGGTGCCTGTAATCCCAGCTACTTGGGAGGCTGAGGCATGACAATCGGCTGAACCCAGGAGGTGGAGTTTGCAGTGAGCTGAGTTTGTGCCACTGCACTCCAGCCTGAGCGACAGAGACTCTGTCTCAAAAAAAAAAAAAAAAAAAAATCAGTCCTTGTAGGCTGGGCTTGGTGGCTCATGCCTGTAATCTCAGCACTTCGGGAGGCTGAGGCGGGTGGATTGCTTGAGTCCAAGAGTTTGAGACCAGCCTGGGCAACATAAGGAGACCTTGTCCCTACAAAAAATTTAAAAAAATAATTATCTGAGCATGGTGGCACACATCTGTGGTCCCAGCTACTCAAGAGGCTGAGGTGGGAGGATCACCTGAGCCTGAGAGACAGAGATTGCAGTGAGCCGAGACCGTGCCACTGCACTCCAGGAAAAAACAAAACAAAACAAAAAAAACAGTCCTTTTGAAATCTAAGCTAAATATCTAAAACAAGTTGATTCAGGGTAGTCTTCATTCAAGGCTTAGAGGACCTTCCAGAGTTGATGAGAAATCAACATGGGGGTCAAATGAGGATCACTGTACTTGATCAACAATGTTACTGCTGGCATAACAGGTTTCTCACCAAATCTAGATATTGGGAATTAGAGAACCCCTAATAACAGGCCCCAAGAGTACCATCTCTAAATTCCAAAAGAATTAAAGTTTAAAATCCTACCTTCCCAGTTTTTATATCTATTTATTTATTTGAGACCAGGTTATGAGACTGGCTAATTTTTGTGTTTTTGGTAGAGATGGGGTTTCACCATGTTACCAAGGCTGGTCTCAAACTCTTGGGCTCAAGAGATCTACCCGCTTCAACCTCCCAAAGTGCTGGGATTACAGGCGTCAGCCACCACACCAGCCCTACTTCCCAGTTCTATCAAAATGTATCCAATAATTTACTGTACTTGAGCATGATCCTGTTTTCAGTCTTTGAGAGAATGAGAGAACTAAGGAACAGTTTCACACTTAGGAGTTGAATTTTAGTCAGTACTCAAGGATCAGTGGGTAGATACTCAGAGCCCACCTAAAAGAGCTGGGCTCTCAGCCCAAACAAATTGACAGTGACTAGATTGAATTTTGGACATGAGAGTGGGGTCTGCTATGGAACATGAACAAAGGATGGAGGCAAATCCTGGCAGTGCCCGACACTGCCCAGGGGAAGGGCAGCACCGGCCTGCAGAGTTCCCAGTACCATGGTTCTGCTACTGGGGCCATTCATTCTTGGAGATGGGTGAATTAGGTTCTCCTGGTTCTGATTCCAGGCCCATCCATCTTCTAGAAATGACCAGGCTTTGCATTAACGGCTGCTTACAGGGTGGCTGCTCTGGTCATGTTGAGAGATGTATTTCTCATCATTTACTTATAAATTGGCATTCTGGGCCAGGCGTGATGGCTCATGCCTGTAATTCCAACACTTTGAGAAGCTGAGGCGGGAGGATCACTTGAGCTCAGGACTTCGAGACCAGCCTGAGCAACATAGTGAGACCTTGTCTCTATTATAAATAAATTTAAAAAGAAAAAAAGAAATAAATTGGCATTCTGGTTTATAACCTAGTCTTGTGAGTGATGTTAAGGAGCCCGTGGCTGAGAGATGTTTTCAGTCTCGGGGTACCACCCAGTAGGTTCTGCACCTCTGAAGCTGACCTCCTTGATTGCTTACTCTGTTGAGTCTCATGTGAATTGCCTGGGTAGCTGCAACCTGAGGTACCTTCTGATGGCATGAATGTAGTCTTTGAGCATTTCTCAAATTGTATTCATCTGAGAAAATCTCTTGAAGGCCCTGCATTTTTAACATGGCCCAGGGATACACAAGAGTATCACATCAACTCCATACCCCCAAAAAGTCTCTGCCAGAAGCTTCATGGCAGCTGGGAAAGGAAACAGGACATGGTAGCTGGGGAGGAAACAGGACATGGTAGCTGGGAAGGAAACAGGAAAGAAGAGCATCTTGAGTTGTCTCCTGAATGCCAGCCAGCATGCATCAAATGACTGGACTCCATGGCAGACTCATCTGGGAGAAATCTCCCCTTAGGAGGAGAATTTTGGCACTTTATATCCCACATTCTGTGAGGGGAAATCTTGGTGGCTGTCTTTTTCTTGGCTGTATTGAAGGTATTTGTTTGAGGAAAAATTAGATGTTTGCATTGGTGGCATCTCCAGGTACTAGGTCTTACTTCAGACTCCTACTAGTACCCATCCTATGTATTAAAAGCTCTTAATTGCATTATCCCTTTTGAGATGTATTTTTCTGATACTCCGTTGCTGAATTGAGTATGAGCAGTTATGTAGTATGAAGAACTATGAAGCACCCTCCACTCCCTCTTGTGATCAGGGTGCCCAACAGGTAACTCTCCAGGAAAAACGCATGCCCTGCATCTTCGCATCCTATCTCCCCTTCTTTTCCTATTATGGGCCCAAGACCTTTTTTCAGCCCTGTCATAGTGGCTACTACCATTGCCTCTAATGCTGGAAGTTCCTTCTATGAATTCAGCCTCTTAGAGCAGTTTCTTTCCTTTCTCACGTAAAACATGGCCACTCATTCCTCAATGGAAGCTACCATTCCTACTTCCAGAGCTTGTGTCCACAGGATCTTTGGTGCACATGGAGAAGACCCATTCTAGGCCCTCAGAGAAATCCAGGAGTTGGTATTACCTTTGTTAGACTGTTGGTAGTTTTTCTCTTCTTGGGGTTTATCACCGTCCAAGTTCTGAGTGGTTTGTTCACCAAGACTCATCTCTATTGAGTCCATTTTGCACTTCTCATTTCCTTGGAATTGAGCTTCCTTAGGGAACCAGAGTTCACCTCTAACCAAATGACTTGATTATGGATTACGAATACATATATAATTGCCCTGTTTTTCCTTTCAGGCTGAGTTGGCAAAATAGGAAGGTGGAAATTATTTTGGATTTTTGCTCTTCTTGTTGTTAGATGGAGTCTTTCACTCTGTCGCCCAGCCTGGAGTGCAGTGGCACAATCTCGGCTCACTGCAACCTCTACCTCCCGGGTTCAAGCGATTTTCCTGCCTCAGCCTCCCGAGTAGCTGGGATTATAGGCACCTGCCACCATGCCTGCCTAATTTTTTTGTAATTTTAGTAGAGACGGGGTTCACCATGTTGGCCAGGCTGGTTTTGAACTCCTGACCTCTGGTGATCCGCCTGCCTCAGCCTCCCAAAGTGCTGGGGTTACAGGTGTGAGCCACTGCGCCCAGCCTGGAGGTTATACGTTTAAATACCAGCCCTTTTTCACCCTCAAAAAATACTCTGAGTGGTAGTTTTTTTCTTGTTATAAAGGCTGGTTACCTATTCACATCACAGTATCTTAAGTTGGAGCTTTATTCTTTAAAATATTCTTAAAGTTTTAGATCATAGGTTTAATGAAGTTTATCTCATTTTAGAATCTATTTCCATTTCTGCAGTTGTTGAGGATTTATTGAATTATTGGAAAGGTGGATAAGTCCTTGTCACCTAAACTGACCAGACTCAGAGACATGCAGAATTACTGTCTCCAGAGCCCAGACAAGGCCTTTCCTTCCTAGTGAAATGTGTGTTTTTATTTCTTCCAGGTGTCAAGTTACATCAAAGAGCAAACTCAAGACCAGTTTCAGATGATAGTCATCTCCCTAAAAGAAGAGTTCTATTCCAGAGCCGACGCGCTGATCGGCATCTATCCTGAGGTAAAGACAAATCAGAGGCGAGAGGAGTGTACCCAATGCCAACTTCCCTTAGTACCCTGACAGCCACTGGGCTTTCCTAATTAAAACTTCCAAATGGAGTCTAATGCTGAAATGACTTTTTAATCAAATAAGATTAAAAATAACTACTGGTGCTTTCCTAGACAATACATAGAGATTGAAGATATATTTTAAGTGAAAAAAGCAAATGGAAAATTGCAGAACAGTAAGTAGGATAGTTTTGTTTCGTGAAATAAGTCCATGTTAATTTACACGAACTGTTAACATTATACTTCTTATTTCTGCAGTGTTTCAGTGTTTTAAGCAAAAACAAATGCACTGTGGTAGAGCAAGGAACCATTTATCCTCCAAAAGTATCAGAGGACAAAACAAAGAAATACATTAGAAGTTCCAAGTTGTATAGTAACTTCTAAAATGTGAACACACCTTTCTCAAGCCATTGAAAATACTAACCTGAACTCATGAAGTAGAGCCACTAGTTCAGGTCATTTGGTTTTGGACAGTTAGGATTTACTTCCTGAATTTTCCTTTAAGCAAAGATAAAAATTTACCTTCCTGTGCCTACAGAATGTTAGGGGACCACCTGGAAATATAATGCATGAGTAATGGAAATTCTCATACCAGATAATACCAAAAAAACCCACAACCAATATAAATGCAGATATCTTACTAGGTTGAAGAAGATTCCTTTTGAATGCAATTCTAGACTCACTAATGGCTCTTACTTTAATAATACTTTTTCCCTAATTAGGGGAACTTTTAACTGTCTTCTCTCCATTTTAGTACGATGACTGCATGTTCAGCCGAGTTTTGACCCTAGATCTTTCTCAGTATCCAGACACTGAAGGCCAAGAAAGCAGCAAGAGACACGGAGAGTCCCGCTAGGGGCAGTCCTGCAGCAGTCACCTGATCACTGTTCAGTTCCCACTCTAATACTCACACAGCTCCTCCACAGGAGACTTCTGGAGCAAGCAGGACCAGCCTGGTGCACCCTTTAAGAGAAACCTTAGTCGTTCTAGCCAAAGAGGCTGTGGCTCACTTTAGTTGAGTGTTCAGACCTCATTCTAGTAGGGAAAGTTTTCAGTGAGAGCTGGTGTCAAATGAGTTTTTAAAAAACAAACAAAAGGTACAATTTTGTACTATAATTCTAACTTCTATTTTGAAATAAGCTAGTTTGGTTGGAAAAATTTTGAATTCAGCTTCATCTTCACTCTGATCTTGCCTTGCACCCAAGTAATCTTGAAGGGAACTTCTCTTGGTTTTTAAACATACTAGTTATAAGATTGTTAATAAACTGTTGAACCTGGCTTTTGGGAAATTGTTTCAGAGAAACTATGTTAGTATTGAAAATATCAATAAAAAATGTTCTAATTTCAAATGTCTCCAATGTAGAATTTTAGAAGCCAAAAATATTTTAATGGTGAAATTGAATTATGTCTGTTTCAATGCAATCTGAATTTTTATAAATAGAATCTCTGTTACGGAAATATTGAAGAATACAGAGTTTCTCAAGTGACAACTGACTTCTCCACTTACAAACGTTATTATGTGCAGAAAGCTGCACTTTCACCACTTCATTTCCACTTCAAAATGGAACAAGACAGGCCTGGAGCGGCAGCTCACACGCTGGTAATCCCAGCACTTCGGGAGGCTGAGGCGGGTGGATCACTTGAGCTCAGGAGTTCGAGACCAGCCTGGCCAATGTGGTGAAACCCTGTCTCTACTAAAAATATAAAAATTAGCCAGGTGTGATGGGGTGCACCTGTAATCCCAACTACTCAGGAGGCTGAGGCAGGAGAATCGCTTGAACCCAGGAGGTGGAGGTTGCAGTGAGCTGAAATTGCGCCACTGTGCTCCAGCCTGGGTGACAAAGACTGTCTCAACAAAAAAAAAAAAAAAAAAAAAAAAAGGGACAAGAAAATTCTGAGGTGGGCTTCCACTTCAGACTGCTTTGGGCCCAAGTGCTAACCAAGGAGTAGCCTCCTGAGTAAATGTATCCATTTTAACAACACTGTTTCATGTAATAACAGAATGCACTCTGTGAGGAAGAAATTAAATCTCAAAAAGATTTGGTTCCTTCCTGGAAGGGACTTCCGGTACGGTGAGATAGCTGACCTCTATGAACTGCAGACAGCAGAAGCCACTCTATTTGTCCTCCTTTTTCTTTTTTTGACACGTAGTCTCGTTCTGTTGCCCAGGCTGCAGTGCGGTGGCGCGATCTCTGCTCACTGCAACCTCCACCTCCTGGGTTCAAGCGATTCTCCTGCCTCAGCCTCCCAGGTATCTGGGACTATAGGCATCTGCCACCGTGCCCCGCTGATTTTTGTATTTTTAGTAGAGACAGGGTTTCACTACATTGGCCAGGCTGGTCTCGAACTCCTGGCCTTAAGTGATCCACCCGTCTCAGCCTCTCAAAGTGCTGGGATTACAGGCGTGAGCCACCGCGCTTGGCTGTTCTCTTTCATAACTTTGACTTATAGACTGTCAGTGATCCCACCAAGTTCAGTCATTTCTGATATAACAGAGCATGCCCAGTAACCTAATTTAAGGGCCACAGCACATATTCAGGCTTTGTTGAGATAGTAAGGAGGTTCTTAGCAGGTACTTGTATAACTATTTAAAATGTAACCATTTTATTTTTATTTTTTTTTAGATGGAATTCCCTCTGTCGCCCAGGCTGGAGTGCAGTGGTGCAATCTTGGTTCACTGCAACCTCTGCCTCCTTGGTTCAAGTGATTCTCCTGCCTCAGTCTCCCAAGTAGCTGGGATTACAGGCACACGCCACCACGCCAGGCTAATTTTTGTATTTTTAGTAGAGACAGGGTTTCACCATGTTGGCCAGGCTGGTCTCAAACTCCTGGCCTCAAGTGATCCGCCCCCCTCAGCCTCCCAAAGTGCTGGGATTACAGGTTTGAGCTACCTGCCCTGTCTTAAAATATAACCATTTTAAAATGTAATAGCTACTCTAGCTTGAGGCAGTAAACAGCAGGGCCAACTTTGTTACCTCCTGATGTGATGTTTCTCACGGACTAAACTATACACAAGCAAGTGCACTATGCTGGAATTGCCTTTAATCTATCAATCGGATTGGAATAAACTTTACATTCTACAACGAGCATACAACAGAACTGACTAGATACATCCATGTGGTGCAGCAACATGGCTGTGTCCTCCAGCAGAGCACACAAAGCTTTTCTTAAAAATGGGCTGTAATGAGCTTTACATCCTACTGCATAGCATCCTCTATGCTTGTAATTCTGCTATACCCTGTGTCTGGCCAGCTCTTAGATTCAGATATTCCCTGACTGCACTTACTAAATGACATTAAAGAAAAATTTATAATGTTTGCTTTTTAAAACATTTAAATACATTCAAGTAATCATTTAGTTGATTTCACAGTTGGGTGGCAACTCAAGCTAAAAATTCTCACTAAATAACATTCTAGCAAGCCTTGGCATAACTAAAGAAACACTGAGCACACAGGGTTGAAGTTAAAATTTTATTTATGGCTGGAGTGGCATAAAAGATTTGTTTTCCATGCTTCAAAAAGAAAAAAAAAGTTTTCAGGGCTTCTCTCCCTCCCTATGCATCCTACCCTTCTGTTTCCTGTTCTTAACTTTATCTGTACCTATGGGAGTCATCAATGGGGAGTGTCACAGGGCTTGGCAAGAAATGTCACATTGAAGATAAGTGGCCTCAAACTGAAACCAAGCAGGGCTGTTTGTTTCCAAAGAGAACCCTCCACTGTAGGGCCGCTCATGCACCGCCACAGAAGCCTCTGCCGGGTCACAGTCAGAGAAGCTCCCCGGGCACCGGCAGCACACTCAGCACAGCCGTTTCATGTGGGTGAACCTGAGAAGGTTTAAAGTGTTGCAGGCCCTTTTCAAGTTTTGCCTCCCTCACTCTCTGCAAACTCCCTTAATGTGGGCCATGGAAGAGAATTTTAAGAGACAATAACAGAAAGACTGGATATTACCCCAGAGAATAAAGACTTGCAAAGCCTGGAACTTATAATGTTTGAAACCTGGTCTCTCGAACTTGAGCTATCCCGGTTGTCAGTCCCACAGTGGCCGTGCACAATGTTGGCCTGGACTGAAAAGGGCCTCTGGCTCCTCCGATTTCAGTTCTTAGCAATATCAGACCTGTGTTTCTTTGGAACAGAAGTTACTAAAACAACCTAATTCCAAAGAAGCCCTTTTGATCCAGCTGTTCTCCCTAAAAACATTTTCGCTAGCGGATTCATTCTTTACTATTTAACAGTGGACCTTTAAAACGTACCTTTAAAATGCTTTCTATAGTAACATGTTTCCACATACAAATTATAAAATGTGTTTATTTTGCTGGGCGCAGTGGCTCATGCCTGTAATCCTAGCACTTTGGGAGGCCAAGGCGGGTGGATCACCTGAGGTCAAGAGTTCGAGACCATCCTGGCCAACATGGTGAAACTCCAACTCTACTAAAAATAAAAAAATTAGCTGGGCATGGTGGTGGACGCCTGTAATCCCAGCTACTCGGGAGGCTGAGGCAGGAGAATCACTTGAGCCCAGGCGGTGGTGGCTGCAGTGAGCTTGAGATCGTACCACTGCACTCTGTCCTGGGTGACAGAGTGAGACTCTGACTCAAAAAAAAAAAGTGTCTATTTCGTATTTTCTCTTTGGCAGCTACTGTTGCTTGGACAGTCTTTACTCTTCCCCTTTTATTACGAAAAATACCACCTTGACAAAAGAGAGCCTGTCAGATGGGAACGGGAACACCAGGTCCATCCCTTCCCACGGATTCTGGTCCCTGAGGTAGCTATCCATCAGTCCTTGCAAAGTCCACCTGAAATGTGTCCGCGTCACCCTCCTGCATAGTTCAACACACAGGGGAGCCCTCTCACCCAGCCTTGAGGGCCACATGCCCATGTGGCTCTCTTGGTGTATGTGACGGTTTCGCAATCAGAGATCCACGTGGAGTTCTCCATACATTCCTCTTCGTTTGGGCACTGTGGTTACAGAAGGCTAGTTTTCAAGTTGCAGGTTTTACTGTAAAGATTTCAAGACCCTCCAGCATCATCTGTTTAAATAAAAGAATGAAATGCCCAAGGGTTAAAGTCCAGCTAAAAGAAGTTATTTGCAATAGATTTCTATTTCAGAAACTGCTTTACAATTGTTCTTATGTACGGAAGACTTTGAAAACCCCTCCACAATGGAAACAGTAGCCACTGTCTGGAAATGACCTTGTGTAATTATCAGTACTATCAGGGGATCAAGCAAATGATGACATTACATTTGCAACGATCTGTGGGAATCTCAATCCATGAACATGGATGCTCTTTTATTTCTTAGTGGACTGAGGATGGGGCAATTTCAACAAACATACAGTGAGAGCCTGTTGGAGGTATGGAGAAGAATAAGCCTGTCGATTCCTCTGGGATCCCCAGGCTTGGCTTCTCTCACCCACATGCAGGACAGGCCAGGGCTTTCTGTACAACAGAGGCCAGGAGCTTCGCCCTAAGGAGACATGACTGGGTGGGGAGAGCCGGGGCTGCAGGTGCAGGTGATGGCGTCTAGGAGCACAGATCTCACAGGTATTGAAGAAAACCCCTGCCCAATGCTCCACAGCAAGGTCTACCAGGCAGTAGGCCCTACCCGCGATGTGCACACCAGTCAGAGGTAGGCCACGGGGGGACAAAATCTATGTACACACAACAGCAGCAACAGCAGAAGAAAGCCAATCTATTGAGAATAATCGCCCGGGCCTTCGTTCTTGTCAGCAGGCACTGGAGGAGCCCAGATATGCAGAAAACAAAACAATGAACGTGAAAGAAAGTAGTGGAAAAGAACCACCTACCCCGGAGGAAACAGTTCACAGAACACCAGTTTTGTGTTTTGTTTTTACTTATATGATGGTTCTACTAGCTGAACTCACAATCCAAATATTTGCAAAAAGATTTCAAACAGTTTGATCCAAAACAATATCAAAATCGAATTCTCTAAAACATGTGTGCCCCCAAGTGCATTTGAAGTTGTATAAAACTATTATTATTATTTTATCTTTTTTGAAACGGAGTCTTGCTCTGTCGCCCAGGCTGGAGTACAATGGTGTGATCTCGGCTCACTGCAACCTCCGCCTCCTGGGTTCAAGCAATTCTCCTGCCTCAGCCTCCTGAGTAGCTGGGACTACAGTAGGCGCCCGCCACCACACCCAGTTAATTTTTGTATTTTTAGTAGAGACGGGGTTTCGCCATGTTGGCCAGGCTGACCTGGCCTCAGGTGATTCACCTGCCTCAGCCTCCCAAAGTGCTGGTAATATAGGCGTGAACCACTAAGCCCAGCCAAAGTTGTATAAAACTAAATGAGAGGATGTCGAGTCTGTGACAGCTGCCCCTCACAGCTCTCCCACAAGGACTGCCACATCAGCTCACTCTCATCTTCCCTGCCCCTGGACGGCAGGACGCTAGGGCGCCCCCACCCCCTGCCACCAGCCCTCGCTTGTGCTATAATTCACTCTGCAGGTGGCCCTTTTAGAACTGCCTTATTTTACTTGACTAAATTTGCACTCACTAAGAATCTTTATAACATGGACTATTGCACATGGTCCCTGTGGTGTTGAAGGAACGTGCAGGGACATGATACTGCTCCAGCATACCCACTGAAGGATTTAAATGTTAAATGAAGAGGTAACTGATAAGCTGGATGCTTCGTAGCTCTCAGAAATTTTGGGTGGACTGCTATATAGGTATTTAAGAGTGTTTTACTTTGGCTTACTTATATAAAGTACTAAATATAAACTCCTATTATATGAAAATCCTCTCTCAATGTTTTCAGGAATGTAGTAGAGTCAGATAACCAGGTTGACTTCTGTCTCCAGAGTTCTCGCAGACTTACAACAGCAGATGCTCTGAGAAAAGGTAACTAAGAAAACAAGAGCTTGGCCGGGCGCAGTGGCTCACGCCTATAATCCCAGCAGTTTGGGAAGCCAAAGTGGGTGGATCACAAGGTCAGGAGTTTGAGACCAGCCTGGCCAACATAGTGAAACCCCATCTCTACTAAAAGTACAAAATTAGTCGGGCATGGTGGTGTGCGACTGTAGTCCCAGCTGCTCAGGAGGCTGAGGCAGGAAAACAGCTTGAATCCAAGAAGCGGAGGTTGTGGTGAGCCGAGATCGCGCCACTGCACTCCAGCCTGGGCAACAGAGCAAGACTCTGTCTCAAAAAATAAAAAAAAAGACATCAGAGAAAACTTAAAAGACGGTGGAAATCAATCCAGGCAATCCCAACTAGTATGACTTCCAGAAAGGGAGAACAGAGAAGATGGAAAGAAGAAATAAAGAGAATCACAGACCATTCCAGAACTGGAGAAATGGAAGAGGAAAAAGAACATGTGAGTAAGGCAGGTAAAAAAGTTTTCCACCTAAATACATCCTCATTGAATTTCTAATCAAGGGAAAAGAGGATCCTAAAAACTCCCAGGAAAAAAAGCAACGGGTACCTTCAAATCACTGGGAACAGGTTCCCATCAGACCCTCTTCATAGGAAACCTGGTCTTCAGACAGTGGAGTCCGGGGGAATCACAACGGAGAATCCCATGCCAAAACTCCCGCGAGCATGAGGATGGCACAGACACCTGCAGACACATGGCCCTCAGGAGGCGACCCCACACTGGGGTCTGCAGAAGCGGCCTCAGGAGGTACTAGCAGGATGGATGGGGGGCCAGAGCAAGGGAGACCTAGGCCTCCATCTCAGAGAGAAGGAGGGGAGCTCAGGAGGTAGCAGTCCCCAGCGGAGCCGACCAGGAGAAGGTGTCCTGGGAGATGTGGGGTGGCAGGATGAAGAGAATGCATACTTTTTTTAAAAAAAAATTTCTTATTCAGTTCTGAAAGCTGAGGGAGTGCATACATTTAAGAATATTGGGAAACGTTAGTTTTTGGAACACAAAGGGGAAAGAAGAACCTAAAAACTCCTCAAAAAGTAAGAAGTAACACAAATGTCTTCAAGCCCCAATATTAAACAATAAAAAATGGGAGAATGGAATATAAGAACAAGCCACATTTGACCCTGACATTGAGGACACATCCGCAGCTGGCACAGGCGGCGTGGCACTGGGCCCACAGACACAACACACATGCTGGCTAAGCAGGAAAGAACACTGACGCTGTTTTCATCACGGAAATGCTTTTGTTTGCCAACTTTTACAATCAACCTACAGACAGACTGGGGGTCTCGTTTCCTTTCTGTCCTGTCACCACGGAGACCGACAAAACGGGGAAGCCAGCGGGCTAGGGGGTGGGATACGCATGTGGGGGCCCATCCAGCCCAGGCTTCGTGTGGGGAAGTCTGGCTTAAGTATGTTATTTAAAGAATGAGAAATAACACACAGCACTACGCAAACCTGGGAGGAGGAGGAGGGGAGGAGAGGGAGGGACCGGCACGAACAAGCGAGATCGCCCTTCATAGCGTCAACAGAGAGGCCTATTCAAATACACTGTTTAGATAAATAGTTCAATCACTTAAATAAATCTTAGTCTGTAACAGAGGCAACAAAGCTCAAATGAGTTAAAGTGCTTTTCTCCAGAGACTCAGGTGACATGCATCAGGCTAGTGGTCACCCTTGGGGGCTGGAGGAGGCTGGACAGTGACAAGGGGTGTCCTGGCAATGCTGCTTCCTCAACTGCGTGTGATTAGATGGGAGCGTTCACTTCGCAAAAATGCGGAGCTGACCTTATGTAACTTGTGCACTTTTTATTCATCTTTTTAACTTTTCTTTTTGGAGAGAGCACCTTCTGCCCGCTGCACCTTCTTAGTGTATGTTTTCTCCGTAACATTTTTCTAAAGAGGTACCAGTAGCTCTGGGCAGTTGGAATCGGGTTGGGGTGAGAGGTCAGGGTCTCTGCTAAGTAAGCCTCCTGTGCTCTCTGGCCCTGACAGAACGTATGCACCGTCCTCCCACCATAGGGCGCGGGGCATTAAAGCGCAGCACGGTCCCTGAAGATGCCTGCCAACAAGAGAGACCCGAGGCAGCTCCCCACAAAAAGAACAGACACAATACCAGTATCTGATTGTGTGCGTTTTTTTGAAACTTCAATTCCATTCTCTTCTAACTTCCTCTTTGCACAGTCCTGGCATGCATTACCTAAAAGAGAAGAATTTATTAAGAAGCTTGTTTATTCAGAATCCACTCGCCAAGGCACAGTTCATAATGTGACCTTACTGAAGCACTGGCCAAGCAGACCCTGCCATCCACTAGAGATGACATCAACCACGCTACGGCTTCTCTCCAAAGAGAGCCATGCTTCCAGGAGTCGCATTTCAGTGAGAAAGCAAGTGTAATGAAGATGTCCTTTCGCATGGGAATAGGTGGCAACGGGGAGCCGACTGCGGCGGTTTCATACTTCCTGCACCACTAACATGGATGTGAGGCGAGCAGCTCCC
Source organism: Homo sapiens (assembly GCF_000001405.40). Lineage (NCBI taxonomy): Eukaryota > Metazoa > Chordata > Mammalia > Primates > Hominidae > Homo > Homo sapiens. The sequence goes on along the minus strand of NC_000022.11, from coordinate 45,336,028 downwards.
ACATCGATGCGCGTTTTCCCATCTGTGAACGCGCTGGGCCAAACAGCCAGGGAAAACAGGGCTGCGCACAGAGGCCTCCGCGCCACTCACCAGAGTCCCTTTTACCCAAATGATTCGGCAAGGGGAGGCACCTGGTGCCCAGCGCACACACAGGAGGACGCTCATGGCCACCGAGTCTCATTAAATTTATAAACAGGCAGAATTGAGCCCAGCAAGAAGAGCGTTCACATTTCAAAACAAGTATTAAATAGGAAGCTTCTGTGTGCAAGCTCAGACCCGTGCAACGAACATTTCGGAAGAGCTGGGTCATTCTAAGGCACTGCATCTGGCACCACATGGTATCACACAAATAGAACCTGTTCCAAGTCCCGTCACTCTTGGTTCTAGGGCAAGAAATTATTCTCAGGTGCCAGCTGGCTCACGTGTGATTCGGCTGTGCTTCCTCGTCAAAGGGATGGCTTTTAGTCTCTTGGTGTGGCAGGGACCATGCTAAGGCATGGCTATTTATCATCTTCAGTGGGGCTGTTTTAATACAAGCTAATTATTTAAGGTGAAAAACAAACGTTTATGATTTTACAGTTAGTGACAGAAGACAATGGAATGTGTAGGCAAAAAACAGGCTGGCAAGAAGAAAGATCTGCTTTACCCAATAATGTGGTGCTGTCCACGCGATCAGCATCTGAAGGAGAAAGAAAAGCAGTCAGTGGAGCCGAGACACCAAGAGCTCGTCCTCCTCGGCCACCCTGAGGCAGTGACTGGGAACGGCAGGGACTGGGAACAGGCTTCTGGGCAGGTCAGCCCGCGCGGGCTGCGGACTCCTGCGCTGCTCGCTGCCCTCACCTCTACCTCCCAGGCTTGGTGCGAGGACTCGCTGAAGGAGCCAGCTGGCAAAGGCAGCATGGTGTGGTGTCCGCGATCACTAGCATGACTGTCACTGTCATGGGCCTCCTCTCCCATCAGGAGTGGCACTCCATGAATTCGAGTACAAATGTCCTTCATGACACAGTCACAGATTAAAACTCCCAATGACCTTGCAGTCTTCTGGCAGCCTGTCGAATCCACTTGCCTGCCCCAACCTGGAAAGGGAGGCTCAGTGGGACAGAAAGCTGCTCAGCCCCACTCTAGGAGCCCGAGCACATGCAGGGTTACTCTGGGTCCTGTTCTTCCAGGGAGTGTGGGGGTGGAATGAGAAGCGGCGGACGGGGGCAGAGATGAGAAAAGCCCGCTGCCTCTCTGCAGAGCCACACATGTGGGCCGGTGCCAGGATGCACCAAATGGTGTATTTTGCTCTGCAGTCAGGCCAGGATCCCAATCCCAGCTTCAAAATGTCTGGGCACGTTATGTGCCTGTGCCAGCTCAGCTCATCTCGTCTATGAAATCATCTACTTACTAGCACTGCATGCTGCCATGAAAAACCAAGTCAGGTGAGAATATGGAACTCCGAGCAGAGGGTGACACATGGCAAGCAGGAGCTCTTTTCTTCTGCCCTTAATAAGAAGCTGTTGCCCTAATCATACTTTTATTTATGGAAATGGAACTTACATTGGTCCATTTTGCTAATTATTAGCAATTCTGAAAAGAAATGATAGTGGTTAAAAAAACAACAAAAACTTTAGCGATTGGATTATCTGTGCATTCTCTGGTCTCCAAGTTCACAGCTGGTCACATATACCTGCCTCTGTGGCTAACCTCGTTCTAGTGTGTGGTGAGTGTGCCTGGGTTTCCTGTTACAATTAAACGAGCCAGCACAGGCCTTTCCAAGCTTGCCATCATCAATGTTTTATGATGCCAAACTCGCAGCTATTAATTCCCTTATATCAAGATGACCAAGTTTAAGAATTTCTCACTTACCCTGGTCATTCCTGATAGATGAGCAATTTCTCAAAAGTGCCAAGGAGCACTACTTAAAAGAGGTGTTGCATTCAGAACAGGGAAAATACATTACGTGAAAAAAGAAGTAAAGTGTTCATGAAATCATTTTGTGCTTGTGAAGTTGTAACTTTTCAACTGCAGTAATAGGACACAGATATGAGATATCTGCGTCTTTCAAGTGTTAAGTATCACAACTGATAAAGCTAGCCTGGTAGTTTTCCTTCTTGGTTAAGGAAACCTGAAACAGGAATAAATGTGTCCAGCTATACATGTGTGCACAGCTGTAAACTTCAAAGTTACTGTATTTTTTATTTTTAGAGACAGGGTCTTCCTCCGACGTCCAGACTGGAATAAGTGGCCTGATCACAGCTTACTGCAGTCTCTAACTCCTGGGCTCAAGCAATCCCCCCACCTGAGCCTCCAGAGTAGCTGGTATCACAGATGTCCACCACCAAACCCAGCTCTTTTTTTTTTTTTTTTTTGGAAACAGAGTCTTGCTCTGTCACCCAGGCTGGAGTGCAGTGGTGCGATCTTGGCTCACTGCAAGCTCTGCCTCCCGGGTTCATGCCATTCTCCTGCCTCAGCCTCCTGAGTAGCTGGGACTACAGGTGCCCGCCACCATGCCCAGCTAATTTTTTGTATTTTTAGTAGAGACGGGGTTTCACCGTGTTAGCCAGGATGGTCTCGATCTCCTGACCTCGTGATCCACCCACCTCAGCCTCCCAAAGTGCTGGGATTACAGGCGTGAGCTATCGCGCCCGCTCCAAACCCAGCTAATTTTTAAAAACATTTTTGTAGAGACCAGGTCTCCCTATGTTGCCCAGGTTGGTCTTAAACTCCTGGGCTCAAGCAATCCTCCTGCCTTGGCCTCCCAAAAAACTGGGATGACAGGCGTGAGCCACGGTGCCCAGCCTGAAGTTACTTTAAAGTTCTAGTTACAGACTGTCACTAGGACACCAATTACTCCAATCTTCTAATTTTAAATTACAGAGGCAGTTTTAAAAAATAATAACGAAGACTGGTGAATTTTAGGGGTATGTGGGTTCCATCAAAAAAAGACAGAGAGAAACAACTGGAAGAGCCCTGTGAGTTTTGTACTTGAAAAGTGAAGACAGGCCGGGCGCGGTGGCTCTCGCCTGTAATCCCAGCACTTCAGGAGGCCAAGGCAGGTGGGTCACCTGAGGTCAGGAGTTCGAGACCAGCCTGACCAACATGGTGAAACCCTATCTCTACTAAAAATACAAAATTAGCCAGGCATGGTGGCGCATGCCTGTAATGCCAGCTACTCGGAAGGCTGAGGCAGAATCCCTTGAACCTAGGAGGCGGAGGTTGTGGTGAGCCAAGATGGTGCCATTGCACTCCAGCCTGGGCAACAAGAGCAAAACTCCGTCTCAAAAAAAAAAAAGAAAAAAGAAAGAAAAAGGAAAGTGAAGCCAGATCCCATACCTGGGCTTTGCTGTTTGCAGATCTGAGTGGCAAGGTCTTGCACATATCCTGGAAAGTGGTCAAAACAGTCCCCGTAGGATACAACTTTGATTCCGTGCAGAAGCATATCTGCCTGATGCTTAAAGAAATGGTCTTCATTCTCCTTCAGCACAAGCATGTAGTGCTCCAAATCCACCTTATTCGGCACGGAGTAAAGAAAGAGGGCCTGGAATATCTGATCACGAAGGGTCTCCCCACAGCCCACAAACAGAAAGGACTTGGTGCGGTATAAGTTCTGGAGGACTTCCTAGAAAAGGCCAATGAAGAAATTGAGTGCTCATTTGAAAGACAGCAAGAGCTTACAACTAACCAAGTCACATGTGTGTGCTTTTACATCACTGCTCCCTGACAGGCGTTCCCAGGGCCACGCTGAGGAGCACAGTTAGAAGGACAGTATCCTTCCCGACATGGCACTCAGGCCACCCCCCAGCAGCAGCCTGTGGCAGCAAAGACCAAAGCTGGGCTGAGCCTGCCTGTCCCCAGCTAAGCCAGGGTAGCTGGTCTTTGGCCGAGGCGGGTGGCAGTGCCCACACCCCTAACAGCAAGGCCAGCCCATCGCCCACCCCACACACTCACCAGTGCAGTCACCCAACTCAAATCTTCTCAAATTGGGTACGATTTTAAATTATTAAAACACAAAATGAGGACAGTAAATGTTTTCAGTTCAGAATTATGCACATAAAACACCCTGAAATTAATGTTGATCTCAGTGGGCCATATGTGGGAATTCTTGCAGGGGTGGTTTTGCGAATGAGGGCAAGAGAGCTGAGGAGGGGATCAGTGACCATGACTGACGGGGTCGGGTGGGCACAGGGAAAGCAGATTGCATGGGGTCACTCAGGCAGGCAGGAGGGAATCGCCAATGCAGCTAACCAAATATCTCAGAGAGGCTCAGTCTCAGCCCAGGTATTTCTTATCACCAAGCAGTATTAATGATGCAACTGAAAAGCATCTGCCCAGTCACTCATCTGCTGACACCTGTCACGGAATGACACCGGCCCAGGGATGAGCACTGAGGAACAGGGCGCCTAGCTGTGTGCTTGAGGGTAAATCCACAGACACCGAGTTTCTCAGTGCTTACCAGAAGCACAGCTTTTCCACACTGCATTCTAGGGCATCAGGAAGACCTCACAGCCGGGAGTAGGGGCACACACCTGCAGTCCCAGCTACTCGGGAGACTAAGGCAGGAGGATCCTTGGGCCCAGGAGTTCAAGGAAGCAGTGAGCTTTGATCATGCCACTGCACTTCAGCCTGGGCCACAGAGCAAGACCCTGTCTATTTAAGAAGAAGAAAAATAAAACCTCACAGAGAATGAAGTGTTATTTACTTTTATTTATTTATTTTTTTAGAAATGAGGTATCGCTCTGTTGCCCAGGCTGGAGTGCAGTGGTGCGATCCCAGTTCACCATAGCCTCTCCCTCCTGGACTCAAGCAATCCTCCTGCCTTGGCCTGCCAAAGCACTGAGATTACAGGCATGAGCCACTATACCAGGCCAAAAATGAAGCTTTACAACTACAGGAAGGAGAGCAGAGAATTTCAGACCAGAAGAAGCCTGGAAGAACAAGGACAACATTCTAGACTGCACGGGGCCTATATGTCATGCTGAGGAGTTTCACTATATACCTGGGCAGGTGAGAACCACCAAATGGCCAGGGCTCCTAGAGAGGGTACAGGCAGATCTCTGCTTTGAAAGGAATCATGAATTCCTTCCTCCAACAAATGTTCGCCAAGCATCTACTCAACATGGAGGCACCATGCGGGACCCCAGAGACACAGACGAGGACAAGAGACGTGGCCCCTCCCTCAGCAACTGTGTGCAGGGCCGACCTGAAGGGCACGGACGCCTGGAGCCTGGGAAGCCACTCAACTGCAGCCAATGGCCAGTGGCCACCAGTAATCCCTGAGAGGACGCACCGATGCTAATTAGGACGGGCCGTACCATGACTTCTGCGTCTTGAGTGACGTCTTTATACCCCGATGGGTCCAGCACCACCCCGCAGGGGTCCGTGTAGAGGCCGTGAATGTGGAGGACGCCGTACTTCATGTGCCCTCTTGCCCATTCAAGGACCTACCAAACATCAAGCCAAGAAAAAGAAACACATCCTCAAACTGTTTCAAACAGAGAGAAGAAAATACTGAAAATGGATTCATAGTTTTTAAACCTATCTTGGAAAGAATCATCGAGAGATGCTTCACTTTACACTTATACCTTCAAAACCTAAGAGAAACTTGGTTGTGAGCCCTAGTTATTCCCGTCCTACGACGGTACAGTCACACCTGTAAAACCTGAGAGAGGATCGGCTGTTAGCGCCAGTCATGCTGGTCCCATGATAGCAAAAGAGCTTCTGGGTGGCTCATACCTATAATCCCAGCTACTCAGGCCAAGGCCAAGACTTGAAGCTCAGGAGTTCGAGACCAGCCTGGGCAACAAAGTGAGACCCTGTCTCAGGGTGGAAAAAAAGGACTTATTTAAAGACAGACAGTTACATAGAAAATGTCTTTAACACTTGAGGTTACAGCAAACTGTTAAGAGTGATTACTTTAGGTGGGCTATGGGGACTTTCACTTCTAAGTTATATGTTATATTTTAATTACTGCTATTTCTGTATTACTTCTACACACCCAGAAAAAAATATACATATGTATGTGGAGAAAAGTATTTATCAAATGGCTAAGTGCATTCCTTTCAGTTCAAGATACAGAACGCAGGACCTTATCAAGATACAGAACACGGGACCTTACAAAGATGCCCATCGGGTCACTGTCAAGTCATCTTCACCCCGGAGCCCGCACAGCAGCAGGTGGAATGGACACAAACACCAACAGCCCTGCTGCCATCACTGGGCGGTGAGCCAGCTGGCAGTTCTGTTTATGCAACTGGCTGTCTGTTTCCAACAGCAAGCCCCAGCAGTGGGGACCATGTGGCTCAGACGCAGAGAGCAGATGTCTACTCCATGGCACTACCGGCAGGAGTGGGTGCCTTGGCCCTGCCCGCTCCCCTCAGGCGGCCCTGCCCCCGTGTACACTGCCCCGTGCCCCGTAATTCAGTCTCTTTGTACACAGAGCGGGGCCAGGGCCTTACCTCACAAGGCAGCCCAGACAACACAGGCAGCAGTGTTAGTTATGAATAACATAAGCAGACACACAAAGGTCACAAGTATGTCACAAAAGAAATATCAAGAGTCACATGAAACTACGCTCAACCTTTAGTAACACAAGAAATCAATGTTGAAAATTTCAGCTATCAAATGGACAAGGTGTATTTCATTTTGTTTCTTAATAACACCATGTGTTGGCAAGATACAGGAAATGGATACTCCCACACTCAGCCACTACCGGGAGTGTAACTGGTGCTCCTTCTGGAAAACAATTTGGTAATTTACATCATCAGTCTTTAAAACATTCATACCTTTTGACCATAAAACTCTTCTAGGAATTCATCTTGAAAACAGGACATAAAAGTATGAGGACCCTGTAGTGTTATTTATAACTGTAAATATATGCTAACTGATATAGTCTGGACATTTGTCCCCACGAAAATCTCATGCTGAACTGTGATCCCCAGTGCTGGAGGTGGGGCCTGGTGGGAGGTGCTTGGATCACGGGGCAGGATCATCCCTCATGGCTTCGTGCCATCTTCGTGACAGTGACTTCTTGAGAAATCTGGTCATTTAAAAGCATGTGGCACCACCCCCCTGCCACTCTCTCTGTTGCCATGTGGCATGCCTGCTCCCACTCTGCCTTCTGCCACTATTGGAAACTTCCTGAGGCCTCCCCGGAAGCAGATGCTGCTATGCTTCCTAGACAGCTGTGGAACCGTGAGCCAATTACAGCTCTTTTCTTTATATATTACCCAGTCTCAGGTATTTCTTTTTTTTTTTCTTTTGTTTTTTGAGACAGGGTCTCACTCTCTTGCCCAGGCTGGAGTACAGTGATCTCAGCTCACTGCAACCATCTCCCTCCCAGTTCCAGCTATTCTCCTGCCTCAGCCTCCCAAGTTGCCAGTGTGCCACTTTCCATTATTACTTTTTTTTTTTTAAGAGAAAGGGTCTTACTCTGTCACCCAGGCTGGAATAAGTGGCATGATCATAGCTCATTTCAGTCTGGAACTCCTGGGCTCAAGCAATCCTCCCACCTCGGCCTCCCCAGTAGCGGGGACTGCAGGCAGGCGCCACCATGCCTGGCTACTTTATTAGTAATTCACTGCTACAAAGTGAGAGCAGCTCCCAGGGCACAGAACTCCCCACACCTGCAGGCTGCCCGCAGCCCCAGCCCACACCTTGGTCTTGTCCTTCAAGTCCAGGGACTCCATGGGCTTGTTCTGCCGCCGGCCAAAGGCCTCCCGCACCCCCAGCCCATACCTTGGTCTTGTCCTTCAAGTCCAGGGACTCCATGGGCTTGTTCTGCCGCCGGCCAAAGACCTCCCGCACCCCCAGCCCATACCTTGGTCTTGTCCTTCAAGTCCAGGGACTCCATGGGCTTGTTCTGCCGCCGGCCAAAGACCTCCCGCACCCCCAGCCCATACCTTGGTCTTGTCCTTCAAGTCCAGGGACTCCATGGGCTTGTTCTGCCGCCGGCCAAAGGCCTCCCGCACCCCCAGCCCATACCTTGGTCTTGTCCTTCAAGTCCAGGGACTCCATGGGCTTGTTCTGCCGCCGGCCAAAGGCCTCCAGCAGGTTGTCATAGTTGGTGGTCAGGACCATGGCGCCCCTGTCCATCAGGCTGAGGATCGACTGCAGCACCACAGGACTCCGGATGTGCTGCTCCAGGTCGTCAAACACCTCCATCAGGCAGTCCTGGAAGAAGCTGGGCTTGGCATCGCCTGTGCGCTACAAAAAGGTGGAACGACAGTTACCAAAACATCAGCTCTTAACAACTACTGAGCACCTAAGCAGGCCATTTTCTGGGTGCCAGAGATACAGCGGCTGAAAACAAAGAAAATCTGGCTTCACAGCGTGCGCCGCAACCCCAGAGCAGGGGGACAGGGGATGCTCACGTGTAGCACGCCACCGGTGACGCTGCCACAGGAAAGCACGGCAGAGACGGGGGCAGGCGCTGTCAGGGGAGGTGGACAGGACCAAGACACTAGGCAAGCCTCTCTGAGAAGAGGGCATCTGAACAGGGGCCTGAGGAGGTGAGGGCTCGTGGAGAATGTTCTAAGCAGAGGGAAGAGCAAGGGCCACAGCACTGAGGTCACGGCTCAGGTACGTCCCAGGTCAGCAAGAGGCCACGGAGGCAGGAGAGGAGTGAGGGGAAGAGTCGGCAGCAGAAGCAGATGACCTGGGCCTTGAGGACCACTGTAAAGACTCTGGCTTTCCCTGAGCGCTGCACAGTCCCAGTTTTCTCTTTCTCGGTGGTAATGAAACAGCGTGTCTTCGTGGCACCTTCAATGAGGCGGGAGGCAGTGTTTCTTTTTTCTTTTTCTTTTTTTGAGATAGGGCCTTGCTCTGTCATCCAGGCTGGAGCACAGTGGTGCCAGGATAGCTCACTGCAGCCTCCAACTCCTGGGCCCAAGCGAGCTTGCCACCTAAGCCTCCCAAGTAGCTAGGGCTACAGGTGCCACCACCACACCCAACTCATTATATTTTTTAAAAATTTTTTTAATTTAATTTTTTATATTATTTTATTTCATTTTTCATTTTATTATTTTATTTTTTGAGACAGAGTCTCACTCTGTCACCCAGGCTGGAGTGCAGTGAGTGGCACGATCACGGCCCTCTGCAGCCTTGATCTCCCAGGCTCAAGTGATCCTCCAACCTCAGCCTCCCAAGTAGCTGGGACTATAGGTGCACACACACCATAACACCTAGTTAATTTTTTAACTTTTTTTTTTTTTTTTTTTTTTTGAGACAGAGTCTTGCTCTGTCACCCAGGATGAAATGCAGTGGCGTGATCTTGGCTCACTGCAACCTCCCCTCCTGGTTCAAGCAATTCTCCTGCCTCAGCCTCCCAAGTTGCTGGGACTACAGGTGCGCACCACCACACCCAGCTAATTTTTGTATTTTTAGTAGAGATGGGGTTTCACCATGTTGGCCAGGCTGGTCTCAAACTCCTGACCTCAGGTGATCCACCTGCCTCAGCCTCCCAAAGTGCTGGGATTACAGGCGTGAGCCACTATACCCGGCCTAAATTTTTTTTTATTTTTTGTAGAGACGAGGTCTCGCTATGTTGCCCAGGCTTATCTTGAACTCCTGCCCTCAAGTGATCTGCCCACCTTGGCCTCCCAAAGTGCTGGGATTACAGGCATGAGCCAGCACACCTGGCCCGTAGTGCCGCATATACTCTGAGAGACACAAGAGGATCAGGACTGAGGCCTGGCCTCCGGAAGCAGCCTCAGTGTTTCACCGGTGGCCTTGACAGGAGCTGTCTCCAAGGGGCCTTGACAGCCAAAGCCTGGCTGGGATGGCTTCAAGAGAAAAAGGAAGGGCTGGTGACAGCAGATGCAGCAACCATGCTGCAGAGCTTTGCTGGGAGGGGACAGAGAGGCGGGGTGGGGGCGGGTTCAGGAGGACACAGGGTCCCCTCTGCCCGGCTCCCAGCCTCATTGTCACCCTCTGCCTCGGCACCTGGGTATCAAAATACCTCCCCTCGCCCTCTGTGCCTGTTCGTGTTGCTTGGCCGGCACAAGAAAACCAAGACTCATAGGTTCCCACTCATCGCCACAGCTCTTCTGACTCTCCCACCACCCAAACCCTCCCACTGTTCCCAGGGGGTCTGCCATCAGCCAACCCCCACATCTCCATCATCTCCTGGGAATGCTCACCTTCTCCCCGACCTGAGACCTGGCTCTATGCATCCCTGAGACCCTTCCTGGGGGCTCCCCTGCACTCCCTGCACCGATGAAGGTGAGGGCTGAGTCTCTCCAGCTGTGCCGTCATAATTTGGGGTGATTCTCATGTCCGCTTGGATGATTCTCCCTGGGATCATGGCCTCTAAATTCCAGCCATCACTCTCCTCCAATAGTCCTGGTCCATCTCAGCCATCCACACATACAGCCCCCAAGGCCTTATCGTTACCAAGACCTGGATCCTTTCCAGAACCTCTGGGCCAGCTTCCCCTGTCCAACCACTCCCTCCCATCTGCCCACCTCTCTAGCACCCTGGCTCCCAGGGAAACTTCAAGCCCATTGAGGCCCGTGAGCTACTGACCCCACTATCACTGACCAGTCACTAGCTGCCCTGCTGTCCTGTCCTGCCTTCTTCCATCAAGCAGCTTAGAGTCTACAATGGATCACTACAACTTCCCCCAATACACTTGCAAGCCCCTCACCCTTCTCTGGTGTTGCTGGAATTCCTGATGCAACCAACTCTCAGCTTCCCCCATGCCTGTTCTCCGACTCTCAACACAGCTGTGTCGACAGCCTCACCTCAACGCTTCCTGATGGAGGTTTTCAAAAACACGCAAAAGTGAACAGAAGAGTTGAATGATGCTCAACTACTTGTTTTCAAGACAAACGATTCTCATTCTAGACAAACAGTCTCTCTTCACCTGAAGGACAACAAGGGCCCTCAGTGCTGCCCAGCGACCCCACTACCCTTCCCTGGCCTCCCTTCGACTCCTCCCTTCTTCTTCCTATGACGGGTGAGCAAATGTTGTCTACAAGGGCCAGAGAGAAAATATTTTGAGATGGAGTTTCACTTTTGTTGCCCAGGATAGAGTGCAATGGCACAATCTTGGTTCATTGCAACCTCTGCCTCCCAGGTTCAAGCGATTCTCCTGCCTCAGCCTCCTGAGTAGCTGGGATTACAGGCGCCTGCCACCACGCCAGGTTAATTTTTGTATTTTTAGTAGAGACAGAGTTTCATCACATTGGCCAGGCTGGTCTCAAACTCCTGACCTCAGGTGATCTGCCTGCCTCGGCCTCCCAAAGTGCTGGGATTACAGGCGTGAGCCACCGCGCCCCTGCCTCAGAGAGGAAGTATTTTAGGCCTTGTGGGCCAGAAAGTCTCTGTTCCAACTACTCACCTGGGCCTGGAGGCATGAAAGCAGCCACGTACTATACGTAAATGAATGGGTGTGGCCGCCTGTCAGAACCTCATTTGCAAAAACAGGCCCAAGGCTGTACATTTCCAACCCCTGGCCTGTGATGAAAGGTGTTCCTTATTAATAGAACACCCATGAGTGGCAGAGTCACCTGACTAAAAACATTTCCCAAGCTCTGCTAGGTGCAGCCCTAGCTAAAACTCTGGCCAATGAGATGAAACAGAAGCGGTGTATGTGACTTCAGTGGTGGCCCTTGAAGCCCCCCACTTCCTCCCCTCCCCGCACTTCCCTCCTCCACGCACTCCCCGCGCACGCACATCATTTACAGCTGCCCGCAGGGCACCCGACGGAAGCTGCCTGTTGAGGGTGGCAGAGCCAGCAAAGAGGGGCCCTGCCCGGCCACCATGTTCTCCTTGGGCTGCCCACCCGGGTCTCTAGGTGGGGATTATAAAGGTGCTCACATGAAGCCATGTGGTTTAAGGTCTCCTTTCACAGCCAACCTCAACTCTCCCACTCTCCTTGGTGACGAGCTCACTTTTTTTCGTGCTCTCTCCTCTGTTCAAACGTCCAACATCTCCTCCCGTCCTGACTCTCAGATGGTGACTGTGCCTCTTCAGTAAATACAAGAGCAGAAGAAGACAATGACTGCCAAGAGCCCCAGCCATAGGGTCCAGCTTCCCAGCCTTTATGGCCACACGCCATAGCTGACGGGGACAACAATGGCCTGCCACGCACCTTCCCCTGCACCAGACCCATCGGCCCCAGGGCCTCGCTCAGGAATAGCTCCTGAATCATCAGTGCTTCTCCTCTCAACTAGATCATCTAGATCATCTCTGCAGCAGACAAAGAAGCTGGAACTTCTCCCATCTTCAGATGTTTTCTAGGAAGCACCTGTCATCTGAAGAAATATGGCCGGCCTGCTTACACCAAACACGCCTAAGGGATATCCCTTCACTAAGTGAATATACAATCACAAAGTTCATACTGAGTGCAGCTGGACAATCTCCCTGAGACGATCTCACACAGTCAGGCTCCATTTAATAGGAGCTACTTTAGGAGCCCCACGCTGCAGTGTGGCTGGCATCCCCTCAATTTTAAAAGACGACACCCCGATGGACTCAAGGATTTCTGGCTCATCAGCCCGACTCTGCTGAGCACTGAACACAAGTTAGGCCTGCAGAGTTTAACATTAGGTTCACAGACTCATCCAACCTGCTGCAGAACCAAGCTGTCCCCAAGAGGTACTTGTCTGACACTTACAGGTGACATCTTCCGGATCAGATCATGGGCGACAACCAACAGGTCCCGGTCCTTTGTCACTTTCCTCCGGAACTCGGCGACGTCTCCGGGGTGCAGCACCTCCAGCTGCTCTGCAGCCTCGATGACGGCCTCGATGCAGCTTCTCCACGAGCAAAGGGCAGGGATTCCGGGGGCCACTGCTGCGCTGACGCCAGTCCCGATAACCAGGAGCAGTTCCTGGGGCTGTTTCCGGATGAGGCTTTTTAAAAACTTTCTACTTGAAAAGAAGGGAGCAAGAGAATGAAAGTCAAAGCGGAAACATTGCAAACACAAAGTCTGGAACTGTCTGCGAGTTCCGGCCTTGTGCTGTGTACACACACACACACACACACACACACACACACACAGTCCCCTCTGACGCTGTGGGGAGACGGCCTGTGTATCCTTCTTTGCGTATTTATTTCACATGTTCTACCCTTATTCCTTAAAGGACGTGGGACAGCTGTGTCTCATGCATTTTAAGTTGCCCAGTGTTAAGCTCAATTTAAGTGATACATATCATTCCTTTGAAGCTGCACACAGGTTATGAATACAAACGATGATGACAAAATGACCCCTGCTTGCAGTGACGGATAAGACAGTTACTGGCAAATGCTGGTTTCCTGCCACCCACCAATCCCAACAGTAAGTACCTCTTTATCGCGCTTCACTTTATAGCAAACACAAGCTGCTGTCCATCTGTAGTCAAAGAATTCTTTCTTAGGAAGCCTGACACTCCCAGTTCTAGACATGACACCTCTAATGACATGTTGCTTGGTTTGGAGACTGGGCAGAAAGCTGCCTTCTGGAACGTTCCTTACATTGAAGCCAAGGGTGGAAAATGGCCCTCGAGGTTCTCTCATGCCCCAGTGTTTCCATTTCACTTTCGCCCTTGCAGGTACTAAAGAACGAGTGCGCACACTCACGAGAGACGCTAGATGAAGTCAATGAAGCTGCTTGAAGGTATAGTTGCCTTTAATTACCTGGATTTTTGTTCACTTCTATTTGTTGTCTTTTCCACTGAATCCATCTGTGAATTCTAAAGAGAAAAATTAGTCAGAAGTGACTTCTGTCTCCCAGGTAAAAGTTTTTATTTGCACCCTGGAAGATAGTTAAGGCTAGAATTAAAATCAAAGGTCCTCAATCTTTACTTAAATTATAATATCTGAAAAATGTCATACGCAAATGACGTACATCCAAAATGCTTCCTAAGCCACCATTCCTCATCTCATGAGACTCATCAGGCTGGTTGGACTCTCGCTGTTCTACACGGGACAGCACAGAAGGAAAACGCACACACAGGAGCAGATGAAGGATGGGCTCTGTGGGCTCCGAGCTGGGGTTTTCGCTGTCTCTTGGGACACTGCTCTAGAAGAATTTCCAGTGCACATGAACACAGATGACTTATCAGAGAAGCAAAACACAGCAAGCGGCACAACAAAGCGAAGCCAGAGGCGGTTTTGCAGAGGAAGCCAACGAGTGCTCTAAGGTGCAGAGCACTGGACTGGAGCATGGCCATCCTCAGCATCGGCACCAGCTCCAAGGCACCAGCCCTCCCCTCGGCCTTACTGAAATCCACTCTAAAGAAGTCATCCAAGTAAAAAGCCAATTCTTACCTTATATAAAAACAGAAATCCCAAACCATCTGGGTCTCTTTCACCAAGCTATCTCCATATTCTTTAATTTTTCCAAAATCAGACCAGGCATGGTGGCTCATGCTTGTAATCCCAGCATTTTGGGAGGCCAAGGTGGACTGCTTGAACTCAGGAGTTCAAGACCGGCCTGGGCAATACAGCAAGATCCTGTCTCTACAAAGAATAAAAAAATTTGCCAGGCATGGTGGTGCATGCCTGTAGTCCCATCTACTAGGAAGGCTGAGGTGGGAGGGTCGCCTGAGCCTGGGAGGTTGAGACTGCAATGAGCCATGGCCACGTCACACCACTCCACTCCAGCCTGGGCAACAGGGTGAGACCTTGTTTCAAAAATAAAAAATAAATAAAAAATAAAAATTTTCCAAAATCGCGTTTCCCCCCAATTCTAGAAATAATATCTACTGTAAGCAAGGAAAAATACAGAAAAATAAGGTTTTGCCTATAATCCTATGACCTGTGAGCAGTAACTGTTAACATTTATATATTCCCTCTACTCTCTTTTAAAAATGTTTACAAGGGAGGCTGAGGCAGGAGAATCACTTGAACCCAGGAGGTGGAGGTTGCAGTGAGCTGAGATCGCGCCACTGCACTCCAGCCTAGGCAACAGAGCAAGACTCCGTCTCAAAAATAAACAAACAAACAAAAGTATTGACATAATTTGAGAACACAGTGCATATCCTACTTTTTCATGCATTAAAATAAATACATCTCCTTTATGTTATTAAAAACTATTCATAAATGTAAGTGTAATGTATATATATGGAATTCTCTCTTACTGACACATGTCTGATGCAGAATGTTAGTATAACACCCTGACCACCGACTTAGTGCACAAAGCCTGTATATTGTGAAATTATTTATTTAGGAGAGATTTCTGAGAAGAACTGCTGAGTTAGAGAGTATGAACACTGTAAAATATCTTAGCACACACCACCAAACCGCTTTCCAGAAAAGTGGTCAGCAGAACACGTCAGTGCTCGCTTTGCCACATCCAAACCAGCACTGACTGAAAATGACTTTGGCAGAGTACGCTGGCTCACATCTGTAATCCCAGCACTTTGGGAGGCTGAGGTGGGAGGATCCCTTGAGCCCAGAATTTCAAGACCAGCCTGGGCAACATCATGGGGAAACCCCATCTCTACAAAAAATACAAAAATTAGCCAATGTGGTGGTGCTCATCTGTAGTCCCAGCTACTTGGAAGGCTGAATGGTAAAATCACCTGAGCCCAGGAGGTTGAGGCTGCAGTGAACCACGACTGTGCCACTGCACTCCAGCCTGGGTCGCAGAGTGAGACCCTGTCTTAAAAAGAAAAAAAAAAAGAAGAAGAAGAAGGAAGAAAAGAAAAAGAAAAATTACGTGTTTGTTTGTTTTTTTTTGATGGAGTCTCGCTTTGTCACCAGGCTGGAGTGCAGTGGCACAGGCCTGCGCCACCACATCCGGCTAATTTTTGTATTTTTCATAGAGACGGGATTTCACCATGTTAGCCAGGATGGTCTCGATCTTTGACCTTGTGATCCGCCTGCATCGGCCTCCCAAAGTGCTGGGATTACAGGCATGAGCCACAGCAACTGGCTGAAAAATCACTTTTTCACATGTGTAATCTTCACTCACACACACACACCCAGCCACTAGAATCAGGTCATCAAAAGTAATTTTCCAGGGTAAGGAAACAAGGCTTAATCAGTCCATAAGCATCATTAGATCGCAGAGCTAAATGGGATCCCCGTTATCCTTTGAAAATGTAAACAACTACCTAAGTCCATGCATATATTTTCCTAGGGAGAGTTCACAGCTTCCATCAACTCCCAAACATGTCTGCGACCTTACCCCAAATGCTAAGAAATCACAGTCCACAGGCAAAGAAAACGAGGCTCACAGATGCCTGTAACCTGCCCCAGGGAAAGACTGGCAGAGTCCGGGCTGGGGCTTGGCCCTAACACATCCTTCTTCCCATTGAGGAGTTAACATCAGTCATCAAACTAATCTTTTGTTTTTTTAATCTACTAGATACTTTCTAAGGAAAGTAACAGAAGTTGAGTTTCTCCGCTGTATAATATAATCCCTCCACCATCTATTAATAATATAAGCAACTCTGGACCCCACCCCTGAGATTTCAATGACTGATTTAACTGTTCACCAATCCTCAGTTTTATTAACCATAAAACATGGATTCTTGCCAATGGGCCGAGTTTTGAAAGCTCAGGCCTCTGTATGAAAGTGCTCTGGCAGCTGGAACTGCTGAGTCCAACAGCTCAGGCTCTGGCCTGTGGATGAGGCGGCCTGCACACTCCCGGCCTCCTGCTGTGGGGCAGGACTTGGGAGCCACTCCTGTTCAATCCTATTTGGAAGGGGACGATAAGAGGGCTCATCAGCTGGCTAATTCAAGTGCCCCCTACTCCCGCCCCCCAAAATAATCCACATCACTTCCAAATAGTTACTCCTCCCTGTCTATGAGAAGGGCTTGTTTAGTTCAGCCGTCTGTACACGACATTTTAGACTATTTTTTAAACACGCACTGGTCAACCAGTGACGTAAAAAAACCACATGCCTAAAACTGTTACCACAGTAAAGAACTTTCAAAATCTACCTCTAGTTCTTTCAACCACTGTTCAATTGCTTTCGATTCTCCACATATAAGTGATTATGGTTACAAATTCAAATCCTAAATACTGCATTTACACATCTTCAAAAACAGTATGAACAAATTAAACTTTTGCAGGCTATATTTAACTCCGAAATTAAGTGATTTCAAAGTTTCTCAAAAGAACGAGGTATCACACTATTCCTAACACTTACGTAACAGGCCACAGCTCGCACTCCTGGGTGGTCTGTGGCTCGCTTAAGTGCTCAAAACCTCTTTCTCAGCCTGAACTGCAGGTCTGGTGCTGGCTCCTCAGACAGTATTTCAAACACAACCACACGGAGTCCAACCTCAATAGGCAGATGGGCCTCTAGACTTTAATACTGATGCATACTTTTAAGGATCAAAGGAGCCAACACGGAAAGTACCCAATTATATAAAAACTCAACACAGCAACTCTGCAACTTGAACTGCACAGTTGCCCATATTTAGACATTTACAGTTCATTATCACACTACATGTTTAAAGACATTACCTCATTTCCTGTTTTACAGCAGCCTAAACATCAGAGTCAAATCTCACAATAATCTAGAAATTACCCTAAATCTCCCCCTTGTTTTTAAACCAAAATCCAAGTAAGGTGATCTCAAAAGCACTCGGCACCAGGTCCTAGAAGTTTCAGCAGGACAGCAAGCTCCAGCGTTCTGCTCCCATCCAAACACCGTCTAAGCCAATCAGATCCCAGAAAACAGTAACAAAACCCTTCGGAGGCCTTTCAGACGCTGCATCTCTCGGTTTCCTTAGTGACTATGTCGTCACCACGGTGTGTGGGCCCAGAGCCAAGTCATCATAGCAACCCTTCTTTTTTTTCAAGGACCTATCAGCATTTCTGAAAGCAAAATCTGGCCCCAGCAGAGATTCTTATAAGCAGTTCCTGTCTTTTTTAATCCAAAGCCAAACTCTTACCAGGATGCTGTCTGCTTAGAACTTAAGATCACTAGCATTTTATAAACTAGCATAGAGTAGCTAGAGACTGTCTTATTCTTCAAACCCTGGCATCCAGCACTACGTAAACGTTCATCAAACGGAGTTCAATGCAAAATACAAGCTACCAAAATCGAACTTGTTATTTACAGGTAGTAAAACAAAGTACCTCACAACCCTACCGTGGTAGGATGTTAATGGCCCCGCCCCTCATGCCTGCTGGCAGCCACACCCTTCTACAGCCCCTCACAGACTCCAGGCTTAGCCATGTGACTTTTTGGCCACTGAGATATCGGCAAATGGGATAACGGGAAGCAAGTACAAGTCCGACACACCCTTTACGACAGAGCCTGTCCCGGTGGAATTCTGCCCTGCAGAGCTCTGGCCTGCCACTTGGTGGGCAGCCGAGGTACCATCCACCCACACAAGAGCAAGGCTGCCTTGGGCCACAACTGCATGAGTGGCCCCAGCGAGCCTGGCATAAGAACCTGCTGGGCCGGGACCTGGGCCTGGCGCTGAGCTAGCAAATAGGCTGTGGCTGTTTAAACCCTGGCGGGACAGGGAGAAGCCCAGAGTGCCAAGGAAAACAGAGCAGATGGACGAATGAACGAACATCACGAGGCTCTGTGGGGAGAGGGGAATGTGTGTCAAGAACTGTAATGATTAAAAGTGGTGTAACAAAAAAACCTTAAATTACTCGCTTTCCATTACAAGCTATATGTTCACTTAACAAGCACAAACCATCAACTGGAAGTGTCCAGATTCTGGGATCCTCAAAAGTATCCTTTAAGAAAACCTTTTCTGTGTGTTTTGAGAGTGAGTTTCACTCTTGTTGCCTAGGCTAGAGTGCAATGGCGCAATCTCGGCTTGGTGCAACCTCCGCCTCCCGGGTTCAAGCAATTCTCCTGCCTCAGCCTTCCAAGTAGCTGGGATTACAGGCACACGCCACTAAACCTGGATAAGTTTGTGGTTTTTCAGTAGAGACAGGTTTCACCATGTTGGTCAGAGGCTGGTCTCGAACTCCTGACCTCAAGCAATCCACTTGCCTCAGCTTCCCAAAGTGCTGGGATTACAGGTGTGAGCCACTGTGCCCAACTTTCTTAATTTCTTTCTATAAATAGATGATCACATGGGCTTTGAGCAGTTTCAAAAAGCAAGGAGATAAGGGTGTCCAAGCAGCATCTGATTACAATGAAGCAAGAGGGACTCAGAGTAAACATAAGCTCAAACTACATCCATCTCACACAGGAGTGAGTGGTGTCACATTTACTCGGCAAAGTTTCCGAATGCTCACCTTTAACTCACCTGTAGTCAATCCACAGTGATCATAAAATGACCCCAGAATTTGCAAAGTCAGACAAGGTCACTGTGACTACAAAGGAGTTGATTTATGTTGAGCCCTTAGAGCAAAGCCCGGCAACACAGTAGGCTATTAGTACCAATATTACCACTGCCACTGTGACAAAAGCGCCTCACACTAAGAAAGCATTTATAAATGTGCTACTGACAGGAGACAAGAGGCTGGGAAATACTAAATTTAATCAGTGTAGCCAGGGTGGATCTTGAGGACTGGAATGTCCTTAAAGGAGGCCAGAATCTATCCACTGCATTCTGACTACACCAAGGCAGCTCTGGAAGACCGGGAGCCTTCAAGCAAGCCCTTCCCAGCATGACCCTCAGCAAGACAGATGACTGCATGCTATGGAAGCTCAACGGCCAGACCCTGCTCATTAATATCCTCCTCTCCCTTCATTCTAGATGTGATTCCCACAAACTTCCTTTTTCACAGCCATCAGGTTCCCACGTAGGCTTGGGAGAGGAGAAGAGTGTGGCGGCAGAAATCACTGAGCAAGGCTGGATGTGGAGGCTCACACCTGTAATCCCAGCACTTTGGGAGGCCGAGGCGGCCGGATCACCTAAAGTAAGGAGGTCGAGACCAGCCTGGCCAACATGGTGAAACCGTGTCTCTAATAAAAATACAAAAATAAGCCAGGTATGGTGGTGCGCACCTGTAATCCCAGCTACTCTGGAGGCTAAGACAGGAGAATCGCTTGAACCCGGGAGGCAGAGGTTGCAGTGAGCCGAGATCGTGCCACTGCACTCCACACTGAGTGACAGAGCAAGACTCCATCTCAAAAATCAAATCAAATCACTGAGCAACAGTCTTCAAGCACATGTGACAGTCATATTTCTAACCACAAATGAACCATCTGCGATCCAGCTGATAGGTTTCTGGTGAGTTTGATTAGCATGACTAGGGTCACCTGAACTGGAAACAAGGCACAAATGGGCAAAAAATTAAGCTTCTGGAACTGCAAAGGAGAGGCTTAGCCTTGAAACCACAACACCCCCACCTGAAGCAGCATTAGGACTAAGGTGCAGAAAACACAGGATCTGGAGACAAGGAAACACCACCCTTTCCCCAGCCAGGTAGACCTCTCTAAACCTGTTTCCCCCAGCCAGGTAGACCTCTCTAAACCTGTTTCCCCCAGCCAGGTAGACCTCTCTAAACCTATTTCCCCCAGCCAGGTAGACCTCTCTAAACCTGTTTCCCCCAGCCAGGTAGACCTCTCTAAACCTGTTTCTCCATCTCCCAAATGGGGATCCCAACATGCACATCACCGACGGGGCTGCTGCAGACATTCAAGGGAGACGCGTATCTGAAAGGCACTTAATAAAGTGTACAGTGTCTGTTACTCTCAACCGCCTCACGCTAGCACCACTCTTCCAAGGCAGTCACCACAACTACATTTCAGTGTAATCATGGTTCTGGTAAAACTTAATCTCAGCCATTACTAATAATAAGGGATCTTCAGGATGAGTTATTTTCTTCAATTTACAGAAAATATGAACCCTTAATTTGAACGCACTCCACTTAACCAATTACTTTTTATTCTGTTGAACTTAATTATAATGGGAAAAATGCCTTATTTTGTAATGATGGAAATAAGTTAATTGGATTCCTGAAACCAGTCCCACCAAACAGAGCTGCTTGGACGTATACACCCAAACCAGGAAAACAGCAAAACCCACCACTAGAAAAAGAATCTAATTCAAATTTAGTTTAATTTGGTCACAAATTAATTCAAAGAGCAACATTAATTACTGCCACTTTTTCAGCCTTTAATAGAGATTCAAGGGAAAATGCTAAGCGTTTTACACGCACTATCTCAGTTAACCTCAATAACCCGATGAGGTGGCGACTCCTATGACCCACAGCCTGGCCAAGGCCGATAGTGAACCCTTCTAACAGGCCAGCCCCAAGTTGTGTATTATATATTCTTGCGCCTTTCTTCCTAACATCAGTGCAGCTTGAAATGGCAAACAAATATACCTGATATTTTACTGGGAACTCTGCCATCCACTAAAGCATTCAGCATTTTACATACAGTTTGTCCACCAGATGTGACACATTAACTCAAATAAACGTGTTACTTAACAAGCCAATGTTAAAACACGCCAAGACAGAGGCCAGGGGCTTGTGGACCCACCTGCCTTTACCCCACCTCAAGAGGATACGTAAGACATGTTCTAGAAGGTAAACCTCCAACAAAATGTAAAATGACAGAATTTCAGAGCGGGCAGGATCTTAAAGGTTACATGAAACCAAATGCCCTAATTTTTCAGAAGTGAAAATTGAGACTAAGAGACAGTGACTTTGTCAACTTCCCCCACGGGGCTGGGAACAAGCTATAAAGTAACTCCTGGCTCATGTCCCATACCCTTCCCACCGGCCTGGGCATTGTCTGGTCCACTGTGACCCCAACACTTTAAGGCACTCATTTCTACCTCTTTACCACCAAATCATTACAAATAAGGCACAGTTTAGTTTTCTACAGTTTCTCCTTCCCCGGAAATGTTGAAAGAGTTGCCATTAGGCAGATAGAAGAGGCGGCAGGCAGAGCAGCTCCAGGAAAAAGACCAGCCCCTGCACAGTGTGCTTATCATTCAACTGTCCATGTTAGCTTGGGGGGCGGGGTGGGAACAGATAAGGAGGGCCACATGGAGGAACAATGCTACCAACTCAAGAGGACGGCATTTTCCTGACAAGGAGATGCTGCAGGCTCCTTGGGGGAAGGAGGTAGGATACAGCAGCAACAGCCTGGCCAACAAATCAGTACTGGCTGAACTCCTTACTACCTGGGCAAGGACTCATTCCTGAGCCTATTTACTTTTTCTACAAAGGAAAGAATATCTTATACCTCCTAAGGTTGCTGGAAGCATTAAATGGAATAAAAGAACAAAGCCTGGAACAGTGTGCTTCCTACTACACCCTAGATGTGTGATAGGGAATCCTTCCTAGATTTAATTAAAATTAAAGCTAAATAAAATTAAACAGCTGCGTCACATTAGTCATATTTTCAGTGTTCGGCGGCCACAAGCGGCCAGTGTGTACTGGACAACAGTCATTACATTTTGGTTACCACAGGAAGTTCCATTGTGCAGTTATCCCTGAGTCTGTCTCTCCCTCACCTAAGCCCAGACTTCAACAAACAAGTCCTGTAGATTTTTCTTCCTAAATCTGTTTAATCCATACCGTCTGCCACAGTCTTAAAGCCCTCACAACTTGGCTGGGAGTGGTGGCTCACACCTGTAATCCCAGCACTTTGGGAGGCCGAGGCGAATGGATCACCTGAGGTTGGGAGTTTAAGACCAGCCTGGCCAACATAGTGAAACCCCGTCTCTACTAAAAATACAAAAAGTAGCTGGGCAAGGTGGCAGGCGCCTGTAATCCCAGCTACTTGGGAGGCTGAGGCAGGAGAATCGCTTGAATCTGGGAGGCAGAGGTTGCAGTGAGCCGAGATCGCACCATTGCACTCCAGCCCTGGCAACAAGAGCAAAACTCCATCTCAAAAAAAAAAAAAAAAAAAACCCTCACGACATGTCTGACACTGAAAGGCACCTGCTTCCAGTTCCAGCCCCTCTAGTCCTCTAGTCCCACATAGTCACCAGAGGGAAATTTCTGACACATCTGAACTTGTCTCCCCTCCAACAGCTTTGCATTTTGTTGAAATCTCTACTTGGTCTTCATCCTGTTTCCCGTCTTACTACTCCTAGAATCCCTGGAATCTCCAAAGTGCTGTCATTTTGTATGCTAATGAGCTGATTGACGCAGATAGGCCCTGGGCAGCTTCAGAAGGGGGCTTATCACCAGAAAGACCAAGGCAGGATTAGATCCTTGGAACTTTCAGCCCCACCCACTAACCTGGGGAAGAGAGGGCTAAAGATTACGTTGATCACCAAAGGCCAATGGTTTAATTAAGCATGCCTACATGCTTAAGTCGTCTCCATAAAAGGCATAAAAGGGCTGGGTTCTGAGAGCTTCCTGAGAGATAAATACAAACATGCCGAAGTTTCTGGAGAATGGTACACCCCGGGGAGGGCACAGAAGCTCTGCACAGCATCCCCCACGCCTCACCCTACGCATCTTCTCATCTGTGTCCTTTGCGATATCTTTCATAACAAACCAGTAAACCTGAGTGTTTCCCTGAGTTCTGTGAGCTGTTCCATAGCAATTTTGAGACAGTCTTGCTCTGTCTCCCAGGCTGGAATGCAGTGTCAAAATCTCAGCTCATTGCAACCTCAGCCTTCCGGGTTCAAGGGATTCTCGTGCCTCAGCCTCCTGAGTAGCTGAGATTACAGGTGCACACCACCATGCCCAGCTAATTTTTTGTATTTTTAGTAGAGATGGGGTTCTGCTATGTTGGCCAGGCTGGTCTCGAACTGCCGACCTCAGATGATCTACCCTCCTCGGCCTACCAAAGTGCTAGGATTACAGGCGTGAGCCACCGCGACTGGCAAATTAATCAAACCTAAGGAAGGGTCATGGGAACCCCAACTTGAAGCTGATCGATCAGAAGTTCCAGAGGCTCAGGCTTGTGACTGGTGTCCGAAGGGGTGGAGGGCAGTCTTGGGGGACTGAGCCCTCAACTTGCGAGATTTGATGCTATCTCCAGGTAGTATCAGAACTGAATTGGAAGATACCCAGTTGGTGTCTCTTGCACAAATGACTGCCCGCTTGGTGGCAGGGAGAAACCTCTCCTCACATTTGGTCACAGAAGACATCTCTGTTGATTGTCGTTGAGTGAGATAATAGAAAAAGCACGATGGGTGGTTTTTCCACACACAGGTTCTCTTCAGGACCCCTAGCCCAGCATGGTCCTGGCCCACCTCTGAGACTCAGCCTCTCCCCACCCTGCCCCACTGCGTCCTGTGTGGTCATTAGACTATGGTGAAGCACACACACACAGTCACCATGAAGCACTAAGGCGACCACAGACCCTACGGTAATAGGACAAAAACCTCACTTAAAGTTCAGACCCCAGGCTCAGACAGGAAAGAGCGGGAACCAGTCTTCTGGGCCTGGGCTTTCAGAAGCTTAGCCCCGTTCCAGAAAGCCACAGTCCCCCACTACCACCGCCTTGGTCCAGGTCACCCCCATCTCTCATAGGGTCTTGCTTCCTCCAAAAAAGTCTCCCCACCACAGCCACATGGATGGTTCAAAAACACACCAACTCCCGCCCCTCTCCTCCCAAAGCCCTTCAATGGCCACCCACTCCCTTTAAGTACCAAACCCTCCACTCAGCTTAAACTGGGCATGCTTTGGTCCTGACTGGCTCTCAGAATCACACCCTCTTTCTTGTCACTCCCACCTCAAACCCAGTACTCTGCAAAAGTCCCAGCTTCTCCCATACCAGGTCTCTAGCGAGACACTTCCCTCACTTCTCCCCCTGACCACCTCCCACCTTCCTTCAGCTCAGCTGGATCATTTCTCAGGACAATGGCAGGTGCAGTCGTTCAAGAAAGGGCCAAGGGCACGGTGGGCCTCCGGGAGCAAAGCTGGGTTCTCCGCAGTTAGCATTCACTCCCACGCCACCTTCATTAGGTGTGCTCCAGCCACACCTCCCGCCTTCCAACACTGTGTGCCGTGGCAGCCTCTCTGCCTTTTGACATACTGGCTGTCCCCTGAAACTCTGCCTGGAATGACCCTGGCAAACTTCTCCTCTAGCTCAACCTTCAAGAATCAGCTCACCTGCTGCTTAGCATCTCCTCCCCACGACTCCTAAGACGCCCTCCTTAACACCCACCCCTTCCCAGAATCCCATGCCCACCCAGATGGGTTCCCTGCCAGCGACGACACAGCTTCCTCCAGATAAAAACGACCTACTTGTCTTATGCCCCAGGTCCCTAGGCCCTGACAGCAGGGACCGTCTCATCTCTATTTCCAGTGTCAATTCCTGGAGCCTATCAGGCATTCAAAAACAAAATGTTAGTTCCTTGAATGAAAAAATTAAGGAGGAGACAACCTAAAAGCGTCCCCATGTGCCCTAACTCGCTCCCTCCCCGGTTCGGCCGCCCTCGGCCACCTCAGGTCTCCTGCTCTATAGACTGTCCTGTGGGGCCACCTGAGTCTCAGCAGAACATTAAAACTTAAACCCGGCCCTGCACCTGCAGGCGCGGGGACCACAGCTTAGGAGGTGGTCGTCGGGCGCGCTGTTACCGTCTTAAGTTATCACCAGACCTGGGAACACTTCCACCCACGCCCCGCAGGTCCAGGGACCTCAAGTTGGAGAAACCTAGCCCTGAGATCAGGTCGGAGAGGGAGCCTCAGGGTGGGCGGCACGGGGACCCGGGGTCTCGCGGGGCTAAGGACACTGGGAACCACGGCTCCCCACAGGAAGATGCCCCGGGCCTGGGGGCTTCTGAGGAGGTTGCTGGAAGCAAGTCCCAAGGGAACCTCGAGAGTTTCCGGAACCAACAGTTCTCAGGGCCCACTAGCGGCCGGGGTCCTCAGGGGGTCTCGGAGTCCAGAGAAAATCTTGGAGTTTCGGGGTTCGCGGGCCTGGAGGGGCAGGGCGGATCCTGAGGGGGTCTCGGGGGCAGGGGCTCCAGGGGAAGAGCTGAGAGGGAGTCCTGGGGTGGCCCCGGGGCCGGGGCGGATCCTGAGGATCTCGGGGTCCCCAGGGGCTCCGGATGCAGGGACCGCGGGCCCGCCCCGCCCCCTCACCTGCGGCGCCTCCGAGACGCTGGTCCCAGCTCGCGCTGCCACCTCTTCGCCTCCGCAGCCGGCTACGCCTCCGGGGTCTCTCGGCGGCCGCGCACCCCTGACGCTGGGCGGGGCAAGGGGATGGTTCTCGGGGAGGGGACTGCGCAGGCACGCGGGCTAGAAGCGAGAGCGAGAGCCGGAGTCGGAGCCAGAGCGGACGCCACGCCGCCTCCAGGCGCCCCTCCGCGTTAGCCGGCAGCGGCGCCGCCGCAAACCCTTCCCCCGCGCGCCCGCCCCAGCCGCGTGAACGTTCCGTCCCGAAACCAACGGCCCCGCGGTCCCCGGAGGCCCCGCCCCGGGGAAGGGCGAAGCCAGGACGCGCGCCCCGCCCCGCCCCGCCGCCAGATCCTCTGGCACCGCCCACCTCGGTGACCACGGTCCCGCCCACCGGGGAGGCCACGCCCCCGGGGTCTCCAGCGCAGGCGCGGTCGGATGTGCGGGGGAGGGCTTGCGCTGGGGAGCGCTTGGGCCTAGAGTCCGCGTCCTAGCCCTACCTGGCCCGGCGAGCCGCGCGTCCCGTTTCCTCATTTGCAGAAAGGGGGCGGGAGCACTTTGCAGGGACGTGGCGAGCATCAAGTGCGATCGGAAGCGCTCCTTTGCAACTGCATCCTGCACCACACTTAGGCACAGCTTCTGTCCCCAACCCAGACCTGAGGCTGGTCTCCGTCCCCCAGCAGACTCCTGCCCGCTTAAATTGGCCAGTCACCAGCCCTACCTTCTTTCTTTTTCAGAGTACTTGTCACTCTCCGAAATTAGGTACGCTTGTGACTGGCTCCCACTTCCCCTGAGAGCCGGTACCTTGTCCGTCTTGTCCACTGGGGGTTCCCAGAAGCCAGCACGGCGCTGGGCACACCATGGCCGCCCACATGTTTGTGCGTGCGTGAGTGTCTTCCCCGCGCTCTTCCCTCATCAAGAAATACTCTTCCCCGAGGCTGAGAATTTCTCCTAAAAATACAAGAAATACTCTTCCCCAGCTTAGGTTCGATCCGGCGAGGCCCCCTGACTCCTCGCGCATCCCTGTCGCAGGTGCCGCGTCCGTAAAGGGTGTGATCCTAGCACCTACCTTGTGGGTATTGCGAGGACTGAGATTGTGCGTGGGTGGGCTGGGCACGGGCCCCCTAGCGATCTTATTACTCCTCCTTTGTCTGCCACTGAAGTCTTTTACCTAAACAAGACCCAATCCACTTCCTCTTCCCAGCCTGCCCTGCCCAACCTGGAGTCATTTATTACTTCCTGTCTCCTTGGCACCTTTTTTTCCTGCCTGATTTTAAAGTTGGCTGTTAATATCTCCCCCTACCCTAGCCCACCAGAAAGCTCTCATTTTGTGACAGAAGGTAGTGTTGTGTTAGCGGCCTGTGAAATTTTAGGGGGGGCCAGAGCCCAGAAAACAGTGGGAGCAGTGACTCTGGGATGAAGAGGGCAGCCCCTGGGTGCTCTGTATGTGGGGTCAGGCACTCCCTGAGCACTTTGCATGCGTTCCTTCATGGTGTTCTTGGAACAACCCTATGAGGAAGGCGTCTTCATTGTTATTCCAGTTTAACAAGGGGAAGCTCAGGCCCAAGAGGTTGTGTAGTTCCATGCCTCAGCCCACACATGTAACCACCACTGCATACAGCTCCCCAACCCCTGGAGGTGCGACTTAAATGCAAAAAAAGGCCGGTGGCTCACGCCTGTAATCTCAGCACTTTGGGAGGCTGAGGCAGGTGGATCACCTGAAGTCAGCAGTTCCAGACCAGCCTGGGCAACCTGGCAAAACCTCATCTCTACTGAAAATACAAAAATTAGCCGGGCGTGGTGGCGGACACCTGTAATCCCAGCTACTCGGGAGGCTGAGGCAGGAGAATCACTTGAACCCGGGTGGCAGAGGCAGCAGTGAGCTGAGATCATGCCACTTCACTCCAGCCCGGGCAACAGAGCGAGACTCTGTCTCAAAAAAAATTTTTTTTAATGCAAAAGATATATAATTCAGTTCATGAACACCTGCTCCTGTACTGGGTGCTGAAGCCCGAGACCTGTGGGAGATGTGGCCCCTTCCCTCATGGAGCTCCCAGGCCCCAGCAAGGATTTTGATTAACAGGACCTTATGGGCTGGGTGCTGCCGAGGTCAGTCAGACCCAAGACTCTGCGCAGGGCATCCTCTGAGGGGTGGTGGGACCAAAGCAATCGTAACCTCCAGCCACATTCAGCACCATCTGAGATAGGCTGGGAGCCTCAGCCCCTCCACCCAAAAACTCAGCCAGTCAGCCTTACAAGAGCAAGGACAGCAGGAAGGATGCCTCAGGAACAAGGGCTCCCCTTTTCCCCACATCTGAGAGAAACACAGCTTTTTCTCAGGTTGTGGAAAATTACTGAGAGACACTGCCCCCTGGGCACCTTGACCATTCTGAGTAGATAAGGGGGCAGATATGGCAGGTTGGCAAGAGGTCAGCGTGGTGCTGATGTGTGGGTGTGACACATCACTGGGCACTGTGGGGTGTCCGTGTCTGTCCCAGCCTCCACGCAGCCGACGTGAGCACAGCTCACACTAATGAAGATGTATGTGCACAGCAAGCCTTGTCGTCAGGAGCCCAGCGACCAGACCTAGTCCATATCTTTCCTTTTTAAAAGTTTTCAAATTAAAATATATTTTTTAAATTTTTAATTATTTTTCATGGAGACAGAGTCTCACCATGTCTCCACCAGTCCAGGCTGGTCTTGAACTCCTGGGCTCAAGTGATCCTCCCACCTCAGCCTCCCAAAGTGCTGGGATTACAGGCATGAGCCACCGCATCCAGCCCAGACTCAATCTATTTGTGTATTGAGGGTATCTTGAGGGGCGTTGGTGCATTTGGAATGTACATACCTGTGTGTGGGCATATACACTACTGTGAATTGAGCACCTACTGTGTGTCAGGCGCTATTCTAAGCTCTTCATAGGCATACCTTTCCTCACTGTCGCTGCCACCCTGCGTGGTAGGTGTTATTAATCTCCTTTAACAGACCAAAAAACAGGCTCAGAGGCGTTAGAGCAACTAGTCCGAGCTGGTAAGTGGGCATCTGCTTGGAATTGCTGCCAGGGTCTGTCTGGCTGCAGAAGGAGCTTTGTTTTGCACTGTCAGAAAAGAGAGAGCCAACAGATTCACAGGCAGGGTCCCTGGTGGGATGCTCTAAAGAATGGACAGAAAGGACACCAGAGACCACATAACAGTCCTCCCATCCTGGAGAGGAAGTTGTTGCTTTATTCTCTGGACAAACCCACATCATAACACATATATGCCCTGCACCGGTGTACAAGAACACACCCCACAGAGATAACACGCACCATGCAATATACACCCTCACACTGTGTGTGTCATTACACATACATGCTGTAAACACACTCATGGTAAAGGAGCTAATCAAGCCTTTTAGAGCCTCCCCACATGCCACCCATGCCCATGTCTATTTCCTGTAGAAACTCTCCTGCTGCTCCCTGCATCCGGGCAGGCTGGCAGGAGGGGCTGTGATGCCATTGCTGAGCAGCAGGCGGGGTGTGTATGGCAGGCAGGGGAAGGGAAGAGGGGAGCCTGCACCTTGGAAAAGTCTCTCTGGCCCTCCTTCTCCGTCAGCTCGTCTCCTTTCCCCAGACCCCACCCGTGCCCCAGCTCAGGACCCCTTACTGCTGGCCTGGAAGTTTTGCAACAGGCTGCTCTGAGGTCTCCACTCACCAGTCCATGTCACCTGCCACCAAGACACGCCATGTCCGGGAGGACTGGCAGGAGCACTGAACAATATCTGCTGAACACCCGCTGTGTAAGGAGCCGAGGACATAGCGGGAAAACCAGCACTGCCCTCGTGGAGCTGACAACATGGTGCGCCAGGCCCCTATTGACTCCAATAAGAATGGCACCATGTCCAAGAGGCCGAAGAAGAGACCCAGAGCCAGTGAATGAGACATGGAGTTTATTGAGGACTTAGATACAAAAGTGATCCAGTGGCAGTGGCCTGGACAGGAGAAACACTATCATTTGTAAAAAGCATGCAATTTATATAGCAATTTTTGTGGAGCCCTCTCCACCTAGCAACCTCCATTTAAGCCACAACAAAGGGCCTGGATCCCCTGTACGGCCTGCATTCCAAGGGACCAACAGGCCAGGGGTTCAGATCTCTTCATAGAAAAGAAGTGAGACTCCTAGTTGGCCACTCCCAGATTCCTTAGCTCAAGACTCCAAACACACTTTCTTCTTAGACCAAAGGGTCATTTTCAGGGTATGCTTAAGTTACTGCTGTCAGGTCCATCTGCCATTCACAGCGTAGTGGGTGGGGAAATGGACAGTGAACCCGGGTGTCAGGGCGTGATGAGGCTATGAAGACAAATGAAGTTGTGTAAGGGACAGATGTTGCTACAAAATTTAAAGGGCAAGACATAGACTGAAGAAATTTGCAAAATATATGTCAGACCAAGGACCTAATCTAGAATATAACAAGAACACTCACAGTTCAATAAGAAGGGGCCAGGCACGGTGGCCCAAGCCTGTATTCCCAGCACTTTGGGAGGCCGAGGTGGGAGGATTGCTTGAAGCTGGGAGTTTGAGACCAGCCTGGGCAACATAGTGAGACCCCTGTCTCAACTAAAAAAATTTAAAAATTAGCCAGACATGATGGTGTACCTCTGTAGTCCCAGCTACTTGGGAAGCTGAGACAGCAGGAGTGCTTGAGTGAAGCAGTTGGGAGGTTTCAGTGAGGTATGATTGTGCCACTGTGCTCCAGCCTAGGTGACAGAGCGAGACCCTGTCTCTAAAACAATAAATAAGAAGAAGGTCAACAACTCAATCTTAAAAATCTGTGTAAGGCTGGGCACAGTGGCTTACACCTACAATCCCAGCACTTTGGGAGGCCGAGGCTGGCAAATTGCTTGAGCTCAGGAGTTCAAGACCAGCCTCAGCAACATGACGAAACTGCGTCTCTACAAAAAATAAAAAAATTAGCTGGGTGTGGTGATGCATTCCTGTGGTCCCAGCTACTCGGGAGTCTGAGATGAAAGGATCACTTGAGCCCAGGAGGCAGAGGTTGCAGTCAGCTGAGATCGCGCCACTTCACTCCAGCCTGCATGACAGGGCAAGACCCTGTCTCAAAAAAAAAAAAAAAAAAAAAAAAAAACCACACTGGGCAAAAGATTTGAACAGATACTTCCCCAAAGATATATGGATGGCAAATAAGTACCTGAAAGCATCCTCAACATTATTATTCGTTAGGAAAATGCACATCAAAAACACAATGAGATACCACTATACACCTACCAGAATGGCTAGGATAGGCTGGGCGCGGTGGCTCACGCCTGTAATCCGAGCACCTTGGGAGGCCGAGGCGGGTGGATCACGAGGTCAGGAGATGGAGACCATCCTGGCTAACACGGTGAAACGCCGTCTCTACTAAAAATACAAAAAATTAGCCGGGTGTGGTGGCGGGCACCTGTAGTCCCAGCTACTCGGGAGGCTGAGGCAGGAGAATGGCGTGAACCCGGGAGGCGGAGCTTGCAGTGAGCCGAGATCGCGCCACTGCACTCCAGCCTGGGCGACAGAGCGAGACTCCATCTCAAAAAAAAAAAAAAAAAAAAAATACCAGAATGGCTAGAATAAAAAAGAGAGATGATGCCAATTGCAATTGCTGGTGAGAATGCAGAGAAACTGGACCATCCATACATTGCAGGTGAGAGTGTAAAATGGTACAGTCACTCTGGAAAATAGTTTGGCAGTTTCTTTTAAAAGTAATTTGCGCCGGGCGCGGTGGCTCACGTCTGTAGTCCCAGCACTTTGGGAGGCCGAGGCGGGCGGATCACAAGTTCGGGAGATGGAGACCATCCTGGCTAACACGGTGAAACCCCGTCTCTACTAAAAATACAAAAAAATTAGCCGGGGGTGGTGGCATGTGCCTGTGGTCCCAGCTGCTCGTGAGGCTGAGGCAGGAGAATGGCATGAACCCGGGAGGCAGAGCTTGCAGTGAGCCGAGTTTGCGCCACTGCACTCCAGCCTGGGCGACAGAGCAAGACTCCGTCTCAAAAAAACAAACAAAAAAAACCATAAAAGTAATTTACACTTACCAAAACATCCAGCAATTGTGCTCTTCGGTATTTATCCCACAGAAATGAAAACTTTATTGATATAATAGCCAAAAACGGGAAACAACCCAAATGTCCTTCAGTGGGCGAGTGGTTACACAAACTGTGGCACATTTATATTGTGGAATACTACTCAGCGATAAGTAAGAGGCCAGGCACGGTGGCTCACGCCTGTAATCCCAGCACTTTGAGAGGCTGAGGGGGGAAGATTGCCTAAGGACAGGAGTTCAAGACCAGCCGGGGCAACATGTTGAGACCCTGTTTCTACAAAAACTAAAAAAAGGAATGGACTCTTTTTTTTTTTTTTTTTTTTTTTTTTTTTGAGACGGTATCTTGCTCTGTCTCCCAGGCTGGAGTGCAATGGCGCGATCTCGGCTCACTGCATCCTCCACCCCCCGGCTTCAAGCAATTCTCCTGCCTCAGCCTCCCAAATAGCTGGGATTACAGGCGCCCGCCACCACGCCCGGCTAATTTTTGTATTTTTAGTAGAGATGGGGTTTCATGATGTTGCCCAAGCTGGTCTTGAGCTCCTGTCCTCAGGTGGTCCACCTGCCTCGGCCTTCCAAAGTGCTGGGATTACAGGCATGAGTCACCACGTACGGCCAGAATGCACTCTTGATATATGCAATCGTTTGAATGGATCACAAGGAAATTATGCTGCATGAAGAAAAGGCAATCTTTTAAAGTTACATAAACTCTATGATTCATTTCTAGAACCGTTTCTGTTTTATTTTTGTTTTCATTTTTAATTTTGTTTTTATCATCCAGCCCAAAATGTCATATAAAACAGTTTTTAAATGACAATATTGTCAAGATGGAGAACAGATTAGTGATTCCCAGGGTTTAGGGGCTGGGGAAGCGGTGCGTGTGGCTGTGCAGGGGTGCAGGAGCCTTGTGGACATGAAGCAGTTCTGTATCTTGATTGTGTTGATGGTAACCCAAAGCTACATATTTGATAAAATTACATAGAACTACACACACACACACACACACACACACACACACACGAGCACTTGTGGCTAGTGAAAGCTGAATAAGCTCTGTGTATCGTACCAATTTGAATTTCCTGGTTTTTGACATAACTGTGTTGTAGTTATATGAGGCATTAACACGGGGAGAGGCTGGGTAAAGGTGCTCAGGACTTCCCTGTACATTTCTTTTTTACAACTTCCTGTGAATCATTTCAAAATAAAAAGGTTTTCTCTAAAAAATGTACAAACGCTTTGGAAAACAGTTTGGCAGTTTCTTTAAAAATTCATCATACCCCGCGGCCAGGAGCGGTGGCTCACGCCTGTAATCCCAGCACTTTAAGAGGGTGAGGCGGGCGAATCACCTGAGGTCAGGAGTTCGAGACCAGCCTGGCCAACATGGTGACACCCCGTCTCTACTAAAAATACAAAAATTAGCCAGGTGTAGTGGTGCACACCTGTAATCCCAGCTACTCGGGAGGCTGAGGCAGGAGAATTGCTTGAACTTGGGAGGCGGAGGTTGCAGTGAGCCGAGACCGTGCTACTGCACTCCAGCCTGGGCAACAGAGTGAGACCCTTGTCTCCAAAAAAAAAAAAAGAGGCTGAGGTGGGGGTGGGCAGATTATCTGAGGCCAGGAGTTTGAGACCAGCCTGGCCAACATGGCGAAACCACGTCTCTACTAAAAATACAAAAAATTAGCTGGGCGTGGTGGGGCACACCTGTAGTCCCTCCTACTTGGGAGGCTGAGGCACGAGAACCGCTTGAACCTGGGAGGCAGAGGTTGCAATGAGCCAAGGTCGCGTTCTAGCCTGAGACTGTCTCAAAAAAAAAATTTTTTTTCATCATAGCCCCATGATATGACTCAGCCATTCCACTCTCCAGTATTTACCCAAGAGAAGTGAAAGCAGATGTCCACAAAGAGACTTGCACATGAGTGCTCACAGCGGCTTTATGTGTGATAGCCCCACACTGGAAACAAAACAGGTCAATGATGGATCCACACATTATAGAATATCCACACAGTGGGGTACTTCTCAGCAAGGAAAAGGAGCAAAGTGTTGATACACGCAGCAGGATGGTGAATCTCAAAATTGTTATGCTGAGTGAAAGAAGCCAGACACAAAAGAGAACATACCATGTGGTTCCATTTATATAAAAATTATGGAAACTGCAAACTAATCTTTAGTGATGGAAAGAAGCTCAGGCTGGGTGCGGTGGCTCACGCCTGTAATCCCAGCACTTTGGGAGGCCGAGGCGGGCATATCACTTGAGGTCAGGAGTTTGAGACCAGCCTGGTCAACGTGACGAAACCCCGTCTCTACTAAAAATACAAAAAATAGCCTGGTATGGTGGTTCAAGCCTATAATCCCAGGTACTCGGGAGGCTGAGGCAGGAGAATCACTTGAACCTGGGAGGCGGAGGTTGCAGTGAACCAAGATTGTGCCATTGCACTCCAGCCTGGGCAACACAGTGAGACTGTCTAAAAAAAAAAAAAAAAAAAAAAAAGATCACTGCAGTACAGGGTGGGCAGGGGTGGGATGGAGGGATTACCAAGAAGCCCAAGGAAGTTTTTGACGAGATGGATGTTATCACCATTGCAGTGGAGCTTTCACAGGTGTATACATTTGTTAAAGTGTATACACAGTGGCCGGGCCAGGCGCAGTGGCTCACGCCTGTAATCCCAGCACTCTGGGAGGCCGAGGTGGGCGGATCACAAGGTCAGGACTTCAAGACCGGCCTGGCCAATATGGTGAAACCCCATCTCTACTAAAAATACAAAAATTAGCCAGTCATGGTGGCAGGTGCCTCTAGTCCCAGCTACTCAGGACGCTGAGGCAGGAGAATCACTTGAACCCGGTAGGCGGAGGTTGCAGCGAGCTGAGATTGCGCCACCGCACTCCAGCCTGGGCGACAGAGAGAGACTCCCTCTCAAAACAAAACAAAACAAACCAAACAAACAAAAAGACTCATCAGATATGTTCTAAATAGGTGCATCTTATTATACATCAGTGCTGCCCCAATAAAGTGGGAAAATCAAGCTGGGTGAGTTGATAGAGGGTGACGAGGAACATATGCCCTTTTATTTAGGGTGCCAATTCTGTCCAAGATTCTGCTCTGACAATTCCTCGGGGATTTCCATTCTTCTGACCGGATGGGTGGCTCCCAGGTTTCCTAAGCCTGGGGATCCGGGCTCCGGGCTCCGGGCTCCATTGGATCAAACTGAATGGCATCCCTTGTGATTGGCCTGAACTCAGAAGAAATTACCCATTTGGGAGCAGCCTTCCCAAGCATCTGACCCTTTTTGCACAGGTGAGGTCAGGGGAGCCCAGAGAGGTTACCTCCTTGCCCCAGATCACACAGCTCACCTAGGGTGAGTAGCTAACCCATGAACCATGGCTGGAGTGGGAGGAAGGTGAAGCCGCCTCTGTGTAGAAGTAGGAAGCTCAGCTGTGAAGTCCCTGCCATCCTGGCCATGGCAGATGAGTCCTACAGACTTGGAGAAGCAAGCTAATAAAACTGCTTCTGCATGGATTTATAATTAGCAGTTTCTATGAAGCCTGAGTCCAGCCCAGAGCTCAGGAGCCAAGCGCAGCAACTCCCGCTCACCCCCACCACCAGCTTGGGCTATTCAGCTCAGGGGGATTGGGGAGAGCTGACTGGAAGCTGGCAAGGACTTGTCCTACCCCTCAGAATCCAAACTTACTGCCTCTGCCCTGGTGCTGCCTAGGAGGGGCCTGGGATCCACATTCTGCAAGGACCCATCCAAAGAGGAGGAGCTGTTTTGTTTGCAGAAGTGGGGGTGGAGGGCCAGGTGTGGTGGCTCACACCTGTAATCCCAGCACTTTGGGAGGCCGAGGCAGGCGGATTACCCAAGGTCAGCAGTTCAAGGCCAGCCTGGCCAACATGGTGAAACCCCGTCTCCACTAAAAATACAAAAATTAGCCTGGGCATGATGGTGGGTGCCTATAGTCCCAGCTACTCGGAAGGCTGAAGCAGGAGAATCACTTGAACCCGGGAGGCAGAGGTTGCAGTGAGCTGAGATCACACCACTGCACTGCAGCCTGGGCAACAGAGCGAGACTCTGTCTCAAAAAAAAAAAAAAAAAAAAAGTGCGGGTGGAGTGGCCGGTAGAGTAGCACCATTGCTTTCTCAGTAACAGGGCTGTCAGGAGACAGAGCAGGGTCCGGCTTTCCCATCAGTTCTCTCCTGGCCTCCGTGGTATCCCTCCGTCCCCACCCAAATACTACCGCAGCTCTGTCCCTCACCTTGGCTGCCTCTCTGGTCCTTAGCCTTTCGTGATCTCAGCAGTCCTGGAGCTTCAAATACTATCATTCATTGCTTGGCGTATCAGAAAGCTTGCCATAGGTTCTTTTTGCTTTAATATGACTGACAAAGTAAGGCTAATGGATTCAGCTGGCCAAAAAAAAAAAGCAAAAACAGAGTCCTCATGAGACTCAGACAGCAAAAGATCAGAGATGCCTGCCCCCTGCTCCCTGCATCCTCATCCCACAGGATGACACTGAAATAAGAGGGGCCCAATAAGGACAGCGTGAGCAGGAGGCACCCCGTTGCTGAGCTGCAGCTGTACCCTGAGGAGGACGAGGAAGGAGCCTCAAACCTCATCAGAGCTGAGGGCCATGAGAAACTCTCATAAAGGCCCCCAGGAAGATGGGAGGTGGGGACAGGGCCATGTGGCAGCAACTCACAAACCTCCCATGCTCTCATGTTCTGGGAGGACCACGGGGAGTTCTGCCAAGGCTTAGACCAGCAGCGGGGAAGCTGGGCCTCTGTGGCCTCTGTGGATACGGGCAAGGACTGAGGGACATCGGCTCTGCTCCGAGCGGTTCCCCTACAGTGAGTGACAACCACCCCTAATGTCTCAGTGGTTTACAATACAAAGGTGAATTTCCTGTCTGGGATCCCTGTTGGCTGTGAGCAGGCTGTGACTCGGCTCCATGCGTCTTCCTCATTCAGGGCCCAGGCACACATAGCAGTCCCGCTTGGGCTATGCTGTTCTCCCGGCAGAGGCTGAGCAACAGCGGAACCATCCAAAGGCTCTTCAAACCTCTGCTCAGAGTGGCCCCTGCCTGTCCCACGGCCAGACCTGACAATGAGGGGCGGGAGGGAGTATAATCCTTTCCAATCCAGGCAGCGAGTATCTGGGAGCAACCATTTGCTCTAACCCCTCTGATAACTCTGACAACTCCAACACGGATATCTGCAGCCCCTTCCTCCCCCGGGGCGCCAGACCTGGATACCCCGTAGCCTGCTACTCAGCCCTACTGATGCATGCCATGCAGCTCGCGTTGAGCCCACCCCGCATTCTGGATTGCCTCTAGCTGAAACTTCGTGTCCCCATTCTGGTTGAGGGCACCACCGTGTGTTCAGTGGCCCTGGTCCCCAACCCAGAGGTCATGCCAGATCCCGTTTCTCCCTCCTCCCCCACAGCCAGTTCATCAGCAAGTTCTTCCGTGTCCCCATCAGAGTTACACTGCCACCCCTCGGCTTCCTGCCCCCAAATCCATCCTGTGCACAGCTGTGAAGTGGGCTTCACGAAGACCGTTCTCTGTGCGAAACTGTTCAGAGCTTCCCATTAGCCCCGGAATAAAATCCAGCCTCCCCATGGTGGCCTCAAGCCTCTCCCACCCTTGGCCACCTCTCCTCTTGCTGGCCTTGAATATTCCAACATTGGCAAAATATTGCTCCTGGCCGGGTGCTGTGGCTCAGGCCTGTAATCCCCGCACTTTGGGAGGCTGAGGAGGGCAGATCACCTGAGGTCAGGAGTTCGAGACCAGCCTGGTCAACATGATGAAACCTCGTCTCTACTAAAAATACAAAAAGTAGCCAGGCGTGGTGGCGGGCGCCTGTAATCCCAGCTATTTGGGAGGCTGAGGGAGGAGAATCACTTGAACCTGGGAGGCGGAGGTTGCAGTGAGCTGAGATGGCACCACTGCACTCCAGCCTGGGTGACAAGAGCGAGGCACTGTCTCAAAAAAATAAATAAGTAAATAAATAAATATATATATATAGCTCCTTAAAGTGGATGCCTCATTCCTCCCATGAACACGGAGCACAAAACACGTGTCCAATAAATAACGACGTGAGTGATTATTATGATGACCAAACTCCTTCCCCTCCTTGCTGTGTGCTGCGTGGGGTGGGGGTCACAAAAATGGATCCAACCTTTACCGGCCCTCCAGTAGCTCAGTCTAGACGCTGCAGAGACACTCACCAGCTGGAACATGGGGGCTGTAATGTAGCGGGGAGCAGGGATACCAGTGGACACGCACTGTTCCACTTCACCCTCACCCCCACCGTGTGCGGCACCCATTTACCAATGAGGAAATGGAGGCTGCAGGAGGTGGGGTAGCTCCTCCAGAAGCACTTGCTGAAAGGTCACCTGGCTGAAAGGTTAAGTCAGACCCCTCTGACTTCAGAGTGACTGCACTTTACTGCCTC
Source organism: Homo sapiens (assembly GCF_000001405.40). Classification (NCBI taxonomy): domain Eukaryota; kingdom Metazoa; phylum Chordata; class Mammalia; order Primates; family Hominidae; genus Homo; species Homo sapiens. The sequence goes on along the minus strand of NC_000022.11, from coordinate 45,297,639 downwards.
GGCAGCCTCTCCCAACAGTCTCTTTGGGGACAGAAGCGGGAGGAATTAATACTCTCTGGGGAGGCCGGGTGCGGTGGCTCATGCCTGTAATCCCAGCACTTTGGGAGGGTGAGGCGGGTGGATCACGAGGTCAGGAGATCGAGACCAGCCTGGCTAACACGGTGAAACCCCATCTCTACTAAAAATACAAAAAATTAGCCAGGCATGGTGGCGCACGCCTGTAGTACCAGCTACTCGGGAGGCTGAGGCAGGAGAATCACTTGAACCCTGGAGGTGGAGGTTGCTGTGAGCCAAGATTGTGCCATTGCACTCCAGCCTCATCGACAGAGCGAGACTCCATCTCAAAAAAAAAAACACTGCAGACTGGGTGGTTTGTAAACAACAGAAATTTCTCTCTCACAGGTCTGGAAGCTGGACACCTAGGATCGGGGTGCCCGCGTGGTGGGGTTCTGATGAGGGCCGCCTTCTGTGTCACACGCTGCAGCCTTCTCACTGTATCCTCACAAGTGGAAAGAGGGCTCCACCCTCATGCCTCATCTCCTTCCAAAAGTCCCACCTCCAGATGCCATCACAGCCAGTGTTAGGATTTCAACCCATGAATGTCGAGGGACACAAACATTCATTGCTTAACAGTGGCCCTGGGGTAAGTATCTGGTCCACCTGGGGCACCCGCCAGCCTGCCTGGGCTGTTGTATTTGTAGCGCTTGGGTAGCATCCACTCTGTAACCAACCCTGCTCTGACAAACCACATCTTCCTTCAGCAACAGGAAGACGGACTGTGATTTTGTCTTGCACGCCCAATGGGGAAGCAGTCTTTCTGCCTGGCTCAGAAGAGAGAGTTGAAGCTTTTGAATGGAGACCCTAGACTGGGACAGCCCCTTCACCCCCCAGGCTGACCTGATGCCCCCTCCCAGGCATCCGGCAGCCTCAGCCCGGAAGTGATAGCTTCTGTCGCTGTGCCTCATTCACCATCCTCTGGTCTTCCTGCTGGAGTGGGAGTGTACTGAGGCCTGGAGCAGGGGGGCTGGGCAGCTCTTCTCTTTTGCTAGCCAGGTATGCATGGCCTCAGAAATTCACCATTTCCACCAGCCCATGTTACAGATGAGAAGACCGAGACTAGGGGCTTAGAGGGTAAGGGAGGGTCAACCAACTTGTTTTTTGTTTGTTTGTTTGTTTGTTTGTTTTTTGAGGCAGAGTTTTGTTCTTGTCACCCAGGCTGGAGGGCAATGGCACGATCTCAGCTCACTGCAAACTCTGCCTCCCGGGTTCAAGACATTCTCCTGCCTCAGCTTCCCAAGTAGCTGGGATTACAGGCATGCGCCACCACGCCCGGCTAATTTTGTATTTTTAGTAGAGACAGGGTTTCACCATGTTGGTCAGGCTGGTCTTATACTCCTGATCTCAGGTGATCTGCCCACCTCAGGCTCCCAAAGTGCTGGGATTACAGGCATGAGCCACCGCGCCCAGCCTGTTTGTTTTTTGAGACAGTATCTTGCTGTGTTGCCCAGGCTGGAGTGCAATGGCACGATCATAGCTCATTGCAGCCCTGCCTTCCTGGCCTCAAGCGACCCTCTCACTTCGGCCTCCTGAGTCCCTGGCACTACAGGCATGTGCCACTGCCTGGCAATTCACATGCCGTAGCCTTGACTGAAAATTAGCCCCCCTGCTCCCACCTACCCTGTAGAGAAACAATTCAAGCCCTCAGTTTGGCATTGATTCATTCATTCACCTTCTCACTCATTCATTCTGTAAGTAGTTACTGAACTAGAACTCATCAGAAGATTTTATTAAGGGTTTTCCTGCAGTTGGAGGGACAAGCCCTGTTTCACCTTCCCTGAAGTCAGGGTGTGACAACCACCGCTGCAGGGCCTGGGGCAAGGCCAGAGAGGAGGATGCTGCTGCCCAGGGGTGGTGCTGGGCTCAGTCTTGGAGCTTGCTGGAATACACCTCAGCCCTGTCCAGTGGCGGCCCCCGGTTCACGGACGTGTAGGAAGACTCCGAGGCCCCCAGCGACTTGGGAACAGCCTCCTGAGTGATTTGGGAGTCGTGAGTCGTTTCCCCATCAGAACTCCCCATGTCCCTGTCCAAGGGGATGGAAAGACCCAGGATTAGGGGACCAGAGCAAACCCAAATGCCTTTAGCTGCTTGGGGACCTTCATACTCAGACATAGCTTTCACAGATATCGTCTTCGTAGACATGAATTCAATCAATCCATCTTTCTGGAGCACTGACCCTGTGCCAGGCCCTGGGAATAAGGAAGAGGTCCACCTTTTGGAATGATGTGAACAACTTATAGGTCTTATTGGGAGCTGGACAATTTGAGGCCATTGTCCCATGTTCCCAAAGAGCTAAGGTTGCAGGGGCAGACTGACTGCAACAATGACCACGCAGCATGGACAAGCGCAGGTGGGAGCTGCAGGAAGGCTTCCTGGAGGAGGCGGCAGCTCACGTGGCCCTAAAGAAGGTGTGTGGGCTGGGTGCAGTGGCTCACATCTGTAATCCCAGCACTTTGGGAGGCCAAGGCAGGTGGATCACCTGAGGTGAGGAGTTCGAGACCAGCCTGGCCAACATGGTGAAATCTTGTCTCTACTAAAAATACAAAAAAATTAGCTGGGCATGGTGATGGTCGCCTGTAATCCCAGCTACTCAGGAGGCTGAGGCAGGAGTATCGCTTGAACCTGGGAGGCGGAGGTTGCAGTGAGCCGAGATGGCTGGGCAACAAGAGCAAAACTCCGTCTCAAAAAAAAAAAAAAAAAGGAGCGTAGGGGAAGAGAAAGGCATCCAAGTGTGGGGTCAGTCAGCACATGGTGGGTGTGAGGCAGGAAGGGCTGAGGAGTATCTGGAGCGATGGTACAGATCGCAGTTTAGTGCAGCTGGAGCCGGAACAAAGTGGGGATAGCAAGAGGGATACATGGAAAAACTGGGGCTAATTTCAGATAGCAGGGTCTTCAGTGCCAGATTAGGGCACTGTCCAAAAGGAAGGAGGGACATTGCTGTGTTCTGACTGCTCCCGGGTGCAGCCAGGCAGAGTTTCTGGGAGGCTGATATCATCTATTTTGTTTTTGTTCACTTAAATGTCAGAGTCATTTGTCATTAAATGGTAAAGGTGACACAGCCTGGGACCAGAACCCAGAGTTGGGGGCCTACAACCCGGGACTCGGGACTCCACTGACACCTCTGATTTGTGTCAGCTTTGGATGAGGACTCGAGGTCTCCCGGGGGGGGTGTACCAGGGTTAGCAGGGATGGGGGTGCGGAAGACAGGTGAGCCCACAGCCCACCAACCTGATTCACAAGTTCTCAGCCTCCTTCCTCACTCGATCTCCACCCGCCCCACCTATCTTTTCCTGCCTGGCTGCTTTCCATGGATCCACTTAACTATACCTACTCCAAGAAACTTTCCTATCTGCTCCACCCTTACCCACACTGGGACCTCTCTCAGTCTTCAAAGTCCCCTGGGCCTCCCTGCCTCCCTGCCTCTCACTGAGGAACACTCTGCTGATGAGAGTTTGCTCACACTGACCCTTCCTCCAGGAAGGCCACCCTGATGCTCCAGGCAGCACCCCCCCGGCCCTCCTCTGGATTCCCACGGCACCTTGGTTTGTCCCCTGCCTGGTCTTCCCAGGGGCTAGTGGACTGTGGGTTCACCTGTCTTTCCCACCCACAGCCCTGCTAAACCTGGTACACCCCTCGGGAGACCTCAAGTCCTCATCCAAAGGCGACACAAATCAGAGGTGTCAGTGGAGTCCCGAGTCCCAGGTTCTAGGCCCCCAACTCTGGGTTCTGGTCCCAGGTTGTGTCGCCTTGGGCCACTCTGACCCCCTCTGGGCCTCAGTTTCCCCCTCTGTACTGCAAGTAGGTGTATTATAATGACAACGAAAGCAAATGCTTGTTGAGTTCCCAGGCACTGCTCTAGAGACTCTATAGAGATTATTCCACTTAACCTTCACAACTCCGTGAGATGACTAATATTTATTATTTCCATTTTCCAGATGGGGAAACTGAAGAACAGAAGGATAGCAAGCCATACCTAAGGTTGCATAACTCTTCAGTGTCAGAGCTAAGATCTGAATCGGCTGTCTGCCCACAAGCCCAGGTGCTGAGTCCCACCCTTCCCAGCTGAGCAACTTGACTTTGATGATCCTCCCGCTTTGAAATCCCAGGACTCTGCTCCCTCTTCACCAGACCCCACCCGCGGGGCAGAGGGTAGCTTCCTTGCCTTCCGGGCTGTCCCCTGCCTCGGAGGACCCCACTGCTGAGTCCCTGTGAGCCAAATGTGTCTGGCATGTCCCTGGGGTCCAGCCCTCCCAGCAGGCAGGTACTTACACGAGGCTGAGGGCAATGGCGCCAGCAAAACCCACAAGTAGAAAGAAGGGCAGGGAGCCCAGGATGGAAGTGATGACGATCATGCCTCCGCTCCGCCGGCCTGGCCACGTGTCGATCGTCGAGTATGGGGTGACTGTGGTGGGATGCAGCCCGGTTACTTCCCAGACACCGCACCACCCTCACCCTTCTCCCAGGAGGCGGCGGGTGTCTCCCCCGCCCTGGCTGCCGGGGATCCAGGGATGACCCTGGGACCCAGTGGGGCGACTTCTCTCAGGTTTTAGGCACAATTACCTTATTTTCCCCCACATTCCACTTTCCAACTTTCTTTTGTGTGTTTCTGGCCACTTCCTCTTTTAACTCTTTCTTCTCTTTTTTTTTTTTTGCATTATTTTACGTTATTGTTTTTGAGACAGAGTCTTGCTCTGTCACCCAGCCATGAGTGCAGTGGCGCCATCCTGGCTCACTGCAGCCTCAAACTCCCAGGCTCAAGCCATCCTCCCACCCCAGCCTCCCAAGCAGCCGGGACTACAGGTGCACGCCACCATGCCCAGCTAATTTGTTGTACTTTTTTTTGTAGAGATGGGGTTTCACCATGTTGCCCAGTCTGGTCTTGAGCTCTTGGGCTCAAGCAATCCTCCCACCTCAGCCTCCCAATGTGTTGGGATTATAGGTGTGAGCCACCACCAGAGTGCCCCGGCTTTGCATAATTTTAAATCATAAACTGACTCAAGTCTTCTGGTGAGATGGCTGAGATATGGATTACAAGTAAAGATGAGGCAAAGGGCCCTGGTCTGACGGGGCCAGGTGGACGGTGGCTGTCACTCTTCTGGGGATGGCCTCACCCTTTGGAACGCTGTGAACAGATGATGTATAGGTCCTACTGCAGCCAGCCACTTGCAGCTACTGTTCCAGGTAGGTCCCCTGGAGACCCCATTCTGCAGATCACTCACTGCGCTCAGGGAGCCTGAGTCCCCAGCCAAGGACATGCAGAATCCAGGCTCAAGCTGGGCCAGCCTGGTCCTGAGGTGCATGCTGTCCCCCAGATGGGCCCCACGGTCCTCCCCCAAAAAAACTGGGCCTTGTGCTTCTGCCTGGGTTCCCCAAAGGAACCCTGCTGCAGAGGCCCATCAAGAATTCTTCTTCCCTCTTCTCAGATGAGGAAACCGAGGTCCATAACGGCTCACACCGCAGTGAGGGGCAGAGGCGGGGCTTGGGCTCAGGACTCTTAGTCCCAAGGGTTCCAAGGCTGTTTCGGTGAAACCACACTGCGTGGGAATGCCACGGGAGGGGCGGTAGGGAGTGAGGATGGGAGGAGCCACCCCAGCCACACACACTGCCATTCTCACACACCACACACCACACATACCAACTGACACACACTGCCACACTCTCACACACCACACACCACACATACCAACTCACACGCCCTGCCACACTCTCACACACCACACATACCAACTCACATACACAGTCACACTCAGACACCACACACCAACTCAAACTCTTACACACACACACATTGCCACACTCTCACACACCACACACCACGCATACCAACTCACACACACACAGTTACACACACCACGCATACCAACTCACACACACTGCCACTCTCACACACCAGACACCACACATACCAACTCACACACACTGCCACACTCTCACACACCACACACTACACATACCAACTCCCACACACACACAGTCACACTCAGACACCACACACCAACTCAAACTCTTACACACGCACACACACTGCCACACTCTAACACACCACACAACACACATTCCAACTCACACACACACTCTCACACTCACACACCACACACATCACACAACTCAAACTCACACACACACCTGCCACACTCTCACACCACACACACCACACACATACAATACACACTCTCACACCACCCACACACCACACACACATACACCACCCACACCACTCTCACACACACCAGACATACTCTCACGCTAACCACACACACCACACACACCCTCATTCACACACACCCCCACCACACACCACATACACCACCCACACCACACACACTCTCACACTCACACACCACACATACTCTCACACTAACCACACACACCCTCATATTCACACACACAACCCCACCACACACCACATATACCAGCAGTCCCCAGCCTTTTTGGCACCAGGGATCGGTTTTGTGGAAGACAGGTTTTCTGCAGACGGGAGTGGGCTGGGGGTGGTTTCGGGATGATTCAAGCACCTTATATGCAGTTATTGTGCACCTTATTTCTATATTATTACTTTGCCATATATAATAAAATGATTGTACAACTCATCATCATGTAGAATCAGTGGGAGCCCTGAGCTTGTTTTCCTGCAAGTAGACGGTCCCATCTGGGGTGATGGGAGACAGTGACACATCATCGGGCATGAGATTCTCGTGAGGAGCATGCAACCTAATCCCTGGCATGCGCAGTTCACAACAGGGTTCGCGCTCCCGTGACACTCTAATGCCACTGCTGATCTGACAGGAGGCGGAGCTCAGGCAGTAATGCGAGCTACAGGGAGCGGCTGCAAATGCAGATGAAGTTTCACTCGCCCACTGCTCACCTCCTGCTGCGCGGTCCCGTTCCTAACAGGCCATGGACTGGTACTGGTCCATGGCCCAGGGGTTGGGGACCCCTGATATACACCACACACTGTCACACTCATCCACACCACACTCCTCACATACTCTCCACACACCACATACCACACACATTCTCACACTCACACACCACTCACACACATACGCAACACCGTAAACTACATTATACAGTTACCACACGCCACACGCAACACAAACACACACACATAGACATACCACAACAGGCACGGGCACTCACATACTCACACACAAGGCTTTCTACCACCCACTCGCGTGTGACTTCAGGCAACCTTTCAGAGCCCCCCACGCCCCTGGGGGTGCACATGGGCTCAACAGGAGGCTCTGCAGGTGAAATGCACAGGACCCTGACACTCATCCTGCCAGACAGCCTCGTCTTGGGGGCCAAGGTGTGGCGGGAGGAGGTCTTAAGTTAGGATATCATTTGCCCAAAATTACCATCAAAGACCCTGGCGTGGCCCCTGTCATTCAGCAGACTCGACTCTGTATATGAACTTTGGGTCTCTGCTGAGCAAGGAACAGCGCAGCACCCTGGCGTTCCACCTCAGGAAAGCCGCCCAGGTGCTAAGGAGTAGGTGTGCAGGGAAGGAGAGCGGTTCCTTGCTGCCTTTGCCATCTTGGTTTTAGGCCTTGGAAACATCTTACCTGGCCATAGGGTGCTTGCTGCTATGAGGATTTAGCAAAGGGGCTGGTTAGGACGTAAATGCCGGGTCAGCTCCGCGTGCCTTTGAGGCCAACCCACTGTAAGGGCTGGAGAGACGGAGGAATGGGCCGGCTTTGATCCGCTTACACCCATCCCCAGCCCAAATGCCACCAAGGCCTGCACCTTGATCTGTTCCCACACCTGGCCCTCAAGGATGGAAAGGAGGAAGGAGGAAGTTCCAGGTTCAACGACTTTTTTTTTTTTTTTGAGACAGAGTCTCACTCTGTCACCAGGCTGGAGTGCTGTGGCGTGATCTCGGCTCACTGCAACCTCTGACTCCCCAGTTCAAGCGATTCTCCTCCCTCAGCCTCCCAAGTAGCTGGGATTACAGGCACGTGCCACCACGCCCAGCTAATTTTTTTTTTCTTTTTTTTTTTTTTTTGAGACGGAGTCTCACTCTGTCGCCCAGGCTGGAATGCAGTGGTGTCATCTTGGCTCACTGCAAGCTCCACCTCCCGGGTTCACGCTATTCTCCCGCCTTAGCCTCCCGAGTAGCTGGGACTAAAGGCACCCCCACCACGCCTGGCTACTTTTGTTTTTGTATTTTTAGGAGAGACGGGGTTTCACCGTGTGAGCCAGGATGGTCTCGATCTCCTGACCTCGTGATCCACCTGCCTCAGCCTCCCAAAGGCTGGGATTACAGATGTGAGCCACCACACCTGGCCTGGCTCAACAGCTTTAAGGAGCATTTTACTCATCACTGCCTGGCCTGGGAGGCTTTCACAGGGACAGAGGAGCCTTGGTTCTCACCGCCGTGGCTGGCCCCGCCTTCTCGGGTCCCCTTGAGCATCACCACCACCACTGCCCACCACTTACGCTGGTTGGTGCGGATGGGGTCTGACCACAGGGTCTGGTCCTCTACCAAGCCCGTGGACATATTGACCAGGACATACTTGAACCTGGAAGGAGACGGAGCCAGGGTGACTTTTATGCTTCCTGTGAGCCCCACCCACAGGGAGGCGGTGGGGGGATGTAGGATGGCCTAGGGGTGGGAGACGGCAGCGGGGGCCCTTCCAGGAGACGGAAATGTAGACGGCTACTGAGCGGGCTCTGGGCAACAGGACAGTGCTGAGCTTGGCCAATAGGACCCCCCCCAGGACCCCTCCCTGGATCAGCTGCCACCTCCTGCATCCATGAAGCCTTCAGAATCAGAAGCTGCCCTTCTAGGCGCTCCCTCTTAGAGCTCCCCTCCATTTCTTTCCTCCATGTAACACACGTGGCATAGTTGCTGAGCACTAATGCATCTGTCTTCCTTGCATTTCTGCCTTCCGTGACTCCAAGCCTGCTCCTTGGCATCACAAAGAAAACTGAAAAAGAAAAAGGCTGAAGCTGGGCATGGTGGCTCACGCCTGTAATCCCAACAGTTTGGGAGGCTGAGGCGGGCAGATCACCTGAGGTCAGGGGCTCGAGACCAGCCTGGCCAACATGGCAAAACCCTGTCTCTACTAAAAATACAAAAATGGGCCGGGCGCAGTGCCTGACGCCTGTAATCCCAGCACTTTGGGAGGCTGAGGCGGGCGGATCATGAGGTCAGGAGATCGAGACCATTCTGGCTGACACAGTGAAACCCCGTCTCTACTAAAAATACAAAAACAAAAGTAGCCAGGCGTGGTGGGGGCGCCTGTAGTCCCAGCTACTCAGGAGGCTGAGGCAGGAGAATCGCTTGAACCCGGGAGGCAGAGGTTGTGGTGAGCCGAGATTGCACCACTGCACTCCACCTTGGGCAACAAGAGCGAAACTCCATCTCAAAAAAAAAAAAGCAGAAGTTGAGGCTGCAGATGGCAAGGCTTTGGTAGGGTTTCTGTTCATGCTGGGCCCCAGCTTTCCACTGGGTGACCTTCCCTCTCTGGCACAGTTTCCTTTCCTGTAAGACGAAGGGGTTTGGGTGGGTGACTTCCACACACGTAGATGGGCCAGGACCAGCTGCATAATCTGTGGGCCCCAGAGCAAAATGAAAATGTGGGCCCTTGTTCAACAATTAAGAATTTCAAGATGGGCCAGGCATGGCAGCTCACGCCCGTAACCCAATACTATGGAGGAGGCCAAAGCAGGCTGATCACTGGAGGTCAGGAGTTCGAGACCAGCTTGACCAACATGATGAAACCCCATCTGTACTAAAAACACAAAAAATTAGCCGGGCATGGTGGTGTGCACCTGTAATCTCAGCTACTCGGGAGGCTGAGGCAAGAGAATCGCTTGAACCTGGGAGGCGGAGGTTGCAGTGAGCTGAGATTGTGTCACTGTACTCCAGCCTGGGAAATGGTGGAGACCCCGTCTCAAAAAATAAATAAATAAATAAAATACAGAATTTCAAGACGGTAGTTGCAGAGCGTCAATCCAAGAGGGGCCTCTTCTGAACTTGAGGCTCAGCGTGGCCTGCCTGGAACCTGGGATGTTCTCAGCATATAAGTTCTCAAGAAGTGTGGCTGCTCCTACTTTGCCCCTGCTCTCCCTCATCAGGACTGGGGAACTGCCGCGGCTCTCCTGTAGTGGTTTGTTTACACCCACCTGTACTCCGTGGCTGCCGACAGGGGTGCGTTACAGAGGCCCTGGAAGTTGGGATCCCACAGGCAGGTCCCGTTGGCACCCACCCTGACCAGGTAGGCATTCAGGATCTGTGAGGCCTTGGACACATCCCCAATGGCATCCAGGCTGGGCAGGTCACTGCAGGGGATCAGGTCAAAGGCCACAGCTTTGTAGGGACCTGTCCTCCCACCCTCTGTTTGTAGGAACGTTGAGCCCAGTGGGGTGTTGGTGCTGTCTTGCACTGAGGCATTCCTGGAAATGGCTGCAGAGGCGGTGCAGGGAGTCAGGCTTCTGGCCACTCCGGCTCAGCGACACTCACTCAGTTATTCATCAAATGCCTGATCATCCTTTCTGCCCCAGCTCTGTGCTGGGCACTGGCATCACAGGCATGGGGCAAACTTAGTCTCTGCCCTCTCAGTGCAATGTGGGAGATGGACAAGGATCACCTCCCTGCTTTGGGCGCTGTGTCTGACTCTCGCCTTATCTTGTGACATTCCTGCAACCCCCCATCCCAACAGACCTTTGTCTCTTCATTGCTGAAAGCCCTGGATTCTCTCTTGTGTAAAATGGGAAAGGAAGGTCATCGGTCCAAGGGAAATAACGTGGAGGCAGGACCCAGCTCTCCTCCTTACTAGATGGGTGACCTTGGACAACTCACTCTACCTCTTCAGACCCTAGTCTTCTATGAAATGGGAGAGAAATTCCCTACAGTGCCCGGAGATCAGGCACTTTAGTTTATAGTCAATAAACACATGCTGAAAGAAGAAAAGGATGGTCCCGAATGAGCTGTTGTAAATGACTGGCTGCTAGAAATGCAAGAGTTGATGTTGGCTTGTCTCAGAAGCTCAGGATCCCCTCCAGGGCAGGGGTTGGGGCTGGGCCACAGCAGCAGGTCCAAATGCATGGTTTTGTCTCAGAAACACCAATCTTGAGCCACCTTTCGAAGCCTCAGGAAGGACCTTGGGCTTGGGGACTAGAGAGATCAGGATTCACTCTCCAGCCCTGGGAGGTCCAGGGGGGGTTATTCCACCTCTCTGAGCCTTGCTTCCCTGCTCTGTAATGGGGATTGGTAATAGCTACCTTACAAGCTGGTTGTAGATACTAGCTCTATGGTGTGCAAAGTGCCTGGTATGGTGTAGGTGTTCAGTGACTGGTGGTGTTATTACTTCCCTCACTAACTGGATGTCCCTGCAAGGCAAGGACAGGTCTGTGGCTGCAGTACCTGTTTAATGAGACGACTACAGGCATGGAGGGTTCCTCTATCTGCCTCCTTCCCTCCTCCCTGCAGACAGGTCAGAGCCCCTTTTGGAGTAGCCAGAGGGAAGCAGGACCCTTACCTGAGTCGACCAGGACATACAGGTAGACCTCGTGGGTGCCAGTGAGGGCCTCTTTGCTGTCAAACATGCAGAGAGGCTTTTCCAAGGCCACAGTGGTAAGTGTGGGGTTGTTGGTGGCGAAAGTCACACTGGCCAGTTGGGGCTGCAGGTTCACAGCTGGAGGAGGCAGTGAGGATGGGAACTGACCTCCGGCAGAACTGTCCACACCCACTCTGCTTGCAGTTACTGAGCACGTGTTGTGTGCCAGGCCCTGGGCTTCACCCTCCCCCTGGGCCACCGCATAAGCTGTCTCAGACACTGCCCCCTGCCCAGTCATCCTGCTCAGAAATGGAGCGGTCGGGCCAAACTGCTGCCTTCTCTCCCTGCTGCAGACACTCAGTTGCCAAGAACTCCACTGCCCCTCCTAAGCATCTCTCCATGCCATCGGCCCAGCCCTCCTCCGTCCCACCTTCCTCACCTGGGCCCTCCCCCCACATGCAAGTCTGACTGCCTCATTCTCTGGCTATGGCCCTCCCATGGTCCCCCAGCGCCCCCTGACGAAGTCCAGCCTCTCTGGAAAGGCAGTGAGGTCCTGAAGTTCTGGGCTTTGCTTTGTTCGGTCTCCAGCCTCACCCCTTCCCCCACAGGCTCCCCTCACCCCAGGCTCCAGCTGGTCCCATGGACTGGCAGTTCCCAGGACAGCCCAATATTGTCTCCCCTCCATGAACTTGCCCATGCTGCTTCCTCGGCCGAAATATCTCTCTATCTGCCCCCGTCCAGGCGTCACCATGGGGCTGGGGCTAGTCCCTTCTCTGTCCTACCGCAGCCCCCCTGCATGTTGGTCTCTTGCAACACACATCGCAGGGCTGCAGCCATCTGTGAGCCCTCGGATTCCCAACAGAGGAGGCCCGTAAACGTTGGCTATCACTATTATTCATAACAGTAATATCTGGGTCCCCAGCGCCAGGAATCAGGGTCCAGGCGGCGGGCGCCCCAGGGCAGAGCTGCCCGCTCTTTCTGGGCTCAGCCCCCTCCTGCCCTTCACCGCCTACCCGAGCCGAACCGCAGGCAGCCGAGGGCCAGCAGGGCCCAGAGCGGAGGCATCGCCCGGGAGGAGCCGCCAGAGCGCGGGGCGGGCGGTCCAGCGAGCAGGCGCGGGCACCAGACCTGTCCCTGCCAGGGCACCTGCCAGCTCTGGGCCCTCGGCGCGCCCCGCCCCCGCCTGGGCTGGCCAATCCGCGGCCTCCTCGCGCGCTATTTGCATACGGCCCTGCCCCGGGCTTCCCCGACCCGTGCGCGGTGCCCCAGGGCGCAATCCCACCGGGCAGGACCTTCTCCAGCCCGCATCAAAGCGCCTACTGTGTGCCCAGGCCAGGGCAGCCCTTCCACAGCGTCTCTCACCAATGGGACCTTGAGGGCAAGCCACTCCCACTTGGAGCCTCAGTTTCCATACTGTAAAATGACGCTAATTTCTACAACTATTTATGGAGGCTCTATTACGTGCCAAACACTCACTGGGCACTCGCGAAACAAAATGGGTTGACCAGTAAAGGTGATATCCTGGAAAACGAAGTCCAGGCCTGGGAGCTATCCAGAGACCCTAGTATGACGCCTAGTATGACCCCTTCGGTTCACAGGTACAAGCCAAGGCCCGGGAGGCTGGGGGGTGGGGCAGGGGGTAAGTATTGGAGCGTGGTGGGGGGCGCGGGGACAGGGACTCACCCCCGGCCGCGCTTGGTCTCCTGGAGACACTGAGGCTGGTGGAACCCAGGAGTCCAGTGCTCAGCCCAGGGCTGCCTCCAAAGGGATGGAGCAGGGTGTTAATGCCTACTTCTTAAAGGGGCGTTTGAAAATTATGATGGACTCCTCACCATGACTGTGCGGTTCCCTCCATCACAAGAATCTGTGCACATCTCTGGATGCACCTTAAATCAATTTTACATTTAAGAAATAAAAGTAAGTCAACAAGGATAGGAAAAAAACAACAGAAGAGGGGCAAGGAGGCTCATGCCTGTAATCCCAACACTTTGGGAGGTCAAGATAGGAGGATCCCTTGAGGCCAGGAGCTAGAGACCATCCTGGGCATCATAGTGAGACCCCATCTCTACCAAAAAAAAAAAAAAAAAAATTAGCTCAGCCTAGTGGGGCATGCCTGTAGTCCCAGGATTGCTTGAGCCCAGGAGGTCGAGGCTACAGTGAACTATGATCATGCCACTTTGAGCTATGATTAAAGCTGCAATAACAGAGCCAGACCCTGTCTCTTAGAAAAAAGATAAAGAAAATCAACAGAAACTAATTAATCTCTGTATGACGTTGATGACATAACCTCACTTGCAGAAAAAGAATAAAACGATCTGAGTAATTATAGAGCTGGGTTGTCCAGGGGTACCTCCTTAGTGGAGTACACTCTAAGAACTGGGAGGCCTGTGACAGAACCCCAAACCTCACTAGTGACTTTGTTATTGGCAGTGGGGAGGGCGGAGCCATTCCGAAGCAACTTTGGGTTATCCTAGGATTGGTGGTACCAGAACCCAGATTCTCACTGTAGGATGAGGGAGATTTGGAATGGAGGAAGGAAGCACATGAGGTCAGTGTGTCCCATTATTGGGGATGTTCCATTTCATCATTTGGTAAAGTTGGTATCTCTGGATTAATGTATGTCTTGTTCCCTAAAAATCTTTTTTTTCTTTTTTTTTTTGGGGGGGACGGAGTCTTGCTCTGTCACCCAGGCTGGAGTGCAGTGGCGTGATCTCGGCTCACTGCAAGCTCCACTTCCCACGTTCACGCCATTCTTCTGCCTCAGCCTCCCGAGTAGCTGGGACTACAGGCACCTGCCACCATGCCTGGCTGATATTTTGTATTGTTTTAGTAGAGACGGGGTTTCGCTGTGTTAGCCAGGATGGTCTCAATCTCCTGACCTTGTGATCCACGCACCTCAGCCTCCCAAAGTGCTGGGATTACAGGCGTGAGCCACCGCGCCCGGCCCTTGATCCCTAAAAATCTTTCCCCAGCTGGATGCGGTGGCTCACGCTTGTAATCCCAGCACTTTGAGAGGCCGAGGTGGGCAGATCATGAGGTCAGGAGTTTGAGACCAGCCTGGCCAACACAGTGAAACCCCTTCTCTACTAAATATACAAAAAAACCCAAAAAACTAGCCAGGCGTGGTGGCAGGCGCCTGTAGTCCCAGCTACTTGGACATCCATGTCCCGCCCAAAAGGTTTAACTTGAATCTCATCAATAGGAAACCATCAGACAGTTCTCAGCCTTTTGTTTTGTTTTGCTTCTGTCTTTCCTGATGTGAACATTTGCAAAGCATCCAGTCCAGCTGGTTTGCAGAAAGTCCCTGCATGTGGATCTGTCTGATGGTTTCCTATTGATGAAATTCAAGTTAAACCTTTTGGGCAGGACATGGTCATGACGGTGAGTTCTAATCAGTGCTACTTGGGAGGCTGAGGCAGGAGAATCTCTTGGACCCAGGAGGTGGAGGTTTCAGTGAGCTGAGATCGCGCCGTGCCACTGTAATCCAGCCTGGGTGACACAGTGAGACTCCGTCTCAAAAAAAAAAAAAAAGCAAGCTGAATGTATGACTTCCATTATTTATTTTGTGCTCAAATGTTCCCAGGCCTGGCTGTTGGCAGCTCCTTCCAGCAGCTCTGTGCTAGCTGCTTTCACGCTCCCACCATTCTTTGAGAACCTCTTTACTTTCTGGCACAATAAAATGTCCCGGGCTCCTCTTGACATTCCCTGTCCCAGCTCTGGATTCAGCCATCTCTCCAAGGGGCACTGGTGCCTTTCACTGGAGACTGGAGTTTAAGATCTAACAGTGGCAAGGTGCCTCTTGCAACTGGGTATTACTGCTTCTCGGTCTGTCTCAATGAACCTAGTTTTTTCTTTTTCTTTCTTTCTTTCTTTCTTTCTTTCTTTCTTTCTTTCTACCTTCCTTCCTTCCTTTCTTTCCTTCCTTCTTTCTTTCTCCTTCCTTCCTTCTTTCTTTCTCCTTCCTTCCTTCCTTTCTTCCTTCCTTCTTTCTTTCTTTCTCCTTCCTTCCTTCCTCTCTTTCTTCTTTCTTTGTCCTTCCTTCTTTCTTTCTTTTTTTTTTTTTTTTTTTTGAGACAGTTTTACTCTATTGCCCAGGCTGGAGTGCAATGGGGTGATCTTGGCTCACTGCAACTTCCACCTCCTGGGTTCAAGAGATTCTCCTGCCTCAGCCACCCACCTGAGTAGCTGGAACTACAGGCGCACGCCACCATGCCCAGCTAATTTTTTTGTATTTTTAGTAGAGACGGGGTTTCACCATGTGGCCAGGCTGGTCTCGAACTCCTGACCTCAAGTGATCCACCCGCCTCAGCCTCCCAAAGTGCTGGGATTACAGGCCTGTGCCTGGCCAGCCTTTTTCTTTTCTTTTCACTTAAAAATCTTGTTTTAGTAATTTTTTTCCATAACTAATTACAAATAACAAAACACCAGCATTTTCCTTCTTCCATTCCAAATCTCCCTCATCCTACAGTGAGAATCTGGGTTCTGGTACCACCAATCCTAGGATAACCCAAAGTTGCTTCACAATGGCTCCGCCCTCCCCACTGCCAATAACAAAGTCACTAGTGAGGTTTGGGGTTCTGTCACAGGCCTCCCAGTTCTTAGAGTGTACTCCACTAAGGAGGTACCCCTGGACAACCCAGCTCTATAATTACTCAGATCGTTTTATTCTTTTTCTGCCAGTGAGGTTATGTCATCAACGTCATACAGAAATTAATTAGTTTCTGCTGATTTTCTTTATCCTTTTTCTAAGAGATAGGGTCTGGCTCTGTTATTGCAGCTTTAATCATAGCTCAAAGTGGCAAGATCATAGTTCACTGTAGCCTCGACCTCCTGGACTCAAGCAATCCTGGGACTACAGGCATGCACCACCAGGCTGAGCAAGTTTTTTTTGATTTTTTTTTTTTTGGTAGAGATGGGGTCTCACTATGTTGCCCAGGATGGTCTCTAGCTCCTGGCCTCAAGGGATCCTCCCAGCTTGCATGTGGATAAAGTGTCATGATACCTGAAACTAACATATATATGAGATTCGAGAGAAAAAGAGAAAGTAAATTTAGTGTAATGTTAGCAATTGGTAAATAAGTATGAGTATTTACTGTAGTGTTCTTGAAATGTTTCTGTAGGTTTGACATTTTTCAAAGTGAAAATGTTGGGGGACAGAGTCTGTTCTCTGCCACAGAAATGCACTGTTCCCCTCTTTGGGTGTCGGTTTACCTTCTAGAAAGTGGGGAGGGAGTTTGGTCACCTCTCAGCCCTGACATGCAGAGAGCGGATGATCAGATCCTTATCTTCAGCACACAGAAAATGTCCCAGAGGTAAGGAACTCTTGAACAGGGCTGCGGTTTTCTTCCAAGAATTTTTATAGACTGACATTTCTTGTTCAACAATTGTTTGTGAACCTGGTTGTGAACCTGCAGTTTATCAGAGGCCAGCAGGGTTGATTTTCTTTTTTTTGAGATGGAGTCTTGCTCTCTCACCCAGGCTGGAGTCCAGTGGGGCGATCTCGGCTCACTGCACGCTTCGCCTCCCAGGTTCAAGCCATTCTCCTGCCTCAGCCTCCCAAGTAGCTGGGACTATAGGTGTGCACCACCACATCTGGCTAATTTTTGTATTTTTAGTAGAGACAGGGTTTCACCATGTTGTCCAGGCTGGTCTTGAACTTCTAACCTCAAGATCCACCAGCCTCAGCCTCCCAAAGTGCAAGGATTACAGGTGTGAGCCACCGTGCCTGGCCTCAGCAGGGTTGATCTTAAAGGCCCAGCTCAGAATCACCTGTGAGAGGAAGTAGGCCCAGGAAATTGTTTTCTCCAAAACGCTGCAGTTTCTTTAAAAAAAAAACAAAAACCCCAAAAAGTCCTCTTGTCTCTTGCCTTGCCCAAATATGGGGAGAACATTTGAAGGAAAATGTTAAAACAATAATCTGCAAAGGCCCAAAACATGTTCTGGAAAGAAAAAAATCTTAGATTTATAAACAAATGTCCACTTCAAAGATTGCTGACTTTTGTTTGGCTCATTCTGAAGAGGGGGAAGTACAGGAGAAATGAGTCATGGTGGGAAATTCACTTGGGAGAGACCATTGCTTGTGTCAGTGGAGGGGAAACAGGAGAAAAAGGGGGCCTGACACCTGCCAGTGTCCCTTGCTGCTCCACGTGCACTTTCCTAAGTTTATTTGTTTTTTTCTTTTTTTTTTTTTTTTGAGACAAGATCTCTCTGCGTCACCCAGGCTGGAGTGCACTGGCATGATCCCTGGTCACTGCAGCCTCGACCTCGCTGAGCTCAAGCTATCCTCCCACCCCAGCCTTTCTAGTAGCTGGGATTACAGGCAGGGGCGACCACACCCAGCTAATTTTTGTATTTTTATAGAGGTGGGATTTCACCATGTTTCCCAGACTAGTCTAAAACTCCCAGGCTCAACTGATCCTCCTGCATCGGCCTCCAAAGTGCTAGGATTACAGGCATGAGCCACTGTGCCCAGCCCAAAGTTAAAAAAAAATTTTTTTTAATGTTTCCTTTTTGATCAGGCCACTTCTAGAGCACTCAGATTCAGTCTGACTTGAGGTCATTTATACATCTAGATCCATCAGACCGTCCTTCTGAACCCTGGCCTGGAGGATGTGTTTGTCTGAGGCCAGAGAGGCAGGAAGTTTTGCGATGTGAAAGGTTAAGCAAAGCCCAGCCCTTCACAGACCTCCTTTGAATCTGAAGCATGGGGAATTTATGGGCTGGAAATTCTTGACCCAGAAATGTCTCTCCAAACACTGAAGAGCCCGGGTCCAGTCGGTTTCCATGACTCCTCTCTTCAGAAGTCAGAGAAGTTGCAGGAATCCCACCACAGCAAGTGCTGGCTTTCATTGTGGGGGCTCTGTCCCAGGACTCTGGAAGTCAAGCTTTTCAGTGCTTTCAGATTCAGCTACTTTATTTATTTATTTAGAGATGGAGCCTTGCTCTGTTGCCCAGGCTGAAGTACAGTGGGGCAATCTCAACTCACTGCAACCTCCGTCTTTCGGGTTCAAGCGATTCTTCTGCCTCAGCCCCCCATGTAGCTGGGATTACAGGTGCGTGCCACCACACCCAGCTGATTTTTGTATTTTTTTTAGTAGAGATGGGGTTTCACCATGTTGGCCAGACTGGTCTTGAACTCCTGACCTCAGGTGATCCACCTGCCTCAGCCTCCCAAAGTGCTGGGATTACAGGTGTGAGCCATTGTGCCCGACCAGAGATTCAGTCACTTTAAAACGAGAAACAAAAACCCCAGTGGAGAAACCCAAGTCCCTGCCTGGTGCTCACTCGTCTATCCTCACTCTGTGATGAGGACGCCCACTTTGCTCTAAGGGGCCCCCACCTGTCTCCCAAGCTCCAGACCCACATTTCCAGCTGCCCGTCCTGCAGAACATGCCCTCCTTGGTGACTCCAAGGGGCCGCGCATGACAGGACTCTCTGAAGAGCCGTGTTCAGCCCTGGCTGTGATTCTCATTGTGGTGGTCCTTACCCTTGGTTTCTTTTTCAGGAAGATGGGGATGCTCAAGGGGTCCTCTTGCAGAGGGGTGGGATGAAGTGCAGTCGTGGGTGTGAATGTGCCCTGTGACTGCGGTGGTGGGCAGTGGCAGGGTCCCCCACATTCCCCAGGTGTCACCACAGCCCTGGGCTCTGTTGGACTAGTCCTGTCTCCTCTGGGCCATCTCTTTCCTTTCAGGCCCCTCTCACGTAGAATCCAAACTTACTCAACAGGTGTTTGTTGAGTGCCTACTGCGTGCTGGGCACACGGATCTTCCCAGTGACTCTGGAACCCACCTCTTCCATTCTGATGCTGCCACCGCTGCCTGGCACGGTGCATTAGTGTTCCAGGGTTGATATAATGAGTAAGGCAGACCGGGTGGCTTACACAGAAATTCACGTTCTCACAGTTCCAGAGACTGGAAGTCCAAGATCAAGGTGCTGGCTAATCAAGATCAAGGGTTCTTCCTGAGCCCACTCTTCCTGGCTTGCAGATGGCAGTCTTCTCCCTGTGTCCTCACATGGGCTTTCCTCTGTGTGTGTGTGTCCTAATCTCCGTTTTTTGTTTGTTTATTTGTTTTTTTAAGAGACAAGGTCTCTTTCTGTTGCCCAGGCTGGAGTCCAGTGGCACGATCATAGCTCACTGCAGCCTCCCGCTCCTGGGCTCAAGCGATCCTCCTGTCTCAGCCTCCCAGATAGCTTGGATCACAGGCATGTGCCACCACACGTGGCTTATTTTTTTTTAATTTATTTTTGAGACAGAGTCTCACTCTGTCACCAGGCTGGAGTGCACTGAAACCTCTGCCTCCCGGGTTCAAGCAATTCTCTGCCTCAGCCTCCCGAGTACCTGGGATTACAGGTGCCTGCCACCATGCCCAGCTAATTTTTGTATTTTTTTTTTTTTTAGTAGAGACAGGGTTTCACCACTTGGCCAGGCTGGTCTTGAACTCCTGACCTCATGGTCCACCCGCCCTGACCTCCCAAAGTGCTGTGATTACAGGTGTGAGCCACTGCGCCTGCCGCCACCTGGCTTATTTTTAAATTTTTGTAGAGACAAGAGCTCACTTTGTTGCCCAGGCTGGTCTTGAACTTCTGACCTCAAGCAATCCTCCCACCTCAGCCTCCCAAAGTGCTGGGATTACAGGTGTGAGCTACCACGCCCAGCCCACTAACCTCCTCTTGTTATTTATTTATTTATTTATTTTGTTTGCTTGTTTGAGATGGAGTCTGGCTCAGTCGTCCAGGCTAGAGTGCAATGGTGCGATCTCGGCTTACTCCAAACCTCTGCCTCCTGGGTTCAAGTAATTATCCTGCCTCAGCCTCCTGAGTAGCTGGGATTATAGGTGTGTGCCACCATGCCCGGCTAATTTTTTTTTATTTTTAGTAGAGACGGGGTTTCTCCATGTTGGCCAGGCTGGTCTCAAACTCCTGACCTCAGGTGATCCGCCCGCCTCAGCCTCTCAAACTGCTGGGATTACAGGTGTGAGCCACCGCGCCCAGCCTTAACCTCCTCTTGTTATAAGAATACCAGTCATATTGGATTAGGCCCACCCTAATGACCTCATGTTAGCTTAATTACCCTTTTAAAGACCTGTCTCCAAATACAGGCACTTACTGAGGTACTAAAGCTTAGGACTTTGACAGATGAGTTCTGGGGGGTGTGGTTGAGCCCTCACACATGTAATTGGCCCCCTCCACACTTTCATGCCTGGACTAATAACATAATAACAATTGACCCCACGTGTCAGGGACTGTGCTAGGGGTTTTACACATTTCAACTTATCTGTCACATCTGGTCTGGCAGGCAGGTACTGTTATTACCTCCATTACCTTCAGATGAAGTGAGGCTCAAGGCAGTTGAATAACTGCCCGCTAAAACGCGAGCTCTAACCGCGGCACCCGCACAGTGCCTGACCCTGCCGAGATGGACAGGTAGACAGACCCAGCGTCCTCCAGGTAAGACACAGGGAGTAGGGAGGTGGGTTTTAAACCCAGGCCATGGGACCCTGGTGTCCACACCCTGTCTTCTACGGAGACTGGCCTCCTACTGGGTCTCCCTGTTCATGCATCACTCCTCTGATGCGTCCCCACCCAGAAGCCAGGGTAACATTTCTTTTTTAAAAAAGTTTCTCTGGGTCGGGCGCCGTGACTCACGCCTGTAATCCCAACATTTTGAGAGGGCGAGAAGGGCGGATCACCTGAGGTCAGAACTTCAAGACCAGCTTGACCAACATGGTGAAACCCCATCTCTACTAAAAATACAAAAAAAATTAGACGGGCATGGTGGCAGGCGCCTGTAATCCCAGCTACTTGGGAGGCTGAGGCAGGAGAATCACTTGAACTCGGGAGGTGGGGAGGTTGCAGTGAGCTGGGATCACATTGCTGCCCTCCAGCCTGGGCAACAGAGTGAGACTCTGTCTCAATAAAAAAAATAAAAAATAAATAAAATAAAAAGTTTTTCTGGCTATAAGTTTATTCAATGCAAAATAATCCTCTCCAGTTTTACTGACATGGCTGACCATGTCCACGATCAAATCTGCCTCTAAACTTGGTTGCTGACCCAGCCCCAGCCTCGGCTTTCTGGTCTGCACCAGGAGGCACAGTGCCCCATCTGTTGGTCTCTGTCAGCTTCCCCTCTTGTGAGTCTTGTAGGTCGACTGCCCTCCAGACCTAGCCGAGGCCTGCCAGTCTCTGGAGGGCTGCAGTGTGGGGTGGCAGGCACAGTCTCAGGGGGTAGATGGAGGTCCTCACGGATACTCTGGATACCCTCACGGGTAAGGTGCCAGTAGAAATGTCTCCAGGCAAACTGTTCCTCCCTGTGGCCTTGGGACTTGAGGGACTGCATGGCCTTCATGATGTGAAGGTTGGGCACATTCTTGTCTGCCAGCTCCGGGTGCCTAGGCAGGTGGACACCCTCCTTAGCCACCATGACTCCCTGCTTAAAAAGGAGTTCATAAACGGCAATCTGGTTCTTCCTAGGCATCAACATCAATGCAGCTGCAAGTTCCGGGGCCGCAGCTGGAAAGGAAGGGGCAAGCGTGGTTCTGCGTCTCATCTGGGCCCCAGAGTGACATTTCTAAAGCGCAAGTCTGGTTGTCACTTTCCTCATGTAAAGCCCTTCAAGGTCACCCACTGTCCTCTGAATAAAGCCCACGCTTCCGGCCAGCCGCAGTGGTTCACCCCTGTAATCCCAGCACTTTGGGAGGCCAAGGAGGGCAGATCATGAGGTCAGGTGATCGAGACCATCCTGGCCAACATGGTGAAACCCCCGTCTCTACTAAAAATACAAAAATTAGCCAGGTGTGGAGGCGTGCACCTATAGTCCCAGCTACTCAGGAGGCTGAGGCAGGAGAATTGCTTGAACCTGGAAGGCGGAGGCTGCAGTGAGCCGAGATCGCACCACTGCACTCCAGCCTGGGTGACAGAGCAAGACTCCATCTCAAAAATAAAATAAAATAAAATAAAAAAATAAAGCCCACGCTTCCTACCCCAGTGTGCAAGGCCCTGGTGGCCAGTCAGCTCCCAGCAACCTCTCCACCTCCCCTCCTTCCTGTCTTACCTCATTCCCTGGCACCAGCCCCACTGAACACTGACAGGTCCCTAAGCTCACCCAGCTCTCTCTTGCCCTTTGGTGGCTCCAAGGATGAGGACTTTTGCAGTGCCCTCCAACTCTGACATCAATAGTCGAAGCCCCCCACCCCTGCCTTGAAGCTCTTTTTATACTTGCTGTGCCCACTGCCTGGGGTGCCCATGCTGCACGTTCCATCATGGAAGCCCCCCATTCTCCAAGGCCTGGCCCAAATCCTCCTCCTCCCGTGTCCTGCATAGGGCACATTCTCAGCAGTGTTTGATGAATGAATGAATGAGTAGATTTTCTTTCTTTCTTTCTTTCTTTTTTTTTTTTTGAGACAGAGTTTCACTCTTGTTGCCCAGGCTGGAGTCCAACGGCGCGATCTTGGCTCACCGCAACCTCCACCTCCTGGGTTCAAGCGATTCTCCTGCCTCAGCTTCCCAAGTAGCTGGGATTACAGGTATGCACCACCACACCTGGCTAATTTTGTATTTTTAGAAGAGACGGGGTTTCACCATGTTGGTCAGGCTGGTCTCGAACTCCCAAGCTCAGGTGATCCACCCTCCTCGGCCTCCCAAAGTGCTGGGATTACAGGCACGAGCCACCGTGCCAGGCCAAACAGGTAAATTTTCTAATTAACATGCGTGGAAGACGGAAGGCTCTTTCTAGGTGCTAAGTTCGTCTTGGATCACACCAGATAGGTAAAGGAGGGAGCAGCATGGCGTGGTGCAGGCTGGCACCGGTGCGGGCCGGAGGAAAGTTCTCGTGGTGGATGTATTTTGAAGGTTGGGCCCACAGGACTTTGCTGATGGACTGGAGGTGGGGTGAGAGTGAGGGAGGAGTCAAGGGGGACCCTAGTTCTAGCCTGAGGAGCCAAAAGGATGGAGTTGGGGAGCTCCCAACTGAGATGAGATGGGGAAGAGCAGATTTGGAGGGGAGAAGGGATTAAGACTCCTTTCTACAGCTGAGGGTCTGGAGCCCAGAGAGGGGAAGTGGCTCGGCCAAGGCTAACAGCTGCTCAGTGAGGCAGTCAGATCTCTGTGTTCTTCTCCTCCTGGCAGCGTCTACGTTGGGATCCATGAGGCTGACTTCCTGATGAGGGTCCCATCCCTGGCTTCGGAGGCAGCTTCTCCCACTAAGAAGTGGCGGAAGGTGGCGGGCTGGATTTGCAACCTGATTTTAGCAAACATCCCCCAGGCCCACCGACTGCCCGGTCCATGCTAAGCACAGGGGCCTGAGGACAATGGGACCCATGGGGCCCAGGAGAAGTCCTGTGTCAAGTCCAAAGGGCGGTGAGGTGCGATAGCAGGGGTGGGGTGTCCTCTCAGTCAGCAGCAGTAAACTGGTTTGTCTGTCTCTGGAATGAAGCTCAGATCAAACATTAATTTCTCCTTATCTGGGAGATCTGGAAGCCAGCGGGGATGAGGGCCTTTCCTGTCCCCTGAACAGAGTCTGTTGGCTCAGAATTTCTCTCTCTCCACCATGCGGACCACTGACCCCTCACCCTGAGCCAGTCCTGGGTCGGGGGTTCAGAGCCAGGAGGACTCGTGCAGGCCCCGGGTGGAAGCAGGAGCACCTCACAGCTCCCAAACAGTGCCCCTTCAACCCTGTAGCAACTCGAGGAGACTGTCCATGCCACCCCCGCTTTACAGAGGAGAAAAATGGGGTTACAACGCTGCAGTGATTTTTCCCTGAGTCTCCTGCCAGATCTCTGGATACACTTTTTTTTTTTTTTTTTTTTGAGATGGAGTCTCGCTTTGTTGCCCAGCCTAGAGTGCAGTGGTGCGATCTCGGCTCACTGCAGCTCTGCCTCCCGGGTTCACGCCATTCTCCTGCCTCAGCCTTCCAAGTAGCTGGGACTACAGGTGCCCGCCACCACGCCCGGCTAATTTTTTTGTATTTTTTAGTAGAGACGGGGTTTCACCATGTTTGCCAGGATGGTCTCGATCTCTTGACCTCGTGATCTGCCTGCCTTGGCCTCCTAAAGTGCTGGGATTACAGGCGTGAGCCACGGCACCCAGCCCAGATACATTCTTTTAGAAGAGAAGGGGTCTCACTATGTTGCGCTGGCTGGTGTCGAACTCCTGAGCTCAAGTGACCCTCCCACCTGGGCCTCCTGAAGTGCTGGGATTACAGGCGTGAGCCACTGGACCCAGACAAAAACTGAATGGATGCTGTGATCCCGAGTCCCGTTTCAGGAGTTCTTGTGGATGGAGGGTTGGGGTGGGCACTCCTAGGCCCCAGTGATAGCTGGACACTAGGAGCCTGGACTCTGGGCCTTGGTGTATTTTTACCGTTGCCCACCCCCATCCTGCGTGGTCCATCCCAGGCAGTGCCTGACCAGCGGCAGGGGCCTCTATGTGAGTCAGATCCACCCCCAAGTGGTTTTGGTGAAGAGACCAAGGCTCAGAGGGAAGCTCAGAGTCCAGCCACCAGCACGGCCCCAGCAGGGCTGGCCTATTTTACTTTATTTTTTTAGAGGCAGGGTCTTGCTCTGTCACCCAGGCTGGGGTGCAGTGGCCCAAACATAGCTCACTCCAGCCTCGACCTCCTGGGCTCAAGTAATCCTCCCGCCTCAGTCTCCTGCGTAGCTGGGACTACGGGCGCATACCATGGGGTCTTGCTTTATTGCCCATGCTGGTCTCGAACTCCTAGCTTCAAACAAGCTTCCCACCTTGGCCTCCCAGAGTTTTGGGATTATAAGCCTGAGCCACCATGTCTGTACACGACTGGCTTTAAAATCGTATTTTTGCCCCATTTCTGCCCCAGCTTCCCCATCTACAAAACAGGCGTGCTTATTTACACAAATGTGTATCAAACCACAATCCTCTCTGCTGCCTCTCCCAGCTCAGACACAGACCACTCCTGACTCGGTCATTTCTGACGTTGTCCTTTGGCTGCTAGTTCCTATTTTTGGAACATTCTGCCAGAAACCCGAGCTCCAGAACTAGTTCCATGTCCCTGTCCCCACTCAACCCTTAACAGCCGCCAGGCTTTAAGTCCTAACAAACTTGCTCACATGGGCTGTGAATGCCTCCAGCTGTCCCGGGCGGTTTCCTGGGGAGGCTGGGAGGCATGAAGGTTAAGCCTAAAGGACTCGCCTCTGGGGTCTTGGGTAGGGCGCTTTGCCTCTCTGCACCGTATCCACATTCGAAAATGATAACCATCGCTTCTCGGCCTTTTGGCTAAGACCAAATGAAAATGGTAACAGTCTCTCCCTTGTGAATCAGCTCTTAGGATTAAATAATGCACACAACAATACCCAATTGTGAAGATTAAATGGGGCGGTGCACATCACAAGTGCTTGGTGACTGAATGCTGGGCCTTTGCTTGTTTAGTGGGACCTTGCTTCAGACAACCTGCACTGATGGATGAAGCACACCAAGGGGTGGGGCAGAGGGTGCCTTTTGGGAAGAAGCTGATCTCTCACTGCCCCTCAAATCAGTCTGTGTGGCCAAGCCTCTCCTTTCTCTAGAACTGCACTGTCTCACACTATAGCCGCTAGACACACATGCCTGTTTAACATTAATTAAAATTAAATTTCAAAATTCAGTTTTTGGCTGGGTTTGGTGGCTCATGCCTGTAATCCCAGCACTTTGGGAGGTTGAGGTGGGAGGATTACTTAAGCTCAGTAGTTCAAGACCAGCCTGGGCAACATAGTAAGACCCCTTCTCTACTAAAAATTCAAAAAAAATTAGCTGGGCATGGTGGCACACACCTGTAATCCCAGCTACTTGGGAGGCTGAGGCAGGAGAATTGCTTGAACCCAGGAAGCAGAGGTTGTGGTGAGCTGAGATTGCACCACTGCAGTCCAGTCTGGGTGACACAGTCAGACTCTGTCTCAAAAAAAAAAAAAAAAAAGAGAGAGAGTGAGAGCGCAAGCTCTCCCTAATGAAGGCACTAATCCCCTCATTATGCCCCCCCCCTCGTGACCTCATTGAACCTTAACTACCTCCTTATAGGTTCTATCTCCAAATACAGGTGCTTGGGGCTTCAGTGGACAGATTTAAGGCAGACACAAACATCCAGAGGTTGGGCACGGAGTGGGCAGTGCAGAGGAGGATGCCGGGGCTCAGAGCAGTCAGGTAGTAGGGTCCCCATGACTGGCAGGCAGGTGAGCCAGAATTTGAATCTGAGGCTATTGGAAGCCGATGCCCCCATCCTTAGCCACTGTGTGACACTGCCTCTGGCATATGCATTCATTCATTCATTCATTCATTCATTCACTCATTCACTCAGCCGACACGCGGAGCTCCTGCTTCCTCAAGTCAGGACCTTGACTCCCACCCCAGAATGAAGAGTTCTCACCCAGGAGAGGAGGGCAGCCATGTTCTCCCTTGCCCCCAACAATTCAGCCCTCTCCTCCCTCCAGGAGTTCCGGGTCAGGAGGATGGGGGGGAGGACAAACACAGGTGCATCCCCACCTCAGGGTTACATGAGAGGAGTGTGAGAAAAGAGGGTCTCAGGGACTTCACGCAGTGCTGTCCTGGGGCCAGGCAAGCTTCGCTCCTTTCTCTCCCGCTTCCTTGAGCACATGACAGTGACCCTGAAGGCCTAATAGCACTGCTCACTACTAACCCCTACTGAGCACTTCCTCTGTGGTCCACTCCCTCCTGAGTGCACCACAGGCAGTTTCCCGAATCGTCCTGAGAATCCCAGGGGTGGCTCTGACATCACCATCACACTTTACACATGAAGAAATTGAGGCACAGAGAGGCTGAGTAGTTTACCTAAGGTCACACATCCATGGAGCGTGGAGCTGGAATTTAAACCCAGGCAGTCCGCTTCCCTCTGTGCCTGAACCAGTCACCTGGTGCATGTGTGAGCCTGATGCCAGCACGGGACCCCGGGGAATGAAAGGCTGAGTATTTGCAAGACTTTCTGAAACCACTAAGTCTGCAAGGTTGCAAATGAGTGAGAGATTACTACAGGGATAACTGGAATCTTCTCTATTATTCGTAAGAAAATAGTTTTCAAATATCTTTAAGTACTTTATTATTGCTCACAATATGAAGACAAGTCTCACAAACGATCCCCCACCCCAACTGAACAAGGGAACAGGGAGAGACTGTGAAAAGCGGGGAGGGTGTTAGATGCAAAGGCTGGGCTGCAAGCTGGCCTACTAAGGATCACCTTCAGAGCCCGAGGTTCTGCAGGAGGAAGATTCAGCCCTCAGAAGTTATAGATGGGGGCTGACAGGCTGGGGCAGGAGCCAGGGAGCCCAGTTACTTACTGAGCGTCTGTGGTCCCAGGCTCTAAGCAAAGGTGGGTGGAGGGACAGGACTTCCACCATCGATCATCTGAGTAAGCTGCCTGGGGCTCCCGGCTCCCAGATTTATTCACCTGAAACCCACTCACCACGTGCTAGGATCGTGGGTGACCCAGCCCCATCCCGGCCGGGGGACTCACTGTCCACTGTCCCAGGAGAAGAATACAGAGTGACAGTGTGGCCAGGGGACCTGTAGGAGCCCAAGGGAGGTGCCTGGTTCAGCCTGAGGCTCGGGAAGGCTTGCTGGAGGCGGTGGTGCCTCGACTAGATCTTGAACGGGGAAGGTATTCCGCGTGTTCCCGGTGGAAGGAACAGTATGCACTACGCCGGGAGGTGAGAAGTGCAGGGGGTCGGGTTTGGGTGCAGCCGGGACCGCAAGGGTGGGCCGGGGCCGGGAGAGCAGGGTCCTGGCTGTGGAGCGCGGCTTCGCCGCCCGGGGCCTGCCCCCGCCCCCGCCCCCGCCCCCGCCCCCGCCCCCGCCTCCGCCTCCGCCTACCCAGGCTCCGCCCCCACCTCCTCTCAGCCCCGCCCCGCTGGCGCGTGGAGCCTCGCGTTGGTGTCGGGCGCCCCCTGGCGGCGCAACGCGGGCGGTTCGGCCGGGGAGGGGGCGGTGCCGCGCCCACAGCAAGGCTGACTCCCCCAATTTCTATTAGCATCAGAAGAATGCCCTCTCAGGGGGAAGCAATTGTTTTCGCGTATAATTTCGACACATTTGCCATTATGGCAGCGCAGTCGCGAGATGCTTTTGCTTTATTACTTTTTTTTATAATGGAGGGAGGGTCCCGCCCAGTGTCTAGGGTTCAGGGCCCGCGGCCTCCACGATCCGGGTACGACCACAGGCGGGTGCCCACCCAACTCCATCCTGGCCTTCTTCGCCTCACTTCCAGGGGCTGCAGGGGACACCGAGCTCCTTTTCCTCTCAAAGGTGCAACAAAAACCCAGCGAGCACTGCTGCGTGCCCGGCGCTGCTAGGGACATCAGGAGAGGGCAGAAGCCTGTGCTCCCGGAGTCGCCTTTCAGCAGGGACGCGGTCAGCAAACCCACGGCGCTCTCCTGTGCTGGGAGAGACGAGGGCAGGAGATGGGGCGGGCGAGGGGCGGGAG
The DNA here is from genome assembly GCF_000001405.40 of Homo sapiens. Classification (NCBI taxonomy): domain Eukaryota; kingdom Metazoa; phylum Chordata; class Mammalia; order Primates; family Hominidae; genus Homo; species Homo sapiens. Next base: position 45,268,644 of record NC_000022.11, on the reverse strand, counting down.
GAATGGGGGCGGGCGAGGGGGATGGGGGCGGGTGAGGAGTGACGGGGGTGGGGGCGGGTGAGAGGTGAGGGGGGTGGGGGCGGGCCAGGGAGATAGGGGAGGGTGAGGGGTGAGGGAAGCGGGTGAGGGGAGTGGGGCGGGTGACGGGGATGGGGGCGAGTGAGGGGTGAGCGGGTGGAGGCGGGGCTTGCGTCGGTGGCCTCACCAGAAGGGACTGTGCGGGGACCTGGAGGAGGGGACAGAGGGAGGTTGGGGAGACTGGGAAGATCTTCCAGGCAGAGGGAACCTCACCGGCGGCTGTCAGGAGGAGGGAGGGGAGAGGGCTGGGTGATGAGGTCAGCAAGGGGCAGGGGGTGGAGGATGGGGGGCGACGGGGCGGGGCCTGGCAGCCCAGGACGGTTTTGGAGCTCGGGGAAGGTCTGAGCGGAGGGGCAGGGGCAGCGGTTGGAAGGCTGCAGGCTGGCGGGGAGGGAGAGGGGGACAGGAAGCCCAGCAGTGGCGGGGCATGCATCCTCTCCCTTCCACCCCCTCTTTCGGACCCCCTCTCTCCTAGGCTCCCCCACTCAGCTCCCACAGATCCTCTTGCCCCAGGTCCTTCCTCTGTGTGCGGCAGAGGGAAGGACCATGCGTGGACATGGGCGGGAGGATCATTTGAGCCCAGGAGTTCAAGACCAGCCTGGGCAACATAGTGAGACCTCATCTCCACAAAAATAAAAGATTAGCTGGGTGTGGTGGCGCGTGCCTGTAATCCCAGCTACTCGGGAGGCTGAGGCAGGAAGATTGCTTGAGCCCAGGAGTTCAAGGCTACAGTGAGCTATGATAGTGCCCCTGAACTCCAGCCTGGGTGGCAAAGCAAGACCCTGTCTCAAAATAAAATAATAAAATAAAATAAATCACACATATTTGAAGTATACAATTTGATGAGTTTTGAATATAGATGTATATTCTGTGACTCCATCACCACAGTAAGATAATGACCATTTCCGTCACTCCCAAAAGTGTGCCCCTGGCGGGGCCCGGTGGCTCACGCCTGTAATCCCAGCACTTTGGGAGGCTGAGGCAGATGGATCACCTGAGGTCAGGAGTTTGAAACCGGCCTGACCAAACATGGCGAAAACCCGTCTCTACTAAAAATACAAAAATTAGCTGGTGTGGTGGCAGGTGCCTGTAATCCCAGCTACTTCGGAGACTGAGGCAGGAAAATCGCTTGAACGCCGGACGCAGAGGTTGCAGTGAGCCGAGATCGCACCACTGCACTCCAGCCTGTGTGACAGAGTGAGACTCCGTCTCAAAAAAAAAAAAAAAGAAAAGAAAAGAAAAAGAAAAAGTATGTCCTTGTCCCTTTGTAATCCATTCCCTCTTCATCCCCCCTCCCCTCTCCTCCACCCCACCCCCATCCCACCCCCAAGCAACCACTGGTCTGCTTCTGTCACTATAGATGAGACTGAGATTTTCAGAATTTCATGTAAGTGGAATCATAACATGTGTTCTTTTTTGGTCTGGCTTCTTTCACTCAGCATAACTATTTTGGGGTTCATCCATTTTCTTAGATGCCATTAATAGTTCATTCCTTTTTATTGCCGAGTAGTATCCAATTGTAGGATATGCAACTGGATATGCAGTTAGCTGATCCGTTCACCTGTTAATGGGCGCTTTTAAAATTTTAGCTCTAAAGCTGCTATGAACCTTCCTGTTCAAGTCTCCATGTGGACATGTGCTCTCATTTCAGTTGGATAAATACCTAAGAGTACAATGGCTGGGCCATGTGGCAGGCATGTGTTCAACTTTTTAAGAAACTGTCAAATTGTCTTTCAGTGGATATCCATTTACATTCCCACCAGCAGTGCGTGAGAATTCCAGTTCCTCCACATCCTCACCAACACTTAGTGTGTTCAGTCTTCTTCATTTTGGCCATTCTGGTATATGTATAGTGGTGTCTCACTGTAACATCTCATTCCCTAGGGAATCTTTTTTTTTTTTTTTTTTTTTTTTTTGAGACAGAGTTTTGTTCTTGTTGCCCTGGCTGGAGTGCAATGGCGCAATCTTGGCTCATTGCAACCTCCGCCTCCTAGGTTCAAGTGATTCTCCTGCCTCAGCCTCCCGAGTAGCTGGGATTATAGGCATGCAGCATTACACCAGGCTAATTTCTGTATTATTATTATTATTATTTTGAGATGGAGTCTCACTCTGTTACCCAGGTTAGAGCGCAGTGGCGTGATCTCAGCTCACTGCAACCTCTGCCTTATGAGTTCAAGTGATTCTCCTGCCTCAGCCTCCCAAGTAGCTGGGATTACAGGCACCTGCCACTGCGCACAGCTAATTTTTGTATTTTTAGTAGAGACAGGGTTTCACCATCTTGGCCAGGCTGGTCTCGAACTCCTGACCTCGTGATCCACCTGCCTCGGCCTTCCAAAGTTCTGGGATTACAGGCGTGAACCACTTCGCCCAGCCAATTTTTGTATTTTTAGTAGAGACAGGGTTTCACCATGTTGGATGGGCTGGTCTCAAACTCCTGACCTTGTGATCCTCCCGCATCGGCCTCCCAAAGTGCTGGGCTTACAGGTGTGAGCCACTGTGCCCGCCCAGAACTCATGGTTTTGAACTTCTTTTCATTTTCGTCATCTGTATATCTTATTTGGTGAAAAGTTTATTCAAATTTTTTGCCCATTAAAAATAAAAAAAGAATGGGTTGTTATTGTTTACTATAAGAGTTTTTTTAATATTCTAGATCATGTATTTTCTTCTTCTTCTTCTTTTTTTTTTTGACAAGGTCTCATTCTGTTGCCCGGGCTGGAGTGCAGTGGCTCATTGCAGCCTCGACCTCCAGGGCTCGGGTGAACTTCCCACCACAGCCTTCTGGGTAGCTGGGACCACAGGCATGCACCACCACACCCGGCTAGTTTTTTTACTTTTTTGTAGATAACAGAGTTTCACCATATTGTCCAGATTGGTCTCAAACTCCTGAGCTCAAGTGATTTGCCTGCCTCTGCCTCTGAAAGCGCTGGGATTACAACAGGCGTGTACCACTGTGTCTGGCCTGATCATGCATTTTCAATGAAGGCAAAATTGCCCCCAATGGGAAAAAATTGGTTCTCGTGAAATGAAAAAATTGTGCTCTTTATGTACAAAGCACAATAAACGCACAATACATAAACGGGTACCTGTGTATTAAATTTCCATGGGGGTGATTAGGAAGGATTGTCTAAAAATATTCCTTGGATGAGGAAGGGAATGGAAAAAAGCTGAGAAAGTGTTCGAGATACAAGTCCTTTGTTGGATGTATGCTTTGCAAAAACCAAAAAATTTTAATTTGGATAAAGTCCAATTTATCAATTATCCCTTTTATAATTTGTGCTTTTTGTGTGCTATTTCAGAAGCCTCTGTCTAACTCAAGGTTACTAAGATTTTCTGCTGTTTTCCTGTAAAAGTTTCACAGTTTTAACTCTTCCATTTAGGTCTGTGGTCCATTTTATAGACTCCCCCAAATTTATTTATTTATTTATTTATTTTGAGATGGAGTCTCGCTCTGTCACCCAGTCTGGAGTGTAGTGGTGTGATCTTGGCTCACTGCAAGCTCTACCTCCTGGGTTCAAGCCATTCTCCTGCCTCAGCCTCCTGAGTAGCTGGGATTACAGGTGAGTGCCACCACACCCGGCTAATTTTTGTATGTTTAGTAGAGATGGGGTTTCACCATGTTGGTTAGGCTAGTCTCAAACTCCTGACCTTGTGATCCACCCACCTCAGCCTCCCAAAGTGTTGGGATTACAGGTGTGAGCCACTGCACCCAGCCCCAAATTAATTTTAGTATGTAGTATGAAGTAAGTGTGGAAGTTCATTTTTTTATATATATATGGACGTCCAGTTGATCCAACACTTTTTGTGGAAACACTTTCCTTTCCCCACCGAGTTGCTTCATCACTTTGGTCAAAAATCAGTTAATTTGGTCAGGCACTGTGGCTCACGCCTGTAATCCCAGCACTTTGGGAGGCCAAGGCAGGTGGATCACTTGAGGTCAGGAGTTCAAGACCAGCTTGGCCAACATGGTGAAACCCTGTCTCTACTAAAATTACAAAAATGAGCCAGGTATGGTGTGTGCCTGTAGTCCCAGCTACTCGGGAGGCTGAGGCAGGGGAATCACTTGAACCCAAGAGGTTGCAGTGAGCCGAGATTGCACCATTGGACTCCAGCCTCGGCAAGAGAGCAAGAGACTCTCTCAAAAACAAACAAACAAACAAATTCAGTTAACTACATATGTGTGGGTCCGTTTTGTAATATACTGTGTGAACCAAAGAAAAACCCATTCATGGGCTGCCTGGTCTGGGCCCCGACTATTTTCTAACATTGACCTCCAGCACTCAGACCTCCTTGCTGGCCCCTGGCTAGGCACCTGCTGCCTCAGGCCTCAGCTCCAGCTCTGTCCTGGTCTAGAACTGTCTGCCCTGAGATCATCTCCTGTCAATGCCTCCTCCTCTGAGAGGGAGGCCCCTGCCATGGTGTTGCTCTGGTGATTTGGTTCCAGGAGAGCTTGATGAGATCAGCAGGCGCCGGATTGTACAGGGACTTGCAGGCGGAGACAAGAATTGAGGTTTTATTCTGTGTGAGATGAGAACAGGAATGGCATGATCTGACTTTGGCTTTGGAAACGTGGCCTGGGCTGCTGTGTCGAGGTGGACTGTAGGGGGAGTGCGGAGGCAGGGGTGGCCGCAGGAGGCTCCGGAAGCACGTGGCTCCTGCCGGCCACTCGCTCTGCCTGTAGTCTGTCATCAGAGCAATCCTTGGCCCTGAGAGCAGATGCTGCAATGAGAAGGAAGGTCAGCCCTGGCCAGCCTTGCTCTGGGATCCCAGGGCATGGGATTCAGGAAAAATAGGGGCTTCCCTCCTCCATGTTCACCATGCCACCCCGCCCTCGGTTCCCACACCCTCGTGGGGTGGCTCCAGGCTACTGTCCTGGCCCTTGACCTATTCACTGCCCTCAAGGCTTGGGCTGCATTTGTGGAGCAGAAGAAGGAGCCGGGGTGGAAGCCCTGAGGTTAAGTTCCAGTTCCTCTTCTTACCAGCTGGGTGACCTCCAGCGAGTCACTGGAGCCTGCAGAATCTCATTTGAGAAGTTGGATAAGATCTCTGCCCCCACCGCCCAGGCCCCAGGGGAGCTGTGCAGACTGACTCTCTTCTGAAGAGTCCCTTGGAAATGTTTTGGCGGTGGCAAGAGAAAGAGCTTTGCTTGTTCTTCAGAAAGACTTGCCGGAGTCAGACACTGAGGACTCCAGAGCATCTGGAGGAAGCCCAAGGGCCACCTCCCCTGAGAAGCCTTCCTTCGCCAGCCTGAATAAAATGGACCTCTATACACACACCTGTCTCAGTGGTGGCAGTGGCAGGCCATCTGGAGCGGCTGCTGCTGTCACACCAGCTGCAGCAGGGAGGCACGGCTGGGGCTGCATGTTCCATGGAACTGGCAGGAGCTGGGGACAGGCAGGAGCCTCTCCCATTCTGAGTCGGGGTGGCAGCTCCCTGCATGCCGCTGCAGCTGCCCAAGCCACGGCTGTGGACCCAGGCATCCCTGTGCTCTCGGAGCCTGGGAGCAGGTGGGAACCCCACCCTCCCAGGTGCAGCTGCAGCCGCCCAAACCACAGCTGCAGACCGGGGCCTCCCGCTCCACGGAGCAGGCTGGAGTCCTGCCCCACATCCCACATAGCTGCACCGGCCCTAACTGCCACTGCGGACCCAGGCATCTCTGCACTCTTGGGGGCCCTGGAAGGCCCCCCTGCCCTCACAGGCTTGGAAATGCCTGCTCCCACTGCCTGGCTTCTCCTTGCTGTCGGCACCTGCTCTGATCTTGGGGCAAAATTGGGGCCGAGCCTGGGTTTTGTCACAGCCCAGCCAGGTGTGCACACACTCAGGGCAGTGCTGACATGCCAGCCCCCTGCCGTCTCAGCCCTCTCCAGATTTTGGGCACTGATGAGCATAGGAATGAAGCTGAGGAGGAACTGAGGGCAGCTTGGCAGTGGCCTGCAGACGCCCCTTGGTACCTATAGCCTGGGCGCCATGAATGGCAGCAGGAGGCAGACAGGTTTCTGGGCAGAAGGGGGTGAGTCCCTGGTGAGGCCCACCTTCAGGCCAGGGAGGCCCTGAAGGCTGGGGGCCAGGCTGTCAGTGCCGTGGACTGGAGTGCGAACTTGTGTTGCCTTTTCTGGGCCTGCCCATGGCCGCCCATGGACCAGTCAGCATGAACTTCCCCCTCTCTGAGGCTGACAGAAGCCCCAGGCTCAGCCAGAGCTGAGCAGACGTCGGATGACCAGCTGTAGTGAGGAACTGCCCTCTCCAGGGCCTCCTCTGAGCTATTGTCACTCAATAAAGCTCCTCTTCGTCTTGCTCACCCTCTTGTTTCCGTACCTCATTCTTCCTGAGTGGAGGACAAGAACTTGGGACCCACTGAATAAGGCTAAAAGAGCTATAACACAAACAGTGCTGAGACATGCCCCTTGCTGGCCACGTTGCAGGGGAAGAGAAGGAAGGAAGAGCTGCAGCCCTTTGGGGAGCCCAGACCGGGGAGTCTCCCAAGCCAGGGCTGTGATGCCCTCTTTGGGTCCCTGTGGTTTCTGGCATCTCCAAGCTTCTGAGAGCCACTGTGTTCCCCAGTGCCAGCTGTGGAAGCTGCTTGCAGTGCGCCTGGTCCAGCTGTAGCCTCGCAGAGAGCTGGGGCCCATGCTGGCACCCGGAGCTGCCTGCCCCACTGCAGCAGCCGGCGTGTCTGACTGTGCAGTGGCCGGACCTCACGCGTGCTTACACACCCGTCACCACCCCACGCAGTCTCCCTTGGTAGACGTGGGATCCAGGCCGATAGTGTGAGCCGAGTGCAGTCTGCCAGGACAAGTGGGCGGAATGAGCCCAGTGGGCCCAAGCAAAACTCAGACAAAGATGCCACTGGCCACAGAGGTTTCTGCCCAGAAAAGCGACACCCCAAAGATTCCATAACATCGGCACCTGACCCCGCTTACATCTGTACACGCACCTGCCTCTGCACCTGGCTGCTCTGACGTCTGTACACACACCTGTCCCTTCCTTGTTTCTTCAATCATAGGGCAGCCTGCCAAGCCATGAACCACTGATATCTCAGGCTGTGGGGAGCACTTGGTGTCCCCAGAACCCAGCCATCAAGGGCCTACCCTGAGGAGGCAGGCAACGATGAAAGAGGGGAGAATGAATGAATGATGTCTCTGTGTGCTGAGTCTTAAGGAAAACGGACCATGAAAACCATTCCTGTATTGAAAGTGCTAGAGGCTTCCAGGCAGGACCGCAAGGAATGTGTGCACAGCCCCATGGGGAAGCACGGCCCCCATGACCCCCACTTTGCTGAGAAGGGACCTGAGACTCACAGAGGCTGAGCCGCTTCACCCAGCGAGGGGCTGGTGGAGCTGGGATTCTAGCCCCGAGTGTGGCTCTCCCCACTTCCTCGTGGCTCTCAGTATCCAGGAGGAATGAGGGGCCCCCTTCTCCTACTGATGAGGAAACTGAGGCCCAGGGTATGTGGGGACCTGCCTATCGCTGAGCATGCCAGGAGACAAGTCGGGCCTGCAGCCCACATCCTTGTTCTGAAGCCTCCCCCAACCCCTTTCTTTTTTTTTTTTTTTTTTGAGACAAAGTCTCACTCTGTCACCCAGGCTGGAGTGCCGTGGCGCGATCTTGGCTCACTGCAACCTCTGCCTCCTGGGTTCAAGCGATTCTCCTGCCTCAGCCTCCCAAGTGCTGGGATTACAGGTGCCTGCCACCACACCCGGCTAACTTTTGTATTTTTAGGAGAGACAGGGTTTCACTATGTTGGCCAGGCTGGTCTTGAACTCCTGACCTCAGGTGATCCGCCCACTTCGGCCTCCCAAAGTGCTGGAATTACAGGCGTGAGCCACCGCACCCAGCCCCAAGGCCCCTCTTCCTGTAGCCCTCACTTCCCCTGGTGTTCCCCCCACCTTTGCCCTTCCTGCCTCTATCCTAGACCTGGTGGTTCCCGTGCAGCTTCAGTCAGCACCTATAAGGGAGAACGAGCACATTCTTGCTGCTTCTTTTTGTTTTGTTTTGTTTTTTGAGACAGGGTCTCACTCTGTTGCCCAGGCTGGAGTGCAATGGCGTGATCACGGCTCACTGCAGCCTCAACCTCCCAGGCTTGAGCAATCCTCCCAGCTCAGCTTCCCGAGTAGCTGGAACCACAGGCACGTGCCACCATGCCTGGCTAATTTTTGTATTTTTTTTGTGGAGACGGGGGTCTTTCCATGTTGCCCAGGCTGGTCTTGAACTCCTGGGCTCAAGTGATTCACCTGCCTTGGCCTCCCAAAGTGCTGGGATTATAGGCGTAAGCCACCTTGCTCGGCTACATTCTTGCTTCTTAAAGAGACAGTGCTCTCTGTCGCTCCTGTCCTGTCCTTTCTGTCTATGGCCCACAGCAGCCAGGAAAGCCAGGTGTCCTAGAGGGAACTCTGGGCAGTGACCTCAGGGATCCCCATAGTTACTGTCCCCCCGATGCCCACCAGGGCAGCAGTTCTCCCACAGCTGGCCCTGTCCCCCTGGGGGCCATGCTGTTCTATCATTGTCTTCCCTCTTGCCAGCAGCGACTTGCAAAGCCCTCAGACGGTGGTACAGTGACACAGTTCTCCTCCTCATCCTGGCTCACTCGTGCATTTGCTAACTCAGCATATGTTCATGGAGCACCTACTATGTGTCAGCTCTGGGCCAGGTATGGGACTATACTGGTGAGCAGACAGACACACTCCACTCCTAGGGCCGCAGGCCATGGGGGAGTGAGAGAGTAGTAGAGCCGTCACACCCACGAATCAAACTGGGTGCTGTGAGGGGAAGGAGGGGGTTCAGGGCAGGAACAGGGTTCTAAGGAGTCAGATAAGACAGGAGTAGGGTCTGGTTCAGGGATTCCTGGGGGCCGCCCTGGGGAAATGATGGCTGAACTGGATGGGAGGATGAGAAGGCGCAAAGAACATTCCAGGAGGAGCAAACAGCAAAGAAGGTCTCGTGTCTGGAAGGATGATGGCCTGTTGAGAAGCCAAAAGGCTATGAGGCAGGAGGGCAGGAGTGAGGGACAGGGGCCCAGGGGCCTGGGGGTCCTGCCTTCTTCAGGCTGGGGCTCGGCCTGTATCCCAGGGTGAGGGAAACCACTAACTGCTAAGCAGGAAAGTGACATGTTCAAGTTTGGATTCTGGAAAGATCATCCTAACCTTGATTCAACACCCAGCTATAAAGGATGTTATAGAGACTGGGCGCAGTGGCTCACACCTATAATCCCAGCACTTTGGGAAGCCAAGGCAGGCGGATCACCTGAGGTCAGGAGTTCGGGACCAGCCTGGCCAACATGGTGAAACCCCATCTCTACTAAAAATACACAAATTAGCCGGGTGTGGTGGCAGGCGCCTGTAATCCCAGCTACTCGGGAGGCTGAGACAGGAGAATGGCTTGAACCTGGGAGGTGGAGGTTGCAGTGAGCAGAGATTCTGCCACTGCATTCCCAGCCTGGGCAATAGGGTGAGACTCCATCTCAAACAAACAAACAAACGAACGAACACACACAAAAACAAGAATTTTTTAGAGACAATAAGGGAAATTTGAATGTGACTGAGATTTAGAAGGAACTAGATTATTGGTAGTTTCATTCATTGTGATGATGGTATTGCGGTTATGGAAAAAAATGTCCACCTAAAAAAGTCAATGCATTTACTGAAGCATTTGGGTGTGAATGAGCATCATATCTAAAATTAACTTTAAAATATTTTTAACAAGATGAGCTGGGCTTGGTGGCTCACACCTGTAATTCCAGCAATTTGGGAGGCCAAGCAGGTGGATCACCTGAGGTCAGGAGTTCGAGACCAGCCTGACCAACATGGTGAAACCCCATCTCTACTAAAAATACAAAAAATTAGCCAGACATGGTGGCGTGCTCCTGTAGTCCCAGCTACTCAGGAGGCTGAGGCACGAGAATTGCTTGAACCCAGGGGGCAGAAATTGCAGTGAGCCGAGATCACACCACTGCACTCCAGCCTGGGTGGCAGAGCGAGACTCTGTTTCAAAAACAAGCAAACAAACAAACAAAAATATTTCTAACAAAACAAATGGAGAAAATATGGCAAGATATTAATAATTTAAATCTAGGGGATGGATATAAAAATTTTCTATTATATACTTCACTCTACTTTTGGATTTATTTGAAATATTTCATATTAAAAAGAAAAAATTAATAACAAAGAAAGAAGAAAAGATAGGTCAATGATATACAGACAGACAAATAGATCTCCCTGGTTTTTGGGTAGAAGGTGGGTTGGAGGGGCCAGGCCTCCTAAGTTGGGAGACCCCATGGGTTAGTCCATTTTGCATTGCTATAAAGCAATACCTGAGACTGAATAAGTTATAAGGAAAAGAGGTTTATTTTAGCTCATGGTTCTGCAGGCTGTAGAAGCATGACACCAGCATCTGGTAAGCTTCGGTGGGGCCTCAGGAAGCTTCCAATCATGGCAGAAGGCAAAGAGGGAGCAAGTGCATCACGCAATGAGACAGCAAGAGGGGTGGGAGGGGCCACATGCTTTTTTGTTTTGTTTTGTTTTGAGGCAGAGTCTCACTCTGTTGCCCAGGCTGGAGTGCAGTGGAGCCATCTCGGCTCACTGCAACCTCCGCCTCCCAGGTTCAAGTGATTCTCCTGCCTCAGCCTCCTGAGTAGCTGGGACTACAGGTGCCTGCCACCACGCCTGGCTGATTTTTGTATTTTTAGCAGAGACAGGGTTTCACTATGTTGGCCAGGCTGGTCTCAAACTCCTGACCTCAGGTGATCTGCCGATCTCACCCTCCGAAAGTGCCGGGATTACAGGCATGAAGCACCACGCCCAGCATGCCACACGCTTTTAAACAACCAGATCTTGTGTGAACTCATTGCCACTTATTACCATGATGAGGACACATGCCATTCATGAGTTGTCCGCCCCCATGACCCAAACACCCCCCACCAGTCCTCGCCTCCAACATTAGTAGTCACATTTTAACATGAGATTTGGAGGGGACAAACATCCCAGCCATATCGCCCCACGAAGAGGATGTTCGTGGTAGGTGAATTCTAAAATGACCACCAGTGACCATGTCCTTGTGTCATCTTCTCCGCTTGAGTATGGGTGAGACTTGTAGATATGACGGAATATCACTCCTGTCATTGTGTTACATTATTTGGCAAAAGAGAAACTTGCAAGTGTGATTCGGGTCCCTCACAGTTGAACTGATCAAAAGGGAGATTGTCCTGGGTGGGCCTGACCTAATAAGGTGATCTCTTGAAAGGGGACTCTTAAAGACAGGGTAAGTCAGAGAGATGTGCTTCTGCTGGCCTGAAGAAGGAACTAGAGGATTAGTGTTAGTTTCATTAGGTGTGATGATGGTATTGTAGTTATGGAGAAAAAATGTCCATTTTAAAAAGTTCAGTTGGGTGTGGTGGCTCACACCTGCAATCCCAGCACTTTGGGAGGCCAAGGTGTGTGGATCACCTGAGGTCAGGAGTTTGAGACCAGCCTGGCCAACATGGTAAAACCTTATCTCTACTAAAAATACAAACAAAATTATCCGGGCATGGTGGCAGGCACCTGTAACCCCAGCTACTTGGGAGGCTGAGGCAGGAGAATTGCTTGAACCCGGGAGGTAGAGGTTGCAGTAAGCTGAAATCATGCCATTGCACTCTAGCCTTGGTGACAGAAAGGGACTCCATCTCAAACACACACACACACACACTCCAAGGGGCTGGCCACAGTGTCTCATGCCTGTAATCCCAAAACTTCGGGAGGCAGAGCCAAGAGGATCACTTGAACCCAGGAGTTTGAGACCAGCCTGGGCAACATAGTGAGACCTTGTTTCTATTTTTAAAAAATAATAAATAAATAAAAATAAAGGCCAAGCACAGTGGCTCACACCTGTAATCCTAGCACTTTGGGAGGCCAAGGTGCATGCATTGCTTGAGCCCAGGAGTTCAAGACCAGCCTCACCAACATAACAAGCCACCATCTTTACCAAAAAAAGATACAAAAATTAGCTGGGCATGGTGGTGTGCACCTGTGGTCCCAGCTAGTTGGAAGGCTGAGGTGGGGGGATCCTTGAGCCCAGGAAGATGAAGCTACAGTGAGCTGATATCATACCACTGCACTCCAGCCTGGACAACAGAGCGAGACCCTGCCAAAAAAAAAAAAAAAAGTCAAGGAAGCCTCCATGAGTTCTCTAGCTGCAAGGAAATGAGTTCTGCCAACAACTACATGATCTGGGAAAAGGGCTCCAAGTCTCAGGTAAGACCTCAGCCTTGGCCAATACCAGGATTTTAGCCCTGGGATGCCCTGAGCAGAGAACCCAGATACGGTGAGCCTGAGCTACCAACCAATAACATGGTGGGCTGACAAAGCACTTAGTTTGTGATAATTTTTTATGCAGGAATAGAAAACAAATACACTGCTAAAAGAGTTCAAGCAGAAGAACTCATGACAGTGGGGATGGTGTGAAGCAGATGGACCTGAGAGTACTTAGAAGATGAAATCACCAGATGGATGAGAGCTGAGAGCAAAGGAGGGGGTGTCTGGAAAGAAATGGAGAGGGAGAGCCTGCAGGAGGATGAGATCTGGGGGACACATTGAGGTGTCCCTTCAGGCATTTCTATGAACTTCTTGAACTTTCAGCTGGGCACAGGAAAAGGTAAGGGCTGAAGGTCAAGCAGATGTGGGGAGTGGTTGGTGTGTGATGGAGTTTGGTGCCATGGGAGGGAGGAGCTTGGCCCAGGATGGACCCCCAAGGACCTGACTCCGAAGAAGCCTGGAGGGACTGATTCCTGGGTCCTAAAAGCTGGGTGTTATGGTTTGAGTGTGTCTTGTGCTGGACACTTAATCCCCAATGCAACAGTGTTGAGAGGTGGGGCCTTTAAGAGGTGATTGGGTCATGGTGGCTCTTCCCTCACAAATGTATTAATGTCATTATTATGGAGTGGGAGTGGGTTTGTTACTGTTGAAGTGGCATCCTTATAAAGGATAAACTTGGCCTCCTTTCTCTTGCACACTTGAGTGCTCTTTTGCCCTTCTACCTTCTGCCATGTGAGGACACAGCAAGAAGGCCCCCACCAGATGCTGGCACCTTGGTTTTGGACTTCACAGCCTGTAGGACTGCGAGAAACAAATTTCTCTTCTTTATAAATTACCCAGTCTTCTGTTATAGCAGCACAAAACAGACCAAAACACCAGGGAGGGGAGAGGGCTCAGGGTGAGGGGCAATTCAGTGCTGGCTGCATGTCACACAGGCCACCAAGGCCTGCCACTGTGACTGCTTCATTATCTCTGGATTTGGTCTCCTCCCCTTCTTCACTCCCACAGCAACACTCCAGCCTGGGTCTCCCGGCCTCTCCTGCAAACCCCTGCAAACTCAGGGCAGCTCTGGGAAGGCAGGAACCACATCTGACTCACCCTCTTGTCAGGCCCTGTGTGGATGCTGGTGACAAAGTCACAGATATTACCAGTATATCTGTGGTCTGTAGCCTACAGTCATAATGAAAGACATGCCAAATTTCCGCTCAACATTAGTAAAACTAAAGGTGTTATTTTCTTCCCATCCAAGTTCACAGATCTCCTGAATTCTGTCCACAGACTTCTACTCAGGATGAAGGGCCCAAGCTCTATGCCACGATGAGGCATGGATTGGTGCACTTCGTGAACAGAACAGCATGGCCAGAAGGGAAGAAAATGTCAGCAAGCAGCGGCAGCAGAATCAGCAGGGCTGTTATGGGGGGGTGCAGACAGGACATATTGGGCTTCAGCAGGAAGACAGTGCCTGCTGACAGCCAGCCCACCCTCGGAGAGGGCCCACGTGAGAGGCCTGAGCTGAGAGTGAGGGTGAATGGGCATTCTAGGCTGAGGGCAGCACACATGTGACCTCAGGCTGGTCCCTGCCTCTCTGGCTTTTGTCCCTTCAATGTGAAATGGACAGGCTGGACCAGAGGCCTCCTAGGGCCCTACCAGGGCTCACCCTCTACTGCCCGTCCCACTTTCATCTCTGGTAGGGAGGGCCCAGCAGCCAACGTACCATTGGGACTCCCCCGTTTGTTAAGTGAGGGCTCATGGTGGTCTCTGTTTCAGTCATAACCCACTGATGAGTGTTAACTGCATCATTTTATTATTACTGTTATTATTATTATTTTAACACGGAGTCTCACTCTGTCGCTCAGGCTGGAGTGCAATGGCGTGATCTCTGCTCACTGCAACCTCCGCCTCCTGGGTTCAAGCGATTCTCCTGCCTCAGCCTCCTGAGTAGTTGGGATTACAGGCACGTGCCACCATGCCTGGCTAATTTTTGTATTTTAGTATAGATGGGGTTTCACCATGTTGGCCAGGCTGGTCCCGAACTCACCTCAGGTGATCTGCTCGCCTCGGGCTCCCAAAGTGGTGGGATTACAGGTGTGAGCCACCGTGCCCGGCCCAAACTGCACCATTTTGTAAGCCCCCCGCCATTTCACAGGCCTTGGTCAAAGTGAAATATTCCACAGGGGTTCAGGTGGTGACAAACATCCTCCCTGACTGCCTGACTTTCTTATCATACCCTGCCAGGCAAAGACCCAGCTGAAGAAGCATCACTGTCACATTCTGTGGAAACAAGGGCCAAACTGCCTCAACATGGCATGTTATTAACTTTCTTTTTTGTTTTTTGAGACAGAGTCTTGCTTTGTTGCCCAGGATGGAGTGCAGTGGTGCTATCTCGGCTCACTGCAACATCTACCTCCCAGGTTCAAGTGATTCTCCTGTCTCAGCCTCTCGAGTAGCTAGGATTACAGGTGCCTGCCACCATGCCCAGCTAATTTTTGTATTTTTAGCAGAGACAGGGTTTCACTATGTTGGCCAGGCTGGTCTCGAACTCCTGACCTTGTGATCCACCCACCTCGGCCTCCTAAAGTGCTGGGATTACAGGTGTGAGCCACCGCGCCCAGCCTGCTATGAACATTTTTCCAGGCAGCAGGCCATGCCCCCCAGACCCCTCCTGCCCAGGCCTATACGTACTCCAGCCTATAAGTGGCAGTAGCCACTGGCATCAAGCTGGTCCCCACCTCCGCAGGGCTGATGCTGGACATAAATGCCTGTGTTTGCTGTAGAGCCGCATCCCCACCCCCCACCTCTCTCTCTCTCTGTGTGTGTGTGTGTGTGTGTGTGCGTGTGTGTGTGTGTCTTTTCCTTTAACCCTTGCCTTTCCTTCAAAACCTAACAATGAGTAAGGGCCAGAAACCCCTCTCAGCTGGCTTCAGCAGGAAAGGGGGTGTATTGGCTCCGCAACTGAAAGACTGGGCTTCACTTTCCATCTCTCGGCCCTGTTCTCCTCTGTGTGGACTCCATTCTCAGCCAGGTCGCCCTACCAAGATGGCTGCTGGAAAGATGGCGGCTGGCAGCTGTCCTCTTAGTGGCCTTACTGCAAAGACATCCAGAGTCCTGGGATTGGCCCTGACTGGACCATCCCTGGACTATCACTATGGCGAGGGAGATGCTCTGATTTAATGGGCCAGACCTGGCTCAGCTCTCGTGAACTGAAATGGGCACAAGGTGGGTCCCAGAGGAAAAACCCCATCATGAGAAGAGGACAGAACAGATGCTGTACTAGCAAAAGTGGTGGAAGAGGCTGCAGCAGTGAGTTGAAGTTTGTCCCCTACTTCCTGCAAAATGAGATGTCTACCTGTGAATGCGAGTGACCTTATTTGGAAAGAAAATCTTTGCAGATGTGATTAAGCTCAGTCTCTTGAGGTGACAGCATCCTGGATTCACGGTGGTTCACTTCAATGTCAAGTGAACTTTTTTTTTTTTTGGGAGGGGACAGTCTTGCTTTGTCGCCCAGGCTGGAGTGCGGTGGCGCAATCTCGGCTCACTGTAAACCCCGCCTCCTGGGTTCAAACGATTCTCCTGCCTCAGCCTCCCGAACAGCTGGGATTACAGGCACCTGCCACCATGCCCAGCTAATTTTTGTATTTTTAGTAGAGACAGCATTTCACCATGTTGGCCAGGCCGGTCTCGAACCCCTGACCTCAGGTGATCTGCCTGCCGTGGCCTCCCAAAGTGCTGGAATTATAGCTGTGAGCCTATACAGGTGTGAGCCTGAATTTTTTTTTTTTTTTTTGAGAAGGAGTCTCACTCTGTCACCCAGGCTGGAGTGCGGTGGCACGATCTTGGCTCACTGCAACCTCCGCCTCCCAGGATCAAGCGATTTCTTCTGCCTCAGTCTCCTGAGTAGCTGGGATTATAGGCGTGCACCACCATACCCAGCTAATTTTTTGTCTTTTTAGTAGAGACGGGGTTTCACCATCATGGCCAAGCTGGTTTCAAACTCCTGCCCTCAAGTGATCCACCCGCCTTGGTCTCCCAAAGTGTTAGGATTACAGGCGTGAGCCACCGCACCTGGCCAAGCCTGAACTTTTAAGAGCAGCAGGGGAGACTGAGTCGCAGTGACACAGAGGAGGAGGCCATGTGAAGAGATGGAGGCAGAAATTGGAGTGGTGCAGCCGCAAGCCAAGGAGTGCCTGGAGCCACCAGAAGCTGCAAGAGGCAGGACGCCTCCTCCCCTGGAGCCTCTGGAGGCAGCACAGCCCCATGGATGCCTTGGTTTCTGACTTCTGGCTTCTAGAACTGTGAGAGAATAAATGTCTGTTGGCTTAAGCCAGCAGTTTGTAGTGACTGGTTACGGCGGCCACAGGAAACTGACACTCACCCAGCTCACGTTTCTAATTTTTTTTTTTTTTTTTTGAGGCGGAATCTCACTCTGTTGCCCAGGCTGGAGTGCAGTGGAGCCACCTCGGTTCACTGCAACCTCCGCCTCCCAGGTTCAAGTGATTCTCCTGCCTCAGCCTCCTGAGTAGCTGGGACTACAGGTGTGCACCCCTACACCTGGCTAATTTTTGTATTTTTAGTAGAGACGGGGTTTCACTATGTTGGCCAGGCTGGTCTTGAACTCCTGACCTCAGGTGATCCACATGCCTCAGCCTCCCAAAGTGCTGGGATTATAAATGTGAGCCACTGTGCCCAGCCTCGGCTCATGTTTCTGAAGCACCATAAATACTCCTTGGTCATGACTCCCAGGATTGAAGGTCTATACAACAGCCTGGGGCTTCCAGATGTGCCCAAACTTTCCCATCCAGCCCTTATCCGTGGCTCCCATGATGCACCACTGCTCCATCGCCCACGTAGGAAAGGGCGGCACTGGGTGGGAACAGGTGTGGGCTCTTCACTAAGTAGGTGCTAAACACATCAATATAACTGAAGTGAGGCCAGATATACAAGTACAGTCACCGCCTTCTTCTCAGCGCTTACCACGGGCACAACCCCCTGGCTTCGTGGCCTTGAGTAAGCCACTCGGCATCTCCACTCCCTGCAAAATGTTGTCAAAAGGTGAGCCTCAATGTTCTCACCTATAAAATGGGGATGATAACAGTACAATCCGGGCCATGTGCAGTGGCTCACGCCTGTCATCCCAGCACTTTGGAGGTGGATGCAGGCAGATTGCTTGAGCCCAGGAGTTTGAGACCAGCCTGGGCAATATGGCGTGACCCTGTCTCTACTAAAAATACAAAAATCTGCCTGGTGTAGGGGTGTGAGCCCGTTGTCCCAGCTCCTCGGAGGGGTGCTGAGGTGGGAGGATCACTTGAGCCTGGGAGGCAGAGGTTGCAGTGAGCTGTGGACTGCACTCCAGCATGGGCGACAGAGTGAGACACTGTCTCAAAAACAAAAACAAGGCCGGGTGCGGTGGCTCACGCCTGTAATCCCAGCACTTTGGGAGGTGGGTGGGTCAGGAGATTGAGACCATCCTGGCTAACACGGTGAAACCCCATCTGTACTAAAAATACAAAAAATTAGCCGGGCGTGGTGGCACGCGCCTGTAGTCCCAGCTACTTGGGAGGCTGAGGCAGGAGAATCGCTTGAACCTGGGAGGCAGAGGTTGCAGTGAGCCAAGATTGCGCCACTGCACTCCAGCCTGGGCGACAGAGCGAGACGCCGTCTCTAACAAAAACAAAACCCAAAAATACCCAGTACAATCCTGCAGTTAATTTAGGGGGATTAAAGGGGGATTAAAGAGACCTCGGCATACCACTGAGTGTTATTAAGAAGTGCTGTCTTTTCCCTTCTCTGGAGACGCTATCCCTCCAAGTGAGCAATGAGTTGTTAATTTTTCTTCTTTCTTTCTTTTTTTTTTTTAAGATGGAGTTTCACTCTTGTTGCCCAGGTTGGAGTGCAATGGCGCCATCTTGGCTCACTGCAACCTCTGCCTTCCAGGTTCAGGTGATTCCCATGCTTCAGCCTCCCAAGTAGCTGCGATTACAAGCGCCCACCACCATGCCTGGATAATTTTTGTATTTTTAGTAGTGACAGGGTTTCACCATGTTGGCCAGGCTGGTCTTGAACTCCTGACCTCAGGTGATCCACTCCCCCTCAGCCTCCCAAAGAGCTGGGATTACAGGCGTGAGTCACTGCACCTGGCCTAATTTTCTTCTTTCATCAATAGTTACCTTCCACGTGTGGGCCCCACCATCCATGTGGGCTGGAGGACAGAGCCATTTCCAGGCATTTGTTGGCCTGAGTCACTCTAGCTTTCAGAGGCTCAGCCTATATCATCTGCAACATGAATGCACCCTTATCAAAATGTTTCCCCTGAAAAATTCTGAAAAGATTTCAGGCCAGGCACAGCGGCTCATGCCTGTAATCCCAGCACTTTGGGAGGCCAAGGCGGGTGGATCACAAGGTCAGGAGATCGAGACCATCCTGACTAACACAGTGAAACCCAGTCTCTACTAAAAATACAAAAAAAAAAAAAAAAAAAAAATACCCGGGTGTGTTGGCGGGCGCCTGTAATCTACTAGGGAGGCTGAGGAAGGAGAATGGCGTGAACCTGGGAGGCGGAGCTTGCAGTGAGCTGAGATAGCGCCACTGCACTCCAGCCTGGGTGACAGAGTGAGACTCCGTCTCAAAAAAAAAAAAAAAATCTGAAAAGATTTCTATAATTTTGCCTTTGAATTTTCTTGGCTACGTGACTCTGCCTTTGCTAATCTTGGAGAAGGTACATAACCTCTGTATGCCTCGGTTTCCTCATGCATAAAACAGGAATAATGATGGCTCTTAAGTCATAGAATTCAGTGTGTTGACATATGTAAATTCATAACACCACGCCCAGCAGAGGTAAGTCCTGAATACACGTTTGCCAAATAAACTAAAATACCAGTAACTTTCAGTTTCTGATTTCTCGTCGACCATCTGGAACTCTCAGAATTCTTGCTACGTGAGAAAATCTAACCCACAAAGAGTTTTCAAATGTAGTAAAACTTTTATAAATACCAAATCGAAAAGATGACATAATCTTCCATCTTGTAGGTATTTAATGAAATGTCTATTAATTTTAATTTTGCCATTTTATTTTTGCATTTTACAGTAGTACACAATGTTAATTATTAACACAGTGTTCATCGCCCCTCAAAATTCTGTGAGCTCCAGCCCTGTGAGCCTAACCAATAACCTAGCATCAGCAGGGGCAGAGGTCACACAGATGCCTCCAAGGGGGCTGATTCTGAGATGACCAAATGGAGGCAATGACCAGACCTATTGCCCAGTCCCACCTGGCTCTGCTCACCAAAGCTTTGGGGGTGGGGAGATGCCAGGGAGCTGTGCTAGCAGAAGTCAAAAGGTTCTGTCCAGAGACAGGTAGGTCAGGTTCACCTGGATCACAGCCATGACCAGGCAGGAGGCAGAGGGTGCCAAGGCTGTGTGTTCATGGACAAGGGGAACATCTTCTGAACTGGAGCCTCAGGGGGCAGGAAAAGGGGAGCAGGCTCTCCAGCTCTCCCTGCCCTGGCCCACCCTACCTGTTCTCCCATGATGTTGGGGCTGGAAAGGCCCAAGGGGATATCTAGTTTAGCCTCCTTCTCATTGACAGATGGAGCAGGGCGCTGGAGCAGAAGGGATCTGCCTGTTTCAGGCTGCGCTGGTTTCAGGTGCCCCTGCCCTGGAGCACCCTGCATCTCCACTCCACTTCCCAGCAATGAAGCTGTCCTGTGTTGCATGACATAGGTTTTCTTCCTTCAAAACAGCATTCCAGGGCTGCGCGCGGTGGCTCATGCCTATAATTAATCCCAGCACTTTGGGAGACGGAGGTGGGTGGATCACTTGAGGTCAGGAGTTCGATACCAGCCTGGCCAACATGGTGAAACCCCGTCTCTACTAAAAACACACACAAATTAGCCGAGTGTGGTGGCACACGTCTGTAATCCCAGCTACTTGGGAGGCTGAGGCAGGAGAATCACTTGAACCTGGGAGGCGGAGGTTGCAGTAAGCCGAGATTGCGCCATTGCCCTCCAGCCTCAGTGACAAGAGCAAAACTCCATCTCGAAAACAAAACAAAACAAAAGAAAAAACACAGCATTCCAGGGCTGGGTGTCTGTAATCAATCCTAGCACTTTGGGAGATGGAGGTGGACAGATCACTTGAGGTCAGGAGTTCGAGACCAGCCTGGGTAACATGGCAGAACCCCACATCTCTACAAAAATACAAAAAAATTAGCCAGGCATGGTGTCACATGCCTGTACTCCCAGCTACTTGGGAGACTGAGGCAGGGGGATAACCTGAGCTGGGGAGATGGAGGCTGTGGTGAGCTGTGATCATGCCACTGCGCTCCAGCCTGGGTGACACAGTGAGACCCTGTTTCAAAACAACAACAACAACTTAGCATTCCACACTCTGCTTTCCAGTGGACCTTCCCACCTTAAACCAGAAAAGGAATGAGTTAATACCAGAGTGTACACTGATATCTCTTCCTTCGTGGCTACAGGAGGATTGGAATCCTGGCTCAGTTCTGATTTGTTGTGTGATTTTTTTTTTTTTTTTTTGGTGGAGTTTCCCTCTGTCGCCCATTTAAAGTGCAGTGGTGTGATCTTGGCTCACTGCAACCTCTGCCTCCTGGGTTCAAGTGTTTCTCCTGCCTCAGCCTCCTGAGCAACCGGGATTACAGGCGTGCGCCACCACACCCAGCTAATTTTTGTATTTCTAGTAGAGACAGAGTTTTGTTTCTTTTCTTTTTCTTTCTTTTTTTTTTTTTTGAGATGGAGTCTTGCTGTGTTGCCCAGGCTGGTGCAATGGCGTGATCTCGGCTCACTGCAACCTCCACCTCCTGGGTTCCAGTGATTCTCCTCCCTCAGCCTCCCAAGTAGCTAGGATTACAGGTGCCCACTACCACGTTGGACTAATTTTTTTGTATTTTTAGTAGAGACGGGGTTCCGTCATGTTGGCCAGGCTGGTCTTGAACCCCTGACCTCAGGTGATCCACCCACCTCAGCCTCCTAAAGTGCTGGGATTACAGGCATGAGCCACCGTGCCCAGCCCAGAGACGGGGTTTCACCATGTTGGCCAGGCTGGTCTTGAATTCCTGACCTCAGGTGATCTGCCTGCCTCAGACTCCCAAAGTGCAGGAATTATGGGCATGTGCCACCACGCCCGGCCCGCCGTGTGATTTTGAGCATGACTCAACCTCTCTGGGTTTTGCTTGCCCCCGCTAACATATGAAGAAAAAACACTGGCTGCCTCTTCCGGGGCTCAGGGGTTCTAGTTGTCCACATCCATGAAGCTCCGGGCATACGGCAGGGCCTCAGGAAATATTAGTATGTCTCTCCCCACCCCCAATCCCATCAGGTGCTTCCTCTTTCAAAGTGTCTTCTGAATCCTTTATTCTCACCAAGGTGTCATGCTTAATAATAATTTTAAGGCTACTCCCTCCAGGGGAATTTTAGCAGGGATCTGTTAAAAAAAAAAAAAAAAAAGCTGATCGCTTATGGTAGAATTTCTGACAACATCTGAGAATGAGAAAATATTTTGTGTGGAGTTAGCTTAGGTGGGGGTGTTGGGGTGGTGCAATGGTGTGGAAGGGAGGAAGGGAGGCAACTGAACCTTGTCAAGTAGTGCCTCTATCTTTGTAGCAGGTGAGAAAAGGCCCGTATTAGAGGGGCTGCTGCAGTCTAGGCCTGGGGATGATGGCTGGGTTTCATCTGTTTTCCAGATGAGAAGCAGGGATTCCCAGCAAAGGAGAACCATGAGTCACAGGGAAAAGTCTGGCCGGAAGCTGCTGACACACATTCTCACAGGACTATGGCAAGTATGTTAATGATTTACAAGGGTGGATGGGAGAGCCCTGGAACCTGGCCTTCGGAACATGAGCTCATGGACCTGAGATTGGAGCTGTTTATACCTAACGTGACTGGGAATTAGTTATCTTTTCTTCTTGGGGACCAAGGAGAAAAGATGAACAGCTGGAGTTTAATAACAGTCTTGCAGAATGTTAAGGCCAAGAGCGATCTCAGAGATCAGCCAGTCCCACCACCTCCTATACAGACTGTGACGTGAACTGAGGCTTAGACAGGAGAGGGTGGTGGCCAGGGCCTCGAAGCTGAACTGGCAAGTCTCTGGGCCTGTCAGTCACTTAAAACACGGCGGGGGAGTTCTAAAGAAGCTTTTGTGGCTGGGCACGATGGCTCACACTTGTAATCCCAGCACTTTGCGAGACCGAGGCAGGTGTATCACTTGAGGCTAGGAGTTCAAGACCAGCCTGGCCAACGTGGTGAAACCCCATCTCTACTAAAAATACAAAAATTAGCCCCACATTGTGGCAGGCGCCTGTAATCCCAGCTACTCAGGAGGCTAAGGCAGGGGAATTGCTTGAACCTGGGAGGCGGAGGTTGCAGTGAGCTGAGATTGCATCACTGTACTCCAGCCTGGGTGACAGAGCAAGACTCTGTCTCAAAAAAAAAAAAAGTTTTTGTTCTTAACACTGTCTGGTGGCTGGGCGCAGTGGCTCACACCTGTAATCCCAGCACTTTGGGAGGCAGAGGCGGGCGGATCACGAGGTCAGGAGATCGAGACCATCCTGGCTAACACAGTGAAACCCTGTCTCTACTAAAAATACAAAAAATTAGCCGGGCGTGGTGGCGGGCGCCTGTAGTCCCAGCTACTCAGGAGGCTGAGACAGGAGAATGGCGTGAACCCGGGAGGCGGAGCTTGCAGTGAGCCGAGATCGCGCCACTGCACTCCAGCCTGGGCCACAGAGTGAAACTCAGTCTCAAAAAAACAAACAAACAAACAAACAAAACAACAAAAAAACACTGTCTGGCTCTTTGAATAAGATCAGCCCCAAGCATTTGGAGATAAAAATGTGTGCTGTCGGACACCGCTGTTACAATAGTGTAGAGGGATGGCATTAGGCAAACCCCGGGCAGGAACTCTGAAAAATGAAGCAAGACTGACCTATTAAAGCAATTGGATTGTGGTTGTTTTTTCTTTCTGCTAAACTTTGCTTGATTGTTGTTCTAAGTGTTTGCAAAATAAACCTCAGGGATAGAAGCGCTTAGGTGGAGAGCTGACACAATGCCCACATCTCAGGCTTGCCCACGTATTGGTATCACTGCTGTAATAATTACTACAACGTTATTGCCTTAACACATTTCCAGTTCTGTAGGTTAGAAGTTCAACTGAGGTCTTGCTGAGCTAAAGTCAAGGTGCAGGCAGGGCTGTGTCATATCTGGGGGCAACTGTAGGAGAATCTGTTTCCTTGCCTCTTCCAGCTTCCGGAAGCTGCCTGTATGCCTTGTCTTGTGGCCCCTTCCTCCCTCTTCAGTGCCAGCAACATTGCATTTACCTGACCATTCTTGTGTTGTCACATCTCTTTTTGACCACAGCCAGGAAATGTTCCCCGATTTTAAGAATTTATGTGATGAGATTGGGCCCACTTGGATAACCCAGGATAGTCTCCCTATCTCAGTGTCTGTACTCTTAGGCCCCATGTGGCAGCTCATGCCTGTAATCCCGGCACTTTGGGAGCCCGAGGTGGGCAGATCACTTGAGGTCGGGAGTTCGAGACCAGCCTGGCCAACATGGTGAAACCCTGTCTCTACCAAAAAATACAAAAAATAGCCGGGTGTGGTGGCACACACCCTTAGTCCCAGCTACTCAGGAGGTTGAGGTGGGAGGATGGATTGAGCTGGGGAGGTGGAGGTTGCAGTGAGCTAAGATCGTGCCACTGCACTCCAGCCTGGGCAACTGAGTGAGACCCTGTCTCGAAAACAAACAAACAAAAAATCACGTCAGCAAAGTCCATTTTGCCAGGTAAGGCAACATATTCACAGGAATTAGCACAGGAATTAGGGTGTGGGCATTTTGGGGCCATTATTCTGCCTATATACTTTCAATTCTATTTTATATTCTGAATATTTGTATACAGAAAAGTGCATAAATAATTACAAAATGCCAGCTTTATATATATATTACATACATATATTACATATATAACATATATATTATATATATTACATATATATATGTTATATATACATATATATATATTTTTTTTTTGAGACCAGGTCTCACTCTGTTGCCTAGGCTGGAGTGCAGCAGTGTGATCGCGGCTCACTGCAGCCTTGACTTCCCCGCCTCAAGCAATCCTCCCACCTCAGCCTCCTGAGTAGCTGTGACCACAGACGTGTGTCATCACACCTGGCTAATTTTTTTTTTTTTGTAAAGATGAGGTCTTGCTATGTTGGCCAGGCTGGTCTCAAACTCCTGGGCCTAAGCCAGCCTCCTGCCTGCCTTGGCCTCCCAAAGTGCTGTGGTTACAGGTTTGAACCACAGCACACAGCCTTTTGATTTTCTAACTTTTTTTTTTTTTTGAGATGGAGTCTCGCTCTGTTGCCCAGGTTGGAGTGTAGTGGCACAATCTCGGCTCACTGCAACCTCTGCCTCCCAGGTTCGAGCGATTCTCCTGCGTCAGCCTCCAGAATAGCTGGGACTACAGGTGTGTGCCATTACGCCCAGCTAATTTTTGTATTTTTAGTAGAGATGGGGTTTCGCCAGGTTGGCCAGGCTGGTCTCGAACTCCCGACCTCAGGTGATCTGCCCGCCTTGGCCCCCCAAAGTGCTGGGATTACAGGCGTGAGCCACCATGCCCAGCTGTGCAGCCTTTTAATTTTCATAAACTGACCACACCCGTGTAACCAGCCCCCAGATCAAGAAACAGAACATGCTCTGTAGCCCCAGAAGTCCTGCTCCTGCCCTCTTCCCATGCACAGTGTGATTTAGCATTTGTTGACATTAGAAAATTCTGTGTATATGTGAGGTCAGGAGTTCGAGACCAGCCTGACCAACATGGAGAAACCCCATCTCCATGAAATTAGCCGGGCGTGGTGGCACATGCCTGTAATCCCAGCTACTTGGGAGGCTGAGGCAAGAGAATTGCTTGAACCTGGGAGGTGGAGGTTGCGGTGAGGCGAGATCGCGACATTGTACTCCAGCCTGGGCAACAAGAGCAAAACTCCGCCTCAAAAAAAAAAAAAAAAAAAAAGAAAGAAAGAAAATTCTGTGTATAGGTAATACCTGGAGTATTATTGAAATACAAAGGAGAGAGCCCAAGCGATGTTTGTTTACTCATTCATTCAACAGATATTTTTCTGGCACCAGTCCTGGGCTGGGTGCCACGGGAAGTGGGATGAATTGGTTCAATGCTGGTCATATGACACAGAATACACGGAGGCAACTGTGTGCAGGAGGGTGGGGTGGGGAAAGGGGGTTTGTGAAGCAAATAAGAACACAATGCATTGGCCAAGCGTAACCAGGCAATGTGGGTCCCAAAGGCAACTACAGTTGCGGAGCAGAAAGGATTTCAGGCCAAGGGAACACTGTGGGCAAACGCATGGCAGTGGGAACAGGCAGGGGGTGCTGTGGGGTTTGGGGAGGCAAAGAGGGATGTGACTATTGGACTTGACAGCCTTGGAGCACTCGCTCATGCTGTCTGATCCACCATCCCCAGTTCTCACGTCCACCAGCCCAAACCCCAGCTCTCCAGACGCAGAACCAGAGGCCTCAGCCCTCATGCCAGTGTCCTCACTTTACAGACAGGGATGCAGGCCCACTGGAGAAGAGAAATACACGTGAGGCTGGTCGCGCACTTCCTTCATTCCCTCACTGCTCACCTTTCTACAGAGCCCTCCTGGGCCTGGCACTGGGGACACAGAGGGGTCAGATGTGGCTCTGCTCTGAAGAGTTCAGGGGCCAGTGGCACAAAACTGGGGCAGAGGCCTGAAGCAGGATCCAGATCCCATCTCCCTTCTGGGGCTCTGCCCAACCCCACGGCTCCTTCCTGCTGTGCCTCCCAGGAAGACCCCTGCGTCCCCATCAGACCTCTCCATCATTCTTCGTTTATGCAGCCTACATTTTTTTTTCTTTTCTTTTCTTTTTTTTTGGGGGGGGACAGGGTCTTGCTCTGTCTCCCAGCTTGGAGTGCAGTGGCGGGATCTCGGCTCACTGCAGCCTCCGCCTCCCAGGTTCAAGCAATTCTCCTGCCTCAGCCTCCAGAGTAGCTGGGATTACAAATGTGTGCTACCATGCCCGGCTAATTTTTGTATTTTTAGTAGAGATGGGGTTTCACCATTTTAGCCAGGCTGTTCTGGAACTCCTAACCTCAGGCAATCCACCTACCTCGGCCTCCCAAAGTGTTGGGATTACAGGCATGAGCCACTGTGCCCAGCCTGCAGCCCATATCTATTTATTGGGCATCTAATGTGTGCCAGGCAATGTTCTGGGTACTGAGACAACAGCTGTGTAGTAGACAGGCCCCTCCCTCGGTAGAGAAGAGAACAAGTGAACCCATAGGTATCCAATGTGTCGGGAGGAGGTAAGTGTCACCCTGTGAAGGAGAAACAGACTAAGGGAAGAGAGAGGGAGGGAAGGCGGTCAGGGGAGTTTCTTTGAGGATGTGACACTCGGGACACAAAGGAAGCAAGTTACACAGGAATGGGGAGAAGAGGACTCCAGACAGGGGAAAGGGGGACCTTGATGGGTCTGGGGTCCACACACAGGCTGTGAATGCAGGGAGTGATGTAGATTTAGCTTTGGAGAGACCTGGAAATCAATGCTGGTCTCTCCATCTCCCCCTGTTCTTGGAAATGGACCACCAGGCGTGAGGTTTGGGGAGGCCACTGGCTGCTTCTCCGGTGTCTTCCTGTATCAGCCACAACTAGCACACGGAGGGATGCTGGCCAGACCTGGCTTCATCAGGATGACACGCCCAGCTAACCTCATACCTCCCCCTTCATCAACACTCCCCCATGTTGGGGAGGCAAGGCAGGGAAAGGTCCCCCATGGTGCAGCTGAGGAAATGGAGGCGCAACACTCTGCACTGTGCCAGGTGCAGAGGAGGGGGGCCGGAAGGGCTTTGCCACGGTGTCCCCCAGGAGACCACCTTCTGGGAGCAGGTGACCTCTTGAGGGGTTCTGCGGAGGAAGTTCCCAGAAGTCAGCCGAGGGGACTTGGTGGAGGTGGCAACGCACAGGGCGGGTGACAAAGTACACATCCCGTGGGGTAGCAGCGGGGGAGGGGAGAGGTGCCCTGAAGGGGCGGCGGGAGGGGCTCAGAGGCGTGATCCCGTTGGTGGGGCGTTTAGGACCTTGGGTGGAGGCGGGACCCCGCGAGCGGTTTGAGGGAGGCTGTCCTGGGCATCCGAAGATTGGCGGAGACTGGCCGTTTGGAAGTGGGCGGGGCAAGGGAGGTCAGGGGGCGGGGCCAGGGAGCCGGGGTGGGTCCGGGCCGTTCAGAGGCGGGGCGGGAGGGGACAGGGGCGGGGCCGGGGCGGGGAAGGGGCGGGGCCGGACCGGGGCCGGGCCGGGCCGGGGCGGGGCGAGCGGAGCCGGGGGCGCGCGGGCGGCGGCGGCGCGGAGGTGCGCTCGCCGGTGCTGTGTTTGGCGGGTGGTGGCGGCGGCGGCGGCGACGGCGACGCGCACAGAGGCGGACTGTGGCTTCCTTGGTGCTCGCGGCGGGCTGCGGGCCGGGCCGCCCGCCCTCCCCGCCGCCGCCGCCCCCGAGCCTGCGGGCGGCGCCGAGGCCGAGGAGCGCTCGCTGCAGCACATGCTGCGTGCCATAGCGGAGGAGCGCGGCCGTCTTAGCCTGCGCCGCGAGGTCTGCGGCCTCGGTGAGTGGGACCCGGGGGCGAGGCCGGGCCGGGAGAGGTGAGCGTCTCCGGGGCCGCCTCTGCGCGTCCGTGTTTCTGTGCGCCCCGCGCATCTCTGTCTCTGCGCGGGTGTCGTGGTCTCTGGGTCTGCCTGGGTACCCTGTCTTCCTCCATGGCCCCCCCCCCACCGTCCCTGCATCTGGGTCTGTCTCTGCTTTCCGTCCGACGAGCGCCCCGCACCCCTGTGCCCGGGTCTCATTCGGCGTCTCCCCCTGTCAGTCCGTCCGGGTGTCTGTCTCATCTTCCTCCTTCTTCTTCGTGTCTCTGCGGGTCTTCTTCCTTCTCCAGGAAGCCCGCCCCGGGCCCTCAGCACCGCGGTAGGGAGTGTGGGCGTGGGATCTGGGTACACCCTTAGCCCAGCGCGGCAGGGTCGGGCCCTCGTTGGGCTCTGGGTGGACCTCGCTGCGAGCGTGCCCTGGCCACTGTCTCCTGCTACCCGAAGCCTTTGTCTTTCCGCACCCACCGGCCCCTCTCATCCCTTAGCTGTATCCAGGGACCTGTTGGGCAATGGCCCCCCGAACCCGCCCGCTTGGCTGAGGGGCAGGGCCTGCTGCCTCTCGGTGTGATTCTGGGCTTTAAGTCATGGATCTGCTGGGGGGCGTGGGATGGGGGTGCCTCGTATTGTTTGGAAGGGCCTGGGACTGCAGGTGTGGGTGGGGTCTCCCAGCCAGTGAGGTAATCCATTACTGATGGATCATGCCCAGACTGAAGCCCAGGAGAAGCCCCCTCTTTTGTCGTCTCAGGTTCGTCATTTTCTCCATGGAAAAGACCCCTCCCTCCTCCGTGCAGGGAATGACTTCATACCACATTGTCAGCCACCCCCCACCCCACCCCCAGGCTAGGCTGGGGATTTCTGAGGGGGTGACAGCATTGCTGAGTACGGAATGTCAGCCTTCCAGATTCACCCCTTCATTCACCGTTGGGGAAACTGAGTCCCAGAGAACAAGTGCATCCCCCTAAGGTCACACAGCTGCAGGGACATGGCAGTCCCAGGCATTCAGGGCCCCTCAGCAGGCCACACCCTGGAGGCTGGAGTGGAGAGAGGAAGTAAATTTGAATCCCTTTTGTAGGAGGCAGGCTTAGCATGGGAGGCTTCCCAGTGAGCAGGCCCCAGCCTAGCCTGCCCAGGCGAGCCTTTCCTCATGCAGGGGTGGGGTGGGGGGTGCTTATGAAGTGAAATGGACAAGAACTTCAATGGTTGACAAGGTTTCAATGGTTTCTTTCTGAAAAGGTGTCAAGATTTACTTTTGAGCAGAAGTTGGAGCGTGCTTATTCATTCATTCTGCAAACATTCATTGAGCACCTACTGTGTGCCACCGTGGCAGGCCCACCTGTCAGCTGGCACCGAATATCTGAGCTGGGATGCATCTGAAGGACCATCTGCTGCAGGTCACTTGGCCCTGTTTGCTCAGCAGCTTCAAGCAGTCCCTCCCCACTCCCCTGTCCACACACACCTATTGTCCTCTGACCACCTTTACCTGTGAGCACCTTCTCTCCTCTTCTAGGCAGCCCCTCCCGCAAGGAGGCTGCAGGGCCATTCCCAGAAGAACAGTGAACAGTGAAAATGGCACCTAGCATTTACTGAGCACTTACTATGTGCCGGGTGCTTTACTCATGCTGCAAATTTAATCCTGACACAATGCTGACTTTGCCAGGGAGCAGTATTATCTCCATATCAGCGATGAAGAGCCTGAGGGTGAGAGAGAGAGAGAGAGAGAGAGAGAGCCTGCCCAGGGACAACCAATGAGGAAGCAGCATAGCAGCATAGCCGGGACTGACCCTCTGCCAGCCTGACCTCAGAGCCTGCCCTCCACTCCCTGAATATCCCCAGCCAGGTCTTTATGTGCCTACGATACTCACGCTGTTTCCTTGTCTCTTCTCCAGGCCTCCCGCACGTGCCAGGTCTCCCCTCTTCCCCTGCTGCTGAACTCAGTCCCTGCAGGGCTCTGAAGCAGAGAAAACCTGCTGTTTTCTCTGCCCGGAAAGCCGCCCCTACTCATGTGCCCCACAAGCATCTCTAAGTTTTCCTTTAAGTCTCAGCTCCAGTGTTGCCTCTCCGGGAACTCTTTCCAGCTCCCAGGCACACAGTCCTGTTCTGCCTGTGTTCTCTTTGTGCCAGGCACATGTTTGTTGGGACAATCAGGATGATTGTGGCCTTGTCATGGTCTGTGTGCTGTCTCCCCAGTTAGCAGGTGAGGCCTTCAAAGGCATTACCCAGTCTGATTCATCTTGGTGCCCAGCATGGGGCACATACGGAGCAGGTGCCCAGTAAACATTTAGTGAACAAGTGAGAAAATTATTATCTGGACTGGCAGATGAAGGGCGTGGAGGGCCACGGAGATGGGAATCTTAGCTTCTTAGAAGGCCTCATTTTTGGCCGGGCGTGGTGGCTCATGCCTGTAATCCCAACCCTTTGGGAGGCTGAGGCGGGCGGATCATGAGGTCAGGAGTTTGAGACCAGCCTGGCTAACATGAGGAAACCCCCGTCTCTACTAAAAATACAAAAAAAAAAATTAGCCAGGCGTGGTGGCGGGCGCCTATAGTCGCAGCTACTCAGGAGGCTGAGACAAGAGAATGGTGTGAACCCGGGAGGCGGAGGTTGCAGTGAGCCGAGATCACGCCACTGCACTCCAGCCTGGGCTACAGAGTGAGACTCTGTCTCAAAAAAAAAAAAAAGGGCTCATTTTTCAGATGAGAGATTTGATGTTCAGCGAGGGGTGAGCTTACTAGGAACTTGATGCCCAGAGTGGAGCGCACCTCTCACCTCTCAGGTGTGAGTCCTGAGAGGAGCCAGAACACCAGCCCCGGAGCACTTCTGCGTCCACTGAATCATCAACACTCTCAAGCTGTGGGGGCAGGGTTGTGTTTGATCATCTCCACTTCACCTCTGTGACAGCCTGTTAGATTTATGAATGAATTTAAATCTCCCAGATTTTTGTTGTTGTTTAGCAAAAGCTTGGGTTACTCAGAAACCTGCTGTGTCCTCTGACGTTGTTTTGAAGGTGTCAAGGGAGCCTCAGGTGGAGGCGCTGGGCTTTGGTTGAGTGGTTGTCATTCTCTGAGTCAGTGTCTGTCTCTGAGATGGGACTAAGCTCCTGGCCCTCCTCACTCAGGGGTCATCGCTCAGCTCTCGTGATGAAAGGCACCTTGTAGATTT
Source organism: Homo sapiens (assembly GCF_000001405.40). Classification (NCBI taxonomy): domain Eukaryota; kingdom Metazoa; phylum Chordata; class Mammalia; order Primates; family Hominidae; genus Homo; species Homo sapiens. The sequence continues at coordinate 45,237,443 of NC_000022.11, read as the reverse complement.
CACATCTGGCTTTTGAGGCTTGTCTGTGGCAGCCTCTGCAGTAGAAGGGGAGTTGAGCACTTGCTCTGTACTGAGAGGGGGCGGGAGTGTTGGGCCCTGATCCCTGCCTTGTGGGAGGGCACAGTCCATGGGGGAGACAGCCAGGAGCACAGGTCACTGTTAGCTGAAGTACAAACCCTGCTGGAAGCAGTGGGGCTGCGGCTGCCCGGAGCAAGATTTTGGTGTTGCATCCACAGGACACTGCTCATGACTCCAGGTCACAGATGAACCAGGTGATTCAGGACCCAGGTGTGCGATGCAGACATTTGGACTGAAGGGGGACAAACCCTGCCACTTCTTCCCGGGGCTTGGGCCTTCTCCTGGGCCCTGGGCCTCAGCCCAAGCACACAGGCTCCCTTTCAACAGGGGCAGCCCACCCGACAGTTGGTCAGGTAACGTGGACGCGACCTGGGCCCAAGACCTGGTGTGAGTCCTGAGAGGTGCCGTGAGCAGGTGGGACCCACATCCGGCTGCTTGTCTCTGTGCCCTGCCTCAGCTGAGCATTCTTGGAGCAATTTGTGCCTGGCATTTGGGGCTAAGGGATTCTCCCTGTGTCCGGAGTGGTGCAGAGAAGGGGCATTTTATGTTCATTCTTTCCTTTTGTCTTTGGAGTAATCCTGTGGGCTAGACATTGTTCTGTTCTTCTCTTTGTCCTGATGAGGGAACACAGGTTGGGGGGAAGTAAGGTGCCCCCAGCTGCAAGGCTAGGAAGTGGCCGAATCTTGCTGAGCCCAAGCTCTTAATTGCTTAACCCTGCGCAGAGGTGAGGCCCACCTAGACCCGTCCTCAGGGTGCTGAGGGTATGGTGTTCCAGGTTGTGTGGCAGCCTGGCCACAGTGGATGGAGGCAGGACCCCAGTGGAGCTGTGAACACTTAGCCAGAGGCCACAGAGAATGGAGCCACCAGCGTGGCCCATGGGAGGGGTTTGTGGACAGCGTAGTCTTCAAGCAGGGCTGAGGCTGGATGGGCTTGTGTGGATGGAGGAGCAGAAGCTCACTTTGCTCTAAGCAGGGCTGTATAAGTCGAGGCTGGAGTAATCCCTGGCTCAGAACTTGGTATTTCCCAGCCCTGGCCTCGGGAAGCCCTGCAGGTGTGATTTGTGGGGCGGCTGCACGGGAGGGGCCATCAGTGCAGAGGATGCTGCGTGCCTGCCGCGAGCCGGTGCCTAACACCTGCCGCGTTTCCTTCAGTCCTGCTCCCGGAGAGGTGGGTTCTGTCTTGACCTCATTCTGCAGGTGAGGAAGCTGAGCTTCAGCGTGGGGAGGGATGTACCCACAGCCACGTAGCTGGCAGGTGGCAGGGCTGCCATTCCAGCTGAGGCCCATCATGTGCAAATAGCCAACCCGGAAGGGTTCGTGGAATGGGCCAGAGGAGTGAGGGAGACGGCCTTGCCTCTGTGCTGAACACCTGTGTGTGCTAGGCCTGCGAATGGGGAAGAGCGCTGTGCACCCTTCACCTCCCCCAACCCGCCATCACTTTGCTAGGCCAGGTGTAGCTGGGCATAAGTGATGGGGGCCGGGGGGCCTTTAGTGGGAGGTGCCGCTGGAAAGGAAGACTGTGAGCCCTGGCTAAGCACTCCAGCCCTCGGGCCTCAGTGTCCTCATCTGTAGACTGGAGACCACAAATTCTCTAGGGACTTAGGGATTGTATGAGAGAAGTGACAGGGAGTAAATGAGACGTGGCAGGTACAGGCTCAGCACAAATCCCTGGTGTGGAGTCGGGTGCAGTCCAGGCTGCTGTTATTATCCAGGATACAAAGCACCTGGCGCAGTGCCTGCACGTGGAATCAGGGTTGTATTTATGCCCCGACGCTCGGGCTGCTTTGAGTCAATGCGGAAGCTCTCCCTGCACTCCTTGGGGCCCTCCAACCCCACAGCAGTCAGAGCTAGTTGTGGGCCAGCGCAGCGGGGAGGAAGTGTGGCCGTGTGGCATGGCAGCAGAGCCTCTTTCGGTTCCTGGGCCTATTTTAAGGGTTGTGGGTTCCGGCCTCTACCCGTTCCTGGGACTGGAGCAGCCCAGGAGGCCCTCTCCTGAGGCTGAGACTCTGTGTCCTTCCGGACGGAACCTGAGGACGCTGGACCCTACAGTTTAAAGAGGCCGAGGACCACAGCTGCATGGACATCTTTGCAGCGGCCGCATAGGCACCACTGGCCTGGGTAAGAATGCTGTGCTGCCCTGCTCAGGGGCCTTGGGGAGTCATTTCCGCCTCCAGCTTCCAGCCTTCTGCAGAGGAACTTCCATGGCATGAGCCGTCCCCTCACTGTCCTGGGTCTCCTTGCCTCCTTCATCGAGCTGGGGAGGCTTGTGTCAGCCACACCACTAGGCTGCTGTAAAGAAGCCCCAAGCAGGAGACTTGTTAACATCCTCAGATTTCCCAAACACATTTTTTTCTAATTAAAAAAAAAGTCACATGCACATTACGGAAACTAGAAAATAGGAAACAATTATGCCTAGTTCCAATTACCCAGAGACACACCATTAACTTTGCAAAGTCCTGCCCTCTGATCTTTCCAGAGGTTTTTAAAAGAGTACTTGATCTTCTCTATGCAGGTTTCTTAATCACGCTTTTTCATTTAAGGTTCCTAACACATTTCCCATGTTGCTCAGACTCCAAACATTAAATGCCTGCTCGAGAGTTGGGTGGGCAATGCCGTGATTTACTTAATTGGTCTCATGTGGTTGGAAACATAGCTGGGATCCAGTTTTCACTGTTAGAAATAACTTGCAGCAAAGCTTTTTATACGTGCAAAGGTGTCTGTATTTGGATTATGTCTTTAAGCTGGCCACCTGGGAGGCCATTTCTTGGAGGCTGCTGTGTGACCCCCAAGGGCAGGGGTAGGACCGTAGGTGGTAGACGGGTGTTCACGGGGCTGAAGGAGAACCCTTTTAGTTAGCTTGTGTGGACTAGGAAGGAAGGTGAGCCACAGAAGGTAGTGATGGGCGTCCCTGCTGAGGGCATGCAGGGAGCTGAGAAAGGATCCAGCCTCAGACTAGACTTTGGGCCCATGCCTTGCCAGTCTGTGATCCTCCAACCTTGTCTTCTTACCTGAGAGCTCTCCCCCTGGCGTTTCAGGCTTGTCTTCCCCGAGCAGGAAGCAGAGGCCCCCTCTTCCCCATCGGAGGACCATGAGGCCTGGGAGCTGAGCCCTGAGCACAGGCCAGGCCAGCTCCCCAACGGCACCCACACGCACACTGACCTTCCACTCCTGGTCACCCCTCACTGCAGGCCACCCCAGCTTGCCGGGCCTCAGAGACAACAGAGACGTTTGCCCCTCAGGGTCAGTACATGTGCCCGGCCTCTGCCAAGGCCCCCGGGTCTCAGAATTCAACCAGCCTCTCCCTGTCACTGCTGTAGACAGGAGCTCTGCAAGCCCCAGTCCAGGCTCTCCCGCTAAGGGTTCTGTGGGATTGGGGAAGCCCTGGTGCATAGCTGCAGCTCCTGTGCAGCCCCAGCCCCGCTCTTCTGTCTTCTGGAGGCCCTTGTCCCTCTGGACCTCTGATCCCTCCTGCATGCGGTGCTGGGCTAGGCAGGGCCAAGCGGGACTTGTAAACAATACGTCATCTAATATCATAACCCCTGTCAGGTAGGAGTTAGCCCGTGTCTTACAGGGATGAAGCAGAGGCTCAGAGGGTTGAGTAGACCTTCCCTCGGTCATTTCCAGCAGCTTGGGTCTGGTGCACTCAGCTTCCTAAGAGGGCAGAGCTCACTGCCTATCACCCAAACCCGGCTGTCCTGCCCACCCTCCCAGCGTCCTGAGAGCAGCCACCAGGTCCCCTGGTGAGTCAGCCTAGTGAAGGTCCTGCCACCCGGGTGGGCACCCGGGCTGTTCTGCAGCTGAAGTAGAAGCGTGTTTTGACTGGATGTGATTTCCCACTTTCCAGGTGATGCCCGCCTCTGGGCCTTTATGGCTGTGGCTGCTGTGCTGAGGGGAGCTTTCCCACCCAGGCCTACCGACTCCTTGGAAGTGGGGCTGCATGCCCTGCGTGGCCTGTGCTGGGGAACTCGGCCTAGCACCTGTGCTTACCCGTTCCACTTGAACCTCAGCCTCCACTCCTTAGAACACCTCGCCTGCCTCAGTCTGCCCACCCTGTACCACACCGTGTCCAGAGCACAGAACCCTGGGGAACTTTAAAACAAAATGCCCATTCCTTCCCCCGACCTGGGCATCTGAGTGAAAGTCCTCCTGGGGGGCCCTGGAGTCTGTGGTGTAATTCATTCGTTCCCTCTGTCTGGGTGTGTCAGCCTGAGTTGGTGGCCACTGGGCTGTCTGTTTACCACCCCTGCCCCCATGTGATAGATGGGGCCACTGAGGCTCAGAAGCAGGAGGGACTGGCTGTGATGCCTTCCTCCACCTTCCTGATCTGGCCTGCTCCCAGCCACCTGTCCTTGGATCCACCTGAGCCCCAACAGCATGAACCTTAATGTCATCGACATTGACACCTGGCGGGGGTGGGTGGGAAAATTAACACTCCACGGGGTCCCTTCCTCACCCCCAGAGATACCTGTGCCCCTGAGTCAAAGCCGAACTCTGCACATCAGGGAAACGGAGGCTGAGGTCACATACAGAGCCCTGGCTCAGCCCCACCACATGGAGAGGCGGTGGGCCAGCCTCCCCTGGAGCCGGTCCCCACCCAGCCCACTCTGCAGGATGGGCATTCTCCTGGGAGAAGATGTGACTCCAGGCTTCCTGTGCCTGATGAGCTCTACCCTCCCAAGGTAGGGGGGCAGTTTGCTCCCAGTGTCCCAGTTTCGGCTGAGGCAGCAGAATGCCCTCTGGGTCACAGCCCGTCCTGGGGGAGCTGGGATGGAGAGAGTCCCAGAATTCAACCAGCCTAGCCCTATCACTGACACAGACAGGGGAGACTCAGAGTGGACCCCGACTGTCTCAAACAGGGTGAAGAATCAGGAGGGCTGGCTGCCTGATCTCACCAGTGCTGCCTCTTGCCCCGTGGTGCAAGTGAGGAGACCGAGGCAGGTGAACAACAGGCAGAGTTCCCTTACTCCACGTGTCCATTATCTTTAATGTAAAAGGGCTTTGTATTGGGATGTGCTTTGAATCTTGAAAAATGCTTTTCACACTTGGAGCAACACTTATGGCAGAGAAAGGGAGAAAAGCAGAATACAAATCCACATGTTATGAAGCGTGTGGATTATCCATGTAATTATAATAGAGAAGTGCTGCCCTGCACACCCTCGTGTGTCCTCACAGCAGTGCTGAGCAGAAGGCAGGAGGGGTGTTGTCCCATTTACAGAGGGGGACCAGGCCTCAGAGTGATAGGTGGACCTGGGGTGAGGTGGCCTTGGACTAGGCTTCTCCCTTCTGGTTCTTTCTGAAACCTTGCTTCATAGGCACCTTTCCAGCAACAACAGCCATTCAAGACCCTTGTGCCTGTTAATTTTGTTTGTTTGTTTTGAGAGGGAGTCTCGCTCTGTCACCCAGGCTGTAGTGCAGTGGCGCGATCTCGGCTCACTGCAAGCTCCGCCTCCCAGGTTCACGCCATTCTCCTGCCTCAGCCTCCCGAGTAGCTGGGACTACAGGCACCCGCCACCACACCAGCTAATTTTTCGTATTTTTAGTAGAGACGGGGTTTCACCATGTTAGGATGGTCTTGATCTCCTGACCTTGTGATCCACCTGCCTCGGCCTCCCAAAGTGCTGGGATTACAGGCATAAGCCACTGCGCCTGGTGTGCCTGTTAATTTCTTACCTTCTCTGCAGTTTTTACCCCTGTCTGAGTGTACATTTTTATGTATTTGTAGTCACCATTGTGTCATTTGTGGAGGTCATATATATTGAACCCTGGAAATGCAGTGCTGAATTAGGGTTGATCTGACTCTTGGGAGCTTGGCCCTCCCTGGGGAGGGGGTGGTGGCAGGCAGGTACAGGCTGATTGTTCATGCCTCTGGCTTCCCACCCCTGCCTCTGTATCCTGTTCACACACATCGCTGGGACAAGCCCAGACATCCCTCGGATCTTCAGGCCCCACTGCCAATGTAGGAGGTGAAAACTATCTTTCTTCCCATCTTAGGTTCATGGCTGAGGTTCCTATAACAAAAGGCAGAAGAGAGAAAAGTATAATTTAGTGTAAGTTTTACATGATACAGGAGCCTTCATAAGGAAGTGAAAATCCAAAGAAATGGGCTCAACCTGTGTATTTTCTTTCTTTTTTTTTTTTTTTTTCTGAGACGGAGTCTCAGATCTTGGCTCACTGCAACCTCTGCCTCCTGGGTTCAAGCGATTCTCCTGCCTCGGCTTCCTGAGTAGCTGGGATTATAGGCGGCCACCACCATGCCTGGCTGATTTTTATGTATTTTTAGTAGAGAGATGGGGTTTCACCATGTTGGTCAGGCTGGTCTTGAACTCCTGGCCTCAGGTGATCCATCTGCCTCAGTCTCCCAAAGTGCTGGGATTACAGGTATGTTGAGGCACCGTGCCCAGCCTCAACCTGTTTATTTTCTATGCTAGGTTTGATAAAGAAGTGGGTCATTGTGGAGGAGTCTGACTGGATAAAGAAGTGTGATCTGGGCTGGGCGACGTGGCTCACGCCTGTAATCCCAGCACTTTGGGAGGCCAAGGTGGGTGGATCACAAGGTCAGGAGCTCGAGACCAGCCTGGCCAACATTGTGAAACCCCGTCTCTACTAAAAATCTAAAAATTAGCCGGGTGTGGTGGCAGGTGCCTGTAATCCCAGCTACTCAAGAGGCTGAGGCAGGAGAATTGCATGAACCCGGGAGGCGGAGGTTGCAGTGAACCAAGATTGCGCCACTGTACTCTAGCTTGGGTGACAGAGCAAGACATCGTCTCAAAAAAAAAAAAAAAAAAAGAATGTGATCTGGGGTAATAAACTGGGGGCACTTAGCAAGGCCTGTTTGTTGAGATTCTTCTCTCAACTAATTGCTGTGTCTTCAGAGATGAGGATGCTCTTTTCCTCCGGACATAGAGAGGGTGCCTTTCACATGAGGGTCTCATGACCTGCTTCAGGGAGAAGGGCAGAGGGAGGGTGAGAGAGACCTTCCTGCTTCTGCTATTTTCTCAAGTGCCAGCGTGTCGTATTTTGGGGTAACGTGGCCTGAACCCTATCACCAACTGCCCTGGGACATCTGCTCCCACCTGTATGTGTCTCGGGTGCCTCCAGCTCAGCCTGACCAAGACGTGACTCGCTGCCCGCCCTGTGTCTGCTCTCCCCTGCACTCCTCAGCCGCAGGCCAAGAGTCAGCCCTCCCTTGCCCCTCAGCCAGCTGTGGCTGAGGTCCAGGCTGTGCCTGGGCTGTCTCCTCTCCCCACCTGCATTGTCCCATATGTCCCCATGTGGCTGTTCCTGTCACTGTCACCCAGGCTGGAGTGCAGTGGCATAATCTCGGCTCACTGCGCCCTCCGCCCCCTGGGTTCGAGTGATTCTCCTGCCTCAGCCTCCTGAGTAGCTGAGATTACAGGTGCCTGCCACCATGCCTGGCTCATTTTTTTGTATTTTTCGTAGAGACAGGGTTTTGCCATGTTGGCCAGGCTGGTCTTGAACTCCTGACCTCAGGTGATCCACCCGCCTTGGCCTCCCAAAGTGTTGAGATTACAGGCATGAGCCACTGCACCTGGCCCACGTTCACACCTTTAAGAACCTCTTGATGTCTGCCAGGCATATAGTCCAAGACCCTTGGTGACCTGCCCCAGCTGACCCCCTGAGCCCCAGCCGTAAGACTTGTTGGAGGGGGTTTCCCGAGGTCCCCTCCACACTTGGCCTGGAATCACCCTCCTCAACCCGTTGTTGGCGGAGAGGGGGGCCCTTGGCTCTAGGGCCCTTCTGTGGCCTCTTCCTGACCCGTTGGTGGAATCAGCCACTGCTACCCTTGTTCTTGGTGCCACCTGTCAATTCCTGCCCCTGTGCTGTGACACTGCGTAGTCCCTCGTGTGTGGCTCCTGTCCCTCTCCCACCTGAGCTCCCCTCCACGGCTCTGACTTTTCATCCCTCGCACCAGCTCAGAGACGGATGCCTGGGCGCAGGCCCCTGGGAGTGACAGGAGGAGCTGCCTAGGCGCGCGTTTGGTGATGGGGGAGTGGAGAGGGATCTTTCCGGTGAGTGGTGGTGGGGATGTGGAGAGGGATCTTTCAGGTGAGTGGTGATGGCGGGGGTGGAGAGGGATCTCTCAAGTGAGTGGTGGTTGGGGGGTGGAGAGGGATCTTTCGGGTGAGTGTTTGGTGGTGGGGGGGATGGGGAGGGATCTTTCGGGTGACTGGTGGTGCCGGGGGTGGAGAGGGATCTCTCAGGTGAGTGTTTGGTGGTTGGGGGGTGGAGAGGGATCTCTCGGGTGAGTGTTTGGTGGTTGGGGGGTGGAGAGGGATCTTTCGGGTGAGTGTTTGGTGGTGGGGGGGTGGAGAGGGATCTTTCGGGTGAGTGTTTGGTGGTGTGGGGGTGGAGAGGGATCTTTTGGGTGAGTGGTGATGGCGGGGGTGGAGAGGGATCTCTCAGGTGAGTGGTTGGGGGGTGGAGAGGGATCTTTCGGGTGAGTGGTTGGGGGGATGGGGAGGGATCTTTCGGGTGAGTGGTGGTTGGGGGGTGAAGAGGGATCTTTCGGGTGAGTGGTGATGGCGGGGGTGGAGAGGGATCTCTCAGGTGAGTGTTTGGTGGTTGGGGGGGATGGGGAGGGATCTTTCGGGTGAGTGGTGGTAGGGGGGTGGAGAGGGATCTTTCGGGTGAGTGTTTGGTGGTTGGGGGGGTGGAGAGGGATCTTTCCGGTGAAGAGGTGATCATTTGTTGGGGAACTGGCCCTTGAGCGAGGTATTGCCCACACAGGGCCCTGCCTGAGCAGAGGCGGCAGGAAAAGGGCAATGAAGGTTCACACTGTAATTTGCTGAGCCGCTTCTGGGAAGTCACTGTAGGCCTCTGGGCTCTGTTCCCCTTTGCAGAGTAGTACTGCTTGCTGCTCTATCTCTGCCTGAGGAAGGAGCGAGGGTCAGACCTAGAGCCTCAGAGCGTGTCATGGAGGCTGCTGTGACAGGTGGCAGCGCTGTGCCTCAGTTTCCTTTTATGAATTAGGGAGAAGAAGGTTGGCCTGGTCACTGCTCACAGCCAAGGTTCTGGGACACATTTCACTGGTCCACACTCTTAACCACTTGAAACCAAGCCACTTGTAAAAAGCACTGTGGGTAGGCAGGACCAGCTGCTCAGGGAGGTTGATGCTGTGTGTGCTGGGGATCGGGGACATCAGAAGTGAAGGAAGCAAGACAAGCGAGAAGAATCACACCCCACTCTGGCCCCACAAAATAGAAATCGAACCCTCTCATCCCACAACCCTGTGAACTGTGACTTCACACTTTGGGTCCTAGATTTCCTGCCCCAAACCCCCAGCTCTATCTGCAGGTCCCTCCTGCCAGCCCACGGATTGTCTGCATTGGCCGGTGCTGACCTGGGCCATCCCTGAGACCATGCCTACCAGGGGTGTAGGGGTCTAGGATTCCAGGTTTCTCCTGATCCAGGGAGGAGGGAGCTGCCCCCGCACACAGTGGGAGCTCGTTAGCTGCTGCTCAGCTCCCGGGAGCCCTCTCCCTGCAGCAAACCCCGATGGATCCGCCCCAGCCGGAGCTGCTTCTGCTTTAGGGTACAGGGATGAGGTCATCTCTATCAGAGGCTGCGACAAGAAGAAGGCTCTGCGTCCAGGATCCTTCCCTGAAGTTCAGTGGGGCCCGTTCTCTCCCGGGGACAGTTGGAGCCAGAACCACTGCAGTCCCCTTTACGGAGGGGACTTCATTTCCTCCAGTATTGTATTGGCAGCGTTTCATTCCAGTGACAGCCCGGTGACGTGAGGGGTGTTGTCCCTGTTGGCAGAGGGAGACAGTGGGACTTAGGCTAAGGCACTTGTGCAGGGTCCCATAGCAGCAGGGGATGTTGGACCTAATTGTCCTGGATTCGAGGCTGGCGCTTCCCTTCTCATGCTCAAACATATCCCTTTCTCCAGAGAAGGATGTTCGATGCCCTTTTTTTCCTGGGTGGGCCTGTCCTGGCATAGTGTACGAGGCAGAGCCCAGCCCCCTGGTTTTCACAATGCAGTGGGTCTCAGAAGTCAGAGTAGAGGAGGGCTAGGAATGAGGGTTGGTGTGGGAGTGGGCATTTCCAAGGACGTTGCCTGCGGAGAGCATGAGATCGAGCAGGGGACTGAGACCCCTGGGAAGGCAGAGCCGCAGAAGGGCCCAGAAGGTGCTTTGCATCCTTGTCCTGTGTGGTGTGTCGTTGCCTTGCACCTAGTACATGTGGGCCTGCACACTGAGCACCTGCCGTGGGCCGGGTGCTGGGCACAAGGGTGGGTGGCATTGGCGGATGGGTCCAGCTGTGTGCCTGGCTCCTGGCTCAGGGCCCGGGCAGGGAGTGGAGGAGTGAGGGAGCAGCTGAAGCACATGGCCTGAGTTCCTCTGCCAGGGTTTGGCATCTCTGCAGATATCGTGAGCTGGGGGCGTGGGTGGGCCTCAAGGTTCAAGGGTTCTGTGACTTCCTCGTGCCATAGAGCATGCTGGCATGGAGGCGGGAGGAGGTGGAATGATGACTGGGCAGTGGCTGGGTGGCCTCAAGCCCAGGCAGTGGAGGAAAGGGCGGGGAAGCTGGCAGTGCTGGCTCTTGGCTGAGATGGGGCACCTTTGCGTGAGTGTCAGGAGAAGCTTGAGAAATTACTCAGGAAGTGGTCGGTCGGTCGGTCAGCTGGTCATGTAGGAGGCCATTTTCTGTGTCTGAGCAGAGCAGTGAGTTAGGATCTTGGATAAGGCCCCTGTGAGGATGATCTCACAGAAAACAGGAATTTGAATATGGAACCACTGTTTCAGCTTGATGATTGTGCTTAGGAGATATTGAAACTGTCTGGAAACAGCTGTGGGGTCGGGGCGGGCAGCAGGTGCGGTGGTCACAGGAGGTAGGGGGCTTTGTGGGAATTGTTGCTTAGAGGAGGATAAAGGATGCTTTATGGGAGCCCCAATCCAGCAGGAGCCTCCCCCGCCATGCAAGGCACCTTGAGGTCAGGGTTTGTTCCCCTTTGTCCCCTAGGACCTCATGCAGCGCCTGGGGCAGAGCAGGCCCACAGAACTGGATACGAAGCCCAACCCCACGAGCTTGCCAGGTGCCCGGACTTGAAGGTCTCGGTTTCCTTAACTGTAAAATGGCTGTTAGGTGGTCACACATGTGGCCTGGGGATTGTGAAAGCACTTCGAGGATTTCACAGCGTTGTGCAAGTCTAAGACAGGCCCATGAATAAAGTTCTGCCTGCCAGCAGCTGAGGGTGAGTGGAGAGGCTGCCGCGTGCTCTCTGAACGCACCGAGGACAGGGCTCGGCACGTCCTGTGTTTCTTGTCGTTCACTGGCTCTCTGTGGTGGATACTGCCCTGCGCTGGGCCCCGGACGCCCTGCCAGCAAAGGGCCTTTTCTGGGTGGGGAGGGGCCAGTGTGACAAGCCTGCAGTGTGGAGCCAGGAGCGTGGCTTTGCAGGCAGGTGGGGCTTTGGCCTGGCCCTGACAGGCCTGACTGCAGACCAGGCGCTCGGGCCTTGAGCCCCAAGTTCCTCATCAGATCAATGAAGGGAATTATTCTTACCTCTCAGGATCTTTGTGAAGATCAAGTGAGGCAATGCCGTCAGGTGCACGTGGGCACGGGCAGCACTCGGGATGTCTTGCAGGGCCCCAGCTGGGTCAGGGAAGGCCGGTGCTGGGGTGGGGTGGTAAGGAAGGCACCCCGAGGGGGTGACTGCAAAGGTGGAGGTGGCCCCTGAGCTGACCTGCACAGGCCAAGTTGGAATGGGCGCCGTGCTTGTGCCCTGTGCCCTGTGGTGTGGTCGAGACCTGGTGAGAGGGAGCAAGGCTCTCCAGGGGGATGCAGGGCGTTTGGTCAGAGAAGAAGGGCCGAGGCTGGCTGGAACATCGGGGACCACATGGCAGATGCGGGGGCTGCCTGGAGAGCCTGGCTTGCCTGGTAAGGGAGCCTGGACTTCTTCCAAAGGAAGATGTGAAACCAGGCAGGGGTTTTAGGCACGCAACGTGGAGACCCCACGCTTCCCTTTGGTCAGAGGAGAGGGCATGGCACTGCTCACGTGGGGACTCAATGGTCCAGCTCCCCTCCCCCAAGTGCCTCGTCAGAGCAGCCAGGGGCCTCCCTGGACAGTGCCTTTGTTTTCTGTGCCCCGAGGGAGGGAGGCCCTCAGCTGGAGAGGCTCTGGGAGAGGCTCTGCGAGGCACGAGTGGATGAAAGGCCTATTGAGGGGCCACAGAAGCCCATTCAGCCAGCCCTGGCTGCCTGGGTGCGGAGGCTTACAGAGGGCCAAGGGCCGCCTGGACTCTCCCCAAAGAGTCCAGTTGACCCCCACCTTTGGACCATGACCAGGGCCAAGTGGAGTCTATTGCTGAGCCCGGTGTTCTCTGGAGAGGACCCTCTCAAGGCCCTTGACCCAGACAGTCCCGGGACAGGCACCCAGCATCTGCAGGCCACCCCACGGCAGACGCCTTCTCAGCCCCCTCCCCACCAAACACTTCAGGGGTCCCCAGCCCTCTGGGGATAACACAGAACCCCTGACCCAGGGAAGAGGGCCCGGCCCCTCCAGCTCTTCTTCCCACTCTACTTCCTCAGCCTCAGGGCTGATCCACCATCCTGGCCTCACTCATCTTCCCCCAAGGGGAGCGTTGAATGCCGTCCACCTTTGCCTGCTTGATTCCTAGTTTTCCTTGAGTCTCCAGCTGACTGGCATTCCCTGTCCAGCCACCACCTTCTACTGGTGCCTGCCACAGCTACCATCTCACTTCTGTCTGTGTTACTTAAAATTCATCCTGCTTCCACTGAAGCTGGGGATGGCGGGGGCAGCAGGGACCGCATGAGACCAAACTAACTGATGTGAGGACGAGTGGGTTCAAACACCAGCTTCCAACCGCGGGAGCCGGGCAGTCTCCCTCCTGCCATGTCCTCGTTTGTAAAATAAACTGCTTCAGTTGTTGTGAGATCAAGAGCGTCAGGCCTCAGTGTTGAGCACCACGCCTGGCACACAGGCAGCCCTGGGTGTATTTGTAAACATGCCGCAGAGTATTTGTAAAACAGGACGAAGTTATTCTGGCCTCACTTTTTTTTGTCTTTGTTTTATTTGCGGGATGAGGATCTGTGCACTGCACCACTCTTAACCCTTCACTGTGGGCATGTGCGTGTAATTCCTTCAGTCTTTCCTCCTAGGCATTTTTTAAAATAGACAGTTTCCTTCATTTAAGTATTCAGGTATAATTTTGTGTCCTGGCTTTTTTCCTCTACCATGAGCGTTTTTCCAAGTAACTGCATTGTTAGAAATATTTTGGTTACTTTTTGGATAGGTAAACGTGCTCAGGGTACAAAATACAAAAGGTTTGAGAAGGTTCTTAATGAAAACACTGAGTCTTTCTCCTTCATAGTTTTTCTCCCCAGAGGCCATGAGGATACTAGTAATGATGTAATAATACTTTCCCACCCTGGGTGCTGGCTCAGTGGTTACCCTGGGTGCTCATCTGGTGCTGATCCTGGGTGCTGTCTCAGTGCTGACCCTGGGTGCTTATCTGGTGCTGATCCTGGGTGCTCATCTGGTGCTGATCCTGGGTGCTCATCTGGTGCTGATCCTGGGTGCTGTCTCAGTGCTGACCCTGGGTGCTTATCTGGTGCTGATCCTGGGTGCTGTCTCAGTGCTGACCCTGGGTGCTCATCTGGTGCTGTTCCTGGGTGCTAGCTTAGTGCTGACCCTGGGTGCTGGCTTAATGCTGACCCTGGGTGCTGGCTTAGTGCTGACCTTGGGTGCTTATCTGGTGCTGATCCTAGTTGCTGGCTCAGTGCTGACCCTGGGTGCTTATCTGGTGCTGATCCTAGGTGCTGGCTCGGTGCCAGCACAATTTTAAAGGCTTCACGTGGATGGACTAACTTTCAACAACCCAGGAGGTAGATACCATTGTTACTGCCATTTTACAAGTCAGGAAACAGGCACCAGGAGGTTTGGATTTGTCTGTCACATGACCAGAACTGCCAGAGCCAGGATGGACCCTGACCATCTGGCTTCCTCACCTCCCTTCTCTTCCGCAGGCTCCAGCAAGCATTGGAGTCATCTTAAACGATTGGCTTTAATAGGAAAAACCTCTAATATTGGTCTGCTCTCCATTTTTTGCTTCATTTATTCTAGAGAACTTTCTTCCTTGGAACAGATAGAGTTGCTTCAATCTTTTTTAATTGCTGCGTAGTGTTCTGTTCTGTGAATGTCTTATAAGTTAGTTTATTTAATTACTATCCCTATTGATAGGACCACTCCACTATTTTGCCAACAGTGCTGTAATGCTTAAAGAATCTTATGTAGGTGGTAGGTAGTGAGACCACAGGGAAAAATTCATCTGTGGGATCGCTGGGTCAGAGGTAAAATGCGTTTGTGATTTTGACTGTCTGATATTTTTGGCAGTTTACGTTCCTACTGCAGGATATAAAGTCCCTGTTTCTCCACATCCTCTTTGACCTGAAGTGTTGTCAGGTATTTTGATCTTTGCAAACCTGATAGATGGAAAATAGAATTTTGAGGCTTTAATTTACATTTCTCTAATTGTGTCAAGCTGAGCATGTTTTTGTGTTCTAAAACCACTTATATTTCCTTCTGCTTTCCGTGCCATTTTATTTTCTTATGCATTGTGTACAACTTAGTATTTGTTAAGGAAATTGCCCTCATGTAAGGGTTCCGTCTGTGTTTCCAGTGTGGTATTTGTTTTTTGCTTTGTTTATGGTGTATGTGTGTGGTGGTGGGGGGGCGGGGGTGGTTTTTTTTCCCCTATAGAAATTTTTAATTTTTGGCCAGGCCCAGTGGCTCATGCTTGTAATCCCAGCACTTTGGGAGGCCAAGGCAAGCGGATTGCTTGAGCTCAGGAGTTTGAGACCAGCTGGGCAACATAGTGAGACCTCATCTCTACAAAAAATACAAAAAGTAGCCAGGTGTGGTGGCGTGCGCCTATAGTCCCAGCCACTTAGGAGGCTGAGGTGGGAGGATCACTTGAGCCTGTTGAGGTCAAAGTTGCAGTGATTGTGCTACTGGACTCCAGCCTAGGTGACAGAGTGGGACCCTGTCTCAAATAAGAGAAATTTTAAGTGTTTATATAGTTTGATTGATCATTCTTCTCCTTAATAGCTTTTATGTTCTCCTTAGAAAGGCTTCTCCCTCTCTGAGGGAATAAAAAATCCTCTCATGGTTTTTCTTTTTTATAGTTTTACTTTTAACATTAAAAGTTTTAATCTTTTTGGAATTTATTTTGGCTTGAGCAGGGACCCAACCTTATTCTTTTTCCTCAGCAAGCCACTTGTACCAAGACCAATTGTGGAAGAATAATCTACATCCTATTGATTTCAAGTGCTGTCTTCATAAAAACTCTTGGCCAGGCGCAGTGGCTCATGCCTGTAATCCCAGCACTTTGGGAGGCCAAGGCGGGCAGATAACCTGAGGTCAGGAGTTTGAGACCAGTCTGGTCACCATGGTGATACCCCGTCTCTACTAAAATAGAAAAATTAGCCTGGCGTGGTTGCGCATGCCTGTAGTCCCAGCTACTCAGGAGGCTGAGGCAGGAGAATCGCTTGAACCTGGGAGGCAAAGATTGTTGTGAGCCAAGATCGTGCCACCGTACTCCAGCCTGGGCAACAAGAGTGAGACTCTGTCTCAAAAAACAACAACAACAACAACAAAAACCCAGTTATTGTGTGTTTGAGTTTTGTGTTTTTGCTTTCTATTCTGTTCCATTGATCTGTCCAGTCATGTACTGATACCACCTTGCTTTCATTAATCATTTAATTCATTTATTCAATTAGCACATATTTATTATGTCATATATGCCATTCTGGAAACTAAATGTATAGCATTGAACAAAATGATCATAGAGCAAAGCTAATGATGTGTTCATGGAGCTTAAGTTCTGGTAGGGCATCTGCGTGAAAACATACATCAGCTTTGGTAGGGCAGGTGTTGGCAAACTATAACCCTAAATCCGGACTGTTTCCTGTTTTTGTAAAGAAACTTTTATTGGAACATAGCCATGTCCATTTCCTTACATATCGCCATGGCATGCCATTTCTTTACGTACTGCCATGCCATTTGCAGCTATGGTCTGCAAAGCTGAAGATATTTTCTCTCTGGACTTTCATGGAATTTGCTGACTCCTTTGCTAGGGAAAGACTGAAAGTAAACAGAATAGGCAAAATATATATTCGATAGTGACAAGTGCTGTGGAGAAAAATCAAGCTGGAAGTGGGATAGGGCATATTGAGGGTGGGATTTGCAATTTTAAATCAGGTGGTTTGAGAAGGCCTGTCTGAGAAGGTGATAGTTCAGTAAAGAGCCTGGGGGCAGGTCAGGAAATAAGCTTGGTGGAGGAATTTGAGCTGAAAAGTGACCAGAACTGATGTGTGTTCTAACAGTGGGCAGGGTGGAAACGCAGAGACCAGTGAGCAGGCAGTGATGGTGATACAGGCCAGGATGGGGACGCTTAGCACAAGGTGGAAGCAGTGTTTTGTGAGAAGTGGGTGGGGTTGGGGGGGCCGGGCACAGTGGCTCACACGTGTAATCCCAGCACTTAGGAAGGCCTAGGTGGGAGGATCGCTTGAGCCCAGGAGTTCAAGACCAGCCTGGGCAACATGGCGAAACCCTGCCTCTACAAAGAATACAAAACACAGCTGGGCATGGTATTGCATGCCTGTAGTCCCAGCTACTTGGGAAAGTAAGGTGGGAGGATCGCTTGAGGCTGGAGGTCGAGGCTGCAGTGTGTCGTGATCATAGCACTGTGCTCCAGCCTGGGTGACATAGATAGACCCTGTCCCAACATAAAATAATAAATAAAAATCAAGAATGCGTGTTGAATTTGATTGAATGCTCCTTCAGCATCTGTGGAGATAATCCTGTGTTATTTCTCTTTTGAGCTCTAAATAGATATGAATATATTAATAGATTTTCTAATATTGAACCTTTTTTTTTTGGAGACTGAGTCTCTGTCGCCAGGCTGGAGTGGCCCGATCTCGATCACTGCAACCTCCGCCTCCTGGATTCAAGCAATTCTCCTGCTTTAACCTCCTGAGTAGCTGGAATTATAGGCACCTGCCACCGCACCCGGCTAATTTTTTTGTATTTTTAGTAGAGACGGGGTTTTACCATGTTTGCCAGGCTGGTCTTGAACTCCTGACCTCAGGTAATCCTCCTGCCTCGGCCTCCCAAAGTGCTAGGATTACAGACGTGAGCCTCTGAGCTTGGCCTAGACCATTCTTTATTCCCAGTTAAATTCTGCTTGGCCAATGGCATATATTTTTAATAAGTTGCTGGATTCTTTTAAATACTATTTTTAAGATTTTTGTCTTGACATCTGTGAGATTAGCCTGTAATTTTCTGTGTGTGTGGTCTTCGAAATCAATACTGTGCCTCCTTGTGAAAAAGAATTGGCATGTTTCTTAGGCTCTGAAGTTGTGTGAGTAGCCCTGAAGCTAGCTGTCTGTTTCCTGAAAATCTGATAGGATTGCCTTCCCAAAATCACTTCTTGGGCTGGGCGCAGTGGTTCACACCTGTAATCCCAGCACTTTGGGAGGCCAAGCAGGCGGATTGCTTGAGCTCAGGCACTCAAGACCAGCCTGGGCAACATGGTGAAACCTGTCTCTACCAAAAATACAAAAATTAGCTGGGTCTGGTGGTGCATGTCTGTGGTTCCAGCTACTCAGGAGGCTGAAACAGGAGGATGGCTTGAGCCCAGGAAATGGAGGTTGCAGTGAGCCGAGATCACATGATGTTATTCCAGCCTGGGTGACACTGAGACTCCATCTTAAAAAAAAAAAAAAAAAAAAAAAAAAAAACAATCACCTCTTGGCCTGCTGTGTTAATGTACTTTTTTGGGAGATAGTTCTTGGACATTTTTCTTTATTTAATACAGAACCATCATTTTTAATGGCTATAAACTATTTTAATCAGGGCTTTACCATAACTTGCTTGTGTGGTTTAATGGTTTAATCCTTTTCTAAAAAAGGATTGGGGTGGGTTTCAAGGAATGCCTCCTAAAGTAATTCGCGATTATTCCCAGGGTCTGGTTAGTGGAAAATGTTCCAAGTTATCATAGTAACCACAGTGGCAGTTGTCATTCATCGTTTCTAAGTGCGTGTTGCACTGCTGAGCACTGTGTAGGAGCTCATTTGGTCTCCATGGTAACCGTAGGAGGCAGCTGTTCTGATTTTACTGATGAGGAAACTGAAGGTCTGAGAGGTTCAGTCACTTACCCACGTGGGCAGTGCATCACAAATGGGAATCAAGTCTGCTCTTGAACTCCAATCTGACAGTCTTCCCCCATCCCATATTGTGATTGGATTCACGTGAAATGCCTCGAAAGATAAAAGTTTCCCTTTTCAGTGTGCATCTGAAGAACCATCCCCATGGAAAATAATTAAATTATGTTAAATTGGCACTCGGCTGGAAAGTGGATCCCACAGCCCCTGTGCATGAAGCTCTTGTCTGAAGTTCTTTCACGGGTTCTTAGACTATCCCAGGAAGCCCTGATGGTGCTTCAGGGCTCAGAGTGGCCCCTGTGAGCCCACCCCGCTGGGGACTCAGAAGTTGGGGGAGGGGAGAGGTCTGAAAGCCTGAATTGCTTTCCTAGCTGTTCACCAGGTGACCCCCGGGTTCGCTTAGTTTCTGCATTTGTAACATAGCTGGGAGAATCCTCCTGCAGGGCCAGGCTAAGGATAAGGATGTGGGCTTATCCAGGAGAAGGATATGGGCTCTGTTGGAGGGGCTGGGTTTGTGTCTCAGCTCCTGCACACACCATCTAGCCACTAGAGTCTCAAGTTTTGGTTGAAAATGAAGACTGAGGTTTGAAACTAAGCTGAGGTGGTCCCCACCTCATAAAGTTGCCATGAGGATCTGAAAAGACAATGGGTGAAAGGGCTTTATAAACTGTAGGGTGGCCGAGCGTAGTGGCTCACACCTGTAATCCCAGCACTTTGGGAGGCTGAGGCAGGTGGATCACCTGAGGTCAGGAGTTTGAGACCAGCCTGGCCAACATGGTGAAACCCTGTCTCTACTAAAAAAAAAAAAAAAAAAAAAAAAAAAAAATCAAAAAAATTAGCTGGGTGTGATGGTGCATGCCTGTAATCACACCTACTTGGGAGGCTGAGATGGGAGAATCACCTGAACCTGGGAGGCTGAGGTTGCAGTGAGCCGAGATCGTGCCATTGCACTCCAGCCTGAGCGACAAGAACAAAACTCTGTCTCAAAAATAAATGAATAAATAAACACACTGTAGGGTGCAGGGCACGCGCGAGCTGTCATCACGTTCCTCGCTCCTGAAACCAGCACTGTTGAGCTCTTGGTGCTGTCATGCCACCAGTCCAGCGTCGTGCAGAACCAGGAGGAGAGTTAGTGGCAATTCAGAGGTGGCAGACACCGCACTGGGGTGTGGACGGCCCAGGCTTAGTGCTCACTTCCCACGCGCCCTCTCCCCTGCTAGTCCCTGGAGTCACTCACCTGGAAAGGGCTCTTCCAGTTCTGGAGTTCGAAGAGAGTGACTTACAGAAGCAGGTCACTCGCTTGAGGCAGGGGAGACAGCTGGATCACCAGAACTCCTGGCAAATATCAGTTTTCCTGGTCCAGGCCATTGTCATTATTCACGGATTCACCTACTCACTGAAATTTATTTGTAACCCTAAAATCAGTACTCATGGCACTTTCGGGTTAATGACTGACATTCATGCAGTGTCGAAAAATTCCTTACCTGACACAGGTTTCCAGCTGAGGTCAGACAAGGCGATGCTCCGTCTCACACTGTAAAGAAGTGTCCTTTTTGCAGTCTAGTTAGTGCCATGTATTTTGCATTTTTTGTGCTTTTTGTCAGTGCTTTAAAATGGCCCTGGGCTGAGATGCTATCTAGTCCCAGGCACAAGATGGCTGTGATGTACTTTATGGAGAAAATACATGTGTTAGAGAAGCTTCGTTCAACATTGATTGTTGTTGGCCATGAGTTCAGTGTTAGTGAATGAACTATATGTTAAATATGGTGTCTTTTTTTTTTTTTTTTTTTTTTTTTTTTGAGACGGGGTCTTGCTCTGTCTCCCAGGCTAGAGTGCAGTGGCGTGATTTTAGCTCACTGCAACTTCCGCCTCCCGGGTTCAAGCGATTCTTCTGCCTTAGCCTCCCAAATAGCTGGGATTACAGGCGCCCGCCACCATGCCCGGCTAATTTTTGTATTTTTAGTAGAGATGGGGTTTTGCGATGTTGGCTAGGCTGGTCTTGAACTCCTGACCTCAAGTATTCTACCTGCCTTAGCGTTCCAAGGTGCTGGGATTACAGGCATGAACCGCCGCATCTGGCCTTAAATAAAGTGTCTTGAAAGAGAAACATACATAAAGTAAGGTTATGAATTGATCAGTTGCTGAAAATGTGATCAGAGGACCCTAACCTTGTATTTGCCTTAGGACCCAGTGGGTCGGTACTGACTAATTCAGTGTTCACGGCTGCCTCAAATCAGGAGAATGGATTATAATCTGGCTTCATAGGACCCCGGGAGGGAAGGGAGGGAAGGCAGGGCCGTGAGCACAGAGCTGTCCGAGGTGCTACCACCGTAAGCCTGGCTCAGCTTTCGGGGCCACATCTGCTTCCGTAAGTCTCCACTCTGCTTGAGGGTGGGGAAAACCTGCAGCCCTGACTGGCAAGACGGTAGGGAGAAGGGACAGAGAGGAGTCTGGAGACGACGAGGCTCTGTGCTGGACTAGCAGCTCCCGGGGCTTGTGACCCAGGGGATTTCTTGCTCGGCAGCCCCTGGGAAAGGGTGAAGGGAGAAGGGGTTTGCTTGTGGGAGAAAGAGTCAGCAGTGACTTCACAGGCCAGCTGTGCCTCGTGTGTTTATTCACAGCCAGTTGCTGCACCGTGAGGCCAAAGGATACTGGAAGGTTTGGGATCCACTGACGTCATCCAAGCAGGCCACACTGCCGTGCTCGGTGTCAGTGTTTCTGACATGCAGGGCAGCAGAGCAGAGGGTCTCCAGCAGCCCACATTGCAGCAGCTGGAGCCGTGCAGCCAGCAGAGCACTTTCACTTTCAGCCAAGTCCTCACCTTGGATTCTGGGAGGGTGGCAGGTTAGAGACCCATCTGACAGGTAGAACCACTGAGGGTCAGAGAGGTTGGCTGAATGAATTGGCCATCTGAGTAGGGAAGGGTGGCGTCAGGACCTGAGCACACATATGTTTGACTGCAACTCCTAACACTGTACTGTGCCTCCGGGAATCAGAGATATCCCTCCAGTCCCGACCTTTCCTGGCTCTTGGATGTGGAGTGTGTCTGTGTTTGCCTCCCTTCCTCCCTCTGAAGAGAGAGAATCTCTTTTCTCTCCACTCTCCCTGCTCCCTTTCTTTTGTTTTTTTTTTGAGACGGAGTCTCGCTCTGTCGCCCAGGCTGGAGAGCAGTGGCGCGATCTCGGCTCACTGCAGGCTCCGCCTCCCGGGTTCACGCCATTCTCCTGCCTCAGCCTCCCGAGTAGCTGGGACTACAGGCACCCGCCTCCCCGTTCCCTTTCTTAATGAGTCCTATGATATTAAAAGTTGTACATTCATGGGAGAAAGTATTATAATCTTATGACTGAAAATATTAAGTAAAAAAAAATGCTGTGTTCAATTCTTCCACTCCTAGCGTTCTCGTCTGTTTACCTCTGGTGTTTCCATGTGATTTACGTAGTTGTCATCATTGTGTCTACAACTTGGGGTTCCGCTTTTCCACTAAACATCGTATTACACGTATTCCCATGCATCTGTGTGTAGTCTTTATAGCCATCGTTTAAAAAGATTGGTGGCGATTTGGTTGAATCCGTATGGCATGCTTTACCTCGGGGAAATGTCAGAAATGGCAGGATATTGTGTCCTTTCCTTTCGTCGTCTTCATTGTGGTTATTGCTGTTATATTATTTTTTCTCATGAGTAACACACGAAATGTTTTTGTGCAGAAGGCCTTTAATTTTGTACTCTGCCGTCAGGTAGATGCATAGGAGTGAGAAAATGCTCTTTAGCTTCTCACATGTTTTGTTCTCTAGCATATCGGAGAGTTCCAGTTCAATGCACCCTTGCCAGCATTAGCTACAACTTAACAATTTTATTGGCATATGGTTTATGTAAAATAAACTGCATATATGTAGACTAAACAGTTTGATAAGTTTTTATGTTTTTTAAATTAATTAATTTTTTGAGACAGGGTCTCGCTCTGTCTCCCAGGCCGGAGTGCAGTGGCACAATCTCGACTCACTGCAGCCTCTGCCTCCCGGGTTCAAGTGATTCTAGTGCCTCAGCCTCCCGAGTAGCTGGGACTACAGGTGAGCACCACCACACCCACCTAAGTTTTGTATTTTTAATAGACATGGGGTTTCACCATGTTGCTCAGGCTGGTCTTGAACTCCTGACCTCCAGTGATCTGCCGGCCACAGCCTCCTAAAGTGCTGGAATTACAGGTGTGAGCCACTGCACCTGGCCTAAATTTTATTTTTTAATACCCTTTTAGAGACAGGGTCTCACTTTGTCCCCCAGGCAGGAGTGCAGTGGTTCGATCATAGCTGACTGCAGCCTCGAACTCCTGGGCTCAAGTGATCCTCCCACCTCAGCCTCCCTGGTAGCTGGGACCATAGCCACATGCCATCATGCCCAGCTAATTTTTATTTTTTTTTTAGAGACCAGGTCTCACTGTGTTGCCCAGGCTGACCTTGAACTCCTGGCCTAAAGCAGTCTTTCCGCCTTGGCCTCCCAAAGTGCTGGGATTACAGGTATGAGCTACCTCACCCGGCTAAGTTTGATGAGTTTTGATGGTTATACGCACCTGTGAAACCAGCGTCACAATCAAGATCTAGAACCTTTCAGGGCAACCACCCTCCTGCTTTAAGTCACTACGATTCCGCCTTTTCCGAAACATCGTGTGAATGTGATCATACAGTAAATAGCTTTTTGCGCCTGACTTCTTTTGCTCTGCAGGACAAGTTTGAGGTTTATCCACAGTGTAGTGTGGATCACTAGTTTGTTTTTATTGTGACATGTGTGCATTCTCCTGGTTTCCAGTTTGTGGCCGTTACGAATAAAGATGCTGTGAACATTTGTGTACCAGTCTCTGTGGACATGTGCTTCATTTCTCTTGGGCAGGTACCTAGGAGTGGCTAGTGGCTGGTTTTGTAAGTATATGTATAACTCTGTGAGAATCTGGCAGTTTTCTTAAGGGCTGTTTTGTTTGTTTGTTTGTTTGTTGAGACAGAGTCTCGTTCTGTTGCCCAGGCTGGAGTGCAGTGGCACGATCTTGGTTCACTGCAACCTCTGCCTCCCGGGCTCAAGTGATTCTCCTGCCTTAGCCTCTAGAGTAGCTGGGACTACAGGCGCCTGCCACCATGCCTGGCTTATTTATTTATTTATTTCCGAGATGGAGTCTTGCTCTGTCACCCAGGCTGGAGTGCAATGGTGCGATCTCGGCTCACTGCAACCTCTTGCCTCCCAGGTTCAAGTGATCTTCCCACCTCAGCCTCTCGAGTAGCTGGGATTACAGGCACCCGCCACCATGCCTGGCTAATTTTTGTGTTTTTACTAGATACAGGGTTTCACCATATTGGCCAGGCTGGTCTTGAACTCCTGACCTCAGGTGATCCACCCACCCCAGCCTCCCAAAGTACTGGGATGACAGGCATGAGCCACCACACCCAGCCAAGGGCTGGTTTTTAAAGACCAAATTTATTCTGTTATTCCGTTGGGCTCTAAGAGGGAACCAAAAGTGAAGCAATGTAAAGAGGAAGTAAAAAAGAATTGAAGTTTATCCAGGAATAATCACAGCGCTTTGCTTAATTTTGCAAGGGTCTGTAGTAGCGTGACTTGGGCTTTGCCTGTTGCAAAAACGCGGCAGGAATTTCAAAGCGACTCTGCAGACAGCACGCGTGTTTCGTTCCCCCGGGTCCTGTGAGCCTGGGAGGTCTTGCCAGTCCCGTGGGCTCTCCTGGCCCTCACCCCTGGAGGCTGACAAGGCTCGCTGACCCAGACCCTCACCGATGAAGCCTCCTTCTCTTTTCCTCCCTCTCACTGCCCTAGAGCCCAGGAGCCAGGCAGGGCATGGGAGTGGGTGAGCAACACACTGTTGGGCAGAGGGCTGAGGGCAGAGGGCAGAGGGCTGAGGGCTGAGGGCCGAGGGCTGGGGCTGGCTGTGAGTCCTGGTTCTTTGGTTAGTGTTGTGGCTGACGTCAACCAAGGCTGGGGTGTTCTGCATTTGACTCAGCTAGTGGCCGAGTCCTGGTCAGCCCACTGGCCTGCCTGTGAGCGCGAGAGAGGGTTCTGGCACCACTGGCCCTCACGTTCCCCATCTCTAAGTGTCGGGATTAGTGCCTTCCAGCCCGAGTACCAGCACTAGATTGCACTGGTCAGTGAGGAAGACAGAAAACAAAAGCAGACCCGGTTTAATCTACTGAGTTGATAAGAGAGAGCTTGGCTGCATATTTTGAAGTGTTGAATCTGTCTAGAGAGGGGACAGACCCACCTATGTTGATCCTGCTGTGTGCCCGTGGTCTCGGTTTGTCTGCATGTGCCCCGAGGAACCTGTGGCTCAGAGCCCCCGCCCATTGTCCCATCACCAGCGGCAGCGCTGGAATGGAAACCCAGATCTTCCCTACCAAAGCCTGTGGGCTTTTTCTCTTTTGCAGGAAAATATTACAAATATTTATCATAAAGAAATACCATTTGTAATAGAAGGAGAAGTCCCTGTGAGGATCAGATGAGCACGAAGCTGCGCAGACGTGGGGCAGGGGTGGGGCGGGTGCTGTCTCCCTGCGGTTCCCGCTTGCAGCCTTGGCTGGCTGGAGGGCGGCTGTCCCTTTAAGTCGGGTTCCCGCTGGGACTGCCGCAGCCAGGGGGAGTGGGTGGGGGTGAGAGATGTTGGTGAGAGCCCTGCCTCTCCAAAGGCTCCCCCCCAGCCAAGCCTTCCCGGCTTCCAGCCCAGACACCAGCCAGCCAGTGGCGTTCCTGGCTCCTCGGGATTTTCCTTTTCCTCCGAAGCTGCTGATTCATCCCCAGGCTGGAGTCAGGCTCAGCTGTGGGGCTGGGAGCATGGGCTCTCAGGCTGCTGCTGAGTGGAGGAACTGGGCCTCCTGGGAGGTGTCCTCCAGCCTCTCTGGATGCTCCATGGGTGGGGGTCGGGAGTGGTGAGGGAAGGGTGGCGCATCTCAGAGCCCTCGCAAATTTCTGGCCAGAAATGTGGGGGTATGGGCGCAGCTTGGCCAAGGCCATGCTGCAAGGGCCAGGGTGGCCGTCCTTCCTCACTCCTGTCTGGCCTCCCTCTGCAGGGTGCTTCAAGGATGACCGCATCGTCTTCTGGACTTGGATGTTCTCCACCTACTTCATGGAGAAATGGGCTCCCCGGCAGGACGACATGCTTTTCTATGTGCGCCGGAAGCTGGCGTACTCCGGCAGCGAAAGCGGTGCAGACGGGAGGAAGGTGAGTGACCCCCGGCCCCTGCCCCTGCGTCTGTGCCCCAAGCATCCCTGTGGTGTCTGCTCTCGGTGTACATGTGGGCTTTCCTACAGTGCTCATGCATATCAAAGAGGGTGAGTGATATTTATTGAGCACCTACTGTATTCCAGGAACTGTGTAGACAGTCTCATGTGCAAATCTGGATGTGCTGGGTGTCTGTACACATTGTCATTCATCTTCACTGTGACCCTGAAGGGCAGTGATTGCCGTCACCGTCGTAGCTTTGAGGAAACAGATCAGAGACAGCTAACTCGGCTGGCCTCTTATAATTAGTCAGTAGATGGTAGAGCAAAGGTCGGACTCCAGAGCCCAGGGCCCTCCCTTGGCCATGGCAGGGTGACCTGACTCAGTGGTGGTGATGATGACGGTGCCTTCCACTTACTGAGCCCTCGCCATCATCTAGACACAGTGCTGAGCTCTCTTCTTCTTAGCCTCCTTGTGAAGTCCCAACAACTCGACAGGGTGGGTGTTCTTACCCCTTTTACAGATGAGGAAACGGAGGGCTCGGAGATGAAGTGATTCGCCTAACGTATTTCATCCACTAAATCGCAGTGTGGGAGGAGCTAATAAAATACATTTTGCATGCTTCCTTCTCTGTTTTTCACAAGCTTTTGCTGTTCGTAAAATGTTTAATCAACTCCATATGCCAGACATGGAAACGCTTTTGTTTTCCTTCAAAAACAAGAAATGAGAGGGCCGTGTAGCTAGGTCTGGAACTTGCAGCCTGCCTGGCTCTGTAACTCCGGGGCCATGGTTTGCTGGCAGAGGCTCATGCAGGGATTACTTGGAGCCTGGTCTTGCCTTGGGCCCATTTTCTGAGCCTGAACACACGCGGGATGGATTTTCTGCAAGTGGAAGGGCCTGGGTGCCTGCATGCTGGCCCCGAGCCCTGAGCTAGCCCCACTTTGGAGGGACCAGCAGGAGACCATGAACAACTGGCCAGAGAGGTGGGGGAAGAGCCAGGAGAGGGGAGGGCACCCCAAGAGGGGAGGTCTGGAGACGTGGGTGCAGCCAGTGGGGTGCAGTGTCTGAAGGGCCCATTGGATTCGGTACCAGGGAGGGGTGGCGGCCTTGGCGCAGCAGTTTCAGTGGCGGGTGTGCAGGGACTAGAGCCACACTCGGGCAGGCAGGGTGTGCAGGGACTAGAGCCACACTCGGGCAGGCAGGGAATGCTTTCTGGGAGGGATGAAGAGGAGGCCTGACTGGTGATGGGATCCCCGAGTAAGAACCTTCTGGAGCTGGCTCAGGGCTCCTCAGAACCTGCTGCCACGCCCGCCCTGTCTGGGTGTACAATCGAGAGACCAGCTTTCAAGGCCAGTCTTGTTTTTCCCTGGTTTACCATATGACACTGCCAGGTCATCTCCTCTCTGGGGTAAAAGGGGATCAGGGCAGGTGCCCCGAAAGGTGAGGGCCCTCCCATTCTGGACACCTGGGAGGCTGGGATGTTTGGGGTTAGTGTGACCATATGAGTGCCCTTGGCAGGGGGGTGGATGGTGCCTCAGGATCCTCACTGCCCGTGACCCTCATGGCGGGCACAGGCTCCTCTCACCTCTGCACAGTTCTGGGGGAGGGACTCCTCTCACCCATGGGAACCGGAACTCGGAGGCTCAGGCCCTCTGTCGTCCCAGGGCTGTGGACCCCACCCCTGCCTCCGTCCACTGTGGCCTCTCAGCTTCTGCTGGAGTTCAGGTTGCAGAGAACTTTTCTCCCACCCCCAAATGTTGGTCTTTTCCCCAAGGCAGAGTCTGTTGCAAGCCAGGGCTCTAACGAGGACTTGGTGCATTTGAGACACTCTCAGCTGTACTTTGAATTTTGATTCCAGAGAGGTCACGACTCTGGTCAAGAGGGCAGACAGGGAGGTGGGAGGACGGGTTGTGTGCACCCTGGATAGGCCGGGGTAGGGGGAGGAGAAAGGAACGGCAGATGAGGGGTCCATCTTGGGTGGAGCAGAAGTTAAAGGTGAGAGCCCTCCACTGAGAAAGCGCAGCCCTGGATCTAGGCCTGAGGAATTTGGAGCAGAGGGGATGGGGTCACATCCAGGATCTGCTGAAAATTTGGGGGTGTCGAGGTCAGTGAGGGAAGCCTGAGTCCCACGGGAGCAGGTGGCAGTCCAGCTGTTTACATGCTAGAATGTTCTATTGAACACCCACTGTGAGCCATGTGCAGATGCCCCCCCACACTCAGTGCTGGGAGCACAGAAATGACTCATATCTGGCCTCAGTCTGTTTGGATAGACAGACGGTATGGCCAGTGCTATGGAGCCATCAGTGCTGTGATGGTGGGAAGAGGAGCAGGGCGGCGGTGGTGGGGGGAGTGCAGAAGGTGACATCTGGCGGGCGGGTTGTAGGACAGAGAGAGCGGGCAGCAGTGGGCTGAGGACACGCCCCGTGGAGGGACCAGTGAGTGCAGAGTGGGAGGGTGTGTGACGAGTGCCACATGGGACCTGCCAGACTAGGCCGATGGAGATTGCGGGGCCTGGTGGGTGGGTCCTGGGGCTGCCCCAACTTGGCATTTTTCCCAGCTTGTCGGGCTGCAGTGCTGAGGGTGGCCTGCAGGGGGCAGGCTGGAGGCGCTGATGGGGAGACGGGGAGACCCCCCCTGGCAAAAGCCCTGAGCGCTCGGTGGAGGTGGGGGACCCGCGGAGTCGCCTGCGCACTGCAAGTCCTCTGCGGGAGCCTGGCTACTTCCCGCCCCCTCCCCATGCCCATCCCGCTGGTACCCGGTTGCCATAGCAACCAGCCGGGCCTCCTGCACCTAGCAGGGGAGCGTGGATGGGCAGGAGCTGCAGTGTCAGGGGGACAGGATGCCAGGAACCCCGAGTGCTCCAGGGCCCAAGGGACATCCCCAGTCCAGCCTTTCCCAGGGAGGGATGTCCTGGATTCCCTGCCCTCTGTTTCCTCCAGCCCTGGACAAAACGCTCTGTGTTCCTGGGCAGCCCATTGTGTGCCTTTGGCAGGAGGGGGACCTGGCTCTGTGTGCTGCTGGCTCTGCGCTGGTGGCCGGAGCCCTGTGTCTCACGGTCACGTGACACCTCAGGATCCTAAGGTGCCGATCACCTTCACACCCACTCAGAAAACCAAAGCTCAGAGACGGGGAGGAAGCTTCCTGGGGTCACACAGTTT
Source organism: Homo sapiens (assembly GCF_000001405.40). Classification (NCBI taxonomy): domain Eukaryota; kingdom Metazoa; phylum Chordata; class Mammalia; order Primates; family Hominidae; genus Homo; species Homo sapiens. Next base: position 45,208,797 of record NC_000022.11, on the reverse strand, counting down.
GCCAGCGGCGAAGCCCTGTCCCCAGTCTCACTTTTTCCTTTTTAGTAGATTGTTTTCAATATAACGTCTATACAGAAAAACACAGACGTGTACACAGTTTGATTCTTCTTAGACTGAACACCTGGTTTCACCAGCCCCCAGATACAGAGTGTGATGAGAACACCGAGGCCCCTTCACCCCACCCCAGGGCTCAACCTCCCCCTGGGCAGCTGCTGCTCTGTCTCCTCAAACTTCCCGGGCGGGTTCTGCCTGTTCTCACAGCTCCTGCATGTGGAGTCGGTGGGTTCTGCCTGTTCTTACAGCTCGTGCGTGTGGAGTCGGTGGTTCTGCCTGTTCTCACAGCTCCTGCGTGTGGAGTTGGGTTCTGCCTGTTCTCACAGCTCGTGTGTGTGGAGTTGGCGGGTTCTACCTGTTCTTACAGCTCGTGCATGTGGAGTCGGTGGTTCTGCCTGTTCTCACAGCTCATGTGTGTGGAGTCGGTGGTTCTGCCTGTTCTCACAGCTCATACATTGGAATCGGGCAGTATATGTTGTTTCAGGCTTCTTTCTCCGCATGTCATGTTTGTGAGTCATGCCTGTTGACACAGGTGGTTGTAATCTGGTCTCACTGCTGTGTAATGCCTGCAGAGTGTACCATGGCGGCCTGGCCACCCTCCTGTCAGTGGGTACCGGGCAGCTCCCAGTGTCCTCTTGGGCCTGGCTTTGGTGCGCACACGGACACCTTTCTGATGGGGAACCTGCTCTTTCGCCTGCCTGTGCTGTGGTGCTGCCCCGAACAGCCGTGTGATCGTGCCCCCGAGCCTTTCATTCACTGAGTCCACAGCGCTTTGCTGAGCAAAAGCAAATGAACAGGTCAATGAAGCGAGACCAGGAGGAACAGCAGAGTCTTGTGAACCCCAGGACTCTCAGCTCAGGGGCTCGGGGTGACTGCAGAACCATACAGGCGGTGGAAGTGGGGCCCCCCGACCCGGGGACGTCTGTTTCTCGCTCCTAGGCAAGGTTGGCCTCTTGCACCTCTTTCCATAGATCCCAGCTCTGCCTTTGGGGGGTGCAGGCCTGTGCACCTGCAAGAGGGCCCAGCAGTGCCCAGCCCCTCGGAGCCCGAGTCAGTGAGAGCACCCAGGACCGGGACCAGAGGCCCCCAGTCAGCACAGCTGCTTCAAAATTGAAAGCCAGGCTGGGCGCGGTGGCTCACGCCTGTAATCCCTGCACTTTGGGAGGCCGAGGTGGGTAGATCACTTGAGGTCAGGAGTTTGAGATCAGCTTGGCCAACATGGTGAAACCCCGTCTCTATTAAAAAAAAAAAAAAAAAATTACGTGTGGTGGCAGACGCCTATAATCCCAGGTACTTGGGAGGCTGGGGCAGGAGAATCACGTGAACCCAGGAGGTAGAGGTTGCAGTGAGCCAAGATTGTGCCACTGTACTCCAGCCCGGGTGACAAAGCAAGACTTCATCTCAAAAAAATAAAAAAATAAGAAATAAATTGAGGCCGGGTGCAGTGGCTCATGCCTGTAATCCCTGCACTTTGGGAGGCCGAGGTGGGTAGATCACTTGAGGTCAGGAGTTCGAGATCAGCCTGGCCAACATGGTGAAACCCCCTCTCTATTAAAAATACAGAAAAAAATTAGCCAGGTGTGGTGGCAGACACCTGTAATCCCAGCTACTTGGGAGGCTGGGGCAGGAGAATCACATGAACCCAGGAGGTAGAGGTTGCAGTGAGCCAAGATTGTGCCACTGTACTCCAGCCCGGGTGACAGAGCGAGACTCCGTCTCAAAACAATAAATAAGAAATAAATTGAGGCCGGGCACGGTGGCCCATGCTTGTAATCCCAGCACTTTAGGAGGCCGAGGTGGGCAGATCACCTGAGGTCAGGAGTTCGAGACCAGCCTGGCCAACATGGTGAAATCCTGTCTCTACCAAAAATACAAAAAGTAGACAGGTGTGGTGGCACGTGCCTGTAATCCCAGCTACTCAGGAGGCTGAGGCAGGAGAATCATTAGAATCCAGGAGGCGGAGACTGCAGTGAGCCAAGATGTGTTGCACTGTAGCCTGGGTGACGGATGGAGTGAGATTCTGTCTCAAAAAAAAAAAAAAATTGGAAGCCAGTCTCCCAGGAGAGGTGTAGACATGCTTTGGTTTCTCTCTGATATGTATTTATTATTGATCTTCAGTAAATTTGACTCTGATCTGTTAACATGGGGCTAATGATACCTGCATTGCAGGGTTGCTTTAAAAGGATTAATAATTTGTAAAATGTGTAGCCCAGACCCCGCCGTCCACTAAGAGCTCAGTAGGTGTCACTATTATCATTGATGCCACTTAGCAAATATGAGCTCTTTAAATCATTATGACAACTTTGAGGGGAAGATGCCCTTAGTCCATTGTACAGATGAAGAAACTGAGGCTTAGTGAGGAGAATGGATGGCCCCTGGGTCCCATCTCCCGTCGCTAGAGAACTGGGGAGCAAGAATTGGAGTTCTGGCCGGGCATGGTGGCTCACACCTGTAATCCCAGTACTTTGGGAGGTCGAGGCAGGAGGATCACCTGAGCCCAGGAGTTCAAGACCAGCCTGGACAACATGGCGAAACGCCACATCTACAAAAAGTTTTAAAAATTAGCCGGGTGTGGTAGCACGTGCCTGTGGTCCCTGTTGCTTGGGAGGCTGAAGTGAGAGGATCATTTGAGCCCAGGAGGTTGAGGCTACAGTGAGCTGTCATTGCACCACTGCTCTCTAGCCTGGGCAGCGGTGTGAGACCCTGTCTCAAAAAATAGTAAGAAAAAAGAATTGGAGTCCTTGTCCATCGTAATGCCTGCATAGTAGTCAGGGAAGAAGAAGAGCACCACAGTGGGCCCTGGGCACTCACTTCTGCTCTGGGCCTCGCAGGCAGCTGAGCCTGAGGTGGAGGTGGAGGTGTACCGGCGGGACTCCAAGAAGCTGCCAGGCCTGGGAGACCCTGACATCGACTGGGAGGAGAGCGTCTGCCTGAATCTCATCCTGCAGAAGGTATGGGGTGGGATGGGTGGGGCTGCGGATTGGCCCTGTGGGATGGCTGACCCCTCCCTGCACGCTGACCCGTGCTCTCTTCCAGCTGGACTACATGGTGACCTGTGCGGTGTGCACACGTGCTGACGGCGGGGACATTCACATCCATAAGAAGAAATCTCAGGTGAGCCCTGGCACGAGAGCCCCCAGCCTCCTAACTGCCAGTTCAGGCTGGGCGTGGCAGAGAGAGACAAGTCCTCCTGCTTGCTTCTCTGCCCTGGAGGTGAGGGGTCTGACTCCAGAAATCTGCTCAGCTCCTGGGATCCCGTATCCCATTCGAGGAGCACAGAACCAGCTTATCCCCCACATCTCCTGGTAGGTCTCTGGCTTTGGACTGGCTCTGGGCCGGGTGGCCTCCCTATACTGGCTTGGACTGGCTCTGGGCCTGTGTGCCGGGTGGGGCCTCACTTGTCCTCCAAATCTGCTTTCTTCCAGCAAGTGTTCGCGTCCCCCAGTAAACACCCCATGGACAGCAAGGGGGAGGAGTCCAAGATCAGCTACCCCAACATCTTCTTCATGATTGACAGCTTCGAGGAGGTGAGCTCTGCACAGGGCCTCTCTCCTTAGCTTCCCCTTCTCGTGAGATGGGTGTTAGGCGCTTCTCCCCGCGGCCTTAGCCTTGCAGAAAGGCATGGGTGGCTTGGAGCCGGGAAGAGTCCGGCTGAGGCAGATGTGGCTCTCTCTCTTCCCAGTGTTTGCTTGTGGGCAGGTGAATTTCCCCGGCGCAGCCTCCGTTTCCTCCTCTGTAAAATCAGTGTCATGATCATCTGTCCTACTTACTGTCAGGGCTGAAGACTAAAAGGCTCCTGAGTGGGAGGACGCCTCATAAACTCTTGCAAGAAGCACTGCCCGGGCGGGAGGAGCCATTATTAATGCTAGTAAATGATAAAGAAGCGCCTCCACGCCTGCACTGACTTGGAATCCTAGGATGTCAAAGAGGGATGGGGTTTCCGGAGTTATCTGGGCCAAGCCTTTGTTTTAAGGTTTGGGAAACGGGCTTGGGCAGAAGGAGACTCACCGAGAAACACAGGGCACTGGGAGGGCGGGGAGGGAGCCGGTCGCAGCTCACTCCCTGCTCTGCCCATTTGTGTCTCTCCTCTGTTGAGGCCCTGGTCGGGGTCCTTGTGCGCATCCAAGGTGCTCAGGGCCCTGAGGACTTAGGAGGAAGGCGTGGGCGTCTGCAGGAAAATCGCAGGCTCAGGGAGGTCATGTCCCCTCCCCAGGCACACGTAGCTCCTAGAGGGCAGAGCTGAGATTTGCGTCTAAGTCTTTGTGGCCTCGGAGCTCACAGTCTGTGCACCAGGTCCTGGGAGCAATGACTCGGGAAGGTGGCAGGATGGGGCCTGTGGCACCTTAGTCTGGTGTTGTCACCCCAGGTGGGCAGTCACCCTGCCACCACACTGAGCCTTTGGCCACACAGGAGCCTCAAAGATGTGGCAGGCAGGGCTGGGCACCCCTAGGCGGTGTGGAGGGGCCCAGACGGTGGCTGACGGTCCTGGTGAACCGTGATGAGGGTGTGCGTCTTCTGCCAGTCCCAGAGTCTCCGTAAGCGTCCCTGTCCTCCCCTGCTGCTCAGCCCCTGCCCCAGTGTGAGGCTGTTCTTGTCCTGTGGGGCTCGGAGGGCATGGGGCCACAGGAGTGTGTGACAGCCGGTTGTCCCCTGCAAAATGGGGTTTTCTGAGCAGCCCTCCCTGCCAGTTGGGCCAGGCTGTGGTGTGGGCGGTGGGAGCTGATGGTCACGTCCCTGTCTCTTTGTGTCCTGGCCCAGGTGTTCAGCGACATGACCGTAGGGGAAGGAGAGATGGTCTGTGTGGAGCTGGTGGCTAGTGACAAAACCAACACGTTCCAGGGGGTCATCTTTCAGGGCTCCATCCGCTACGAGGCGCTCAAGAAGGTGTATGACAACCGGGTGAGTGCGGGGCGGCCTCACGGGTGTTCTTCTGGGCCCGGGGACGGCGGCTCCACAGCCCACCGTGGTCCATACCATGGGGCCCCCCAGCCTGCTTGTGCATGGTAGCGGCCGCCAGGGGTACCTGCAGCCCCTCCGGGCTCCTTCTAGGCGCTCCCTGGTCCTCTTAACGTCATTCTTCATGGTCGGCCTCAGCCCATGCGGGCCACTTGCCTTCATCTGAAATGTGAGCGGGAACTTCCTCCTCAGTCTCTAGTTCCCTGGGAAGTGATGGCTGATGGTGTCGCTGTCACCTCCTCACTGTCACTTGCTTCCTGCGACTGGCCCTGGGAGTGCTCCGAGTCGCCCCCAACTAAGCAAGCAGATGTGGGCAGGCCCCTCTCCCCCAGCGGGCACCATCCGCAGCCAGCCTTGCTGCCAGCCTGGGGCCCTGTCCTCAGCCTGGTCCGTGGTTCATGGGGCGGTGGGAGGGGCACCAGGAGGGGCACCAGGCAGAGATGTGGGTCCATTCCAGCTGCCCCGCCTGCCAGCTCAGACGCTCCCTCCCGGGCAGCCCCCGCTCCTTGAGGGATGGTCGCCCTGGCTGTTCATGTCCTGGGGAGGGGCCCCATGGAGCCATCGCCACCTCCCTGACTCAGGCTGCCCCGCGCCGGCCCCCAGGTGAGCGTGGCCGCCCGCATGGCACAGAAGATGTCGTTTGGCTTCTACAAGTACAGCAACATGGAGTTTGTGCGCATGAAGGGCCCCCAGGGCAAGGGCCACGCCGAGATGGCGGTCAGCCGAGTGTCTACAGGTGACACATCCCCCTGTGGGACTGAAGAGGACTCCAGCCCAGCTTCGCCCATGCACGAGCGGGTAAGGGCTGCACAGCTGGGGGCGGGGGCTCCCATCCGTCAAGTTCACTTTCCACCGTCTCCCCCGTGCTCACGGCCCCCTGGGGACATAGGTGTTGTCATCCCCAACCACCAGTGCGCAGGCCGAGGTGCCGAGCGTGCGGAGGCCCGGACCACCCAGCCCTTCTCTTTGCCTAGCGGTTTGTAGGAGGCACTGCCGCAGGGGAGGCGTTCCTGCCTTGCAGACCTGGAGGGCTGTGCCTGGCCAAGGTCACACCGCAGGCTGGTGCTGGGCCAGAGCTCTTTCTGCCTCCCTGAGATGCCACAAAGCCAGGCTGAGTCCACAGAGCCAGTGGGCAGAAGAGACTGGCTGGGGACCCAGGCCCGGCCCTGGCGCCTGCCTGGGTGGACCTGCTGGGTGAGCGTGGGCACGTGGCCGGCCTTCCCCGGTGAGTCAGATGGGGATGATGGTGACTGAGGGTCAGCCAGCGCATGCAGAGGCCTAGGCCACCCAGCTCTTTGCCCCGCGGTTTGTAGGAGGTTCTGCTGCAGGAGAGGCGTTCCTGCCTCGCACAGCCGGAAACCAGACTTGCCAGCTTGCCCCAGGTCACAAGGTCTCTTGGGATAGCACTGGGCTTGGGGCCCTGCTCTGCCTAGGCCACTCTCCTTCCCCAGGGCGGGAGGCTGAGGTCAGCAGCAGCTTTGTTCCCAGAAGCCTTTGGTGGGGCACAGGCAGGAGAAGGTCTCCAGCCCACTGGCTGCTTTGCTCTACCTGGTTCTTCCAGAGGGACTGCCCAGAGCTGTAGTTCTTGGAAGAGTACAGGTGTGCTGGGCAGGGGGGTGCCCTTGGCACAGGTCCAGGGGCAGTCTTGCCCAGCCATTGTCCAGGAGAGACGCCACCCACAGCCAGAATCCTGCTCTGCTGCTCTCATAACCTTGGGTGTGTCTCTTTTCCTCTCCAAGCCTCAGTTTTCTCATCTAGAAACAGGGCACGAGGATACCTGCTCCTTCAGTATTTGGGAGGCTTTGAGGAATCCGGGGCTTGGCCCTCAGGAGGATTCCCAGGTGGCAGCTGCAGTAGTTGCTGTTGACCTACTTGGAAAGCAGAGGCGTGGGAATGTAAACGATGCATTACCGCAGGCATGCCTGAGATGAGGGAGTGTGCGTTTGTTATACTTTTAGTTCGAGAAAGATCTGAATCATGCATATCTCCGGGTGGTCAGATGTTGGTTTTCTTTCTCTTCTGTATATCTTTTTTTGGGGGGGAGGTATCTTCTGCAATGAATGTGTTTTGCAAGCCAAAGACAGCAAGTGCTATTTTTTGCAAAGATGGGTGAGAATTCCAGGCAGGGGCCTCTCTTGTCTTTGGAATGAGGTGGTTTATATTTCTGAGTTTGTTTCCGAGATAAAGGGCCTGGTTCTTCTCCCTGGTCCTAAATTATGCCCTGGGACTCTGACAAAATGTGTGTGTGAAAGTCCTTACGAAGATGTGGCCCGAGCTCTGGGCTGGACAAACCCGGGTGCCACCTCCAGCCACAGCCTGAGGGCTGAGTGACTACAGGTCACTAGACCTGCCTGAGCCTTGGTTTTCCCATCTGTCCAGCGGGAGTGGCTGTGAGGGGTGTGAAAGTCCCTGGTGCCTTAGCAGCTGGGCAGCCCTGGGATTCAGGAGGAGGGATGTGCTAGGGTCACACAGGGTCAGCAGCAGGGCTGGCCCCTGGGGACTGCCGCCTGTGCGCCTGCTATTACCTGTCTCCTTCTCTGGCGGGGTCGTCTGGAGCCAGTGCGTGACACATGCTGACTCTGTGTATTGTGGTTGCTGCTGTTTGTTTCTTTTATCTTTTAAAAACCTTCCCCGGCTTGTGGGAACACCGTCTGGAGCCCAGCAGCTGCCAGGACTTTGGTGGATGTCGGAGCCGTGACGAGGAGGCTGACGGGGCTCCCGAAGTCTCAGTCCCAGCTCATCCTGCTCCTCAGATTATTGTTGGCATGGGGAGGAGGGAGGAGATGGGCCAAGTTCCCTCTGGCTGGAACGCCCTTCCCCCCCTTCTTCACCTGGCGAACTCCTACTCGTCCTTCAAGACCCAGCTCCAGCGGCATCTCCTCCAGGAAGCCTTCCCTGATTTCCCAGGCTGTGGATCCCTTTTGCCTCTGTGCTTCATGTATCCTGTGCTTCTCTTTCTCTGTCTCCACAGCCAGCATGCTGTCTATGGTTGTCACTCTCTGAGTCTGTCACCCCAGCAGACTGTGAGCTCCTTGAGGGCAGGGACCTGCAATGTGCCTGTCTGTCCTTAGTGCTGTGCCTGCCTGGCCCTGAGTGGGTGTGAATGTTTGGTGAACAGAACCAAACGTGATTAGAAGTGGGGAGAAGACAGAGGCATAGAGCTACTTAGCACAGTATTTCCTGTGAAGGGTGCTGGGAATGAGAGGGATGGGGCCACGTCAGCCCTGAGAAGTAGGATGAGGAGCGTGGCCCTGGGGGACAGAAGACAGGGCTGCTGCCGTCCTGCTTGGTGACCACAGGCAAGCCAGGGTCTCGGTCCCTGCCTTAGTTTCCCCATGTGTCAGATGGGCTGACGCTAGCCCCTGTCTCACGGAGCTGGAGGCTCAGAGGGTCTGTGTGTGGGGCCAGTGCTCACTCAGCGTCAGCAGCTGTTGTTACTTTGTGCTTGAACACCCCCTACCCACTGTTTGAGGCCCAGAGGAGGGGGGTCTTTCTGCCATTTGCGGCAGCAGCCTGGCCCCTCCTCGGGTAGCACTGGTGGCCAGGTGTCCTGCTGGCCCCTGGGCTGGAACGCATCTTCCAGTCTCTAGGCCCCACCTAGCACGGGCCGGCTGGGCCTGGGTCCTCCTGGGCCAGCGGCCTCTTCCCTGGGAGCTGTGTCAGGTTGTTTGAGGGTGGGATAGGAGGGGCGTTGGGACCCCCGGGGAGGGGGCTGTTCTGCTACTCTGGTGACTTTGGCTGCTTGTTCCCAGGTGACCTCCTTCAGCACACCCCCCACCCCAGAACGGAACAACCGGCCTGCCTTCTTCTCCCCATCCCTCAAGAGGAAGGTGCCCCGGAACCGGATCGCTGAGATGAAGAAGTCGCACTCGGCCAACGACAGCGAGGAGTTCTTCCGGGAGGACGACGGTGGAGGTGACCCCCCACTCCGTGCCCTAGGGTCCCCGTGCCCTTCAGTCTCTTCTTGATCCAGACCAGTCATTCATTCATTTATTCATTCATTCATTTGTTCATTCAGCAGCACTTAGAGAGTGGGTGCCATGTGCCAGGCAGCCCTCCAGGAGCTGAGGGGTAGAGCTGGGGACAGGCAGAAATGGCTGCCTCTGGGGGTCCCGTCCTGGTGGGCTCAGGCGTCTCCTTGGCAGAGTGCTTGGAGCGCAGATGTGCAGCAGTTGGTCAGTTTCAGGGGATTTCCCACCTTTCTAAGGCTTTTCAGCCTGCTTAAGGAAGAAAGCGGATGGGTGATCTGATGGCTCCGCACACACGGGGTGTGGCGGGAGAGAGGAGGGCTTCCCTCCCTTGCGCTGCCTTGGGCCAGCTCGCCCTCAGGGTGAGGCCTGGCCCTCCTGGCTCTGTGCAGCCTCCCAGAACCACGTGCTCTTTGGTGACACAGTCGCCACCTCGTGCAGCCTACCCCCGGGGCCTTCCTGTGCCCCTGTCCCCTGGACTCCGGTTGTCTGTATCTGGGTGTTACCATGCCCCTTAGTCCTGCCCAGGCACAGTCTGCACTCTCTCCTGAGCACCCGTGCCTGCTCCCTGTCCTCGCTCAGTGACCTTCCAGAATACAGGAGTTGTTCCCAGAGCCCCCAGGGAGGCCTCTGAGGGGTTTTAAGCAAGGGAGTGACACAATCAGATTAGCATATTTAAAATGCCACTCAGCAGTCTCTGTGGGAAATGGCTCCTGGGGACAGGCGTGGCCGTCACAGACAGGTTGGGAAGTTCTGCCATGCTCTGCTGGCATGGACCACGTGCCTTCCTCACTGTCATCCTCAGGACCCAGCGGGCGCCTGGCTCCGCACTGTGTGCGTGTCTGTTGAGTGTATGGAAGTGAAGGATTGGCCAGGCACAGTGGCTCACCCCTGTAATTCCAGCACTTAGCGAGACCGAGGCGGGTGGATCACCTGAGGTCAGGAGTTCGAGACCAGCCTGGCCAACATGGTGAAACCCTGTCTCTACTAAAAATACAAAAAATTAGCCGGGCATGGTGGTGGGCGCCTGTAATCCCAGCTACTCAGGAGGCTGAGGCAGGAGAATCTCTTGAACCTGGGAGGCAGAGGTTGCGGTGAGCCGAGATCGTGCCACTGCACTCGAGCCTGGGCAAGAGTGAGATTCCATCTCAAAACAAACAAAAAAAAACGACGTGAAGGATTCGCTGACAACTCCCACTGAGCACCTCCCCCAGCAGGGAGCAGGGCTGCAGCATTGATCAGAAGAGGTGGCAGTCTTTGTCCTGACCACTGGGACCAAGAAGCAGGGGTGTCCCACCTGCTCAAGGCCCTGGCCTGGGTCAGGGACTCCAGCACTGGCCTCGACCTGCTCTTGTGTGAACTTGGGCAAGCCCCTTCCCCACCTGGGCCCGTTCCCGAATCAGTAAGAAGTACTGATCACTGCCCTAGTCTGCCTCTCTGGGGCAGGTTCCCCCAGCCTGGACCGCAGGACTGGGTAATGGTGCAGGTCGGCTCAGCCTTGCTGCTCCCATGCTCTGCAGGTGGCGGTGCCTAGTTCCAGGGACAGGGCCTGCAGAAGCAGAGAATTACACAGTGTGTGTGCCAGAACCCCCGGAGGAGACTAAGCTTGTGACAGAGAAGAGAGAGATGAGGGGGGTGGCCAAAGTCTTCCTGGAGTTGGAGGCCTGGGTCTGGGCCAGAGGAAGCAGGGAGGGGTGTTACAGGCGAGGAGGCAGCAGCTCTGGAGCGTGTGGGTGCTGGTGTGGGGGTGTTGGTAAGGAGCGTCCTGGCCTCAGCAGAGTTTGGCCTCAGCCTGGACTGGGAGCTGGCCTCCTGCTGCTCCCGCCGCGTCCCATGCTGTGGGGGCCTTGACCTGGCCTTCTTTCCTCCAGCCGATCTGCACAATGCAACCAACCTGCGGTCTCGGTCCCTGTCGGGCACAGGACGGTCCCTGGTCGGGTCCTGGCTGAAGCTGAACAGAGCAGATGGAAACTTCCTTCTCTATGCACACTTAACCTACGTCACGTTGCCGCTGCATCGGATTTTAACAGGTAATGCTGGCGGATGTGGGGAAGCAGCCGCACCTTCTCACAGCCAGCTCTGCCTCCAGGGCCTTGGTACTTGTGAGCCACCCGGAGTCATCCCGCCCTGTCCTGTCGGTTGGTTGGGTTTCTTTGCAGGGCTCTTGGCCTCTTTGTCTCAGACTTTGGGTGGAGCCGTAGCTTTCCCAGAGCTGAAGTCCTCCCTTTGTTCACCTTTCTGGCGCACCTGCTGTCCCCTCTTGAGTGGCCACAGATGCCCAGGTGTGTGTTACTCACGGGCGAGGGGAGGCTCTCAGGCCACCTCGCTGACCCAGGCCTGCAGCAGCTGTGACAGGCAGTGGCTCTGGCCCCCACACCAGCTTGCACCTGAGGCCCTGCAGGGTGTGCCGTTGCTGCGAGCCCATTTCCCAGTCTGCAGGGTGAGGATGGTGGAGACACGTCTCCTCTGCAGTCTGTGAGGCCTGGAGAGGAGATGCATGAGTGGCTGAGGCGGGCTTCCTTCAGAAGTGGCACTGCCGTGACCATAGCACTCACCGCTGTTGAGGGTTACTGTTTCACCTGCTTCCCTCCTGCCGGCCCTAGACATCCTGGAAGTTCGGCAGAAGCCCATCCTGATGACCTAGCCGCGTGCGGAGCCTGCGCAGAGCCCCGGCCGGGCCCAGCCCTCGGAGTGCTGCCAAGTGCCTACCTGTCCACCGCCACCGGGGTCTGCGATGGCACGCCAGTGCTGGAGCCGCAGCCAGGCGAGGCCACTCGACTCCCGGGGCCGGGGCCGACTCCACGAACACCAGCCCAAACTGAAGTGCCTCTTCCCTCCCCTGCTGGCGCTGCTCCGCCCTGTGCCCCCCGCCCATCGCCCCCCACCCATCTCTGGAGAGCCCTCTGCACCCAAAGAGGACTAGAGATGCCGAGCGGCCATGAGAGAGAGCGGAAGGAGCAGCTGATGCCCAGAGCGGGGCCAGAGCGGCGGGTCTATGTTCACGTCCCCCCAGCAGCAGGCGGAACCACCCAGCCAGGGCACTCAGTGCATTGGACTGTCCACATGTTCTTGAGGAAAGCCGGTGGAAGATTCTGGAATGCCGTGCGGATGAACTTCAGCACCCGAGTCAGTCCCAGCTCATCCTCCCCAGTTTACCACTTTGTTCTAATAGGAGATGGGAACACGAGAAGTTTGATGGCTTTGCCCTGGGCTGGGAATACCTCACCCACGCCCAGTTCCAGAAAGGCCTCCAGCTGAGCAGACGGCCCCGATCCCGCCAGAACGGCCTTTTGCTTCCAGCCAAAGAACACCGCCAACACGCACACCTCCAACCTGGGACATCCCACGCTGGGCCTCGCACGGAGGAACCTGCAGAATTTGGATTCTGAGGGTAGTCGGGAGGCCTCGGTAGCCAGGCAGAACAGGATATCTGCCAAAGGGTGTCTGATGTGGGGTGGGGCTGGCATCCTCCCAGGAAGGTTCTAGGTGGGACCCCGTCTTCTGGGGGCGGGGGTGTCTTTTCATCTTCCCTGGTTTCCTAGAACTCACTTCCTTTGACGGCGTGTGTTGGTCCCATCTCTCAGACCAGCTCACTGAGGCAGAGGAGTTGCTCAGAGGCTCACATGGGCACCCCCATTGGTTCGTGTGAGCAGCTGCCCAGCCCCAGGCCTGCCCTCGGCCTGGTCCAGCATGAAGGCGTTTCCATCTGCAAGGATGCACGGTACCCTCCCCGAGAGCAGGCCTGTCCCCTACCCAACTGGGAATAAACTGGAAGCTGGGTCTCTTTGTTGCTATGTTTTTTTGTTTGAAGTTCCCAGGAATATTTGAGGGGTTCCGGTGATGTGTTTAGGGATCTTCTCTGTGGGGGAAAAGGAAGAGGAGGGTCTTGTTCTCCCATCTGTTTATTCTTTGGGCTCTGGGAACAGGGGACTACTTTGGGGCTTTCTCCAGACTTTTGTATGTTGTTATTAAAAGCGAGCTATTGCATTTCATTCTGCCTCAGTTTGCCCACCTGTGAAATGGGGCTGATACCACCTACCTCACTGAAGTCCCAGGGTTCAAGTGTGTGGCTGGGTCAGGGCGTGGTCACCCGTCATTCTGCATAGGTCGGGTTGGATGTTAGACTCCTGGGATGCCCTCCTCCCCCTCGCCCTTTGTAATAACCTAATCTGAGACCGTGCTTGGTGGGGGGATGTGAACTTTCTCTCTCCCCCAGCAGTGTCTGCTCAGGCCTGACAGCTCAGCTCTGCACGATTTCATGTTCCTAAACCCATGTCTTAGGGCAGCACAGAGCCAGGTCATGTCATGCCCCAAAGTGTGGGGACAGAGCCTCAGGGAGCCCCGAGCATGGTCCAGCCCCATTTGAGTGCTCTCCGGGGATGCCAAATGCTGCTTCCAAGTTTGAGTCCATGTGGCTAAAATACACCCATTTCTTCAGGAACTCTTCCCCTGGTTGTTCTGGGGATCTTGGGAGAAACACAGCCCTGACAGCTCGTCCGTGGGAAGATGAGGCAGTCCAGGTTGTGAGGAGCACAGCGGCCCGCCCTCTGTTCTCAGAGGTGAGGGGCGGGAGAAGGTTGTCTCCTCTGGGGCCAGCATTTGGCCAAGCTCGGAGGCTTGGCCAGCACTGCTGGATGGCTCAGAGCAAGCTGGGCTCCCCGTCTGTAAGATGGCAAAAATGCTGCCCCCCTCACAGGGTGACCATGAGGACCAGTCACAGTGATGTGTGAAAGGGCTCGCTGGTCACAGAAACGTGTACAAATCATGCTATTTTAGAGATCAGCCCTCAATTTGTAAGGCATGTGAACAGGGCACGCGGTGGGCTGGTGGTTTCATAGCCGACACACAGCGCCTACCATGTGCAGCTGCCTGTCCGACCCCATCTTACAGACGAGAAAACCAGCACACAGGCACCAAGGAACTGTCCGGAACTAACAGCAGGGGCCGGCGATGGGAGTCAAACCCAGGCACGCGGCCTGGCCTGCATGCTGAGCCACATGGTGCTGTCCGGACAGATGGACAGACACTCGGTGGAGTCTGCCTTTCTCAGGCCCTAAATCCCTCTCCAAAGGGTACTTGCGATGCCGGATTTAAAACTTGCTCAGAGCCACTTAGCCACTTGAGAACCAGACAGTAAGGTGTTACTCCCAGGTTTGTTTTTCCAAAGTAACAGATGACATGTGGAATAAAGTAATAGAGTAACAAGTGGCAGGGCCAGAACCAGGGTCCCCAAAGTCCTGGTGTTGGCACATTTGTACTTCTTGTAAGACCATCTTTAATTTTTCTGGGAACACACCTGCCTTTTGTGTAATGCGGGGAAGACTAATGCATGGTGACACCTAGTTTTCCTCAACAGGACACTTGATCCCAAAACCCCTTTAAGACCTTAGGTTTCCTCAGCGGAAAACTGTACTTTAATCCCAAACCCCCTTTAAGACATATTGGGGCTGGGCGCAGTGGCTCACGCCTGTAATCCCAGCACTTTGGGAGGCTGAGATGGGTGGATCACCTGAGATCAGGAGTTCAAGACCAGCCTGACTAACATGCTGAAACCCCATGTCTACTAAAGATAGAAAAATTAGCTGGACATGGTGGCAGGCACCTGTAATCCCAGCTACTCGGAAGGCTGAGGAAGGAGAATCACTTGAACCTAGTAGGCAGAGGTTGCAGTGAGCCGAGATCACGCCATTGCATTCTAGCCTGGGCAACGAGAGCGAAACTCTGTCTCAAAAAAAAAAAAAAAAAAAAAAAAAAAAAAAAAAAAAAAGATACATTGGTCTTTAAACCCAAACCCCCTTTAAGGCATGTTGGTCTCAAGGGGATTTGGGATTGAAGCACAGCTTTCTGTTGAGGAAACCTAGGTGTCACTTTTTAGAACATTAAAAAGAAAGTTGTAGGGTGGGCTTTTCCATTTAAAGGAATGTGATGATCCTAGGTTCTGATGAGTGATAGGTGGTCTCCGTTTATACCCTTTCTTCTTTTGGCACCTGTAAGTTCCGGTAGTGGCCATCTTACATTCTCATGTCCTGCTGGAAGTGCCTAGTTGCCTGCAAAGCCAGCTAAGGCTTATTATTTCAAAAGAAGATTATTTAAAACATGAGTGACAGGTAGTCAGAAGAGAACAAAAGGACGCAAGATACTCTATAGCCAAGTCAGCTTGGAGGCAGGATGGGTTGCTGAGTGAAGTCGCCGCTCACTTTTGGATTCTTATGGACTGTGAGTTAGTCTTCCCTCTACACGGAGTCACAGGAAGGGTATAAATGCATGTTCCTGAGGTGCCCTCCCCCAAAGAATGTACCTGCACTCAAACCAGGATCTGTTTTTGCTGTTTTAATCATAAATAGACTAGTTAGTAGAAGACTTTTGAAGAACAAAGTAAAACTTTTTTTTTTCATTAAAAGATGTCCCAGAGGAAAGGCCCTGTGCAGCCAGTATATTCTAATGACTGCCTGGACCATGTCCTAATATGGTGGTTTTAAGTTGTTGGCCAAAATCCTTTAAAGACATACGAAACATCTGCCAACTTTTTAGCGAACTTAACAGGTTTCACTGACGTTTTCCTCAATTTTTGAATTTAGGTGGGATTTGCTTTCATGTCCTGTTTCAAAAACCAAGTGTCTCTTGACAGCCCACTGGTTCTTCCTGTCCTCTTGCTCTAGTCTGTATCAGAAAGCAGAATGACTGTACTTTTGTTTTACAAACAACCACCTGATAGGACGGACACTCCACGAGATAAGGAAAGGCACGTGCCCTTGAGCTTGAATGGAAGCAGCCTCTGGAGGGGGCAGCCACTGCCCTTCGAGGGAGAGCAGCTCTTCAGCAGTGGCCAGAGTGCCACGTGACTCTGCAGATGACCCCTGGGAGCCGGGTGATGGGCACCTGCTGGGGCTTTTGTTTTTTCTTTTTCACTGGCTGGCTTGATCCTCAGTGGCAAAAGGACCCCTGAGCCCCTTCTCCGAGCCCTGGAGCACTCCTCGGGACACCGAGTGGCCTCAGGGCTGGGTTCAGAGCTCCTCCCGCAGGGGGAGCCTCAGAAGTGGAGGCAGCTGCTGATGGGTGAGTTTACAACTTCTTATCCTGCCTAAGGCGAGTAGGCGTTTTTATTCCGTTTCCAGTCCTTGAGCTCAGCAGATCAAAATAACAGTGACCCTGCAACCCCACAGAGCCCGCGACACGCTCGCTTTCTTCCCCGCCCTGCCCCTTTAGTCCCCGCTCTGGAAGGCCAGGCAGTTTAGGTGTAAATAGGTATCTTTTATGGTTTCCAAATGAATTATTTGTGTGAGAGTAATTAAATCTGTAAGAAAACCTGTTGAGATTCTTCACTATGAATTATGACTTCTACAACATGTATTTTAGCAAAAACACGATGCTGGCCTCCACTGGATAGCTCAGTATGCTGATTGCCAGTGATAGTTCTGTACGCGTTACCAACAGCGTCTTTATTAACCCTCTTCCACATCCAGTGGAAATCATTGCTAGGCGGTATTTGTTGGTTGGCTGTTAGCTTTGCTTTATGATTTCATGTTTCTTTTAAAGGTTGTTTTGCATGTTGAATATTAAATTTTTTTTTTCTGTGTCTTCCTCTAATCTTTTTCTGTAATGGGAATTTCAGGGTAAATACAGATATTATAGCAAAGCAATAATTTAATGATTGAAACTTAATTTGCCCCCAGTGATTCCTGAAACTTTTTTTGGAGCTTTCACACAAACTACTTTTTTGAACTAGAGTGTGTTGGAGGCAGAGAAAAATCACCCTGTGTGCTGGCTTTGCCTGCCGTGAGCCAGTGAGGAGTCCGAGAAGAGGTGGGCAGGTCAGTGATGGGTTTGGCCAGAGATGCCATATTTGCAGTATTAAATCATTTCAAGATGCATTTCAAGGCCTGGCACGGCTCACGCCTGTAATCCCAGTGCTTTGGGAGGCCGAGGCGGGCAGATCACTTGAGGTCAGGAGTTCGAGACCAGCCTGGCCAACATATGGTGAAACCCCCATCTCTACTAAAAATACAAAAATTAACCGGGCGTGGTGATGTGCACCTGTAGTCTCAGCTACTTGGGAGGCTGAGGCAGGAGAATCGCTTCAACCCAGGAGGCAGAGGTTGCAGTGAGCCAAGCTCATACTACTGCGCTCCAGCCTGGGTGACAGAGACTCCATCTCAAAAAAAAAAAAAAAAAAAAAAAAAAATGCATTTCAAGTTAAGCTTTTAGCCTCCACAAAGTAGTGCACACCCTTTCAGTTGTACTATAAAATTTCCCAGGCTTTTTCAGAGAACCTCTTAACCCTCACAGAAATGGAAAAAATGGAATAGAGGCCAGGAGCCCCAAGTTCAGGTTTTGCAGGCTCCAGGTAAGCTGGCTGATCTAACGGAAGATGAGGTGTTTGCAGCAGGCGTCTGTCTTGCAGCTCAGCAGGTGAGGGGACCTCGAGCAGGCTCTCGCATTTTCCGGCTGATCCTTCCGAGTCTGCTACTGCAGGGCCCTCGTAGGTGGGAGCAGCCTCATCGTCGCCTTTCACACTGTGAGCTTTTCCTTTCCACGGTCAGATGGACTTAGTGAGTTACCAGCGATGGATGTTAAGACCTAAGACACCGCAGAAAGTTACAGAGTGGAAAATGAGGGGCAGAGAAAAGAGGGTCTGAGAGGAACGCAAGCATTCCGGAATACAGTAAGGGACATCCCATCAATGACACTTCTTGGGAACAGCCACTGCCTTAGAAACACCAGACCAAGAGAATTTTCTGACCACAACCCCAAAGGCAGCCCATGAAGATGGAGGTTAGGAAGGAGGCGGTCTAGCAGGTGAAGACTTCCTTGCCATCCAGGTCAACCCCCTTCTTGTTGAACAGTGGGAAGTCCTTTTAAAGCAGTCACCTGAAAAATGTTTAATAGAAATTTGGGGAGAGTCTCTATCTTGGAAGCTGCCTGCGGGAACCTCATTCCTATTCATTGCCTCCTCTTGGAAGGCTAATCTGCTATTTCGGTTCCTTTAGCCTTAGATGAGCTTTTAGGAAGTACTGTCATGCCCTAGCTTAGAAGGAAAAAAGGTAACTGGAAAGGAAAACCTTTGGGAATCTTACACTGGGAGGAGAGGGGAATGTAACTCAATCCATATAATAACACAGTTCATTGTAAATAGACATGTTGACTGTGGTAACATGCTGTACTTTGTGCCTGATTGTTAAAATGCTAAGAACAGCTGGAAAATTTACATGAGGAAGAGAAAATACTTGTTTCTGGGGATAAAGAAAGGATCATGTTGTCTTTTCTTTCCTTACAGTGTCACTGAATTGCCCCTGACTTAGCCTCTCCATCAGCCAACAGGTTAGAGAGTTCTTTCCTCTGTGTGGACTGGGGTCTTTCCTCTTGGAATCTGATTTTAATGAAACAATTAGGTTGCTCATTTTGAAATAACCATGGCTTTTAGCCAAATTTTATGCTACTCTGAATAAACAATTTTGCTTAAAAGATTTTAGCCACTTCCAGAAGCCAGTGCAGTTGAGTAATTTAGTGGGCACGTATATCTCACTTAACGTGGCACGCTGGGGAGAGGTGTGTGGGGCTGGGACCTCAAGCTGCACCACCTCAGACACACTTAACCCTGGGCCTGGGTTTTCTCAAGTAGAATCACCACTTTCCTTCCTGGGACGCGACGATGTTGAAGTGAGACAAGGTTACGTCCAAAGGCTGGCATAGTTGCTGGCAACGCTGATCACTACTGCCATTTCTTCCCGGCGTGTGCAAGGGGTATTTCACGGGCCATCTTTGGAGTCATCGGGAGTGCATGTGCCAGCGGTTCCCAAATGTGAGCATGCCTCAGGATCACCTAATGCACGCTCTAACCCAACGTTCAAACCCAGAAGACCGGTGAGGAAAATACTTTGGATCAGTGATGACGGCTGCACCACTGTGAGTATACTAAAAGCCACTGAATCATGTACTTTAAAGGGGTGCAGTTTATATGAATTCTATCTCAATTTTTAAAAATGGGCTCCAACCTGAGGCGCTGATTCAGTAGCCTAGTTGGGGCCCATGGGTTAGCCTTTTGTGGGGGGGTGGATGGGCACGGACAGGGTCTTGCTGTCACCCAGATTGGAGTACAGTGGCGCAACCACGGCTTACTACAGCCTGGATCTCCTGGGCTTAAGCGATTCCTTCCACCACCATGCCCAGCTAATTAAAAAAAAAAAATTTTTTTTTTTTCTAAAGACAGGGTCTTGCTGTGTTGCCCAGGTTGGTCTCTAACTCTGGGCTCAGCAATCTTCCCACCTCAGCCTCCCAAAGTGCTGCAATTACAGGCGTGAGCTACCTCGCCCAGCCGGGTTTGATTTTTTTTTGTTTTTTTGAGATAGGGTCTTGCTTTGTCACCCAGGCTGGAGTACAGTGGCATGATCACTGCTCACTCCCTGGAGCCTCCACCTCCTGGGATCAAACCATCCTCCCACCTCAGCCTCCCAAGTAGCTGGGACTACAGGTGCATGCCATCATGCCTGGCTACATTTTGTATTCTTTGTACAGCCAGGGTTTTTGCTATGTTGCATGTTGGGGACCAGCCTCAACACCACCCGTAGGGTACCCGAAGTCTGGTGGCGACAAAGGATTGAGAAGAGACAGGTTAAGAGTGAAGGTGGGAGCCAGGGGGCCAGTTGCAAAATGTGGAGGCTGCAAAAGGCTTAGAGCTCTGGTCTCCACACTATTGAGTCCAATCACTTAGATTTAAGCAGATGTTCGGGGCGAAACAGTGGAAGGGCGGCGGCGCGTCACAGGCATCATCTACGGCAACAGCGGTTTCAACGAACCTCCTCTGTGCTGCTCAAACAGCGTATCTTTATCGGAGAGTAGCTGGTGGGAGCGGGCTTAACTCGGAGCCTGCACGTCTGTCCGCATTCCAGTGTTTCAAAGGAGTGTCTCTCTCCTTGAACACAGTGTTTACAGATACGAGAGCAGGTCTCACTCTGAGCATGGGAACATGATGGCAATTAGGAGGCTCTCCTCCTCAGAGACCTCTTGTGGCTTTCCACAACTTAGTGTCCTGTATTTTTATGGCCAGTTTATACAGGCACCCCACAAGCCCTTTTCCCAACAGTTGCACAGGCTGGTCTCAAACTCCTGGGCTCAAGCGATCCACCCACCTCGGCCTCCCAAAGTGTTAGGATTACAGGCGTGGGCCACTGGGCCCGGCCGGGCTTGCATTTCCATCAACTTCTTATGTGTCAGTCCCAGGACCACTCTGAGAACCCAGGTTCTAGCCCAGCCATGCAGCTGAGTATCTAAACAGGGCTGCTGCGGCTCAGGTGCAATCTTCCTCTTCAGATGACATTCTCTTAGTGTCATTTAGTTTCTATTAGATGTTAACGGTTCAGGAAAATACTTTGATGGATAACTTAAATCTTTGCAATATTATTTTTTTAAACCAGAAAATACCCCTTATAAACCAAATAAATGCTGAGTAACATAGGAAAGGTTAAAAAATAAGTCTCAAAGGTTTGCTTTGAGGACTAACCAAGGTAATACATATAAAGCACCTAGCCAATGCTTTGCACACTAGCCCATTAAGGATCAATTGTTCCCATTCCAATCTGTTAAGATTTTAATCCAACAGAAACCCTTGGTCTGAATGGTTTAAAAGTAGTCTCGGCCCCCAACAAGGAGTCTGATAATAAACTGGTCTCTCACTCACCTCCAAGCTGACCTTCCTGTTGTTCAAGGAAGTTTCCGGTTGCAGCTTCTGCGTTGATTCTTCTTCCTCAGGTCTGTCTGACTTGTATTAATGCCAAGTGCATCACAGAGGAACATAAGACTCACACATTGGGATTTTGTTTACTTTTCATTTATTCACATTTCATGGATTGTTACACTTCCTCGATGGGAGCATTCAAAAACTAATACAAGCTGAGATTATATTGTCTGACAATTCAAGTATTTTAGTTTTAGAAAACAATTTCCTATTTAAAGTAAAAAGCAAACAATTTATCCATCTGATTGCTAAGAAGTTTTACATCTCCATTACAATTGTGTCTGCATCAAACGGAGAGTCCTTCGTCCTCAGTATGATTGTTACTGGCTGAGAACATACGGTGACCTGTGTTCTGAGTGCCTGCTTGGAAAAGACCTCCCTGTCATCTGCCATACTACGGGACAAATCAGTATCTACTCAAATTCCCACTTCCAGAATGAGAGGACTCATCAGGGGTTTAGGAGTTTGCAAAGCCTTCAAAATGTATCGTGCTTGAATTTTGACTCTTCTGAAATAGAATAACTGACAAATGCTCAAAAAACAAACTTGTTTAACTTTTACTGAAAAGGCTCTCAGTGAAAACTTGTTTTGAACTCTACTAGTAAGGTAGAATATTAGTTTTTCTTCCCCTCCACACCAGAAAAGGCAGTTTTCTCTTTTTTTTTTTTTTGGCATGCAGCATATATAAAATGTGATCTAGAATTGAAATTGTAAAACAGAATAATCCTCTTAAAGAAAATCAGCCTATGAACAGTCAGACTTGTCCTTCCATGGAAAACATAATCTAAACTTCTTTAAAAACTGGCCATATTTTTTCAGTCTGTAATTCGAATAATGAAGATGGCATAACAAATTTTTTTGCTTACTAGGAATGCGCAAAAGGATGAGATGGATACACAGGTTTTAAAAAAAAAAAAAAAAAGGCCACTGGGATATTTAGTATTTGTCCAGATGCAAAACAATTTCAGAATAACAAAATACACACCTTGCTTTAGGCCACGTATATGATACACTTCATAGATTCTCAAACAAAAGATGAAAATTTCAGTCCACATTAAACATTTTAAAGCATAACTTCTAATATTTTGTTAAAAATAAGTCAAACTAAACGCATAAATCAGAATTACCTGTTAACATAGTGGGGAAAGTAGGGAAGCCCTCCAGGGGCCCCGTGCCCCAAGTAAAAGACAAGGAGTTAAATTTTACAATGAAATCCACGTATACTCAGGCTCTTTACACTAATAATCAAAGTGGAGACCAACCAGTTCCTAAAGCATAAAAGAGTGATTTTAAGAAAATATCACATTTTGAGTTACGGTATATTCATCACATTTTTCCCTGTAATTTTCACTTTAACAGTGATAGTCTTAGCAGCAAAAATTTGCTGGGAATGTTAGGAAAAAAGGAAGCCACACATACCTACTAATTTAAAAATATATAAACTATTTTTTACAGAAGGGCAGGTTTAAAAGAAAATCCAATCATGATCTTTTCATGCCATTTTTTGTCAACTTTCCATACACACGCAGACGCTAACAAAGTACTGTGTCATATACACTGAAGTGTCCTGAAGATGCCTGTGAGCTGCTGATTCCAGCTGGTACCAGGGAAGCATGTGTGGCTAAGTTGCAACAAACTTAAATTTGTTCCCCTTAGTTCTTCATCTTTTTAAAAGCTGAATAAACTTAATGTCAATCGGGTGGGGCCGGTATTAACAGCATCAACCGCTTGCTTACTATGAATCATCCGCAACAGAAACCCACGTGCATTCTCCATTCTTAAAAAGTCAGTGTAAAACTAACGGCCACTTCCTCCCTAGGTGCCTACTATCGCTATGTCTGACAGCATCTGTAACAGGACAAGCTCACCTCTCTCTACACGGATTCATCCAAAGCCACACACTAGGCCAAATTCTCCCAGTGGAATCAAAACACTGGAAGTAGAGCAAGAACCTCATGCCAACATTGGCCCAATCACACCTCAGTGACTTAGGAGTTCATCATATTTGATCATAAAATTGCTCCCGGCGCCAAACCTTACACCTAAAGACTGTAGTTTTAAAAAGCCACTGTACCGTCCACAATTATTCTGACCACTCTTTTCTAAATGGAGAATGTGCTACGCACTGAAGATCAGAACACACACGCGGGAGCCCTTGGGCACTGACCCTGAGCCTGTACACAAGATCAGCTGGTACTAGTCTCAAATGATTCATGAGGACTCAGTGGAAATTTAAACATTCAATTCTGTGTATCATTCATGTGCCCAGAGTCTTCAAAGAATGCTCGTGTTAGTTACCTGACACCTCTGGAGAAGTGACAGGGATATTCGTGTGAATAACCATGGCTCCCTTCCAGACAGACATATGGAATCTTACTCTTAAAAAAGTAAAGATATTTCAGATATCAAATGTATTATAATATACTGCGGTCTAAAGTTAAAGGCAAAGTTTACACACGATTTTCTCTTCCATGACTTTATTACATGTTTCCTAGTGAATTCACACGGCTCGTGTGTCAAAGCTCCCAGGCACGTCACTTGGTCACAGTTTTCATGTGCGTGGGGTTGATCATGGTACAAATGCCTATGCGCATCTTTTTCTCGGATGGTCTCATTTGACTTTCATTTCGTAAGGGTTCACTCTCCATGGTGTAGATGATAAGCTACCACATTTGTGCTTTTAAACCCATTCCTGGCAATCCCCCTTTATCTTCATTTTGTCTTTAGGGGGATAAAGAAGTAACACTACCTCATGAATAGAAACTATGAAGCCAAAAAACTCCTTCACAAGCTGTTCATTTCTTTTTAGAATGAAAATGCAGGTCCTGAATTCTCGTGAAGCAGCCCACAGGGTTACAGGCCAATGATTCGAACGCTGAGGTGAACACTTAGTACTCGCATTTGAGCTTCAAAGTAAAAATAAAGCAGAGGACAAACGCCTGTCACAGCGTGGCAGCCCGGTTCATTTGGTAACAGAACAAGTCTCACACGTCGGCTGAGCCCACCGGAGAGAAGCACACAGGCCAGCTTCCTTCTGAACACAGCCAGGCACCTGTTCAAAAGCCTCTCTCGTGGTGGCGGTGGACCCCAAAACCCACGGGTTGGAAGAGCCTTTGGGAAAGCAAATTGATACCCTGATTGCAGTCCTTGAAGAAATCACTTAGGGTTAGTTTAATAAACGAACATTAAAAAATCTTCCAAAAATTGCATTCAAATGTATTTTACACTTTAGGCAGTTCTTAAGAAGGGAGAGTGCAGTTTCTTGACACTTAACATTTAAAGGTTTTATTGGCCACATTAATCTTCCTCACAAAAGTTTTAAGTTATCTATAAGTTCTTAGAATGTCAAAGAAGAGAAGAAAAACTGACTAACTTTAAGGGGCGGTGGAAGCAGCAGCAACTTGGCAATAATTCTGCAGCCGACTTTGCGTGTTCAGGCATCCTTTTTCTCCAGTAAAATTTTGTGCAACTCGTCTGCATCCTCGCTGGTTTTTACCCGAATCAACATGGTGACTGGCATGGTGGCATTCTTCTCGTCAATTGGTGGATTTGGAACACAGACGATAAGAACGTTATTCTTCCCTGTTCGCGTACATGGCATATTGGGTGGAATCAGAACGTTCAGCAATATGTTGCCTGCATTCAAACAAACAAAACCCATCAAAATTATAGAAGCTATAGCTCCACCAAAGGAGTCTGTAATATGCTAAACATTAAATGCTGAAATAACTTAATACATCTAAGACAGGGAGCCAACAGGACAGCACAAAATCAGGACTGGTTCCCTGAGAACTGGGAGGCCTCGGGGAGCACTTGCCCTCACTGTGAGGAGTGGCCTTCCGTCCTCCCTCCAGCCCGGGTCTCTGCACCCACACAGCGTTTCTCTCAGAGCCAGCAGCCTCGCTCAGAACCGTCAGCCCTCTCAACACTGTCCGTCTTTGCACTGAAGGAAGAACACGGTGGCACAACCCAGTGTCTTCACTGCGCCACACGGACAAAGGACACCTCTGTCACAGGCCGGCACAGCTCCCTGGGCAAAAGTGACACGACCATGTTATTACTCCCTAGTCAAGCCCACGGGAAAGAAAAATGCCTCCCTGGAGTTTCTGCAACACAGCCCCCTGTTCTCTACCACTACTGCCCGCTCCACCGCAGGCCTGCCCCGTCTTCCTCCTCCTCCGGGCACTAGGATCCTTGCAGTGGACTCTTTTCAGGTTAAAACTGAGGATGGACAGCAAGCAGTTAGTCATTACTTGCTATATAAAAAGGATTCCTTTAAAAGGTTAATTTCCCTTGGGTGTTCATTAAATGGTCTAATCTCTAGCTTCTTAGTCACATTTCTAACACAAAGGAAAATGAAAAATCATTTTGTTTACAGCTTCTAACACATTTATGTTTCCTTACACACTATTATCCTGGGACTCAAAACTATAAATAAGTAAATACAGGATGAATTTGGCCTGAATGCGCTCTGTTTAAAAACATATTAATAACCTTGAGTCAGCAGGGTAAACGCTTTTATATACTATGTGATGATGATTTTGTGCTAACTGAAAAAAGGTACCCACCTAAATTGGTGTCTGCCCGCACCAAAAGCTGTGTCTTCTGATTTGCTGTAGGTTTTAAATGCAGAGTACCTATGCCTTTCTCTTTAAACTCATTGTCTTTCTTGTAAAACAGTTTACACCTATGGAGAAAAATAATAGGGACCATCAAGCATTCAAGGACGAATCAAGTCACACAGTTTTCTAACAACCACTCTTCACACTTGTGTGGAAAATCTCTATTAAATGAGTACAGGAAGCTTCAGGATAAATCTTTAATTGATCCAAACAGAGCCTGAGCAAAAACCAGAATAAGAAAATCTGCTTAGAGATTTTAAAACTCCTCCCCATTTTTTCAAATTAAACAGTGGGCCCCATGAAACTTTTTATAACACTTTCTGAAACTGTGTTCTCAAGTCAGTCAAAATCAGGGCTCAACACCAACCCCCCCCCCCCCCCGCCCCCAACCCCTGCCATTCTGCTCCTTTGGCCCTGAGCTCAAGATCGCCGATCTGGTCCTCTAAAGACAGGAACAAATAAAGGACAAAGACCCTGTCCTATCTCGCCCACCTCTCCCTCCTTTTTTTTTTGTGGCCTATTTCTTATTTTAAAAATTCTCCTCGACCAGGTGCGGTGGCTCACGCCTGTATCCCAGCACTTTGGGAGGCCGAGGCAGGCAGATCATGAGGTCAGGAGATTGAGACCATCCTGGCTAACACGGTGAAACCCCGTCTCTACTAAAAATACAAAAAATTAGCTGAGCGTGGTGGCGGGCACCTGTAGTCCCAGCTACTCGGGAGGCTGAGGCAGGAGAATGGCATGAACCTGGGAGGCGGAGCTTGCAGTGAGCCGAGATTGTGCCACTGCACTCCAGCCTGGGTGACAGAAAGAGACTCCGTCTCAAAAAAAAAAAAAAAAAAACAAACCTCAAGGCTCTTTCAGTTTTTGATTGCACAACATTTTTAAATAAATTTGGAAAACATTCTTGGGTAGGGTCTAACTAATAACAAAGTAATCAAATATCTTCCCAGCCTCCTGTGCTATGCATCTCCTGAGGTTATTAATACAAAACCATGGCTCATGTATTGATTTATGTATTTCTTTTGAGACAGTCTTACTCTGTGGCCCAGGCTGGAGTGCAGTGGCATGATCTTGGCTCACTGCAACCTCTGCTTCTCAGGGTTCAAGCAATTCTCATGCCTCAGCCTCCCAAACAGCTGGGATTACAGGCGTGCGCCACCACATTAGGCTAATTTTCATATTTTTAGTAGAGACGGGATTTCACCATGTTGGCCAGGTTTGTCTGGAACTCCTGACCTCAGGTGATCTGCCTGTCTCAGCCTCCCAAAGTGCTGGGATTACAGGCATGAGCCACCATGCCTGGCCTCATTTGATTCTAATTAAAAAAAAAAAAAATCTTAAAGTTGGGTCACTCCTTTATGTCATGTGAGTAATGAAATTTAAACACAGAAGAAATTGTTGGCCTCTTTTAAAAGTTCTTGAAACTAACACCTGGGAATCCCACAGGATGTGGTGACCTGTTCATGGAAAACTGCTGGCTCATTATTCGGAAATTTTTGCATTACAAAAACACATCTTTGAAAGCTTCTGAAATGGCACAGATGTTTTTTCAGCAAATATCTTTGTAAAAACTAATCTCATTTAATTGAAAGGAAGATGAAAGTTTTTATAAGTCCTCAACAGGAAGGGACGGTTACTGTGCTTAACTTTTTGACTATGAGAAAATCCAGAAAGGCCAACCAAGTCTCCAGGAAGGGATGAGAGATGCCTTCTGAGGCCAAACCTGAAATCACTGACTGACTCTGCGATTTCTTTGTTGGGGAGGAGGAAGGGGAGGGAGAAAGACACAGGGAGAGAAGACGGGATGGAATGGGATGGGATGGGATGGGGTTGGGAAGATCATGGAAGATCCTGTCTCTAAAGCACTTTAAAAGAGCTAAAGTGACAGAAAAGAGTGAGACCTGCCCACCAGGACATTTCTAGAACTGGATTTTTAAATAAACTGGCCAAGAATTCTTTCCTGTTCCACTTGAGAGCAGGCAAAGCTTGACCCCGAGACTGGAAGCTCAGTCAAGTGCCGTGAGGACATTCTCCAGCCTGAAGCATGCCACCATGCCTGCAAAACACATGCGCCAGCAGGTTGTGGGGATTCTTACTTTTTGGAGTAAAAAGCATCTTCTTCTTTTACTTCGGTAACTACTACTTTGGGTGGCTCATCATTCTCTTCTTCATCTCCACCTTTTATAAAAATGACAATAATTCAGTAAGATTCCAATCCAGAGCTTAAAGAAGTGACTGAAGTTTTGTTACGTAACACCCTAAACCTCCACCGGAGCACTCCATGTAAACTGACAGACTAAAATGCACACTTAATGGGGGGGGGGGGGGATGCCAGAAGGGAGTACCTGCAGGATTTTAACTATTTTGTGAAAAATAAGAATCCCTTTTAATGGGAACATACCTCTTAATTCTAAAATAACTTCCAATATATAGAAAACCTTAAAATGGAAAAATCTCCATGCTTATGACAGAAAAAAAAAATCAACACTCTATATGCAAATTACCCACTGGAAAATTCCATCTCGGATGAGTTTTTAACACCTTCACCCCTGAATATTCCTGTGACTACATCTACAAGTATCAGTAATAGCCAAAGATAGAAAAATACTTTTTTTTTTTTTAACAGGGGACAAGTTGTCAGAAAAATCATTCCAAAGCCCCAGTGTAAGTAATTTAAGCTTTGTCTGAATTGCCACATGGGTCACTGCTCTGGTACCAAAGGTATCCCCACTAACGGGGTCTCCCAAACACGGGAGACCTAGGCCATCATTTAAACACATGTATTAGGCTGTGTACAGTGGCTCACGCCTGTAATCCCAGCACGCTGCAGGGCCAAGGCAGGAAGATCGCTTGAGCCCAGGAGTTCAACACCAGTCTGGTCAACATGGTGAGACGCCCCCCATCTCTACAAAAAATAAAAAAGTTAACCAGGTGTGGCGGTACGTGCCTGTGGACCCAGCTACTTGGCAGACTGAAGTGGGAGGATTGCTTCACCCCAGGAGGTAGAGGCTGTAGTGAGCTATGATTGCGTCACTGCACTACTAGCCTGGGTGACAGAACGAGACCCTGTCTCAAAAAAATAAAAAACCCCACATATATAAAAGGATCCTCTTAAAGAGAACGGCAGTTGCATAAAAACTCACCAAAAAGCAATTCTAAGAAAAACAACTGTGATGCTCAGATGATTAGGTCACACGACTGTCCGTCTTATCCCTCCAATCTCCCGAGTCTTCTGATGCTTAAACTGTGATAACCAAGGGACAAGGAACAGGCGCTCACTGAGGGGCATCCTGCCTCCACTGGGACTCGATTCAAATCCCCAGTGCCTGCCTCAGGAAAGACTCCCCATTTGTTTTATTTATGGGAGGCAGAGAAGAAAGAAAAGGGGAGACCCTTATTTCACCCTGTGCCCAGAGGGCCCGTGCCTGAGGATATACTTGAAAGCAGGGCAAGGCAAAACAGTAATGGAAGTCTAGACTCCTGATAGAAAACCGTAATATTTCAGAGGCAAATTGGCAAATGCAGTTTTCTTCCTCAAGGATCAGTATGTCCATATGTCTGAGAAGTACACTTTTTCTTTTGTTGAGGCAAGGTCTGTGCTGCCCAGGCTGGAGTGCAGTGATGCAACCACGGCTCATGGCAACCTTGAACTTCTGAGCTCGAGATACTCCCACCTCAGCCTCTAGAGTAGCTGTGACTACAGGCGCCCACCACCTGGCCTGGCTAATTTTTAAAAATTTTTGTAGAGATGGGGTCTTGCTATGTTGCCCAGGCTGGTCTCAAACTCCTGGCCTCAGGTGAGCCTTCCACTTTGGCCTCCCGAAGTGCTGGGATTACAGGTGTGGGCCACCTCACCTGGCCTCACTTTCAACTGCTTAGAAGTAGGTGTCTTCACAGACATCACCTGTTCACAACCACCATGTGAGGAAGCAGCATCATGACATCACCCCACTTTTTAAGCTAACAACAGAGGTCTGGAGGGCCCAGACCTTGTGCCTTGTCTGGGGCACTGACGATACACACAGGAAACATCACTTAGACACCACTGCCACGCTCTGGAAAGGAGGCGCCTCCAAACCCACAGGAGGAAAACAATGTTGATTTCTTCTCTATGGCTATGAAAAGTCTACATTTGTAATGTATAGTCAAGTACTGTTTTGCCACATGACTTTATTTACAGTGAGATCTCCTAAGTACAAATCAATTCAGGGGACATTCATGATGAACTTGATGAACTTTTCCAAAAACACAATTTTCAAAAAACGTCTTTAATTCACTTGTTTTTTATATGCTAAACCATGTGTGTTTGAGACTTTTCAAAGTCAGGTGTTTTCAAATTCATTTTATTTTTAATCCTTATAAACAACCCTACAAAAGTCTTACTCTTTTATAAAGCAGGAATCTGAAACTCAGAGAAGCTGATTAGCTCTGTCTGAGATCACACATGGAGAGAACAACGTCTCAATGTGAATCCAGACTCATATTTGGAATCAAAGTCTCTGGGTTTCCCAAGAAACAAGAATCTTATGCAAACCTCGACTCAACGACAAAGCTGGTACTTACCTTTGCATTCACCACTGTCACCTTCTGCTTGGCCCTCCAATGGTTTAGTGGGAAATGGTGAAGAGACTGGTTTACTCTGGGTAGTATCTTTGCCAAATAAACTGGAGTTTCCAGGGGAGAAAGAAAATCCAGTCAGGGGGACAGAGCTTAATGAGCCCAAAACAGAGCTATCAACTTTCTTGCCGAAATTAAATGAGGCACTTGTCGCTCCTAGTGATGATGGGTCCGTTTTCTTTTCAGATGCCACCTCCATCTTCTTGTCAGGTGTATCTTCAGTTTTGTTGCCATGAAACAAAAACGTTGACTCTTGCTGTAATTTTGTTGAGCCAAAAAGGGAAGGAGACTGTGTTTCAGCTGCCACTTTGTTAGATTCACTTTCAGAATTCCTGCCACTGTTCCCGTGTTGCTGTTCAATGTTTGCTAAATATTTCTCATAGTCTTTAAAGATAGGTGTCAGATCACAGAGGGGGTTTGTATTCACGTGCTTCACTATCCAATCCCGCACGGAGCAGTTCAAGGCGGCCAACTGCTTGTGATAGGCATTTCCGACACAAGCTTTACTGGAAGCAAGGCCAGAGGAGGAGGGCTGCTGACTGTCCCCATTAGTTTTGGGATTTGAAACTTTATCAACCAAGGTGGTAGGGCCATTTGCAGCAAGAGAACCTATAGAAAGTTAATAATTGAACCATTTATTTAGCCTAATTTGATTAAATCATCTAGATTTTTTTGCCACTCTGCCTTCATACTTTCTGCTTTTACTGTATCTCCCCCCACACCAAGACAGTCTTGCTCTGTCACCCAGGCTGGAGTGCCGTGGCACGATCTTGGCTCACTGCAACCTCTGCCTCCCAGGTTCAAGCGATTCTCCTGCCTCAACCTCCCGAGTAGGTGGGATTACGGGCACCCGCCACCACACCCGGCTAATTTTTGTATTTTAGTAGAGATGGGGTTTCGTCATGTTGGCCAGGCTGGTCTTGAACTCCTGACCTCATGATCTGCCCGCCTCGGACTCCCAAAGTGCTGGGATTACAAGCGTGAGCCACTGCGCCCGACCTACTGTGCCCTATTTTTGTGACCGCTCAAAAAGTATGTGTTCAAGGAGTAGAATTTAGTAACCAGTTATCAGTAAAGCCGATGAATAAAGATCAAGTCAAAGTTTATACAAGAACACTAACCACCATATGCTTGCTCTACACATTTTAAAAATAATCTTTTCCTTCAAAAGGACGCCTATCTGAGATGTGATCGGGCGCGTCGAGGGTGGTGTGGCAGTAGACAAAAGGATGCCTATTTCAAACAGCACTGTTAGAACAGCAGGTCAGCATTAACACTTAATCCCCAAGGTTGTTGGGATGAACAGTATTAAAGTACAGTCGCCCCTCTGTACCTGCAGGTTCTACACCTGTGAAATGCAGTCCTCAGCCAGGTGTGGTGGCTCACGCATGTAATCCCAACACTTTGGGAGGCTGAGGTGGGCAAATCGCTTGAGCTCAGGAGTTTGAGACCAGCCTGGGCAACATGGCAAAACCCCATCTCTACAAAAAATGTAAAAATTAGCTGAGTGTGGTGGTGTGTACCTATAATCCCAGCTACTGGGGAGGCTGATGGGGGAGGATCACTTGAGCTCGGGAGGTTGTGGCTGCAGTGAGCCAAGACCACACCAATACACTCCAGCCTAGGTGACAGAGCGAGACCCTGTCTCAATGCAGTACTCTGGGGATGAGAAACCAGTGGATACGAACACTCACTTTTCCTATCTAAGAGTTATGCTGGTCTGACTATGGGACTTGAACATCCAAGGGGGTGCTGAAACCAATCCCCAGGATACTAGGGGATGGCTGTAGTTAAAAATCTTAACAGAGGCCGGGCACAGTGGCTCGCGGATGTAATCCCAGCACTTTGGGAGGCCAAGGCAGGTGGATCACAAGGTCAAGAGATCAAGACCATCCTGGCCAACATGGTGAAACCCCGTCTCTACTAAAATTACAAAAATTAGCTGGGCATGGTGGTGCATGCCTGTAGTCCCAGCTACTCGGGAGGCTGAGGCAGGAGAATCGCTTAAACCCAGAGGCGGAGGCTGCAGTGAGCAGAGGTCGCGCCACTGCATTCCATCCTGGTGACAGAGCAAGACTCCAACTTAGAAAAAACAACAACAACAACAAAACTTAACAGAGAACACTTATTTTACATCACACTAAACATTCTGCCAAATTAAAATCAAACAGTATATACTCTCAGAATAATCAGCTAAATACAACCCAACCAGTCAGGATCATTTCCAAGCTTTTAACCCGTGATCCTATTCTCTGTTGCTAATTCCAAGAGTTTTTGACTGACTCCCTCAAAACAGGATCAGGCAATCAACACATCCCATACCCAAACAAACCTAGCGTGGGAGGCACCCTGGCCACGGAGAACCGCATCTGAGTTCCCAGTAGCCAGTTTGGTGCGAGGCACACAGAAAGCCCTTGGCACACAAAGGGTCTACATAGCATTTTCTTTTCTCTCTCGACTCTAGGTCAATTCTGAGGGCCACTCTCCTTTCAAAATTGAACATTCTGAGGCCTAGAGGCCAGGGTCACACAACTGGTAGCCAGCAGAGCTGAGAACAAAGCTGAGATGTTTTGGATCAAAAGCCTGTGCTCTACCCACTTACTCTGTAAGTAACCGACACCTCCCTAAGTTCCATCTCTTTCATTATCACCCTGGTTTTGCTCACACAGTTCCAAGACACAGGGTAGCTATAAGAAAAACATCTTTGTAAAGCTATTTTCCATAGATGATACTTACACAGGCGGCTGGGGGATGGGAGCTACTTACCAAAGGCTACCTTGGGATCTGCCGCTGCCTTTGCACTGGCGAAGGGAGGGGCACTGGTTATGTTGTTTCCATTCGACAGTCCTTCCAAAGGCTTCCCTCCAGCGCCACTACCAAATCCAGAAAAGCGTCCTCCTCCAGAAGGTACCACCAAACCTTTAAAACCTTTAAAGGCTCCTCCAGTGTCAGACTGAAGTATGAAGGAGGAGCACACATTAGGTAAGTGTACTTTCTATTACCAAAAAGCAAGTGAGTGACAACAGCATCTTGGCTAAACAGCACCTAGACTCCACATGCAGTCAGCGTTATAAGGCAAACTGCTGGCACAAGCAGAAATAAGAAATGAGATGGGAAGATTGTATTCATAAGAACAGCTTTGCAACCCAAAGCTGCTTTCCTGAAACAGGCAGGAAGGACATTTAAAAAATATATTATGTGTATTTTTAGGACATAAAAGGTAAGAAAGACTAATGCAATAAACCTATGTACCCACCACCCAGCCTCAGAATTACTGAAGCGGCTCAATAAAACTAAATCCCAAATGAAAGATACTTCATGTACTACTCAGTCAAAGACCATTTACTGCCTAAAGAAATGATAAAAACATCAAGGTAGGTTAACTAAAAATATCCATTTGCCTAATTTCTTAACATCTGTGGCTTGCAACTGCTTTCAGCCTACAAAAACTTAGATGATCGAGTCTCAAATCTACATGTTCCTGTTAGCTGAACAACCCGGGACAACTTCTTACTCTCCTTTTCCTCACTGCTTCCTTAAACTCGATTGTTTTAACAAGGTTTTTCTAGTAGGCCTTTTCCCTTTGTGCTAGCCTGCTCACATCTCTAACCTAAGATGCTCTGGAAATGTGTGGCATTCCGTATGAATTCTAAAGCTCCTCTCTGCCCCTGGAACTTTTGGAGAAAGGTTCCTCGGTTTATAGTGCTTTGCTAAATAAACTCACCACAATTTTTAGAAGCCCTTTTTTGTTGTTGTTCGAAGAAGTGATTACATTATAGGAAGTGATCTGCTTCTTAGACCGAACATCTAAGAGACAGTTCACAAATCTTAAGTTTCCACATGAGTGAATTATAACCATGATTTCACCAGAAAAAAAAAAAAATTAAACTGGAACCCCTTCATTTACTAAATGGGCCAGTCAGCCTAAATATTACTGCATGTTTTTCCAAAACCAAAGTTTCAATCTCATCTACAGAATTTCAGATGTTTACTGACCACTGATATATTTAAGGCAATAAAATGAGGCAAAGAATGGAAAATTGTAACTTGTATGAGTTTTAATGCACATAATAAACAGAGCTTAGATTCTGTTGCTCTACATTTGATTTTTCATCATTTAAAATTCCAAACCCGCCACACTGATAGCTGTCATTTTAAAACAATGATTCATGGACAAACTATAAAGCCATTAAGTGGCTTTTCAGAGCCTCCGATTTTGCACAAAGTTAAAAGTCACTTGTAGGGATTTTAGAAATTGCTGATAGTAAATTGGCTCTAGAATCACAACAAAAATTCAAGAACCACAAGTTAAACAAAAAAAAGATATTCAGAAAAATGAGAGTAAAAGTTGATTAAGATATTCATCAAGGGGCCAGGTGTGGTGGCTCATGCCTATAATACCAGTACTTTGGGAGGCCGAGACATTCAGGTCACTTGAGCCCAGGAGTTTGAAACCACCCTGGGCAACAGAGTGAGACCCCCTGTCTACAAAAATGCAAAAATTAGCTGGGTGTGGTGGCGCATGCCTGTAGTCCCAGCTACTCAGGAGGCTGAGGCAGGAGGATTGCTTCAGCTCAGGAGGCGGCGGTTGCAGAGAGTCAAGATTGTGCCACCGCACTCCACCCTGGGCGACAAAGACCCTGTCTCAAAAAAAAAAAAAAAAGGGAAAATACCCATGTGGGCTCCTCCATGGGCACTGACACAGCCCCACATCCCTCAATTTCCCTCATTGGTTTTACTGTTCCCCATGGCACTTACAGAGGAAAAATTAATACTATGTATTTGTTCTCTTCCATAGGGCAAGATGATTTTGGTCTTTTTTACTCACCAATACATCTCCAGTGCTTAGCAGATCTACTGAATCCACTATTTAGGAAAAGCCGCATTTCAGCATTCTGGTGGGTGACATGACATTTAATTGTCCTAATATATGAAAACTTCAGGCTAAGAGTTACAGCTAAAATTATCTGTGGATTTCTATTATCCACCTACACTTAATTTCCCTTAGTTGCCCAAGGGCTCCTGCCCTCTCCTTCCCTCATCCCTTCAGCTTAAGTTGTAGATTATGGTCTGTACTATTTCTACCTCTTGAACTTCCTTCGGTTGCACAGGTGACTGCCCCTCCTTCAGAATGGCTTCCCTTGGCTTCTGCAGTGAGCTTTGTTTCTCACTCCTCGTAGGACCCTCCACCTGCATGCCTCCTGTCGCCCATTCCCATGGCCTCAATCCCCCACATGACGAAAGCTGCCGGAGCTGTGCCCATCCTTGCCATAATTCCTGTTGTATACCTAGTGGTCTTCCAGGGCACTCCACTTGAGTGTACCAAGGCCTTTCAAATACAGCATTTCCAAGACCAACCATTTCCTCCTTAATTAAACTGTCCCTCCCCCCATGTATCTTCCCAGTGAAAGAGCCATCAAATATCACTCAGCTCAACACCTACGTCTACCACCTAGTCACCAGTCAAGGCAATTCATAAAATCAAACCAGACAAAAAAAAAAAAAAAACACCTGAAGTTCAAGAGGTTTACTGTACAACAGGCAGGTAGAAATGTATTATGCATCTGAAAATAAGACCATGTTGTACACCATAAGTATATAATTTTTGTCAAATAAGAAATACAATTTTTAAGCAAAATATAATTAATTAATTACAAAACACAAGACCTAATCTCTAGCTTGGATCTGAGATATGCTTCCTCTGTACCTACTTCCTTTCTTGGCAGTGCAACCCGTTAACCTGAATTCTACATGAAAGAGCTTTTACAACGTCAGGAAATGAAGCTCCTCTCATGCATCTGAAGCATGCAATGGAGCAGAGAAAGAGCACACACTTATGACATTAGCCATGGCATCCTAAAGACGTTCAAGACTACCCAGAACCACCTGAGAATCGATTTCATGTAGGATTACGTATCTCTGCCTCGAATTACACTATATTGGTATATACAGTAATATATTTTAGGAAAATTGCGAATACTTTATTTTTATAATTTGAATTGTTTTCCCATTAACACATACCACCATTTATGAGACGCTCTGAGTGACTGGCTGTTGTAAACGTCTTACTGACTGCCTCCCCACCACTGCCACCTACCTGGCTCCCTTCCTTACGTTTTCAAACTTTAATACATTTTATGATCAAAACTTTGGCAATGTAATGAATATTTTTGTAATAACAATTTCTTTTCATTGCTTCTCAAAGTGTGAATGATACACCTTTCCTATCCTTTTTTTTTGGAAATAAAAGGGAAATAAGCTTGCATGTCCCTTAAGGAGAACGCTCAGGAAAGTAAGTATTTCCGCTCCCAGGAAGTCTGCATTATGCTTACTGGCACGGCACCTCTAACCTGACCATTTGAGATCCTCCAATGACTATTTCCTTGGAGCATCACGTTGGTGCTCAAAAAGCTTCAGATCTTGGAGCATTTTGGATTTCCAGATTAGAGACACCCAAGAATATAGTCTATTCTTGATGTTTTAAACACTGCAAAACGTGAGGTAGGGTAGGTTTATTTCAAAGCTGCCACCCAGGATATTCAAAGCGGCATCTCCTGCCTAACACCAGATGTCCAGGCCACCAAGACCACACTCTCCTGGGTCTAGAATGTATCTGAAGGGAGAGGATGTACTGGGGACGAGTTCTTAGATGCGGAGTGACTGCTTAATAATCAGCACATTATTTCAATTTAGGAGTTACAACTCATCTTCCATCCTTCTTAGCACAGGAATGAATCATTTTAATATACTATACTAGCAAAAAATCCACACCTAAAATGCCTCTAGTATAGTGAAAGGGCTCCCCCTACCAAGGCCTCAATCGCAGGGAGCAGACAAGACTCTCAGAAGATCCTTGCGTTTTCCTTTCTTCCTCCAATCTGATGCCACTTCGCCCACCTCTGTATTGCTTTGCTCATTTTTCTTCTCCAGATTGTCACTCAACTTGAATTTGTCTATATTTATCTTATTTCCTCAACTGGATAAGCTCTCTTTAAGGTCCAGACCTGACGTTTCTTATTTTTTTCTATCTCCCATGACCTACATCAAAGAATAAGTATTTTAAGAAAGCATTTGTTGATATCATTGCTCCCAGCGGAGGGATTGCTGTGCAACCCAGAAATCAAATGAGTATTTAATAGCAAGAGCTGTAAGGGGGCACTCACTTCAAATCCAACATTTCTGCGCTTTGCTTTCTTTATGGCTCTATTCTTCAAGACTTCCTCACTGGCCATGGAGAATGTTCCCACCTGCAATACAATACAAATTAAGCAGCAGTAAGATAAAGCCAAACAGATGACAAAATCCTCAACAACAACAACAAGCTAGAACTGAGCCACTGTGTCCGGCCTCTCAAAAATAAATTTTGGCCAGGCACAATGGCTTGCGCCTATAATACTAGCGCTTTGGGAGGCCAAAGGTCAGGAGTTTGAGACCAGTCTGGCCAACATGGTGAAACTCTGTCGCTACTAAAAATGAAAAATTAGCTGGGCATGGTGGTGGGCACCTGTAATCCCAGCCACCTGGGAGGCTGAGGCAGGAGAATCACTTGAACCCTCCGGGAGGTGGAGGTTGCAGTGAGCCGAGATAGCACCACTGCACTCCAGCCTGGGCAACAGAGCAAGACTGTCTCAAAAAAATAAATAAATAAATTTTGTTATTTATAACATACACATGATTTTTAAGATGAGTCCTGCCCAACTTGCCCACTGTACGAAAGGCCACGGAGGCACCTAGGACCTTGCTGGACAACCACTGCTCTTCCACAGTGCGCTCAAAGCACACTCATGTCCACACTTCTGATGTCCACGTCAGAAAGCTGCTGAATATCTTCGGCTTTAGTTTATAGCCCTTCTTTTACCCTGTAGGGTCGGAATAAAATATTTCTCATGCAAAAATTCTCACCTATAGTTGTTTCAGATCATATTAAACTTAACGGGCTCCTACACTCATAGAGGGGACCATCTGGCTGCACTTGCCCCAAGTTAAATGTACTTAACTAAATGTAATCTTTCCACACATTTCATTGGCATATGTTCGAATGGGAGTTCTTTCATTCCTGAATATTTTAATGTCTAAGCAAATAGTTACATGGTAATCTAGATGTTACTATAGCCCAGAATGTAACTGTGCTTAAGATCTTAAACCAACAACAACAAAAAACCAAAAACCCCCATAACCAAAGATTTTAGTTAAAAAGCACCAAATCAGTTTTGACCCTGTCAAAACACTCACATCCTTGGGATTCTGGTTTCCCTAAACATATGTGAGGAGATACACTTGTAGAGAAAAAAAGTACTAGTACCAGAAAGATTCCAAAAGAAGGAAGATGGCCGTCTAAGAATAAGCTTGGAAACAGTTGCAGTTTTAACATTTTTCTTTTTTCACTTAGCACTATGCTG
Source organism: Homo sapiens (assembly GCF_000001405.40). Classification (NCBI taxonomy): domain Eukaryota; kingdom Metazoa; phylum Chordata; class Mammalia; order Primates; family Hominidae; genus Homo; species Homo sapiens. Next base: position 45,170,447 of record NC_000022.11, on the reverse strand, counting down.
TTAACCTGAAAGTCGTGGTTACAGATTTCCTTAGTCATCTGGCCTGGGGGTAACACACTGCTGATAAGGTACGACTGTAGAGTCCAGCCCTACTGGGCTTTGCGGGTGTTCTCCTCGAAGGGGGAAACAGAGATTGTAAGAAATAAAGACACAAGACAAAGAGATAAAGAGAAAACAGCTGGGCCTGGGGGACTACTACCACCAAGACACGGAGACCGGCAGTGGCCCTGAATGGCTGGGCGTGCTGATATTTATTGCATACAAGACAAGGGAGCAGGGTGAGGAGGATGAGTCGTCCAGGGGATTGACAAGGTCAAGCAAGTCACGTGATCATGGGACAGGGGCCCTTCCCTTTTAGGTAGCTGAAGCAGAGAAGGAAGGCGGCGTACGTCAGCATTTTCTTCTATGCACTTATCAGAAAGATCAAAGACTTTAAAACTTTCACTATTTCTTCTACTGCTATCTACTAAGAACTTCAAAGAGGAACCAGGACTACGGGAGGAGCATGAATGTGGACAAGGAGTGTGACCACTGAAGCACAGCACCACAGGGAGGGGTTCAAGCCTCTGGATGACTACTGGCAAGCCTGGACAATATCCAATCTCCCACAAGAAGGTGGTGGAGCAGAGTGTTCCCTGACTCCTCCAAGTAAAGGAGACTCCCTTTCACGGTCTACTAAGTAACAGGTGCCTTCCCAGGCACTGGCGTTACCACTTGACCAAGGAGCCCTCAAGCGGCCCTTATGCGGGCGTGACAGAGGGCTGGCTCACCTCTTGCCTTCTAGGTCACTTCTCACAATGTCCCTTCAGCACCTGACCCTGTATCTGCCGGTTATTCCTTGGTTATATTAGTAGTACAACAAAGAGTAATATTAAAAGCTAATGACTAGTAATGTTTATACTAATGATTGATAATGCCCGTGATCATCTCTGTATCTAATTTGTATTATGACTATTCTTATTCTAACTATTTTATGTATTATACTGAAACAGTTTGTGCCTTCAGTCTCTTGCCTCGGCACCTGGGTAATCCTTCGCCCACATCCTATAAGTACAGCTGTGTTTTATTCTTTGTTTTTTAGACAGGGTCTCACCCTGTTGCCCAGGCTGGAGTGCAGTGGTGCAATCACAGGTCACAGCAGCCTTGAACTCCTGGGCTCAAGCAAACCTCCCGCCTCAGCTTCCCAAATTGCTGTGACTATAGGCTCATGCCACCATGTTCAGCTAATTAAAACAATTTTTTGGGGGGTTGGGTGCGGTGGTTCTCGCCTGTAATCCCAGCACTTTGGGAGGCCAAGGCGGGTGGATCACTTGAGGTCAGGAGTTTGAGACCAGTCTGACCAACATGGTGAATCCCTGTCTCTACTAAAAATACAAAAATTAGCTGGGTGTGGTGGTGTACACCTGTAATCCCAGCTACTCGGGAGGCTGAGGCAGGAGAATCACTTGAACCCGGGAGATAAAAGTTGCAGTGAGCCGAGGTTGTGCCACCGCACTCCAGCCTGGGCAACAGGGTGAGACTCTGTCTCAAAAAAAAAAAAAAAAAAAAATTTTTTTTATAGAGACCGGGATCTCTCTATGCTGCCCAGTCCTACTGTTTATAAGGGAAAAATGATCAGATTTCCTCAGGGGAGACCATTTTTATTCTGCTGGAAAAGGAACTAGGCCAATCTCAATTCTATTCCTATAAATGCAATTGTTAGGGGTCTCAGGTCTACCATTAAGAAAAGGAAATAAAGCAGGCCTCCAAGAAGCATTAGGGAAACGGAGTACCACAGACCAAGATGGTGATGGTGTACCACTTTCACATCTGGGCAGTGTGCTAAGTTCATGACTACATCACTTAACTCAGCCTTCAGTCATGACTAAAATGGCTTACTGCAAACATGGGTTCAGAATGCTTCAAGTATACGAAACTCAGGAGGAAAAGTGCTTCTACTAAGGAGAATATTTAAGGAGCAGGCACTAGTGGAAAAGCACATCTAAATGTAATTAATACATTTCTACACTAACTAGAGGTCACAGAAATGTAATTAATAAATATCTACACTAAGTACAGGTCATATAATTTCTTGTCATCTCCCATTCATGATGTTCTTAGAAAGGTCTTTTAGTTCTGTCACAAGTCTTCATGAGGAACCCCAAAATGAATGTAAAAGGCAAAAGAAACAGGAAATCATTCTTAGGGAAGCTGCTTTTTACCTCTTCAGCTTCATCTTCTTGATCCCAATTCCTATCTGTCAGTTCCTTCTCGGCATTTCTTTTGGCCATGTTTTCGAACCTAAGTTATAGAAAACAGAAGAGTTTATTTTTCTAGAAGAATAAATTCTTATAAAGAATTTTAAAAATTCACTCTAGCATGAAGTGAGATAAAAACATCTCTGGTTTTTTTATCAGGGAAAAAAAGCATCTGGAAACTGCTTTAATGAGAACTTTACATTGGTGCTGTTAGGCTCCCAGTGTTACAAATCAATAAAGGCTTTTTCCAGGAGGCAGAAGAAGATTCCTAGGGAACACCAGCAGTCCTGAACAACACTAAACCGACTCCATTTGGAAAAATTAAAATGAAATATCAATTGATTTTTTAAAAATCTGGAATCTGAAGTACTGTATATATAATCAAAAAGTCCTTAACTTATTCTACGCATATACATACTGAAAGTCTTGTCATAAAGAAAATAATTTTAATATTTAAAATTCTCTTAAAGATGACCCATTAAAGAAGTGTATCTTTCAGTAAGAATACGAATAACGGGCTGGAAACGCCTCCACAACACGAATACTGTTCTTTAAGCTACAGCCGACAGAGATACATGGTTCCCAAGACTGAACATTTTGTTGCTTCAAATTGTATATTGCCAAGACAATTAGAAGTCCAAAATGATTAACATGGGTGTGTTAGTATTCTGGGAACTTATAACCTTTCAAAAACAAATCATTGGCTTAACTCTTCAATACGATGGCATTAGTGGAAGGGGCAGGAGTTGGGGAACGGCGTGAACTCTGCAGTGGATTCCGGCACCTAACCAAAGAGGGTGCTCCTGTCCATCCCTTAAAATTTACGATTTGTTTTCTGATCTTAATATCATAACAACAAAACAAAGAAAACCCACAACCCAGAGCTCCGCTATGAGTGTTGTGCTGCCTTCTTCACTAACTCTCCAGCTGGACAAAAAACCTTTCCATTTCCCCTGCTACCCACCTCGCCCAAAAACTTACTGATTAGTTTTGGGGACCTGCCAGGTCTTGTTAAACCTGCCTGAACTCCTTCGTGATACTCTCCCCACTCTTGTTTGCTCTCAACACCACAATACACCAGAGTAAGCTTCCTTATTCTGGTGTATTGTGTAATACAGAGTGTATTACAACCCCACAAAGTGGTCGCTAAGATATGAGGTGACATATCACTCTTTAGTATCTAAAAGTAAAATGCAAATGCTGGTATTCCAAAGGCCTCTACAATTTGATGGCCAGTGGAGTAATTACATACGGGCTGTCAGCTTTTAATACATTTTAGTGATTTTTAAATTTTGTAAGTTTATGCTATTTTTCTGATTACAAATGATATTAAAGTCCAAGATTCTAAAATATAAAGGATGAGAAATAAATACACTTTCCATTCGCTGGGAACCCTCTCTTTTTAATGTCCACCCAAAAACACTTGGTTAAGTTTTGCCATTAATCTTTGTCATACAAACAAAAACAAATACAGGAATAGACATAATTCTTTACTGTGCAGAAACCAGGTCTCTGTACGGATTCTTTTTGGCAATTTTCCTACTCATTAACTAATGTCTCCACCAGAGGGTTGGAGAAGTAAGAAGTCACCAACGGTCACGTTTGCTATTTAAGATTAACTGTGGGGCCAGCGAAGTGCCTCACGCCTGTAATCCCAGCACTTTGGGAGGCCAAGGTGGGCAGATCACTTGAGGTCAGGAGTTTGAGACCAGCCTGGCCAACATGGTGAAACCCCGTCTCTACTAAAAATAAAAAAATTAGCTGGGCGTGGTGGTGGCACCTGTAATCCCAGCTACTCCGGAGGCTGAGGCAGGAGAATCTCTTGAACCCAGGAGGTGGAGGTTGCAGTGAGCTGAGATCGCGCCAATGCACTCCAGCCTATGTGACAGAGCAAGACTCCATCTCAAAAAAAAAAAAAAAAAAAAAAGAAAAAGAAAAAAAAATTAGCTGTGGAGAAAAAAGGGATGGAGCTGAATACACAAAAACTGTAATAGTAAAATTGTAACTTCTAACTCATACCCACAATGAAGAGACAGGTGACGCAGTAAAATAGTCTAAATAAATGTAGGGGCTTCCACGTCCTAACATACTCACCAAATCAGTATATAACCAAAACGCAGGGATCTTTGTTTTGTTTACAGATATACTCCAAATGCCCCAACAGTGCCCAGCTCAAACAGCAGGTGTCCTGTCTGTCATTAGATCAGTGAGCTGGGGAAGTATTTCCCCAGTGAGCATAAAGTATTTCAAAAAATACTAAAAGATGCTGGCATCCCAGTTTTGCCATTTTCTAGCTGTGAGAACTTGGGCAAGTTATATTTAATTTTTGTGCCTCAGTTTCTTCATCTGTGGAACAGGAAGTATTAAGAAAGTTAAGATAAACAAAGACTGGCTTAGAACAGTGCCTGGAGCAGAGGAAGGGCTTAATAAATTATTAAAGAAACAAGTTTTATTAGAAGCAAAGGCTATAAACTATCATTTTCCCTCCAAAACGTAAAAGTTGTAGCATGGAAGAAGAATAACTTGGATTACAAACCAGATTTTTACAAATATTTTACCAAATCCCTATTTTATTTCAAAGCATGACACTTCAGACAATACATTTTACTTTTATGCTAGAAGTGGGGGGGAGAAAAAACCCTCTGTAAAATATTCAGAACAAGGCCTGGCACCTGGAGTCTTATGTCTAGCTACTGTTATGAAGAACTTAAGGGAGGCGGAAGGATCTCTTGAAGCCAGGAGTTGGAAACCAACTTGGTCTCTACGAAAATAAAGATGGACATAGATTAGATGAATAGAAATAAAAAATTAGCCGAGCGTAGTGGCGCACGCCTGTGGTCCCAGCTACTTGGAAAGCTGAGGCAGGAGAATCACTTGAGCCCAGGAGCTTCAGGCTACACAGTGAGCTACCACTACACTGAGGCCTGGTGACAAAGCAAGACCCAGTCTCAATCAAACAATCAATAAAAGGGAATTTAAAAAACGTTTGCGTTTGTGGGTAAAAAACCAAATTAGACATGATTTCTAGGTATGAAGCAACGTGGTGGGAGACTGAAAGTCTAGGTAAACTGGAAAAAAACATTATTTGTGCCTGATATAGTTATGTGGTCTCTGGCATCTGGTGTAGCTCTGCCCTTGGAAAGCTCAACTTGTCAACATCACCTTAAAACGAAAACACAGATTTGGCTACACTTAATAGTGAAGTGCCTTGTTGGAGGAAAACAACAAGGGGGCCAAGTAAGGAGACAGAAATACCTAATCTCCAAGCTGGTTCTTAATGGAACCGAGCAAATGGGTGATGAATAACCCGGGAACGCAGTAAGACAGGCCAGAGAGGTAATGCGCCCAAGAGAAGAGAGACGAGGGGCGGCCAGGGGGAGAGGAAGCTCGAGAGGAATCGCTAGGAAGGAAACGGAGAAGACCACGCCAGGACAGCCCTGCCAGCCCCCTACCTCCGGCGGGGCCGCAGGGGAGAGTCTCACTCGAGTCGGACGCCGCAGCCCGGTGGGGCCCGGGCCCCGCTTCAAAAACAGCCGGGGCTGCGTCGCCGCTGTCATCCCACCCCACCCTCCACCCGTCGCTCCCCCACCGCGCGCCCCGCCCGGCCCGTGCGCCCGACCCAGGCTCCCTCCCTAGAGTCCCGACCTCTAGCCCTGTACCCCACTTCCCAGGGTCCCGTCCTCCAGCCCCTTAAGCCCCTCCCCAGGGTCTGGTCCCCCGGCCCCGCACCCCTCCCCAGGGGCCCGTCCCCCGGCGCTGAACCCGCACCTCCCTCCCCAGGGTCCAGTCCCCAGCCCTGCACTCGCACTCCCCTCCCAGGCCCGAGCCCGCTCCCGCCCTCCCGGCCCTGGGCTCTCAGCACCAGGCTCCCGCCCTCAGCCTCTTCTCCTCCCGCGCCCGCCGCCGCTCCTCACCTCCTCGGCGGCCGCCGCTGCACTCGCTGGGTCTTGGTTGCGGCGAAACCCGGGGCGCAGCGGCGCAGGGGTCTGGAGCCCGCAGGGGTCGCCGGGCTGAGCGCGCTCGGCCGCTTCCGGTGCTGCGCTGCGGAACTCAGAGGACTTAGTGCTCGGCAAGCCCAGAGACTCAAACACCATATCCCTGGGGGGGCTCCTCACGCTGTGTTCGGCAGGGAGGCGAGAGCGCCGGTTCAGCCAGAGACAGCTGGGGGAACCGCGCCGAACACGCTCCGGGCGGCCATTTTGTAACTCGAATCTACCCCCAAAACCAATTCGAAAAAAAGGGAGGAAAGAAACGCCCGCGTTCAGCTACTGCGCAAGCGCGCCGGCGCTTCCGGCAGTAGCACCTCCTTCCGCCGGCCGGGCCCCTTACGCGGCGCATGCGCCCAGCTCCCTGGAAACCGGCGCGGGGCTGAGAATGCCGGTCTCGCGCAAGCGCGCACGCGCCGACCTTGATCTCGTAGCCGGCGCCAGCAGCCGCGCTTTGGGGCGTCGGCTCACGTGGGGCCGGCAACGCGTCTTCCAGGATGTTCGCGCGCTAGTCGCCGCTGAGGGGCCGGCGATGCGCGAGGAGTTCCGGCGAGGAAGGTCGGTCAGTGGACATGGCCGAGGCCCGCGGTGTCCGCGTGTGGGAGCTGCAGGGCTGAGGAGAGGCCGCCCGCAACCCTCGGGAATCGTGTGAGGTGCCACTGGGGTCGCTTCACATCAGGAGGCCCCGTCTCGGGGGACGCGCGCAGGTGACCCTGCTGGTCGTACCTGGCCGGGGTGGCCCGGAGGGGCTGGGTCTCGGCGCCAGGAGGGGCCGTGTGGGCCGCCTGTTAAAGGACCCCTCGTTCGCTGACATTTGATTTTGCATTGGGTGCCTTCTCTTCTGTTTTTTTCAGCCAGTGAGATCCGTCCTGGGCACTCAGCTGTAGAGCAGGGGAACGAGTCCTGCGCTTTTTGCGCTGAGGTCTCCTGGCCCGTAGGCCAGGCAGCCTCTGAGCTCCTTTCTCACCAGCAGCTTGCGATCCCTCATCCCTGGCCCTGTCACTCCCAGCTGTTTCCAGTGCCGCCCTTTTTTTTTTTTTTTTTTTGAGATGGAGAGTTTAACTTGTTCGCCCAGGCTGGAGTGAAGTGGCACGATCTTGGCCTACTGCAACCTCTGCCTCCCGGATTCAAGCGATTCTCCTGCCTCAGCCTCCCGAGTAGTTGGGATTACAGTCGTGCGCCACCACGCCCGGCTAATGTTTATATTTTTAGTAGAGACGGGTTTTCACCATATTGGTCAGGCTGGTCTCGAACTCGTGACCTCAGGTGATTCCCTCCCCCCGCCCCACCACCTCAGCCTCCCAAAGTGCTGGGATTACAGGCCTGAGCCACCGTTCCCGGCCTCGAGCGCCTTCTTATAAACTGGATGGTGGTTTTTGTTTTCACCTTCAAAGTCGAATCTCCCTAGTCCGTTTATTACCAGAAAGAGGTCTCCACTCAGACCCAGCGAGAGGCTTCTTGGATGTCGCGTAGGAAAGAATTCGGGGCGAGTCCACGGACTAAAGTGAAAGCAAGTGTATTAGAGAAGTGAGAAAGCAAAAGAATGGCAGAGCAGGGCATTCCTGAAAGCGGGAGGAGGAAGGCGCCCGCCTTAGGTACAGTGCTTGTTCAAATCTAAGGTAACACAGCCAAAGAAATCTTGGGGGACATGGGCTCTACCACGAGGGCCCACGACCAAGGTTTCATGCGCGTCCGTGTGAAGAGACCACCAAACAGGATTTGTGTGAGCAACATGGCTGTTTATTTCACCTGGGTGCAGGCGGGCTGAGTCCAAAAAGACAGTCAGCGAAGGGAGATAGGGGTGGGGCCGTTTTATAGGATTTGGGAAGGTAATGGAAAATTACAGTCAAAGGGGGTTGTTCTCTGGTGGGCAGGGGTGGGGGGTCACAAGGTGCTCAGTGGGGGAGCTTCTGAGCCAGGAGAAGGAAATTCACAGGGTTAATCACTTAGTTAAGGTTGGGCAGGAACAAATCACGATGGTGGAATGTCATCAGTTAAGGTGGGGCAGGGCCTTTTCACTTCTTTTGTGATTCTTCAGTTACTTCAGGCCATCTGGGCGTATACGTACAAGTCACAGGGGATGCGATGGCTTGGCTTGGGCTCAGAGGCCTGACACAAGGATTGTTCATCTTTGTTTACTGACTTTGGCAAAGATCTATATTATCTTTAAAGCGAAACCTAAATGAAGAATGCTTTTGATCTTAAGATATTGTTAGGTTTTGAAGGGAAGACGAGAGTTAAAGAATGACACACAGGTCGGGCGCTGTGGCTCACGCCTGTAATCCCAGCACTTTGGGAGGCCGAGGCGGGTGCATCACCTGAGGTCAGGAGTGGGAGACCAGCCCGACCAACATGGTGAAACCTCATCTCTACTAAAAATACAAAAATTAGCGGGGCGTGGTGGCACATGCCTGTAATCTCAGCTACTTGGGAGGCTGAAGCAGGAGAATCACTTGAACCCGCGAGGCAGAGGTTGCAGCGAGCCAAAATCACGCCATTGCACTCCAGGCTGGGTAATACAGTGAGACTGCGTCTCAAAAAAAAAAAAAAAAAAAAAAAAAAACAAAGGGCAGCTCAACAGCAACACAGGTATATGGCAAAAACCTACAGAGATGGGGGATCAGCTTAATGCCAGAGCCCACTGCTGCTTACAGGCTGGGGTACTTATAGGGCAGGAGGGGAATGGGCAGTATGGCTTGCCATGTGAATATACTTACCAGTATATCTATCCATAAAACGTTCTATGATCAGGCAGTTTGGCCCTTGTTCCCTCAGAAAGTGACAGTGATGTTCCTTGCACCTTTGCTGAGCAAGGTTTGATAGGGATGTTCCTTCAATTGGGCCTTTACCCAACAGGGTTTGGTAAGAAAGTTGGGCAGGAAATTTCTCACGGCCTGAACCCCCGTGGAATGTTTCGCTTTGACCAGTGTCTGCGAAATGGCGGGGGGCTTAGAAAATGGTGCAGTTTGGCAGGGCGTGGTGGCTCACGCCTGTAATCCCAGCACTTTGGGAGGCTGAGGCGGGTGGATCACAAGGTCAAGAGATCGAGACCATCCTGGCCAACATGGTGAAACCCTATCTCTACTAAAAATACAAAAAATTAGCCGGGCGTGGTAGCGGGTGCCTGTAGTCCCAGCTACTCAGGAGGCTGAGGCAGGAGAATGGCGTGAACCCAGGAGGCGGAGCTTGCAGTGAGCTGAGATTGCCCCACTGCACTCCCGCCTGGGCAACAGAGCGAGACTCCATCTCAAAAAAAAAAAAAAAAGAAAGAAAGAAAATGGTGCAGTTTGGACTAACAGATACAGCGACATCAAAATGTTTCCTGGGTCTGTTAAGTCCTGGGTTTGTTTAGTGAACGTTATTAATCTGTTCCTGTAACCCTAAACATCTTGTGACTACTAAGAATGCAGCCAACAGGTCTCTGCCTGATTTTACCTACTGCCTCTTCAAGATGGAATTGCTCTGGTTCCAATGCCTCTGACAAACTGGCTGCTTGATCTCTAGGTTGTGACCATGTCAGGGATAGAGGCAGCTTAGGTAGAGGTAGACTTTCTTGTACTCAACATTGAATTGTGGCTTAGTTAAAATCAGAACTTTCATTCTTGGAATAATACAGTATTGTAAGGGTAAGCCAAATGATTAACACATTTACTTAATTACACATTGTAGCATTGAAATAACTGATGCCTTTCTAATGCAAATAAAAAAGATTTATGTATATGATAGCACTGTAGCTGTCTTGCGCCTTACTGGATGGATTTCATTGCTGGCTAAAATGACAACTTTAAACTGGCTATAACTCAGAAGAATGGAGGCACTTTGCACGCAGACATCTACCTCCATTGAATTTGGCTACTTCCTTTTAATGAAGCTCAAGTCTCATGTTATGAAATACTCCTCCAAAGGTGTTAGCCCTTTTTTCCTATACTCTGCCTTTCAAAAATCCCTTTCAATTTGCTTAACCCCTGAGAGCCAAAGGACTGTGATGGTTGTTAGGCTGGGTCATTGTCATCATGTTCAGTAAATAAATACCCAGACATGTCAGTTTACCTACTTTACCTGATTCCAAATGAGTCCATGGTGATGTGATCCTGCCTTTCTTTCTGCTGTTAGAGGTCCATGCCAGGAGCCAGCTTTGTATCAGTTTTGCCACAGTGATCAGGTCATAAATGTCTCAGATCATTCAAGCCCAGTTTAACCTAGCAAAGAAAATGGCAAGATAATATTGCTGTGTTCTAGCTGTGTTCTGGCCTTCATTTTAGGTAGGCTTAAACCTCGACCTGGAGTCATTCCTGTTACGATTTACCAGAAAACACCCAACAGGAAGCCTACAGAACTACACTTTGCTCCTAATGTTAAGGAATGAAAACAGGAAATGTTCTGTTATCTGCCTGGCAGTGGGGCTTTGGAGTTAATCTCCTGGCCGTATCACTTACCAGCTTGGCAGCCTTGGACAAACTGAGCTCTGAGCTCAAGTTTCCTCATCTGTAAAGCGAGGGTGTATTATGTACCTTCATTTGGTTGTACAGATTAAGTGTGAACACTTAGGTAAAGCACACAGTATGGGGCTGAGTAAATGGACTGTTAAATAAGACAGTATCACTTGTTTTTAAGTTCCTTGGAGCTTTCTCCCCTAAACAGCTCAAAAGATTTTCATTTTTTTCTAATGCTAATATTTTTCTAATTCTTGTTTTAAAATATTTTACTGTAAAATATTTTGGCCAGGTGTAGTGGCTCACACCTGTAATCCCAACACTTTGGGAGACCAAGGCAGGAGGATTGCTTGAGCCCAGGAGTTGGAGACCAGACTGAGCAACATAATGAGACCTCGTCTCGTCAAAAAACAAAAATGGAAAATTTTTAAAAAACAGGCCGGGCATGGTGGCTCACGCCTGTAATCCCAGCACTTTGGGAGGCCAACGTAGGCAGATCGCTTGACCCCAGGAGTTTGAGACCAGCCTTGGCAACATGGCAAAACCCTATCTCTACGAAAACTGTTTAAATTAGCTGGGCGTGGTGGCACGTGGTGGTTCTAGCTACTTGGGAGGGCTGACGTGGGAGGATTGCTTAACCCCGAGAGGTCGAGGTTGTAGTGAGCTGTGATTGCACCACTGCACTCCAGCCTGGGCGACAGAGCAAGACCTTGTTTCAACACAAGTAAAATATTTGTGAAATGGGAATTCAGTTTCATTTTTTTTTTAACTGATCAAAAATATAACTTTCACCCCCACTGAGGCTTAAAAGAACAAAAACAAAAAAGTGTGACTGACATTCGGCGGTTTTGGCTTCTAGACCGCCACTAATATTGAGCTGAGTTCCTGTAACTCTGGCTAAAAGCAAAGAGCTGTGTTTTAGCCAGAGCAGTTTTATTATGAGTTAGATTTATGATTTCCAGTAGGCTTTTTGAAATGTTGGCCAGAGGTCAGGGACTCCCTGTCCCCATTCATAGATTCTAGACTGAATCTCTTTCAATATGAACACATTTGGCTCTTTAAGAAAGACTTAACTAAACTGGGATTCAACTGGATTGCCTCGAGACTTTGGGCAGAGCACATGACTTATTTTGTCCTAGAGATTCCAATCTGCTGGACACTCAGAAACTTTCACAACTTCTATTTTTCACATTTTTTCATATTTTAGGCTTCAGTGCAGAAGGATTAAAAGTAATGGCTAAGTTTTCTAATGCTGTTATTTATTTTTTCTTGAGGCTTTATGGTCACTAAAAAAGTAACAATATATAGTACGTAAAAAAACTTAAAGATACTGTGGCTTATAAAAGCGTATCTTTTTTCTGAGAACAAAATTAGCCAATTAAATAATAAAACCATCAAGAGATGTCACCAGTCAATGATGATGGGGCAAAAATTGTTCTGCATTCCGAGGAGGGAGAAATCGATGCAAGCAGAAGCGATTAAACATTCACATCTTGGAGCTAAATGACCTCCTAGGATGGATGGGTTTTATAGAGGTGGAGAGGTGGGGGGAGGGTGCTGGATGAAATAACTGGAAAATCTCCTTTTTCTTACTATTTTTCTTCAGTCCCTTTATAGGCACAACTGCTTAAAGAAACCAGATGGCCCCAGGATGGTGCCAGAGCTTCCTGACCCCTTATCAGATACCAGAGGAAGATAAGACTGCAGAGCGGAACAGGATAGGCAACCCCTGGTTGGCTTCAGATCATTATCATGTCGTTATAATGCTAAAATTCCTTCTCCTAAAAGAAAGTCTCCACCATTTTGTGTACATGTGATGTATGAAGACGTATGTTTATGAATTGTGTGTGCACATTTAGAGTCTCACTTTGCACATGCTAACATTCCTCTCCTGTCCCACACCTAGTCCTAAAAACTCCATGCCTTCTAGTGTTTGGGGAGAAGGGGCATTTAGAGTTAAGAGCCCCTTCCCTGGCCAGCGACTAAAACCTGGTTACCGTTTACAGTTGAATGTCCTCTGCGTAAATCGATACAAAGTGGGGAAAGAGCTGAGTTTACCAGTGACGACTGGAAGACCCTCTCTTTGAGATTTGTACCAAACCAGGTCTCAGTCTGCCTGTACATGCTCTGTCATTGCTTTCACTGTGTTGACCTACTTGCTGCTTTACCCTTTGTGTCTGGCCCTCTCTTGTACTTAGTTCTTTCCTCCTGTCCGTCTCCACCCTCTTTCACATACTTTTTCTCAGTTTTGTGACTTTAGCAGACCTTTTCGGCTGGCCCCCAGCACATCCCATGGCCTGGCAGCAGGTGGTTTCTGCCTGGAGGGCTCAGCCATCAAAAGATTTCAAGATGTATATTTTGTAAGGCAAAGCCTATACTCATAGACTTTGTGAAGGACCTGGTTGGGGAGACAGGAGAAAAAATGGATGGGAAAAAAGTAGTAAGCAGTTTTACTGTGTGAGATATTAGTGGGCGAGATAACATTGAAGCAGTGCTTGATTAAATACCAAATGAAGTTCCAATGGTAGCTGAGAGAAGGGAGGGGAGAGACCATTTCAGACTGGGGCCTGTGTTAGTCTGCTTGTGCTGTTGTAGCAATGTAGCACAGACTGAGTGGTTTAAACAAAAGATTGATTTCCTCACCGTCCTGGAGTCTGGATATCCAAGATCAAGGTGTCAGCAGGGTTAATTTCTTCTGAGGACTCTCCTTGGCTTTTAGATGGTCACTTTCTCCCCGTGTCTTCATGGTCTTCCCTCTCTATTTTGTCTGTGTCTCTAATCCCTTATACAAACACCAGTCAGGCTGGGCACGGTGGCTCACACTTGTAATCCCCACACTTTGGGAGGCTGAGACAGGAGGATCACTTGAGGTCAGGAGTTTGAGACCAGCTGGACCAGTATGTTAAAACCCCGTCTCTACTGAAAATACAAAAATTAGCCAGGAGTGGTAGCTCACTCCTGTGGTCCCAGCTACTTGGGAGGCAAAGGCAGGAGAATTGCTTGAACCTGGGGAGGGTGAGGTTGCAGTGAGCTGAGATCATACCACTGCACTCCAGCCTGGGCAACAGAGCAAGACTCCATCTCAAAAACAAATAAAGCCGGACGCAGTGGCTCGCGCCTGTAATCCCAACACTTTGGGAGGCCGAGGCAGGCAGATCACTTGAGGTTAGGAGTTCGAGACCAGCCTGGCCAACACAGTGAAACCTCATCTCTGCTAAAAATACAAAAATTAGCTGGGCATGGTGGTACACGTCTGTAGTCCCAGCTACTTGGAAGGCTGAGGCAGGAGAATCGCCTGAACCCAGGAGGCAGAGGTTGCAGTGAGCCGAGATTGTGACATTGCATTCCAGCCTGGGCGACAAGAGCAAAACTCCGTCTCAAAGACAGACAAACAAAAAACACCAGTCCCTGGATTTCTAACTGCCTCATTTTAATTTAGTTACTTCCGAGGCCCTTTCTCCAAATGTAGTCACTTTTTGAGGTACTGGGGGTTAGGTCTTCAACATAAGAATTTGAGGGAAATAAAACTGAGCCCATAGCAGGGTAATAGGAAAGGCTTTACCAAGTTAAAGCTGGGATTGGAAATACCCCATTTCTGTGATTAAAAAATGTACCTTTGACATTTCTGAAATCAGTATATTTCTGACCTTCAGGGTACAGTTTAAAAAGGCATACTGCCCTGGTTTTACCATTAGTGGTTGAAAGGATGGACAGTACAGACTTCTACTGGGAAAGAGGTCTTAGTGTTAGATGCATCAGCTTCTTGGGTCAGGGGCAAGATTTTTCTCTAAGTTGCCTATCGGAATTGAATCTGCCTTGCCTGAGCCTCTCCTTTCAGACTTTCTTCCCTCTCCCCAGCCATCAGTGACCTTTCAGTCTTCATCCCAGGTCCTCTTTCTTCCTCTGCCTCAGAGCCTAGTTAATTGCTTCTATTCAGTGAAATTAGAGTTCAAGAGTCTGGGACTGGGATTCCTTCTCAGAGAATGCAGGAGTAGAAGGCAAACACATCTGACTTCTTGCTTACGTCATAGAACATTACAGGATGCTGTGGACTGAATTGTGTCCCCCACGAATTCGTATGTTGAAACCCTAACTCCTAGTGTGATTGAATTTAGAGTAAGAAAGTAATTAAGGTTAAATGATGTCATATGGCATGTGAAAACACAGCCAGAAGCTGGCCATCTGCATACTACCAGGAACTGACTTGCCAGCCTCCAGGACTGTGAGAAAATAAACTGTTGCTTAAGCCATCAGTCTATGGTGTTTTGTTAAAGCAGTCCAAGCTAACTAACACACAGAGGTACGAGTCCCTCTGAAAATTGTCAGTGTTCCTTCAGTTCTCTTTGGGTCAACTTCAGTCTAAGAATAGGTCTTAGGCCAGTCAAGCTGTACCCCTGACACTGAGGATGGTTCCACTAATTCGCCATCCCCTAATTCAGGAGGGGGAAGGATAGATACGTGAACAAAATTGAGATCCTTTTGAGAAGGAAGAGGAAGGGAATCAGTGCTGGGCGCACATTTAGCAATGTCCAGATGCCCATATGCGATACGACCATGATATGATCTTAGGTGGCA
Organism: Homo sapiens; assembly: GCF_000001405.40. Classification (NCBI taxonomy): domain Eukaryota; kingdom Metazoa; phylum Chordata; class Mammalia; order Primates; family Hominidae; genus Homo; species Homo sapiens. The sequence continues at coordinate 45,155,216 of NC_000022.11, read as the reverse complement.
TTAATTGAATACTATTTAGAAGGAGGAAAATGGCCTTTTTCTACTCCCAGCAGTTGAGACCAAACTTGTAGTAGGCACAAGGAGAGGCAGCATAGAGGGTAGAGGCTAAGCATGCAGGGCCCTGGAGATTGGCTGCTTGCATTTTAATACTGTCTTTCACATCCTAGCATTGTGACTTTGAGCAGGATACTTCTGTGTCTCCTCATCTCCAAAATGGAGAATAATAATAGTAACCTAGCTAATGGGATTACTGAAGATTCAAGTAATACAATTGAAATGCTTTAAACAGAGCCTGGCACATAAATACTAAATAAAAATTGGTGTTTATAATTAGTCTGCTCTGGGAAACATTCTTTCAAGAAGCATACAGACTAAGTGCAACAGATTTAGAGAATGTGACTGAAAAGGGAAGGGGACAAGCCATGTCATCTAAGTGAAGGCTGAAGGAGCCAGGGGTGTTAAGACTAGAAATGGGAAAACAGGATATAAAACATTTGACACATCTGGAAAAGTCTCATATTGTTTGTTGTCTGTTATGTGTGTTTTGTGTGACTCAGAAGTAGATAAGACGAATAGTCCTAGAAGGAATGCAGAAGACAGTGAGATGGAGTTGAGAGTGTGATTTCACAGTCATAAAGACTCAAGTCTGAATTCCAGTTCTGTCACTGATTAGTTCTGTGCCCTTGGAGGTTTTACTCACATTCATGGAACCTCAGTTTGTCTGTCTGTAAAATGGAAATAATGACTTCTGCTGTTTGGTTGAGCGAGGTGATGGGGATGGTTCATGGTGAAGCAGAAAGGTACTACCAGATGAGTTTACTGGCTGCGATCTGGCCCTCAACTTTGCAGGTCTAAACTTTTGTAATTACCCAGAGATGAGCTTGGTGGCAGACCGACACTAATACCTCTTTCAGGGTTGTAGTGGGTTGAATAGTTAGTGGCCCTCAAAAGATATGTCAGCATCCTAACCCACTCAACTGGTGAATGTAACCTTATTTGGAAAAAGGGTCTTTATAGATGTAATTAAGGAACTTGAGATGATCCTGGATTTTCCAGGTGGACACTAAATGCAGGGACAGGTGTTCTTAAGGGAGGAAGAGCAGGCAGCCATGGGAAGACAGCAAGAGAATGGAGGTATGCAGCCATAAGCCAAGGAACACCTGGAGTCACCAGACACTGGAAGAAGCGAGGAAAGATTCTCCCTAGAGCCTTTGGAGGGAGCGTGGCCCTGCTGGATTTTCAACTTTACCCTCCAGAGCTGTGAGAGAATAAATTTCTCTTGTTTTAAGCCACCAAGTTTGTGGTAACTTGTTAGAGCAGCCTCAGTAGCCACTAAATAAAGTCCAGTTGATTAGGGAAATCTATCTGGCTTAACTAATGATAAAAACAAATTTAAGAAAATAATTCCTTTGGGAGGCCAAGGCAGCAGGATTGCTTGAGGCTAGATGTTTGAAACCAGCTTAGGCAACTAAGCAAAACGCCATCTCTGCAAAAATAAAAAAAAATAGCTGCACATGGTAGCACATGCCTGTAGTTCTAGCTACTAGGGAGGCTAAGGTGGGAAGATTGTCTGAGCCCAGGAGTTGGAGGCTGCAGAGAGCTGTGATCGCACCATTGACTCCAGCTTGGGCAATAGAGTGAGACTCTGTTGCTCCAAAAAAAAAAAAAATAGCCATCAGAAGAAGGTGTTGTTAATAAAAACCAGATAAACTGGGTTTGGAAAAGAATATTTTGCCATATGAATCCATCCCTGTCCAGGTGAAAGAGATGAGGAGCCTAGAGACGAAAGATTTTGGTTACTACTGAAGTGTTCTGTTCAGTGGGTCATGGACGTTTCATTATTAGGCTGCTTCCTGGTCTGAGTGAAATCTCTTCAAGACGATTCCTTTCTTTGCTGCAGTTCAGCATTTATCAAAAAATAGCCAATGGAATGCCAGTGCTGAGAAATGCTCTGAAGTAAAAGTATTCCATGGTTAAATAGGCTCGGGGTGTCGTATCTCCCCAGTCTTAGAGCTTCACAAGCACATCATCATAGGAGCCAAGAAGTTATGACATAAAGCTGTTTGAACTATTTAATATTTTCACAAATGTATTTGAGCCCAGGACCTTTGTATAGCAAAATAATACCACATTAGAAACATTAATAATTACATTTCCCAAGTATCCTGGTATGGGGAAAGAATGCCCTGGTTAAGAAATTCAAGACAATAAAAGCTGAGTGCGGTGGCTCACGCCTGTAATCCCAGCATTTTGGGAGGCCAAGGCGGGCAGATCACCTGAGGTCAGGAGTTCGAGACCAGCCTGGCCAAAATGGTGAAACCCCATCTCTACTAAAAATACAAAAATTAGCTGGGCGTGGTGGCGGGCGCCTATAATCCCAGCTACTTGGGAGGCTGAAGCAGGAGAATCACTTGAACCCAGGAGGTGGAGGTTGCAGTGAGCTGAGATCGCGCCAGTGCATTCCAGCTTGGGCAACAGAGTGAGGCTTCATCCCCCTCAAAGAAAAGCCAAACTAATAAGATTCAAAATGATAAAATAATAAATTGGTGTTTTTTTATACTTTGCCCTATAGTAGTTTCCTTGCCTCTTCCAGCTTCTGGTGGCTGCCCCAGCATTCCTGAGCGTGTGGCTGCGAAACTCCAGTCTCTGCCCCCACCTTCACATCATCTTCTCCATGTCTCCTTACCTTCCTTTGCCTCTGTCTTGAAAAGACACTGTGATGGCATTTAGGACCCACCCAGCTAATTCAGTGTGTTCTCATCTGCAGATCCTTGATCAAGTCACATTTGCAGAGACCTCTTTTTCAAATAAGGTAACATTTCCAAATTCCTGGGATTAAGACTTGATATCTTTGGGTGGTCATTATTTAACCTACTACAATTGGGCCTATCCCTAGGCCATGCCAGCCTGGGTGATAAAGCGAGACTCTGTCTCAAAAAAAAAAAAAAAAAAAAATCTTTAATTGCTGAAAAGCATGAAATGTTTCCTTTCCGTCCCTGAATTTTCTCATGTCATTTTTTTCACTGGAATGCCTTCTCCCTCTTCTTTGTTTATCCAAATTCTACTTTATCTTCCAAAGCCCATCTCACCTTCTCCAGTAAGTCTTCCCTGAGTGCTCCAGCTTTTGATCAGCTCCTCCTCAGAATCCTCTGGCACCACCGGTATCATTCTTCTGAGCCCTCTTCATGTGCATTGTCTTGGCATTTAAAGTAGGAGTTTGTGTGTACATGAACACGAGTATATGTACACATGTGTGATCTTCCCATTTACATTTAAGATCCTCGAGCAGTGTTTTTCAGCTTTGGGCTCCTCTGGTCTCTGGGGATTACGAAGAGGTAGTAATGGCTTCATTACAGCTTATCACAGGGACACTGCTAGAGATGTAAAAATGAGTGAGACATGGTCCCTATCTATAGGAAATTCAGAGTGTGGGACGGGCTCCAGTCATAGAAACAGAATTTCAATACGGTATGCTGAGAGCTGTAATACAGACACGCACAGGATGCAGCTGTAGGTGTGTGCGCTTCAGGAGGTCTTCTTCAGAAAGTTTATCACTGGTCACATGTTTATCCCACAACGGGTTTTCACATTTTAATTAGAATGTCAGCTTTTTCTCTTGGTTGGCATTTTTTTCAACTCAGTATGATCATTCTAGATGTTTCCTGCTGATGAAATTTGATTGACATTTTGTCTTTGATTTAAAAAAATAAAAAAAATGATGAAGTTGTAAGCTAATAAATGCAGTTTGGCAGATGAAATCTTTAAAAGCCTGGGAGTTCATTGGGTAAAAGTATAAAAGTTGTCCAAAAGGAATCACTTCTCTAGAGGTGAATGTTTTAAACTTAACTTGTGTTATGCATGTGGTAGTTGTTTGCTAGAGTCTGGGTTGTGTCCCCCCAAAATTCATCTTTTGAAGTCCTAATCCCTGTACCTCAGAATGGGATTGCATTTGGAGACAGGGTCCTTAAAAAGGTAATTACGTTAAAATAAAGTCATTAGGGTGAGCGCTAACCCAGTATGAATCCTGTCTTCTTAAGAAGAGTGAATTTGGATGTAGATGCGTGGACAGAGGGAAGACCATGTGAGGAGGCGTCGGCAAGCCGAGGAGGGAGGCCTTAGAAGGAACCACCCTGCTGACACTTTGATCTTGGACTTCTGGCCACCAGAACTGTGAGAAAAGAAATTTCTGTTATTTAGCCACTAGGTCTATGGTAGTTTGCTGTGACAGCCCTAGTACTAACATTTTGTTTAATAACCGTTTTCTTATATATTGGCTCTCAGGGCCCTTCATAGACATCTTGCCCTGGTCCGTTTACTCAGCCTTCTGTCCTGACAGTCCCTCACACCTTCTATGCCCGCTGACCTCTCAGTGTTCACTGAATACATCCTGCCTTTGAATGCCTCCGAGTCCTTCCTGAGGATTCTCTCTGCCTGGATTGCTGTTTCTTCTCCTAGTTGGACTTCTTTGAAAACCTTAGTCAAATGTGTGCTCTGGGGAGCCTTCCAGGGCTCCCAGGCTGAGTTAGAAGTTTTTTATGGCATTGTATTTTCATGAAAGTGTCTCCTCATTAGACAGTGTGCTCCTAAAGTATAGGACTTAGGTCTGATTCATTTTTGTACCTCTAGAGCCAAACATGGTGTATTAGTTTGCTCAGACTGCCATTATTAATACAATATCACAGGCTGAGTAGTTTAAACAACGAACATTTATTTTCTTACAGTTCTGGATGCTGGAAGTTCCAGATCAAAGCCCAGCAGAGTTGGTTTCTAGTGAGGAGTCTGTTCCTGGCATGTAGAGAGCTGCCTTCTAGCTATGTTCTCACGTCTTTCCTCAATGCATATGTGAAGACAGAGGTCAGGCCAGGGGGAGGGAGAGAGGGCTCTCTGGTGTCTCTTCTTATAAGGACAGTAATCCCACATGTGGTCAAGGCCCTACCCTTATGATCTAATTTAACCTTAATTACTTCCTTATTGGTCCTATCTCCAAATGAAGTCACACTGGGGATTAGGGCTTCAATATATGAATTTTGGGGGGACACAGTTCAGCCTATAACACATGGTCAATCATGATTTAAGCTGATTTGGAAAAAATTAAGTCTCAATTGTTAGTGAACACCAGTCTCTATATTGATATGAGCTATTGGCAAATAATTCTATTTGAATAAAAAGAATATTTTGAATAAAAGGTAGAATCAAATATTGACAACCATGAACACACGTGGAATAAGATACTCTAGGATTATATTATCTACATAATTATATATGCAGAGTCCTTGCACCAAGTTGTATTAGGCAAGGATATTACAATCACTCTCATTGGAATCTTCCAGAAGAACATATTACGTTTCAGATGTTTATAATAGCAATAAGCCACTCAGTCTCTGACTCAGCTTAACTATTTTCATAATTGTTTTAAGCTTTAGGCTCAGAATTTTTTGCCAGCAAAACTCACACTTGACAAACACAGACTGCTGAATGCAAAACAAGTTTTTAGTATTTACAATTGGATAAACTTGATATGAAAAGAACAACTTAGAGCTTTTTTATAAATACAGACTAGAGGATAAGCTACTGAGTAAAGTTCTATATCATAGAGACTAATGAAATCCCAATTTAGATTTTATTTTAGGTTGGTTTTGTAGTGAAAAACCAACCTTCAAAGAAAGGAGTAATGTTCAGGTGTGCACTTAAGAAACCAAAATAATCTAAGTGAAATACCTAATATATAAGGCCGGGTATAGATGCTTCTCAGCTTACGATGAGGTTATGTCCCTCATCATAAGTTGAAACTATTATAAACCTAAAATGCATTTACTACACCTGACCTACTGAACTTCATAGCTTAGCCTAGCCTACCTAAAACTTGCTCAGAACATTTACGTTGGCATACAGTTGGGCAAAATCATCTAACACACAGCTTATATTAAAATGCTGAATATCTCATGCAGTTTATTGAGTACTGTACTGAAAGGGAAACACAGAATAGTTGTATAATTACTCAAGGTATGGCGTCTACTGAATGGGTACTGCTTTTGCATCTTTGTAAAGTTGAAAAATCTTAAGTCAATTCATTGTAAGTCAGGGACCGTTTCTACCAATAATTTAGAGACCTTGAGTATATTAGGGTACACTGGGTTGGCATCTACATAGATTCTAGGTGGAGATAAAATCCTGACAGCTGTATAGTTTCATGATTATGATTTTCAGGTGAAATATACAGCCTGGGAGAAATGTAATGTTTGAGGATATCGGAGATACGGTGCCTATAATTACTACACAAAAAAACCTAAGAGGGCATTAGTATATTAGTTTTTATCTTCAAGTTTACCTTACTCTTCATACATGTCACTGATGCTAAGATCTGTTAAATGAAAATTCTGGAAAAAATGAATATGATCATTGTACAGTGTATGAACCTTGATATTGTGGCCTAGAAGATATTATAAAACAAGATTGATTCTAACTGAAAAGCTTACACATTCTCTAAGCTCCAAATCAGATGTCGAGGGTAGGAGCACTTCTGGAATAGTGGATAAAGACCTGAGAAAATCAACAATTCCATAAAAGCAACAAGACCAAGCAAGATACATGAAATAAAAAGCAACAACTAAAGGGAGAAATGCAATACCCACTTTTCAATAATAGATAAAACTACCAGGCAGACGATCAACAAGGAAATAGAAGACTTAACACTATAAAGCAACTAGACCTTATAGACACCTAGAGAACATTCCACCCAAGAACATCAGAATACATACTCTTCACAAGTGCCCGTAAAACATTTTCAAAGATAGGCCATGTATTAGGCCATAAAACAAGCCTTATAAAATTAAAAGGATTGAAATCATACAAAGTATGCTCTCCCCTCACAAGGGAATTAAATGAGAAATTATTAACAGAAGGAAAGTTGGGAAATTCACAGATATGGAAATTAAACAACAAACTCATAAATAATGAATGGTTAAAGAAAATCACAAGGGAAATTAGAAAATATTTGGAATGAATTAAAGTGAAGACATAACACCAAAACTTACGGGAAGCAATAAATGCAGAGCTTAGAAGGAAATTTATATTAATAAGAGATCTCAGTCACAATGTCTTGTGCCTATAATCCCAGGGACTTGCAAGGCTGAGGCAGGAGGATCACTTGAGCCCAGGAGTTGGAAGCTGCCATGAGCTGTGGTCACACCATTGCACTCCAGTCTGGGCCATAGAGTGAGACTAAAAAAAAAAAAAAAAAAAAAAAAAAAAAAAAAAAAAAAGAGTGAGGGCTCAGGCCAATAACCAAATCTAAAATCTTTTACCTTTTAAGAAAGTAAAAGAAAAAGGGGTGGGGGGGTGGGGAGGGGCAGCGAGGAGTAAAGCAAGCTAAAGCCAAAGCAAGCAGAAGAGAAAAAATCACGGATTTTAGTGGCAATACAGAATAGAAATAGAATAGAGAAAAATCAAAAGTTACTCCTTTGTTCTTTTCAAGCTTTTTAGTTAGACTGACCAAGAAAAAAAGACTCAGGTTACTAAAGTCAGAAATGAAAGAGGGCATCACAAATGCCCTTAAGATTAAGAAGGGCTATAAGGGAATATTATGAATAATTTTATGCCAACAAATTGTATAACCTAGATGAAATGGGCAAATTCCCAGAAAGATAAAATTACCAAACCTTGAGAAGAATTAGAAAATCTGAATAGATTTTTAACAAGTAAGGAGATTGGGTTAGTAATTTAAAAAAACCCCAAAACCCTCCCAACAAAGAAAAGTCGAGGACCAGATGGTGTCACTGGTGAATTCTACCTAACATTTAAAGAATTAACACCAATCTTCTCAAACTTCCAAAAAACAAGAGAAGAAAACGCTTCCTAACTCATTCTATGAGACTAGCATTACCATGACACCAAAGCTAGACAAAGGCAGTGCAAGAAAACTGTAGACCAATATTCCTTATGAACATAGATGTAAAAATTCTCGAGAAAATACTAGCAAACTGAATTCAGCAGCATATTAAAAGAATTGCAGATATTTGTCACTTATGAGGAGGAAACTTTCTGAGAAATGCATCATTAGGCAATTTTGTTGTTGTGTAGACGTCCTAGAGTATACTTACACAAACCTAGCTGGATAGCCTACTACACACCTAGTCTGTGTGGTATAGCCTATGCTCCTAGGCTACAAACCTGTACATGTTGCTGCATTGAATACTGCAGGCAACTGTAATACAGCGGTAAGTATTTGTGTATTTAAACATAGAAAAGGTGCAGTAAAAGTAAAGTATTATAATCTCAAGTGAGCACCATCATATATAACGCTGTTATGCAGCACATGACTGTATATACCCTGACCAAGTGAGATTTGTCTTGGGAATGCAAGCGTACTTCAACATATAAAAATCAATATCATACACCACATTAATAGAATAAAGGGAAAAAACTATATGATTATCTCAATTGATGCAGAAAAAGCATTTGATAAAAAAACTAACAGCTTTTCATGATAAAAACAGACAGCAAACTAATAATAGAAGGGAATTTTATCAACTTGATAAAAGGTATGAAAAACTCAAAAAGAACAGTATACTGAGTGTTTTCACCCTAAGATCAAGAACAAGACAAGGAAGGGCACTCTTGTTACTTCTCTGCAACACTGTACTGGGATTTGTAGCCAGGACAATTAGACAAGAAAAAGAAATAAAAGGCAAGATTTCAATGGGAAAGAATAGACTTTTCAACAAATGATGCTGGGACAACTGGATATCCACAGGAGAAACAATGAAGTTGAGCCCCCACCTCCCACCATATACAAAAATTAACTCAAATGAATCAATTAAATGTAAGAGCTAGAATCATAGACGTCTTAGAAGAAAGCATAGGCATAGATCTTCATTGCCTTGAATTAGGTTATGATCTCTTACTTATAACACCAAAAGCACAAGCAATAAAAGAAAAAATGAATTAGACTTCATCAAAACTCAAAACTTTTGTACTTCTTAAGATACCATTCAAGAAAGTGAAAAGATAACCAAAAGAATGAGAGAAAATATTTGCAAATCATATATCTGATAAGGGATATATATATATATAATATATATGTATACATATATATAAAGGACATGTTGGGACCAGGAGTGGTGGCTCACACCTGTAGTACAAACACTTTGGGAGGCTGAGGTGGGAGGATTACTTGAGGCCGGGAGTTTGAAACCAGGCTGGACAACGTAGTGAGACCCCCTCTCTACAAAATATGAAAAGTCAGCCCAGCTACTTGGGAGGCTGAGGCAGGAGGATCACTTGAGCCCAGGAGTTCGGGGCTGCAATGAGCTATGATTGTGCCACTGCACTCCAGCCTAGGTGACCAATTGAGACTCTGTCTCTTTAAAAAAAAAAAAAAGTGTATAACTCAACAATAAAAAAGACAAAAAGCCCAGTAAAAATGGGCAAACTACCTGAATAGACACTTCTTTAAAGAAGATATACAAATGGCCAATAAGCATATGAAAGATGTTCAACATCATTAGCAGGGAAATGCAAATCAAGACTGCAGAGAGATATCATTTCACACCCACTATGTGGATATAATAAAACAGACAACAAGTGTTGATGATGTAGAGAAATTAGAACCCTCATACATTGTTGGGGGGAATAAAAAATGGTGTAGCCACTTTGGGAGACAGTTTGGTAGCTCCTCAAAATGTTAAAAAACAGAGTTATCATATCACCCAGGAATGCCATGCCTAGGTATACACCCAAAAAAGTTGAAAACATGCCCATAGAAAAACTTTTACGCAAATGTTTATAGAATTATTCATAATTACCAGAAAGTAGAAATACCAAAATATCCATAAATGAATGAGTGGATACATAAAATATGGCATGTTCATACAATGGAATATTATTTGCAATAAGTAGAATGAAGTATTAATACATCCTGCAACTTGGATCTACCTTGAAAACATGCTAAGTGAAAGAACAGAAGACCAGTCACGGGAGACCACATATTGTATGACTTTGTTTATATGAAATAGCCATTATACAGAAATGCATGGAGATAGGAAGTAGAGTAGTGGTTGCTAAGGGCTGCAGGGAGGGGGGAATGGGAAGCAACTGTTAAGGAGTATGGATTTCTCTTTGGAGTGATAAAAATATAACACTTGATAGTGGTTGATTATTGCACAATTCTGTGAATGCATTAAAATCCACTAAATTGTGCACTTTGAAGGATGAATTTTATGGTTTGTGAATTATATCTCAACAAAGCTGTTATTAAGAAAAAACTACCATGGGACTTGAAAGCAGATTAAGGAAATAAGTATTCTTTGTAATTTTCCAACATGCTGTTTGTTAGAGGTTCATTTCAGAACTACCAGTTGTGTTGGAGGGATAAACTGTGAAGATCTCTGGTGTTCCTTCATTTGTGCTTCTAAAAGCTTATTGAGGACAGGAACCACATCAGTTTTATCTGTTTTCTAAGACTTTGGGAGTCCCGTGACATTAACCAAGAGTCTGCAATTACCCCTATGAGCCCCAGATGCACAAGTCATTAAAGACCAAGTCCTCACATCCTTCCTAATACAGCGCTGCTCACCAGGTTCTTTTCATTTGCCCTGTTTCAGTCAGACTGGACTGCTTATTCTCTATGTTGTTGTTACCACTATTTCTTTGTTCAAGCTTCTGTTTCTACCCAGAATGTTTCTCTCTGTCATCTCTACCTGTTAAAATCCTACCTACTATTCCTTATATCATCTCTTAATCATATGTTACTATTGTCTGGTATTGTCATTTTTTATAACCTTAGTAGACATGATTATTCTTTATATGATCAATGTTTATTTATAGTTGCCCACACATTTATTACTTCTTTTTTTTCATCTTAGAACTTCTAACTGGGAACTCTTTTCTAATGCCTGAAGCACAATTTGTAGTATTGCATTCAGTGAGGATCTACTGATACAGACTCTCAATTTTGTTTGTTGAAACTATTCTTATTTTAATTCTTGAAAATTTTCTTGGCAGTTCTTTTCTTTGAGATGCTTTCTTACACTGTCTTCTGATCTCTCTCACTGCTGTGGAAAATCAATCTATGGAAAAGCAGTCAATGCTTCTTTGAAGGGCATCCCCTCCATACACACTTTTACAACTTTTTTATTTGATTTTTTTTTTTTGCAATTTCACTATGATATATTAGATGACAGTTTCTTTTTGTTTATCTTGTTTGAGATGTACTGGGCTCTCAAATCTGTGGATAAGTGGTCAGACTGGTGAAACTCACAGCGTTATCTCTTCTGTTGTTTCCTCTGCTTGGTTTTCCCAGTTCTCTCTTTCTGGGACTTTGAGCAAATACATTAGACCTCCTTACTGTATCCCACACATCTCTTACCCTTTCCTCAGTATTTTCTGTCTTCTCCAGGCTGCATTCTGGATAATTTCTTCTGCATTGACTTTCAGTTCATTAATTCTCTCCTTGACTGTGTCCAGTCTGCCACTAATAGTCCATAGAATTTGAAATTTGGGATATCCTATTTTTCATTTTTAGGAATCCTGTTTGGCTCTTTTTCAAATATGTTTTTTTCACATTTTAGTTTCATGCTCCCTGAAAATATTTTTAAGTTTGTCATTTGTTTCATTTAACGTGGTAAGCATAATTGTTTTTATTTATTTATTTATTTGAGATAGGGTTCTTGCTCTGTTGCCCAGGATGGACTGCAGTGGCATGAACATGGCTCACTGCAGCCTCAACCTCCTGGGCTCATACAGTCTTCCCAGTTTAGCCTCCCAAGTTGCTGGGACTACACCACGCCCAGCTAATTTTCAAAAATATTTTATAGAGACAGGGTCTTGCCATGTCATTCAGGCTGGTCTTGAACTCCCAAGCTCAAGCAAGCCACCAGCCTTGGCCTCCCAAAGTGTCAGAATTACAGTCGTGAGCCACCATGCCCAGCTCATAATTGTTTTTAAAAGTAGCCTTGATAATTCCAGTTTCTAAAGCCTGTGCAGCTCTATTTGTCTTGTTTGTGGTTTTTCTTGGCCTTTCTTCATGTTGTCATATTCCTTTTTTTTTTTTTTGAGACAAAATCTCGCCCTGTCACCCAGGCTGGTGTGCAATGGTGCGACCTCGGCTCACTACAACCCCTGCCTCCCAGGTTCAAACGATTCTCCTGCCTCACCCTCCTGAGTAGCTAGGATTATAGGCGCCCGCCACCACGCCCAGCTAATTTTTCTATTTTTTAGTAGAGACGGGGTTTCACCATGTTGGCCAGGCTGGTGTAAAACTCCTGACCTCGTGATTTGCCCACTTTAGCCTCCCAAAGTGCTGGGATTACAGGCGTGAACCACCACGCCCGGCATGTTATCATATTGTTTTAAGTGCCTAATATCTTTGGCGTTTTGCCGTTACCCTGGAGGAATTATTTGTGTGGGTTCCCTGAGGCCTGGGAAGGACCTTCCCGTCTCTTCGTCTGCTAGATTCTTAGGGGCACCATCAGATGATAACTCTAGCCAAGTTAAAGTTTCAGGAGTCCTTGGCCCAAAAATGCTACAAGTGCCCTGGATGCCAGTCCACCTGAGGGCTGGCCCGTGGCCACATTCTCCCAAAGGCTGCTTATTTTCTTTTTTGAACTTCAGTTTCATTCCTTAGTCTCAAGGCTTCGGTCTCTGCATTCCCAGTAGCGCATGCGCGCGCGCGCGCGCGCGCGTGTGTGTGTGTGTGTGTGTGTGTGTGTGTGTGAAAATCTGGCTTGTATTTTTGTATTTGTCGTGCTGCCCCAAACCAATATGGGCAGCGTCTTCCATGTGATACCCACCCAGGCAGGTGGGTCCTGGGTTCTGATCTCTGTCATTCTGGCCTGAGGGCCATGGAACAGGACCACAAGTCCAGTGTATTAGAAAACATCCTCATTGCACAAATGGCTTGTGCTCTGAGACACTCTCCCTACCTCTCTGGGTACAGCTTCTTTTTAGTCTCAATGTTCTTAGCGGTTGTGTGGGGACAGCCAGCTACATGGTTGCTCTGATCCCTGTCCCCTGTTACTCATGCCCTGTGTAACTCCAGGATCTGTGACTTGCTTCTAACACATAGAATACTAATGGGATGTTTGTTTAATCCAGATTTTTAGATGTTTTCAGTGGTTGGGTCAGTCCTAGCTTGCCTGTCATTACTGGAAATGAGCAACTTGATTCCCTTTGAATCAAAGAACGATTTAGAGTTGGGGGTTTTTCATTTCTTTTTTCTTTTTTTACATTCTCAAAGGAGGTGACTTTTCTTTTTTCCTTAAATCAGACATAAAATATCTCAAGCATATGGAAAAATACAAAAGAATTTAATACACCTGCGTATTCACCATTCAGACTGAACAAATGTTAATATTTTACCATATTTACTTCAGTTTTTTTTTTTTTTTTTTTTTGAGATGAAGTCTCGCTCTGCCACCCAGGCTGAAGTGCAGTGGTGCAATCTCAGCTCACTGCAACCTCCGCCTCCCAGGTTCAAGCAATTCTCCTGCCTCAGATTCCCGAGTAGCCAGGATTACAGGTGCCCACCACCACACCCGGGTAATTTTTGTATTTTTAGTAGAGATAGGTTTCGCCATGTTGCCCAGGCTAGTCTTGAACTCCTGACCTCAGGAATTCCTGGGCCTCCCAAAGTGGTGGGATTACAGGCATCAGCCACTGCACCTGGCCCAGATTTTTTTTTTTTTTTTTTTTAAGAAACATAACATTGCAGTGTACAGCCCACTGTCTCCTCTTCTCCTTCCTTCCTCAGAGGTAACTGCTGTCAAGTAAATGTATACCCCAGGGTGCTTGCAGCCTCATAGGTCAGAGACTCTCAAAACTTCTTCCCCCATTTATTTATTTATTTGTTTGTTTGTTTGAGACAGAGTCTCGCTCTATCACCCAGGCTGGAGTGCAGTGGTGCAATCTCGGCTCACTGCAACTTCCACCTCCTGGGTTCAAGGGATTCTCCTGCTTCAGCCTCCCAAGTAGCTGAGATTACAGGTGTCTGCCACCAAGCCCGGCAAATTTTTGTATTTTTAGTAGAGACGGAGTTTCACCATGTTGGCCAGGCTGGTTTCAAATGACTGACCTCAAGTGATCCACCCACCTCAGCCTCCCAAAATGCTAGGATTACAGGCGTGAGCCACAGCACCTGGCCCTCTATGTTTTTATGAGTGGCATTATTTGATATCAGTTTATGATTTTAAAATTTATACTGCGTGTACCTGTTTTTCACCATTTTAACACATTTTTGGAGGTTTATCATATTTGATATATTTATGTCCTCTTTATCATTTTAATAGTAATAGTAGGCTATTCTGTTTATCCGTTTTATTTCTATGTGTTCATCCCCCTATACAACCACTGGTGTGTGGCAAGCACTTACTAAATGTCAGCTGTTATTGATGGACATTTAGAAACAATTGTTTCTATTTGTTTTTATAAACAGTGGTTGGTTAACCATCCTTATCAATGTCTTTGTGCCCGCATGCAGGAGACCTCTCTAGCATAGGCTCCTGGAAGTCGGATTGCTGGGTCCCAGGACAGACATTCAAACTTCGCTCCCCAAAATGGCTATTCCAATTTATATTCCCAGCAGCAGTATGAGTTTCTTTTCCTGAAAATCCTCACTGGCACATGGCATTACCAGACTTCTTTTTAAAATATGAAATATTGAGTACATAAAGACATACGGAGGGCTGAGCGTGGTGGCTTTCCCCTGTAATCCCTGCATTTTGGGAGGCTGAGGCAGGCAGATCTTTTGAGCCCAGGAGTTCGAGACCAACCTGGGCAACATAAACCTCTACAAAAAAAAAATACAAAAATTAGCTGGGTGTGGTGGCACACGCCTGTAGTCCCAGCTACTTGGGAGGCCAAGGTGGGAGGATCACCTGAGCCTGGGAAGGTCGAGGCTGCAGAGAGCTGAGATTGTGCCACTGCACTCCAGCTTGGATGACAAAGCAAGATCCTGCCTGCAAAAAAAAAAAGACAAGACACGTGGGGAGTAAGATAAGGAGTTTCCATATACTGTCTTTCCAGCTTTAGAAATAAAACTGCAAATACAAATGGAGCCCTTCCTGCACTCCCTGACTTCATTTCCCTCCTTTGCCCTCCCCGATGAACGTCATCCCGAGTTTCATGATTTTTATTCCCAGGCAGGTTTTCGTAGTTTATATTATTTACACATGTGTCTATCCATAAGTATGCCTTACAACATTGGCAAAACGATTTTAAACTACATGAACTTTATACCAGTAATAACACACCCTGTACAACTTTCTGTTGATTTTTTTTTTATACTGAACTTCAGCTCTTGAGGTTTATCTATGCTGATGATGACAGTGACAATGATGATGTCATCAAACACTTATATAGTGCTTGTATGCCAGGCACTCCTCATCACAGCTATGAATCGTGGTCCACCAAATAAGTGCAACAGAGTTTATCTATTTTTAAATCTTTGCCATCACTACTAATGTTGCAGCGAGTGTTTTCTTGTACATACATCCTTGCGGAAGTGTTTGGGTATATACCTACGGTAGAGTTCCTTGGTTATGTGGTACCAGCATCTTCACCTACCAACTCTGTCCAAATGGTTACCCCAAGTGTTTGTATGACCCTGTCAGTATGTGCGAGGGTTTTTTACTCCACATTTCCTCCCAAACTTTTTTTTTTTTTTTTTTGACAGAGTCTGGCTCTGTCGCCCAGGCTAAAGTGCAGTGGTGTATTCGCGGCTCACTGCAACCTCCGCCTGCTGGGTTCAAGCGATTCTCCCGCCTCAGCCTCCCGAGTAGCTGGAATTACAGGTGCATGCCACCACGCCCAGCAAATTTTTTTATTTTAGTAGAGATGAGGTTTCACCATGTTGTCCAGGCTGGTCTCGAACTCCTGACCTCAAGTGATCCGCCCACCTCGGCCTCCCAAAGTGCTGGGATTACAGGCGTGAGTCACTGTGCCCAGCCTCCCTGGAAACTTCATTGTGTTCAATTTAAGTTTTTCCTTTCTCCTAGGTATAAAAGAGAACCTCATCATTTTCATTTGCATTTCCTTGATTACCGATGAGGTTGATTTTCTTGGTCTTTTGTTCCTTCTTCTGTCAAATGCTTATTTAAATTTTCCCCAATTTTTCTACTGGAGTTTTTGGCCCTTATTATATAGACATATATGGATTATTATATATACATATATTATGTATTAGTTATGTGGTATATATCTTATATATATATGATATATATCATATATATACATATATGATATATATCATATATATGGTATGTATGTATGTATAATTTTTTTAAAGATTTTTTTTTTTTTTTAATAGAGACGAGGTCTCACTATGTTGGCCAGGTTGGTCTCGAATTCCTGGCCGCAAGCCGTTCTCCAGTCTGGGCCTCCCAAAGTGCTAGGATTACAGGTATGAGCTACCACACCTGGCCTTTATTCCTTATAGACATTCTTTATATGTTTTGGAAATGAATCCTTAGTCAGTTATATGTATTGTGAATGTCTCCTGCTCTATAGGCTGACTTTTATCCCAGCAACAGTGACTTTGGTTGTAACAAAGTTTTCATTTGTTTATATAATCAAACTTACCAACCTTTCCCTTATAGTTGATGTGTTTTGCCTGTTCAGACCTTTCTTATCCTTGAGAACATAAGAATATTCAGTTTTTGTTCTATTCTTCTATTTCAAGTTTTGCTATTTTTCTTGTCTTTCTGTTTCCTTTGATTTCAAGTTTTGCTTTTAGGTCTTTAATCCACCTAGGATTTATTTTTGTGAATAGTATTTTGCGAATAGTATTAGAAAGCAGTTCGGTTTTTTTTCATATGGAAAACAAGCTGTGTGGAGCCCCATTTATTAAATCCTTTTCCTTTTGTAATAACAGCTATCATATATTATCATATATTGTGTTTTCATATATGCATGAGTTTGTTTGCTACTCTCCTTTTCAAATTTAATTTTTTAATTGACATATAATGTACATATTTATGGGGCACAGAGTCATGTTTTGAGATGTATAATGTATAGTGATCAGAGCTAACAGCACATTCATTATCTCCAACATTGATTATTTCTTTGTGTTGAGAGCATTCAATATTCTCCTTCTAGCTATTTGAGACTATGTAATATCTTATTGTTAACTACAGTTATGCTACATTGACACAGAACCCTAGAACTTCTTCCTCCTGTCTAGTTGCTAGTTGTAATTTTGTATCCCTTAAAAAGCCGACTCCCATTGCTCCCCAGTGCACTCTAGTCTCATTCACCATATATTTATCTCAGTATCAATATCTTAAATTTAATAGCTTCATGGTAAGTTTTGATAACTGGCAAAGGAAGTCTCACATTGTTTAAAATGTTCTTAGTTGTACTTGACTTTTTGCTCTTTCATATACATTTTGGAATCAGTTTACAAGTTCTTCAAAAAAACCCTGTTGAGATTTTGTGTGAAACTGCGCTTAATATTTAATATTAGTTTTGAGAGAATTTTCCTCTAAATGGGAGGTTTTCTCATCCATTTTTGTCATTCAAGAAGTGTTATAATTTTCAACATAAAGATGTTATACATCTTTTGTTTGATACATTCCTAGGTACCTTAAATACTTTGTATTCTTTAAAAGTGACAGTTTTCAGCCATTTGTTGTGGGCATATAGGCACACAATTGATTTTTGTATATTCATCTTATATCCTGCAGCCTAATTAAATTCTTTTCTTCTTATGCCTTGTCTTTGATCTTCTTTCATTTTTTTTTTTTTTTTTTTTTGTTATTGGAGTCTTCTGCAAATAATGACAATTTTGTTTCTCTATTCCCAGTACAGTGTCTGTGAATGTGTGTTTGTGTGTGTTGTCTAACAGCATTGGTCAGGAGCGGGTAGAGTGGCACCATTGAGGGGATATTCAAAAATATTATTTTGTCCTAAATGATAGTTGCTGAGTTTTTCTTTGACCCATGAGTTATATTGGAGTTTATTTTTTAACTTTCCAATCGCATGGACATGTTAGACTTATTTTCTGTTAATGATTTCTATTTTTATTAAATTGGATTTGAGAAATTGGTTTTTATTATATCAATTTTTGGTATTTGTTGAGTTTGACATTATAGCTTAGTATGTGACCAATATTTGTAAATGTTCTTGGGAAAATGATACGTTCTTCGACTTTGATGCGGATTTACCAATTTCTCCTTGTAATTCTGTCCATTTTTGGTTATGTTTTGAGATTATGTTGTTAAGTTGAAAACAGGTTCAGAATTTTTATACTTTTGTGGGGAAATGTTCCTTTTATTATAGCCTCTTATTTCTGATAATACTTTCTGTCTTTCCATTTTTTTCTGAGAATAAAATAACTATACAAGCTTTCTTTTTTGGTTCATATTCTTCTGGTAAAATAGAACTAGGTAAACCTATTTCTCCCCCTACGCCCTGCTTCTTTCAGTTTCAGTGTTTCTAGATACTTCGGCTTTGGGTGTGTTTCTTTCAGTATTATATAGATTAATTTGTCTTGTCTGTGTCTCCTCTGTGATTCTGTGTTTTGTAGTGGAAACTTTGTTTGCTATCATTGTGACTATAGATACTGTCTAACATTGTACTTTCTAATTTTCATGTTTATTTTTTTTTATTTGATTAAAAAAGACTCTTCTTGTTTTCTGTTTTGTCTGAGTTTTCATTATACCCACTTCTCAACTACCCCATCCCACGGGTAGAAGTTTTTAAAATTTGCATATTTAACATTCATTTTCGACTTATCTGAAATTAATCAATATCTCTACTGTAGTCTTGGATAATGCCAAGAGTTTAAAATGCTATAATCCAAACACCTGTTTGGACTCAATATGTCATTTTATGTCTTGTATGTCACTTTTCCCCTGTTGCCCTGCTCAGAGTAAGAATTATATGTTATTATTATTCATTATTTTACTTCCAACTCATTTTTATATTCAAATTAGTTACAATTTGCTGTTGTTTTTATACAGTCAATACTTATTTAGATTTGCCTACGTAGTTACCCATTATTGTTCACCGTTGTTTCCTACATTTTTCTCTTTTAAATGTTTTCTTTCTGAAATAAATACTATAGAATTTATTTCAATGAGAATCTTTACAGTGGTATTCTTTTAGTCCTATTAAGAAAAACAAACTCTTCTCTCCGTCATTCTTTTATTGACATTCAGCTGGGCAGGGAATTCCAGGTGGGCATTTATCTCATCTGAGCATGCAAATCTAATTATGTTGCTTTTTAGAGAGATTACATTGTGCCACAGTTAGTTAGTGGAGAATCTGAGGCTCAGACCCAGGCCTACCTGATACCAGAGCTCAAGTTCTCAGCCAAACCCTTTGTATTTGTATTCATCAAATAAGACAACATTTGAACAATAGCAAAGTCTACAATGTGTCTACATCATGACAACACATGGGCAAATTTTAAAATACAATATTCAGTTTGGTTCAGCAAGCATTTTTGCAAACTTCCCACATGCTAAGCAATGCAGGAGGAAGAGATACAAGTGAATATTGTTGGCCAGGTGTGGTGGCTCATGCCTGTAATCCCAGCACTTTGGGAGGCTGAGGCAGGCGGATCACTTGAGGTCAGGAGTTTGAGACCGGCCTGGCCAACATGGAGAAACCCCATCTCTACTAAAAATATAAAAAATTAGCCAGGCATGGTGGTGGGCGCCTGTAATCCCAGCTACTTGGGAGGCTGAGGCAGGAGAATCGCTTGAACCCAGGAGGCGGAGGTTGCAGTGAGCCGAGACCAGGCCATTGCACTCTAGCCTGGGCGACAGAGTGAGACTCTGTCTCAAACAAAAAAAATCTAATCTTAAAGTATGTACATTGTTTTAGACATAATGCTATTGCACACTTAATAGACTACTGTATAGTGTAAGCATAAATTTTACACGTACTGGGAAACCAAACAGTTTGTGTGACTTGCTTTATCGAGATACTTGCTTTATTCTAGAACTGAACCTGCAAAGCTCACAATATCTCCAAGGCATGCCTATATACTACAAGCACCGTTTTGCTCTCCTCAACTGTTGTGAAATCTTTAGGGGCAAGGACCCTGTCTTGTCATTCTGTTTTCTCAGTTCCTAGGTTCTTAGTACTTGCTTAATAAATACTGTCTGGAACAAACTGAACAAGCTTTTCTTTTGGGTTCTACCAATATTTAGTCACCACAGGGGGTGCATTCCCACTGAGCATTTAAAACTCCAACCTATGCCTTACCCTATTTCCTTAATGCATTTGGTACTGTTTTCTCATGTATAACATGAGAGAAATGTTGCCTACTCAAAGGTTTGTTGTTAGATTAGGTGGCTTGGAGGGTATGAAAGTATTTGATTAACTGTAAAGCAAAGTACAGATGTAAACTATGGTTGTTATTGTGGCAGGTTGCAATTAATAGTTGGACACTAAAATCTGGTCTCCCCTTCTTCCACAGGAACAGAATTGCCATTGGGCCCAGGGAGAGACTACACTTCTTGTCTGCTTTGTTGCTAGTGCGGCCTTGTGGCCAAGCACAGAACGTGTGCAGTGATGATGGTGCAACTTCTAGGTCGTCCCCAGCATGGAAAATGAGCCCTGGGCATGGAAGATGAGCCCTGGTCCTGCAGCGGTGCTCTTTCCTCTTCTCACAAGCTGGAATGTGCATGTGCTCCCACCCAGCTTTGACCATGGGGCGAAAACAGTACTCTGCAGTCTGGCAGAGCAACAAGGTGGAAAGGGCCTGGGTCCTTGAGTGACGTCATGAGCCCTCTCACTGTCCCGACTTTGGGACTGTTATATGATAAGGACTTTCTGTGAGTCACTGTCTTTTAGAGTCTCTCTGTTTTAGCTGCCTGGACTTTATCCTGAATAATATGGCTGTTATCATGGGTATAGTGTTACTATGAGCCTCATCTAAGTAATTTCTACTCTGCCTTTGACCACTAAACTCATGTTGGACAAGAGTCACTTAGCATTATTTTTTCCTCAATGAAGAGGTTAAGATGGAGGGAGCAGGAGAAATTGAGGCCTGTGTTTTACCAGAAGGTGAAGGGCTGTCTTTGCCTTTCCTACATTTATGAAGGATAATTCTAGACAAAAACATTAAGTTCATATCAAACCATCTGCTTTGTGAAGCCATGGGCTTTGCTAGAACTTTCTGTGACATGACATTTATTAACCCGAGTCTACCTGGAAGTTAGAGCTGAGGAAGTTTTCCTAGAGTGGAAAAAGTCCAATGCACTTGTAAAAGTCAGACCAAGCTCAGCTCAGATTTCAGTTTTATTAGAAGTATGTCACCTTCCTGAGCCCTTATTATTTCCCCATCTGTGAAATGAGGACACCGTTCTCTCTTTCTAAGCATTGCTGGGAAGACCACACACCACTGAGACAGAAGGTGGGGCTAGCGCAGTTCTGGGCATTTTGTACACCCCCAACAAATACTGATTTATTTCCTTCTTTTTCCTTGCTCAGAAAAAATTGGAGAAGGCTTTATTTTAAAATTCTGCCTGAATTACTTTATTTTATTTATTTATTTATTTATTTTTTGGAGACAGAGTGTTGCTGTGTCACCCAGGCTGGAGTGCAGTGGTGCGATCTCAGCTCACTGCAACCTCCTCCTGCTGGGTTCAAACGATTCTCCTGCCTCAGCCTCCTGAGTAGCTGGGATTATGGGCGCCCACCACCATGCCCAGCTAATTTCTGTATTTTTAGTAGAGACGGGGTTTTGCCACATTGGCCAGGCTGGTCTCGAACTCCTGATCTCACGTGATCTGCCCACCTCAGCCTCCCAAATTGCTGGGATTACAGGCATGAGCCACCATGCCCAGCCCTTGAATTACTTTAGATCCTACTTTTTAAGAAAATATTTGGCCGGGCATGGTGGCACACACCTGTAATCGCAGCACTTTGGGGGCCTGAGTTGGGTGGATCACTTGAGTCTAAGAGTTCGAGACCAGCCTGGCCAACATGGCGAAACCCTATCTCTACTAAAAATACAAAAATTAGCCGGGCATGGTGGTGGGCACCTGTAATCCCAGCTACTTGGGAGGCTGAGGCAGGGAGAATCACTTGAACCTGGGGGGGCAGAGGTTGCAGTGAGCCAAGATAGTGCCACTGTACTACCGCCTGGGCGACAGAGCAAGACTTTGTCTCAAAAAAAAAAAAAAAAGAAAATATTTGACTTTCTTTTTAAAATGTATATGGTTTACAAATAAAGTTTACAAATGCTTTTACACTCCTTGTAGGCCACATTACTTTTCTGATCCCGAGGGGTGTGTATTTGTAGTTAACTCATTATGAAAGAGAAGATGCTAAAAGACAGCAGTCCTTAGGGTATGAAAGCAATACTGGCATTGATGAGCGAGGAGGCAAGAAAAATGGGAGGCACTAGGTAATTCTGACAATCTCAAGGCAAATGAAAGCTAGCTTGGAAAAGCCACCGTGAATTTTGAGTGAGATGGTGAAGCTTTAAGGCCCAGGAGGTCTGCCAAAATGAGGGTGTTATGATGGCATCCTAAAGTCGCCGTGTCTGAAGCCATAGGCAGGTCATTTCCAGGGCCACGCAGGATCCGGAAGATTCCAGGTGGTGGGTAGATACTTGGTGCTCCCCTCTCTGCTTCTCCTTCTTCCCTCTGGCCTCCTTTGTCCCTTTTCACTCAGCCTGCTTCCCCCGAGTCTGCCACTCTCTCAGACACATACACATATGCTCATTTGTATTCAAAGCCAGGTTCAGGCCAGGAGCAGTAGCTCACATCTGTAATCCCAGCACTTTGGGAGGCCGAGGTGGTTGGATCACTTGAGGCCAGGAGTTCAAGACCAGCCTGGCCAACATGGTGAAACCCTGTCTCTACTAAAAAATACAAAAATTACCTGGATGTGATGGTGCATGTCTGTAGTCCCAGCTACTCGAGAGGCTGAAGCTTGAACCCAGGAGGCGGAGGTTGCAGTGAGCCAAGATCACCCCACTACACTCCAGCCTGGGTGATACAGCCAGACCCTATCTCCAGAAAAAAAAAAAAAAAAGTCACTGGAGAATGGTAAGCCAGCCAGGGAGACTGAGGGTGAGGATGGTCAACTGAAGATAAAGGAAGAGAACTAGGAGAAGGCGTTTAGTGTTTCAAGAAAGGGAATGGTTAGGGGGTCCCAAATGTTGCTGAAAGGGCAAGTAAGATGAAGATTATACAATATCTGTTGGATTTAGGAAAAAAAAAATTGGTCATTGGTGACCCTGGAGAAAGCCATGTGCAGAAGGGAGGGTTGGGCTGAAGCCTGTTGCAATGAATGGGGAAGTGAGGACAAGGGGAACTGTAGAAAGCATGGGTAAACAACTTTGCAGAAGTTTGGAAATGCAGACACACCGGGTGTGTGGGGGTGGGGGCAAGGGGAGGGAGAGCATTAGGACAAATAGCTAATACATGCAGGGCTTAAAATCTAGATGACAGGTTGATAGGTGCAGCAAACCACCAAGGCACGTGTATACCCATGTAACAAACCTGCACATTCTGCATATGTATCTCAGAACTTAAAGTAAACAAACAAAAATCTAGGATGAACAATGAAGGTTGAAAATTAGAACCTTAAACTCATTCCTTAAATTTTTTCAAGACTGTCTTTATCTTTATGCTTTCCAATTGTTCAAAACCTGAGGGGAAAAAATTGTTTTTTTGTTTTTTTGTTTTTTTTTTTTTTTTTACTTCTGATCATATTCTGCTTAAGCAGGAAATCTTAATTATTAAAACCAGCTGGGCGCAGTGGCTCACACCTGTAATCCCAACACTTTCAGAGGCTGAGATGGGCAGATCACCTGAGGTCAGGAATTCAAGACCAGCCTGCCCAACATGGTGAAAACCCGTCTCTACTAAAAAAAAATACAAAAATTAGCTGGGTGCGGTGGCACACGCCTGTAATCCCAGCTACTCGGGAGGCTGAGGCAGGAAAATCACTTGAACCCGGGAGGCAGAGGTTGCAGTGAGCCAAGATTATGCCATTGCACTCCAGCCTGGGTGACAAGAGTGAAATTCCGTCTCAAAAAAAAAAAAAAATCATTAAAACCTCATTATCACATCTATCCAGAAAAAAAAAAAGTTTGGCTGAGAACAGAAGTTTAGAAACTGGAAGAAAACTGGAGGGGGCCGTGGGGTGAAAGGGTGAGTAGTTTCATTTTTGTTTCTTTAAGTGGGAAACCCCTGGGCATGTTAAAATGCAGAGGGGAAGGATCTAAGGAGAGGTCAGAGAAAAGGAAAAGAGTGTCACGCGCGTCCGTGTGAAGAGACCACCAACAGGCTTTGTGTGAGCAACAAGGCTGTTTATTTCACCTGGGAACAGGCGGGCTGAGTCCGAAAAGAGAGTCAGCAAAGGGTGGTGGGATTATCATTAGTTGTCTCGGGTTCACGCCTTTGTCCTGCCTCAGGTTCCCGAGTAGCTGGGACTACAGGTGCCCGCCACCATGCCCGGCTAATTTTTTGTACTTTTAGTAGAGGCGGGGTTTCATCTTGTTAGCCGGGATGGTCTCGATCTCCTGACCTCGTGATCCGCCCGCCTCGGCCTCCCAAAGTGCCGGGATTACCAGCGTGAGCCACCGCGCCCAGCCTATCATTAGTTCTTAGACGTTTGGGATAGGCGTATAAAGTACCTTCTTAAGGGCGGGGGAGAATATACCGTATCAGGGTGGGGCAGGAACAAATCACAATGGTGGAATGTCATCAGGTAAGGCTATTTTCACTTCTTTTGTGGATCTTCAGTTGCTTCAGGCCATCTGGATGTATACGTGCAGGTCACAGGGGATATGATGGCTTAGCTTGGGCTCAGAGGCCTGACAGGCATAATAGAAAGAGTGCAGTTCTTGAGAAGGTGGGAGGGTCTGGGACCCAAGGCACAGGCAGAAGCGTTAACCCAGGAGGGCAAGAGGCAAGGAAGCTTGCAGGTGCAGGCGAGTTCAAGCAACAACATTCCTTTCCTTCATGCCACGAGATGTTGCTACTTTCCTGTTCAGTTCAACTCATCAGACACTTGCTTAACCTGTGAGCTGGTGATACAAGTGGCTATGAATCTAATGCTCTTACAGCATTAGACAGAAGTCGGAGAGACAAATAACCATGATCAGAGCTAGTATTTACGGAGCATGGACTCTGGGCCATGCAGCCATAGCATTTAGTTCTTACAACAACCCCAGGAAGTGGGCAGGAGTGTGATTCTATTTTAACGTGAAGGAAAGGAGGTGCAGAGAAATGAAATGACTTGTCCTAGGTTAGAACTGCGGGACTAGAATGAAAACTCTGAAAAAAGGACTCTGGGGGCTGTGCTTGTCATGGAGACGTCATGCTCTTGCTCTTGTTCACAAACCACGTCTCCGAGAAACAATTGGCCAATACCGTGTGCCTGGGTGGCAGCAATTTTCCAGGGCAATTCTGATTTAGTATCACTTTCATCTTTTGAGCCAAGGCGATTCATTAACTTTTCCCTCCAGCCTCTCTTCAGCTGACAGCTTCCTGCTCAACCCTCACCATCTAGCCTGGGTTAGCCCGCAGCCTCCTCTGCAAAGCTCATCTCCCTACACTTTAAGCCCTCTCTATTTTTAATTATAGTTATTTCCCACATCCCAAACTGGGGCACAAATGATTTGTTTTAATTTAGGAATTGTGTGGGAAATCTTACAAAAGGCTCATGCAGAAGATGATATAAGCTTTTTATCTCCAGCCAGAGTCTCTCCCCTGAACTCCAGATTCACATATCCAGCTGCACCTATATTTGGATGTCTAATAGATGTCTCAGACTTCAAAAGTTTGAACCCCTGATCTCCGCCTTTGACTCTGCCTCCCTTGTCTGCTTTCTTGGCAGTCTTTCCATCTTGGTTAATGGCATCCCCATAATTCCAGGTGCGTGGGGACAAAATCTCTCCTTCTTTCAGATCTCCTTCTCTCCTCTCAGTGCACCCCGTTGGCTTTTCCTCCAAGCTATGCATGTTCATGATCCAGCCATGTGATGAATGTTATGTGTCAACTTGGCCAGCAGTACCCAGATATTCAATTAAGCCCGAGTCTAAATGGTGCTGTGGAGATAGTGCTTTTAGATGAGATTAACATTTAAATCTGTGGGCCGGGAGTGGTGGCTTACGCCTGTAATCCCAGCACTTTGGGAGGCTGAGGCGGGCAGATCATTTGAGGTCAGGAGTTCAAAACCAGCCTGGCCAACATGGTAAAACCTCGTCTCTATTAAAAATACAAAAATTAGCTGGGCGTGGTGGGAGGTGCCTGTAGTCCTAGCTACTCGGGAGGCTGAGGCAGGAGAATGGCTTGAGCCCAGGAAGTGGAGGTTGCAGTGAACAGAGATCACAACTTTGCACTCCAGCCTGGGCGACAGAGTAAGATTCAGTCTCAAAAATAAATAAATAAATAAATCTGTGGATTTTGAGTAAAGTGGGTAATGTGGGTGGGCCTCACCCATCAGTTGAAGGCCTAAAAAAAAAAAGACTGACCTCCCAGAAGGAAGAGGGAGTTCTGCCAGCACATTTTCTTTGAACTCCGGCTGCAGACATCACCCCTATCCTGGGTCTCCAGCCTGCTGGCCTAACCTGTAGATTTGGGATTCGCCAGCCCCCACAATTATGGGAGCCAATTCCTTAAAATAAAATCTCTCTCTGGAGAAAAGAAGAAAATACTCATGACAATGACAGTCCTTGCTTCTGTAACTGGTTATGTGGTCATGGCTGGCACACATAACTGCCTTCTTCCACTACCCATTCTGCATTCCCATGGCCCTCAGCAAGCACTGGTCATGGTTCTTTACCTGGTGGGGTGGCCCAAACCCTCACTCCTAAGGGGTCTGGGCCTTTCATAATCCTGCCTGGATTGGATTGTTTTGTTTTCCATTGACTTTAATCACAAGTTATGGTAATCCTAAAATAGCCTAAGGGACCTCCTGTATTCCAGATATTGTCTTCCTTGCCTCTGCTGCCGAGTGGTCCAATTTCCCCTTGGTAGTCAGGATCAATCCCTCCAGCCAGCACAAGAATTCCCTTTTTGCCTGTTGATTCAGTGGCATGAGGAGCCCAAAGTGACTGGGCAGTCTTAACTTCTATTCAATAGAACCATTCTTGTGTCTTCTAATGGAAGGAAGCATTCCTTCCTTTGGACTAAGACCTCTCAGCAGACCATAAAGCTGCGGGGACAGGAAGCAAAAATTTTGCTAGTGAGTCACTAGGGGTAATAGTGAGTGGTGCTGCTCCCGTCTTCACCCTTTGGTGCTGGACCTGTGAATCTGGCTAGTAGGCCACCAAGGATCTGCTAACACATCCCATTGTTCTGTTTCTTTTTTCTTTTTGAGACAGAGTCTCACTCTGTCATCCAGGCTGGAGTGCAGTGGCGCAATCCTGGCTCACTGCAACCTCTGCCTCCTGGGTTCAAGCCTGCCTGAGACTCCTGAGTAGCTGGGATAATAGGCGCCTGCCACCACGGCTGGCTGGTTTTTGTATTTTTAGTAGAGATGGGGTTTCACCATATTGTCCAGGCTGGCCTAGAACTCCTGAAACTCAGGTGGTCTTCCTGCCTTAGCCTCCCAAAGTGCTGGGATTACAGGCGTGAGGCACTGCGCCCGGCCTCTCATTTTTTTCATGAGCTCAGCCATGCATTTAAAATAATACTTTTTATATTTAGTCTATAATTTTAGGTGTTTTTAATGGAAGAGTGTCAAGGATAACTTGACCACAATTTTGCAGGACTAGAAACATCTTGCAGAGCTTCTCCATCTTGTTTGCTGCAGAGAGGCACACTTCATCTCTGAGCCTTCTTTTATGACCATCTCCTCACCCCCCCAAAAAAACCTGTTCCTTTCTGTGCAATTTATGTATCAAGGAAATGAGAAAAAAAAAAAAAAAAAGAACCAATGTTTTTTCCTTCCCTTTGCCAGCTTAGAATATAAACACTTCAAGGGTGGAAATTTCCTTAGGAATGCTTTGTGTAGTGAATAACTGCTGCTCCGTGTCCCGGGTTCATGCCATTTGCCTGCCTCAGCCTCTTGAGTAGCTGGGACTATAGGCACCCGCCACCACACCCGGCTAATTTTTTGTATTTTTAGTAGAGACGGGGTTTCACTGTGTTAGCCAGGCTGGTCTTGATCTCCTGACCTCATGATCCGCCTGCCTCATCCTCCCAAAGTGCTGGGATTACAGGCATGAGCCACCGTGCCCGGCCGAATAACTGCTCTTAATAATAAACTCTCATTTGTTTCCATAATCTGTATGGCGAATTGGATGTTTCCTACTTAACTATGCTTTAGGTGGATTGGGGAGCTGAATTGGCAATTTAAAGGCATCTTTTACTGACTCCTTATTGTATATTAAAGGGCATGCTTTGGTTGAGTAAAAGTGCTTTGGACTGAATGTTTGTCCACCCCAAATTCATATGTTGAAACCTTAATCCCCAATGTGATGGCATTAGGATATGGGGCATTTGGGAAGCAATTATGTCACAAAGATGAAGCCATCAGGATAGGATTAGTGCCCTTAGCAAGAGATGGGAGAGAGTTGGCTCTCTCTATCTCTCTTTGTGGAGACACAGCAAGAATGTGGCTGTCTACAAACCAGGAAGTGGGCCCTCCCCAGATACTGAATCCGTAGGTATCTGGATCTTGGACTTCCCAGCCTCCAGAACTCTGAGAAACCAATGTGTTGTTTAGGCCACCCAGTCTCTGGTACTCTTATAGCAGCCCAGATTGACTAAGACAACAAGTTTTACAGATCATAAGAAATTTTGCTTAAAGTTTCTTATGATCCGTAAAAGGGATCTGTAAAAGGGATGCTCTTGGAATTGCTCAACTGTATATGGATTTAACCAGTAGAAGATTGTATTAGTCCATTTTCACACTGCTGATAAAGACATACCTGAGAGTGAGCAATTTGCAAAAGAAAGAGGTTCCACGTGGCTGGGGAAGCTTCACAATCATGGCAGAAGGCAAGAAGGAGCAAGTCACATCTCACGTGGATGGCAGCAGGCAAAGAGTTTGTGCAGGGAAACTCTGCCTTAGGAAGCCGTCGGATCTTGTGAGGATTTTTTTTTTTTTTTTTTTTGAGATGGAGTCTCACTCTGTTGCTCAGGCTGGAACACGATGGCACAATCTCGGCTCACTGCAAACCTCCGCCTCCCAGGTTCAAGCCATTTTCCTGCCTCAGCCTCCTGAGTAGCTGGGATTACAGGTATGCGCCACCATGCCCAGCTAATTTTTGTATTTTTAGTGGAGACGTGGTTCCACCATGTTGACCAGCTGGACTCGAACTCCTGACCTCAAGTGATCTGCCTGCTTTGGCCTTCCAAAGTGTTGGGATTACAGGCGTGAGCCACGGTCCCCGGCTGTGAGATTTATTCACTATCATGAGAACAGCACTGCAAAGACCTGCCACCACGATTCAATTATCTCCCACCAGGTCCCTCCCACAACATGTGGAAATTATGAGAGTACAATTCAAATGAGATTTGGATGGGGACACAGAGCCCAACCATATCAAAGATATTCTGTGGAAGTCTCTGTCATTATATTATTGGTCAATACGATGGCTCTTTCAAGTAACCCAGTACCTATCGTCTGAATGAAGGGGATAAGGTCAGTTTCATGGCCTCAGAGAAGCTGCGTTTTGCCCGTTGTCTTCAGCCTGAACAGGCTGCTTACCACACCAGGCTCACTGGCCAGGCAGGAAGCCACTGCTGCAAAACCCAGTGTGGTGTGGCGGGAGGGTGAGGGGGCAATTGACATACTTTGTTATCCTTAAGGGAAGGCTACTCATCACTCCTGGTTACTTCCAGGAATAGTCACCCTCCCTCGTTTCTTTAAGTAACTAAGAGAATGCTGTCAGTGTGGAAAGCGTCCCAGCAGCGTTTGGCATTTCACTGCATCATCCTTCTGGAAAGCACCACCAGCCTTTAGTTCATTCCTCCTACAGCAAAGACGCTTGTTTACAGAGAGCAAGAGCTTCTTGTGTGCCTCCCTGACACAGGCAGTGCATAGAACTCCCGGAGATGATGAGGAAACCCAGAGGCCCCGTGAACAACACGCCACAGAATTACTTAGGGAATTAGGAGTTGGAGAGGAGCTAAATGTTTCCAAGGCTTTGCAAATCATTCTCACAAACCTACAAAGGACAGCTAAAAAGCTTCCAAATGAGAGTGTATAAAATAGTAAAGAACGAGATCAGAATGAATGGAAATGACTCCGGCAGCCTTTTCGTTTTCGGAATCCTTTAAAGCTGCTCATTGCCTTTGTCAGAGCCAGGGATTTCAAGCAAAAGGTTACCAGTTGCCGATTGTTCTAAGATGTTTAAAAAATGGTTCTCATGCTTCGAGGTTTTTTTTTTTCCTTTTTTTTTTTTTAAAAAAAAAAGGCCCAGCAGGGTTTTGATTTTGTCCCATCTTTATGTTATGTCTGAAAATCTAAGACAATTTAGACCTCTTGCAAGCATAGCAATTCTCACAATAAGTTCATCAGCAGAGCCAGTGGTGAGAGTCGTGGTCAGGCTGTTACCTTCCGCTAATCCAAAAGATGGTCTTTAACAAAGCCGCTCCTCAGCTGCGCTTCTGATCCCTGGGTGTCATTTCTTTTGCCTCCTCAGAGCATCTGCATGTGGAAAGCACCCTGGAGCTGCCTTCTCAATGCACAGCGCTTTCTGTCTTAATTAATGTATCCCATGTCTGTTGGGAAGCACAGTGTCCTATGGCATCTGGCAGCAATGATACGGGTCACAGTCTAATTTCAAGCAGTTAAATGTCAGGAAGGCAGAGGCCACCCCATTTTGTGGACCTTGACTTTGAAGACAGGTCTCGTTGCCAGGCTTCCTCATCCCCCTTCCCGTTCCCTGTGGATTCTAATAGAAACCATCCCACAGCTGGAAGAAGTCTTAGCACACTATGGCAGTTTTCTTTGACTCACTCGGGCAGTGCAAAATGTAGATACCATAGGCTGTTTTTCAGGAAGCAGTTCCTCCTGGGCAGAGAAAACTGAAATGGACGTGTCATTTGAACTAGACCTTGAAATAGGAGAAAACATCAGGGGTGGAGAAGGATATTTTCAGAGGGTTCTACTTCTGGCTATGACAAGTACTTGAGAATAGACCAACTTTCCTAAAAATATTAGCCAGGCATGGTGGTGTGTGTCTGTGGTTGTAGCTATTCAGGAGGCTGAGGTGGGAGGATAGCTTGAGTCAGGGAGTTCGAGGCTGCAGTGAGCTATGATCACGCCATTGCACTCCAGCCTTGATGACAGAGCAAGACCCTGTGTCTAAAAAAATAATAATAATAAGTAAATAAAAAATAAAAAATATATAGACCCAACTTTCCTGCTGAGACCCATCACAAAAGCTGAATAATATTTCAAAAACACCTGTTTGAAGGCATTAGAGACCAACCGGGTCAGCCAGGCTATCGCCATTGCTCTCTTCAGGTTGTTTGCTGATTTGTGCATGGAGTTCAGAGCCAGAGCAGAAGTGCTGCCCAGAGTTTTTTGCTCTCTCAAGATGCAGCAGAGAGTGCTGGAGTTACTGCTACCAAAGCAGTCAGGACAGGATGAAAGATTGTGGATTATGAGCAGTTTCAGAATTCCAGTTTTGAAATTCAGTTTATCATTAACAATGAATAAGCCAGGCTGGGCGCGGTGGTTCACTCCTGTAATCCCAGCACTTTGGGAGGCCAAGGCAGGCAGATCACCTGAGGTCAGGAGTTGGAGACCAGCCTGGCCAACATAGTGAAACTCCATCTCTACTAAAAATACAAAAATTAGCCAGGCATGGTGGTGTGCACCTGTAATCCCAGCTACTCAGGAGGCTGAGGCAGGAGAATCGCTTGAATTCAAGAGGTAGAGGTTGCAGTGAGCCAAGATTGCGCCATTGCACTCCAGCCTGGGTGACAAGAACAAAACTCCTTCTCAGAAACAAAAAACAAAATACAAACAAAACAATGAATGGCGAGTAAAACTGTTCAATAGAATAAAATACTTGAGCAGTAGAGTATGCCTTCTCCCCTCTGGACAGATAAACCCACTCTTCAAGGGAAATCAGGTTCTAATCAGAAAGTTACTTCATGAGTTAGAGAATCAGATTATGGGGGTAGAGTTCGCGGCTGCAGGAAGCTATGATTAAAAAAAAAAAAAAAAAAGAGTTGGAAGCTTCCAGTCTGATGCAGCCGGCCTGACGTGAGGGCTGGTTCCTCTGTGAGGGGCAGCTTGAGGCCTGGAGCAGGACACCCGCTTCCTGGACAGTGCCCATACAGGCACTGGGGACTTGGCTCTTTGTTTTTCTGTTTCCTTTTTTTTTTCCATGATCACCTGTCTTTTAGTTTGCAGAGAATTCCTTCCAATAGGCTATATGGTTAATTGGGTTTCTGCTACTAATTTACACCGGTATTGCAGTCCCATCTTTTTGAGACTCGGGAGTGTGCAGGAGCCAGCTCATGCCAGCTGAGGAGAACTGAGGGTACACGTCGCCCCCAACTCTTCATTCAGTTTTGTCAAGAGGGTAGCTTGATTGGCCATGGTGGGAGTAGTTACACCATGGAAATTGGCAAGCACTGTGAATCAGGACTTCTTCCACAAAGAGCCGGTTGTTAAACATGTACCAGCACACCACCACCCAGACTTTTTGATTGGAACTTGGGTTGAGGGTGGTGGGTTGGGGGTGGAAGAGGAATGTTCCAAACTCTTGGATCTCACTTTCATTGAAATTCCCAGGTTACTCCTGCAAATCATTAATGTCATCATTGTCCAGGAATTTTAGAAAATATCTTGGAGAACAATCTTTTTTTTTTTTTTTTTTTTTTTGAGAGAGAGTTTCACTCTGCCTCCCAGGCTGGAGTGCAGTGGCTCGCTGCAACCTCTGCCTCTCGGGTTCAAGTGATTCTCCTGCCTCAGCCTCCTGAATAGCTGGGACTACAGACGCCTACCACCACACCCGGCTAATTTTTTGTGTTTTTTTAATAGACATGGGGTTTCACCATGTTGACCAGGCTGGTCTGGAACTCCTGACCTCAGGTGATCCGCCCACCTTGGCCTCCCAAAGTGCTGGGATTACAGGAGTAAGCCAACCTGCCCAGCCAAATATCTTGGAGAGCAATCTAATTTCCCTTACGTCTGGGCTCCATCGGGGGCTGGGGGGGGGGGGCATTTCACTTCTGCCCCATGTACCAGCAGAAGGCCAGGCTGTGATGCCTTGAATAGCAGTCTAAGAAGAGCAACGAGGGAAGAGGAGTTAGAAAGCCATCGTGTCATTTAGCTGAAAGGTGACTGAGGCCTGAATTAACCATAATAGCTGCTTGTGGGATCAACTCATCTACCACCCAGAATGCAATTTCATTTGAGAGCCATGCTTCCATTCTATTAGGTTGGTGGGGCAAAAGTAATTGTGGATTTTGCCATTACTTTTTATTTATTTTTATTTTTATTTTTTTGAGACGGAGTCTCACTCTGTTGCCCAGACTGGAGTGCAGTGGTGCGATCTCAGCTCACCACAACCTTTGCCTCCCAGGTTCAAGCAATTCTCCTGCCTCAGCCTCCTGAGTAGCTGGGATTACAGGTGTGCGCCACCACGCCCGGCTAATTTTTTTTTTGTATTTTTAGTAGAGAGGGTTTCACCATATTGGTCAGGCTGGTCTTGAACTCCTGACCTCATGATCCACCTGCTTCGTTCTCCCAAAGTGCTGGGATTACAGGTGTGAGCCACCGCGCCCGGCCGCCATTACTTCTAATGTAGGAACCATCGCACAGAATAACTAAGAATCTCAAGGACTCTCAGAGCGCCACTATGTATCAATTTACAACACATGGCTTTCTTTATCTGTCGTTCAATTAGCCTTTTCGAGGCTCTTGAATATCAGGACATAGACATTTTCAGAAGCAGAACCTTGGGTTTGTTAGGTCAAAACTAAGTAGTATCAGCCATTCGGAGGACTGGAAGGTTGAGGTCATGAAATGACAATTCAGCTGTTGATGAGAAGAATCCATGGTTTTATTGTATCTCTTTCTACAAAGACATCTCATATACTCTCATTAATATATATTAAAAGTCTATTATGTGTAACCTGAGATTTTGACTCACGTCCTGTAATGACTGTGTCTGGAACAAGCCAGGGTTTTGTTTGTTCTGTAGCCCAAAGTAGAGCTCTACCAGAACTGTAGACAAGATCTTCCTTGAGTAATTATCTCAGGAAGCGCTGGTGGGTTGTGATTTGTAATAAACAAAAAAGAACCGGCCGGATGCAGTGGCTCAGCCTGTAATCCCAGCACTTTGGGAGGCTGAGGTGGGCGGATCACGAGGTCAGCAAATCGAGACCATCCTGGCTGACACGGTGAAACCCTGTCTCTACTAAACATACAAAAAATTAGCTGGGCGTGTTGGCGGGCGCCTGTAGTCCCAGCTACTCGGGAGGCTGAGGCAGGAGAATGGCGTGAACCCGGAAGGCGGAGCTTGCAGTGCACTGAGATCGCACCACTGCACTCCAACCTGGGCAACAAAGTGAGAATCCGTCTTAAAAAAAAAAAAGAACCAACAACTTTCTTTGGCAACAGTTTGTCCATGTTCCCATTAAATCATGAAGATTAAACCAAAGAATGACGTTTAATACTTACTCGCTGTGCAGAAGGATTTGATGGCAGGAAAGAGAGCTAAGAAAAATAACCATCAGCACAGAAGAACCTTTTGAAATCATCTGATGTGAGCTTGTAGCTTTGTGTATTTACAGTAACATGACAGTGATAAGTCAGCATTGTTCTAGAAGCCCAGATTTTCCAAAGAAATGGGCTCTTAAAAAAGGAAGGATGGCTGGGCACGGTGGCTCACGCCTGTAGTCCCAGCACTTTGGGAGGCTGAGGCAGGTGGATCACCTGAGGTCAGGAGATCGAGACCAGCCTGGCCAACATGGCGAAATCCCGTCTCTACTAAAAATACAACAACTAGCCACGTGCGGTGGTGCACACCCGTAATCCCAGCTACTCAGGAGGCTGAGGCAGGAGAATTGCTTGAACTCTGGAGGTGGAAGTTGAGTGAGCTGAGATAGCAGCACTGCACTCCAGCCAGCCTGGGTGACAGAGCAAGGAAAGAAGGATGGTCAAATCTAACCATCCCCTAGCATTGCCACCTGAGTAGGAGAAGAAACATATCATTGTGCTTTCCAGACCACCTAAAATTTAATTTGTCATTTCAAAAATTTAGAAATAGTTTTATTGATATATAATTCACACCTAATAAAATTCAATAACTTAAATTGTATAAGTCAGTGGTTTTCAGCATCCTCACAGAGCTGTGTAACCATCCTCACATTCAATTTTATAATGTTTTCTTCACCCTATAAAGAAATCCTGTACCCATTAGCAGTCACTCCTCATTCCTCCCTCCCCACAGCCCCTGGAAATCACTAATCTACTCTCCGCCTCTATAGGCTTCTCTATTCTGGACATTTCATATAAAACGAATCATATAGTGTGTAGTCTTTTGTGACAGGCCTCTTTCATTTCGCATATTTTGGAGATACAACCACGTTATAGCATGCATCAGAGCTTCTTTTCTTTTTATGGCTGTGATATGGTTCGGCTGTGTCCCCACCCAAATCTCATCTTGAATTGTAGCTCCCACAATTCCCACGTGTCGTGGGAGGGGCCCTGTGGGAGGTAATTTAATCATGGGGGTGGGTCTTTCCTGTGCCCTTCTCATGATAGTAAGTCTCAAGAGATCTTATGGTTTTATAAGGAGGAGTTCCCGTGCACAAGCTCTCTTTTGCCTGCTGCCATGTGAGACATCCCACGCTCTTCTGCCATGATTATGAGGCCTCTCCAGCCATGTGGAACTGTGAGTCCATTAAACCTCTTTCCTTTATAAATTACCCAATCTTGGGTATGTCATTACTGGCAGCGTGAGAACAGACTAATGCAGGCTGAATAATATTCCATTACATGGATATACCACATTTGACTAATAATTGTCTGTTCTTTAATTGATGGATGTTTGCATTGTTTCCACTTTTGGGCAATTATGAATCATGCTGCTATGAACACATGTGTACATTTTTTTGTTTAGTTGGTTAGTATTTTTTTTTCTGTGTTTGTGTCCAGAAGGTCAGCTAGACACTTGTGTAAGTTTTTGTGTACGTATATTTTCAATTCTCTTGGAGACATGTGTATATATGTGTGTGTGAGTGTATGTGTGTGTGTGTTGTGGGAATTGTGGGAGCTACAATTCAAGATGAGATGTGGGTAGGGACACAGCCAAACCATATCACAGCCATAAAAATAAAAGAAGTTCTAATGCATGCTATAACATGGGTGTATCTCCAAAATATAATGCAAAATGAAAGAGGCCTGTCACAAAAGACTATTTACAATATGATTCCTTTTATATGAAATGTCCAGAATACAGAAACCTATAGAGGCAGAGAGTAGAATACACACACACACACACACACACACACACACACACACACGCCCCTAGGAATGGAATTGCTGGAACATATGGTAACTCTGTGTTTAACATTATGAGGAACTGCCAAATAATTGTTTTCCAAAGCTTTTCCAAAGCTGAACCACATTACATTTCAAGCAGCAATGTGTAAGTGTTCCAGTTTCTCCATGTCCTCACTAGTTATTGTCCTTTCTTGACCACAGCCATACTAGTGGATGTGAAGTGTTGTTATCTCATTGTGATTTGGGTTAACATTTTCCTATGACTGATGTTGTTAAGCATTTTTCACGTGCTTGTTGGTCATTGTTATAGTTTCTTTGGATAAATGTTTGTTCAAATCCTGTGCTCATTTTAAAAATTGGATTTGTCTTTTTTTATTGAGTTGTAAAAGTTCTTTATATATCCTGGATAACAGTCTCTTATCAGATATATCATTAACAATTTTTTTCTCCCATTCTGTGAATTGCCTTTTCACTTTCTTGATGATTTCTGTATTAGTTCGTTCTTACACTACTCTAAAGAACTACCAGAGGCCGGGCACGGTGGCTCACGCCTGTAATCCCAGCACTTTGGGAGGCCGAGGCAGGTGGATCACGAGGTCAGGAGATCGATACCATCCTGGCTAACAAGGTGAAACCCCATCTCTACTAAAAAATACAAAAATTAGCTGGGCATGGTGGCAGGCGCCTGTAGTCCCAGCTACTCAGGAGGCTGAGGCAGGAGAATGGCGTGAACCTGGGATGCGCAGCTTGCAGTGAGCCAAGATTGCACCACTGCACTCCAGCCTGGGAAACAGAGCGAGACTCCGTCTCAAAAAAAAAAAAAAAAAAGAAATACCAGAGACTGGGTAATTTATGAAGAAAAGAGGTTTAATTGACTCACAGTTCTGCAGGCTGTACAGGAAGCATGGCTGGGGGCCTCAGTAAACTTACAATTATGGCGGAAGGTGAAGGGGAAGCAGGCACATCTTACCATGCAGTGGAGCAGGAGAGAGAGAGCAAAGGTGGAAGTGCTACACACTTTTAAACAACAAGATCTTGTGAGAGCTCACTCACTATCACGAGAATAGCAAGGGGGAAATCCTTCTCTGTGATCCAATCACCTCCCACCAGGTCCCTCCCCCAACACTGGTGATTACGATTCAACAGGAGATTTGGGTAGGGACACACAGCCAAACCATAGCAGTTTCCTTTGAAACACAGAAGTTTTAAGTTTTGTTGAAGTCCAGTTTATCTAATATTTTTTCTTTTGTTGTTTGTACTTTTGGTGTCATATTTAAGATACCATTGTCTAACCCAAGGTCACAAAGATTTAACCTATTTTTCTTCTAAGGGTTTTATAGTTTTAGAGTTTTATAGTTTAGAGTTTTATAGTTTTAGAAGTAGTTTTTGGAATCAAAAATTATTTCAGAACTTTGATGTATTTTTTCTATCCTTTCTTTTTTAGTTTTAAAAGTTGTGATAAAATACACATAGCATTTAGTGCCTTCAACATTTTGAAATGTATGGTTCAGTAGCATTAAGCACATTTACATTGTTGTACACTCAATCACCACCACCAATCCCGCAGAACTCCTTTCATCTTGCAAAACTGAAACTCCGTTAAACAATACATTCCCCCTCTCCCCAGCCCCTGGAGATCATCACTCCACTTTCTCCCTCGGAGTTTCAATACTCTAGAGACCTCATATTGTGGAGTCATATCAGATTTGTCCTTTTGTGACTGGCTTATTTCACTTGGCATAATGTCATCAAGGCTTACCTATGTTATAGCATGTGTCAGAATTTTCTTCCTTTTTAAGGCTGAATAATATTCCATTGTATGGATATAGCATATTTTTGTTTATTTATTCATCCATTCACACACACTTGGATTTGCTTCTACTTTTTGGCTATTGTGAATAATGCTGTTATGAACATGGATATACAAATACTTATTCAAGACCCCAATTTCAGTTCTTTTGGGTGTATGTCCAGGAGTAGAATTGCTGGATCATACGATAATTCTATGTTTAATTTTTTGAGGAACCACGGTCCTGTTTTCCATAGCTTCTACACCATTTACATTCCCACCAACGCTGCACAAAGGTCACGATTTCTCCATATCCTTGCCAACACTTGTTATTTTTTTTTAAATTTTTTGATAGTTGCCATCCTAATGGGTGTGAGGTGGTATCTCACTAGGTTTTGATTTGTGTTTCCTTGGTGAGCATTTTTTCATGTAATTATTGGCCATTTGCATACCTTTTTTGGAGAAATGTCTATTCAAGTTCTTTGTTCGTTTTAAAAATTAAGTCATTTTGTCGTTGAGTTGTAGGAATTCTTTTTTTTTTCTTTTTTTTTTTTTTTTGAGACGGAATCTTGGTTTGTCGCCCAGGCTGGAGTGCAGTGGCGTGATCTCGGCTCACTGCAAGCTCCGCCTCCCGGGTTCACGCCATTCTCCTGCCTCAGCCTCCCATGTAGCTGGGACTACAGGTGCCCGCCACCACGCCTGGCTTATTTTTTGTATTTTTAGTAGAGACAGGGTTTCACCATGTTAGCTAGGATGGTCTCGATCTCCTGACCTTGTGATCCACCCGCCTCGGCCTCCCAAAGTGCTGGGATTACAGGCGTGAGCCACCACGCCCGGCCAGGAATTCTTTATATACTGTGGATATTAATGACTTATCAGATATATGATTTGCAAACTTTTTTTTTTTTCTGTTCCAGGGCCACCCTTTCACTCTGTGGATTATGTCCTTTGATGAACAGAACTTTTAAATTTTTAAGTTTTATTTTGCTGCCTGTACTTTTGGTGTCATATCCAAGAAATCATTGCCAAATCCGATGTTATGGAGTTTTTCTCCCATATTTTCTTCTAAGAATTTTATAGTTTTAGGTCTTATGTTTAGGTCTTTGATTCATTTTGAGTTTTGTTGTGTGTTTGTTTTTTGAGATAGGGTCTCACTCTGTCGCCCAGGCTGGAGTGTAGTGGTGTGATCTTGGCTTACTGCAACCTCCGCCTCCCAGGTTCAAGTGATTCTCCTGCCTCAGCCTCCTGAGTAGCTGGGACTACAAGCGTGTGTCACCATGCCCGGGTAATTTTTGTATTTTTTGGTAGAGAGAAAATTTCGCCATGTTGGCTAGACTGGTCTTGAACTCTTGACCTCAAGTGATTTGCCCACCTCCTTAATTTTTGTTTATGGTGTAAGGTAGAGCTTGGTTCCATTTCGAGTTAAATTTTTGCAATGGTGTGAGGTAGTAGTTCAGCTTCGTCCTTTTGTATGTGAATATCTGGTTGTCCCAGCACTAATTATTGAAAATACTGCTCTTTCCCCATTAAAGGGTCTTGACACACTTGTCAAAATCAATTGACCATGAATGTGAAGGTTTATTTCTGGACTCTCAGTTTGATTCCATTGATGTACGTGACTATTCTGATGTCAGCACCGCACTATCTTTATTACTGTAGCTTTGTAGTAAATTTTGGAATCAGAAAATGTGGTCTTCCAAGCTTGTTCTTTTTCAAAATTGTTTTGGCTATTCTGGGTCTCTTGCATTTCTGTATGAATTTTAGGTTCAGCTTGTCAATTTCTGGAGAAAAAAAAGCAGCTGGAATTTTCACAGAGGTTGCAGTGAATCTGTAGATGAATTTGGGGAGTACTCCCACGCTAACAATCCATGAACGCGGGTGTCTTTTATTTACTCAGGTTTTGTTTAATTTTGTTCCAACAATATTGTAGTTTTCAGTGTACAAGTATATTTCTCTTATTAAATTGTATTTCTAAGTATTTTATTTTTATCAATGCTATTGTAAATGGAATTTTCTTCTTCATTAATCTTCAGATTTTTCATTGCTAATATTAGAGATACAATTAATTTTTTTTTTTTTGAGACAGAGTTTCTCTGTGTCGCCCAGGCTGCAGTGCAGTGGCATAATCTTGGCTCACTGCAACCACTGCCTCCTGGGTTCAAGCTATTCTCATGCTTCAGCCTCCCGAGTAGTTGGGATTACAGGCATCTGCAACCACATCTGGCTAATTTTGTATTCTTAGTAGAAACCGGGTTTCACTATGTTGGCCAGGCTGGTCTTGAACTCCTGACCTCAAGTGATCTGCCTGCCTTGATCTCCAAAAGTGCTGGGATGACAGACGTGAGCCACTCCACCCAGCTGAGATACAATTAATTTTTGATATTGATCGTGTATCCTATAATTTACCGAACTTCTTTGATTAGTTCTAATAGTTTTTGTGGGTTTCTTAAGATTTTCTATATACAAGGTTATGTCATCCATGAATAGAAATAGTTTTACTCCTTTATTTCTAATCTGGATGCCTTTCATTTCTTTTTATTGCCTAATAGCTCTGGCCACAATCTCCAGTAATGTGTTGAATGAAAGTAACAAGAATGGATATCCTTGTTCTTGATCTTAGGAGAAAAGCATTCAACCTCACATCATCAAGTAGAATGTAACTGTGGGCCGGGCATGGTGGCTCACGCCCGTAATCCAAGCACTTTGGGAGGCTGAGGTGGGTGGATGACCTGAGTTCGGGAGTTCAAGACCAGCCTGACCAACATGGAGAAATCCAGTCTCTACTAAAAATACAAAAAATTAGCCTGGCGTGGTGGTGCATCCCTATAATCCCAGCTACTCTGGAGGTTAAGGTAGGAGAATCGCTTGAACTCGGGAGGCGGGCGGAGGTTGCGGTGAGCCGAGATCATGCCATTGGACTCCAACCTGGGCAACAAGAGCAAAACTTTGTCTAAAAAATAAAAAATAAAAAGAAATGTAACTGTGAGTTTTTCACATATGATCAGGTTGAGGAAGTTTCCTTCTATTCCTCACTTGCTGCATGTTTTTATGAAAGGGTTCTGGATTTTGTCAAATGCCTTTTTTGTATCTCCTGAGATGACCATGTGATTTTTGTTCTTTATTCTATCTATATGGTACATCATATTAATTTTTGGATGTTAAATCAAACTTGCATTCTTGAGATAAGAATCTCATTTGATTTCTGGGATAAATCCCCATTTGGTCATGGCATATAATCCTCTTTATATGTTTCTGGATTTAATTCGCTAATATTTGATTGAGGAGTTTTATGGTACATTCAAAAGAGATATTGGTCTTTAGTTTTCTCTTTCTTTCTTTCTTTCTTTCTTTCTTTCTTTCTTTCTTTCTTTCTTTCTTTCCTTCCTTCTTTCTTTCTTTCTTCTTTTTTTGAGACGGAGTCATCCAGGCTGGAATGTAGTGGTGCGATCTTGGCTCACTGCAATCTCTGCCTCCTGGGTTAAAGCGATTCTCCTGCCTCAGCCTCCTGAGTAGCTGGGACTACAGGAATGTGCCACCACGCCTGGCTAATTTTTGTATTTTTAGTAGAGATGGAGTTTCACCATGTTGGTCAGGCTGGTCTCGAACTCCTGACCTCAGGTGATCCTCTGACCTTGGCCTCCCAAAGTGCTGGGATT
This sequence comes from Homo sapiens, assembly GCF_000001405.40. NCBI lineage: Eukaryota > Metazoa > Chordata > Mammalia > Primates > Hominidae > Homo > Homo sapiens. Next base: position 45,113,384 of record NC_000022.11, on the reverse strand, counting down.
ACAGGCATTAGCCACTGTGCCCGTCCTAGTTTTCTTTTCTTGTGATGTCTTTGTGTGATTTTGGTAGCAGAGTGACATTGCCTTCATGGAATGAATTGGCAGCCCTGTCCAGACACCATATTTAAGTCTATTAAGTGTAAGCATACAATTCAGTGGCATCAAATAAATTCTCCATGTTGTGTCACTCTCAATACTATCCACTCCCAGAACTTTTTCATTATCTCAGAGAGAAACTCTGTACCCATTAAACAACTCCCCAACCCCCTCTCCTCAGCCCTGACACCTCTATTAGACTTTTTGTCTCTATGAATTTGCCTGTTATTGATACTTTATCTGTGGAATCATACAGTATTTGTTCTTTTGTACCTGGCTTATTTCTCTGCACTCTTTTATGTTTTTCCAGGCCTGAAGGGTTTCATTTGAAAGTTACAATTTCAAATGAGGTGACCTCAACAGGGAGAGACAGGGTGGAGTGAACCACCGGAGAAACAGAGCCGAGGGAGGAGATCGGAGGATCTGAAGGAAAATATGAATTCCCTACGCCTTCAGAGTTGCAGGGAGAGGCCTTCCACAGCAGGGCTCTTCAAAGAGTCCATGAGAGTGCCCCAGAAGAGAATCACCTTTGAACATTTGCCAGAACTGGAGTGTAGCTGTTACTTATTGCCATCATAGGGGTGTGTAACAAACATCCCCAAAACTTATTGGCTCCAAACCATGACAAAGTCTGTGGTAATTGACTTGTCCGCTGGACTTTTTTGGTCTAGACTGGACTGGGCTGGGCTTTTTCATGTGTTTTTTTGTCAGCTGGCAAGTTGTCTGGGACAGGGCTGGTCTAGGCTGGCCTTGGCTGGAGTGACTTGGCCTGGCTCCATGTGGTGTCTCATCCTCCAGCAGGCTAGCCTGGTATTCACGTGGAGATCATGACAGTCAGCACAAGTATGCAAGATCTCTTGAGGCCTGGGCTTGGAACTGGAAGGCCACCATTTCCACAGCATTCTATCAGCTGAAGCAAGTCACAATGCCAGCCCAGATTTAACGGGTAGGAAAATCAACTCTGCCTCTTTAGTGAGAACAATTGCAAGGTCACATGAAAAGGGCACAGATTCAGGAAGGAGTGAAGAATTATAGCCATTTTTTTTTTTTGGTAATTTATGGCCTGGACAGTGTGAAACTAGTTTTTGATGCTTCCAATTTAGGTCCTTTTCTATCTCCTTACCACTTTTTACTGCCTACCTTCCTACTTCAGGGGCCAAAAACTGGCTGGGAAGCTGGGTGATGGGCTTGGATGCAGGAGAGAGAGTAGTACAAGATAAGAGAAATGGAGAGGAGGAGAACTGCCCACTTCCCCTGTAGAAGCAGACTCTTCTAATGTGAGAAGGTCTCACATTAGATCAAATCTGGAGACTTGATTGATATCTTGGGCTTGAGTTTCTGAATCAAGACTGTATTTGGGCCAGGCATGGTGGATTATATCTGTAATCCCAACACTTTGGGAGACAGAGATGGGTGGATCACTTGAAGCCAGGAATTTGAGACCACTCTGGGCAACATGGCAAGACCCTGTCTCTACAAAAAATTTAAAAACTAGCTGAGCATGGTGGCATGCACCTGTAATCCCAGCTTCTAGAGAGGCTGAAGTGGGAGGATTGCTTGAGCCCAGGAGTTCAAGGGTGCAGTGAGCTATGATTGTGCCATTGCACTTCATTCTGAGCAACAGAGTGAAAAAGCGAGACAATGTCTCTAAAAATAATAATTTTTTAAAGAGATTGTGTTTGGTAATTAGAGCAACTGCTTATTACCTGAGAGTACATAGGAAAGTCGAGGGCCTGCCAGAGTTTTCATCCTGGCCAGAGGAGGGCTGCTCCCTCCGAACAGATTTCATATGCAGAGCAGGAGGTAAAAGAGCTGTATTTGGCCAGGTGTGGTGGCTCACGCCTGTAATCCCAGCACTTTGGGATGCCGAGGTGGGCGGATCACGAGGTCAGAAGTTCGAGACCAGGCTGACCAACATGGTGAAACACCATCTCTACTAAAAATACACAAAAAAATTAGCCAGACTTGGTGGTGCATGCCTGTAATACCAGCTACTTGGGAGGCTGAGGCAGGAGAATCCCTTGAACTCAGTAGGTGGAGGTTGCAGTGAGGCAAGATCACGACAATGCACTCCAGCCTGGGTGACAAGAGTGAGACTCCATCTAAAAAAAAAAAAGAGCTGTAGCTTTATTACATCACAACTTGTGCATGTCCAAGGTACCAGCTACACAGGCAAGATGACCACATCTCTGCCTTTGTTTTCAGAAAACAAGGATCACTTAATGTGTTTGGGGCACTGGACCAAATACTGGGACAAGTACAACTCACACAAGTGGTGGAGTGATGAGTACAAGTGATTACAGATATCCTGGAACATAAAATGTAGAGGGGGCACAATGCATGCATCTATGAAACATGAAATAGACAAGCACATGAGATCCTGGGTGCGAGTTGCCGAGTGCAGCCCCTGACATCCCGTAGGTCTTCCAGGTCCTGGCTGCCTGGCGAGGTGGTCTCTTTCACAGCACCATGCACCTCCTGCCCAAGCACAGTTTGTGCCTTTCAGCCTTTGCTTTTGCACATGTCAATCGTAATTTCTGAAGTGTTCTGCCCTCTCATCTAAATATGTCTATGTCCAGGCCAGGCATGGTGGCTCATGCCTGTAATCCCAGCACTTTGGGAGGCCGAGACGGGCAGATCACAAGGTCAGGAGTTTGAGAGCAGCCTGGCCAATATGGTGAAACCCCATCTCTACTAAAAATATAAAAATTAGCCGGGCGTTGTGGTGCGTGCCTGTAGTCCCAGCTACTCGGGAGGCTGAGGCAGAAGAATTGCTTGAACCCGGGAGGTGGAGGTTGCAGTGAGCCGAGATGGCATCACTGTACTCCAGCCTGGGCAACAGAGCAAGACTCCGTCTCAAAAAAAACAAAAACAAAAAAAGTCTATGTCCAAAACGAGATGCCACAACACACATATTAGAACGGGCAAAATCCAGAACACTGACAACACCAAATGCAGGCGAAGACGTGGAGCAGCAGGAACCCTCATTCGTTGCTGGTGAGAATGAAAAATGGCACAGCCACTTTGGAAAATAGTTTGTCAGTTTCTTACAAAGCTAAACACACTCTTACCTTATGTACCAGTAACCACAGTCCTTGGTATTTACCCAAAGGAAAACTTGTAAACTTACGTCTGTACGAAAACCTGCCCGTGGATGTTTATAGAAGTTGTATTTGTAATTGCCGAAACTTGGATTGACCTTGGTCTTGTTGGTCTGCACTGTGGTCCTTCCTCCATCCCATCCCATTTCCTCCCCTTGCCTTTCACATTAATTATGCTGTAGGTTTTCCGTCGGTATTTAGGGGTTAGGTTGGACCTTTTAGATTTCAGGTAGAGACAAAAAGACTGAAGGTTACCAGCCAGTCTGTTGTTTTCCACCTGTCCAACAGTTGGTTGGGTTTGCTGCATAATTGATCCGTTGACTTCTATGGTGATTGGCTGCAGGATGGAACCAGCCAGACCATGAGCAACACAGGCATGCCACTAGGAAGGCCTCAGAGAAATCGCCTGTGTCTGTGAAGATGAGAAGCAGATATTGGCCAGGCGTGGTGGCTCACGCCTGTAATCCCAGCACTTTGGGAGGCCGAGGCAGGCGGATCACCTGAGGTTGGGAGTTCAAGACCAGCCTGACCAACATGGAGAAACCCCTTCTCTACTAAAAATACAGAATTAGCTGGGCGTAGTGGCACACACCTGTCTGTAGTGCCAGCTACTCGAGAGGTTGAGGCAGAAGAATTGCTTGAACCTGGGAGGCGGAGGTTGCGGTGAGCTGAGATTGTGCCATTCCATGCCAGCCTGGGCAACAAGAGTGAAACTCCATCTCAAAAAAAAAAAAAAAAAAAGCAGATACTGATCTGGACCAATGAATTTCCAGAGTGGCACAGCATGAGGGAGTCTCTATCTTCCTTCCTCAGGGACCTGCGGAGCTTCTGGCTCTTGGATCAGCTGTAGGACTTTCACCAATATTTCTGCATGGGAATGTCCATGTGGTCTTGACACTAATGGGATACCATCAAGTATCCCAGGAAGCACCCACACCCACCCACGGGTAAGGAATGCCCAGAAACTGAAGTCAGTACATTGGGACTGGGGTATGGCTTAAACCCTTTGTACTATGAAGCAGAATACATTGAATAATAGGAGATTAGAGCTGGAGGAAGTCGTAGAAATAAAGTATTAGAATAATCTCATGTTGTAGATGATGCCTTTAGCCTGGATGGATTAAGTAACTTGTTAAAATCCATAGTGCCGGTTAATGGAGAATTCTAACAAGAACTAAGAATGATACGTGTTTGTGCATATGTGATCAAGCTAGAAAAAATATATGATGAGACCTTTTTTTTTTTTGAGACAGAATCTTGCTCTGTTGCCCAGGCTGGAGTGCAGTGGTGTGTTCATGGCTCACTGCATTCTTGACCTCCTGGGCCCAAGCGCTCCTCCCACCTCAGCCTCTGGAGTAGCTGGGACTACAGGTGCCCACCACACCCAGCTAATTAAAAAAAATTTTTAGAGATAGGGTCTTTCTATAGTGCCCAGACTGGTCTTGAACTCCTGGCCTCAAGTGATCCTCCCACCTCCGCCTCCCAAAGTGCTGGGATTACAGGCATGAGCCATCACACCCAGGCTGCTGAGATGATTTTTGAATAGTATCCCAGCTTTTAAAAATGTATATTTTTAAGAATTTGATAAAATGATAAAATTTCACCAACAGTCACTCAACAACTAGCAACTATTTGTTAATGGTCTACTCTGTGCCTGCTACTGCTTTGGGTGCCAGAGGTACAACAGGAATGGAGATGAGGTTTCTGGCCTCCTGAAGTTTCCATTCTCATCACAGGAGAACCACAGTCATCAATCATAACAAGCTCATGTCAGACGATGATAAGCATCACAAAGGTAATAAAATATGATCAGCTCTCGGTTCTTTCATTCACCTGACGAGTGTTTATTGAGCTTGGACTGTTTCTTGGGCACTGCCTTGGACCCTGGTGAAATGGTGGGGACAAGACAGAACAGGTGCCCGTGCTCAGGTGCCCATGCTCATGCAGATTTGCTTCTGGTTGGGAGTGATGCAACGACGCACAAGTAGAAACAACCACTGTGGAGGAAGCTGCTATGTGGGAAGGAATGGAGGGAGTGGTGTGATGGAGCAAGCAGGGATCGGCAGATGGAGGGGGTTATGTGGTGTGGACGGGTGGAGTGGGCAGATAGAGTGCTTCTTTTTAAGAAAAATTTTAAATATATAATAAAAAAATAGACATTGGGTCTTGCTATGTTGACCAGGCTGGTCTCAAACTCCTGTCCTAAAGCAATCCTCCCATCTTGGCCTCTCAAAGCACTAGGATTACAGGCATGAGCCACCGCACCCAGCCGAGCTTCGAGTGCTTCTAACAGCAGGTGCAAAGGCCCTGGGGTGGGAAAGGGCTTGGCAGCTTTGGTGAAAAGGAGGCCAGCATGGCTGCAACCTGGTGAGTGAGGGAGAGAGGGGAAGGAGATGTGGGCGCCAGATCATGCAGACCCTCATGCGCTGGTGAAGGGTTTTGATTTTATCCTGAGAGCAGTTGTCCAGGGGGCCCTGGAGAATGTAAGGAAGGAGAACGTCAAGGTATGATGTTTGTCTTTAAAAGATTGCAGGCCGCTGTGCGGGAAACGGGGCGGCTGTCGTGGGTGAGACTGGAAGCTGCCACAGGGTCAGGAGGTCCTAAGAGCAATCCAGGCAAGATATGGTGGTGGCCTGGACCCGGGAGTGGACCGTGGACGTGGTGAGCAGTTGACACATGGGGCAGATATTCTGAATGTTCTTCCTGGTGTTGCTGACATTTCCAGCTCAGCCCCTGCCCTACAGCCATAAGAGCTTGGAGGTGGGACACTTGCCCATGGCATCTGAGTCATCTGGGATGGAACTGGAGAGGAGGACCCCTGAGCCACCTTGGCTGCAGCCCTATGCTCTGAGGAGACAGAGCAGCCTCTCCTGACAGGTGACAGCTGGGTTTCCAGGATGAAGTTGAGGAGCAGTGGCCGGGGATAAACATAGGCTACCTGGGGTTGACACCCACCCCAGTCTTCCCTTCCTTTGCTCCCTACTAGCCTCCAGCATGCTCATGACCATGCAGCCTCCCTGGCTCCATCAGCTCAGGCTGTTACGACAAAAATACCACAGACTGGGTGGCTTCAACAACTGACATTTATTTCTCGCAGTTCTCAAGCCTGGGAAATCCAAGAGCAGGGTGCTGGCAGATTTGGCATCTGGGGAGGGCTCCCTTCCTGGTTTGCAGATGGCCGTCTTCTGGCTGTGTCCTCATGGGGTGGAAAGAGCTGGATAACTCCCTGGAGTCTTTTTTCTAAGGACGCTATTCCACTCATGAGGGTTCCACCCTCGTGGCCTAATCATCTCCCAAAGACCCCACCCCTAATACCATCACATTGAGGATTAGGGCTTCAACAGAGGAATTAGAGGGGGGCACACACATTCAGTCCTTGGCATCCTCTAACCTCACATGGAGCACAGACCCAGGAGCAGAAGGCATGGGCTGCAGGCTCCACATTAACCCCAGCTGCCTTCATGTCTCAGGGGTAAGCTGGAGTACATTCATGGTAGAATGGCCAACATAGTGAATGAATTCAGAAGCCAAAACCTGGCAAGTATCACAGGCTGGTTCATCCATTCGCATTTTTGCTCAGCAAATACTAATTGAACATTCATAGCATGCTGAATGCTGACGGGTGCTGGGGTTGATGGTGAACAGGACCCAGGTCCTGCTGCCCAGCTGTCCAGAGGGCAGTAGAGACCATGGCCAGTCCCTGTGATCAGTGCTCTGATATGGAGGTGGGGGGACCCTGGAGGGGAACCCCACCGAGCTTTGGAGTCAGGGAGGCTTCCGAGGAAGTGGCACTTACTCTGCGTTGGAAGAATGGGAAGAATGGGAAGGAAGGAGGTCTTTCTTCTCCTGTGATCACCCATTCAACACCAGGGCCCTTCAGTTCTCGCTCCCAAATGCCTCTCGTCTCTCTCCTTCCCTCTTAGGGCCCACTGCTACCCCTTGCTTCAGACCCTCATTGTTTCTTGCCCGGGTTACTGCAGCGGTCCTGCCTCCCGCCTCCCAGTCCTTTTGCTTCCTCACCGTCTATGTTATCTCTCAAATAAAATATACAGAACAACATCTGATCACATCCATCCTCTTGGTCCAACCCTTCGCGTAGGATAAGTTCTGCTTGTTTTCCTTCTAGTACTTTACTAGTTCAACTTTTAAATCTACCTACAATTTGTTTTTACTATTTTAAATAACAACTTTATTGAGCGATAATTCACATACCATAACACTCACCCTTTTATACATACAATCCAGTGTATACAGTTTTACAGATACAGTTCCATTTTCGTGTATTCAGGGTTCTATAGTTATCACCCCCATCTGAACGTTTTCCTCAGCCCCCAAAGAAACTTCACGCCCATTGACAGTCACCCCTCCTCCTGCCTCCACTCCAGCCCCAAGCAAACACAAATCTACTTTTCATCTCTTCGGATTTGCCTATTTGGGACATTTTGTATAAATGGTCTTCTGTGACTGGCTCCTTCCACTTAGCATCTTGTGTTCATGATTCATCCATGGTGTGGCGTGTATTAGTACCTCATTCCTTTTTATTGCCAAATAACATTCCAACGTGTGGCTAGACCACAACTTGTCTGTCCACTGCTGAGCTGCTGGATGCTGACATTTGGACTCTTGGGCTCTTATGAGTAACGCTCCCGTGACCATCCCTGTTCGGGTGTTCTGGTGCACACATCTCCAGTTCTCCTGGGAGGATAACACTTTCGAACGATTCGTTTTCTTTTCCTCTCCTCAATTCCCTTTGTTTGCTCTTCCTCCTACTCAAGCAACTATGCAGTCTGGCAGCACTGTCGCAAATGGATACCTTGTTTCTCTCACTGCCTCCCATAGGGTGGGGCTTGGTTTCGATTTGTCACTTGATGTTTACTTTGATCACTTGACAACAGTGGTGTCTGCCAGCATCTCTCTTATAGAGTCATTCCTTTTTTTTTTTTTTTTTTTTTTTTGAGACGGAGTCTGGCTCTGTCGCCTAGACTAGAGTACAGTGGCACGATCTAGACTCACTGCAACCTCTGCCCCCCAGGTTCAAGTGATTCTTGTGGCTCAGCCTCCCCTGTAGCTAGGATTACAGGCGTGTGCCACCACACCTGGATAATTTTTATTAGAGATGGGCTTTTTACCATGTTGGCCTGGCTGGTCTCGAACTCCTGACCTCAAGTGATCCACCCACCTCGGCCTCCCAAAGTGCTGAAATTATAGGCGTAAGCCACCATGCCCGGCCAAAGTCATTCTTTTTTCATGTTCTCTGCCATTTTGTGGGTAGGTACTTTGAAATTCTGCAAATATCTCCATTCCTCACCAAATTCTCAGTGCATTCATTTATTTTTTATATCTGTATGGATTCCTGGTTTCCTGTTATATTCAATGGAGTATAATTTTTTGTGACTATAATTTATTTTTATGTTCAGATTGTCCTAGATTTGGCCAGTGGTCACCTTTCCAAAGCAGCTTCTTGGTTTTTGACGCGTTCTTATTATTCTTTGAGCACTCCCTTCCTCTCTAAAGTCCCTCTCCACATGGTCTCTCATCTTGACCCCAAATTCTGGGTTCAAAGAGGACAGAGTGTTCATCAAGCGTGTGTGGTGTGCATGTGTGTGTGTGTGTGTGTGCGCGCGCATGTGCGTGCGTGAGTGCATGTGTGTGTGAGTGCATGCATGCATGAGTGCGTGTGTGTGTTTAACGCGCTGCTGGACCTCTGGCTAAAGCAAGTCACGTGGCTCAGGCCAGTGTCCACATGGGCAGGGCCACAGAGGGACCCAGGTGGCCTGATCCACTGGGGCCACTAGTCCTACATCTCACCATGCCATTGTTGACAGAGGTGTAGACAAAAAGAAAAAATTTTCTCCTATAAAAATACAAGCCCCCCAAAATTTTACAAATGCCAGCTGAAACCCAGCCTCAGCGTTGGAGAGAAAATAGGGAGTTGCAGGGAACTGACAGAGAATGAAAGGCTCCAAGCCAAGGTGGCAGCCCCTGTGTAGCCCCTGCTCATTGTTCTAGGTAGGACGTAGGACCTAGACCCAGTGTTGCCAGATCTTCCGATTTTTTTTTTCAGAGAAACTGAAACTCTTTAGAGTTTTAGATGAAATTCAGATATTAAAGTATGGGCTCAAATGTTTAATCCTATGGGAGGCAACAGAGCCCACTGGGGCTGGCATGCGGCTGGCAGGCCACTGCTGGCTCCCTCTGGTTGAGGCTTCCGGCATCTGCACTTCCAGGCAGAGCCGGCCCTACACAGCCCCAGAAGGCTTCCGTTGCAAGGGGGCAGAAATCCCACCCACGCTGGGTCTGAAATAGGAGGAAAGTTATCACTCAGTAAATGGTAACTGAAAGGGGCTGGGGCTTTACAGCAGAATCGGAATTGGGAATTTTTTTTTTTTTTTTTTTTTTTTGCGACGGAGTTCCGCTCTGTCACCCAGACTGGAGTGCAGTGGTGCTCTTGGCTCACTGCAGCCTCCACCTCCCGGGTTCAAGCGATTCTGCTGCGTCAGCCTCCTGAGTAGCTGAGATTACAGGCACCTGCCACCACGCCTGGCTAACTTTTGTATTTTTTTTTTTTTTTTAGTAGAGAGACAGGGTTTCACCATGTTGGCCTGGGTGGTCTCGAACTCCTGACCTCAGGTGAGCCGACTGCCTTGGCCTTAGTCAAGGCCAGCACTTTGGGATTGCAGGTGTGAGCCACCTCGCCCAGCCAAATTTTTTTTTTTTTTTTCAGAGGCTGGGGCTGGCTTTGGCTATGCTGATGTCATGGCTCAAGTGACATCCCCAGGCCTCAGTTTCTCCATCTCTTTGCTCTGTTTTCTCATTAGCTGGCTTCATTCTCAGACAGACTTACTCTGTGCAACATGGCAGCTCCCGGCTTCCATGACCCTCGGTGCTTGAGTGCCCCAAAGGAGAGAAATTCCCTTTCCCCAAGTGTTCAGCTCTGCCAGGCTGCCATCCCCTCCCCACCCCATCGGGCACTACATCTGTGCTTTGGGGGCTGCTCAGGAGCCTGCCTGACCTGGGGGAAGCAGGGACATCCACGCCGAATTACACAGAGCAGGACAGCAGCAGGCAGCAAAGGAAAGGGGAAGGAACCCGAGCAGGGAGAAGCAACAAGTGTCAATTAATCATAGGAGGTGAGGCCAGCTTTTGCCTGCAGTCAAGGGACATGAATATTGAGACTCTAGGTCAGCAAGTGACTTGTTTTAGCTCTTACCTATAGGACAAGAACTTAAGAATCTCTTCTGCTTCTCCACTCTGTGCTCTTTTTCCTGCATCTTTTTTGAGATAGAGTCTTGCTCTGTTGCTCCCCAACCCCCATCTTTTTTGAGATAGAGTCTTGCTCTGTTGCTCAGGCTGGGGTGCAGTGGTGCAATCTCAGCTCACTGCAGTCTCGACCTCCTGGGCTCGAGCTATCTTCCCACCTCAGCCTCCTGAGTAGCTAAGACTACAGGTGCATGCCACCATTCCCAGCTAATCTAAAACAATTTTTTTTTTTTGTAGAGACAGGGATCTCACTATGTTGCCCAGGCTGTTCTTGAACTCCTGGGCTCAAGCGATCCTCCTGCCTTGGCCTCTCAAAGCATCAGAATTACAGCCACTGTCCCTGGCCCCTGCACTTTTTACTAAAATCTCTTGATGTTGTGAAGTAAGTCCCTGTCCTGATGGGACTTGGCCATGGCATTCCCTAGGCATTAATTTTGTTGCTAGAACTTGGACACATGGTCAGAGTGGAATCTTGAGACTTTTTTCTTTGTAAGATCTTATATTATTATTATTACTTGCATATTCATTGTAGAAAATTTTAGAAAATACTAAAACTCATAATCCAGTCTCTGAAAGGTAGCCACGGCCAACAGGTTGGCATATTTCTTTCTTTATACCTGGGTACGCTGGTGCTCTATGTACAATTGTGTACCTGCTTTCTAAACTAGAAAATCTCAAGCTCCTCAAGTTGGTAGCGTGATGATTGGCCTGGGACTCCTGAAGTTCCAGCCTCAGGACAGGACAGGACCTGTCCCTGGGACCATGTCCGCTAGCAAGGGGCACAGATGACTTCCCATTTCTGCCTGGCCACATGGCTCCCGATGCTTGGGCTCAGTCTGCAGATGTGATGGAGGAGGAAGGACACGTGCCTCCTTGCTCTGTCTGCTCTCCTTTTCTCTTTGCGCCACCCGGTGGCAGATGAGCAGGACATCCACACTGTCTTTGATGGTTAGGTGCACGACCCCTGACTCCTCACCCCCCCACCTCACCCTAGAAGGATTTGTGAAGATGGTTTCTGAGTGTTCGATGGCCTTCTAGGCTGACAGCGGTGGGTCCCCGGCGATGGTTCTGGCACACCCCCAGCCCATTTACGAAATGCACGCTGTTTACTCCGCGTCTCTTGAGTGGGTCCCAGGGGACCATTTTCCTCCCTTAGGTAAGTCCAAGCTTAGAGAAGTTCAGCACACACAGATTATGCACTCAGCCGACTGAAATGATTTTCTGTTGCGATTAGAGTCAATGGTGAAAATCACACACATCACTTCGTGAAGTAAATTATTGTTCGCTTGATAGATCCTAATAGCTCTCCAGAGTTGTTAAGGCCTAAACAGTCCATGGAGAGTTTGGGGAGGTAGGAGGGTGGGAGGCAGGGGGAGACAGAGTGGGTGAGGGGGGAGGGGAGAAGGGGAGTCTCATCATTCCAGAAAGCAAGGCACGATAAGACTGGCATGCGATGCGCTCTTACTGGAACTCCAATCCTTAACTACTTCTGTACTTCATGGGCTCATAAATATCGCCGAGTCCTTTTCTGTATTTCCGTGCACAACTTTCTGTTTGGCTGATGCCCAGCTCTCTCTTTTTCTGTCAACCCGTTGTCATGCGTGTAAAACACAGAGGAAAGTGCCGGCTGTTAATGTCATCATCGTGCACAGCTGGCTCCTGCTCTGCTTCGAAGCTTAACTCAAGATCCACCTCTGGGTGATACACGACCCTCTACACCCCCTTTCCTCTGAACGCTGATGATGGTGACAGTGATGATTATGACGAAAGCAATGGTGATGGTGACGATGATGATGACAAACAATACCCATTGGCCACTGTCCGTGGGTCCAGCACCGCCTTCTTCAAGACCCTATTCTAAATCCTTTATTCATATCAATCAGTTTAATAGATGGTGTGTCAAGGGAAGCCAGCTGATGTTATCCCTGTTACACGAATCAGGAAACTGAGGCAGGAGAGGCTGAGTGACCCTCCCCGGTCAATACGGCTTGTTAGATGCAGAGTGAGGATCTGAACTCAGGCCCCCAGGCCCTCGTGGGTGAGGCTGCCTCTCCAGGGATCATAGCACTTGGTTTGGCACTTGTACCCCTGCAGGAATTATGAGCTAACTGTCTACACTGCTAAGCTGCCTCCCAGTCTCAAAGCTAAAGAAACCCTCAATCCCCAAAGTGTAGGTAGTAAGCGCTTAACTAATGTGGAGCAGCTGGCAAAGGCCCTGGGGTGGGGGGCAGATAGGGAAGTGCTTTCATTTCACAGTAACAGGCCCTCCTTGGGCTCCAAATACATAAAGGGAACTTTGCGGCCACACCCCAGGTCCTGCTGAACACTGGAAGTCTGGAGATATCTGAAAGGGAGAAACGGGGTGGATGCATGCGTCTAAGGGAGGAGGGCAGGGTTGGGTGGGTACACTGAGGCCCAGGCTGGGTCGCTGGATGAGACTTGATATGTTCAAAAGCGCGTTTTGATTCTTCTCTCCCCAGACTTGCACCTCTTTCTGTCTTCCTCATCTGAGTCACTGAGCAGCCCCATCCTTCCACATTCTCAGGACAAAAGCCAAGGGCTTGGGAGTCATCCTTGACCCCTCTTTCTCTCATCCACACCCAAGCCATCAGAAAACCCCATGCCTCCTCCTCTGGCACAGACCCAGAATCGAGCCCTCCTCACCGGCCACCTCTGCTCCTTCATCAAGCTCCCATCATCTCTGCCTGGGTTTTGACAGTGGCCCCAACTGGCCTTTCTACTTCTTCCTGTGCCCCTGAGTCCATCCTTTCAGAGTAGCCTGGATGACCCTGTGAAATTCTAAGTCTGATCATGCCTCTCCTCTGCCCAATCCCACTCAGGCTCTCATCTCACCCGTGGGGAAAGCCGGTGTTCTCACAACGGAGAGCAAGGCCCCGCGTGGTCAGTCCTGGCCATCTCTCTGCCCACTCTGTCCCGCCTCACCCTGCCCCAGCACTCAGAGCGGGCTCCCCTCCAGGGCCTGTGCACCCTTCCCCAACACCCAGGGCTCACTCCTTCACTGCCTTCACCAATGTCACCAAGTCAGAAAGCTCTTTCCTTCTGTCCCTATTTAAAATAACAGCACACATCAGCCAGCTACCCCTTGTGGGCAAAGGCAGGGCCACTTTTGAGGTCCTCCCTCAAATTTCCATTGTGTGACCTGGTTGGGGATGGGAGGAGTCTTTGCACCGAAGATGTCCCAACTTTGCCCCCTTTGCCCATCAGCCATTTGCCATCACCCTCAAACGGCTCAGCCTCAGGGTTCTGGGCAAGTAAGGGGAGGGGCCTCCCCCAGCACAGAGAAGGAGCAGCTAGAGACAGGGTCCCTGTGCCATCATTCCCGGCTCCCTCTTCCCTTTGGGGGAAGAGGCAGCAGGAATACTTCAGCTTTTCTCTCCCTCAGGGGCAGGTGGCAGAGGGGCACCCAGGGTCTCCTTTGCATATAGGGGAAGGGCTCTAGGTGCCTGCAATGCCTCCCTTGTCTCGGATGATGTGTCCAGCACTCAGATTGTTGTAAACTTTTTTTTTTTTTTTTTTTTTTGAGACGGAGTCTCACTCTGTCACCCAGGCTGGAATGCAGTGGTACGATCTTGGCTCACTGCAACCTCTACCTCCCAGGTTCAAGCAATTCTCCTGCCTTAGCCTCCCGAGTAGCTGAGATTACAGGTGCCCACCATCACACCCGGCTAATTTTTGCATTTTTAGTGGAGACAGGGGTTTCACCATTTGGCCAGGCTGGTCTTGAACTCCTGACCTCAAGTGATTCACCTGCCTCGGCCTCCCAAAGAGCTGGGATTACCGGTGTGAGCCACCTTGCCTGGCCAGATTGTTGTAAACTTTTGTTTTGTATGAGCAAAATTGTCTTTACTAAACAGATTTTGATAGTTAAAATAAAATAGCAGCCCCCTCCCTCTGTTTTTCTCTACAGCAGGTGTCACCAGCTGCCATGCTAGGCATTTACTTGATTTGTTCATTGTTGTTGTTGGACTGTAGGCTCTGCCAGGTCAGGTAATTTTGTCTGTTTGGTTTGATGTCAGATTTCCAGCACCCAGAACGGTCCTTGGTATGTCACAGTGTCAGTATTTGCTGGTGAATGGATAAATGAATGAGTGAAAAATAAATGACCATCCCATTCTGGGGCGTGATACTCAATTCAGTCTGACTTGGCACTTTGGGCCTTACATCTGACTCTCTTCCTCTTTTTAGATAGTGATAAAATATACCTAACATAAAATTCACCTTTTTTTTTTTTTGAGATGGAGTCTCGCTCTGTTGCCCAGGCTGGAGTGCAGTGGTGCGATCTCTGCTCACTACAAGCTCTGCCCCCCGGGTTCATGCCACTCTCCTGCCTCAGCCTCCCGAGTAGCTGGGACTACAGGTGCCTGCCACCACGCCTGGCTAATGTTTTTGTATTTTTATTAGAGACGAGGTTTCACAGTGTTCACCAGGATGGTCTCGATCTCCTGATCTCGTGATCTGCCTGCCTCGGCCTCCCAAAGGGCTGGGATTACAGGCGTGAGCCACCACGCCCGGCCAAAATTCACCATTTTAAGCATTTTAAAGTGCACAGTTCAGGGACGTAAGTACATTCACATTGTTGGGCAACCATCACCACCACCCATCTCCAGAGCTTTTTCATCTTTCAGACTGAAACTCTCTACCCACTCCTTCCCCAGCCCCTGGTAAACCTCAATGCTACTTTCTGTCTCTATGAATTTGACTATTCTAGGTACTTCATGTCTTAGTGTGTTTTGTGCTGCTATAACATATAACACAATAGCGTAGATTAGGTAATTTATTAAGAACGTAAATTTGGCCGGGTGTGGTGGCTCACACCTGTAATTCCAGCACTTTGGGAGGCTGAGGCAAGTGGATCACCTGAGGTCAGGAGTTTGAGACCAGCCTGGTCAACATGGTGAAACCCTGTCTCTACTAAAATTACATACACACACACACACACACACACACACACACACACACACACACACACACACAAATTAGCCGGGCATGGTGGCACGAGTAATCCCAGCTACTCAGGAGACTGAGGCAGGAGAATCACTTGAACCTAGGAGGCGAAGGTTGAAGTGAGCCGAGACTGTGCCATTGCATTCCAGCCTGGGCAACAAGAGGGAAAGAACATAAATTTATATCCTCACAGTTATGGAGCCTGGGAAGTCCAAGATCAAGGTGTTGGCATCTGGCTAATGCTTTTCGTATTAGTCCGTTTTCACACTGCTAGTAAAGACATATCCAAGACTGGGTAATTTATACAGGAAAAAGGTTTAATGGACTCACAGTTCCACATGGCTGGGGAGGCCTCACAATCAGGGCGGAAGGCAAGGAGGAGCAAGTCACATCTTACCCGGATGGCAGCAGGCAAAGAGAGAGCTTGTGCAGGGAAACTCGCCCTTATAAAACCATCAGATCTCGTGAGACTTATCCACTGTCACAAGAACAGCATGGGAAAGACCCACCCCATGATTCAATGACCTCCCAGTGGGTCCCTCGACAACACATGGGAATTGTGGGAGCTACAATTCAAGATGATACTTGAGTGGGGACACAGCCAAACCATATCACCTTCTTTCTGTGTTATCTCATGACAGAAGGCAGAAAGGTGAGAGAGAGAGAAAGAGAGAGAGAAGGTGGGGGGAGAGAGAGAGAGAAGGTGGGGGGAGAGAGAGAAAGAACGAGCAAGCTGGACTCATTCTTTTATAAGAAACCCACTCCCACGATAACATTATCCATTCATGAATATCTTCATGAATGTATTTGTGAGGGCAGGGACCTCATGATCTAATCACCTCCCATCAGGCAGCCCCACCTCCCAACACTGCTGCACTGGGGATTAAGTTTCCAACATATACTTTTTGGGAAACACATTGAAACCACAGCACCTGATGTAAGTAAAATCATACAGTATTTGTCGTTTTATGACTGGCTTATTTCACTTAGCATAATGTCCTCTAGGTTCGCCCATGTCAAAGCAAAGGTGAGAATTTCCCTCCTTTTTAGGGCTGGATAATATTCTATTGTGTGGATAGACCTCATTTTGTTTACCCATTCATCTATAGATGGACGCTAGGGTTGCTTCCAGCTTTTGGCTGTTGTGAAGACTGCTGCTCTAAACACGGATGAGCAAATAGCTGTTGGAGTCCCTGCTTTCAATTCTTTGGGGCATTTACCAAAGTGGGATTGCTGGATTACACGGTAATTCTGTGTTTAATTTTTTGAGGAATCACCACACCTAACTCTTTCTCAGTAAAATACTTTAATGTGAATTCCTACCTTTCAAGTCCCACCTCCTTGGTGACAATTCTCTGACCATCTCTATCCCCTGGAACCTCTGATCTGAGGACTCTCCTCCATGTCCTGCTGCCTCCCAGACATCTCCAACGCTCCATTGGTGTGGATTTGTGACAGTTCTGTCCTTTCGGGCTGCGAAAAGCTCTGGTGGCCCCTCTCTCTGTCACTAGATGGCACTGGAGAGTAGTTTGGGTTTGCTTCCTCCTGGAGAAAGCCTTCTTGTTTTCTTCTAGGCTAGGGTGGTGATTCCTCATGCCAGGCTGGGTGGAACTGCTTTTCAGCGATCCCTGCCTGGGGTCACATTTCCTTGAAACTTGGCCATGGCTTGGGTTTCTATGGCTTTGGTTAGGGAAGCCTCCTCTAGCCTCTCTGAAAGGAGTAATGGTACTGGGAAAACATTGGTACGTTGGAAAGAACATTGGATGGGGTGCCACAAGGACCTCCATCTGAATCCTTGTTCCATCGAGAACTCTGTGTGACTTGAACAAGCCAGTTGGACTCTCTCAGCCTCAGTTTCCCTACTTGTAAAACCACTGTGTTGGATGAGTCAACGACTCTCATTTCTGCCAGAGCATGAGACTCCCCGGGGGGGAAAGAATATCAGTGTGGGCTGAATCAGAAGCTCCAGGTGGAGTGCTTTCAAAGCTCCCCAGGTGATTCTCATACAGCGTGGTGGGGAATCCCTGGGTTCAATGGGCCCTGAGATCCCTTCTTGCTGCACAAGGCTCTGTGCCTTCCCAGCTGCGTGACATGGAGCAAGTAACTCCTTTAAGCTCCAGTTTTTTCATCTTATAAAATGGGAATAATAATGGCACCTATCACCGCATGGGGTGTGCGGGTCAGAGGCGAGCTGAGCACTGCATCTCACATGTGCCTGGCACAGCCAGCGCTCAGAGGGCAGTGGGTCTTCCAACTCCTAGATTGGCTCTTCTCGGGACACAGGCGGCAGGGGTGCAGCAAAATCACCTGGAGAGTTTTTGTCAAGACACCTGCCTGAGGATCCACATCCTGAACTTCCAAATCAGGGGAACTCATTCGAATTAGAGGGCCTGGGTAGATCCAGGCTCTGAGTTATTTGAAACAGCACCCAACACCTCAGCACACTGCCTGACTCTCATGAGATGCTCAACACGTTAGGTTACACAGGTCATTTCATTAAGGGAAGCTTCTAGAAGAAAGCGTCCCTAGAGGCCGGGCACGGTGGCTCATGCCTGTAATCCCAGCACTTTGGGAGGCCAAGGTGGGCGGATCACCTGAGGTCAGGAGTTCAAGACGAGCCTGACCAACATGTTGAAACCCCGTCTCTACTAAAAATACCAAAAAATTAGCCAGGCGTGGCGGCAGACACCTATAATCCCAGCTACTTGGGAGGCTGAGGCAGGAGAATCGCTTGAACCCGGGAGGCGGAAGTTGCAGTGAGCTGAGATTGTGCCATTGCACTCCAGCCCGGGCGACAACAGAGAGACTCCGTCTCAAAAGAAAAAAAAAAAAAGAAGAAAAAAAAGAAAGTGTCCCTAGAGCTGAGTTTTGAAGGCCAACAAGGAGTTAGCAAAGCGAAGAAGGGTGGGGAGTTTTCTCACCAGACAGAGGGAATGGTGAGTCAGATGAGAGGCTGGGGCAGAAAGGACTGAGTTTATCCACTCACACGCCTTTCAGACCGCTGACCCTGCACCGGGTTCTGGACAGAGAGCAAGGTGGGTGCGTTCCCTGCCCCTGCAAAGCTTATGTTCCAGAGGAGAAGCTGTGGGACAGGAGACCCAAAACCATATACTGAGAACCCAGAAGTCTGAGCTCTGTCCTGAGAGTTCTGAAGAACCCTGAAGGGTTTAAGACAGGGGCTAGCCAGGGTGACGTGGCATTGCCAGAAGCTCATGGTTCCAGTGGATGTTGGATTGGAGCCATGAGGAGGGGGGGGAAGAGGGAGGAAGGAGATCTGTGGGGAGGTCACCGTGGTCATCTCGGTCATCTGGGGAAGGGTTGCTGGGGCAGTAGTGGCGAATGGAAGGGGCGAGGGGCTCAGTGACTGCACATGTCTGGTGAGGAGGAGGAGGAAGAGCAGGAGGAGGAGGAGGAAAGTGGGAGCGCTGGTTAGAGAGGTCAGAGTTGGGGCCTGCGTGGCGCTGTGGCCGCGGGAGGGCTTGGCGGTCCCTGAGTGCCCCTGGGAAGTGTCAGGGTTGGAGCAGAGGGAAACATGCCCTGACCTGGGCTCTAAAAGGGCCACCCTTTGTGCAGAGAGGAGGGGGCAACGGTAGAAGCAGAAGGTCCAGCAGGAGGAGACTGTAGCCATCCAGTGGGCAGGCGAGGGGAGGGCATCCCTCATGGTGGTGGGGTGGGAGCACTGGGGGCACCGGAATTGCTGATGGATTGGATTGAGAGTGAGAGGGGAGTCGAGGGTGACTCAGGTTTGTAGCCTGAGCAGCGGGAGGGTGGAGCTGTCATTCATGGAACTTGGGAGGCTGGAGAGGGATTTAGCTGGGGAGTTGGGGGTGTGCGGCGTCAGAGTGGGGTCGTCAGAGTCAGGCTGGAGAGTCCTCTGAGTGTGGCATGTATGATGCTATTTCCAGTCAAGGGATATCCCAGGGGCTCTGGCCATGGGAGGTTCTTGGTGATCTTGGCCTCTGCAGCCTCAGGGGGGTGGCCTGGCTGGGAGCTGGAGGGGAGTGGGCCAAGGAGGAGAGGGGTAGGAACCAGTGGAGGTGGTTGGGGAAGCAAAGGTTGACAGCCACGTTGGTCACCTCCGGCTGCCCTAACAAAGCAGCATGGACTGCGTGGCTGAAACCACACACACTCATTTCTCACAAGCTCAGGGTGTGGCATGGCAGGGCTCTGGGAGGCCTCCCTTGCTGGTCTGCAGACACCGCCTTCTCACTGCGTCCTCACACGGCAGAGAGAGAGGGTGCGGGCTCCATGGTGTCTTTCTCTTGTAAGTAAAACCGTGCCCCCAAGAGTCAAAGATACAGACGGCCAGCAGAAATTCTTGAGTTTGCAGGGTGGCAGATGAGAAAGGAAACAGCTGGCTGGAATACTGAAGCTTCCTCTGCCCATGAGATGAAAGAATGGGCTGAAGTCAGTCGCAGCCCCGGGGACCGGCTGGAGTCCGTGCAGAACCCGCCTGCCAACGTCGCAGCCTGAATCGCCCCCTGAATTTGCACATGTGACACACGAGGTAGCATGAAGAGGTGACTGCACATGCCTAAGGACTTTCCAGACCTCCACTTTCTTCCGCCAATCACCTACAGATCCCAGAATCCACCCCTTGGACCTTTCCTAATAAAAATACTGCCTTGAGGCCAGGCACAGTGGTCCAGGCCTGTAATACCAGCATTTTGGGAGGCCGTAGTGGGCAGATCACTTGAGGAGTCCGAGACTAGCCTGGCCAACATGGTGAAACCCTGTCTCTACTAAAAATACAAAAATTAGCCAGGTATGGTGGCGGGTGCCTGTAATCCCAGCTAGTCTCGAGGCTGAGGGAGGAGAATCGCTTGAACCTGGGAGGCGGAGGTTGCAGTGAGCCGAGATCGTGCCACTGTACTCCAGCCTGAGCAACAAGAGTGAAACTCTGTCTCAAAAAAAAAAAAACAAAAAAAAGTAAATAAATAAAAAACACTGCCTTGAAGTATTCCAGCACCGGGAGACAGACTTGAGCTTGTCTCCTGTCTCCTTGGGAGCTGAGTTTCAATACAAAGGTTTTATTTTCTCAAAAACTCAGCATCATAAGATTGGCTTCTAGCACATCGGGCAGCAACCCCGTTTTGCCCTACAGCACAAGGACACTAACCCTGCTGTGTCAGGGCCCCACCCTTATAACCTAATTTAACCTTAATGTCTTCCTTAGAGGCCCTATCTCCAAATACAGTCACCCTGAGGGTTAGGGCTTGAACATGGATTTTAAGGGGACACAATTCAGTCCACATCAATACCTCACATGGGGGGAAGCCAGGCCCTCTGTCCTAAAACCCACCCGTCTCCCCAGGCTTGAGAACTGCTTTCCAGCCTATAAGAGAACAACCCCTTCTCCTCATAGAGCGAGGAGCCCTCCAGAGATTCTGCTGCCCCTCTGCTTCTAGAAAGACCCTTCTCCTCATAGAGCGAGGAGCCCTCCAGAGATTCTGCTGCCCCTCTGCTTCTAGAAAGACCCTTCTCCCCACTCCACCTTCCCATGTATCAGGCCCAGCCGCACACCCATCCGCTGTGAGTATGTTCTTGCTTTGTAAAAACTGTGCTGACACCAAACTCATCAAATTGTATATATTAAATATATGCCGTGTTTTGTATATCAAGTATACCTTAAAGCCATATTTATTTATTTATTGAGATGGAGTTTCACTCTTGTTGCCCAGGCTGGAGTGCAGCGGTGCAATCTCGGCTCACTGCAACATTTGCCTCCCGGATTCAAGTGATTCTCTTGCCTCAGCTTCCCGAGCGCCTTTCTTACAGGTGCCCGCCACCGCGCCCAGCTAATTTTTTTTTGTATTTTTAGTAGAGATGGGGTTTCACCATGTTGGCCAGGCTGGTCTCGACCTCCCAACCACAGGTGATCCGCCCGCCTCGGCCTCCCTAAGTGCTGGGATTACAGGCATAAGCCACCGCGCCCGCCTCTTCTGGGCCTATGTAAATTGAACACATTTATGAGGCCCTGCTCTGTGCCCAGACACTGTGCTAAGCTTTGAGGATCCACGATGACCACCTGGAGGAAGCCGCCGGTTCCCCTCTCCCAGGGATGTTTTCCATCTGCCTTCACCCGGCTCGTGCCCCGCTTGCTGTGGCTCTCGCTGTGTTGCGTTGTCTGCTACAGACCTTTCCTTCTACACTGTGTTACCTACGCGTTATCAACATCTGAGTGTCCTGTGATCTGAGTGACACCGATCCCAGTGCCTGGTCCGTGGCAGGCATTTATCTGTTGACTGAAGGAGAAACAAGAAAGTAAGGAAGCAGCCCCGGAGCTGGAGGGATCCGCAGGGCCCCCGAGGCCAGTTGTCTTGCTGCTGAGAAGCAGAGGAGTTCCAGAGCTTAGCGACTTCTCCCAGGTCGTCAGCGAGCGAGCGGCAGAGGCAGGACAAGAACCCGGAGCGCCCCACTTTACAGGGCACCTGCTCTCTCGACCTGTCTCTGGGTGGGGCTTTCTTGCCACGAACTTGCCCCTCCCCGACTCAGACTTTGTGCCTGGCCCTGACCCTTTCCCTCCTGGCCTCCGCACGCCGTGAGCGTGTCCCATCAGCGTGTCGAGTGAATCCGCGTAGACGCCCACCTCCCTGCCTGAGCTCTGCAGGTCCACCCTCTGTGTGGGACGGTGCCGCGTGCAGGTGCACACTTGAGGGAACCAGGTGGTTCAGGGTCCACAGAAACCACCTGCAGCCGGTAAGCTGCGATTTTAAAACACGTGTAAAGGAAATAATCCATCAGCACTAACTAGAAGAATCAAGAGGTAAATCCTTTATGTTTTGCTTTGAGTAAGAGTTTAATTAGCAGCCATAGATTTCTCTGGAACTGGATTTTAGTTTCTATTGGTTGGGGCCCAAGCTTTGAAGGGTGACATATTTTGATGCAGAGGAAAAAAAAATCAATGTATAGATTGTTACTGGAAGCATGAGTTTCACACATTTCTTCTATAGAGGGGTGTGTGTGTGTGTGTGTGTGTGTGTGTGGTTGGTCACGAGAACCAAAGAAATCACTATCTCAGTAGACAGAAGCAATAGGAAAATCACTTACCGGAGGGCTCCTTACATTTTTTTTTTTCATTTCTTTTGCTTTTACTGTGAATGGTAAGCTTTTGTTAACTTAGTAGACTGATTGCCTTGTTTGCAAGGGCAAGACTATGAAAACGCCAACAGGCCAAGTCCGTAGCTGCAGGCACAGAACTTCACAGGCTCTGGAAATGCAAACACTCGTCGGAGTCATCGGCAGCCGTGGCTTCTCAGGAATCTGGGAGAGGAGAATGCAAACCGATTATTCGAGTTGACGGGAGAAATACAAACACAATTCCAACTCTCAGACTTTTTAATTAGTTCTCTCTGCTTGCTAGGGTTGGCCTTTAGCCTTAATTGTGGAGGGAATGGTGTTTGTCTCCTGTAAATAAACTTCAGTCAAAAAGCAGATAAGGGCTGGGTGCGGTGTCTCACTCCTGTAATCCCAGCAGTTTGGGAGGCCGAGGAGGGTGGATCACTTGAGGTTGGGAGTTCGAGACCAGCCTGGCTGGCCAACATGGTGAAACCCCATCTCTACTAAAAATACAAAAGATTAGCCAGGCATGGTGGCACATGACTGTAGTCCCAGCTACTTGGGAGGCTGAGGCAGGAGAATAGTTTGAACCCGAGAGGCGGAGGTTGCAGTGAGCCAAGATCATGCCATTGCACTCCAGCCTGTGTGACAGAGTGAGACTCCATCTCAAAAAAAAAAAAAAAAAAAAAAAAAGAACGATTTGTACAGCTGCAAGCAACTCTAGACCAGCACTGTCCAGAGAAGTGAGCCACATTGGCCATTTAAAATTCTCCAGAAGCCCCATTAAAGAGAGAAAAAATCAAATGAAGTTAATTTAATTTTATTTTAATTTTGAGACAGTCTTGCTCTGTCACCGAGGATGGAATGCAGTGGCTCATTCATAGCTCACTGCAGCCTCGGCCTCCTGGGCTCAAGTAATCCTCCCACCTCAGCCTCCCAAGTAGCTGTGACTATAGGTGCACGCCAGCACACCCAGCTAATGTTTGTATTTTTTGTAGAGATGGGGTTTGCTGTGTGGCCCAGGCTGGTCTCGGAGTCCTGGGCTCAAGTGATCCTCCTGCCTTGGCCTCCCAAATTGCTGGGATTATAGGAGTAAGCCGTTGTGCCTAGCCAAAGTGAAATTAACTTTAATCTTCATCTTAGTTCAATATATCTGAAATATTATCCATTCAACATGCAATCCACATACAAATTTGTATTATTGTTGTTATTTTTTAGACACAAGGTCTTGCTCTGTCACCCAGGCTGGAGTGCAGTGACATGATTATGGCTTACTGCAGCCTCAACCTCCTGGGCTCAAGAGATCCTCCTGCCTCAGCCTCTTGAGTAGCTGGGACCACAGATGTGCACCACCATGCCCAGCTAATTTTTAAATTTTTTATAGGGACGGGCTCTTGCTATGTTGTCCAGGCTGGTCTTGAAATCGGCCTCCAGCAATCCTCCTGCCTCTGTCTCCTAAAGCTCTAGGATTAGAGTCGTGAGTCACTGCACCTAGTCCACACAGAAATTATTAATGAGATATTTTACATCTTTTCCCATACATGCTGAGTCCTGCAATATGACAGTGACAGAAGGTGACAAAGATATTTAGAAACAAACTTACTAGGTGGAAAGAGGGAGTATAGAAATGAATGGCCTTTGGATAAAACCTTCCTCCCTTTGTGACTGGGCCACTCACCAACCCCTTAAAGTCTGTCCCCAGCTCAAGCTCAGGTGCAGCTGTCCCTGTGGAATGAGCCTCATGGGTGCTTTGAGGGCTAGACAGGGTGAGCTGGCTGTGCTGCAGGTCTTGCTCAGACCCTGGTGAACTGTCCCTGAATCCCTGTCTTGTTCATTCATCCAATATTTATTGATCACTGCCAATGCAAAACATGGCATACACAACATTCCATTGATCGACAACCTTCTGCCCCTGGTCTCCTCTCCTTATGACACGTTTGGAGCCTCTCAGCCTTGTCTCATTCCCTCTCATGCTAGGAGAACTCCAGTACTTGGCTTTGAACCTGACTGCTAGAGACAGAAACCTCAGCCAGCTATGGAGAAAGGGGGCCCTCCTCTCCTGCAGCTGCAGCAAAGCAGGTGTTATTCTGCATCATAAACCATCCTGGCCAATGTTTCCAAGAAAGAGATCTTCAGAGGTTGTTGCTATGCCCTGGGAAAGCTGCCTTCAATCTCCAAAACATCTGTAATCCTCATCAGGTTTCTTACTCAAGAAGTTGTGGCCCTGGGTAACGCTATATGTGTCAAAACCTGTTTTCTAAATTGTATATTTGGCTGGCTTCTCAGACCTCTCTTCCACCCCATCTACTAGAGTGACCTTTCTCAATTCCAAATCCGCTTAAGGCAAAGAGCTTCATCAGTGCATCCTTCTTCTCCCTGTTCACTTAAAAATAAATCACTATATACACATTTAGAAAAAGAGAGAAGACTGGCCGGGCGTGGTGGCCCACGCCTGTAATCCTAGCACTTTGGGAGGCCTAGGTGGGTGGATCACAAGGTCAGGAGATCGAGACCATCCTGGCTAACACGGTGAAACCCTGTATCTACTAAAAATACAAAAAGTTAGCCAGGCGTGGTGGCACATGCCTGTAGTCCCAGCTACTTGGGAGGCTGAGGCAGGAGAGTGGCTTGAACCCGGGAGGTAGAAGTTGCAGTGAACTGAGATTGCACCACTGCACTCCAGCCTGGGTGACAGAGACAGACTCCTCCTCAATTAAAAAAAAAAAAGAAAAAGAGAAGAGACTTTATTTCTTCTAAAGGGTTCCACCCTGCAAGGTGGCCATGGAGCAAGGTGGGAAGTATACCTCCGGCCAAGACCAGAGACAGGCTCTTTGAAGGAGGAGGGGTTGGGCCTGACCAGGCTGGCTAATCATACATATTCAACAGGTTACAGGAGGAGCTATGAATATTCATGAAGGTGTCCTGACTCATGCGTACTGAATAATCATGCACGTCACAGGTGACCCATGTTCACTTTGGGATGGAGACTCCACATTTAAATGTATTACAATCAGGCCCAAAAGATCCTTTCAGGACAGGAAGGCCTGAAAGTGCACTCTGTAAACCCGCCGGTGCCAGTCCATGGTGGGTGGCCTTCTTATCAGGAGAAAGTTACAGAAACCAGTGTCTTGTCCAGTCAAAGCTGGAATTAGGGCTGGTGGAACAGGAGGTCATTAGTTAGCATCTGGGAGCTAGATGAGTTGCAAGTGTTTGAATCTTGCTCATCTTGAGGCCAGGGCTTATTTAGCTGCTGGAGAACAAGGAAAAACCTTGTGGCAGGTAGAACCTCATTTTTTTGTTTGTTTGTTTGTTTTGTTTTTTGTTTTTTAATTTTTTTTTTTTTCGAGATGGAGCCTCACTCTGTCGCCTAGGCTGGAGTGCAATGGCATGGTCTCAGCTCACTGCAACGTCCACCTCCCGGGTTCAAGCAATTCTCCTGTCTCAGCCTCCCAAGTAGCTAGGACTACAGGCATGTGCCACCACACCCAGCTAGTTTTTATATTTTTAGTAGAGACAGGGTTTCACTATGTTGGCCAGGCTGGTCTTGAACTCTTGACCTCATGATCCATCCACTTCGGCCTCCCAAAGGGCTGGGATTACAGGCGTGAGCCACTGCACCTGGCTCCTCGTCTGTTTTTTAAGTGTAGGGGCGCAGCATTCAACCCTTGTGACCATAGGTCCTGTTTACAATTTGGTATCTTTTTGTCACAAAGAGTCTGTTCTGTCTCTCTTATGATGTCTATTCTAGCATTAATGCTGGCCAGTTGTTGTTTGTGCTGTTTGTTTGACTGGGACATACTATTTTATTTTATTTTTATTTTTTTGAGACAGAGTCTTGCTCTGTCACCAACCTGGAGTGCAGTGGCATGATCTCAGCTCACTGCAACCCCCGCCTCCCAGGTTCAAGCGATTCTCCTGCCTCAGCCTCCCGAGTAGCTGGGACTATAGGTATGTGCCACCACGCCCAGCTAATTTTTGAATTTTTAGTAGAGACGGGGTTTCACCATGTTGGACAGGCTGGTCTCAAACTCCTGACCTCATGATCCACCCACGTCAGCCTCCCAGAGTGCTGGGATTGCAAGCGTGAGCCACGTGCCCAGCCTGACTGAGACATATTAATTGGTACTTAAAAGCACTTACTATGTGCTTTAAACCATAAAAAGGAGAAAATCTGATGAGCCGTGTCTGACCTGTCCTGTCATGGCCAGGAACTCATAAGATTTCTCTGGAGTCCCCTTGGCCACAGGAGGTCCACTCAGTTGGTGGAGCACTTAGGATTTTATTTTTAGTTTACATGCCCCACAGATGTGGGGTTAGACAAAGAAAGAAAAACAGAGACTGGGTTTCGTAGCAAGGATTCACGAGCCCAGACCCATTCTGCTCTAGGAGACATTGGCAGTGTCTAGAGACATTTTTGGTTGTCACACTGGGCAGGGGGTCCTCCTGGCAGGTAGTAGGTGGAGGCCACGGATGCTGCTCACACCCTACAGAGCACAGGGCAGGCCCCACCACAGGGAGGGACGGATCCACCCTCGGGTGTCAGTAGTGGTGAAGCTGAGAAGCCTGTGATATGGTTTGGCTCCGTGTACCCACCCAAATCTCACCTCAAATTTTAATCCCCAAGTGTCGAGGGAGGGACCTGGGGGGAGGTGATTGGATCATGGGGGCAGTTTCCCCCATGCTGTTCTCATGATAATGAGTGAGTTCTCACAAGAGCTGATGGTTTAAAAGTGTGTGGCTTGGCCGGGCAAGGTGGCTCATGCTTGTGGTCCCAGCACTTTGGGAGGCCGAGGCGGGTGGATCACCTGAGGTCGGGAGTTCAAGACCAGCCTCACCACCATGGAGAAACCCCTATCTCTACTAAAAATACAAAATTAGCGGGGCATGGTGGCATGTGCCTGTAATCCCAGCTACTCAGGAGGTGGAGGCAGGAGAATCGCTTGAACCTGGGAGGCGGGGGTTGCAGTGAGCTGAGATGGCGCCATTGCACTCCAGCCTGGGCAACAAGAGTGAAACACCGTCTAAAAAAAAAAAAAAGTGTGTGTGGCTTCTTTCACCCCCCCCTTTCTCTCCTGCTGCCTTGTGAAGGAGGTACCTGCTTCCCCTTTGCCTTCTACCATGAGTGTAAGTTTCCTGAGGCCTCCCAGCCATGCAGAACAGTGAGTCAATTAAACCTCTTTTCTTTATAAATTACCCAGTCACAGGTATTCTTTATAGCAGTGTGAGAACAGACTAATACACCCTGCTCTGGGGCTGACAATCGAATCCTGGCTCTGCCTCTTCCTAGATTTGGAACATTGGGCTATTTACCTTACCTCTTTGTGCCTCAGTCTCTTGGTTTGTAAAACAGGAATAGGAATAGTACCATCCTCATGGAGTTTATTTGAGGGTCAAAATGAATGGATACATATAGAGTGCTAGAACAGGCCTAACACACAGTAAGTGCTTTTAAGTACCAATTAATCTGTCTCAGTCAAATAAACAGCACCTCCTTAGAGACAGACTCTGCTCTAGGTGGGGAGAAGATGCATAACAGTGCAGCAAACAGATGGAGCCCCTGTGCTCCTAGAGCCTGAGAGATGCTGTGGATTCCACTCAAGTCAACTAGTATGGGGCTTGTCATCCTGCCCTGAAGGCGGTTCTTTTCCAGGCTTTTTGTCTTGGTGAACTGCTTCGTCAGCCAGCTAGGTACCCTGGCCCAAAGCCCACCACACCCTCCCTTACCTGCTCCCAGCCAGTCTGTCCTCAGCTCTGTGAGAACTCCGTATCCTCACCTCTCCCATCCATCCCTTCCATTGTGATTGCCTTGGTGCAAAGTCTCCATCGTCTCTTCCCTAGACGAGTTCAACAGCTGGTCTCCTAATCACAACCCCACTATTCCCCCCAATCCATGTTCCAGAAGGAACTTTTCTTAACTGCAAATTCTCATTATCTATGAGAAAAACCAACTCTATGCTCATCTGCAGGGCCCAGGTGGCCCTACAACATCCACCCTTCTGCCTGTCCTGCCCCAGCCCTGGCCGCGCCTGCCTGCACTTAGGGTGGAAGGACCCAAGGCCTTAGACTGTCCTCAGGGAACTGAATGTCCAAGTTACCGATGGCTCACAAACAACCCTACAACTCAGCAGCTCTAAACAGCTGTTCTTTTCTTGTGAGTCTACGGCTCAGCCGGGTGGTTCTTCCATTTATGCCTGGGTTCTCTCATCAGTCTGTGGTCAGCTGCAGGTTGAGCAGGTGGCTTTGCCTAACTTGTCTGGTCTCTTTCATGCCTCTGGAGCCTAGACTGGGACAACTGGGCTGATTTGGCCCTGCTCCATGGGGTCTCTCATTCCCCAGCTGTGTGACTTTGGACAACTCCCATAACCTCTCTGAGCCTCAGAGTGAATAGTGATGTCCATCTCATGGTTAGCCAGGCTTGTTCCATGGAGGTGGCAGGGTTCTGGCAGGCTTGGAACAGACACATGGTTACTTCTTCAACACTCTGTTGGCTAAAACAAGTCATGTGGCCTACCCAGGGCAGTGCGGCAAATGGATTGTACCTCTCAAAGGGAGGACAGCAATGTTTCATTGCAAAGGGTGCAGGGAAGGGTGAAGAAATGGGACATTTCTGCCAAACACCCCACTGAGGGATCTGAGAAGAGCTGTCACTTTCTCTCCTGTCTGATTCTTTCCAAAGCTACTGTTAAGAATTATAGAGGCAAATACAGTGAGTCAATTCGTAAAACAAAAGATCATCATGGTTTCTGGGAAGAAGTTTTTGCAGTCATGACTGAGTCACTGCTGCCTGTGCAGGGGGGCAGGAGGGAACAGCTTAAGCCACCCAGAGCTGAGCATGTGGCTCTGTTTTAAGCTGACACCATGCACAGCTGTCTATGCCACTGCTCCTTTTTATTGAGCCAGTGGGTTGGAAAGGGAGCTTGGTGCCAATGTGACTAATAATTCTAAATTCTCTATGTGACAGTCATGGAGAATAAAGAGCGAGGCATCACTGTCAAAGTTTTGAAGAGCATTGCTTTGGGTATTGCTGTTGACTTTCGTGCTTCTACCGTGTGAGGTCTGGTCTCACGCCAGGCAGGGCTGAGCTCTGTGTGAACAGTATTTACTCCTACACTACCTCCTGAGATGGGCATTAGTGTTTGGTCTGAGGCTCAGAGAAGTCGTGAGACTTGTCCAAAGCCACACAGCTGAAATACAGACAGCCTGGAATGGAACTCTTGTCAGACCCCAAAGACAAGTTCTTTTTTTTCTTTTTTAGACAGAGTCTCGCTCTGTTGCCCAGGCTGGAGTGCAGTGGCGCGATCTCGGCTCACTGCAGCCTCTGCCTCCTGGGTTCAAGCAATTCTCCTGCCTCAGCCTCCCAAGTAGCTGGGACTACAGGTGTGCACCACCACGCCCGGCTAATTTTTAGTAGAGACGGGGTTTCTCTATGTTGGCCGGGATGGTCTTGATCTCCTGACCTTGTGATCCACCTGCCTTGGTCTCCCGAAGTGCTGGGATTACAGGCATGAGCCACTGTGCCTGGCCCAAAGACAGGTTCTTTAACCTCCAATGGAATGCAATTTTGTCCCACACTGGGGGCACTGGACAGAGATCCATCTATTTGCTTGGAATGCATTGTCAAGTCAGCGGAAGGGTTAATAGTATTGGGCATCTATAATGTGACAGGTCCTATTTGAGGCCAGGGAGAGACTAAGCTCTCAGAACAGGACATGCCTTCAAGAGGCCAACATTCTATGTGGGGGGAGAAAATAAATGGTTGGATGAAGCAGTTAACACAGACATTGATCCTGCTGTAAGGAGAGTGAAACTAGGTCTGTGATGGGTGAGCACCACCCAGGCGGTCCAGCTGGTGCAACCTGGGAAGGCTTCTTGGAGGCGGTGATGGGGAGCACTGAAGCTGAGGACTGACCACGAGGCGGCAGCACAGCATAGCAGGCTGCAGGGGCCAGGACCGGGTTTGCCTTCCTGGCTCCCTGATGATGTGGCTCAGCGCCTTCCGCTTCCCTCCCGCTGTTTCCTCTTGGTCTCCTTTGCTCTCAGTCTCACCCTGTCCCTGCTTTCCGTCATCTGAAATGGTGCTGCCACTCATGCAGAAGCACAAGACCTTGGGGACTGTCTTTCCCTCATCCCTAGGATTTTTATTTATTTATTTTTTGAGACAGGGTCTCACCATTGCACATGCTGGAGTGCAGTGTACTGGTGCAACCTCGACTCACTGCAACCTCTGCCTCCTGGGCTCAAGTGATTGTCCTTTCTCAGCCTCCCAAGTAGTTGAGACCATACTCAGCTAATTTTTGTATTTTTAGTAAAGACGGGGTTTCACCATGTTGCTCAGGCTGGTCTGGAACTCCTGAGCTCAGGCGATCCGCCTGCGTCGGCCTCCAAAAGTGCTGGGATCACAGGCGTGAGCCACTGCGCCCCGCCCCCTCATCCCTGGAATCTAATCCATTGAGTCCACCCGGATCCCTGACTCCCTTCGCTTCTCCCTAAACTCTGCCTCTGTCTCTGTCCAAACTACCTTCATCTCTCACCCGGGCCCCCACACCTGACTCCTCTCCCAGGCTCTGCCCTCCTGGGGCCCTCTTTGAGGCATGAACGAAATCATGTCACCCTCCTGCTTAACACCCTCCCGTGACTTCCCTCTAACTTAGGATAAAACCTGCGCAGACTCCATCCGTCCCTGCTGCTGGTTCCCCGAGCTCACTCTACACCACTGTTCTCAAGGTGTATCTATCTGTCCCTCAAACACGCTGAGCTGCCCCCTCCCTTGGCCTCTGCACCTGCTGTGCCCCCTTCCCAGCATGCCCTTCCCCCAGATGGTGCCTTTCAACGCTGCTCCTCAGAGAGGCCTTCCCTGGCCCCCAAGCCAAAGCTTCCTGGCCCTTGCTCTCCCTGACACCTATTTGAGTTTCTTCTTGGCTCCATTTCCCACTGAGGTGTGTTGTTGGCATCCTCACCCACCCCCTCGCTCTCTGTTAAACTAATAGCTCCACGAGAGCAGGCCCTGCCAGTGCTGTGCCCGGATGCACCACTGCCAGTTGTGGCCGTTCTATGATTATTTGTTGAAAGAAAAAGCAGTGGACCTCAATTTTCTCATCTGTGGAATGAGGAGTGTGCCCTGTAAGTAGTAAAATGTCATCTAAATGTTAGTCAATACAATTAAATAACCTGCCTTATGAGAGACTGTTCCATACTCAAGGAAGGACAGGTGGCACTGTCGCCCAGCGGTTAAGATTCCAAGCACATGAGCTCACAGACCTGGCTGAGTCTCCACTTCATCTATCATAAGAGGTGTGACCTTGGTCCGGCCATTTAACCTCTGTAAGCCTCAGATTAAAAAGTAGAGATGGGGCCGGGCGCGGTGGCTCACGCCTGTAATCCCAGCACTTTGGGAGGCCGAGGCAGGTGGATCACGAGGTCAGGAGATCGAGACCATCCTGGCTAACACGGTGAAACCCCGTCACTACTAAAAATACAAAAAATTAGCCGGGCATGGTGGTAGGTGCCTGTAGTCCCAGCTACTCAGGAGCCTGAGGCAGGAGAATGGCGTGAACCCGGGAGGCGGAGCTTGCAGCGAGCTAAAATCGCGCCACTGCACTCCAGCCTGGGCGACAGAGCAAGACTCCGTCTCAAAAAAAAAGTAGAGATGGGGCAGGGCATGGTGGCTCATGCCTATAATCCCAGCAATTTGGGAGGCTGAGGCAGAAGGATCGCTTGAGTCCAGGAGTTCAAGACTAGCCTGGGCAACATAGTGAGACCCTGTCTGTACAAAAAAAAAATTTTTTTTAATGGCCAGGAGTGGTGGTTCGTGCCTGTAATCCCAGCACGTTGGGAGGCTGAGGCAAGTGGATTACCTGAGGTCAGGAGTTCAAGACCAGCCTGCCCAATATGGTGAAACCCTGTCTCTATCAAAAATACAAAAAATTAGCTGGGCATGGTGGCGGGCACCTGTAATTCCAGCTACTCAGGAGGCTGAGCCAGGAGAATCACTTGAACCCGGGAGGTGGAGGTTGCAGTAAGCCGAGATTGTGCCATTGCACTGGACCCTGGGCAACAAGAGCAAAACTCTGTCTCAAAAATAAATAAATAAATAAAAATTAAAAATTAAAAAAATTACCAGGTATGGTGGCGCATGCCTGTAATCCTAGCTACTTGGGAGGCTGAGGTGGATGGATCACTTGAGCTCAGGAGGTCGAGGCTGCAGTGAGCTGTGTTTGCGACACTGCACTCAGCTTGGGCTACAGAGCAAGAACCAGTCTCAAAAAAAAAGTAGAGACGATAACAGTCGCTTCCAGAATTGTTCTGGGAATTGAATAAGCAAATGTATGTAAAGCACTTGGCATAGTCCTTGGCACAAGGTAAATTCTTAAGATGCTATAGCTAGTATTATTTCATTATTGTTATGATGATGATGATGATGGTGATGATGATGATGGTGATGATGATGATGATGATGA
Organism: Homo sapiens; assembly: GCF_000001405.40. Lineage (NCBI taxonomy): Eukaryota > Metazoa > Chordata > Mammalia > Primates > Hominidae > Homo > Homo sapiens. The sequence continues at coordinate 45,080,449 of NC_000022.11, read as the reverse complement.
TGATGATGATGATGATGGTGATGATGGTGATGACGGTGATGATGATGGTGATGATGGTGATGATGATGATGGTGATGATGATGATGGTGATGATAATGATGATGATGATGGTGATGATGGTGATGATGATGGTGATGGTGATGAGGATGGTGATGATGATGATGATGATGATGGTGATGATGATGATGGTGATGGTTTGGGTCTACAGAGGCGGCAAAGCTGAGGATGTCTCCATGAGATGGTGGCATTTGATCTTAACCTTGGACAGCTGGATGGATCAGAAGCTATTTCATTATCAGAACAATGGGCAGTAATGCTGCTGTCAGTTGTCTGGTATCCACCACAGGCCAGAAGCAGGGAGGTCGTATCACCATCTTACAGACAAATACATGGAGACTTGGAGTGTTTAAGTAATTTGCCCAGTGGCAGAACAGGGACCGTTCCTGGGCCCGTGCTGTTCCCACATGTGAACATTTTCCATTTGGTGATTTGCCTTCCTCCAGACTGGAAGCTGTCAGAGGCAAGGCTGGCCCACTCCGTTGTTTGCAGGACTGGTGTCCACATGTCCTCAGTGGCTGTGTGCTGAGCGGAAGAACTGGGCCCCCCTGGAGCTTCGTCACCATCCACATCACTCTGAGGCTCTGTTTCTCCATTTGTCAAATGGTCATGATGATATCTACCCCCCAGAGTGGCTGTGAGAAGAAAGTCAGATCATGGTTATGAAGATGGCTAGTACGGGGTGTGTGTGTGTGTGTGTGAGAGAGAGAGAGAGAGAGAGAGAGAGAGAGAAAGAGAGAAAGAGAGAGAAGACTGGAAGAGAGAAAAACTGGAGCAAGGCTGGACTGTGGAGGGCCAGGTGCCATGAGCCTCCAGCACTTTGCACTTGAGCCTGTTGGCAACGAGGAGTCCCCACAGTTTTTAGAATTGAGGTATAGCATACACACTGTAAAGTGTGTAAACTGCCTCACTCTTAAATTGACACGTCCATGACTTTTCACGTATGTGTTCACCCATCAATTGTCATCAGCTCACAATGTAGAACATTTCCAGCACCTAGAAAGACTGCTCCTCCTCTTTCCCCCTCAACCACCCTCCCCACAAAAGGCAGCCGCTATTCTGACCACTGCCACCATTGATTGCTTTGGCTTGTTTTGTACTTTCTGCAAATGGAATCATGCCGTCTGCTCTCTTCTGGACTGCCTTTTTTTTTTTTTTTTTTGAGACAGAGTTTTGCTCTTTTTTGCCCAGGCTGGAGTGCAATGGTGCAATCTTGGCTCATTGCAACCTCCGCCTCCCGGGTTCACGCCATTCTCCTGCCTCAGCCTCCTGAGTAGCTGGGATTACAGGTGCCCGCCACCATGCCCGGCTAATTTTTTGTATTTTTAGTAGAGACGGGGTTTCACCATCTTGGCCAGGCTGGTCGCAAACTCCTGACCTCAGGTGATCCACCTGCCTCAGCCTCCCAAAGTGCTGGGATTACAGGTGTGAGCCACCGCGCCCGGCCTGAGCTGCCTTCTTTTGCTTGTCACGGCATCTGGGAGATCCATCCAGTTTTTTGCATGCAACCGTCGAGCGTTCTTTTGTATTTCTGCATAATGTTCCATTATATGGGTGTATCACACTTTATTTTTCCATCGATAGGCATTGAGTTTCCTTTCTTGTCTATTTTAAATAAAACTGCTATGAACATACTTGCGTCCGTCTTTTTGTGAACGTATGTGCTCACTTCTCTTGTGGAAAAAACACCCGAGTGGAATTGCTGGGTCATGGGCTAGGCATATGTTCAACTTTAGTAGATATTTTCAAACGCTTTTCCAAAGTGGTTGAACTGCTTTTATGCTCACGCCAGCAGTGTGTGAGAGTCCCAGGGGGTGACAGAGCCAGTCTCTAGCAGCTCCTGGGAGTGGATTTGGGGATTAGAAATGGAGAGAGACAGTGGTGGTCTGCATGGGGGACTGGCACATGGGGACCGCCCCGAGGGTGGCTCCATCCGCTTTGCTGAAAGCCTCCTGGGACCATGCTTACAGAAACCTGAAACCCATGGATGCTTCTCCCACCACAGTCAGAGCCCCACCTGCCCCAAGGTGACAAACGCCCAGTCACACCCCTGGGAAATTCTGCTTCCAGAGGTCTGGGGTGCGGATGTAGCCTCAGATACCGAAAAAGCAATGCATGTGGTTTTGTGCACAACTGCAGGGCTCTGACGCCGGTTAAACCCGCGGGCCGCCAGCCCCACTCCATCCTCTCTCTTTTCTGAGGCCGGTTAAACCCGCGGGCCGCCAGCCCCGCTCCATCCTCTCTCTGTGCCAATGGAGAACTGGGAACTTGCGCAGCCTCTCCCTCCCCAGTCCAGGAGTGCGGTGGCTGGACTTGGGCTGCCTGATGACGCTTGGTCTGCCCGCCTCAGTCTCCCCCGGCTCCACACTCCCAGCTTCCCTCGGCACCACCTGCTCCCAGGCCCACTCTGCATCACTGCTCCCGTTTTTCACACGAGGAGGCTGAGGCTTGGAGGCGGAGCTTGTCCCACTACCCCGCTGGTCCAGGGCAGAGCTGGACCACAGCTTCTAAGCTGGAGGCCTTCCGCTGCCCTGCGTGGGGCTTGTCCCCGTGCCCCCTGCTTTGATGGGAGCATGAGTTCTGCCCTGCACACTCTCTGCCTTCTCTGCTCCTGGTGATGTGGGAGCCCCTGGGGTCACGGCGTGGCTTCAGCATCTCAGACTGACCACAGTCCAGGCTGTGGCCACCGATTGACTTGAGTGAGACCCAAAGGGACTGGAGAAGGGCTCCAAAGCTAACTGGGGTTGGGGAGACTGTTGACCCAGGTGGGAGGGCAGGAGGGGCTTCCCTGGCGCTGGGACTGCCCCACCCCTCTGTCCACCGTCTGCGCCTGGGACGGGGGCCAGCGGAGCAGCTTCTCAGGCGGCTCCGTCAGCTCTTTCCTCCGCAGGGAACCACACTGCAGTGATTGTTAATCCCCACTCATGTGAAGGAGACAAATTAAAACCACCGTCAGGCTGCACAAGCGGCTGGAGCCAAGAACACAGCAGCGTAGGGCATTTCCAGATGGCTGTGAGGGGAGAGGGGACAGCGGCACAGACAGTGGACCTGGAAGGGGCCTTCTGAGCATCTCATCCGGGGATGACATCACAGCAGAGGACGCTGAGATGCAAGGAAAGGAGTCTCAAGGGCTCTAGGTGGGACCGGACACAACGAGACTGGGATGTTCCCCAAGACCTTGGAGCTCCAACACTCTCCACTTTTCCGTCCCTGGTACCCAGACACCAAGCCCAGGTGACATCTACTGCATCTCAGAAATGCAGAGTGAGGGGACCATGCCCTTAGTGGACCTGCTGAGGCTGCTTCCAACCACAAGCTAGCTCATCATCATCAGTGTCCTGTGGTGCAACCTCCCAGCCACACTGTCCCCGTGGCCCATCCTCCCAGCCACACAGTGTCCTGTGGTCCTTCCTCCTCTCCCACCCTATGTCATGCGCAGAGATAAAATGCAGGTAGACAACTACAAAGATCTATGTTGGGGACATGAGTATCTCTTTTCAGGGGGTTGTTGGGCTGGTGACAGAACTTATCTCACAGAACTGTCACTTCCTTTTTGGAATTTAGGGGATTCCAGCCGGGCCAGATCCCAGATCAGAGTCCAGAGCCTGCTCCGGCTCATTTCCTTGCATTGTGGGGCCCCAGGGGAGAAATCTACTGCAGCTGCTTGGTCCACGTGCGGAAGCAGCCTCGAAGCCTGCAGCATTCTTCTCTGCTGGGTTTTCTTCCCTTTGAGTTATCAACATTACAGTCTCGCAGATATAAGCTGCGGCCTGCATGGCTCTGGAATGGGCAGGGCCTGCTTGGTCTTCTGGCTCCTCCCTCCCAGGTGGAACCCCTTCCCAACCCCAGCACAGCCTGCATGCTCCCCGGCGTGAGATGGGGAGAGAATAGTTTTCTCGCAAGGTTATTGTGAGTAGAGACTGAGTCCCGCAGCGTGTGGGGCTTACACTCCTGTTAGGTGCCCCTGGCTCATCTGAAGCACTCCAGACACGTGAGCGGTCAGTCTTGGGAGCCTCCTGTGTTTTCTTTCTCTTTGGCTTTGCCAATCCAATTTGCCAAGACAATGACATATTCTGCCTCATCCTCTCAATTCCGATCCTTCCAAACTCTCTGCTTCTCCAAGCCCTCCCCATCCCAGGCCCTGACAGGCCTACAGCACCCTTCAGGGAGGCAAAGGGTACTCCCTGCATGCTCCACCTTCTGGAAGCTCTCCCTACGGCACATCAAGCCTGCAACAATGTGTGGACGGGCACCCGCCACAATGATGTAAATATTTCTCTTTAGTGAATTCATTAATTCACTCACTCACTCATTCATTCCCTTCCACCTCCCTACCCCCCACCTATAGATGACCCATGCTCAAGTGTTTAAGTCTTTCTGTTCCTGGGAAATGGGTATTGCCATTTGCACGCCCCTGTTTTTAATTTACGTTCGTGATGTGATGTTATCTATCTCATTCATTTTCTTGCTTTTTCACCAACCCTGATGTGTCTTTGCCACCCATGTTCTTACGTGTGTATCTCATTTGATTTTTTCTAGCTGCCAAACCACCCTGCAAGGTGTGCGTCCACCAAGACCCACTCTCCCAGCGCTGGGCACCCACTTCGCACTGCAGTGAGCATCGGGGACCTGTGTGAGAATGTCTGGGGCGAGATGTTGTTAGGAGAGGAACTGCTGCATCTCAGTCCTGCACTTCCTTCATCTTACTAACACACCTAGAGACCCTTCCCAAGGGCCACCCAGCCCACCCTCCCAGCAGAGTGAGGGAGGTCTCCTGTATTACATCATGTAACTGTGACATCACCGAGCTTTCAGACTTCTGCCAGCCTAAATGTGTAAAGTGAACCTTCATTGTGATTTTAATTTGATTTCTCACATTACCAGTGCTTTTGAGTGTCTTCTCTTCTGCTTGTTAATGTCTTGGATATCCTCTTCTGTAAATTCATACCCTTTGCTCTGTTTTCTTTTCATTTTTTTGAGATGGAGTCTCGCTCTGTCGTCCAGGCTGGAGTTCAGCGGCACAATCTCGGCTTACTGCAACCTCCACTTCCCAGGTTCAAGCGATTTTCCTGCCTCAGCCTCCCGAGTAGCTAGGACAACAGGCACAAGCCACCATGCCTGGCCAATTTTTGTGTTTTTAGTAGAGATGGTATTTCACCATGTTGGCCAGGCTGGTCTTGAACTCCTGACCTCAGGCGATTCATCCGCTTTGGCCTCCCAAAGTGCTGGGATTACAGGCATGAGCCACTGCGTCCAGCCCCTTTGCTCTGTTTTCTGTAGAACTGCTGTATTTTCTTATTAAGCTACACCTTTTTGAAATGGATTTAATTGTTCTTTTGACTTTGCCATTTTAAAAATATTTTAAGCCGGGCATGGTGGCTCATGCCTTTTATTCCAACACTTTGGAGGTGGAGGCAGTAGGACTGCTTGAGCCCAGGAGTTCGAGACCAGCTTGGGCAACATAAGGAGACCCCCGTCTTTAAAAATAATTTAAAAAATTAGCCAGGCATGCTGCCACACACCTGTAGTCCCAGCTGGGAGCCTGAGGCAGGAGGATCACCTGAGCCTAGGAGGTGGAGGTTGCAGTGAGATGTGATTGTGCCACTGCAGTCTAGTCTGGGTCACAGAGACCCCATCTTAAAGTAAATAAATAAAATTATTTTGTCATATATACATTGTTTCTAATCTCAAAATCATTTTATAGGCTGTTACAGCTCATAGGGCCTGTGGCACAGTGCTAGAGATATCACTAATAAAATGTATTTGACAGTTGATGTGTTTTGAACATTTATTAGTCAGATGCTCTTCTACAGACTTACATAGAAAATCAATCCTCACATCTCCATAATCATTGCCATGACTATTTCTATCACTCTTTTTCCTTCTATACTATGACTTCCACTGCCTCTGTTACTGTTATCCCCCCTGACTTTCCGACGTGGCCCTGAGGCATGGAGTGGCCAGTTCCTAGGCAAGGCCACTGAGCCTGGCAGAATAATGTCCCCTGCCCCTGCCTAGGATGTCTGCACTCTAATCCCTGAAGCCTGTGAGTGTGTCACCTGACATGGCAAAGGGACTTTGCAGACGTGATTAAGGATTTCGAGATGAGGAGAATACTCTGGATTAGCCAGGTGGACCGAATATAATTGCAAGCGTCCTTATAAGGGAAGAAAGGAGGCAGAACCATCAGAGTCAGAGGAGGAGATGTGACCGGAGAGAGAGAGAGATTAGAAGATGCTGGGCCACTGGCTTTGAAGACAGGAAGGGGCCATAAGCCAAGGAATGGGGGCGTCTCTGGAAAGGGGTCCTCCCCTAGAGCGTCCGGAAGAAACCAACGCTGTAGACACCTTTTTAGGACTTGTGACCTCCTGAAAGGTAAGAGAATTAATTTGTGTTGTTCTACACCCCCAGGTTTGTGGTCATTTGTTGCAGTGGCCACAGGAGATGAGTTAGGCCACACAACCAGGGATGTGACGGAGCTGGCGTGAAGCCCAGGGATGGCCCCAGCACAGCTCCTGCCTGCCATAGTGGCAGTGGGGAAGTGGCCCTGACCGGGCGGGAAGCTTTTCCGGGTCTTGCTCAGTAGCACGTCTCTGAGCCTTGGCCACAGGCCTGGGAGCTTCGTCTCTGTCTCCCCAGCATCTTACTGAGCAACCTGGTAAACATTCACAGTAGCAAGGTTCGATAACTTTTGCAATTCACAAAGCAGCAAATTGCATGGCTAAGGCCTCGGCTCTCAGGTCTGGCTGGGCACGTGAGCACAAGGAGTTTTTAAAAATCCAGACGCCTCGGGCTCCAGCCCTCCAGGTGTGAAGCAGGTGTCCGAAACAGGATAAAGTGGCTTCTGATGTGCGGTGTGGCTGAGAGCGGCTCACTCAGGGCGCTCACTATTTCCCGGCCTTCGCGGAAGTTTTTACCATGGAGCTCACAGCTATGATCGGCTCCATGGGAAAAGCATTTTACCAAAAATAATTCTGAGGCCACTTTTTAGTCAAAATACATCTATTCCACACACTGATGGTCTCTGCCAGGGCATGTATGGGCTCGCCCATTCATTCATTTTGTGCCTATTGTGTACCAGCCATCCAGACATCTGGCCATGGGCCAGCTGTGCAAAGCCTGCCCCCCTGGAATTTACAGTCCAGAGGGGAGACAATCCAGGAGTCACAAGAGCAATGCCAATTACAAGCTGTGCTGAGGAGACAGAGAAGCATGTGCGGTCCTATGCGGAAGTGAAACAGGGAGACCTAATTTCGATTTGGGGCTCAGGGAGAGTTTCTGGGAGTGGTGGGCATTCAGGTTGTACAGTGCCTATGACTGTGCTGGGCCCACAGTAGGACCTCAGGGGCCATTTGTGAACAAATACAGGTAATGACCAGCTGAGGCTGGAAGCGGCTCAGCCCTCAGGGCTTTGCAGCCAGAGGCCCTGGGAGTGAGCCTTTTGAATCTCATCTCAGCCTCTTACTGTGTCCCTTGCATAGTTTCTTTACCTTCCAGCCTCAGGTTTCTCACCAACAAAATGGGGATACTCACAGGACCTACCTCCCAGGGTTGCTGTAAGGATAAAAAACAAAAACAAACAAACAAAACAAAACAAAAAAAACCCATGTGTAGAATGTGAGGGCAAATGGAGAGATGAGGGCAGACTGGTGCCAAGGTAGAGGAACAGCGACTTGGACAGAAGGGACCCTGTGTGCAGAGGCCTGGGGATGGGTGTGGGGGACCCTCGGGACTTAGTGGAAAGTCTAAGCCCCTGAAACACAGCCTCACCTGCACTGGTTTCCTCTGAGTCTCCTGGCGGCCGTGGGGATGGAGGGAAGGAAGCAGGCAGATTCCAGATGCATTTAGAAGGGCAGTTACGAGATTCTGGGAGCTGCGGCGGGGGAGGAGGCGGACTCGTCAGGGATGACTCCGGTGTGAGTAATCAGGTGGGCGGTGCCCCATTTACTGAGGTGGGAAGACCAGGAGGGAAGCAGAGACGGGCAAAACACGGCAAGGTTCAGTTTGCGGCAGTTTTGGAGACAAGCGCATAGAAATAAATGAAACGACATTTGGGGCGGGGGAAGCTCTGGAATTTTCAGGATTTGTGGCTTAGGGCCTTCGGCTCCTATAAATGTGTGTACGGGGGGCGAGGGTGGGAGGGAAGGACGGGATCCCTTCCCAAAGGGTTCCCATTTATGCAAAAAAGGCTATAATTGTGTTCAGGAGAGGAGCACCTAACTAAGACTTTTTAGGGACGTCACCAGAAAAAACGAGAGCACTTGGGAGGAAATTAGGGATATTTGTGTGTTTGGAACACAGCCTATCCCTTTGGAACCCGGTGCTGAGGACAAGTGGACTGAAGAAAGGATCAGTGGAACTGTCTGGCTGGGAATGGGAACTGACTCCGCAGGAGAGGAGGCTGTGTGGTTGGTGCTTTTTGTGAAAACCACTACACCTGCAGGTGGGCTCAGTCGAGGCGCAGCCCCCCTGCCCTGCCTCCGCCCCCCACCCCACAGAGGGGTGGGTTTTCTTCTCTTGCTCCTCTTGGCCGCTTCATGGCAGCCCTGAGCAGTGCCATGCAGCCAGGAAGAGGCTTTTGCAGCTGCCACTGCCACCTGTCCCTGCGTATCTCGCCAAAGAGCACCTTCCCCAGAGGGGGACCATCGGCTCAGAGGCTGGAGGGGAGGCCCACCCAGCCACCAGGAGGCCACCAGGCACGAGGCTGGCATTCCCAACTGCCCCCAGCCCACCAGGACAAGGGAACATGAAATCTTCAGAAAGTCACCTCCCCCTCGCCTCCCCCTCTCGCCTCCCCACCCCTGCCCTGCCTCCTCTCTTGGCCCTCCCACCTTCTCCCTTGCTGCGGTCCTTTCCTTCCGGTGCCCCCTGCTCCCTCTCCTTGTTCTGCTCTCATTCGCTTCTTCTGTCCCTTTCCAGGTCCTTCTCTTCCATTCTGTGTCCCCTACCCCCTCTCTCTCCACTTCTACCTGGCCCATGCCTCCCTCATCCATGCACTCTTAGTAAATACCTAGTGTGCCAACATGCCAGGTGTCCTGCAAGGCGCCAGAGACCAGGGGCAGTGACAGCAGGCACGGTGCCTGTCCCCACAGGGCTGACAGTCTAGGAGAAGAGACAGTAATCAAACAGCAATGTCAAACGAGGGAGAACAGCAACCTGGGAGGATGCTCAGGAGGAGGTCACAGACCCGGGTTACACACAACAGGGGTCCCGACCTGGCCTGGGCATCAGGGAGGAGTTCTCTCTGGGAGCTGCTTGTGTCAGGAGGGTACAAAGAGCTTGATAAGGTGAATGGGGCCCAGGAGGTGGGAAGGCTGGTGTGCCTGAGGCTCACAGGTGAGGCCTCTTCCTAAACCAACAGAAAAGCGCTGGGCTTTGAAGGTGGTGGGAACTCCATCACAATGGCTTTTGGAGAGAGGGCTCAGGTGAGGTGGCTGTAGGGCAGCCCTCAGGTGGGAGCGAGTGGGAACGGACAGAGGTCTGGACCTGGGCCCTGCAGGTGGCTGGACCGCTGACGATGAGGTCCGAGAGGCACACAGGAGTACCATCTAAGGTGGGACTCACCCTCAGGGCCGTACAAGGGCAGGGTGCCTCCTCTAGTGCTGGCCCAGGGTGAGGGGTAGGGCAGGGGTGGGGAGAGCCTGGGGCAGGGGGGTATAAAGTGACGAGGAGGGGCAGTGAGGCAGAAGGCAGTGTCCTGGGGGCGTCTAGGCCTCTGGCCTGAGAAACTGCAGAGCGGGAAAGACTTCTGGGTGTGGGGTGCTGGTGACCTGAGGGGCTTTCAGCAGGCCCCATGGGGCAGGGGCAGTGACAGGGACCCAGAGGCCCTGGGTGTCTCCAGCCCTCTGCTGTCTCCTTTCTCTGGTCAAGTTTGCTTCTAGAAGTCCAGGTTCAGAGGGACTTTGGCCTGGGCACAGCACTGAGACCATGAGCCCTGGGGGCAGGACAGGGGCTTCCTGCCCAGGCCCTTAGTTGCTTCTCCCCACAAGCTAGGCCCCACCTGCTGGAATCTTCCCCAGGACCCTACCATTCGGCCTGCCCTAGCCAACCAGCCTCTGTGCTGGCAGGGATGGTCCAGGTAGGGCAAGCCTCAGCCCCAGCTGCTTCTGCCTCATTCTCTGCATAACACACTCCACCCGGAACCTTAGAGGGCAGAGGCCAGGGCAGAGGGGAGAGATCAGGCTGCAGGGGTTGGGGTGTGTGTTTCAAGGGAAACTTTTCTCCTGAGACAGTGATACACACTCACCTCCACCCCGCCCCATCCTCCCCACATTGCTGGTTGAGGATGACTCAGTTAATAGACTCTCTCTACCCAAAAGGTTAGCAATACCTGCCCCTCTTCACCCAGGCCTACCGCCGGCCTCCAACGCCAACTTCACATGCCCCTTTCTCATGAGCCAGTCCCTCTCTGCCTGGGAGGAGTCAATGACCAATTGTGGGGAAGATAGACACAAATGCAGGGGCCAGTCAGTATTCTCTTTTCTTTCTTTCTTTCTTTTTTTTTTTTGGTTGTGTTTTGAGATGGAGTTTTGCTCTGTTGCCCAGGCTGGAGTGCAGTGGCGCGATCTCAGCTCACTGCAATCTCCGCCTCCCAGGTTCAAGCGATTCCCCTGCCTCAGTCTCCCGAGTAGCTGGGATTACAGGTGTCCGCCACCACACCTGGCTAATTTTTTGTATTTTAGTAGATGGGGTTTCACCATGTTGGCCAGGATGGTCTCGATCTCCTGACCTCATGATCTGCCCACCTCGGCCTCCCAAAGTGCTGGGATTACAGGCATGAGTCACTGTGCCCGGCCTCATCACTATTCTAATGTGGGAGAGCAGGTGTTCCGGTGGAGGTGTCTGACTATCTGCCGTGGGCGCCCAGAGAGAGCCCCTGACTCAGCCCAGAGCAGGGAGGGTCTCCCATGGCAAACCTTTGAGCAGACTGAAAGCTGGAGTGAAGGAGAGGTATCCCAGGCAGATGAACAGATGCACTTACCATGCAAAGTGCCTGGATAGCTGAGCACAGGTCCCATACCTTTGCCAGCTCCTTTGCAGGTATTCCAGCATATTCCTGAATCATGGCTCATGGAAAGTGGGCTAATGGAATATACCACTTCTGTGTCTGGGCCTGACCCCTCTGGTGAGATCCTTTCTTCTCTCTTTCCCCTCATCTGCTGGTTGAATGTTGATGTCTGAGATGATCTTGTTAAAGGTCCGTTGTGTCCCTGAATGACTGCCTGGAGCAGAGCTCTCCTCCCCGTGCTGCTACAGATACTCCTTTATGTGAGCAGAAATGAGGTCTCAATTTCTGTTGTGTTGAGCTTCTGAGATATGGGGTCATCTGTTACAGTCATAGGCATTATCTTAACCTGGACAGTGGGGAAAAATGGAGTGTCACCTACTGTATAGCTTCAGAGGGATGAGTGGGAAGGAGTGAGGAGGAGACGAAATAAGAACAGCTATTTGAGATCAGACTGAGAAGGACCATGATTTTTAGACAGTAGATTTGGACTTCATCCAGTGTTGGGCCCTTGAAAGGTTGTAAGTTGGACAGTTATGTGATCAGGCCTGAGGTTATGAACTATAACTCTGTGATTAAATAAATTAAAACACATCCATGTATCAAAATTCTCCTCAACCATTAAAAATAACAATGTAAAACAACTGTTTTTGACCTGAAAAGATGTCTACAATCCATTATGTGGGAAAAAAATGTAGCTTGAGAAATAGTGTATATAACATGAATATGCTTTTATTTCAAAAAGATCCACCATATCTGAGGTGGATTACATAACTGGCCCAGGTCTTCATCCTTTCCTGGATCCCTGCTCCTCTCCTTGTAATCTCCAGTGCCCTCCAGCTGTGGGTGAGGTGTACTTCCTTGTCTCTTGACTTGGGTGATGTGGTTTGGCTATGTCCCCACCCAAATCTCATCTTGAATTGTAGCTCCCATAATCCCCACATGTCATGGAAGGGACCTAGTGGGAGGTAACTGAATCACGGGACTGGTTTTTTCCCCGTGCTGTTCTTGTGATTAGTGAATAAGACTCCAGAGATCTGATGGTTTTATAAAGGGCAGCTCCCCTGCACACGCCCTCTTGCCTGCTGCCGTGTAAGACATGTCTTTGCTCCTCCTTCACCTTCCACCATGATTGTGAGGCCTCCTCAGCCATGTGGAAGTATAAGTCCATTAAACCTCTTTTTCTTTATAAATTGCCCAGTCTCAGGTATTTTTTTCATAGTAGTATGAAAATGGACCAATACATGGGGTTAGCCACATTATTTACTTTATCCATAGGATGAGACAGAAGTGATGGATGTACCAGTTCTGGGAGTGGTTTCAGTTGGTCTCTTTTGCTGTTGAGAAGAAAATTCTTATGCTACCCACTGGTCTCAGGAGGTGGATGAGGGATATGCAGAATTAAGTCACCAGCCAAGACCAGCCCCAATCAGCCAACCCTAAGCCAATTCCCAAAGGAATGAGTAAGCCCAGCCAAGATCAGCAGAGGCATCCACTGAGCCCAGCCTCCGTCAGCCAAACTATGACAATCTGCAGCTCATAAAAACACATGATTGTTTGAAGCCACTAAGTTCTAGGATGGTTTGTTACATAGGTTTTTTTTTGTGGCAATTGCTAATTGGTACAATATCTATATATGAATGATTATTAAAAAGTCTGGAAGAAGTTGAATTTTGAGTAATATCGTTTCTTTTTTAGTATTATTTGAATTTATTTTAATGAGCCCATATAACTTTTATAATAATGAAAAATAAAGTAATATTTTGAAAAAGTCTGGGAATGGCCTGGAGAACAGATTAGCTGGGAAGAGACTGGAGCTAGGCAGCCCATCAGGAGGTTGGTGCACTGGTTTTTGTTTGTTTGTGGTTTTTTTGGTCTTTTTTTTTTTTGAGACAGAGTCTCACTCTGTCACCTGGGTTGGAGTGCAGTGGGATTACAGGTGTGAGTCACTGCGCCCGGCCTGTGCACTGTTTTTGTTTGTTTGTTTGTTTTGAGACAGAGTCTTGCTCTGTCACCCAAGTTGGATTGTAGTGGCAAGATCTTGGCTCACTGCAACCTCCACCTCCTGGGTTCAAGCAATTCTCTTGCCTCAGCCTCTCTAGAAGCTGGGGTTACAGATGCACGCCACCACACCTGGCTGATTTTTGTCTTTTTAGTAGAGACGGGGTTTCACCATGTTGGCCAGGCTGGTCTTGAACTCCTGACCTCAGGTGATCCGCCTGCCTTAGTTGGCCTTCCAAAGTGCTGGAATTACAGGCATGAGCCACTGCACCTGGCCTGTGCACTGTTTTTTAACGGGGCTGCTGAAGGCCTGAGCCAGAGCAGGGCTCCCGCTTCCCCACAGCATCACATGCCTGTGTTCCCTCTCCACACCCTCCTTCCCTTTAAGGAACTAGTTTCAAAGAGAGCAGTCTTGCTGAAAAGAGAAATAATAAACTGCCTCTGGAAATTGGTGACTGTAGATGGTTCCTTTTAGGAGCATCTGCATTTTAACAGGGACAGGGAGAAATTCTCCAATGATGGAAGTTTGGGAGTTGGAAAGCAGATGTATTTGGGAAAGTGCCTTCTTATGCCTTCCCAGCTCATTGCATGGGTCAAAGCCAACACCTTCCCTGCCGCCCACACATGTAGCCATAAGCTCCTGATTCTCCTCTGTAACCCTGGAACCATTAGCACCCAACACAGGGTACTCCCCTGGGGTACCAGCTAAGTGGGGAGGAGGGGGCACTGTGAGTTGGGAAGCCTGGGGGAGTGAGTGCAGGAGACACCACACCTAAGCCTTTCATGTCGGGGCTAGGGCATGAGCTGATCCAGATGGAACTTGCTGGAAGGAACCAGACTTGCTTCCTGCACTATTCCCCTTCATGGTGGCCTGTCTCCTCACCAGAGTATAATACGCTTCTCAAAAAAATGTTGGTTTTGGAGACAGGGTCTCACTCTGTCACCCAGGCCCAAATTTTTTACTGTGGTAAAAGACATATAAGATTTACCGTCTTGCACTTTGGGAGGCCGAAGCAGGCGGATCACCCGAGGTCAGCAGTTCGAGACCAGCCTGGCCAACATGGTGAAACCCCGCCTCTACTACAAATACAAAGAAATTAGCCAGGCGTTGTGGTGGGTGCCTGTAGTCTCTTCTCCTCCTCCTTCTTTTTTGAAACGGAGTTTCACTCTTGTCGCCCAGGCTGGAGTGCAGTGCATGATCTTGGCTCACTGCAAGCTCCGCCTCCCGGGTTCAAGCGATTCTCCTGCCTCAGCCTCTCAGGTAGCTGGGACCACAGGTGCTTGCCACCACACCTCCCAAACTGTTGGGATTACAGGCGTGAGCCACCATGCCTGGCCTCATCATCATCTTTCTAGAGGAAAAAGACACTCAGTGAGGCAGAGAGCATGTCTGTCCTGTTTCTCACCAATCCCCTTGGGGTCTAGAATGGCTCCCGACACACAGAAATTGCTCAATAAATGCTGGTGAGTGAGTGGATCTCGACGCCACAGGAGAGAAGACAAACCACCACAGTGCGGTGCCATCTACAAAGTCACGCCGCATCCATCCCATGGGGCACCTCAGTCCAGGGCTCTCCTTTCACGGAGCCAAGCTGCCCCTCTGAAAAAAAAGGAAAAACAGGGAGAGATACCATAAAGCAGCTTATATGCTCCTGAAACTAAAATAATATTTGTGGAAATGCTTGCTTGGTGTTGGGAAATGAAATCTGGAACTACATCCTTTATGTCATTTCTTTCATCATGATCTCTGCTGAAGACTGAAAATTTGGAATACTGGGGTTGGAAGGTACCTTAAGATTCATCTACAATGATTACCCACTGGAGGCCCGGTGCGGTGGCTCACGCCTGTAACCCCAGCACTTTGGGAGGCTGAGGCGGGCGGATCACGAGGTCAGGAGATTGAGACCATCCTGGCTAACACGAGGAAACCCTGTCTCTACTAAAAATACAAAAAAAAAATTAGCTGTGCGTGGTGGCGGGCGCCTGTAGTCCCAGCTACTCAGGAGGCTGAGGCAGGAGAATGGTGTGAACCCGGGAGGCGGAGCTTGCAGTGAGCCGAGATCACGCCACTGTACTCCAGCCTGGGTGACAGAGCGAGACTCCATCTCAATAATAATAATAACCCACTGGATGATTTAATATTTTCTTCAGCAAGTGTGCAGGGGTAACACATTAGGAATTTGTTGCTTTGAATGTGTCATTTGTGAGAGACTCGGGGTTAAGTTATATCTAAAACAAAAGCAAATGCCTTGGAGTAGGGCCCCGAGGGGCTTGCTCATGAGGCATAGGCATGAAGCTCCAGGTTTGGGTTCTCGGCATCTATTTTGAATGTTCAGGGCCCATCTTTGCTATTCTAGCATTGGGAATGTTCCAGATGGTGCAAGGAGCTAGATCATAATCTCCAAAGAGGTCAGGTGTCACGACGGGGTTGGCTCTGCCACTGAGCCTACCCTACGTGTGTCTGTCTTTAATTTAGGAGGGGCCGTATGGCCCCCTCTTCATGGGATCTGGAGGAGGGACACGTGTTTGTCACTTTCTTCTGCAGGTAGCGTCAGCACCATGAAATTGGGAACCCCCAGCCCCAGGTGGTGGGAAGGCTCGTGCTGGCTTCTGAGCTGCCCACAGTGACTAAGAATGACGCATGAAAACAGCAGCTGAAAATGTCACCACCCACCTCCCCCACTTTCCACAAAAAAAAAACAAAAACGAAACATTGGCCCAGGGCAATGCAGTCTGTGAGCCAAACGAAGCAGCAACCGTTTATTTGTGGCCAGAGACAAAGTTTCCCTTGAAATCAGTGTTGCTCATGACCATCTTTATCCACTGTCCACAGACAAATAGATTCCTGAACGGGTCTCTGTGGCTAAAGCCCATTCAGTTCTATGGAGTCAGGCCCAACCTCACACCCCAGGGGTGATGTGGCAGGAACGCTTTATGATATGCCACTTAAAACCTGTCAACCCCAGGGTCCTCATTTTTAAAGGGGAGATCCTCCCCGCCCGGGCTGCCATCCAGCATGGGCATGAAATTCTGTGCAGAGCAGTGCTGTGCATCAGTTACTCTGGACAGCATCCCTTTATCACTGTGACCTTCCGTCCTTCTCAAGGTCTCATCTGACGAGTGGGAATCGGGGCCGCTACCTCCCCAGCTCAGGGGAGCTGAGCCAGCTGTCCTTTGGTCCCTCCTCCCCGACAGGGACTCCCTGGCAATCACTGACTTTGGCATCAATCACTATCTTTATGGAAAATCAAAGGAACTCCTATCAATAAAAGTTAGGCGGGGGATGTGGAAGTATACAGCAACCTGACCAGCGTGGGCCTTCGTCATAAAGGGTCACATAAGTTATTGAAAAGTTGTAAATATATGATTCAGAGCCCGGCATCCTCAGAGTTGGAAGAAGAGGCAGAAGGCCTTTGGTCCACCCTCATATTCAGGGGTAAGGCAGGCAGAGATTATTACCTCCCAATACAGGGATGGGAAAACTGAGACCCATCCTCAAGACCACCCTGCAACCTAGTCTTCCTCCTGGAGAAGACCCAGAAGATTTGGGCTGAGCCCCCAAACACTGACCTATTTTTGTAAGACCTTTTTTTGTTGTCGTTTATTTTTAGTTAACAGGATAATTTTAAGGTCCTCATGATTAGTAGTGAGCCTGCAAAGCCAGCCCTGCTGTTAACTAGAACAATCCAACAGGAGGCAGATCTTGTCAGGGGTGGTAGGGAGACAATAAGATTCTCAATCAGACAGGAGTGGAGAGGACCTGGCAGGATGGTGGTGGAGCTGGACGTGCAGGTGAAGAGGTTTGCCGACGGCTCTGTTATTGGTGCATTGGGCTCTTGCAATCTCCCAGGATAGAAATCAAGAGAGGTGGCTGGGCATGGTGGTTCACGCCTGTAATTGTAGCATTTGGGAGGCCAAGGAAGGCAGATCATTTGAGGTCAGGAGTCCAAGACCAGCCTGACCAACATGGAGAAACCCTATCTCTACTAAAAATACAAAATTAGTGGGGCGTGGTGGCGCATGCCTGTAATCCCAGCAATTTAGGAGGCTGAGGCAGGAGAATTGCTTGAACGCGGGAGGCGGAGGTTGTGGTGAGCCTAGATCACGCCATTGCACTCCAGCCTGGGCGACAAGAGCGAAACTCCATCTCAAAAAAAAAAAAAAAAAAAAAAAGGAAATTAGCCAGCTCTGGTGGTGTGTGGCTGTAATCCCAGCTAGTAGGGAGGCTGAGGCAGGAGAATCGCTTGAACCCAGGGTGCGGAGGTTGCAGTGAGCTGAGATTGCACCACTACACTCCAGCCTGGGTGACAGAGTGAGACTCTGTCTCAAAAAATAAAATAAAATAAAATAAAATAAAATAAAATAAAATAAAATAAAATAAAATTCAAGAGAGGTCAGCAGACACAGCAGCAAAGAGAAAGAGAAAGCTCATTTAGCTTGCGCACAAGGGAGCCGGCACCATGAAAGGGAAAAGGCAGGCTGCTCTCTGAAGGTAGCGGAGTTGTGTTAGAGCATGTGTGTGTGTATGTGTGTGTGTGTGCATGACAGAGAGAAAAAGACAGGCCTTCCCCTACAATACTGTGGCCTCCACTATGTAATTGATAGAGGTATGAATTTGTTTATTTTGGATTTATTTGGCCAGTAATGGACCCAGGATCTTCTAGGTTGTTTTGACTTTCATATTGCTATGCTATGCATAACAAAACCCCCGTCTCTACAAAAATAAAAGATAAAATGAGCCAGGTGTGGTGGCCCAGGCCCATAGTCCTAGCTACTCAGGAGGCTGAGGCAGAAGCATCACTTGAGCCTGGGAGGTAGAGTCTACAGTGAGCCATGATCACACTACTGTACTCCAGAGCCTGTTTCTAACAGCAACAACAAAATCAAGGAATAAAGAATCTAAATCCTTGGGGGTCATCTCACCCAAGGCCTCCCCTTGAGGTCCCGGCCCATGGCCACCCACCTAAGTGCCTGTCCTCAGCCCTCCTGGCTCTTCCCTCTCCCCTCCCCTCCCCTCCTGTGGGATCCCTGGGCAGTCTGGTTGAGCGCTGAGAAAGCTTCCGTCGGTGCAGCTCAGACCCCCTCAGTCACTCGCATGAGACCCTTCTGAGCTCCCTGTGCCTGGCTCCCCAGCCCCAGCCCCACAGCCAGCCAGCTCTGCTCTGCCCCACTCCCCGGTGCTGTCTCGAGAGCACCTCACACTGTGGCCCCACACTGTCTCCACTGTGGCCCGCTTGTCCATGGTGGGAATAAGCCGCGGCGTTCTCTGTTTCCTCCACTTGTCCTCCTCTGCCCTCCCTCCAGCACCCTCCATCCCACGGCGTTTGCCTCACTGGTGTTCTCTCCATCATCCATTTCTCTCCAAGCCTGGAGACCCCCAGTCATGGTCTCCAAGCTCATCTCAAATCCCCACCTTCACGGAACATTCCCTGGCCACCCACCCTCCCCACCAGGCAAGGATCCTTGGTTCTTCCTCTGGGCCACCACAGGATTCCCCAGCTCCGGGTCAGGGGCTGTCTTCTCGGGGAATCCCTGGGTGTCTAGCACAGGGCCTGGCCCCCCTACAAGTACAGGGCAAACATGTTTTAAATGAATGGGTTGGGTCAGTGGATGATAGGATCTGTTTCTTCTGATGCTTCGTGAAAGCCCTTTGGGGCCATTGAATTTTCCTACATTATCATTTCTTTGTCAAGGTAATTAGGGAAGATATTATTTTTCCATTTTACAGGTGAGATAAGTGATCCCACCACAAAGCTGGCTCCTGTACATGCCTCTCTGGTCCTGCTTCTGGCTGACGGGCTGGAACCACACCTGCCTGGCCTGTGGGAGGCAGTGGAGGAGCCCCGGAGGCCAGGGGGGCTCTGAGGTATGGCTGCTGACTGTGTGGGGGAGGGGTGGTAGCGCTGGAGCCAAGGCACTGGCGGAGGGGTCAACATGATGGGACGGATGTAGATGAGGACGCTAGACTCTCAGGGTCTTGGGGAGCAGCTGGCTGTGGGAGGGGAGGGGTTACTCCTTCTTGGGTCTTCGACTAGGACAACCCAGCGAGTGGTGGAGTGGGCCATTCTTGGATGCTGGACTTTTTTGGTATGAATGAGTTTGATCTGGAGGTCTAGATTTTGAGAGTCTTAGAGCGCTTTGATTATGGATTTCCCGTTGACAATTGGTACAGCGTTGAGGGCTTCGAAATTTACACTCCCGAGGGTCTGTTGGTATTAGATTCACAGAACCATGGGATTACAGAAATTTATACCCAACAGGTCATGCAATTTTATCACAATTAAAAAAAGATCTAAATATACTCAAAACCACATGGATGAATCTTCTAGAGGTTATGCTGAGCTGAAGAAGCCAGACCCAAAAACCCATATGGTATTATTCCATTGACGTGAGGTTCCCGGGTCAGGGAATGCTGACTTATGGGGAGCAAAATCAGAAAAGTACTGCAAACAATTATTTTTCTAAATTAAAATAAAAATATAGGCCGGGAACATTGGCTCATGCCTGTAATCCCAGCACTTTGGGAGGCCGAGGCAGGTGGATCACTTGAGGTCTGGAGTTCAAGACCAGCCAGGCCAACATGGTGAAACCCCATCTCTACTAAAAATACAAAAATTCGCCAGGTGTTGTGGTGTGCACCTGCAATCTCAGCTACTTGGGAGGCTGAGGCAGGAGAATTGCTTGAACCCGGGAGGCGGAGGTTGCAGTGAGCCGAGATCGTGCCACTGCACTCCAGCCTGGGCGACAGAGCGAGAGAGACTCTGTCTCAACAAATAAAAAAAACAAAAACAAAATTCAGGGGCCTTTAGTTTCTGGGAGCAGCCTCTGGCAGATACCAGCAAGGAGCCGAGGGCCTCAGGCCTATAATTGCTGGGAGCTAAATCTCCCCACACCTAACTGGGCCTGGACGGGGACCTCGAGCTCCAGAGGAGACTACAGGGCCCCCATGACACCCGGCGACTCCTGAGCAGAGGCCCTGCTAAGCTGTGCTGGAGTCCACACCCACAGAAACTGTGAGACCATTGATGGGCGTGATTTGAAGCTGCTAAGTGTGCTACGTCGTGATTTCTTACACAAGAACAGAAAGTGAATACGGGTATATTACTGTTTCATAAAAGAAGGACTTGACGTCCGTTGCATGTACACACATTGAAGCGCTCTGGGAGGACTCAGGGAAAGTCGGAACTGTGGCTGCCTACGGGTGGAGCAGGGCTTCACCCTCTCAGCCCTCATTTGCTCTTCTGTTTTTAAAGAATGTAAATGTCAACACCTGTTCAAAAGTGAATAAACTGACGATTGTGGCTGCTAATAGTTTTTGAGCTCTTCTTAAGTGTCAGGTGCCATTTTAGGCACAGCATAGGAAATAACTTTTTTTTTTTTTTTTTTTTTTTTTTGAGACAGAGTCTTGCTCTATTGCCCAGGCTGGAGTGCAGTGGCATGATCTTGGCTCACTACAACCTCCGCCTCTGGGCTTCAAGCAATTCTCCTGCCTCAGCCTCCCGAGTAGTTGGGATTACAGGTGCACACCACCATGCCCAGCTAATTTTTGTATTTTTAGTAAAGATGGGGTTTCGCCATGTTGGCCAGGCTGGTCTCGAACTCCTGACCTCAGGTCATCCACCTGCCTCTGCCTCCCAAAGTGCTGGGATGACAGCACTTTGAAGTACATTGAATACTTCCCACAATGCTGTAAGGCAGGTGCAGGGAAACTGAGGCCCGTGCAAGGGTGTGATGCACCCTGGCTCTCAGAGAAAGCCTTAGAGCTGGGATTCGGGCCATTGGGCTTCAGGTCTGCAACCATCTCCTCTGCCCTATCCCTTTAGTTCCCATATCTCTGGGCAGGGAAGTTGCGGCGGAGCCGGGACAGCAGCTGTTGGTGGAGCAAGAATACAGCAGCTGCCAGATGCTGGAAGAAGGCAAGGCTCAGAAGACCATGGGCACTGGCAGAGTCCCATGAGAGCCTTAGAGATTCCAGACTGGGGAGCCTGCAGCTGCCTTTCAACCACCAGAGCTAGAGAGGAGGTTCCCCATCCCCTGATTCTCCCCTGCCTTGATTTTTTTTTTTTTTTTGACAGAATTTTCACTCTTATCGCCCAGGCTAGAGTGCAGTGGCGTGATCTCGGCTCACTGCAACTTCCCCTCTTGTGTTCAAGCGATTCTCCCTCAGCCTCCTGAGTAGCTGGGATTACAGGTGCGCACCACCATGCCAGGCTAATTTTTGTATTTTTAGTAGAGACAGGGTTTCGCCAAGTTGGCCAGCCTGGTCTCGAACTCCTGACCTCAGGTGATCAGCCTGCCTCGGCCTCCCAAAGTGCTGGGATTACAGGCGTGAGCCACCGCACCTGGCCTCTTGCTTGATCTTTAGAATGTGTGCCTCTGTCTCTTTCGTCATTATCATTTCTTTCATTTCATTATTGTCCCCTGCATTCGCTTCTGAATCTCCTGTGTTAAAACTTCCAGAAGAGAAAAATCTCTTTTGATTTTAGAAAACATTTGTTCTTTAAAAAAGGACTTTACGTCATTCCATTCATATGAAGAAAGAGACATTTCTAACCTTGTTATTTTACGTATATGAGTTAGTTTTCATCAGCAGATTCTTTGTCTGTTTGTCATTATATTATTTTTCAAGGCCCATATGCAAGAATTGTTTCATAGACACCATTTCTGATCTCAGTGTGTTTTTCACTGGTTAATAAAAACCACAGCTTATAACTCAGTCATATAAATATGACACTTCCCTCAGCTTCCAGCATGACACAATGATAAATTCAGCAAGTTTACGTCTGCCTTCATTTTCCCCTTTTATTTCTTTGCCTGAATTTCCCTGGGGCCAGCCCTCCAAATAATTTCTTTAGGAGATAAGGAGAATTGTGTTTCTGCCAGTTTGATTTCCGTGGCAGTATGCAGCTGCAGAAGGTTTCTGCTGTTTTATGTGTCCTGTAACCGTGAAGCACTATTCTTGAGTGGCCCCCACCAATACCATGTGGTTTCCATTACGCTTTTCTTCTCCCCCTCTTCCCCCCTCTCCCCTTCCCAGTGAAGCATCTTGAATAATGACAAAAAGGGCAGAAAAGCAGAGGGCTTGAGGGGTTGGAGACTCCAAAGTTGGACTCCTGGGTTTGTCACTCACTCATTAGCTGTGTGGCCCTGGGTAGCTGCTGAACCCCTTCGGTGCTTGGATTCTGCACCTCGTGTGGCTCATCTCTCCATCTGTGTAGTGTTATGGGGACATGGAAAGTGTTTTTTTTTTTTTTTTTTTTTTTTTGAGACGGAGTCTCTCTCGGTCGCCCAGACTGGAGCGCAGTGGCGTGATCTCAGCTCACTGCAAACTCTGCCTCCCGGGTTCACGCCATTCTCTTGCCTCAGTCTTGTGAGTAGCTGGGACTACAGGCGCCCGCCACCACACCCAGCTATTTTTTTGTATTTTTAGTAGAGGCGGGGTTTCACCGTGTTATCCAGGATGGTCTCAATCTCCTGACCTCATGATCCGCCCGCCTTGGCCTCCCAAAGTGCTGGGGTTACAGGCGTGAGCCACCGCACCCAGCCGGAAAGTCTTTACATAAGATGGTTGCTATCAAACATGATTAGTTAGTGCTTAGCAGGTGCCACAGAGGCTGGACGTTGGGGGAGCCTCCTCGCACCCTCTCGTTGGATTGCTGGGGTGTCCACCGGGTGACTGTGAGATGTCTCCATGACAGCGAATAGGTGGCTATGGCCAGGCACACGCAGGCCCCAAGGCTAAGTCCTAGTAGATTCTGATAGCCTGGAATCATTCATAGTTTTGCTTTTTTTTTTTTTTTTTTGAGACAGGGTCTCACTCTGTCACCCAGGCTGGAGGGCAGTGGTGCGATCAAAGTTCATTGCAGCCTCAACCTCCTGGGCTCAAGTGATCCTCCTGCCTCAGCCTCCCAAGTAGCTGGGACTACACGTGTGTGCCACCACACCTGGCTAATTTTTTATTATTTTGCAGAGATGGGATTTTGCCATGTCGCCCAGGCCCGGGCTGGTCTTGAACTCCTGGACCCAAGCAATCTGCCCGCCTCGGCCTTCCAAAAGTGCTGAGATTACAGGCGTGAGCCACTGTGCCCAGCATGTTTTTTGTTTGTTTGTTTGTTTTGAGACGGAGTCTCGCTGTCGCCCAGGCTGGAGTGCAGGGGCGTGATCTTGGCTCACTGCAGGCTCCGCTCCCTGGGGTTCACGCCATTCTCCTGCCTCAGCCTCCCACGTAGCTGGGACTACAGGCGCCCACCACCATGCCTGGCTAATTTTTTGTATTTTTAGTAGAGGCAGGGTTTCACCGTGTTAGCCAGGATGGTCTCGATCTCCTGACCTCGTGATCCACCCGCCTCGGCCTCCCAAAGTGCTGGGATTACAGGCATGAGCCACCGCGCCTGGCCTTTTTTTTTTTTTTTTTAAATATTTGTGCATCTACCAATGGCTATGATTTGCTGAAAGGAATCTCAGGTGTTCAATTATTTGATGGCTGGGATGACTGACTGCAAAGGGGACCATCAAAGGGCCGCAAAGACAACATTGCTGGTCCTGACACACCTCGGCTAAGTGTTTAAGATGCAGTGGAAACCTCAGGACTGGATGAGAAAAGTTCACCTGTGTAACGTGCAGGTGCACACGACTGTGCTCACCTGTGTGGATGTGTGTGTGCCCAGCATGCAGAGGTGCCGGGTTCAAGTCAATACGTGGATTAAGCCAGGCTCTTGGCTGGGTGACGACTTTGTATGTTGTTACATTTGTAGGATGCTGGTGTGGTGGCCCTCCTGGCTCACATGCTTATGGTGGTCCCCTGAGGGTGAGTCCCCTGAGGCCCGGTGAGCGTGTTCTGAGACCTGCCTCCCTGGCCATGGCTGGGTGGTCCTCGTGGTGGGCATCCACCCATGTGACTTCACTTCTCTCCAGGTCTGTGAGGATCAACAATGTGTAGTTACTGGTCACCATTGTCCTTTTCCTTCCCAATTCCTGGGAGGATACAGGAGCATGTTACTGAGCAAGTGAGGTGTGACTTGGGCCAGACAGGGCAGATGGCGGTTGGATTGGCAGGAGAAGGGAAGAGGAGTGAGCACTGGTGGGGTGTTCGGGAAGAGGTTGGGAGGCCTGGTGAGTTAGGCAGGAGGGGGACATTGGGGAAAGCTGGGGGCGTGGTAAGGAGCCAGGAGCTTGGAGAGGTGCTGGAAGCTCAGCTCAGGGCCCAAACGGGTGGGCTCAGCCTGGGGTGGCTGAGATCTCCTTTCGAGGCCAGCAGCGTCTCAGTCCTCGTTGGACTGAGGCCTTTGCAGCTCCAGCAACTTCGGGGCATGGACGATGACAGGGTTTGTATTCCAAAGAGGATCCGGACATCCTCCCACTTCTTCGTGCATCCGCAAAGCCCCGTCAGCTGTCTTCTCCTTGCCTTTTACATTGAACTCGCAACGTCCTTTACCCTCCCTTCGCTCCTCTGTCGGGAACTGGCAAAGCAGAGACCCTGGGGTGTTTTTATTTTTCCTGCAAGCTGGGAGGACTAATCTGTGCTATGTACTTTAGTGCACGATCTTCATAAAACCCAGAACTGTGTTATTTAAACCAGTTTCATTTCCTTTTAAACATGTCAAAGTCGCTGGTCTTAACTCAAGGACTCCAGCATCTAAGGTTTGATGTGGCAAAAGGGCGGTAGGGGAGAGAGGAGAAGCAAATGCCGTTTGGAGAGACTGCGGCACAAAGGAGATGCTAGCATGGGGGGTGGGGGGCTTGGGGGAGGTTTAGGGTTCCAGTCAGGTTGCCAAAACGTTTCTGATTTTCCTCTTAGAACCCTTTGACAACACCCTCCCGGAGCACAGCAGCACGGTGAGCTGTGCAGACTCCAAAGTTCCCTGGGATTTGCTCAGGAAGCCCCCACTCCCGCTCAGTAAATGTGACCTGGGTTGTGGTAATACTCACTGCATGAGGGTCCAGGTTAGAGTCTTGGGTCATCACAACCAGGTGTATAGAGTGATCTGGACTTGTTGAATCAGAATCCCTAGATTTGGAATGCAGAGACATCGTGGCTCTTTTCTGC
This sequence comes from Homo sapiens, assembly GCF_000001405.40. Classification (NCBI taxonomy): domain Eukaryota; kingdom Metazoa; phylum Chordata; class Mammalia; order Primates; family Hominidae; genus Homo; species Homo sapiens. The sequence continues at coordinate 45,055,340 of NC_000022.11, read as the reverse complement.
TTAAGAACATGTTCCTGACCATTCAGGTCCAGCAGAGGAATGTGATCATGATTCGCTGCAGCCTCAGTCTCCCCGGTGTTGCCCAAATGTTCTTCCTATCTCGGACTCCCGAGTACCTGGGACTATTTGGACCTTCTTCCTCTGTTTTTTTTTTTGTTTGTTTTGTTTTTTTTTTTTTTGAGACGGAGTCTCACTCTGTCTCCCAGGATGGAGTGCAGTGGCGCGATCTTGGCTCACTGCAAGCTCCGCCTCCTGGGTTCACGCCATTCTCCTCCCTCAGCCTCCCGAGTAGCTGGGACTACAGGCACCCACCACCACGCCCGGCTAATTTTTTGTATTTTTATTAGAGACGGGGTTTCACCGTGTTAGCCAGGATGGTCTCGATTTCCTGACCTCATGATCCACCTGCCTCAGCCTCCCAAAGTGCTGGGATTACAGGCGTGAGCCACCGCGCCCGGCTTCCTCTGTTTTTTTTTTTTTCTAAGCCCAATTTCTGTTTGTTTCCACAGTACTAAGAGTAATTTGCTGCTGTTTTTCTTTATTCCTTTCTCTGTTCTCCTAATGCTCCTTCCTTCACACTGAAGTTGACCTTTTGGTTAATTTTTTGCCACGGTCCAGCCTGCGTGTGACGAACGGAAAAAGCAAGAGAAAGAGAGAGAGAAAGAAAGAAAGATCTTAATTTTGATATTAATTACCTTTAACCTGTTCACTCCCACTTATTTATGTATTGGTCTTTAATATTGTTTATTATATATGTAAAAAAAGAACCAGCTCCTTAGCGGAGCGCTTCTGTGTGGGAAGTCGTGGGACAGCTACTGTTCTGGGCTCTCCTCTCCCAGCTTCACTCTGTGCCCCCTTCTCTGTCTGGATGTGTCGTGTGTGTATGCCTGGCCTACAGCAGCTTCCAGCACTCCTAGGATGACCCAGGCAGCTCCTTTCCCTCCAGCCCCTCCCACCCCCTCCCAGTCCGCTGTCCCAAACGTGTTATAATGAAATACCTGAGACTGGGTAATTTATAAAGAAAAAGAGATTTATTGGACTCACAGTTCCACATGGCTGGGGAGGCCTCACAATCATGGCAGAAGGCAAAGGAGGAGCAAAGGCATATCTTACATGGTGGCAGGCAAGAGAATGTGTGCAGGGGAACTGCCCTTTATAAAACCATCAGATCTCATGAGACTTATTCACTATCATGAGAACAGCATTGGAAAACCTGCCCCCATGATTTAATTACCTCCCATTGGGTCCCTCCCATGACCTGTGGGAGCTATAATTCAAGATGAGATACGGGTGGGGACACAGCCAAACCATATCACAGCCCAACTTCTGGGTCTGTATGTCCTTTTGCTCAGAACTCCTCTTCCCTTGTATTTCAAATCTCAATCTCCCCTGAGGAGACCCAGATGATGTCAGGGGCCCTCAATATAGTCCCACAGTGCTAAGGACCTCTCCTTGGTGACATTTGTAAAGGCTGTATTTAAAAGCATGCATTTTCTTGAGTCCCTTCTATTCAGCCAAGGTGTCCTTTGCCTCAGGGGCAATTAGCATTGCTTCAGGAGGAACATCAAGAGAAAAGACTTGGGGCTTGGTTTTTGCATGCAAAGTAGGATTTGTTAGGCCTAGGGCAGAGTTGCTCAGCCTGGACACTGTGGACATTTGAGGTAAGATCCTGTAGGGCATCAGCAGCATCCTTGGCCTCTACCCACATTCAGATAGAGGGGCCACTCCTCGGCCTCCAAGTCCAGATGATTAAAAATGTCTCCAGACACCACCCAATGCCCCCTGGCAGGCAGAATCATCCCAGCTGAGAGCCCCTGATCTGGAGTAAGAACATAGTCTTGAAAGCCAACTTTTTATTTTTATGTTTTGGGCAAGAGAAGGATCTTCTAAAGCTCCCCTTTGTGAAAGGAAAATAAAAACTCAGGACCCCAATTCACTTGGCCAAAAGAAAGAAATTAGGCTGCAAGCTGAGTCATGCAAGAAGCTACCTTTCCTTTTGTTCCTAAGCAGAGAGCTACAGAGAAAAGGTTAAGTATCTCTCCAGGTAGCTAATCCAGTGTTCACCTTATCTTATGTAAAGTGCTGATTTACTGAGTGCCAGGCGAATACATGATTGACTACTCCCCTACCTGCTGCTTTTCCCTTGTAACATGTGGATTCAGTAACTACACCCTCCCTCTTTCTCCTCCAGTTCACTTTTCCCCTTTAAATATGGAAGCCCTCAAAATCATCTTTGGAGAAAGGCACAGACTTCTCTCTGGGGCATGTCCTTAATCTTGGCAAAATAAATTTCTAAATTAATTGAGACCCGTCTCAGATACTTTCTGGTTTACACCTTTATATGCCAAGAATACAGCCTCAGGAGGTCTTGAAGACATGTGCCCAAGGTGGTCAGAGGACAGTTTGGTTTTATACATTCTAGGGAGACAGAAGACATCAATCAACACGTGTGAGAGGAACATTGGTTCAGTCTGGAAAGGCAGGACAACTCGATGCAATGGTGGGAGGGAAGCAGGGAGGGGCTTAGGTAGATAAGAGACAAAAGGTTGCATTCTTTTGAGTTTCTGATGAGCCTCTCCAAAGGAGGCAATCAGATATGCATTTATCTCAGTGAGCAGAGGGGTGACTTTGAATAGAATGGGAGGCAGGTTGACCCTAAGCAGTTCCCAGCTCAACTTTTCCCTTTAGCTTAGTGATCTGGGGCCCCGAGATTTATTTTCCTTTCACAAGCCTGATGGACTGGGCCATGCCGCTTTTCAAGAAGCCATTGGAAGCAAGTATAGAAGCTTCGTCTTCTGTCGGAGAGAAGGGAGGCAGAAGTGTTCTGCCACAGCAGGGAGAGATGAGGGATGAGGCCAGGGTGGTGAGGATGGAATGAGGGTCCCTGAGAAGGGACCCAGCAATGCAGTCCCCTCCCTGGGAGGCCTGGAGGGCACCCCGAAGAGATGGACCTGTGAGTTGCTGCTTGAAGAGGGACCCGCAGCTGACCAAACAGAACAGAAAGACCGAAGAGTATTAGAGGCAGAGAGTGGAATGAACAGAGGCCACAACACAAGGAATCATTGTCCTATTTTCAGAGATCTCTGAGTTAGAGCCTGGGTCTTGGGGGAGGTGACAGAGAGCTGGGGCGGGCCTTACGGGGGGTGGAATCCCACACCCGTCATCCATGCCCGATGCGGCAGGCCCTGTGCCCAGGGCTCGGGTCCTAGGCTGGTCTCTGCTCCGTGCCGCTTCTGTTCTTAAGGGTGGAAAGAAGATGTGAGTGGATAAGCTTGGATGTGCTGCGGGCTCTAAGGTGATGGCCAAAGGACACACAGAGCTCTCCTGCAGGAGGAAAGGCAGAGCCTGGCTTGCAGAAGTGCAGGGTGACCTCCTGAGGAGGTTGAAGGAGGCTGGGCAAGTGCTCAGAAATCTGAAGGTGGTCCCATGAGAAATGGGGTGGACTGACGTGGGAGCCATGACTGCTGCCCAGGGCTTTGCTGTAGACAACCAGATAGAGGACAGGGGAGGGGCTGCTTGGGGGAGAGGGAGTGGGGACTTTTATTTGAACCTGAGATGCCCACTGAGAGTCCAGAGAGGTGACAAGAAGGAGCTGATGGCCACGCACAGTACTCAGGGAGAGATGCGGCTGAAGGGCATTTAGCCCAGGTGAGTCACGTGCTGGGGTGGCCAACCAGAGAGCAGAGGCTCAGGATGGGCAGAGGGGCCACCTGGCCATGGAGCCTGGGAAGGAGGGTGGGGAACAGTGGGAGCCGGGGGCCACGGGAAGAAGGGGGCAGTCCAGGAGTTGAGTGTTGCTGAGGACAGATGGGGACCACGAACATGGTGGCCCTGAGGTTGCGGTGGGACAGTGATGGCCAAAGCCAGGAGGGATGGGTTGGAGTGGGACGGGAGCAGGGGTGGAAAGAGCCAGCACCTGGGCCCCTCTTTATGGGGTGCATTGAAAGCCTTACATTGGGAGAGTAATGACTTACACTGAACTTCTGGAGTGGGCGCCCTGGTAAGAAGTGGAGGGCGTAGGATCCTGAGCGAGGTGGGTGGTGCGTGACCAGAGCCTCGGGAGGTGCCCCATGAAGAGGCCTCAGTCAGGGCTCATAGGGGTGCTTGGCCTCCGCTTACTTACTCTCTCAGCTGCATTCCATGGGGGACACCACCTCCTCACCAAAACACCCTCTTCCAGCACATTCTGTGAGGCCACAGTGCCTGGATTTTCCATGGTACATTCTTGGGCAGGAAGTCTTGGGGTGGGGGGCACAAGTAGAACAAGAGAATGACAATCACGATGAATTATGTGGGCACATGGCACCTTTACGTCCATTATTCTCTTTAACGGGTAGATGGTGCAAATACACTTGTCATCCCTGTTTTACAGGTGAAGAAACTGAGTCACAGAGAAGTTGAGGGACTTTCCCAAAGACACATAGCAGGTGATGGCAGAGGCTTGACTGGAACACAGAGGGGTCCTCTGAGTTCGGGATACTCCTCAGCTGAACTCCTGTGTGAAAGCGCAGGGGCTGCTCTGAATAGGGGAAGGGGACAGAAGCCTCCCTCAAGAACAGGCTTCCATCAGCTCACGGTCGGAGCTGTACCATGTTGAGCAAACCACCTTCTGTTCCAGCAGCTCAATGTGCAATGAACTTTCATTCCACTGCAGCCCAGGCTCAGGGCACAAAGCCACTGTCTCAGGGTGCCAGTTGGCGGGAACATAGGGCTTGTAAACTGTGCACTTCACAGAGAATCTGATGGCTTCTGAAACACACTGATGTCCCAAGTAGAGGCAGCACTGTGCGTTGTGACATGGGAGGAGGCTGTGACACTCACTCACCCCTGGACAGAGCAGTGTTTTTCCATGTGGTCCTCCCCCATGGATAGTCTCTCCTTTATCCTAACGTGCAGGAATCCTCTAAGCTATTGTTTTCCCCTTTGCAATGGACCCCAGCTCCTGCAAATCCAGGAACTAGTTTTTTTCTAGGTGGACAGAGAAAAATGGCACCTAATTAAGATTAGACGTGCTTTTGCCATTCTTTGAAACTTATTCCCCTCTGCAAGTTAATAATCTCTATTGAACACACTTTTCAGGGTGAATAATTCACTCTGGGGGACAGTGGCAGTGTGAACTGTCCCTGATTTACCTTACATGGCTTGGAACTTTGAAAATATCTCCCTTTAACTGTGGAGTTGAAATAGCTCAGAATTCCTATAATAATTGTAATTACAGCTGCTGTTTAGTTAGTCCCAGTGATGTACTAGATACTTCACATCCATGTTCTCAGCTTCCCAGAAAACCCCTGCAAGCTGGGAATTATCGTCCCCACTAGAAAGAGAGAGGGAGAGAGAGATGTATATCTCAGAGAGGTTAAATAACTGACTTAAAGTCACATAGCTGATCAGATCTGACGTAAGATTGGAACCAGATCTGCCTGCCCATGGTTCCTTCATTGCCCATGCTACTCTGACTCAAGGAAGGACCTTAACCTTAATCTTGTCCCCCGCTGCAGGCTCTGCAGGTGAAGACACTCATCCTCAGAGGGGAGGCTGTGGGAGAGTTAAGGATAGCTGAGGAGTTCTCAGAAGCGGGGCAGTGGCTCAGTTTCCTCCTGTGCGGAATGGCAGGTGGAGGAGTGAGGGGTGATGGCAAGTTGGGGACAGGCTAGACCCAGGCGGCCCAGAGATCCATGTAAGGGGCACCGGGGAAAGGCAACGTGCCTGGAGTGGGACAGACTGTTGTCTAGCTCAGCGCAGCAGAAAGAGCAGGATGGCCGGGTGTCGGCCACAGACCTGCATCACACATCCCCTTCAGCTACCTGCTGGTGCCACTAGCCTGGATGTAACGCTTCTTCACAGCTCTTCCACCAGGGCATCCACGGCAGGCTCAGCTCCTCCTGCTGGGTTTTCCAGGTCTCTGTGTTCTGTAGCTAAATCACCCTCCAGCTGTGTGTGTCCGCACAATTTCTGCTGGATTTTAAAAAACAAGCTTTGTGTGTGCACGTGTGCTTGAGCTTGTGTGTGTCTTTAATTCGGTAGATCCAATCTAGAAGGAAGGGCGTCACATCCCCATCCATGGCTTCGGCTCTCGTCTGGCCACTCGGGACGCTCCAAATCTATGACTCCTGCCTCCCGGGTATCCCAAGGGCACCCAAACATCGGAGCCACAACTGGATCCCTCAGCCTCTTGATGAACCTCCTCCCCTGTTCCTGCTGCCTCCCTGAAGGGCCCCATGACTTCCTTTGCCTAAATAACAAAGCTGAAGTCCTTCATCATTCCCCTCACTCAACTCCACACCCAACCAGACAGGAGTCTTGTCTAAAGCTCTCTAATGTCTGTCCCCTTGCCTCTGTCCCTCCACTGAAGCCTCTAGACCAGCCTTCTCCCTCCAAGTCTCAGCCCCAGGAGCCAGAGTGAGCTTGCTAAAGTGCAAATCACAGAAACAAGGTGGAGGTAAGGTAGACAACTGCCACGCCTCCCTCCTCTGGGAGCAGCCTCCTGTGCCTGCATAACCTCGCACTGCCCTCCACTCTGGCCCATCTGTGGGAGGGAAGGATGCACCTGTGGGAGGGAAGGATGTGTGCAGGTGAGCAGGGAGAGAGGCCACGAGGTGCGGACTGCAGCCTCATGGCACAGCAAAAGTGCAAAACACCAAGTGTCCACCATGTGGGAATTGCTAAATCAGGGCTGCAGGGAGAAACTCAATGCCTGGACTAGGTCCTGGAACAGAAAAAGGGCCTTAGTGAGAAAACTGGTGAAACGCAAGCAAAAGATTTCGTTAATAATGATATACCAACGTGCATGTTTAGTTTTGACAAATGTCCCATGGTTATGGCAACATTAGGGGAACTCTGTGCTATATTCACAACATTTCTGTAAATCTAAAATTATTCCAAAATAAGACGTTCATTTTAAAAGAAAATGTGGTTGGTCATGGTGGCTCATGCCTATAATCCCAGCACTTTGGGAGGCCAAGGTGGGAGGATTGCTTGAACCCGGGAGTTCAAGGCCAGGCTGGGCAACATAGGGAGACCCCATCTCTATCAAAAAATACAAAAATTAGCCAGGCATGATGGCATGCACCTGTGGTCCCAGCTACTGGGCAGGTTGAAGATCACTCGAACCTGGGAGGTCAAAGCTGCAGTGACACCTGATTGCTCCACTGCACTCCTGCCTGGGTGACAGTGAGACCCTGTCTCAAAAGAAAAAAGAAAAAAATATATATTATGGTGCATTCGCTAAGTTGAATAAGATGCAAGCTTAAAAAAGCAGATAGTATCTATTTACAAATAGTATCTATTACAGAAAAATATTCCCGATTCTTGATATGTTTATAGACAAAAGCAAGTTACAAGATGGTATATATAGTATAATGTTATGCATGTATGCACGGATATCTATATTTATTCTTTAAAAAATGCTTCCCTGTATATGGAATTGGATTGGTGCTGGTTGTGTTGTTATTGTTTTAATTCTGAAATGATTCATCCCAAACTGAAAACAGCAGTTACCCCCGAGGAATGAGATCTGGAGAAGTCATTTCTTGGGAGGCTCTTTGGTGTCATTTTCATTGGTTATCACTAATATGGGCTGCTTTAATAACTTAGACAAATATTTACAAAAGCAAACTTGATCATCTCACTTCCCTTAAAGTAGTCAGTGGATCCTGCCTTTATTCATCAAAGATTTATTGAATGTCTGCTGTGTCTCAGGCTCGGTGTGAAAGCTGGAAAGTGGCCAGGGCACGGTCACTGAGGTGGAGCCCCTGGGGGAGTCAGAGGTCACAGGCACTTTTGATAGCATCGGAGAAGTCCTCAGATGGGACAGCACAGGCTGCGTGGCCTCCAGGGAATGTCCCAGCTGAGGGGCACTAGGGCCTGGGGGGATAAGGGGGTGGGCACAGCTGACCTGGAAATTGCAGCATAGAGGTAGCAGCAGTTAGCCATGGGGGACAGGCTGTGCTGAAGCCCAGAGGCCAGCGAGACTTGGGGAGAGAGAGACTGCTGGTGTCCAGCGTGGCTGGAGTGACCACTGAGCTGGGCAGTTGGTGAGGAGCAGCTTGGAAGCTCTCAACCTTGAAGCTGAGGAGTCTGAGCCAGGAGGGCCATGCTTATATTTGCTGCTGGATGGTGAATGAGCTGCTGGAGGATGTATGAGTCTGTTCTCGCAACTGCTATAAAGAAATACCTGGGACTGGGTAATTTATAAAGAAAAGAGGTTTAATTGACTGATGGCTCCATAGGTTGTACAGGAAGCATAGCAGCTTCTGCTTCTGGGGTAGCCTCAGGAAACCTAAAATCATGGCGGAAGGTGAAGGGGAAGCAGGCACGGCTCACATGCCTGGAGCAGGGGGAAGGGTCATATCAAATGAATAATTGAATAAATACATCCCCATCCTTGCTGCATATCTTTAACTGGGCAGATTTGAGGCATTTTTATTAGAATTTGAGAGGTGAGGGCTGGTGGTGAGCATCCTCTTGGCTCTGTCTCTTCATCAGGACAGGCTCCTGGGTTGCTTCTGGGTTTAGCTGGGATAAATGTTCTGCAAGTCAGTAAATAAAAGCTTAGGCAAAGTAGTGATGAGGACAGACCTATGGCAAGGGCACAACTGTATTACCTTTTCTTTCTTTCTTTCTTTCTTTTTGAGACAGTGTCACTCTGTCACCCAGGCTGGAGTGCAGTCGCGTGATCTCGGCTCACCACAACCTCCGCCTCCCTGGTTCAAGGGATTCTCCTGTCTCAGCCTCCCGTGTAGCTGGGATGAGAGGCATGTACCACCACACCCGGCTAATTTTTTGTATTTTTAGTAAAGATGGGGTTTCACCATGTTGGCCAGGCTGGTCTCAAACTCCTGACTTCAGGTGAGCCGCCTGCCTCGGCCTCCCAAAGTGCTGGGATTATAGCCATGAGCCACTGCGCCCAGCCTCTTTTCTTTTTTTTTGAGACAGGATCTTGCTCTGTTGCCAGGCTTACTGCAACCTTACTGCAACCTTACTCCCAGGCTCAAGTGATCATCCCGCCTCAGCCCCCCCAGTATCTGGGACTATAGGCTTGTGCCACCATGTCTGGATAATTTTTGCATTTTTTTGTGGAGATGGGGTTTTGCCATGGTGCCCAGGGTGGTGTCAAACTCAGGGGCTCAAGTGGTCCGCCCACCTTGGCCTCCCAAAGTGCTGGGATTACAGGTGTGAGCCATCACCCCTGACATATATTAAAATCTTTAACTGAAAAAAGAACTAGAATATAATGGAATTGAATTTTTTTTTAGTGGGTAAACAGTGAACATGGAATAACTAAGACATATACTGGTTAAACTTTTAAAAATCTACAAGTAAATTGTCTCATCAAAAACTTCGGTTTTTTAGCCAGGTGGCTCACACCTGTAATCTCAGCAGTTGGCGAGGCCAAGGTGGGTGGATCACTTTAGGTCAGGAGTTCAAGATCAGCCTGGCCAGCATGGCGAAACTCCGTCTCTACTAAAAATACAAAAATTAGCCCGGTGCGGCGGTGCGTGCCTGTAATCCCGGCTACTTGGGAGGCTGAGGCGTGAGAATTGCTTGAACCCGGGAGGCGGAGGTTGCAGTGAGCCAAGATTGCACCACTGCACTCCAGCGTGGGTGACAGAGCAAGACTCTGTCTCAAAACAAACAAACAAACAAACAAACAAAACTTCTGTTGTTGTTGTTTTTTTTTTAAGGAAAAAGCCTTTTGTTATAAATGAAATGGTGTAGAATCAGGAAGCAAGGGAAAGGGCAATAAACATTCTCCAGGTCAAGAAATTAATGAGGAAGGGCTCTCCCTTAGTTCTTGTAGATTTTAATAAATTACCTGGAAATGGAGGCACTCTGTGAAATATCTGAGTTTCTAACTGTCGCTTCCTCCTCTGGGAATGACTTGCCAAACTCAGAGAGCGTCTCCAGGCAGGTCTCCTGAGAATCCTGCGTGGGAAGCACGTGCTGGATGAACTCTGTGTCTGCAAGCAGCAGTTAATGCCGTCAGGGGAAGATAACTCAGTTGTGCCAATAAAACGACTGCTCTGAGCTATCAGTTATGATTCAATAAAGAGTCAGGAATAACGCATCTAGAATTAGGGAATTCTGGAACCAGAAGAACCACATTGATGGTTGGATTTGATCCCTATTTATTTTTTGTTTTGTTGTGGTTTTGAGACAGGGTCTCCTTCTGTTGCCCAGGCTGGAGGGCAGTGGTGCAATCTCAACTCACTGCAACCTCCACCTCCCAGGTTCAAGAGATTCTCCTGCCTCAGCCCTGCCGACGCCTCAAAACCAGCCTAGGCAACATGGCGAAACCATGCCTCTACAAAAAATACAAAAATTAGCCAGGTGTGGGGGCACAAAGCTGTAGTCCCAGCTACTCAAGAGGCTGATGTGGGAGGACCACTTGAGCCTGGGAGGCAGAGGCTGCAGTGAGCTGAGATCACGTCACTGTACTCTAGCCTGGGTGACAGTGCGAGACCCTGTCTCAAAATAAAATTTAAAAACTCAAGGATCTTGATGTGGGGAGATTGTCCCAGCACTTAGTGAGGCTGATGCAGGTGGATCGCTTGAAACCAGGAGTTCAAGATGAGCCTCGGTGACACAGCGAAACCCTGTCTCTGCAAAAAATACAAAAATTAGCCAGGCATGGTGGTAGAGGAGCCTGTTTCATGGCCGATGGAGATCCCTTTGCCTCATGATTGATTGGATGGAGTTAGAGGACAAGAACACAGGAGCCCAAGCCAGGAAACGTTTTCCACACTTGCGATCCAGCAGGCAGCTCCTCAAGACCCTCAAGAAAGGCCCTGGAGGGTGCTTGGAACCCTCCTGGGGGAAGGGAAACCTTGGGGTTCTTTAGAAGGGGCTCTTTAGTTTGCAAAGACAGAGGCTGGTGGTGAAGGTGTGAGGGGCTGCCTGAGTGAAACCTGGGAACCAGGGGTAGCCTGCACAGCCTGGTTCCAGCCCTGACTCAGAACTCGGGGTCCTCTTGTGTATTAGTTCTCTATGGCTGCTGTAAATAGTTACCCCAAATGCAGTGGATTAAAACAGTAGACCTCTATTCACTTACAGCTCTGGAGGTCAGCAGTCTGAAATCATTTTCGCTGGATAAAGTCAAGGTATCTGCAGGGTTGGTTCCTTCTAGAGGCTGCAGGGGAGAATCTGTTTCCTTGCTTTTGTCGGCTTCCAGTGGCTGCCTGCATGCCTTGGCTTGTGGCTCCTTCCACCATCTTCCAATCCCATCACTCTAATCCGTATCCATCATCCTATCATTTCCTCCTCCTTGCTCATCAAAGATCCCTCTGCCTCCCTCTCATAAGGATCCAGAGATCACAGCATGCCCACTCAGATAGTCTGGGACAGTATCGCCACATCAAGATCCTTGACTTTTTACATTTTATTTTGAGACAGGGTCTCGCTCTGTCACCCAGGCTGGAGTGCAGTGGTGCGATCTCGGCTGACTGCAGCCTCTGCCTCCCAGGCTAAAGCAATTCTCCAACCTCAGTCTCCTGAGTACCTGGGATTACAGGCATGTGCCACCACACCTGACTAACTTTTGTATTTTTTGTAGAGACAGGGTTTCGCCATGTTGCCCAGGCTGGTCTCGAACACCTGAGCTCAAGCGATCTGCCCACCTTGGCTTCCAAAAGTGCTGGGATTACAGGCGTGGGTCACCACGCCTAGATCCTTGATTTAATCACATCTGCAGAATCCCTTTTACCATATAAGGAAACATTTGCAGATTCTGGCCATTCCTGGCTAATTTCCTATCTCCCATAGTGCCCCTAAAAGGTCCCCAACCAGCCCCAGCTAGGCACCTCTCTTGGGACCTGCACCCAGTTCTGCCTCACTCTTCTCCTCTCCATGAAATTCATGAAGATTCTGCATCCACTCCTGATGACCCTCAGTAACCCCTTTCCCCCAGTCCTGAGTCCCCCCAGATTCCTGCATAAAGGCTCAGGGCCGCACATCCCTCCTCCCCACACCTTCCCTGGGCACCCAGGTGTAGTGGGCTCCTCTATTCTCTGTAACTTTCCTTCATCAATGAGCAAATCCACTCCCATCCTGCAACTAAAACTGCAGGAAACAGCTTCAAGAGAAATTTGGTTCGCTCCCCATTAAAACCAAATCGATACATTTTAGGATCCTGGAGAAGAGGTTTTTTTTTTTTTTCATCATCCATTCCCTGTTTATGCTCCTCAGGAGGGCTGTGCTGGGGATTTTCTGGAATTGGCATTCACACTCCTCTATGCACATGAGCCCAAACACCATCCTCGTCATAAATCCACATCACCGTGATGCCTGAGCATTGGCGGGCTCCCTTAAATCCACCATCTCAGCTGATCCTTACAGTTGTCGCGTCTCGGTGGGGATTATCATTCCCAGCTGACAGAGGAGGCAAGTGAGGTCCAGAATCTGCACCGCCCTTAGAGCTTTCAACGCCAGCAAGTGCGGCCCCTGCCTCAGGGGCCTGTTCTTCCCAGGGTCTCCCTCCACATTTTCTAAGACCTCTGCCATGCCTGGGACCAACCATGCTGAGAATGTCACCTGGCTGGGGCACCCAGTCCTGGGCAGAGACTCATGTGGAGTCTGGTCCCTTTTTCCTGGGTCTCCCCTGTCCAACCTTCCCCCAGGCATGTGAGGGTGACCAGATGTCCCGAGGAGTTGCAGGCCTGTGTTCATAGGACCGTCTTGGGGTCCTGGGGTCGTTCTGGGTCTCCATGATCAGCACAGTGTTTCTGGCCAATGAAAGGTGCTAGTATGTTGATTCAGGGCTACTCTCACTCACTTTGGACCCAAGACGAGTTGAGGACTCTGTACTGATAGTTCACTGCCGAGCCCTAGGCTTGAGCCACGTGGGGGTCCTGACTTGGCATGCCTCAGCATGTTCCAGTTGGTGCCAGCCCTGGTGTACAGCACCCGAGGGGGTGGGGGTGGTGGCAGCCATCCTTTACCCCGCACAGAATGGAGGTCAGGCACACTGGCTCAACGAACAGACCTGAGAAGACTGCGTGTAAATAATTTTTAATATGTTAAAGCACATTAAAAATGTACTAGGAGTGTGGCTAGTTAAAGGAATTCCATAGGGAATTGTTTTCTTAAAAAGGGGAACCTCTCGTGAATCACTCCTTAATTCATCCAGTGCCTATTTCTGGGTGATCTCTGCTCACTGCAAGCTCTGCTTCCTGGGTTCCAGCGAGTCTCCTACCTCAGCCTCCCGAGTACCTGGGATCACAGGCATCTGTCAACATGCCTGGCTAATTTTGTATTTTTAGTAGAGATGGAGTTTTGCCACGTTCGCCAGGCTGGTCTTGAACTCCTGACCTCAGGTGATCCTCCCGCCTCAGCCTCCCAAAGTGCTGGGATTATAGGTGTGAGCCAGGCTGGTCTTGAGTTACTGACCCCAGGTGATCCTCCTGCCTCAGCCTCCCAAAGTGCTGGGACTACAGGTGTGAGCCAGGCTGGTCTTGAGTTACTGACCCCAGGTGATCCTCCCGCCTCAGCCTCCCAAGGTGCTGGGATTACAGGTGTGAGCCAGGCTGGTCTTGAGCTACTGACCCCAGGTGATCCTCCCATCCTCGGCCTCCCAAAGTGCTGGGATTACAGGCGTGAGCCACCGTGCCCAGTCAATAAAGAACATCTTACAAGGACATTCTTGGTTGCCAAAAACTTTGTTCCCGGGGTGGGTAATAATGCCAGATGAATGGTTAGGCCAGAAAATAACAATGAAATATTAACTAAAATTATGTCAGGTGTCCAGGAAACCGTGAAGTATAATTTCTAGACATCTTCGCTGGAGGGAAGGGGCTATTCTGGGCCAGGACTGGCTACATCATTTGCAGGGTTCAATGCAAAACGAGAATGCAGGCCCCTTGTCCAAAATTTTAAGAATTTCAAATCGGTAACAGCAGAGCATTAAGCCCAGCAAAAGGCCCTTCTCAGTGCAGCCCATGTGCTGCTATACAGGTCACACGGCCGCAAAGCCAGCCCTAGGCTGGGGGAGGGAGAGACTTTTAGCAAAGCCTTTTCAGGGCCCCAGTAAGGGAAGTCCTGGCTTTGCTGGGAAGCTGCCTCTAGCGCCTTCCAGCGCATGTCTCCAGGTTCTTCACATCAGATTGTGGAGCAGGTGATCAATGTCCTTGGCTCTGCGATAAGCGAGTGGTCCAGGTGGACCTGAGTACTTGGAGAAGTTTCGTTTTGTTTTGTTTTGTTTGAGACAGGGTCTCGCTCTGTTGCCCAGGCTGGCGTGCAGTGGCTTGATCTTAGCTCACTGCAACCTCCGCGTCCCAGGCTCAAGCCATTCTCCCACCTCAGCCTCTCGAGTAGCTGGGACTATAGGCACTTGCCACTGCACCCAGCTAATTTTTGTATTTTTGTAGAGACGGGGTTTCACCATGTTGCCCAGCCTGGTCTCGAACTCCTAGGCTCAATCGAACTGCCCACCTCGGCCTCCTAAAGTGCTGGTATTACAGGCGTGAGCCACCTCGCCCAGCCTGGAGAAGGATTTTTGATGAATCCCAATTGACCCTCCAAAACCAGCTTTAATGTCACTTCCCCTGAAGTGGCATGGGCCGTTCCTCCACAGCCCACCTACAGAACCATATGCACACCCATCTTACCATGTTCATTCCCTCCCCTGTACCTGTGGTTGGCGCACACCTGTCTCACCCACCACCTAGAGGCTTCTGCAGAGCCCGGGTCCTCAGTGCTGGGCCTGGCCCACAGAAGTGCTTAGGGAGGATTCCTTGAGAGCACTCCCGCTTGCGAAGGGCCCCCACCTAAGAGGGGTCACCTTGCTGGGCAGTGAGCAAGGAGGCAGCGGGAACTCCAGCCCAGGGAAGAATCACAACTGCCCAGGGAGTCTGGGACCTTTTCCCAGAGCAGGGGAGATGGAGATGGGACCTGGAGGATGCCCTGTAGCCGGCCAGGTGGGCAGTGGGAATGGGAATTCCAAGGAGAGGAAAGCTTGTCAAGCGTACTGAGCTGTGAGAGTGACTGGGGACTTTAGGAAGAGGCCAGGTGTTTGTCGGGGAGGAGGGGAGAGGTCCGTTGGTGCTCGTTCAAGGAGCAAGGCCATCCTGGACAGCAGGGAGTAGGGGAAGGTCATCATCAGAGCTGTGCCTGGAAAGATAACCTTGGCCACAGCAGGAGGACAAGTAAGAGTTCACAGGCCTGGAATTGGGGTGGCCATGAGGGGGCTGCCATGTCCCCAGAGAGCAGTGTTGGGCCTGAGCATGGCAGGGGTGCTAGGTGGAGGTGAGGGGTTAGAGGGGGGACAGGCTCAAGAATCACCTGTGGCCGGGCGCAGTGGCTCATGCCTGTAATCCCAGCACTTTGGGAGGCCGAGGTGTGCAGATCACGAGGTCAGGAGTTCAAGACCAGCCTGGCCGACATCGTGAAACCCCATCTCTACTAAAAATACAAAAATTAGCTGGGCATGGTGGTGCATGCCTGTATTCCCAGCTACTCGGGAAGCTGAGGCAGGAGAATTGCTTGAATCCAGGAGGCAGAGGTTGCAGTGAGCCGAGATCATGCCACTGCACTCCAGTCTGGGTGACAGAGCAAGACTCCATCTCAAAAAAAAAAAAAAAAAAAAAAAACTAAAAAAACAATCACCTCTGCGGGAGTACCAGGCTGGGGATGGAGGGATGGAACCAGGAGGCTGAGGGAGTTGAGAACAATGGCCAGATTCCAACTTGGGCAACAGGAAGAAGGGTGATTGTTGAGGGCTGAATCTGTCCCCCAAAGTTCACAGGTTGAAACTGAACCCCAGTGGGATGGCATTAAGAGGTGGGGCCTTTGGGAGGTGAGTAGTCATGGTGGGGGTGCCTCGTGAATGAAATTCATGCCCTTTGGAGGCCATGGGAAGCTGCCTTTCTCTTCCACCGCATGAGGACACAGCTGTCTGTGAGCTGGAAGCTGTCCTCACCAGACACTGAATCTGCTGGCGCCTTGATCTCCGAATTCCAGACTTCACAAATGTAAGAAATAAATTTCTGTTATTTATAACCCCCACCCAACCCCGCCAAGTTGATGGTATTTTGTTACAGCAGGGACTGAGACAGCAATCAATAAACACAACCAATGAGAACATTCATGGCGACCTCAGTGCCACATGCAGGCCTTTGCATGCATCTCCCTGTGTGACCCCAGCCCCACTACTCATTCACAGGCTCCAAGTTAATTGTGCAGAAACGCACACAGCTCACCCCACGTCTGGCTGGCCCCAAGCCCTTGTGTGTAGCCACAGTGACCTCTGCCAACAGAGAAGCCCTGGCTTTCTTGAGCAGGAAGTGAGGTGAGAAAATAGCAAAAGAGAAGTCCTTTAGAAAGAGCTTTTGCAGGTATGTCTGCTCCTGGGCTCCCTTCAGCAGGGCTTATCTCACAAGCTCCTGTTTTCATTTCCTATTACTGGGAGATCGGCTGTCAGCCCAGGTGTCATCTCAGCACTCAGTGCAGCCTCCACTCAAGCCAGCTGGGCCCCAGTCACCTACACATGGGGTCTCCTGTTCTGTAGACAGGCCCTGGCCTCGGCTGTGCCATTTACTCTTTCAGCCCCACTAACTCTCCCCTGCTGGGGCCCATGTCACCACCCAGCTCATTGCCCACCAGTGGAATGCTGTCACCCCTATGGAACAGTGTCACCCATCAATGGAACACTGTCACCCTCCCATGGAACACTGACACCCTCCCATAGAAACTGTCACCCACCAATGGAACACTATCACCCCCATGGAACACTGTCACCTTCCCATGGAATGCTGTCACCCCCATGGAACACTGTCACCCTCCCATAGAAACTGTCATCCACCAATGGAATGCTGTCATCCCCATGGAACAGTGTCTCCCACCAATGGAACACTATCACTCACCAATAGAATGCTGTCACTCTCTCATGGAACACTGTCACCCACCAGTGGAACACCGTCACCTGCCAATGGAACACTGTCACCTGCTAACAGAACACTGTCACCCTCTCATGGAACAGTCACCCACCAATGGAATGCTGTCATCTGCATGCAACAGTGTCTCCCACCAATGGAACACTGTCACCTGCCAATGGAACGCTGTCACCTGCTAACAGAACACTGTCACCCTCTCATGGAACAGTCACCCACCAATGGAATGCTGTCATCTGCATGCAACAGTGTCTCCCACCAATGGAACACTGTCACCTGCCAATGGAACGCTGTCACCCTCTCATGGAACAGTCACCCACCAATGGAATGCTGTCATCTGCATGCAACAGTGTCTCCCACCAATGGAACACTGTCACCTGCCAATGGAACGCTGTCACCCTCTCATGGAACAGTCACCCAGCAATGGAACGCTCTCACCCTCTCATGGAACAGTCACCCAGCAATGGAACGCTGTCACCCACCAATGGAACACTGCCACCCACCAATGGAACACTGTCACCCACCAATGGAACACTGTCACCCACCAATGGAATGCTGCTACCCTTTCATGGAACAGTCACCTGCCAATGCAACACTGTCACCCTCTCATGGAACAGTCACCCGCCAATGGAACACTGTCACCCTCTCATGGAACAGTCACCTGCCAATGGAATGCTGTCACCCTCTCATGGAACAGTCACCCACCAATGGAACACTGTCACCCTCTCATGGAACACTCACCCGCCAATGGAACACTGTCACCCTCTCATGGAATAGTCACCTGCCATTGGAATGCTGTCACCCTTTCATGGAGCAGTCACCCACCGATGGAATACTGTCACCCTCTCATGGAACAGTCACCCACGAATGGAATACTATCACCCTCTCATGGAACAGTCACCCACCAATGGAATACTGTCACCCTCTCATGGAACAGTCACCCACCAATGGAATACTGTCACCCTCTCATGGAACAGTCACCCGCCAGTGGAATGCTGTCACCCTCTCATGAAATGCTGACACCAATGGAACACTATCATCCACCAATGGAATGTTGTCACAATGGAAAGAGACTGTTTTTGGATGTGCTGCTGTTGAGGTCCCTCAGGACATCCCAGCAGAGATGAAAAGTTGGCCTGGTGATTGGAGGCAGCTGGTGTGAGACTGACCATGGAAGCCTTGGCTGAGCTGTGATCCCCTAGGGAGAGGGTGTAGGGTAAGAGGTCCCAGGCCCAAGTGTTCAGGGGTCTGAGAAGGAGCCACAGAGTGTGTGGGGGAGGGCGCTGTCCCTGGGTCCCCGCTGAGAGCTCAGGGCAGGCAGGCCTGACACGTGAATGGAGACCACTGGTGACTCCTCAAGAGGAAATGAGGGAGCACGAGGGGGTGGCAGACACTACAACCAGGAGCACCCGCCCCACAGCGCCCCGTGGTGCTGACTGTGAGTCGTGTCTCCTCCCACAGTCCCTAACCTCGATCTGGTGGAAACACGCTTCCTTTCTCCTCATATTACAGTCCCAGAGAAGGAAGGGAGCAGGTCTAAAGTCACCCAGCAAGGTGGGTGCAGAGACAGGAGAGCGCCTGGCTTGGGGTCAGTCCCGCTGCCTTGGTGGGAAGTATTTAATGGGCCTTGAATCGGCAGAAGCTCAGGGTGGTTCCAAGCTGCACCTCCTACCTGCCGGGACCTGTGGCAAATCCTTTTCACCTACTTGAGCCTGGTGTCCTTACCCAAAGAGCAAGGACCACAGGACCCTCCGGCTCTGTCTCCATCAGGTCCATGTGAGGCTCAAACCCAGCAAGGCACGTGGGCTGTCTCCACGAACATTCCAGACTAAAAGCCATGCAGAGCACACCCTGGGGGCCAGCTTTGGACACTGGCCTGCCTGGACAGGGCACAGGGACCGGCCGCTTCCTCTGCTAGAAGTGACTACATGAAAGAGAAGTGGGCGGGGGGTGGACGAGCACGCCTGTTCCCAAGGGAAACGGGTCTCCCTGCGGATTGGAGAGTTCGCTGGTCTCCAAACCGCACCAGGTCATGGAGACCCAGGAGGCGCTGCCAGGCAACTTGCCGGTGTCACAAGCATCTGCGGCCAAAAAGGAAAAAAGCATCTCAGTGTTGCCCAAGATCAAGGCTATTCATGGGTGGGCCTTGGATGGCAGCCAGCATGCACCAGCTGAGAACCGTTCTTCTAAGCAGCCTCAGATTCCACAGAGGCTGCGCGGTGTGGCTGGAGGGGGACTGCCTGTGATTGCGATGTTCTGACTTCCATTTGGGAGATTTGCGGAATGTGTACAGGAGACTGACTTTCTGGAACAAATGCCTTTCCCTCTATGGACCGAGCAGAAAGAGCGCTGGGCTTGGCGCCTGGCGAAGGGAGTTCCCACCCCAGTTGCTGTGTAGCCCTGGGCGGGTGTGGCCCTTGGCTCCCCAGATGCCAAGTGAGATGCACAGTGTGAAGTCCCATGGGGGCTGGTCAGGACACAGTCCTCACACATGTCCATGAACACAGAACCTTTCTTAGGGCGCTGTGGCCTTAAGCTGACCAGGTTCCAGCTCTTGGCTCTATTTCCTTCCCCTTCCAGAGCATCAGGGCATGGACTCAGGGTCTGCTTGAGATTTTTGGCTGCCATGGGCTTCAGTGGTCCTTTTCCAAAAAGGGAAACAGAGCTAGCATTTTAAGGAGTCCCTATAGGTACCGTTGCCCGCTTAGTTCAGTGTTGCAGACAGGGACTTTGGGGCTGGCCCAGTTTGCCCACCTCACTGGGAGGGGAACCAGTGTGTGGGCCTGGGTCTAGACCCCAGGCCCGGTCCCACCATCAGCCCACAGCAAACAAGTCTTGGCGTTGTGCGGCCTCTGTGCCCTCACCTGAAGAAGGAAATGAGGATTCTAGGCTCCCTGCCTCACAGCAGTATTGGGGACTTTAGCAAAAATGAGGTCACTGCTGTCTTAGGACCTCTTGGTTTCCAAAGTTCTATTTCACTTCAGTGCTCGCTGTCATCTGTGGGTGGGAGATGGCGGCATTATCACCCACCTCACTTCAGAGGCAAGGGTGGTCAGGGAAAGGCCAGCCAGTCTGCTAGCCAGTGTGCAGACTGGTCCCAGTAGGGGCCAGTGATGGGGCCCACATGACGCTCCAGGCACATCACTTCCAGGCCCCTGCCACTGGCAGGACTTGGCCTCTGAAGGCAGTGCCTCATCGCTACCCCACGCTGCCCCCCAGGAGGGCACATCCTGGCACCACCATGTACTGCTGTGTGGCCTTGGCCAAAGATGTCTTTGAGCCTCTGTTTCATCATTTATAAAGTAGGGATAAGACTGCTGACCTGGGGGCGGGGGCTGTAGGGAGAGGATGAATCAAAACCCCTGGCCCACTGCCTTAGGTGGACCAGCCTGGACCACATGGCGAAACCCCATCACTGTTGGCAAAGGCAACGCCCGATGTGCACGCTGCACACCGACAGCGTCCCAGCTACTCAAAGGGTGTCTGCTACCTTGCACGCACCCTGCCTCCCTCCTTTCTCATTTCCTCCCTGTTTCTGCCTCCCTCCCTTTCTTCCTGCTTTCATGCATGTATTGGGAATTATACCTTGCCAAGCTGTAAAGAGGAGTCAAGGTGGCCTATAATAAAACAAATATAGCATAACTACTAACATGGGGGGAAGGGCTGGGTGCGTGGTTCACACCTGTAATCCCAGCACTTTGGGAGGCTGAGTCAGGAGGATCGCTTGAGCCCAGGAGTTCAAGACTGGCCTGGGCAACATGGCGAAACCCTGTCTCTGCAAAAAACAAACAAACAAAAACAAAAAACAAAACTAGCCAGACATGGTGTTGTGCACCTGTAGTCCCAGCTACTCGGGAGGCTGAGGTGGGAGGATCACTTGAGCCAGACAGGTTGAGGCTGCAGTGAGCTGTGATGGTGCCATTGCACTCCAACCTGAGCAAGAGATAAAGATCCCCATCTCAGACAAAAAGAAATAGGGGGAAGGAAAGAAGACAGAGGTCAAGGGAGAGGGTCAGCGAGTGAGTGATGTCGTCTTCGCTTATGAAGGACCATACGAGGCATTAGAGCGCGCGCCCTTTCCATGTAAAGTCTTTGAATGCAGAGCCTTCTTGCCCATGTCGTCCACCGGTGGAGCCAGGGTCCCCAGGGTGGATCTGCTCAGTCTGGAGTTCTAGAGCTGGGAAGACTTTTCAGGATCCTTAAGATCATCCCATCATCCCTTCTATTTCCAGATGGGGAAACTGCGTCTCTAAGTCAGGGCATGGCAGGAATAAAAATGAAAGCTGTGAGTAGTCTGACCTGTCAGATGCGTAGGGCGTATCTGCCTCTGTGGCTGGGAGAAACGCGGTGATAGGTTAAGAAAACCTTACTTCTGTGTGATGTTTTCTCTGCAGGGAATCTGCTTTGGTGAGATTTAAAGTTTGAACGCCTTGAGAACAGCTAGATGTTCGGCTGACTGTTAGTGAGGGATTTGATGCTCTTGAGCACTCTCAGGGCTGGAATTCACACAATACCTCCTACCATCACCCATTTAGAATAAGACTTTTGGTAAATCACACTTAATTTGAACCTCAGTGGGGTTTTTCCAGTAAAATATCAATGATAACACTTCCCATCTCCTTATAGGACTTTTTTTGTGAGCTAAACAAGGAAGATGTTAAAGTACTTCCTTTTTTAATATAGTTTTTAAAATTATAAGAGAAGGGGTCTCACTATGTTGCCCAGGCTGGCCTCAAACTCCTGGGCTTAAGCAATCCACCTGCCTCGGCCTCCCAAAGTGCTGAGATTACAGGCATGATCCCTCTCGCCCAGTCTTAAAGTATGCATACTTCTTAAAGCATAGAAGTGCCACCCAAAGGTGAGTTGTGACCAGGCTCAGTCACCTCGTACCAGAAGCTGCCTGTGGGTCTGAGGGCTCCTTCCCTATGATCAGTGAGGGGTGAGAACACCTTCAGATCTGGCCTCCCCTGGCAGCCCTTCATCCTTGAGGTTGGTTTTGTGATTCTTCTATCCCAGGTCTTCTCTCAGACATCTTCACAACGTGCCTCTCCT
Source organism: Homo sapiens (assembly GCF_000001405.40). Classification (NCBI taxonomy): domain Eukaryota; kingdom Metazoa; phylum Chordata; class Mammalia; order Primates; family Hominidae; genus Homo; species Homo sapiens. Next base: position 45,033,408 of record NC_000022.11, on the reverse strand, counting down.
GGGATGCCCATCAACCCCTCATCTGGCTTATAAACTTCTTAACACCAGCTGCTTCTTGTGGTTAAGTGGAAAGTCGACTGATTTCCACTTTGTGGTTTCTCTCCTCTCTGACTATGTATCACATATCCTAATACCATACAGGGAATATTAAGCTGAAGCTAGGGCTTTAAATAACTTAAGAACTGCCAAACATCTTTGCTCTCATTTCTTTTAATAAAATAAACAAAAGTTCTTTCCTCTCTACTGAATATAGCACAGAGAATATATCCCTTCCCGTTCATCTTGAGTAAGGAAAAAAATCCCCAACAACTCTGTAATATGATTCTCCTTTTAAAATGTTCTATTGGCCAGGCACAATGGCTCACGCCTATAATCCCAGTACTTTGGGAAGCCAAGGTGGGAGGACTGGTTGAGCCCAGGGGTTCAAGACCAGCCTGGACCATGTGGCAAAACCCCATCTCTGCAAAAAATAATAATAAAAAAACTGGCTGGGTGTGGTGACACATGCCTGTAGTCCCAGGTACCTGGGAAGCTGAGGTGATAGGATCACTTGAGCCAGGGAGATGGAGGCTGCTGTGAGCCAAGATCACACTACTGCACTCCAGCCTGAGCTACAGAGTGAGACCCTGTCTCAAAAAAAAAGTTCTATTTTGTACTTCAGGGCTACTCCTCAAATTTTGATCATGAGTCTTGGAGTTTGTTGCTAATGTCAGGTTTAGCAATACTTGCCCACGTGGTGGGAACCTAGAATCATAAGCCCTTATTCTCCTGAAAGAGACCTGCCCCACCTGCAGCCTGTCAGAAAGACCTGGAAAGGAAGGGGTGGATAGGATGTGCGGGCTTCCAGTCCTGGCTGTGTAGCACTAGCTTTTGGCCTTCAGCAAATTAACACTTGTGTACTGTCAGGATAACAGCTGTACCTGCTGGGCCTTGTTGGTGTCATCATGAGAAATATCCTTAGTGTTAATCCTTAGTACAGCACCTGGCCCATGACAGGAGTCCAACATTATGATACCTGAATTCTATTTTCCTGAATCCATTAGAGTACCTGAATTCTATTAGACCACCTGAATCCATTAGAATACCTGAATCCATTAGAATACCTGAATTCTATTGAAATACCTGAATCCATTAAAATGCCTGAATCCATTAGATCACCTGAATCCCATTAGACTACCTGAATTCCATACCTGAATCCATTAGAATACTGAATTCTATTAGACCACCTGAATCCATTAGAATACCTGAATCTATTAGAATACCTGCATTCTATTGAAATACCTGGATCCATTAAAATGCCTGACTCCATTAGATCACCTGAATCCTATTAGACTACCTGAATTCCATACCTGAACCATTAGAATACCTGAATTCCATACCTGAGCCATTAGAATATCTGAATTCTATTAGACCACCTGAATCCATTAGAATACCTGAATTCCATTAGAATGCCTGACTCCATTAGAACACCTGAATTCCATTAGAATAACTGAACCATTAGAATGCCTGAATTCCATTAGAATGCCTGAATCCATCAGAATATCTGAACGATTAGAATACCTGACTCCATTAGAACACCTGAATTCCATGAGAATGCCTGACTCCATTAGAACACCTGAATTCCATGAGAATGCCTGACTCCATTAGAACACCTGAATTCCATTAGAATAACTGAACCATTAGAACACCTGAATTCAATTAGAGTGCCTGCCTCTATTAGAACACCAGAATCCCATTAGAATGCCTGAATCCATTAGACCACCTGAATTCCATGACTATCTGAACTTTTGTTTTGGGTGTGTACTAGTTTCCTGGGGCTGCCGTTGATAAGTGACCAGAAACTTGGTTTAAAACAGCAGAAATATATTCTTGCACAATTCTGGAGGCTAGAAGTCTGAAGTCATGATACTCTTTCCACATAAGGTCACATTCACAGATTTCAGGAGTTCAGATGTGGACACAACCTTTGGAGAGCCACCATTCAACCCACTGCAGGTGCCATGTCCCAATCTCCTGTCGACTGTGTCTTATCAGGTGCTCACCTCCCCTCCTTGGGCCTCAGTCTCCCAGGTATAAAATAAAGGAAGTCCCCAAGAGCTTCAAGTCTCTGACACTATGACTTCGAGTAGTCCCAGCTTAGCCCGTGGATCCCTAAGATCATTGACCAATGGTTGTTCCTCTGTGCCTCAGTTCACGCATTGTGAAATTAAGAAGCTGGATGAGGCCAGGCATGGTGGCTCACACCTGTAATCCCAGCACTTTGGGAGGCTGAGGCAGGTGGATCACCTGAGGTCAGGAGTTCAAGACCAGCCTGGCCAACATGGTGAAACCTCGTCTGTACTAATAATACAAAAATTAGCCGAGTGTGGTGGTGCATGCCTGTAATCCCAGCTACTCGGGAGGCTGAGGCAGAAGAATTGCCTGGAGGCAGAGGTTGCAGTGAGCCGAGATTGCACCATTGCACTCCAGCCTGGGCAACAGAGCAAGACTCCTTCTCAAAAAAAAAAAACAAAAAAACAAAAAAACTGGATGAGATCAGTGATTCCCAGTTACAAGTTGAAGGTGAGAATTACTTGGGACATTTTCAAAGTCTGAAGGGCCATGCCCTGTCCTGGATCCCTGGATCTCATGAATAACATCTTCTGGGGAGGGTTGAGTCCCTTCACCAGCTGGCATTGCGGGTCTACCCAGTATTATTAGTGCTTCCTGGGTTTTACTGACTTTTTTGGGTGGAGGCACCACAGCAGTCAGCTACTCCCTGGTTACATTGGTTACTTCTGCACCATCCCTTGTTTTATCAGGGAAGGAAATGGGAGAGTTTTATGGAAAGAGAAGTCCAGGAATATAAAGACACTGGATACATGAGCGACCATTTAGGGTTGGCTGTGGTTTTTCACACCACTGATTTCATGTGTGGGGCATGAAATCAATTTGGTGGTTGAGATCAATGTATAAAAGATAGAATAGAAACGATCACAATGCATAGATATTTATTCCACAAAATTCATTCAGTTGCAGGTATGTGCATACGAGGTGTGGGTCCTGGGCTTCTATGTACAATTTGTTTCTTACTGTGGGTCCAGGTCAAACAGTGTGAGAGCCACTGCTCTCTAAAAAAAAAACAAAAACAAAAACAACACACCTTCAAAGAGAAGAGATGGAGTCCCAGAACTGTACCCTTGTCTATGGCAGAGGACCCTCCAGGCGGTTTCTCTCCTGAAGTCTCCAATGTTGTGCTGAGCCCAAGGGTTCTCTGGCTGTGGCTGACATTGCAGACACTCAGGTACCCCGGGGCAGTACATGCTCCGGGGACAGCTAGGAAGGTGGGGGGTCCAATCCAAGTTGACCATTTGGTAGTGGCTGCCTGGAAAGCTGTGTCGATAAGGATTTGTGGACCATGTTCAGGCTCAGCCAGGAAGAGAGCCATGATTGATTATTCATGTCTTGGGAGCGGGAGAAGCAGGGTGGCGTGCATGCCTCTTGGGTGCTGTCTCTGTCTCGGGAAAGGAGAGGAGAGGTTGAGGTTAAAATCCCCCTCCTGCCTCTGACTTGAGATGTAATTGAAGTTCTCTGAACCAACCTTTCTTCATCTATAAACTGAGAGAATGAGCAAGATGACTTTGACAATCGCTTCTAACTTTGAGAGTTTAATCGGATTACATTGGAAGATGTCTCCACTTGAGTCAGGGTGTGTGTGTGTGTGTGCGCGTGTGTGTGTAGAGAGAGAAAGAGCGAGCAAGCAGGGGGCAGGACACTGAGAGGAGTCCCTGCTGCTCTCTGGACACACTGGATGGCTTTCTCTGGCTTAAACATGGGAAGCTTTGTCAGGACCAGGGACTCAGAGAACCGGGTGGAGGTGACAAAGGCAGGTGACATGCACCTGAGGTGGGGTCCAGTCTCCCTCTTCTCTACTTATCCCAATAGGGTTGTGCACTAAGTCAACCACGGACCAGCACATATTGAATGCCTACTGTATACCGAGGACACCTTAGTCCACACCCACAAAGTAATTTACAAACAAGCCCTGGAAGATCCATTAAGCAGAGGTCCAGAGTGTGTGTAGGGTGTGGCTGGGGACCTGGGGCACAAGGCAGGTGGTTCCACTTAAATTTGGCTCATGCCCCTGGGTGGCCGAGTGACACAGTTCAGTTCGATCACCCTTGGTCACCTGGACAAGGGAAGATAAACTGTTTGCATTCTATCTGCCTCATGTTCTTCTCGGAGGTATTTTTATCCCTCAGACTCTAAAAGTCAGATGCCACTTCCACACTCAGCACCGCAAATGTGTCCACACCTAGGACTCCTCCCCAGCCCCCTCTTCACTCAGGCCAGTCCAACAGGGCTTAGAGGGTGGCCCACAGCAGGGTCTGGGGCTGAGCTCTGTGGGAAACAGGTGTGGATAGGACGCTGTCCTTAACCCCAGGGAGCTTTTCTGGGTGAGACAGCCAGACAACAGACCCAGATGACGATGGCACGAGGTAGAGGGAGCAAAACCAACTGTGGCTGGGCCCAGAGGAGAGCAGAGCTCATTACTCTGGGGAATTATTAGTCCAGCAAGCGTTGATTGAATGCTGGTGTCAAGACAGTTACAGAGAGACCACAGCGGGTGGCTCCAGGTGGCAGGGGAGACAGAACCATAACCAACACCTAGAGCCAGGACTGGGAACACAGTTCCAAGGGGGCAGAAGGGTGGGGTGGGCTGCGGAGTACCATGAAGGCCTAGGATCTTTCCACTCGGCTGTTTTCTCTTATTCTCTAGTGATATGAGCAGGCAGGAGCTCTGGAGCCAGGCTGCCTGAAGCTGAAGGGTGGTTCCACACGCTACTGAGTACCAGTGGATGAGTTACCCAATCTCTCTGTGCCTCAGTTTCCTCATCCAAAAGTGAGATGTATTCGTCTGCTAGGGCTGCCGTAACAAAATACCACGGGTTTTGTGGCTTAAACAACAGAAGTTCATTTAGAAGGTGGAAGTCCAAGATCAAGGGGTCATCAGGATTGGTTTCTAGTGAGGTCTTTCTGGCTTGCAGACAGTTCGCTGTCTCGCTTCGTCCTCACATGGCCTTTCCTCTGTGAGTGCCCAGAGAGAGGAGATGGAATCTTGCTCTGTTGCCCAGGCTAGAGTACAGTGGTGTGATCTCAGCTCACTGCAACCTCCGCCTCTTGGGTTCAAGTGATTCTTCTGCCTCAGTCTACTGAGTAGCTGGGATTACAGGCACGCACCACCACACCCAGCTAATTTTTGTATTTTTAGTAGAGATGGGTTTCACCATGTTTGCCAGGCTGGTCTCGAACTCCTGACATCAAGGGATCCACCCGCCTTGGCCTCCCAAGTGCTGGAATTACAGGTGTGAGCCACCACATCCAGCCCCTCTTCCCCTTCCTCTTCTTCCCCTCTCCCTTCCACCTCCTCCTTCTCCTCTTTTTTTTTTTTTTTTTTTTTAGATGGAGTTTTGCTCTTGTTGCCCAGGCTGGAGTGCAATGGCACAATCTTGGCTCACTGCAACCTCTGCCTTCCGGATTCAAGCAATTCTACTGCCTCGGCCTCCTGAGTAGCTGGGATTACAGGCATGCGCCACCAAGCCCGGCTAATTTTGTATTTTTAGTAGAGACAGGGTTTCTCCATGTTGGTCAGGCTGGTCTTGAACTTCTGACCTCAGGTGATCCGCCTGCCTTGGCTTCCCTAAGTGTTGGGACAGGCATGAGCCACTGCGCCCGGCCCTTCTTCTCTTCTTATGAGGACATCAGTCCTATTGGATTAGGGCCCTACTCCTGCAACCTCTTGTAACTTTAATTCCCTCCTTAAAGGCCCTACATCTAAAAACAGTCACATTGAGGGTTGGGGCTTCAACATACAGATTTTGGAGGGATGCAATTGAGTCTATAACACGCCATCCTCTGGCCCATCAAAACTCATGTTCCTAACACATAAAAACACCTTCACCTCATCAGTCAGGCATGCCTGTGTCCCAGCTACTAGGGAGGCTGAGGTGGGAAGATCACTTGAGGCCAGGAGTTCGAGACCAGCCTGGGCAACATAGCAAGATCCCTGTCACTACAAAAAATAATAATAATATAAAAAATTACCATGCATGGTGGGTGTGTGCCTGTAGTCCCAGCTACTAGGGAGGCTGAGGCAGGAGGATTGCTTGGGCCCAGGAATTCAAGGCCGCAGTGAGCTATAATCATGCTGCTGAACTCCAGCCTGGGTAACAGCGTGAGACCTCGTGTCCAAAAACACACACACAATACATAACCAAAAACCTTCACCCCATCTCAACAGCCCCAAGAGTCTTAACTATTCCTCAACTCTGAGGACTAAAGTCTCATCTAAATGTCACTTGAATCATGTAGGGGTGAGACTCAAGGTATGATTTCTCCTGAGGCAAAATTCCTTTCTAGCTGTAAGCCCATGAAATCAGACATACGTGCTTCCAAACACAATGTGGGGACAGGCATAGGACACGTTCTCATTCTAAAAGAGAAAACCAGGAAGAAAGGGGTGATGGGTCCCAGGCAAGTACAAGATCTAGCAAGGCAACGTCCTTTGGATTTTAGGCTCAAAAATAATTCTTTGGCTGGACAATTCTTTGGGACTCTGGGCCCACTGGGGCAGTTGTCCCCTCCCCACCGCATAGCCCTGGGTGGTGACCCTGCTCAGGTGTCTCTTTGTGGCAGCCCCACTCTGGGGGCTCTGTGTGGTGGCTCTACCCCTCAGGCACTAGGCAGGTTCTGCCTGGTCTACTGGAAGCCACGGGTGGAAGTTGCGTCTTCTGGAAACGAAGAGGAAACAGCCTTGTTCCCTGGGTCTGTGGTGGAAGTGGCAGCCCCCGATCTGTAAGTTGCCTTTGGAGTCATTCTTCCTCTTTTCTTGAAAGAGAAAGTATGTTCACCACCACATCATTCTATTGTCCTGTCCTGTAGAGCCCCAGAAGTCCAAAAATGTTACTTTATTTCATCCCATCTCTTCCCCTTTGGTCCAAGCTGGCAGTCTCTGCAGATATGACCCATCCCTATTCCTGGCTTCTGCTGAGATGGGCGGTTAATACCTTGGGTAATCTCTTTATGGAGGGACTTTCAACCCTGCCCTGGTGGTGTCTCCAGAACACCTTTCTCATTTTATGCAATAAAAATTTCTTCTGGCCAGGCGTGGTGGCTCACGCCTGTAATCCCAGCACTTTGGTAGGCCGAAGTGGACAGATCATTTGAGGTCAGGAGTTCGAGACCAGCCTGGCCAACATGGTGAAACCCCGTCTCTACTAAAAATACAAAAATTAGCTGGGCATGGTGGTGCCTGCTTGTAATCCCAGCTACTCATGAGGCTGAGGCAGGAGAATCACTTGAACCCGGGAGGTGGAGGTAGCAGTGAGCCGAGATTGCACCACTGCATTCTAGCCTGGGCGACAGAATGAGACTCCATCTGAAAAAAAAAAAAAAAAGAGTCTGGTTATGAATGAATACATGGGATGATTTACCTTTTAAACTTTTTATTATTATACTTTAAGTTCTAGGGTACATGTGCACAACGTGCAGGTTTGTTACATAGGTATACATGTGCTATGTTGGTTTGCTGCACCCATCAACTTGTCATTTACATTATCCAGCTGTTATTTTCGCCCAGACATACCCTGATGAAATTTAAGATCTTGACCTCATCTCACATGTTCTTTGCCGTAATAAAAAAAGTAGAGAGCCTTGATCTGGTAGCCGCTATGGCTCTTCCTGGCTGCACAGTAACCTCTGGGCAGGTGTAAAGTAGATCTAGAGGCATGGGCTGGTAGGGGCAGAGGTATAAGCAGGTGCACTCACAGTTCAGGATAATGGAGGGAGGTTCTTTGGGACCTGTTCTTGTGTGCATTGTATGCTTTTCCTACATGTAAGAATATCTAGGATCCAGGGCTGGGGCTGCTTCCAACACACACCCAGGTTTGCTGCTTCTGGAACTGGTCAAGGTCAATCCTGCAGCGCCTGGGACTCAGTGGACCTGATTGAGGTTAATGGAGAAGCTGGATTAACGTACAGAGATGAGCTGTTAGCACTGCACCTGCTCGAAATTGTTTCCCATCTCTGGTTCTGGGTCCCTCCTGAAATCTTTATGAGGCAGGACGGGCGGAGGCCATAACCTTCACATTCACAGATGAGAAAGCATCTGTCAGATTTTACAAACATGGATGGTTTGTAGTGCATGGTTTCTTTTCTTTTCTTTTCTTTTCTTTTTTTTTTTTTTGAGACAGAGTCTTGCTCTGCCCCCCAGGCTGGAATGCAGTGGTGCGATCTTGGCTCACTGCAAGCTCCGCCTCCCGGATTCACGCCATTCTCCTGCCTCAGCCTCCCGAGTAGCTGGGACTACAGGCACCCGCCACCATGCCTGGCTACTTTTTTGTATTTTTAGTAGAGACGGGGTTTCACCAGGTTAGCCAGGATGGTCTCGATCTCCTGACCTCATGATCCGCCCGTCTTGGCCTCCCAAAGTGCTGGGATTACAGGTGTGAGCCACCGCACCCGGCCGAGTGCATGGTTTCAAACTGGATATTTCATAACAAATCACCAGTGTACATGGCTTTCCAATTGTTAGCAGGTTTATTTAGCACCGGGTTGAATCTCTATTTCATACGGAGGCATACACATAAACACACACACACACACACACACACAGTGTGTAAGTGCACACAAACGAAAGCCTCCATTGGCCTTAACCTATGGGGAGTGAGGAGCGGAGCCTGTGGTTGGCTGGATGAAATGCCTCAGGCTTGACGTTCATTTACAATGATACCACTAGCAAAAATAACAATCATGAGAACATCTGTTCATATAAGCACCCACTCTGGGAGACACCATTCTGGGCACTGGGGTAGCAGGCAGCAACGGGAATGGAAAACGGCCCTCTGGTCTGTCCTTGGGTTTAGCTTGTGTTGCAAGCTCGGTGTCTAAATTGCTACCATTTTAGCCTGGATAGATGGATCCTAGGGTCAGGCTATCTTGGGTTATTTTTTTTTGGATTATATTATTTATTTATTTATTTATTTTTTGCATTTTCAGGGGCTCTGAGATTTCAGCGGCTGTCCCAGGGAGGGGATGCTCGTGGAAGCAATTGTTTTCCAATTCTTCTCTGACTGCTCTCAGACAGACATTCTGAATCTTTAACTTTACATGTTTTCTCACGTACTTGTCTAACACGTTCCTTCCTGATTTACAAACCTTGACCCATCTTCTAACTCCCTAATAAATTAGTAATTATTGCAATTAGCACTTCTTCATGGCACCTTTCGTTATTATGATAATGATCTTCGTTTGAAAAATTATGTGTTATTAATAACTCAGAACTCGCCCATGACTGCCACATGGCAGTTGAAAGATTTTCTTACTTATGGTCCTCCCTGGAGGGTGATAAAGCAGACCTACAAGCCCGGCCTCCAGTCTCCTCACCTGTGATGTCCGCAGGCCACAGTGGGCAGCCTCTTGGTCAGTGTTTGTTAGGCATCTTTTGCAAGCCCTGCACAGCTTCCACGTAAAAGGTAGCACAGCAGGCTTGGTCCTGAGTTAGACTCAGGGTCAGAAACAACGGCTTACCAGCTGTGCTCTCTTAGATAAATCACCCCATGTATATTGGCCTCAGTTTCCTCACCTATACAGTGGGGTTCATAATACCTACCTTGTATTGTAGGGTTTTGTGAAGGATTAAGATGAGGGAACATGAAAAGCCCTCAGCACGATGCATGGAGTTGAATTCTACAAACATCAGCCTGGCCCTGCCGCTGCTGCCGACGGTGATAACTTCAGATGACCACCGTGGTGCCTGACACCTGGTGGGTGCCTAAGAAATGCTCTTTCACCCAGAATCTGCATGTGAAGCAGGGAGGTGGGGGCAGGTGAAACCGGAACCATACACCGTTCTGTTCTGTTCCGTTCTGCTGCTTCAGCATCCGGCCAACCAAAATGAGAATAAAAGGGATTGTTTCCAAAGTCCTTGAAAGGTTTCAATGAACTGTTGGGAAAAAGTAGGTGCTGATTATGTAAATAAATAATTAAACTTGACTGTGCCTGCAAACACAGGCCACGGAAGGAAAACTAACAGGATCTGAGAACAACGAGCCCCAAGATTGAAGACCACATCTCCCATAGCCAAGACCAAACGGAGACGTTAGACCCAACCTGACAGAGTGGAGAATGAGCACTCATGAAGGCCAGGGTCTGCGGGGGGCAGTGGGGGAATGCTAATTAAGTAGACGAATTTGGTGCCGCCTCCACCGTCCCTCAAGAAAGGAGACTCAGGACTTTGATCACTGTGGCTTGGAAAAGGAGATGGAGTCCAGAAATAAGATGAGGCTTGGCCAGGCTTGGTGGTTCACACCCATAATCCCAGCACTTTGGGAGGCTGAGGTGGGTGGATCACCTGAGGTCAGGAGTTCGAGACCAGCCTGACCAACATGGTGAGACCTTGTCTCTACTAAAAATACAAAATTAGCTGGGTGTGGTGACGGACACCTGTAATCTCAGCTACTTGGGAGGCTAAGGCAGGAGAATTGCTTGAACTCAGGAGGCAGAGGTTGCAGCGAGCTGAGATCGTGCCATTGCACTCCAGCCTGGGTGACAAGGGTGAAACTCCATCTCAAAAACAAAAAAGGTGAGGCTTGGCTGAGGAAGAAGAAAAAAAGGAGCATATTCGTTTCCCAGGGCGGCTGTAACAAACTACCATAAATTGGTCAACTTTAAACAACAGAAATGTATTCTCTCACAGCTCTGGAGGCTGGAAGTCAGAAATGAAGCTGTCATTCTGACTGGCATGAGATGGTATCTCATTGTAGCTTCGATTTGCATTTTTCCAATGATTAGTGATGTTGACCCTTTTTTTTCATGTTTATTGGCCGCATGAATGTCTTCAAGTCAAGAAACAACAGATGTGGCTGGGCACAGTGGCTCACGCCTGTAATCCCAGCACTCTGGGAGGCCAAGGTGGGTGGATCACCTGAGGTCAGGAGTTCAAGACCAGCCTGACGAACATGGTGAAACCCTGTCTCTACTAAAAATACAAAATTAGCTGGGTGTGGTGGCGCATGCCTGTAATCCCAGCTACTTGAGACGCTGAGGTAGGAGAATTGCTTGAACCTGGAAGGCAGAGGTTACAGTGAGCTGAGATTGTACCATTGCAGTGCAGCCTGGGCAACAAGAGCGAAACTCCATCCTCAAAAAACAAAAACAAAAACAAAAACAAAACAAAACAAAAAAACAAGAAAACAGATGCTGGTGTGGTTGTGGAGAAATAGGAATGCTTTTATACCATTGGTGGGAATGTAAATTAGTTCAACCATTGTGGAAACTGGTGTGGCGATTCCTCAAAGATGTAGAACCAGAAATACCATTTGACCCAGCAATCCCATTACTGGGTATATACCCAAAGGAATATAAATCATTCTATTATAAAGATGCATGCACGAATTTGTTCATTGCAGCACTGTTCACAACAGCAAAGACATGGAATCAACCCAAATGACCATCAGTGATAGACTGGATAAAGAAAATGTGGTACATACACATCATGGAATACCATGCAGCCATAAAAAGGAACAAGATCATGTTTTTTGCAGGGACATGCATGGAGCTGGAAGCCATTATCCTCAGCAAACTAATGCAGGAATAGAAAACCAAACACCGCATGTTCTCACTTATAAGTGGGAGCTGAACAATGAGAACACATAGACACGGGGAGGGGAACAACACATACTTGGGCCTGTCGGGGGCGGGGCGGGGGGAGGAAAGCACGCGGGGCTTCATACCTAGGTGACGGGTTGATAGGTGCAGCAAACCTCAATGGCACACATTTACCTATGTAACAAATCTGCACATCCTGCACATGTACCCCAGAACGTAAAATGAAAATTAAAAAAAAAAAGGAAAAAAGAAATGAAGCTGTTGGCAGGGCCCTGCTCCTTGGTCCTCTGAGATTCAGAGTGGAGCCTACCCCACGCCTCTCAGCAGCCAGTGTGGCCGGCAGTCCTTGGTGTCCTCTGCGTTTGACAGCACCTGGCGTTCTCCCTGGGTCTCTCTGTGAGAAACCTTTCTGTTTCTTCTCCTTGTTCCATAAAGACACCAGTCATATGGGATGAGGGCCCACCCGAACCCAGAATGACTCCATCCGGATTTCACTTCTGTGAAGATTCTACTTCCAAACAAGGTCATATTCTGTGGTTCCAGAAATAATGAAAATTTGGAGGGAATGCCCTCCAGCCCAGCACAGGGCAGAAAGTGCAGGGACGCTGGCCTCTCCTGAGCTGAGACCTGGCCTTTTATGGTTCACAAAGAACCCCCCCAAAACAACCTTGAGACAGCAGGGCTGTAACATCCCAACCTGTCACCTTCCCAGCCTCCCTGCCGACCTCATCCAATCCTGCTTTCCCATGGCTGCCCCCTCTCCCTCACTCCCCCCACCTCACCTGCCCCAGGGTTCCCCCCTCTCTCTCACTCCCCCCACCTCACATAGGGCTCCCCCTCTCCCTCACTCCCCCCACCTCACATAGGGCTCCCACCTCACCTAGGGCTTCCCCTTTCCCTCACTCCCCCTACCCCACCTAAGGTTCCCCTCTCTTCCTCACTCCCCCACCTCACCTGCCCCAGGGTTCCTCCCACTCCCCCCACCCCACCTCACCTAGGGATCCCCCCTCTCCCTCACTCCCCCCGGCTCACCTGCCCCAGGTTTCTCAGCTCCAGGGTCAGGGCTGCCAAATCCTCTCGCCTCTGGCAGCCAAGTAACCACCAGTGACCAGCAGGTCTTTGCCCCAAACCCTCCAAGGCCTGTGTTTTTAGCCTTTGACACCAGGATTCTGCCAGCTGGCTGCCTCCAGGTGTACTGTCTGTACTTTGGGATCAGCTGCACTTACCACGAGCAGTTCCCGAGGGGCCAGGCTCTCTCCTGCCCAGGCTCTCTACCCAGCATCCACCTGGGATGGTCTATCCCGGCACCCACCACAGGGCTCACTTAGCTGCCTCACCAGAAGGGAGCTGCTCCATTCCCTAGAGGGAGGAACCTGATGTTCCCTCTGCCAGCAGTCCCTGGCACATAGTGGCTGCTCCATAGCTGCCTGCTGGGTGGACAACCCCCAATTTAAAGGTGGAGAATTTGAGACTTAGCAGGCAGCTTGTTTTTGCCATTCTGCCTGTGGGTGACAGAGCCAGGCTGCGAAGTCCTCCTGACCTCAGCCACCTGGGCTGCTTGGGTCCCTTCCTCCAAACACAGGGCGCTGGAGGGACATCAAGGGGGCCGCATCACAACCCCGGAGAGGTCGAGACCAGGGCAGATTCAGAGCAGCACGCAGGGGCGAATGCGTGACCCCGCTCTTTACCTGGACCTCTGACCCAAACTTGCAGCCCTTGCTTCGGCTCCCACCCAGGGGCCCCGCCGGAAGCAGAGCCCCTTCTGCCCCAGCCCCTCCCAGACCTGCCTGTCAGCCTGTCCACCCTGTTTGAAGAAAAATGTTTTTCCTTTTATTTATATTTGTATTTGTCTTTGAGATGGAGTCTCACTCTGTCTCCTGGACTGGAGTGCAGTGGCGCAATCTTAGCTCACTGCGACCTCCACCTCCTGGGTTCAAGTGATTCTCCTACCTCAGCCTCCTGGGTAGCTGGGATTACAGGCGCACACCACCACACCCAGCTAATTTTTGTATTTTTAGTAGAGATGGGGTTTTGACATGTTGGCCAGGCTGGTCTCGAACTCCTGACCTCAGGTGATCCACCTGCCTTGGCCTCCCAAAGTGCTGGGATGACAAGTGTGAGCCGCTGCACCCGGCCATGTTTTTCCTTTTAAAGGGCATCCTACAATATGTACAACACTGACTCCTTCTCAAAAGAGAATTGAACAGCTGATTGGAAATCTGTGATGATGTAGGTGTGAAAGTGCTAATGAGGAAGGCTTTGCTAATAATAGGGGCCCTGGGACAGAGACATCCTCAGGTGTCACTGAGCTGGCACTGTCTTTGTGATGCCCACAGAGAGACTCCTGGGCAGGTGGGGTCCACCTCACACCAGGCAGCCCTCTCTCCCTGGCAATTTCCCCTTAATCTCATCAACTTGCTTTTACCCAGGAGGAAACCAAAACTCCCAGAGGGAAGCAAGGAGCCTGCAGGCAGCTGCCAGGCCTTGAACCCACTTCCAAGGGAGCCTCCCCCACCCCAAGCTTCTTCCTTCCCGATAGAGGGTGGGAGGTGGTGCAGGGATGTTTGAAGGAGGCTGTCAGCACGCTGTGCACACCTCCCAGAAGAAAGACCCAAGAAGCAGGCCCAGCACGAGGCTCCCTCCGCTTCCCCTGATCTCCCTCCTACTCTACTGCTGAGTCCTGGAGAGCCTCCCTCCTCCTCCTCTTCCTCCTTTGTTCTTGGACCTCTTGAATTATTAAGAGCTGGGTTTTGGGGATCCCAGACCTGGGTTCAGGTAGAGGGCTCCCAACATATATGCTGGGTGACTTTGGGCTAGTAAACATCACCTCACCTCAGTGTTCACATCTCTCAGAGCTATTATAAGCAGACAATCAAATAGCATACGTAATATACCTACTCACTGCTTGTGAGTTGAAAATCCTCTAGAGATGCTAGTTTTGCACAATCCTTCTCCTTCTCCTTCTCCTCCTTCTTTTTTTTTTTTTGAGACAGGGCCTCACTCTATTGCCCAGGCTGGAGTGCAGTGGCATGATATCGGCTCACTGCAACCTCCGCCTCCCGAGTTTAAGTGATTCTCATGCCTCAGTCCCCCAAGTAGTTGGGACTACAGGTGCGTGCCACCATGCCTGGCAAATTTTTGTATTTTTAGTAGAGATGGGGTTTCACCATGTTGGCCAGGCTGGTTTCCAACTCCTGATCTCAAGTGATCCACCGGCCTCAGCCTCCCAAAGTGCTGGGATTACAGGTGTGAGCCACCGCACCCAGCCTAGTTTTGCACAGTTCCGTTCTTTTTTTTTTTCTCTTTTTATATATAGTCTCACTGTGTCACCCAGGCTGGAGTGCAGTGGCATAATCTCGGCTCACTGTAACCTCTGACTCCCGGGTTCAAGAGATTCTCCTGCCTCAGCCTCCCAAGTAGCTGAGACTACAGGCACCCACCACTACGCCTGGCTAACTTTTGTATTTTTAGTAGAGACGGGGTTTCACTATGTTGGCCAGGCTGCTCTTGAAATCCTGACATCATGATCCGCCCACCTTGGCCTCCCAAAGTGCTGGGACGACAGGTGTGAGGCACCACGCCCGGCCCTCTGTTCTTAAAGAGCCGATAGCATGGAGGAACAGCTGGTGCTGAGACAGAGGAATGAACGGGAGATTTCCATGCAGCGTGGATCTGTACTTAACAATACCATGCTGTACACTTACAATCTGCTAAGAGGGTAGTTGTTTTTTTTTGTTTTTTTTTTTTTTTGAGACAGAATTTTGCTCTTGTCGCCCAGGCTGGAGTGCAGTGGCACAATCTCGGCTCCTTGCAACCTCCACCTCCTGGGTTCAAGCGATTCTCCTGCCTCAGCCTCCCAAGTAGCTGGGACTACAGGTGTGTGCCACCACGCCTGGCTAATTTTTGTAGTTTTAGAAGAGACAGGATTTCACCATGTTGGCCAGGCTGGTCTCAAACTCCTGACCTCAGGTGATCCGAGGGTAGATCTTATATTAAGTGCTCTTACCACAAAGAAATAAAATTTTTTAAGAGGGTGGGAGGAAACTTTTGGAGATGCCAGATATGTTTATGGCCTTGATCGTGGGAATGGTTTCACTGGGTGTATTGTTATCTCTAAACTCATCAAGTTGTACTCATTAAGTAGTACAGCTTTTTGGATGCCAATCGTACCTCAATAAAATGGTTTAAAAAAACAGGAACTGCAGAGCAGGAGGCCCCAAGGTTGTTTGCTCAGAATCATCTCTTGCTCAGATGTTCTCTCCGCATTCCTATAGCAAGGCCAAGCGGTGGAGTCAGATGTTCAGGGTTAGAGTCCCCGTCTTGTCACTGACCAGCCAAGTGATGGAAGACAAGACCCTTAGATCTCTCCCCATGCCTCAGTGCCCTCATCGGTGTATTGGGGATCTTGACAGTCGTAGAGTCGTGGGCATTAAAAGAGGTGACGCGGGTTGAGCTCCTGGAGCAGTGTCTGATGCAAGGAAGCACCATCGCTGAGGCACTTCCACTAGAATAGGACATCTCTCCTCTACACTTCTCTGCCCAGGTGCACTGCAAAGAGGACAGGGCTGAACCCCAGCTGTGCTACATACAGGGGTGTGCCTGTGAGACCATGTAGCCCTTCTGAGCCTCAATTTGCTCACCTCTAAGATGGGGCGATTATAAGGATTAAACACATTGATGTGCAGGGAGCACTTGGAAGAGACCTGGCTCGTAGTGAGCTGTATATAAAATGTTAGCTGGTATTATTTTTATTTTTACAGACATAACTCCATGTCTAATCTCTCCAACTGAAACTGCAAGTTTTAGGAGGTAGAACCAAGCATCCCAGAGGAGGAAACCGGATATATCATGAAGGCAAAGAAATACTGTTCTCGGTGGGGCGCGGTGGCTCACGCCTGTAATCCCAGCACTTTGGGAGGCCAAGGCGGGCAGGTCATCTGAGGTCCGGAGTTGGAGACCAGCCTGACCAACATGGAGAAATCCCATCTGTACTAAAAATACAAAATTAGCTGGGTGTGGTGGTGTGTGTGTATCATACCAGCTATTCAGGAGGCGGAGGCAGGAGAATCGCTTGAACCGGGAGGCAGAGGTTGCGGTGAGCTGAGATCACGCCATTGCTCTCCAGCCTGGGTCACAAAAGCAAAACTCCATCTCAAAAAAAACCAAAACCAAACCAAACCAAAACAAAAAAACAAACACAAAATACTGTTCTCTCTAGAGCAGCCTGGCTAAATCATCTTCAGTCACGAGGAGCTCGTCACCCCACAGGGCAGGTGGGTCCCAGTTAGCATGGGTCAAGCGTCGAGAACATTCTTTCTAATAGTGCCACAATGTTTTGTTGTATTGATGATTGGCTGGCTGCATGGGTGCTCATCTGAAACTGGCCGCTGGAGCCAATACAGAAACGTCCTTACGAAGCATCCCTGGGAGTTGGGGTTGGTTTCCCTGGGTTTTGAATTCTGCCTTTGAAAATTGTACTGTTGTTTGCTGGGGAAATAAGAAAATGTATCTGGGAATAGAACAACAACCTTCCAGGTCTGACTCACGCCTGTAATCCCAGCACTTTGGGAGGCGCAGGTGAGAGGATTGCTTGAGGTTAGGAGTTTGAGACCAGCTTGGTCAATATAGCGAGACTGCTGTCTCTACAAAAAAAATTAAAAATTAGCCAGGTGTGATGGTGTGCACCTGTAGTCCCAGCTACTAGGGAGGCTGAGCTGGAAGGATCGCTTGTGCCTCGGAGGCAGAGGTTGCAGTGAGCCAAGATTGCACTACTGCACTCCAGCCTGAGTGACAGAGCCAGACCCTGTCTCAAAAAAAGAAAAAAGAAAGACAACTTTCCAAAAGGCCTTTTGGCCCTGAACTTGTAATAACAGCAGGATGGATCATACCTAGAAAGGGAGGTGGCCAGGGCTAACAGGAGAAAAATCACAGACTTTGTACATAGGCTCCAGTGTAAATCCTGACTCTAGCCCACAGTCAGGATTTAAACAGGAGCCTGTCTGAGTACAAAGACTTGGGACAAATTATTATCTTCTCTGGGCCTTTTATTTATTTATTTTTTATTGAGACAGGGTTGTCTCACTCTATCTCCTAGGCTGGAGTGCAGTGGTGGGATCATAGCTTACTGCAGCCTCGAACTCCTGGGCTTAAGTGATCCTCCTGCTTCAGCCTCCTAAGTAGCTGGGACTACAGGTGTGTGTCTCTCTGGTCTTTAAAAAAAGTCCTTTAGTGGTGGCTCATACCTGTAATCCCAGCACTTTGGGAGGCCAAGGCGGGTAGATCACCTAAGGTCAGGAGTTTGAGACCAGCCTGGCCAACATGGTGAAACCCCGTCTCTACTAAAAATACAAAAAAGTCCTTTAGCTAAAGTTAGCACCGTGGATCCTCCATATCTGCAGCTTCTGCATCTACAGATTCCACCAAGCCTGGATTGAAAATCTCTTGGAAAAAAAAATTTAAAAAAACAATTAAAAATAATACAGGCCGGGCACGGTGGCTCACGCCTGTAATCCCAGCACTTTGGGAGGCCGAGGTGGGCGGATCACGAGGTCAGGAGATCGAGAGTACATGGGAGGATGTGTGTAGGTTATATGCAAATACTACATCATTTTATATCAGGGACTTGAGCATCCATGGATTTCGGTATCTGCAGGGGGGCCTGAGATCAATGCCTCCATGGGGGGTTGTAATTACATCTGCCTCTTGGGTGGAAGGAAGCATGGAGACTTAGTGAGTTATGATGTGAAACAGCCTCCCAGCCTGGGCCGGGCACACATGGTGATGGGCACTGGCCACACTGGCTTCCTTCCTTGTCCTCTCCCTCTCAAGTGTTCAGGAGCCTCAGCCTTGGCCCAGCATCCTCGGAGCCTCCACTGTGCCTTCCTGCTGTGCTGAGGGGCTCTACCCAGCCCTTGGGTATTCACTCCGCCTCCAGGCAGCTTAGCAGAAGGCAGCCAGGGTCTAGCAGGACAACAGCTCTTCCCGCCTGGTGACTGGGCCCACCCTCAGTCCCTTCATTAGCATAAACTCAGGTGTGACCTCAAGGGGCTCCTTATGAAGAACAAAAGACAGTCCTATCACTCAGACAATAAGGGTTTTAGGAGCTTGGGAACAAAGACCAGATACATTTCCTATCATACCACAGGAACACCAGGGGTGTACGTGCTACGGGGTGTGAGAGAGGAGAGGATGGCTCTGGGTGCAGCTGCCTGGGAGATGGAGAGCGCTGGGCCAGGGTGCTGAGCCCAGACTGGGGCATGTTGACTGGAGGTACCCAACAACATCAAAGGAGACGCACGGGGCTGCTAGGCTATATAGGTCAGAGCCTGTCGGTATCTGGCAGATATGTCCCAACTCTACTGTGGGTGAACAAGCCCTGGCCACCTGCTTTGCAGGAAGGACAGTGACAGTCTGTGAGGCTGCAGTCGGCTCTGTGGCTTGACCCTGCTGGGACCTGAGCCCTCTGCACCGGGATCCCAGGCTCCAGACGGTGCCACTCCTGACCTTGGCTACTGTCGTAGACCAAGGGCACAGTGCCTGTGTAAGACAAAGTGAAGAATTGGGAAGAGAGCAGGCTCTGGAGTCAGGCAGAGTGGAGGGGGAATCCTGCCTCCATGCCCTACGGCGGGCTGACCATAGACTTCATCCAAGCTAGGACACATTTTTTTTTTTTTTTTGAGACGGACTCTCGCTCTGTTGCCCAGGCTGGAGTGCAGTGGCGCGATCTCGGCTCACTGCAAGCTCCACCTCCCGGGTTCACGCCATTCTCCTGCCTCAGCCTCCCGAGTAGCTGGGACTACAGGCACCTGCCACCATGCCTGGCTAATTTTTTGTATTTTTAGTAGAGACAGGGTTTCACCGTGTTAGCCAGGATGGTATCGATCTCCTGACCTCGTGATCCACCTGCTTCGGCCTCCCAAAGTACTGGGATTACAGGCGTGAGCCACCGCGCCCGGCCGCTGGGACCCATTTAAGAGTGTAAGTGGGGCCACGCATGGTGGCTCACGCCTTTAATCCCAGCTCTTTGGGAGGCTGAGGTGGGCAGATCACCTGAGGTCAGGAGTTTGAGACCAGCCTGGCCAACATGATGAAACTCCATCTTTACTAAAAATATAAAAATTAGCTGGGCGTGGTGGCGGGTGCCTGTAATCCCAGCTACTTGGGAGGCTGAGGCAGGAGAATCGCTTGAACCTGGGAAGCGGAGGTTGCAGTGAGCTGAGACTGTGCCATGGCACTCCAGCCTGGGCAACAAGAATGAAACTCTATCTCAAAAAAAAAAAAGTGAAAGGGGCGCTATTCAATATTACTCAGACAAGAGGCATAGACAGGGCTGTCCTATGACCCTGATATGGGTGTGTACCCCATTTATAGCTGTGCAGCTTGGGAAAGTTACTGAACCACTTTGAGCCTCAGTTTTCTCATCTGTAAAGTGGGGATAAATATACCCACCTCCATAGGATCAAAAGGCATGAAGAATGCCTACTACAGAGGGGAAAGGGAAGGCTCTCGGTAAGTGGTCCCTGCAGCAGTAACACTAAAGGAAAACTTGTGTCCCCAACAGAGAAATCGCTCATGTGGGTGAACCGCACGCCACAGGTTCAAACCCCCTCCCACTTCCTCTGTACTGGGGCCTTGGTGGCTCCAGAAATCTGCACTGGCCTCCTCCTTTTCTCCCCCTCCCCAATCTCAAGAGAGGTGCCTCTCTCACTAACCATGGCCCCCATCTCCTGACTGGCCCCCACATCCAGTTTCCACCATATCCTTCACATTACCACCAGGTCATCTCTGAGCAGAGGCCTGGTCATGTCTCATACCCCTGTGCGGAAACCTTGGGCAGGTCCCCTTGTCCACATAACACATTTAAAACCCCAGCATGGTGTTGTAGGACCTTGGGGTCTGGTCCTGCCATCTTTTCTGTCCTGTTTTTCTCCTCCAGTGAGCACTGCAGGCCCCCTGAGATCCCTCCTGCAGCCTACCCCAGGCCCATGGCTTATGCCTGCTCTTCTCTGGAAGCAAATCCATCCTCAGCCACTGGCCCAGATCTCCCAGCCCTGACGGGGAAGAGGCTACACATCTATCCAGGTCTCTGCTGCCTGAGTCTGTGGGTCCAATTCCAGGCAACAGGGCTTGTAAGTAACCTAATGCCCTGAGCCTCAGTCCTCTAACCTGTAAAATAGGGATACCAGACCTACCCCCGGAACTCAACGAGGGCAGGAGACAACAGGTATGAAGAGTGCCATGTGGATGGTAAAACTCAGAACAAACAGTATTACTACATTCTCAAGGCTCTGCTCAAGTTACTTCTTGACAAGCCCCTCTCAGACCACCCCTCTCAGAATTAACCCTTCCTTTGCCTGTCAGTCATTTTTCTCGCTCTGTGTTTAACACAGGGGCCCTGTGTCTCTGCTGTCTCTGTCGGATCTTTTGCTACACCATGCACTTAAACAGTGCTTTAAGATTCCACAGTCGGAGCCACTATCCTCTGGCCAGCATCAGCCTGAGACTGTGTGGACTGAAGATGACCTGAATATCCTCTGTTGATTTAATTACCCTACGTGGCTGATAAAATTACTCTGAATTTTTACCAAGAAGCCAGTGGCATTTACAGAGATTACAGTAGGAATCCTCTTTCTGCACACTTTCTCTCTGGCTCTCCAAGCATGGGTCTCCAGGGCAGTCCACTTTCCTGGGCTGGTGTTCAGCCCAGCAAAAGCACTAAGGAGGGAGGCCACCACCCTGACCCGGGCTAAACCCAGAAGTGGGAGGAGTGGGTACCTATTGGGGCACCCTGAGTCAGCCTCTTTGTTTTGCATTTGAGGAACCTTGCTTCTCCCTGCTTGGGGCAAAACCAAAGGAATCACGACCACTTCAAACACGGGCTAGTTTTGCATCCACATTAACCAGTGTTGGCTTATGGTGTGACTGTGGTCCCAGCTACTTGGGAGGCTGAGGTGGGAGGATTGCTTGAGCAGGTGAGGTGGAGGCAGTGGTGAGCTATGATTTCACCACTGCACATTAGCCTGCACGACAGAATGAGACTCACACAGTAAGTAACTATGCAAAAAACAGAGGGGCATGTATATGATCCTTACCGTAACCCACATATTTAACCTACGTAATTAAATCAACAGAGGTTATTCAGGTCATCTTCGGCCCACACAGATTCAGGCAGATGCTGGCCGGAGGGTAGTGGCTCCTCCTGTTGAGTCTTTTCTGTTTGTTTGTTTGTTTTTTCTGAGACAGAGTCTTGCTCTGTTGCCCAGACTGGAGTGCTGTGGTGCAATCTCGGCTCACTGCAACCTCTGCCTCCTGGGTTGAAGCAACTCTCCTGCCTCAGCCTCCCGAGTAGCTGGGATTACAGGCTTGCGCCACCATGCCTAATTTTTTGTATTTTTAGTCGAGACCATGTTGGGCAGGCTGGTCTCGAACTCCTGACCTCGTGATCTGCCCACTTCGGCCTCCCAAAGTACTGGGATTACAGGTGTGAGCCACCGCCCCCGGCCGGCCTCCTATGGAGTCTTAAAGCGCTGTTTGCAAGTTTCTGTTAACTAATTTGGGTTAAAGTAAGGGTCATCTACATGCCCCTCTGCTTTTTGCATAGTTACTCATATCCTAAGTCTCACTCTGTCGTGCTCTGAAGGCGAGGTGCTGGGTTGTGGGATGAGGGGCCATCTGTGTTTGGGGGTCCCAAACACGTAATTTATTACAAATTCCCTAACAGAGAGCAGAACAACACTGGGGTCCTCACTTGAAAAAAAAAAAAAAAAGAAAAGAAAGAAAAGGGGGAATTCCAATAACTTCTGCCAACAAAAGCAATGTGTGACCTGTTGGCATATGTTGAAAGGGACATTTGCTGATGGTGCTTGCTTGGGTATTTTTTGTGCTGCCGGAGAGGAATCTGAAGTTAAAACGACTTAACAGCTTAAACGTTTACTTTGACATATGATTGCACCCTTTCTCCCCAGCGTGTTTCAAACGTGCCAGTTTGCTGCCAACAGGGCACCCGGCACTCCGACCTGAATGAAGATGGCAGCCCCGAGGTGGTGACAGTGACTCTGGGACATTAACCTCCTGGCTGCGCGGCTGGGGGTTCTGAAACGCGACCTCCGCAGCTGTAATTATAATTGTTTTAGGTCGCATTGACCGGGCCTGTTTACGACTCTTAACAAGAGTCTTAAAATGTCCAGTGACATCTGTTGAGAGTTTAATCGTGTAAAAAAAAATCATTAAAGGAAGAGCCAAGAGATCAATTTTCTTGCTGTTTAAACAACACGGAGGCCATCAGGCGGCGGGGGAATGTGGCGACGCGACTAATTTAATCCCCCAAGTCGCGGCGCTGGTATGGACAGGAGGGGACGGAAGAATTTAAATAAAATATCAGAGGGAGGCGGAGGAGGGGGGAAAGGAGGGAGCCGAGGACCAGGGTGAGGAGAAATGGAAACACGGACTCGCAGCCTCCCAGCGGAAAGTGTCCTGATCCCGGCGTTACACGGCGCAGGGGGTGGGGGCGCCGCGTTCCCCGGGTTGGCCCGGGGACGGAGAGGATGACTCCGCAGTCGTCCTCTCCGAGCGCCCGGCCCGAGCAGTCCCCGGAGCCGGCGACCGTGCGTCCCCGTCCACCGCCACTTTTGTTCTCCGCTCGGGGTGCCGGGCCGCGGCGGGGCGGCAGTGCGCAGGCGCGGGCGGGGCGGGGGCGGGGCGCGGCGGGCTGAGGGTCCCGGCACCGCCCCCCGCCGCCCCGGCCCGCTCCATCCGGGCACTGCCGAATTAGCATCGTGCCGAGGCACAACTTTGCCGAGGCCCAACGAGATCCAGGCGCGCGCGCCGGAGGAAATATAGTCCCTGCCCGCGGGAGGCTCGCGCGGGAGGAGGCGGCGGCGGCGGCGGCTGGGCGGGCGCGCGCGGGGCTGCGCGGGGCTCCCGGCGCCGGGGGGGCCATGCTCCGGGCCGCGCCGGCAGCCCGGGGACCCGGCGCAACTTGCCGGGCAGCCTGAGGAGTTGGGGCAGCCGAGGGCTCGGCGCCGCGGCGCCCGGAAGCCTGTCTTCCCCTTCGCCAGCCCCCTTCCCTTTCGGCCGTGGGGGAGGGGGCTCGTGTCCCCCCCAACCCAGCCCGGAGGCCGCGTCCGCCCGCGCCCGCTCTGGCCCCCGCGGAGCCGCGCAACTTCCCGGGAGCCCGGGCCAAAGTGAGCGCAAAGTGCTGCCCAAGTTGCCGGGATGGAGCTGCAGAGCCGGCCCGAGGCGCTCGCCGTGGAACTCGCGCGCCACCAGGTAGGTGGCCGGGGGCCGGGCCCGGGGCCGGGGAGTGTGTTGCGGGGTGAGGGGGTCGGGGGACCCGAGCCCAGCATCCTCTCTTCCGGGTCTCTGGGTCTTCCAGGCTGGAGCCTGCCCGGGGGCGGGGGGCGAGGGAGTGAGCACACGCGCGGACCCCCTTCTGGGCTCCCCTCCGCCTGCCCCTGGCGCTGTCCTGCACAGTTTGCGGGATCGAGGACGCGTGGGACCCGAGCCTGGAGTCTTCTCTTAAGCGATGTAGGGTCTGCATGACTGGGAGGGTGCCTGGAGGGGGCCCCTTCGTGAGCCGGTCCCGGGGAGGGGAGTGCGAATAGGCCCCCTTCCGGCCTCCCCTCGGGCCCCCGCGCCCCGGGCGAACCTGCCCGGTGTGCAGAAGTAGTTTTGGCGATCGCTGCTGGCGAGCGGCGGCGTGGCGGCCGGAGCCTGAGCGGGGCTCGGCGTGCGCGTGTGTGTGTTGGGGAGATTAGGACGCGACTTGAATATTTATGAGCTTTGCTCGACACGGACTCGCCGTGTTTACTTGGCTCTTTGTTCCTCCCCCCTCCCCCGGCACACACTCACACTCACACTCACTCGCACACGCACCCCGGCCTGCAAACTTGCACGGCTCGGGGCGCGCCGCCGGGTGGCCTCGGCCCCCGCCCCGCCCCGCGAGCTGCCCCGATGAGGCGGCAGCCACAGGTAAGCGGCCCCGCGCGGCACTGCCCGGCCGCCGCGCGTGCAGGACGCGGCCCGGGAAACTTGGGGTGCGCTGCGGCCGGCCCCGCCCGTGGGGCTCCGGGCGGGGGGTGCCGCGGCCCGCGGTGCTGGGGTGCACCTGACCCCGGGTGGCCTGCCTGAGCCCGCTCCTCCGTGTTTCCGCAGAACGGCGACCTCAAGAAGCAGCTCCACGAAAGGCAGCCGCGGATCGCCGCGCTCAGCGACAAACAAGTAAGCGATGGGATCGCGGCCCCCCCTGGGATGGGGCGGGAGGGTGGCTGGGCACTTTGGCGGCGCCCTAAAAAGTGCCAGCCTGGGCGACGCACGCTCAGACTCCCAGAGGGGTCTGTCTCCAGTTCTCAAAGTTCCCCACCCCTCCCCTTTCCTGGAAAGAAAGAGCCGGGTTCTCGGAGGCGGCAGGGAGAGCCGGGCCCTGCGGGGGCCGAAGAGAGGAGCTCACTTAAAAGGCAGCGCGCGGCCCGGCGTCCATTTTGAGGTGGTGGACATGTTTTTGGAACGTGGCGATTTCTCCCGGCTCGGAGTCCCCCGCTTTGCGCTGAGGCGGCCATGGGGGCGGAGGGGGGCGGCCGTGGGGGCCTGGACACCAAACTCGTTGGAAGCGATTTCTGGGTTCCGTGGCAAACCTCGTTTTGAAATCGTTCCTCGAGGCTCCCTCCCCCCCACCACCTTCCACTTCCCTAGCTTCACTTTTTATTCTTGGAACCTGACGCCAGCTCCCGGGGAACAAAAGAAACGCGCCCCCGGGACTCCCCAGTTCTGCTCCAACTTTGGGCTCCGGGCGTTAGGTGTAGTTGGGGACACCTGAGAAGCTCCCACGCGTCGGAGGCGCGACCGCTCCCCCCCCTCCGGGCCCCCTCCGGGGAGGAAAAGTTGTCCATTGTGACTTAGTTGCGCTGAGCTCAGCGCTCGGGGTTTCAGCACCACGAACAGATGCCGCCGCCAGAGCCCGGCCGGCCGCGCGCCCCCGCCCCCTGGCTCCCGCCCCTCCTCCGCTGCCCCTCCCCCGCCGCGCCCCCTCCCCGCACTCGCACACCCGCCCCTTCCCCGCGCTCGCACACCCGCCCCTTCCCCGCGCAGCCCCGAGCCGAGAACTTTGAGCGGCGCAGCCAATGGCGTGCTGGGGGCACCGCTGTGGCGGGCACGGGGGCGGCGGCGCCCCTCCCTCCCTCCGCTGCCCCCTCCCTCCCTCCTTCGCGCCCCGCCCCCGCCCGCGCCGCGCCCCCGGCCATCGATCGCGTTTCCTTCGGAATGCCGGCCGCAGCCGCCAGCGCCAAACTTGGACAGCTCCGGGCCCGCCCCCGCGCGCCCCCGCCCGGGCCTGCCCCCGCGCTCCCACCCCAGCCCGGGCCGCCGGATCGGACGCCCCCTCCCCCGGGGGATTTTCTGGCGTAGGGGAGAGACGTGGACGAGGTTGGGGCGGCTGCCGGTGACCCTGGCGAGAGAGAATTCGGAGGCCGGGCGTTCGTGTCGAGTCTTTAAAGTTAAAAAGTGATGGGAGGGGGCGTGCGCGAGTGGCGGGTTTTGGGGGGGGCCGGGCTTGCTGAAAGGAAGATGGCAGTGCCGCGGCCCGCGCCTGGTCTGGGCCGCCGGGCTGGACCGAAGGCTTGGGACAAATGCGCTAACCCTTTTCAGTTGGTGCCGCGGCCCCCCCGCCCCCGGCCGCGCGCCCCCGTCCGGGAGTGGAAGCTTCCATTCCCGCCGGAGGGGGGCCCGGCGCGCGGCCCCGGCGAAGTCGGGGAGTTGGCGGGGGGAGGGGACCCAGGCCCTGCATTACCATTTTGATTGCTTTGATGCCATTTTTGGAGGGGGAGGGGTCGGAAGACCCTTTTCCGCAGAGCACAAAGCTGTTTAATCACTGCGTAGAATCAAATCAGATACTTTCTTTAAAAAAAAAAAAAAATCTGCCACCAGATCTGGTCCAGTGTGATAGCTGAGGGTTACTAAGCCCTTTTTTCACTGGGTAAAACGGCAAGTTGTTGACTCGTACGCTCCTAGAAGATTTAAAAGAGAGAGAGAAGAAGAAAAAATCCAATAACCTAGGAGCTTTTCTTGGAACAATGTCTCTTTATGTTTCTGCTTGGCAGTAGTTTTACTATTTGGAATGACTCTTCTGAGCTTGGGTTTGATCATTTCTTCTGTATTGTAGCAACTATTTCGAGGCTGTTTAAATTTTTATGATGATAGTAAATGAGTCGCTATTTATTATCTGTCATGCCGGAATTTAGATAAGCCGAAAGAAACATTTGAAAATCCTGTTTGAAGGTTGCGGCAGCTTCGGGAAGGAGCTCTCCGACTCCGGGCTGCCTTTGCCTTTAAATTTGAACTCCGGGAAGGAGGCTTGCTTGCGAACTGACCTCCATCTTTTTGTGTGTGTGAGTGTGTGTTTAAAAAGAAAGAAAGCAAGGAAAACTTTTTTTCTCCGGCCTTTTAGAAATGTTTCCCTTTTAAATGACTAAACAACATTGGGTAAGCAGCCAGGATTTGGCCTGGCCATTGGAACTTGTGTTTTTAACTGCGAGGGTGTTGTTTTTCCATTTCCCTTTGTGGCATTTTATATAACAAGGGCTCATAAAAGAGGGAGGGGAGGGGGCTGCGGCCGTGGTTCAGCATGCTAATAAAGCCGCCTTGTCTTTCCCAGGCTCTGCGTTGAAATCTTTCAGAGGTCACCTATGAAATGAGTTAGGGAGACTTAACATTTACTCCCCTCTCCCTCTCCTTGGGAGAGTTTGGTGGTGATTGGCAGCTTAGCTGGGGAAAGGTCGATGAACAAGCCTTTGGAGGTGACTCTGGGCTGAACTAGGGTTTTGAAGAGGCCTCTACTTGGTCACCCCAGAGCCTGCCCAGAAGGAGCCGAAATGGGGGAGTGGAGGTGAAAAGGCAAGTGTGTCACAGTTTGTTTATTTAACTCAACAGAAAATTAAAGGTAGAATTCTTTTAGAGAGTCGCTTAGGGAAACGCTTATACCATCTCCACCTCCAGAGATGTTTTCTGTGCTGGAACATCGGATATAAAGGTTAAGTTTCAATTAAAAGTGCACATGTGGATGATGAACTAGATAGTAAAATGAACAGATGACCCCGTTATCCAGGTCTGTTAGCAGTACGCCAGCAGCGGAATCCTGTCTTTCAGGGCCCAACCATGAATTTCTCATTCATGCCCTTAGCGCGATGTTTTTCTCAGTTACTTTAAGAAACATGGACAAGTGTGTAAAGGTGTTTAAAGGACTCATAGTGGTAGATAGCTTATTGGTCAGGGTAGATAGAGATATGTTTTCTGTGTAACTGTCTAGTTTTTGTCCTACCATTCGGAGACTAGGGAATTAACAGGAAGTGAGTTTACATAGGACCTTGCTATTTGAAAATGAAGTTCATATTTTCCACTAAAAAAAAAAATGAGGCATAGGATAGTTGGTCAGAGCTGATGAGTTGTGGCCAGGCCCAGGCCAGCTAAGCTGCCTTCCCAGGTGTGGCTGCACTTTGCTGCTGGGCTGTGATTCAGATAGTGGAGGGCCCTCTTCTTTAACAAGATATGATGTGTGAAGACTCCATTAGCTGCTCCAGTGGTTTACACCATGAGATTGCAGCACATGCAGGGGCAGTAACATTTTTATCTAAATTGTCAAGCAACAAGCCCTTCTGTGTAAGTTAAAGACCCAGCGTAAATACTGGGTGGGTGGAGGTCCCCTCTTCGGAGTTCCGAGCACAGCATTTAGATGCCATGTGTGAGCTGGCATCTCCAGACCTGAACTTCATGCAGGTGCAGCTTTACAGTCAGGTTGGGAAGAGCCTTCTGTTTGAACCGCAGTCCATGCTGCTGTGGTCTCATGAGAAGGACCCCGGAGGTGAGCTTGGGACCTTGTGCACTACCCCAAGAGTCCGTGGAGCTGATGAACTCTGGGTTCTGAGAGGCTGTCCCCGAGTGCAGCAGTAAAAGTACGTTGTCTTGAAAGGTGTTGTGTGCGCGCCCAGCGCTGAGACGTGTCTTCACCATGACTTACCAGCTGTGTCCAGCAATGGGGGATTCCACCTTAGAAGCAGCCACTGAATGAAGCTGGGGGGTTATCCACAGCCCCACCCCACATTGTTTGCAGTCCTTTGGTACCAGGACTTTCTGTTTTCCGAACTCTCCTCCCAAGCTTACTCTCCTCCAGAAAGGTACATTTTAATCTCTCTGATGTAAAGTGCCAGTTCTCATTGTTGAAACAGTATCATTATACATTGCAGAAAAAAATCAGTACAACTCCAAAAGCTCCACACTTAATACTGCTAGGGGAAGATCGTGGGAATGGGACAGCAAGGCCTAGCCCGGTTTCACCCCTGGTTAGCCTGGCTACCACCTGTGTGGCCTTCATCCCCCACCTCTCACACCCCCCACACACACAGCTGGAGTTTCCTGGACCCCTCCATCCCTTCATCGCCCTGCGCCCACCCACTACCATCTCTTACCTGGAAGATTGTGATAGCCCCTTCACTGCGTCTACTTAAAAACATCAACAAAACAGCTTTATTGAGATATATTTTACATAGACTTACTCACCCATTTAAAGTGTACCATTCAGTGGTTTTTAGCATATTGACAGATCTGTACAGCCTTCACTACCATCCATTTTAGAATATTTTTGTCGCCTATAAAAGAAACCCCTTGGCTGTCACTTCCCCTCTCCCCTTTCCCCCTTCCCCAGCTTTAAGCAACCACTAATCTACTCTGTCTCTAGAGTTGCCTGTTCTGGGCTTTCGTATGAATGGAATCATACTATGTGTGTGTGTATATATGTATGTGTGTGTGTGTATAAAATGACTATATAGTATGATTATGCTATGTATATAGTATGATTCCACTTATATTAAATAGATATATTTACATCTTTTTGTGACTGGCCTGTTGCACTTAATGATTCAGGCTCCATGCAAGTTGTAGCACGTATCAGCACTTCACTAGCTTTTATGTCAGGACTTCCCGCCCTGTAGAGAGAACTCATTCTGTCCAACCGTTCATCCACGAGTGGACGTTTGGCCTGTTTCCACCTTTTCCTGTTGTGAGTGGCATGCTGCGTCTACTCTGGGCCCTTCTAGTATATTCTTCCCCAGAGTCAGTGTCTTAGAATGTGAATGAGGTCACAGTGCTCCCTGGCTCACAACCTTCTGGTGGCTTCCCCTTGCTCTTGGAATGAATCCCAGGGGCCTGCAGAGCCACAGGGATGGCCCTGCCCACCTGCTCGGCCTCTGCCCCAGAAGCTCCTCCTCGCTCCTGCGGGGCAGCTACAGACACCTGGAGTGCTTTTCTGCCTCTGCGGCGTTCTTAGCCTTGCTTGTGTAGATCTTCCTAGATCAGCTACTGTGCTAGACTGTAAGCTCCCTGAGGGGCAGCTGCAGACACCTGGAGTGCTTTTCTGCCTCTGCGGCGTTCTTAGCCTTGCTTGTGTAGATCTTCCTAGATCAGCTACTGTGCTAGACTGTAAGCTCCCTGAGGGGTGCCTGCTGAGCTCCCCTCTGCCTTTTCCCAGGGCAGTGATGGTGTGAAGATTGGCAATGATTTGTTAACTGTCCTAGGGGAGCCCCTAGCCTGCAGTAGGCCTGGAGCAAAGGGAAGATTTTGAAATCGTGTGTGTTGAAATGAGTGGACCCAGAGATGAATGAGACAAGCTCCCTGCCCTTGGAAACCCAACAAAAGAGTGAGGCGTGGAGAACAGTTTCAAGGAACTTCTGGAAAAGGGCTGTGAAAATCATGCTGCGGGAACACCTGCATCATTGCTGGCCTGGAAACTGAGGACGGCTTCCGGGAGGGGGTTGCCTGGGAGATGCGTCCATAGGGCCTCCTGGGGAGCGGATGGGCGCGGATGGTGGCCAAGCTTGTCAAGGGAAAATGGCCCCAGAGAAACGCGCAGTGGGAGGTAAGGGCGCTGCTGAGTTTTCTGGCAGTAAAACCATGAACGAGGAGGAGAGAGAGGGCAGAGAAGGCCAGCTGGGGCCAGTGTAAGAAGATGTCACATGCAGGGCCGGAGGGCCTCGAGTTGATACCATGGCCTCTTGCCGTGCCCAAGGGCTTCTAGGGCACGAGGCAGGAAGATGTGTGTAGGAGTGCAGGGGTGCTGAGGGCAGGTCAGAAGGGAGGAGTGTGAAGGATGCCTGGGTTCCCCAAGTGCATGAGATACTTAGGTGTTTGTCACCTGCGTGGGGAGCCTCTTGACAGGCCCCATCGTTGTGGGGAGCGCGAGGCTGGTGCTGGACCCAGAGCCCTGGGTGACCAGTACATAAACCAGGCTGTGAGGGTGGGGGTTCCAGGTGACCCTCCCCCAGCCTTCAGCAGAGGTTCTTAGAGCCAAAGAATTAGTGGGGGACACCTCTGGAAGCCCCAGAAGGCAATTGAGTGGGTAACTCTGCTAAGTTGAAGAACAAAAGTGTGTGTATGTGTTTGTGTGCATGTGGTGTGTGTGTATGTACATAAATGCAATTTATAGTTACATGTTTACCAGTTACATTTTTATTCCTATTGATTTAATTTTCTTGGCCACATGTAACGTATAATGACAAATATTTGTATATTGATATATGTCAATACAACAGTAGACATGTAAAGCCTATGTAATGTGTATGAAATAGTTATTATTTTGTCTGTTACTAAAATGAGAGGAAGGATTTGTTTTTGAAGTCAGGAAAATAATTAACATTCTGCTGAAGTAAATTTTACTAAGGAAGGTGGTGATCAGCATTCTATCATTTTGGTCACATTTAGGAGATAAAGAAGAATTCTACTTTTTAAAGGTTTTTCTTAGAAAAGCAACACGTGCTCATCGGGAAAATGGCAGTACAAGTTTGAATATCGTAAAGCGCGGGTCTCACTTCTTCCTGCCCCACTGTATCCTTGGGCGAGAGCGGCGGTGGCCTCGAGGTGTGCTCACGGAGGTGTCTGCAGATGCGTCTATGATGTTGGGTAAACACCTTCTCACACAAGTCCATGCACCAGGCATCACTGTTCCCAGACCTGCTTTTCACACCTGACGTGGTATTGTGGAGGTC
This sequence comes from Homo sapiens, assembly GCF_000001405.40. NCBI lineage: Eukaryota > Metazoa > Chordata > Mammalia > Primates > Hominidae > Homo > Homo sapiens. Next base: position 45,001,738 of record NC_000022.11, on the reverse strand, counting down.
TCTTGGGAACAGCTCAGGTTAATTCCACGAATATGAAAGGAGTTTCCACCAGAAATTATTGGGGATATGGAAGTAGCGGTGGAGCGGTATGTTGTGAGTGACGGTGACATCTCACTCTATAAGGCTTTACACTTGCAGAGGGCTTTCACTTGATATAGCCCACAGCTCACAGCTGTTTTCACATGCAGTTGGGGAGGCAGGTGTGTCCACAGTCACCTGTCGAGGCCCAGTGAGGTATTTGTGTGAGATGTCTGGCCACCAGGCTCACCCAGGTGGCAGATGGGACGATGTGCTGTGCTGAGGGGTGTGGGGACAGCTCCAGGGAGGTGACATTTGCACTGGTAGAGAAGGTGGTGGCAGATTGCACACTCGCTGCTGTGGCTGGCTGTGGCACTCTCTTCAACGCACCTCCTCTGTCCTCCTTGATCGACGTCTTTTTATTTGATTGTCAGGATAATCCTGGGACTTGGGTCGGACTGGGCTGGTGAATCTTCAGGACACATCGGAGGAGGGCAGCTTTCCAAGGTTGAGCCGCCTGGGACCGCTGTGAATGGAATTGTCGACACTGCCCCCTGGCCCGGAATGCCTCCATGTTAGCCCCCTGCTCATCTCCAGCTGGTCTCCCATGGTGTAGGGTAAAAGGTGATGGAGCCGGAAGAGCAAGGGCCCCATAGTCAGCACACGGGGGTTCACGGCCCAGCTTCCTGTGTCTTGGCTGAGCAACCTTGGGCAAGCCATTCTGCCTCTCTGAACGAGCTCCGTTTGCCAGCTGTGAAGTGGGGGTGGGAATAAGACCCACTCACCTGGTGATTGCGATGAAATCAGCAGATATGAAAGTGCTTTTAGACTGCAACGTGAAGGTGTTAAACGTGGGTCTGTCACTAGAGATGAGGGTTGACTTGAACCACAGGAACCACCCCCCTGCCCGGGCTCTGACCTGGGCACTTTTGTCTTGTTGCTTGTCCCCGCTGGGGAGGCGATCTTTCCATGCGAGAGCGTCATGTTGCTTTTTGCCCCCGTAAAGGTTGACGACCACTATGCTGACTACGCCGCCTGCATCAGCCACTCCAAAGAGTCCGCTTTGATACCTTAGAGTCTTAAAACACCTGCTGTCGGAACCGTACAATTGATTTCAATTAACTTTGAATTTTTTCAATGAAATGACTCTGATAATAACTTTGGTAGTCCCATGATGCCTCATTAGAGCTGCTGGCTATGATGATTAGCCTTGTGATTTACCAAGTTTTTCCTCCAACGCCTTTGTCTCTTCAGGAACCGAATCATGGGCTGTGTCTTTGATTTCACTTGTGTGAGCAGCGAACACACGAGGCTGCTACTCGCCCCATCTGCAGACACACTGCTGGTCCTGAGGGCGCCACACTCCTTCTTCAGCAGCCGAGGCTCTTGATATGTATGGGGCAGTGTCTCGGGGAGGCTCTGGTCACCTCTAGGGGGTTAAGGAGCTTTGAGGGTGTCCGGTGGCCCAGCCTTGGAGGCCCTGCCCCCCGATTTCCCTCCCGAGTACTGTTTAGAAGGCTTTTAACTTTGTCTCCGAGAGGCGTGTGACAAAGTGATTTACAGTGCAGGCTTTAAAACTGGACAGACTGGAGTTCCAATCCCGGCTCCATCCTTTGCCGGCTCCTTCCGCTTGGGGCAGGCTTTGCCGCCTTGGAGGCTCTGGTTCCGTAGTTATAAAAGGGGATTAATAATAGTTCATGGCCAGCCAGGCAGCAGAGTGCCTGGTGCTCGGTGAGCACTCAAGAAACAATCTTCGAGAGGCCGCAGGATTAGTGAGTGGTGCATTAAGCTCTGGGCCCACAGGAAGTTCTCACCCAGTGGGACTGATGACGTGTCCTGACGCGTCCTGGTGTTCCTGTGGGGCGCTGGCTCTGAGCAGGTGCCTTCTGGTTCTCTCTGTGGACTGGCTCGGCCCAGAGAGGTTGGGGGCCTTGTTGAGATCACACCCCTGGTGAGTAGAGAAGCCGTGGTCCAGTTCTGGACCATTGGGTGCCCAGCTTCGTGACCTTAACTCCAACACTGGCACGTGTAGGGGGAGAAATGACAGCGTAATGGCACCAATAAGAAAAGTGAGGTGTGGACTGTTACTCCGGGGCACACGGTCAGATAAAAATGAGTGGAGTTACGATGTTGGAGACAATCCCCAGCAAGTTAGTAACCGTCCTGGTGACCGCGAGCAGTACTTTTGCTCCGAAATAGAAGTCATGGAAGCTTCCTGGGGTCTGGGTCTGGGTCTCTGCATCTCCCGGGAGCCTGGCTGTTGGCTTAGCACCGGGGAGTGTGTGGCTGGCCGGGGCCTCGGTGAGGATTGCGGGGTTGTGGAGAGGAGTCTGCAGCACAAAAGCCAAGCCCTTCGCAGCTGGGGGGTTTCCTCCTCCTCCCTCTCTCTGGCTTGCGTTCTGCTCTCCTTTTTATTATTATTGATGTTATTTTATAGTTTAAGGTGGAGACATCTCATTTTGAAATGGTCTCTGTTCTCTGAAGGAACGAATATGCTTTCTGAAGATTGCTCTGTGTTGTTTTTGGTGGTGACTTCCTGTTCGGTAGTAGCAGTCCCAGTGTGGGGAGAAATTGCTGGTGCAGCTTCACTCTGGTTACAGTCCCTGACTGCCAACAGCGGGCATCCCTTGGCGGCTCCGATTGGGCCGTACTATACGGTTTTTTACTTTGGCTTGGCACTTGTGCTGGTCTTCTTAAAAGATGGCAGAAAGGAGGGTATCCATGTGGGATTTTTATTTTTTTGCTCAGGGTTGAGTCAAACCCTCATCCTGAAGAGGGATGGGAGGGGCAGGCCAGGCTGGGTCCTGGTCTCAAAGTGGGGGTGTTGGAGCCCCTCTGGCAGTGATGTCCCGGGGATGAATGGGGCGAGCATTGTACGCACCGGGCGTGATTCCCGAGGTGCAGCCAGGAGTTGAGTAGAGAGAGCTGTTGTCAGTACTATTTTATTAACAATAATACAAGAAACAGCCAGCAGGACCCCAAAGACATTATTGCCGTAGAAAAGCAGGGAGGCATCTCTGGCTTTTTGTTGATACAGAAACTACTGAGTTGCTTTTGGTCTCTGGACGGGTGTACCCAGAGCTGGGATTCGGCCCCTGACTTGGGAGTCTGTGGAAATTGAGGGGACATGTCCCCCGCCTTGGCCTGATGGCTTATGGCTGAAGCTAAAAGCATAGGATGTGAGAACCAAGGGGAGCACCTCGGCCAAGCCCCTCATCTTACCCGAGGGAAACTGAGGCCCCGGTCGGGGTTGGGAATTGCACCCAGGAACAAGATCGGGCCCCTGTGACTCCAGGTCTTCTGATCACTGCGCTTGGCCCATGCGAGAAACCTATTGTGTTTGTTTTCACAATTAAATTTACTTCACCAGAGTTTTCTTTCTGAAGCCGCTGGCCCCAGAGGGCAGCCTGTGTGTGAGAGTTGCTGCGTCCTGCATGGATGACCTTATTTGTGGACAACAGGACTGCCAAGAAAGGACCCTCAGGACACCTGGGTGTTTTGAGAATGGTTGCTAGACTCTCCAAGTAGTTGACTTCTGAATTGCACAAGTAAGAGACAGGCAGCTTTGGCAGGGCACAGTGTGTTCCAGAATGGTCCATACGATGAAACTTACTAAATCAGATTGGCTGCAGATCTCCAGGTATGGGTAAGTTTCTTCACCTTCTGTGTCCCTGGAGAATCAGGAGTCCCTGCAGCCATCACCTAGCCCAAGTTTGCACATTTCTGTTTTCAGAGTCTACAATTGAGGGTAGGGGCCAGCTGTGGGCTTGTTACGGAAGAGTCATTCCCCAAAATAGGAAAGGAGCTGAGAGATGGCAATTTGGAAGGGCGGGCCTCCGTTATGCGAAGCGGCAGCAGAGGGGTCTGTTGGGACCTCCCTGAGGAGGCCGCCCCTGGGTGAAGCTGTAGTCAATTTGGGGAGAGGGTTTTTACCCCAGGCAAAAGAAAAGGGCTGGGATGAGGCAGGAGAGGAGGGGAAGGGAGAGAAAGAGAGGGAGAAGTGTTTCTCTTTGATGTCATTCAGGCGGAAAGCCAATCTGCACATGTAAATGAACCTGAAAATGTAATTAAAAATATATACATATTAGAGACTATGATCCAGAATTTAATGTGAGATGCAGCTTGCAAAGTGACAGGTAGCATTTCCTACAATCAGCAATACGAGTCTAGTCTGTGATTAATGCGTCTCAGTGGTAATAAATGCACCACAGATAAATGCCGGAATTATTTGTTAAACTCTGGGTTGACAGCCCCATTGAATGCAAAACTCTGTTTGTCCACATTGCCCACGTCCACCTCCCTGCAGCCATTGCAAGAAGGTCCCCCCAAGAGCTTGGAAGGAGAGGTGACAGAACAGTTACTGGGGCCATCGTGGACTGAGGCCAGAGCCCTCGAGGTGATTCCAGCCATAGGCATGGGAAGTGGCAGAAGTGGGCACGTCAAGGGAAAGTTGCCAGGAGCCACCTGTGGCTGCCATCTCCAAGCAGGAGCTGGGACTCATTGGCCCAGGACCTTCAGCGTAAGGGACTGGAGGGGACGAGGGTAGTGGAGCTCTCTGTGTCTGAAGCCTTTTTGCGTATTCTCTGGGGTGTGACCAGATGAGGATGTTCAGCAGGGAGGGCCCCGTTAACAGGCTCGTGAGCAGTGGGCACAATAGGCCTTGTGGTGCTCAGAGACTCGGGGGGGAGACAGGTAATCGATGAGAAACATAATGCGTGACGTGGAGTGGGTCGGAAGGTGGCAGGTGCTCTGGTGAAAAGTAGAACGGGGAAGCGATGTGCATGTGCGCGTGTGTGTGCATGTGTGTATGCATGTGTGCACACGTTTGTGTATGCTTGTGTGCGTCTGCATGTATGCATGTGTGTGTGTGCATGTGTTCGTGTGTGCCCACCTCTGTGTATGCTTATGTGCGTCTGCATGTATGCATGTGTGTGTGCTTGTGCATGCACGTGTGTGGATCCGTGTGTGCATGTGGGTGTTTGTGTGTGTTTGCATGCATGTGTATATGTCTGCATGTGTATATGCATGTATGCGTGTGTGTGTTTGTGTGTCTGTGTGTGTGTGTAGGACAGGTGGCAGCTTTAGAGAGTGATCTAGAGGGGATCAGAGAGTCAAACGGGGTAGGGACCCTTCCTCTCGGTGTGACTGACCTCAGCCTTTGAATCACCACCTGGCCTGAGTGTTTGAGAGGGAGCAGCCCTTTCATGGGGCAGAATGTTGACCACAGATTGAAAGTTAGGTGAAAGCTGATTTCCGCCCCCAGTCTGGAGGAATACCCTGATGATGAGAGCTGTCTGGGGCTAGAACTGGTTGTTTAAGGCCTCCATCTGCCAAACCACCTCTCAGTCAGTGAAGGAGAAGCGGCACCAACCAGCAGTTGTACGGGGAAGGCTGGCGGATGCTCCCTGACACTGAGATTCTGTGATTCAGAAATCTTGAGACTCATCAGGGACTCTGTGGCTGTGTAATTACAACCTGAGGTTCCCAGCCTCGGCAGGGATGGCAGACACCGAAGCTGTGGGCTGGCGAGTGGTCCTGCTGAGGGCTGGGCGCTGGAGAGACCGAGCCCCTCAGCTGGGGGCAGCATGGCCCAGCACCCCCCTGTTGTCATGTGGCATGGGCCCTGTGCCGCTGGCTCCTTGGATTTTTCAAGAGAAGCCAGAAATGAAGTGTGATGTTTGGATATGGGCAATACAGCCTTTCCACATATCCCCGGCCAGAAGGGACACCCCTGCAGATCGAGGTGAACTGTCCCCTCTGCGACCATCTTTGAGCCCCTTGCCACGTCCCCTCCGCTGTGCCCTCAACACCTGGCTCCTTCCTCTGCATCGTCTGGGGCCCGGCGGAGATGGGCAGTCACCCTGACCTCAGGGACAGAGTCTGTCTTTCCCCCGAATCACGTGGGGGGATGGGGGGGTGGAGGTGGGGGGCGGGGGGGTCATCTAGTAATTTCCTCCCTCCCTCATCTCTGTCTCCACTCAACATCTCGGAAGGTGCCGACATACCGAGTGCTAAATGCAGTGACTGAGTCAGACTCGACGCGCCGAAGATTCTAGAACCTTAGCATCCTAAGATGCAAAGAGTCTGTGTTGGTGATTCCCGAGATTCAAGACCTTGGTTCTACAGTGGTCCAAGCTCCCAAGGTTTAGCGATTCTGTGGTCCCAGAGTGAGCCCCAGACTCCTGGGAGGGGAGGAGCTGGTCACACAACCAGAGTGCCTCGGGACTCTTCAAGGGTGCTTATCTCTCATTTAGATAAGTAAGTGGAACACAAATGCATTTCTGTAAATAGACTCGTCCCCCAGCCCCCCACACACTCCAGCCCCAGCCACTGCCTCGTTGGAGTTATTTTATTAACGTGTTCTGCTGAGTGGACTTGAATGGGGAACGCTGCCTCTCATATTGTGGATCTAATTATAAGCATGAGGGACGGTACCAAAGAAGCGGCTTTGAAGGGAGAAGAGTCTGGCAGCTTGGTTGAAAGTGTCCTTTAATGAACTTCTGTGGCACTTGTATCTTAGCAACACATTTTATTACATCCTGGTGCAGCTGGACTTGCTGTACAGTAATTCATCCCCCCCATACCTCCCCACAACCTTGGTGACTGGAGGGAGGGATGTACCCACCCACTTCCCCAAGGCAGTGTTTGCACCTCTGCTGCTTTGTTTAGTTGATGAAAAAGGCAAACACAGCTCTGAGAGCCGGGGACCTGGCTGGCGAGTACCAGTATGAGCTGGAGGGGTGGGCGGTGGGCGGCCTCTCGGCCTGAGCTGCTGTGAGTTCAGATGCTGCCGCTGCAGGCTGCCATGCAGGTCTGCTGATTCTCGCCCTGGCGCTCCCCAAGTTTGGGTATTTTTATCTGGACTTCTTTTCTGTAATGACACTAATTTGGATACTGCGGAAGTGGGGACGTTGGCACATCTTTCATCGTAATCAGCAGCCTGTATGTAAGTGGGGGTGGGGGAGTGTTGATGAGATGAAGTGGGTGCCAGGGGAGGAAAGTAGGTCTGAAGCACTGGGCCAGGCTGCCCAGTCCAGCTGGGCTCAGCTGTGTGTGAGCCCGGGGGTTGTGGCTGGTTACTTTTCTCTCTGAGCCTTAGCTTTCTTCTCTGCTGTGTGAGTGTCCTGTGGCTGCCGTAACTGATCCCCACGAGCTGGGCAGCGTAAAATAGCAGAATTCATTCTCTCACAGTTCTGGAGGCCAGAAGTCTGAAAGGAAAGTGTCAGCAGGGCCGCACTCCCTCCGGAGGCTCGAGGGGAGGCCCCTCTCTTGCTTCTGCCAGCCCCTGGCGGCTTCTGGAAGTCCTTGGCTTGAAGACACAGCCCTCCAGTCTCTGCCTCTGTCTACACCTGGCTGTCTTACCTCAGGGTCTGTCTGGGAGTCTTTTCTCCTTGTCTTATAAGCTCGCCAGTCATGGGATTTAGGGTTCACCCTAAGGCACAATGACCTCAGCTAACTAATTACATCTGTAATGACCCTATTTCCAAATAAGGTCATGTTCCAAGGTTCTAGAAGGATCTGAAATTTAGGGGGACACTCTTCAACCCAGTATCTCCACCAGCTGAAGCTAGCCCTGCCTACCTTGGATTCACGTTGCGGGGATGCCCCGGGCCGACGCAGCAGCAGGTGCCTTTGGCTCAGTATGTGGGTCTGCTCCCTGTCCTTCTCTCACAGCCAGAAGCTGAGATGGACAAACTATGAACCCGTGCTCCATCCTAAGCGGTGGGATGGCAGGATCTTCTGAAACTGTGACTGGGCAGGTGGTTTGAATATCTGAAATCAGGACCATCTCAGAAAAGCTGGGGTGCATCATTTCCTCTAGTTTGTGGCTCTTCACAGGCAGAAGGTTTGATATTAGGTTGTGTGTGTAGTTTTGAAAACCAGCCAGCTGAGAGTTTCACCCTGATTTGTTCTCATCCAGTGGCGAGGAAAGATTGCTTTAGAAGCACAGCCGACCTAAATAGGGATGTGCATTCTCCTGGGTGCACACACAGCTTCCTTGTTGCTGTTTGGCCTGCAGGAAAGTAAAGAGTCCAAGTTGCTCATCTCCACGGGTCTCGATTTTTCTCATCTGTGAAGTGGCTAAAATGAAGGCCGCTGTCTCCAAGCCTGTGATGGGGATTGACTGCCTTGCGGAGAAGCGTGTGTGTCAACTGCACGTTGCCGTGTGTGGGAGCGGTTCTGGACTCGCTGTTCTTGGCTGTGGCCTGTTCTCCGGTTGACCGGGAAGCTGGGGTCTGGTTCAGCCTCCCCATCCTCTAGGCTGTGGGAGAGCCCTGGCGGGTGGGAGGATGGAGCCGGTGCCGCTGTGGTGGATGAGCGTGGATAGGCCTCTGCTGCCTTTACTTCCAACAACACAGAGGCCTCCTGCGATCCCCCTTTTACCGGAGGGGACACTGAGGCTGGGTGAGGTGTGATGACTCACCTGAGGGCTTATATCTGAAGCTGGAGTGTGAACCAGCTTGGTCTGGGCTCAGTGTCTCTGTGTTGTCTGTATGTTAAACTGTATCCCAGCCAGAATGGAGCCCAGACCGCCCAGCCAGCGAGTCCTGCCAGGAATCCCAGTGAGATGCTGGCCCCACCCTGAGATGCCGCACATGGATGTGGCATTTCAGGTTCACGTGGCTTCTCCCTGTACCTGATGCCTTGTGTTCCCTGGCATCTCAGGGAGTGGCAGAGTGGAGGTGTCCCTTCTGACCAAGTGTGAGGATGCAGAGTCCCATGCCCTGTTGGACTTGGTGGATTTGGGTAAAAGCTCAGCTCTTTCTGAATCAGTCCCTGCATCTGTAAAATGGGGACGAGGCTCTACTGCCTGCTTTATAGCGGGGTTGCAAGGCTGAAATGAAGAAAACCAGGGAGAGCTGGGATGAGGCCGACAGGATCGTGTGAGCAGGCTGGGTAGGGTCCCGAGAGCCTCTCTGGGGGGTCAGCGTCAGGTCGCCACTCCCGTCCTCCTGTCCCCCACCCCGCCACATCACTCATTCTTATGCCTACTCTGTGTTGGGTGCTTTACACGCTGTTCAGTCCACAGAAAGTGGGGCTGGAGCTCTTCCTTGGAGGATGGCGGCCAAAAGCCAGAGCCGGCCTCAGGCTGAGTTGGTGGGGACCCTGGCTCTGCCACCCACACGTGCACGCGCAGAGATTCAGTCCAGCCTGTGGAAGACACACCTCGCCTCCGCTCCTGCCTGTTAGATGTTTTCCAAGGTTTGATGTGGGTGACGTGCTTGACAGTCACCTGCTGTGCTTGGCATCAGCCAGCGGTGGAGCAGGACTTGGAAGGCAGGCCTGGGATACTGGCTGGTGGCTCAGGTAGCCCTGACACCAGTCTCAGTGGCTCACTCTGGTCGCCCTGGCATTGAGTGCGTCCACGCTGCGGTGCGGCCACAGCACCCCGTCCCCGTCAGTTCCTCCCATGCATTTCATCGTCCAGCATCCCTGGGCAGCGGCAGCCTCTGCAAAGTGGCTTCAAGGGGCTTCTGTTCAAACACTCCAAGGGTCCTCCCCTGGCAGGGGCATGAATGGTGCTTTCTGCAACTTCAGAGGGCATGGAGAGAAGGGATTAACACAGAACTGAATTTCTGCTGAAGTTAGAGGACATCTAAGAATGCACTGAGAGAACAGTCTGCCCTTGAGGCAGTGCACTCCCCGTCACTTACATTGGTCAAGAGAAGGGACGTTTGCATCTGGGGTGAGACCCGACCAAGTGCGCTCCCCCAACGTCCGGGTCTGGTTTCTTTAATGCCTCCAAAAATCTTGTGACCCAGCCAACAGCTTCATTAAAAAAGCTGTTTCTTAGGTTACACAATTGACTCATTTACTAAATATGTTTTTGGAAGAAACCAAAGAAAGTGAAGACAAGAGTTCTCAGCAGCCCCTTCACCCTGTAAGGCCAGCGAGGGCAGCCATTGTCCCGTGTCCCCAGGTGAGTCCTGCTTATGGAGCTGGATGGACCAGCGGAGCTGAGAGTCAGGTCTGGCTAGCAGGCCAGTGGAGGGAGGCCAGCGGGACACAGAACAGAGGTGGAGACAGTGGCCACCACAGGAGCCCCCCAGCTGGGCACAGGGTGACCACCCCAGGGTCCCCCGAGCTCTGTAAGGGACTGCCCCTCCATGGATGTCCTGGCCCCACAGAGAGGACCACAGCATCACTCACCATCTAGGGGGACGCCAGGCCCGTCCCTGTTCTCAGCCTCTCCTTGGGTCTCCTGGGCCGAAGCTGTGTGATCCTCTGCCTCCTTCCCTGGGGGAGGACGCTCAGTGGGATCATCTGTCACAAGTCTGCCTGTCGTCTTGGTGGTTTGTGTTCTGTTTGGCTGACGTCACTGAAGAAGGAACCACCACACACAGTGGGTTTTCCAGGCACCGGAAATCCCTTCCCCTTTGCACGGACCCAGCACCTGTGAGGTGGGAGAATCTGTACTGCACCGTGGAGTGGCCAGACTGCCTTTTCTTTTACCCATTTTAGGGAATTCTTAATAGCGTGCACATCAAGCTTTTTTGCCTTCTCAAGGAGGGTTTCCTCATTTGAACTTAATCCCCTTGGTGCACAAATGCTAAAATTACTAGTGTTAATGACTGAAGGATGCGCTAACCTGGATTGAAGCCCAGGTTGCATTTCTCTGGACAGTTTTGGAGACTGCCCTGCCCGATGGACGGCACCCTCGTGACAGCCCTGGAAGGTGGGCAGGGCGGGGCTTTGATTCCCGCCTCGCAGGCCTGGGTGTGGAGGAGCCGCGGCAGCAGGGCCCGCTGTTGGTGGTTAGACCTTCCAAGGTGGTTCAGGGCTCCCCCTGGCCACGCAGTTAGCGACTCCTGCCTTTTTTCCTCGGTCACACTCCTGGCTTTATTAAATAACATTGATCGAAATTTTTATTGCAGCAAAATGGACATAACATAAAACTTACCGTCTTCACCATTTTTAAGTGCCCAGTTTAGCAACATTAGATATATTCACGCTGTGTAGTCGTCACCACCATCCATCTCCAGATGTCCTTGTCTTCCCAAACTGCAACTTGGTACCCATGAAACAATTACTCCTATTCCTTCCTCCCCAGGCTCCTGGTAGCCGGCATCTTACTTAGAATCACAGAGTATTTATCTTTGTGCAACTGGCTTTTTTCACTTCGCGCAATATACTGAATTTATCTTTTTGCCACTGGCTTTTTTCACTTAGCGTAATATACTCTTACTCAGCGTAATTCACGCATGTTGTAGCGTGCGTCAGAACTTCCTTCCTTTTTCAGGCTGTGCGTTATTCCACTGCTTGCACGTACTCCGTGCTGTTTATCCATTCATCCGTCAATGCACGTTTGCCTTGCTTCCACCCCTTGGCTGTTGTGAATAAAGCTCTTAGGAACATGGGTGTGCAAATATGTTTGAGTCCCTGCCTTCCATTCATTTGGGTATCTATGCAGAAGTGGAATTGATGGATGGGACTTGTGCTTTTCTTCCTGGGCAAACCCTCAGTGGAGAGAAGCCTGAAGGGTTGGTTGCCTGTGTCATCCTCTGGGGGCATAGTCCAGGGGTGACCGTGTTCCATCAAACCTGTGTCCATGACTGTGGGAGCCATGGTTTTGATATCACATCCTGCCAGGGAATTTGAGTGCCTCTCTGCTGGCTTCCCCCAGCCCCTAGTAGGCCTCTGCCCAGGGGACACGGGCATGGGTGGAAGTGGAGGCAGCGGCAGCATTCACGGAGCCCGTTGGCCCCTTCGGCGTGCACTTTATGAAGAGCGTGCCTGTGCTCAAAAGGAATTCTCCTGTTAGAGATTTGCATTGGCGTTAAACACGTGGACGTTAAAAATGTAGCTCACGGCTGGGCATGGTGGCTCACGCCTGTAATCCCAGTACTTTGGGAGGCCAAGGCAGGTGGATCACCTGAGGTTGGGAGTTTGAGACCAGCCTAGTCAACATGGTGAAACCCTGTCTCTACTAAAAATACAAAAATTAGCCTGATGTGGTGGTGTGCGCCTGTAATCCCAGCTGCTAAGGAGGCTGAGGCACGAGAATCGCTTGAACCTGGGATGCGGAGGTTGCCGTGAGCTGACATCACACCACTGCACTCCAGCCTGGGTGACAGAGTGAGACTCGTCTCAAAAAAAAAAAAAAAAAAAAAAAAGTCGAGTTGTGGTGGCTTGTGTAGACGTTCTATTATTATAGTGATGTGTTTTCTTTTTTCCTCTCTCTCTCAGGATGATTAGTGAGCAGGGGACTGATTTCCTCGTTCCTCATTCATGAACAACAACTAACATTTGTGTAGCAGCATCTTGAGGTATTGGGCATTGCCACTTACATTAACCCGTTGGATTCACGTTTCATGGGTTTAAAAAGCGAGGTTTGAGGGCTGGTGGGCCTTTTCCAGGGCACCCACAAATAAAATCCAGCGTTTTCTTTGGAGGAGGCCAAGCTGAGATTGGAGGCAGCTTCCTAGAGCCCTTCTCATCACTCGCACAGCACCGCCACCGCCAACTTGTTCCTTGAGTCCGGGGTTTGAGGAACATCCATGTGAAGAGTTCCCTGAGGTCTCCTGACCAGGCTGCTTTATCTGTGGCCCTTCAGACTATGGTCCTGTGATCCGCCAGCCTGCCATGGGCTGCGGAGAGTTAGGTAGCCAAGGCCTGAACGCTGTGCCCTTCTTGAAGTACATACCTTGAAACCTCACCCCGAGATGATGGTATTAGGAGGTGGGGCCTTGGGAGGTGATTAGGTCCCCAGGGCTACACCCTCATAAATAAGATTAGTGCCCTTATAAAAGAGGCTGAGGGTGTCTGTCTGCCTTCGTGAGGACACAGCAGCCAGGCACCATCTTTGAAGCAGAGAGCAGCCCTCACCGGACACTGCCATCTGCTGGGGCCCTCCACGTGGACTTCCCAGCCTCCAGAACTGTGAGCAGTAGACTCCTGTTGTTTGTAAATTACCCAGTCTAATCTTTTGGTGTAGCAGCCCCAAAATGACCACAGCATATGCCATTGCTAAACTTCCACAATGCTTTTTTCTCGATGTGCAGGGAAAAAGACACAATCTGCAGACCTTTCTCAATTAAACTTTTCTTTCCCTGGCATTCATATTTCCTACATCTTTGGTTCTTGGGTTCTAGCAGAGGACAAAATGAGATAATAAGCATCAGACACAAATTTACAGTTGGTTATGACTATTTTGAAGACTTTGGTGGACTTCTAGTCATTTTTTTCACATGCAGCTAAGATGAAGTTATATTTTTTTCTTCCTTCTATTTCCCTTTTTCCTTTCCCTTTCCTTTCTTTTGACAGGGTCTTGCTGTGTCACCCAGGCTGGAGTGCAGCGGCATGATCTTAGCTCACTGCAGCCTTGACCTCCAGGGCTCAAGCAATCCTCCCACCTCAGCCTCCTGAGTAGCTAGGACAACAGGCCCATGCTACCACACTCGTCTAATTATTTTTTGCAGAGACGAGGTCTCACTATGATGCCCAGGTCATGATCTTGAACTCCTGGGCTCAAGCCATCCTCCTGCCTCAGCCTCCCAAAGTGCTGGGATTACAGGCGTGGGTGAGCCACCATGCCTCGCCTTGAAGTGATATTTTCTACAGTAAAGTTTTTCCTTGATTGTATCATGGGATGAAATATTAGTTCATGGTATTCCACAAAGATGTTCTCCCTAGGCTCTGCTTCCTAAATAAGTTTGACAAACGCTGACCAAATCCTCCAGGGATTCCCTGTTAGTCATTCTTACTGGTTGAGTTCTTTGTGTGACGGGGAGCTCACTATCTCCAAAGCAAGTCCACTCCAGGTCTGGACAACGTGGATCTTCAGGGTGGCCCACCTTATTTTGGGATCCGTCAGTTCCTGTTCTTCCATCCCATCTACCCACCTGCTGGGGGAGACCTTTATAATCTATGGCCTGATAGCCAATGAGGGGTGAAGGGTGAGATAGAGAGAAGGAAGGGGGAGGGGGAGAGGAGAGAGAGAGAGAGAGAGAGAGGAGACGAGAGAGTGTTGGGGGCTCCATGGATTTAAGAACCGTAAACCTCAATGCCTGCCCTCAAGAGGTTCCTTGTCACCATGAGGAACAGCTGGGGTCCGGATGTAATGACCACAGGTGGTGGCTGCCAGTGCTCTGGGTGGTCAGAGGACCATGGGATTTCTTCCTCTGAGCTCTAACCCTGTGCACAGCCTCCCCAACTTCACCTCTCAGGTCCCACGTTGGACCCTTGTTAGTTTCGTAAGCTTGAGCCTGTTATTAAGCACCCTTGCACCGCTGTGTGCTCACATGCAAGATGAGGTGATCTGAGTGCACGCCTTGTAGACCTGGAAGTGTGAAGCAGAACCGTGGCTGTTACAGCTTAGCTTAGGTCCTGGTGCCTCTCAGCCTGGCCGTTACCTTCTGCTGCTGGCTTCAGAAACATTGGTCTCCCCGGGGGTCCCACTGGCCTTCCTTCTCACCTCTTTGCTAGTTCCCACCCTCATCTTGCCAATGTCACCTCCATGCCAATGTTTTCATTATTTTTTCCTACCTCTGCCACTATTCATTCACCCCTCAGCAGCTTTCACCGGAAATATTACAGCAGCCCCCTGACTGGTCTCTTTACTCCCAGCCTCTGTCCACTACACCGTGACCAAAGTTGTTTGTCTCAAGTTTAGCTAGCCTTTTATGTTACTCTTCTGTGCGTAAACACGAACTTTCATTCTCCTTGGCCAATGGCAGAAGTTTCTAATGTCTTCTTAGCCTCTCTCGAGGTATGAATCTGATAGACAAGCTGCTCTGCTTGGAGCTGGGGCAGGGGCCTGGATCCCCACCTGCATCTGCCCTTTCCCCAGCTCCAGGACCCCACCTGCACCTGCCGTCTCCCCATCTCCAGGACCCCACCTGTACCTGCCTTCCCCCCACCTCCAGGACCCCGCCTGCACCTGCCCTCTCCCCAGCTCCAGGACCCCCAACTCCAGGACCTTCACCTGCCCTCTCCCCAGCTCCAGGAACACTGGCATGTGGGAGGCATCTGGGGCTCCAGCGAGCACAGTGTAGAAGCCGGTAACTTGAGGAATAAAATTCAAGACTGTTGCAGTGGACAGATGGGGGCTTTTATTATCTGGCCTCAAATCCTTTCTTCAGTCTCATCTCCTGACTCAAAACTGCAGACCATTTCCCAGACATACTAAACATGTGGGGGTCACTGAGCCTTTGCTATCCTGCTTGGGTTGCCCTTTTTTTTTTTTTTTTTTTTTTTTGAAATAAGATCCAGCCCATCCACCAAGACCCAAGGCCTGGAGCATCTCCTTACCCTCAAGAAAGGACCTCTGGATGCATCTGGATTGGATCATGCGGATGCAGGTGGTAATGAGGATGGTGATGGTGGTGCTCCTGGTGATGGGTGTCATGGTGATGGTGGTGGTGCTGCTGGTAATGTTGTCATGGTGATGATGGTTGTCGTGATAATGGTGATCATTGTGATGGTAGTGGCGGTGGTGCTCATGATGGTGCTGCTGGTGATGGTGGTGATGATGGTTGTCATAATGATGGTGATAATGGTGATCATTGTGATGGTAGTGGCGGTGATGCTGCTGGTGATGGGGGTGCTCATGGTGATGGTGGTGCTCATGGTGTTGGTGGTGCTGCTGCTGGTGATGGTTGTCATGGTGATGGTGGTGATGAGGATGGTTGTCATAGTGATGGTGATAATGGTGATCATTGTGATGGTAGTGGTGGTGGTGCTGATGGTGATGGTGGTGCTGCTGCTGGTGATGGTTGTCATGGTGATGGTGATGAGGATGGTTGTCATAGTGTTGGTGATAATGGTGATCATGGTGATGGTAGTGGTGGTGGTGCTGATGGTGATGGTGGTGCTCATGGTGATGGTGGTGGTGCTGCTGGTGATGGTGGTGGTGATGGTGATCATTGTGATGGTAGTGGCGGTGGTGCCCATGGTGATGGTGATGGTGATGGTGTTGATAGCTACGGTGATAACATCAGTGGTGGTCATGGCAGCTGTCATTTACTGACCACCTCCTATGGTGAGTAAAAGTGTTTTCCATGTTGCTTTGCCATCACAACACATCCCTGTGAGGAAATATTATCTCCCATATTATCTCCACAGTGGAGGGAACAGAGACTAGAGTTGTTTTTCTTTTTTCTTCATTTTTTTTTTTCTTTTGAGAGATGGGTCTTGTTTTCTTGCCCAGGGTGGAGCTCGGTGATGCAATCATGGCTCAATGCAACTTCCAACTCCTGGGTTCCAGCGATCCTCCTGGTTCAGCCTCCCATAAGTGGGACTGCAAACGTGAGCCACCACACCCAGTTAATTTTTTTGTTAGAGACAGGGTCTCACTGTTGCCTAGGCTGGGCCTTGACTTCTTCATGTATCATGAGCTAGAGCTTGCAAGTGTTGGCCTTGCTACTTGGTGGCAAATCAGACCCTGTGAGTTGCAGTTTCCTCTTTAGTAAAATGGAGGTAGTGAAAGTCCTCTCTGTTCTGACAAGAGGTTCAGGTGTGCAACAGTAAAATTTTAATGAATAAATAGTGGGTGTGGAAGTTTGTAAATGATAAATTTACATTTATTTACAAACTGTAAATGATATTGCTGTTAGATTATGTT
Source organism: Homo sapiens (assembly GCF_000001405.40). Classification (NCBI taxonomy): domain Eukaryota; kingdom Metazoa; phylum Chordata; class Mammalia; order Primates; family Hominidae; genus Homo; species Homo sapiens. Next base: position 44,985,156 of record NC_000022.11, on the reverse strand, counting down.
CTTAAAGACAAGATGCTTGTGTGTGTTTAAAGCAGGAGCAAAAAGTTTTCGAAGTCCTAGTCACTGAAGTCGATACCCCAGCAGTGAAGTTCCTTGTGTTCCTGGAGGATGCCCTGCTGACAACCCCCTGCAGAGTTAACAGGATAACAGAAAACCCACAGGGTTGCCAACATCACTTTTAAAGACCTTGACACTCAGGTAGCATTTTCCAGGGGCTAGTACCTCCTGTTGCTTTTGCAGAGTCTTTGTGACATCACTTGATAGGTCTGACAAATCTCAGGTCAGGCCCAGGGTGCCGTCCGTTCCTCTTCTGCAGGGCTTGTAGTTGTGTTGGCCACCAGCGGGAAATGCCGAGGTTCTGGAAGGAAATAACAGGAATAGAAAACAGTCCTAATGTGACTTTTCTTGAAAAATAAAGCTTTCCATGAAATAACAGGATAAGCAGTCCTATCACCTTACAAATTAAATTAATAACTTACAGAGCAGGATTGAAATACAAATAAGCATGTATGTCACGCACTTTCATTCTCATGCTGAGCAGGTGTTTAACTCTCAGATGTGCCTCCAGCTACGGCATTGCCAGGCTTTGCACAGGGGCCCTCAGAGCCAGCCCCTTGACTGCACCTGAATCCCCGAGCTCTGTTCACCTGCGGAAGCCTGGTGCCTCCCCATACCTGGGGAATCCACCACTGGGTCCAGGAGTCTGTGTGTAACATGCTTCCCACAAGATTCGGGATCCCCTGAAGTTTGAGAACCAAGGCTCTGGGTAAGGTTAACCTTTTCCCTGGCCACCTGACCAGATGGAAAGATGTGAAGGTCATGCTTCTTCAGCTCTTACTGGCCCTTTTGTGGTGGTGATGATGATGATGATGGTGGTGGTGGTGGTGGTGATGGTGATGATGATGGTGGTGGTAATGAGGGTGGTGATGGTGATGGTGGTGGTGATGATGGTGGTAGTGGTGGTGATGATGGTGGTTGTGATGGTGATGATGGTGGTGATGGTGGTGATGATGATGGTGATCATGATGATGGTGATGGTGGTTATGGTGGTGATGATGGTGATGATGATGGTGATGGTGGTGGTGATGGTGATGATGATGATAGTGATGATGGTGGTGATGATGCCAATGATGATGGCGGTGGCTGTCATGCCTTGCTAACCTCTGGGAAAGATTGAGGACATCGGCATGTCGGAAAGGGGCCCAGCTCCAGTTCCTCAGAGTACATGCCTTGAATACTTGGGCATGGAATCTCCCCAAACTTCCCTTTTCCCACCTGCAAAATGGAAATAATATCTGTATCAGCTATAAAGGCTTATGCAAATATTAGTGGTTTTATTATAATTCAGAGGACTACCCTGGAGTTTAATCCTCTGAGTAAAAAGCAGGAAGTAAAAACTGTAGCAGTTTGTAAACAGTCTGTGATGTTAGATTGTTTCCATTTAACATTTTATGTGATTGGTGTTTAGACATTTCTCTTCATCTGCATTGGTTTTTCTTAGGGTAGATTTTCAAACTTATGTCTTTTAAAATACTTTTAAAAAATACAAAAAGTACAGAAGATGATGTGCTAAGCCTCCCTCGCCTGCCCTTTGGTGTGGTGTTTGCGACGGCCCAGGGCCCAGCTCTTCCAGGCTTGTCTGCTGATGCCCACAGGGACCCCTCCCTGCAGTCTTTGTTCCGGTTTCCTCAGGGCCTTTGCCACTAGTGGGGGTTCATGCTGAAGCCTCTGCCTGAGGTAGTGAGTTCCCCTGGGCCAAGTGGCTAGGGACAGCTGGACCTCCCTAAGAGCCACCAGCGGCAGCAAACATGCCAACATGTCTGCAGGTCAATGGGTGAGAAGCAAGAGGAGCCCAACTCGCTTTCCCGTTTTAGGTCATTCACTAGATTTCCCCCGGTTTTGCCTTTTTTTTTTTTTTTTTTTGAGACAGAGTCTCGCTCTGTCGCCCAGGCTGGAGTGCAGTGGCATGATCTCGGCTCACTGTAACCTCCGCCTCCTGGGTTCAAGCAATTCTCCTGCTTCAGCTTCCTGAGTAGCTGGGATTACAGGCGCCTGCCACCATGCCCGGCTAATTTTTGAATTTTTAGTGGAGACAGGGTTGGTCCGGCTGGTCTCAAACTCCTAACCTGAAGTGATTCTCCCACCTCGGTCTCCCAAAGTGCTGGGATTACAGGCATGAGCCACCGCGCCCGGCCCCTTGCATACATCTTGGTCCAAATCAGATTCTGTCTTGGGGAGCATCATTTCATAATCTCTGCTGGCTTTGAACTTGTCACAGTTCAGACGTCTTCCTTCTTCTGGCTCCTCCTGGTAGCCCCAGGTGCCTCCTTCCTGACAGAGCCTGCTGCTCCCGTAATACACACTCACCCCTAATGAGCTACTTAAAAATAATCAATGATTTCCAGATAAAAATCACCATTAATTTTAAATGCCCTCTGTAAACCTTGTTACAAATAATTGCCAGAAACACACAAAGTCTGAAATTAATTAAAATCGACAGCCTCATTTGACGGGAGTTGAGCTTCTGGCTTCTTGGTTATGTGCGTCTCTTGCTTGGGCAGAAGCAGTGGCTGCGAGATGTGAGCCCATGGGGGAGTTTGCTTAGGACCCGCCGAGCACTTGGGCCTGTGGAGGAGTGGGGAGGACACGGGCTTAGAGTCCTGCAGACTTGGCTGGCTGGCCTGTGCCCTCTTAGGGTAATCGGATGACTTTCCGAGCCCCAGGTTTCTCATCTGTGGAAGGGTTTGGTAGTGCCAGCTCCCCAGGGTTGCACGTAGGTGATGGCAAGGGTGTGCCTGCCCCAAGTGGATGCTCAGTCATGATCTTGTCGTCTTTCCTCTTCTCTCTCCCTGCCCCAGATCAGCCTTTGCAAAGTACTCATACTGGGTCATTCACTCACTCATTCACTCCTGCAGTGAGATACACAGAAGCTGATAGGCAGCAGAGGCGGCAGGGACACCGGGTTCCCCTCATCTGAAAAAAAAACACTGAGGCTGAGAATGGAGAAGTGACTTAGTCTGGGCCAGTCCTGGCAGAACCAGGAGAGAACCTGTGTGCCATGACCCCCTAGCCCAGCGCTGTTTCCACCGCCACACCCCCGTTCCCTCGGGGCTGGTGGGTGATGGGGAAACCGCATTTGCCAAGGCAACGGGAGGCAGCCGAGGGCTGGGGCTGGGAAGTCCTGCAACCCCCTGGCCCTAGGGTGGCACGAGCCCCTTTCTCAGCAGTGGGGTACGTGTGCAGGCACCAGCCAGTTCTTCAGCTGGGTTGCCATAGTAACTGGATACACTTTTGTTACCTTCTTTTCATGGTCAACCTTTTGTCAGTTTCCATTCCAGAACTCTGAGAGTCATCCCAGCGTGTCCTTGAGCAGAACACCTGCGTGCCGCTGTAGCTTGTCACATTTCTTTGTTGGTCCCCGTGTAGCTGTTGTTAAGGGGCACAGAAAAGCCAGTGTCCCCTCCCTCCCCTCCTTTCTGAGAGAGCACAGGTGAAGGGCTTGTCCAGCCAGGAACGAATTCTCAGGTCCACTCTTCACTGATGCACAAATGCTAGGCAGTCACTTAGCATCTCTGAGTCTTGGTTTCCTCATCTGCAGAATCAGGAAAGTCACATTTCCCTGATCATTAGCCTGTTCATTGAGCCAGGGCTTCCTGAGCACCTGCTGCCTGCCAGGCCTTGGGTGAGGTGCTGGGTTCATGACAGCACAGGGTCCCCACCTTCAAGACCATAGCCAGATCTGCAGACAGATCAGTAAACTCCAACTTGGTGAGTGAGGCGGGGAGTGCAGAGGTCTGAGGGGGTCACGAGAAGGAGCTACCAGCCCAGCCAGGGGCTGCTGGAGACAGTATCCGAGGAGGGTAGAGATGACACAGGGAAAGTGTTGAACAGATCATGCCGCTCAGTTAGGGCAGTTTCTTGCCTCCTCCTCCCTCTCCCTCCCAGTCTCTAGGTCTCTCCTCTCCTCCCCTCTGTCTCCCTCTTTCTCCAACCTGATGGGAAGCTTTGGACATAAAGGCCGTTTCCTCATCAGACTTCTTCTATGCCTTTGGTCCCAGAGACACGGCAACCCCCACGCCCTACCCTAAGTCTCTGCAGACAGCAGCTCCGGAGAAGAGAACAAAGCTTGGGACTTATTTATTTCCCGTTTTGCAGAAATGTTTATTTGAAAGCAGCACAGCAAGGTGGAATGGTTTGATTTGATTAGCAAGTCTAAATGTATTAGCAGCAAGACAGAAACGATATTACAATTAGCAGTAATTAGCTGTGTGATGACTCTGGGCGGCAGTGCTGGGTGACAGATGCTGCTTCCTGGTCCCGGGTTAGACGGAGAGGGCATGTTACCCTTGTGAAGGGGCTCGGCTTCCTGGGGCGGGCAGAGGACCCTGGCCTTGTTTTCAAGGCTGAGTGACAGCTAATTGTCCCTTGGAAGAGACACAGGTGTCAGCACCCACTTGTGTTGTGTGGAAAGTGACTTTGCGGTCTTGGGGGAGGCAGTGGCTTGACTTGTATGGATTTGGAAGCTTCGCAGCTGCCCTGAATTTGCCTCTGATGGCAGTGGCTTCCTTCGTACCACTCATCCCTTTTCCAATCTTTATCACACACAGCTCCTCCAGACCCCCTTCACTGGGTTTTACTTATGGGCTGGCTCTGTCCCTGAGATGTGGCCTGTGCTGCATCCCTGGGCCTCCAAGGTCTGCAGTGTGGACGCCCTGTGTGGTGATGCCCGGTAACCCTGCAGGGTGCTGGACATACACTCAGGAGACTCTGGGAACCGTGTGTCCACATCGCTACATGTTACCTACTTCAGCGTGGGTGAGCAGTGACTGCAAGCCAGTCTGAGGTGTAGATAGAGACACCTGAGACCCTGAACCTGTCCTCCAGGAGTCCAGATCTTCCACTGGGGGCCAGACATGCTGACATCCTGCAGAAAGAAACCAGTGCTCCTTTTGGAGTGGTGAAAATGTCCTGGAACTTGGCAGGGGTGGTGGTTGCACAGCTTCGCAAATGGAGTAAATGCAGTGGCCTCGTAGGCTTTGAAATGGTTACTTCTTCTTTCCTTTTTTTTTTTTTTTTTTTTTTTTTTTTGAGACGAAGTCTTGCTCTGTTGCCCAGGCTGGAGTGCAGTGGCGTGATCTTAGCTCACTGTAGCCTCTGTCTCCCGGGTTCAAGCGATTCTCCTGCCTCAGCCTCCCGAGTAGCTGGGACTACAGGCACCCGCCATGATGCCTGGCTAAATTTTGAATTTTTAGTAGAGACCGGGTTTCACCATGTCGGCCAGACTGGTCTTGAACTCCTGACCTCAAATGATCCCCCTGCCTCAGCCTCCCAAAGTGCTAGGATTACAGAAGTGAAATGGTTACTTTTATATTATGTCAATGGTTTTACCTCAATGAACAAAAACAAGCAAGACAACAAGACATTTTGAAAGCCCAAACACCATAAACTGGGCACAGCTTAAAGTGTCTGAGCACACACAGCCGGTAAATGGAGATAGTCATGGACACCAAGTCTCCCTCTGAGCAGGGAAGGAGCTGGAGGAGCCAAGAGGGGAGAGGCACAGCTGCCACGGCGCTGGGCACGTCACAGGCCAGAGTTGGAGAAGGCTGGGGAGGACACTGGGCAGACATGAGACAACCTTTCCTTTCTGCCACTGGCTGCCCTCCAGGGGCTGCAGGAAGGGGTCAGGGTCTGCCTTCCTATGGCTGGGAGGGGGCTGGCAGTCCTGCAGCCCCGCCTGTCCTTAAGACTGCCTCCTGAGTGCCCTTGCACGACCTCGGGTGCCTGTCAGAGACCACGACAGCCTCTGGAGTGTTGGCTGCTCTTTCCCTGGTGTCACACGTGAACTTGGCCTTGGCCACTGTGTTCATCAGGCCGCCAATACCAAAGGACCAGGGCTGCTCAGAGAGGCAGCCCCCAGATGGCACCTCCTCCCTGTACCCCACTGCCCCCAAGCCAGCAGGAGGATCCTCCACACTCTAGATCTCTGCCAAGCACTGTGGGTGCAGGAGAGAATGAACCAGATGTGGTCTACCCTTAGGGGGCTGCAGCTGGAGCTGCCTGAGCCACGTGGCAGCGAGGTCTAGGGGTGCTGGAAAGGGACAAAGCTGGAAGAAATGTTTTCTGAGCCCAAAGTGCAGTTTCATTGCAGGGGGTGGTTGTTACTGGGGGTGAGGCTGTGAACTGGGAAGATGCCCTGTCCTGCGTTTTCTCCCCGGGGCCAGTGGGCCTGCCTCACCTGGGATCTCCAGATGCAGCAGCTGCACGCAGAGTCTACACAGCAGTGGCCACCTGGTTCCCCTGTGGACACATCCTTTGTTCCTCAGAATGAAACCATCTTGTCAACAGCCTTCGCCTATGGGAGCCAGGAGATTGGTTAGCTCCTACGGGAGCCAGGAGATTGGGCAGGTGTAGTAGAAGAGGAAAAAAGGGCGGTCATTCTACAATTGGGAGGATGCCTTACCCGAATCAGAGAAATGCTGATGAAAACCACAGGGAGGCTGGGCGTGGTGGCTCACGCCTGTAATCCCAGCACTTTGGGAGACCGAGGCGGGTGGATCACTTGAGGTCAGGAGTTTGAGACCAGCCTGACCAACATGGAGAAACCCTGTCTCTATGAAAATACAAAAATTAGCCAGGTGTGGTGGCGCATGCTTATAGTCCCAGCTACTTAGGAGGTTGAAGCAGGAGAATCGCTTGAACCCGGGAAGCGGAGGTGGCAGTGAGCCTAGATCGCGCCACTGCACTCCAGCCTGGGCATCGCAGGGAGTCTCCATCTCAAAAAACAAACAAAACAAACAAAAACAAAATCACAGGGAGAGTCCTTTTTGTTTCTTCCAGACGAATACCAACACTGAAGGAGAATGATGACGGTGTTGGGGGCTCCTGGGTGTGAGGAGTGCTGCTGGGTGGGAAGTGGGAGAATTTGGAAAACAATTCGGAAACATCTAGTAAAGATGAGGGGAGATGTACATCTCCTGCAAACCGGAGATCCCACTTGTAGGTATTTCCCATAGAGAAATTATTACACACGTGTCCTGGGAGGCCTGAAAATCCTAGCAGCCAAAATGAAATACAACAGAATGTGGCCACCACTGATGGATAATGGATAAATATGCACATGTATGCACTGTGTCTACAGCAAGGAAAAGGAATGAGTGAGGCCACGTGCAACAACCTTGACTCTTGGGAGCTTGGAGTTGAAGTTTTCTTCAAAAAGTTGCAGAAGAAAACTTCATATGATTTCATTTAATTAAAGTTCAAAACATGCAGGCCAGGTGCAGTGGCTCACACCTGTAATCACACACTTTGGGAGGCCATGGTGGGAGGATTACTTGAGGCCAGGAGTTCGAGATCAGCCTGGGCAACATGGTAAAACTCCATCTCTACAAAAAAAAAAAAAAATGAAAAATGAGCTGGGTGTGGTGGCATGCACCTGTAGCCCCAGCTACTCTAGAGGCTGAGGTGAGAAGATCGCCTGAGCCCAGGAGGTTGAGGCTGCAGTGAGCCATGATTATGCCACTGCACTCCAGCCTGGGTGACAGAGCAAGATCCCATCCCAAAAAACAAGCGATATCCTTTTTTTTTTTTTTGAGACACAGTCTCGCTCTGTCACCCAGGTTGGAGTGTAGAGGTATGATCGCATCTCACTGCAACCTCCGCCTCTCAGGTTCAAGTGATTCTCCTGCCTCAGCCTCCCAAGTAGCTGGGCTTACAGGCGCACACAACCACACCTGGCTAATTTTTGTATTTTTAGTAAAGATGGGGTTTCACCATGTTGGCCAGGCTGGTCTCAAACTCCTGACCTCTGGTGATCTGCCCACCTCGGCCTCCCAAAGTGCTGGGATTACAGGTGTGAGCCACCACCGTGCCTGGCCTGATACACTTTTTGATATACATATGTGGTAAACTATTAAAAAAAAAGTCTGGGAATGAAAAATACAAAATAGTAGTAGTTACCTGTAGCGAGTGGAGGATTTCAAAGTGAATATTTATTTTATTTTTTCCTTTCTTCGTTTTTTTCTTTCTTTTCTTTTTGAGACAGGGTGTCATTCTGTCATCCAGGCTGGAGTGCAGTGACATGATCACAGCTCACTGCAGCCTCACCCTCTCGGGCCCAGGTCAGCCTCCCTAGTATTAATAGCAGGGACTACAGGAGTGTGCCACCTTTTTTGCATCTTTTGTAGACACAGGGTTTTGCCATGTTGCCCAGGCTGGTCTTGAACTGCTGGGCTCAAGCGGTCCTCACACCTGGGCCTCCTAAAGTGCTGGGACTGCATTGTGAGCCCCCGCCCGGCCCTGGCCACTTTCTTAACCCGAGTGCTATGTACATGGATGCTTCTGGTATTATTCTTCAAATGTTACACGTTTTAGAACCTTTAATCTCTCTTCAGTACTTAATAAAACATCTGTATGTTTTTAAATGGGCCTGTAGGTGTGGGGCTTCCTGCCTCAAATGTGAAATTCTGTGCTTTAGTACAGGCAGATGGGTCTGGGCTGTCCTTGGACATACAAGGACCTCCAGGGACAGGACACTTCCAGCTCCCCAGAGGCTGCAACTTGTATAACTTGCAGAAACAAGACGGAACAGTCAAAAGTGCATGAAACCAACTGTGTAAATTGTGAAATGTGAATTGTAATTTTGCTTTTTTCCTTCTAAAATGGCATGAAGTCCACATTTTAAAAGTTTGGATAGGGAAAGATTGGTCAATGGGTACAAAGTTACAGTTAGGTGGGAGGAATAGTTCTGGTGTTCCATTGCACAGCAGGGTGACTGTTGTGCTAACAATATGGTATTATGTATCTTAAGACAGTGTGAAGAGAGGATTTTGAGTGTTCTCACCACAAAGAAATAATAAATGTATGAGGCGATGGATATGCTAAATACCTTGATTTGATGATTACACAATATGTACATGCATCAAAATATCCTACTGTACCCCATGAATATGTAGTTATGTGTCAATTAAAAACAAAATGTTTTCTTGAGACAGGGTCTTGCTCTGTCGCCCAGGCTAGAGTGCAGTGGCGCAATCATGACCCACTGCAGCCTCAGCCTCCTGGGCTCGGGTGATCCTCCCACCTCAGCCTCCTGAGTAGCTGGGACTACAGGTGTGCACCACCATGCCAGGCCAAATTTTTTGAATTTTTTTGTAGAGATGAGGTTTCGCCATGTTGCCCAGGCTGGTCTCGAACTCTTGAACTCAAGCAATCCGTCTGCCTTGGCCTCCCAAAATGCTGGGAATTACAGGCGTGAGCCACTGTGCCCAACCCAAAATTTTTAAAATAGGTTTTCTTTTTAACCAAGGTAAATTCTGGAAATGAAGCAAAACTGACCAGCGCCCTCTCCTGGGCGAGTTGGAAGTGGAGCCCTGGGTGGGAGGACCCGCTGGCCCCAAGAGCCCTGCTGGTTCAGCACCACGGACAGCACTCAGGGCAGCCTCTTTACTGGGCGTGGCCGTGGGCTTCCCTCGCTGATTTGGCCGCAGCTTTGGGGAGGAAGGTGGCAGGAGCCTGGGTTCCCTCCTGCCTTCCTCGTAGGCTGAGATGAGCTGGAAGAAGCTCATGCCACAGTGCGCAGCATAGCTCGGTGTTCTGTAAATGCTTAGAAAACCCTCTCTGCTGTCAGGGCAGGAGGGCGCCCAGTGATGAGACCTGCTTGCGACTCATGAGGGGACTCCATGTGCAGTACCGATGTCACCAGGCCTAGAGGGACGCCTGCTCTCCATACACTTTCTAGGCTGGCTGGAGGGAGGGGAGGGACAGGGGCCTCTTATGGCTCTGTGAGACACCCACCCAAAGGCGCTTCCTGCTCCGGAAGGAACAGTGTCACGGTGGCCAGAGGGGGAGTCCAAGGCCAGGCAGGTGCTGGTCACTCCTTGGGCTCATCCCAGGCGTGGGGCTGGCTGAGGGAGCTGAAGTGTCTCAGCCAGGAGCTTGGACCCTTGATTCTGCTTCCCTGGAGAAAAGGTGGGTTTGATGGAGAAGGGGTGAGAGGAGGATGGTGATGGGGGCTTCAGGAAGATTCTCTGCTCTCTTCCCTCAGCCAAGGGTGCAGATTGGGGAGCAGGTGGAGAGAGAGGAGAAGGTGGGGTCAGCGTCCAGGACAGGCTGTGGCTCCATGCTGGAGGAGAGACAGAGACCGACAGGAGGATGTCTGAGGATTCTTTCAGCTTTGAATTGTAGGATGTTTGTTTCTCATCACAACACCCATGTGTTAATTCACATTTCATTTTGATCTGCTTGTTCAATGATTGGGTACTGAGTGGTATTAATATGATCAGAATTTTCAATAACAGAGAATATTACGCTATTCATTGAAACAAATTGGTTGGCATCTATATCTCCATATACCACCCTGGTCTTATTAGATCTAAATCATATTCACGCTCAGCGCTCTGATTTGAACTGTAAACCCAGCATGGGAGGCGGGATACCTGCTGTTTGAAGAGCTCTCTTTCTCCTCCAATTTCTGGTCTGATTGGACACACACTGTATAGCACCAGGCTGCATCTATGAGCAGGTCAGGTGGTGACGAGGGCCCGGAAGTGACCCGCTGTGGTCACAGTGGATTTGCCTAGTGTTAAAACTCAATGTAAGCTGCACGGATGTAGGACTTTGTGCAGGGTGGTACCAACACATGTGGGTATGTCGGCTGTTTGGGTGAAAATGTAAGCATGTGTCATGTCAGGGTGTGTTTGTGCAGACCTCTGTGTCCTTAAGCATATGCATTTTTTTTTTTTTTTTTAAGACAGGGTCTCTGTCGCCCAGGCTGGAGTGCAGTGGTGCGATCATGGCTCACTGCAGTCTCAACCTCCTGGCCTCAAGTGACCCTCCTGCCTCAGCCTCCCGAGTAGCTGGGACTACAGGCATCCGCCACCATGCCCAGCTGATTTTTATATTTTAGTAGAGACAGGGTTTCGCCATGTTGGTCAGGCTGGTCTCGAACTCCTGGCCCTCAAGTGATCCACCTGCCTCGGCCTCCCAAAGTGTTGGGATTACAGACGTGAGCCACCGCACCTGGCCGCATATGCACGTTTACAGCATCACACACAAACACTCCAGGCAGAGAATGGAACTGATAGTCACGCCTGTCTGCTGTGGCCTCAGCCCAAAGCTTTTAGTACTTCTGAGCAAGGAGGAGTGTCAGCCTGGCCAGGGTGTCTCACTGGTGTCCAAAAACTACGCCCCTAGTGTTGTTTCTGCTAATTCTGCCTACATTGTCCTTACCTGCCTCCTCTTCTGGCTTATTCCTGCTAATTTGTTAAGAATTGACTTGGCACCACCTCCTCCAAGAAGTCTTCCCTGACTTCCCAGTGCTGGGCTAGGTCTTGTTCAGCTAGTTGCATAGCTTCTGGGGACAAGAGCCACACTTTCCTCTCCCATGGCGACCCCACCCTTACACTGTCTTGAGAAAGCTGGGAATACAGTGGGTACTCTGTATATGTTAGTTGTGTTTCAGAATGGTTCCTTTTCCCCTCACCCCAGTCAAGCACAGTGGGATTTTTCTCCAGTATTCACTTGGAGACCCTGGTGGGGTTTCTGAAGGTAAGCCTTATAAAAGTGTGCCCCCCACCCCACGCTGAGCCCCTAGGTTTTAAGTCTTGAGGTAGCCCCCACTCAGCTTGAGCAGTTCGCTGAAGTTGCCTTTTTGTTCCTCCCAGTTCCTGGCTCCAGCAGCCTGTCCTCACTGTGAGCTGTGGTTCTCTGTCTCCGCCTGTCTCTTTAGTTTTAGGGTTGGCTGTTTGTCCTGTAACCTCAATTTTCTGAGGATTCTAAGAAAAGTCACTGATTTTCAGTTTGCTTAACTTTTTTCTGGTTTCAGGGGTGGGAGCTGACATCTGCCAATCTGGAAGTTGATGTGCATAGGTTGAGTGCACTTGAATCTTCTCTTTGCTTCTTTGGCGGACCCAGGGTCCAGGGACAGGGAGGGGACAGGGTGGAGACCAGCAGACCCCGTTTTCTCTGACTGGGGCCTGAGGACCTGAAGGGAATGCAGCCCCTCGGGGACTTCTGTATTAAACACAGACACACAGACTCCACCGGGCTGTGATGACTGGGGGTGGGGAGTCAGTCATAGTGTTTGCACTTAATTCTGACAACAAAGCTGAGGGTCATCAGAGCCCGGAGTGGGAGTTTGTTAAAGTGACAGTCACCTGGTGTCATTCTCACAGCTGAGGACCTCCTGCATGGCGGGGAGGGTGTGCCTCCTCATCTCTGAGCGCCCTGCCTGCCAACCTCCCTCCCCCGCCCCTACTTCCTTGGCCTACTTGGGCCTTGGCACCAGGCCTGTGCCAGGGCCCAAGTTGTCTGGCAGCAAAGACACAGTCCCTGTCTGTAGGGGGACGGACACACAGCTCCTTTGCACACAGCTTTGGGACAGGGAGAGGGGCAGAATCCTATTTGTCCTAGGAGAAGCTCAGCTCCACCTGGGTGGGACATGCAGCAGGTGCTCAGTGTTTGTTGACTGACTGAGTGAGGGCTTTCAAGGACCCACACGATGTCCGCTTCTGCCCAGAGCACCCTGAGCCGACGTACATGAGGAGTTTCCACTGAGGAGCCATGTCAGGGCGTGCAGTGTGGGCCTGGAGAGCCAGCACCGGCTTCCTGGTTCCACTGAGCAGCCGCGTCCGCCAACACTCGGTTTCCGGCTTCCTCATTGCACTGAGCAGCCGCGTCTGCCAACACTCGGTTTTCGGCTTCCTCGTTCCACTGAGCAGCAGCGTCCGCCAACACTTGGTTTCAAGCTTCTTTGGCTTTTCAGGTTTTTTCCCCTCTTAACAAAATGATGAAAATGCACAACAGGCCGAAATGCCCAAATCCGTCACTCATGATACATTTTACCAAAGTCAAAAGAAAAAAGAAACGTCCTCCTTAATCACCTTTCATATTTTCATTAGCAACATCAAAGCGATCAGGTCTGGGAAAGCCCATCTGAGTCATGTCTCTGGTAAGAAGTTGATGAAGAATACAAAGGAACTTGAATTTCAAAGCCAAGCCTTTATCTCTCATTCATGTTTTCTACTGTGAGGGCTCCCCCAAGACCCAGCCCTGTCATTCATTAGGGGAGGGCCTGCAGGTCTGAGCAGACACAGTGTTGCCCACCCTAAAGCATTCAGTGCAGCCGGTATGGGTGACCCTGTCCTGAGCCCACTGGAACCCTCATCTCTCCCCCCAACTGCAACCCAGGGATAGGAGTTGCTTAACCTCCCTGAGCCTGTTTTCTTATGTGTTTATTAGCAGCTGTGGGGCGCCTGCTTCATGCCTTACTTTGTGCTGGACCAGGTGGTATGCAAGGAACGACAGACATGTCCGTAAGGAGCTTGAGGCTGAGCTTGGGAGACAGACGCAGCAAGTGCGGGAGGGGTCAGTGCAAAGCCATGTCAGGGCATGCAGTGACCCAGAGGAGAGATTGGCTCTACCAGGCACACCCACGAGGGCTCCCTGGAGGTGGAGGCACAGTGTGTTTTGATGGCTTGTGGGAGGGCTAAGTTTTCTGGGAAGGGAGAGAGAGAGCCGCCCAAGGGCCAGGCCCTGTTGTCTCAGCAGCCCCAAGGCACTGGAAGCCCTGGAGTGGATGGTGGTGTTGGGGAATTCAGGCTTCTGCAGGTACCCGGGAGAGCAAAGGGTGGACACAGTGGAAATTGGTCCCAAGTCACCCAAAGTCCAAGAGTGGAAAGTGGAGACCCCTTCTCAGTATCTCCCCAACTCTGTGTGCGGTACAGGTGGTCTCGGATGCACTCCTTCTGCTGCCTACCCCGAATGGCCCTGAGGAGGGCTGTTTACCAGGCACCAATGCTTTATCATCTGAAAAACACATGGCAGAAAGAATTCAAGGGAGGACGGAGAAAACCCAAAGATACCTTGTCAGGTGAGAGGAGGGCTTCAGAGTCACTCACGCCAAACAGGCTTCATAGCCACGCCAGGGGCCCATGATGGTGATCTACAGGGTCCAGCCGTGAGTGAGGAGCCCTGTGGTTGAAAAACACAGGGTGTGGGTGGATTAGAACTCCTTCCAAAACACAGATTATTGAGCCTTTCCTCCCAGGGTTTTAGATTTAATCACTCTTGGGTGGGCCTGAGAATTTGCATTTTGAGGCGAGTCCTCATGCTCTGCTGGTACTGCTGGAATGGCCACCACACCTTGAGCACCGCTGGGTTGGAGGAGGAGTGCTGACGGAGTGCTAAGCTGATCTCATCCTGGCCAGACCTTAGGAGGTGAGTGGTTTCATTTTACAGATGAAGAAATAGAGGCAAAACAGACGAAGAGCCACCCCCCATTTTCTGCTAGTCAGAATGTAATCAGCATGCAGATTGAAGGAAGTCTTAGACTGTGTCCCTCGCCACTTGTCCCCCAAATCTTTCCTGGCTGTATAGTCTCCAAAGAGCTTAGAGTTAAATTTGGGGCAAAGAGGGAACCCTGAGAAGTGAGGCTGGAGGGGGCAGGACCATGGTTCTCTGTGGCTGGACTGGATGAGCAGTGCTAGAGCAGTTCGGCGAGCTTTGACCACACGGACCCACCTTGACCCTGAACCCAGGTTTCTAAGGAGGGCCGAGAATTGGCCTAGGAATTGCTGCTGTTGAAGGTAGGCAGGTGTGGGGAGGGTCATGCTGGCCTTGGTACCACTGCTGAGGTGGTTAAGGGGAGACCCTGGGGAGCCACTGGTGGCTCTGTAGCAGCAGACCTAGAGGGGTGGGCATGGGGCTGCCGCCTGGCACACCCAGCCCTACCAGGTCCCACCCTCCCCTGGCACAGGTGCTGCCTTTGGTGGTGCAGCTGTGCTTGACCAGCATCTGCCCAGTGGCTTTGCAGAATGAACTAGGAATTCCTGGAATCTCGAGCCTATAAAAATAGTGTGCAGAAAAGATTCCCCCCTGCCCTTCTGTGCAGAGCAGGTCACATGGCATGGCCAGCCTGGCTTCAAGGGATGGGGAATATGCCTCCCTTCAGGACGCTTTTAATCTTTCTTCCTAGTGGAAAGCTTACTGGCCTGGGATCGAGGCAGGAGTGCCATGCATCTCCGATAAGCCAGCTCTGTGGCCTTGGGCTGGCCGCACAGCCTCCCTGGGCTCTGGCTTCCCCGAGTGCCAGTGCTAGCGTGGAGCTGTGATCTTGGTTGACCACCTGTAGAGTTGACCACCTGTAGTTTCATGAAGTGGCTGCGCTGCTGGAGGATGTGATGATGATAGAGTCAAGAGCTTGAAGGTTGTCCAGAGCGCATGGAAAAACGAGACAGTGTTCAAATCTCAGCCCTTAGTAGCTGGATGTCCTTGGGCCAGTTACTTAACCTCTCTGTTCCTCCATTTCCTCATCTGTAAAATGGGACACTATAGGCCCTTATAGAATAGTGGCAAGGATCAGGTGAGATAGCGGAAAGTCTACACTCAGCCATGCATGTCATATGCTGAGCCAGCTGGGCCCCCAGGCTTTCACGCACCTCATCTGCAATCCTCAAATGGCTCCATTTTTCTTTTTCTTTTTCTTTTTTTTTGAGACTGAGTCTCGCTGTATGACCCAGGCTGGAGTGCAGTGGCGTGATCTCAGCTCACTGTAACCTCTACCTCCCAGGTTCAAGTGATTCTCATCCCTCAGCCTCCCGAGTAGCTGGGATTACAGGTGCCCACCACCACGCCTGGCTAATTTTTGTATTTTTAGTAGAGACGGAGTTTCACCATGTTGGCCAGGCTGGTCTTGGGCTCCTGACCTCAAGTGATCCGCCCGCCTTGGCCTCCCAAAGTGCTGGAATTATAGGTGCGAGCCACCGTGCCCGGCCGGCTCCATTTTTCAGTTGCAGAAATGGAGGCCTAGGAGTTGAACCCCACACCCTCCTGACTCCACAGCTCAAGCGCCTTTCCAGGCCTCAGTCTAAGAGCTTGAGGGTGGAAGAACGAGGCAGCTTGCAGCAGCTGGCTTTGGGGTGTCCTTTGTGATGAAAACACCCCTCCTTTTAGGGAGCTCCTGCAAACTGATGCCAGCAGGGCCAGGCGAGCATGGATCACGTGGACACGGAGGCCCTTTGTCCTGCTTCGTCCGTCCAACCCTATGCCAGTGAGCTCCACGAAGCAGTGACGCCTGCAGAGACTCTGGCCACAGGAAGTGTCAGTATCCTTTGGTGCAGCTGTGAATGGTGCCCAGGAGCTGAGCGTCTTGTAGTGCCTGAAGGTAACAACAAAAAACAGAATAATGGGACTCTTATGTCAAAGCGACACAGAGCCAAGTCAGAGAGCCCCCAGTGGCCACAGCTGGAGCAGTTTGAGCTACAAAGTCAATAAAGTAGGACAGGTTGAGTATTCCTCTTCCAAAAATCTGAAACCCAAAAAAATCTGCTCTGAAACCTGACACTTTGAGTAGTGATGGGACACTCAAAGGAAGCACTCATTAGAGCATTTTGGATTTTGGATTTTGGGGTTAGCGAGGCTCAGTGGATAAGTATAATGCAAGTCCTTCAAAATACAAAAAATATAAATTCCAAAACATGTATGGTCCCAGGTATTTTTTTTTTTTTTTTTTTTTGAGATGGAATCTCACTCTGTTGACTAGGCTGGAGTGCAGTGGCGCAATCTCAGTTCACTGCAACCTCTGCCTCCCAGGTTCAAGCAATTCTTCTGCCTCAGCCTCCTGAGTAGCTGGCATTACAAGCACGTGCCACCACGCTCGGCTACTTTTTGTATTTTTAGTAGAGACAGGGTTTTGCCATGTTGGCCAGGCTGGTCTCGAACTCCTGACCTCAAGTGATCTGCCCACCTCAGCCTCCTAAAGTCCTGAGATTACAGGTGTGAGCCGCTGTACCCAGCCTTATCCCAAGCATTTCGGATAAGGGATACTCAATATGTGTTGCATCATAGACCAAGTACAGAGTAAACATTTCTTAGTCCCTGCTGATGCAAATAAATGATTCAATAAATGAATAAAGACGAGACAAATCTTCCATGCAGAAGAGTTTCAAATAATTTATGTAGCTACTCCGCCCTCAAGGAGGGAGGGGTAACTCTCACCCCTTAAGGGTGAGCTGGGCGCAGTGGCTTTCTCCCAAAGATCACAGTGTGGAAGGAAGGAAGTAAAGTAACTGCTCTGAAGACGCCTGACAGTCACACCTCAGCCAGGTCACCAAGGTCAACACCAACAATGACAAGCCAGGTCGACAAGATGCGCTCTTGATACGTGATGGAAATGGTACCAGACACCTTTACAGTCTTCCTCCCCAAAGCCCATAACCCCAGCCTCATCAAGAGAGAAACAGACACATCCCACTAAGAGGACATTCTGCGAAATTCCTGACCCGTCCTCAGACTGTCCAGGTCATCAATAACAAGGAGAGTCAGAAACTCTCCCAGCCCAGGGCAGCCTGGGGAGAGCGATGATGAAATGTCATGTGGGATCCTCGTTGGGATCCTGAGACAGAAAAGGACATTGGGAGAAACAAAGGAAGCCTGAACACAGTGTGGACTTCAGTTAACAAACTGTGTGCATGACATTGGTTCCCTAGTGGAGGCAGATGCACCAGGCCGGTGTCAGACATTAACAGTCGCAGAAACAGCGTGGGCTACTGGGGAATGCTCTGTGCTATATCTTCATAACTTTTCCGTAATCAAAAACTATTCTGGAATAAAATTTATTTTTTAAAAAGTAAAAGACTGGCCGGGCACAGTGGCTCACGCCTGTAATCCCAGCACTTTGGGAGGCCGAGGCAGGCAGATCATGAGGTCAGGAGATCGAGACTATCCTGGCTAACACGGTGAAACCCCGTCTCTACTAAAAATACAAAAAAATTAGCCAGGTGTGGTGATGGGCACCTGTAGTCCCAGCTACTCGGGAGGCTGAGGCAGGAGAATGGCATGAACCCGGGAGGTGGAGCTTGCAGTGAGCTGAGATTGCGCCTCTGCACTCCAGCCTTGGCCACAGAGCAAGACTCCATCTCAAAAAAAAAAAAAAAAAAAAAGTAAAAGGCCTCTTCTGTCGTGGCCCGGCCTCTGTCCCCTGGTCTCTGTGCAGGGCGCATTGGTGGCCACCCCCCGTGAGCGAGAGGACATCCAGCCCCCACCTCAGGGGACTCAGTGGTTGGAGAAAGTTCCTGATTCAGCTCCACGTGGCTCTCCATGGAGAAGCAGAAAGAGAATCGTGTTTTCTTGCAGAGGCATTGAGGTGTGGTCGTCTTTACCTGTGTTTTTTTCTCAACCTGCACACAGGGGACTTGGCCAATGGGCTCTGGGGGAGATTGCAAGTTGGATGGAGAGGCTGGGGGGTGGGAGACAGATCAGCCTTGCAAAGTCTGTCAAGAAAGCGTCTATCTATCTATATAATGCACTAACTCGAGTGTGGGCACTGCTCTGGGAGCCTCTGCAGCGATGCTACCTTTTCCATCTTGGACTGGACCTCACTCCTCAGATTTCAAAGCCATCGCCCATCACAATTTTTCTTGGTCTTGATGGCTTTGCTGGAGGTTACTGCGGGGGCTACCGCTACCTCATGCTGGGGCCTTGATGTGTGTGGCAGCTGGCAGGGTTGGCCTGGCCCCCACCTGTGACAGACGGATGGAGGGACCCAGGCTCTGAAGGGGGGACTTCTGGCTCCCTTCACCGCACCTGCCTGGCCTTGACCTGTGGTCTCCCTGCCTGCCCAGGGACTCCCTGGGGACAGGGGCTTGGTCTCTTGCATCTCCAGTGCTGGGGCCTGTCTTTTCACAGGGACGCTGCAGTGGCCCCAAAGCTCCCAGTAGACGCTGGCCTGCCCAAGGGTTGTGTGGCAAGAGCTGGGCTTGGGGGCCCAGCTTGTCTGCTTTGACCTTCACGCAGATTGTGTGACCTTGGGCAAGTGCCTGCACCCGACAAGGTTCAGACTTCTCTCAAAAAGGGGCTGGAGACTCCGGGTTTTTTGAAGCTCAGTGAGCAGCAGGGCTCGTCGCGTGGTTGGGGACGTCCCCGGCTCTGCCTCTCCCTTTATGCTGGAAAGCTGGGTTGGGGCCCCGGAGCCTGTCTAGGAGGCCCAGGCAGCGTAGGAGCGAGGGACTGGAGGGATGCAGGGAGTGCCCAGGATATGGGAGGGCATCTGGCAGGCTCTGGAGGAGGAGAGTTGAGCTGTGGAAGGGGCTTTCCAGGCTGGAGGGATGGCTGGAGAAACACCTGTCTCCAGAGGAAGACACAGCACTCCCTTGGGTGCCCAGTGGATGAGCAGGCCCGTGGGAGCCGGGCCTTTGGAAGTGGGATTTCTGGATGGGGCTCACCTCCTTTAGAGAGGAAGTGGTGGAGCAGGGGGTGTGCAGCTTTGGGGTAGCGGGTGTCCTGACCCCCTGTGCCTAGGAGTCCCTGCTGAGGGTCCTTGTGATACATGGCTGGCACTAACCCCAGGCTGCTGGGATGGCCCCGTCCGCCCCATTGCCTGGCATCTGGCAGTGGCTCCAGTGTGGCAGTCTGACTTCCCAGCCAGTGGGCAGTGTGGTCCTGCTCCACTGTTCCCAGGTCAGATACCAGCCACTCAGCTCTGGTCTGGAGGGCGAGGGAGACAGACGGCCCAGACAGCCAGAACACCTGGGGGGCCGGGGGAATCGTCTCAGCTCGGGGTGCTGGGAAAGGAGGCAGGGAGGAGAGGCTGCATCTGGGGTGATAGAGGGAAACCCCTCAGCCAAGAACTGGGAAAATGGTGAGAACCTGGACTGACAGGAGGACCAGGGCCGTGCAGGATGGAAAAAGTCGGAAGTGGCAGAACCTATGGGGTAGGGAGGGTGGGGCAGGGTGACTGAGTTCTGGCTGGACAGATGGTGAGCTCCACTGGGTGCAGGTGGCTAGTGTAGTGGTGGCGGGGGAGGGATAGGCACAGACCCAAAGGACCCACATCTGAGGGCTGTGCAGAGGGGAAGAGGCTGGGAGGCATCTTGAGGGGGATGAGCGTGGCCATCCACATACAAGCAGGTGTGCAGCCGAGTTGGCCAGAGGCGGCTGTGTTCAGAGGTCAGGAAGCCTGGCCTGGCAGCTGCCCTGGACAGGTGGCACAGGGGGATGGTCCAGCAAAGCCCGTCTTCGGGCTGCTGTTCAAGCCGGTTGAGTCCCAGGCTGGGACTCAGAGTGGCTGCGGTGTTCACGCCACATTGCAGGCACCCTGTTGGGAGCCCCCCCATATCACAGGGGAGGGAAAGGACGTGAGCCCCTGAGATGCCCCTGCCCCAGGCACCCTATGTGCATTGTTTTCCCAACCACCTCATCTCCAGTGTACGGACAGGAGCCAAGGCTCAGAGATGTTAAGGTGCTGCCCGGCCTCACACTGCAGAGGGCAGCAAGAGCAGGTTTGGTCCACACCTGCTGCACTGACAACTGGCCTGAGAGGCGGCTTCAGGCCCAGTTTACTGTGAGTCTCCGGGAGGTCAGGTGGCCAGGAGACTTGGGCCCGAGACTGGGGATGGAAAAAAAGAGGCTTTTAAAATCCCTCCTAGAAAATAAGTGAATGAATGAGTGAATGAATGAATGAACAGAGTAGACCCACTGGTTGTCTAAAGTCACATGGGAACTTGTGCCGCAGGCAAAAACTTTTCCCCAAAGACCTCACCCTGGGAGTCATCTCCCTTTAAAATGTAGTTACTAATCACTGCAGCTGGAATTAGCATAATCGGGTCATTTAAATGCTGAGCCGCAGTGAGTAAAATCTTCTCCTGCCGAGTCAGGGGCTGTTGTTTCGCTGCTGAAGATCGGAGGTTTGGGAGTGGTCCTCCTCTGCGCCCCCAGGGTTGCCAAATGGCCGGGCCTGAGCTGCTCAGTGGGAGACCCCAGGTTCAGGGGTGCGAGAGTCAGTGCAGGGGGGCCGGGGTGCACCACGCGAAGTCCCATCCTCCCTCGGGCCGAGGCTGCATTGGGAAGAGTGGCCTCACTGTTGAATGTGTCTCTGGGTGGGTCTGTGTTTAGGGAAGATAATGGTTAAACAGTGATGCAGGGAAGACAGAGGGTTGAGGCCTCGGTGAATATTAATATTAACGAGTATATTGAATCCTCTGTGTTTGTCACTGTCTAGTGGCAGCACATACGTACAGATATTCATCTGTTTCATCTTCCCCACAGCCCCAGGAAACACATGCTCTTGCTCTTGTTGGGTCCACTCCTGTGAGAAGGAAGCCGAGGCTTCCAGCAACCCTCCCAACACACAGCTGGACGGGGCCAAGGTCAGGGCTGGAACACAGCTGGCTGGCCCTGGAGCCAGTGCCCTTCCAAAGATGACCCTGAGTGCCCTCTGTGTGCCAGGCTTTGATTCATTACCGGGAAGTCAATGATTTGAGTCAAAGGCAGGTGACAGGTGTGTCCACAAAATTAAGAAATGTCTTGTGTGGCTGGCCCTTGGGGTCCCCCACATGGAGAGAGAAGCTTTGAGCAGAGGTGTGGGGTGGGCCTGCTTCTCCGAACTTTGGTGGTGTTTGTCCTTCAGATGTCACCTGACTCTGCTGTGGGCTGAGTTCAGGTGCTGGGCCTGGCATGGGACTCAGCCCCACATGGCCCCTGGGAGCGTACAGCCAGGGAAGGCCTCGGGTTCTCTGAGTTAAAACAAAGTCTGCGGTGAGTGCCTGGAGGCTGCCTTGCTGTTTACAAAGCATCTTCTTATCCGTTCTCTTCTTTCGTCCTTCAGCCCCACTTCTTGCTGGGGATGATGATGACCATGACGAGGGTTGCTGAGAAAGGATTGGAGAAACCATGGGTCACGTCATCTTAGGGCTCTCAGACCCTGCTTGATAGAAGTGAGGGCTTCATAGAAGTCACTTTATTTCTAGGTAAAAAAACAAAATCCTTAACAGTGAGGGCTGATCCACCCTCAGTACCCTCAAAACACAGTTCAGCATGGTGGGTCATCCTCCCTAACCAGTGTGCTGTCTTGCGCTCGGGGCCGCTGCAGTGGTGTGAGCGTGGCGGGTCGCCCTCCGTCACCAGTGTGCTGTCTTGCCCTCGGGGCTGCTGCAGTGATGTGAGCGTGGCTGCCAGGCCAGGCCTACCATGAGGTTTCCCCTCTGTTCCCAGAAGGGAGAGCAGGGAGTCCATGTCACAGCTGCAGAGTGTCCTTGTGAGAAGCTGAGATCTTGATTCTGTTACGAGGAGGGATCTGGGGGGCAGCCCCTGTGCCCCCAGAGAGCTCAGCTTCCTCATTTCCAGATGGCAATGTCTGCCCAGGGTTGTTGAAAGAACCGGATGAGCCAGTACCTTGCAAACCATGAAGTAATGCAAAGGTAGAACGAGTCATGATTTGTTTTATCATCATGGTGCTTGGAAGAGAAAACTGTACTGCGTGGCTCTATTCCTGGTGCTATGAGGTGTTCTTGTAGGGCCTCTAAATGCATCGGGGCTGAGTCTTCTGGCCACATCGCAAGTAAAGCACGCCCCCACCCTGCCCCAGCCTCCATCCCCCACCGTTCCGTGAGGCACCTGCAGGCAGCTCTTCATCCAGGCATGTGTCCATATAGTACCTGGTGTTCCCTCTGAGCAAGACGCTGGGTTATATGGGACCCAGCTTGTATTTGTCAGAGTTCCCCAGAGAAATACAGCCAGTAGGATGTGTGGTGTACAGATGGTCCCTGACTGATGATGGTTTCACTTACTACGCTTTTGTGACTCTATCATGGTGCAAAAGCAATACACGTTCAGTAGAAAACATACTTCGAATTTTGATCTTTTCCCAGGCTAGCACTATTCCATGTGATACTCACTTGCAATGCTAGGTAGCAGCTGTGAGCTGCAGCTCCCATCAGCCGTGCCAATGTTAGGTGTTCTGAGCACACTAAGTTAGGCTGGGCTAGGCTATGATGTTCAGCAGGCCAGGTGTGTTAAATGTATTTTCAACTTAGGATATTTTCAACTTACAGTGACTTTATTGGGATGTAACTTCATCGTAAGTTGAGGCACATCTACAGATCATTAAAAAGTTATGTGAGGCTGCAGAGAAAAGGGAATGCTTATACACTCTTGGTGGGAATGTAAATTAGTTCAGCCACCATGGAAGGCAGTTTGGAGATTTCTCAAAGAACTTAAAACAGAGCTATCATTCGACCCAGCAATCCCATTAACTGGGTATATATTGGAAAGAAAATACATCATTCTACCCAAAAGACACATGCACTTGTGTGTACATCTCAGCATTACTCACAATAGCAAAGACATGGAAACAACCTAACTGCCCATCAGTAGTGGATTGAATAAAGAAAATGTGGTACATATACACCATGGAATACTACACAGCCATAAAAAAAATAAAATAATGCCCTTTGCAACAACATGAATGCAGCTGGAGGTCATTATACTTATTTATTTATTTATTTATTTATTTATTTATTTATTTATTTATTTATTTTGAGACAGAGTCTCGCTCTGTCACCCAGGCTGGATTGCAGTGGTGCGCGCAACCTCGGCTCACTGCAACCTCTGCCATGCTGGTTCAAGCGATTTTCCTGTCTCTGCCTCTCGAATAGCTGGGATTACAGGGGTGCACCACCACGCCTGGCTTATTTTCATATTTTTAGTAGAGACTGGGTTTCACCATGTTGACCAGGCTGGTCTTGAACTCCTGACCTCAGGTGCTCTGCCCACGTAGGCCTCCCAAAGTGCTCGTATTATAGGCATGAGCCACCACGCCCAGCCTGTAGGCCATTATCCTAAGCAAATAGAGCAGGAACAGAAAACCAATTACCACGTTTTCACTTGGAAGTAAGAGCTAAACATTAGATTCACAGGGACATAAAGACGGCAACAGTGGATACTAGGGACTCCTAGAGCAGAGAGGGAAGGAGGGGAGCGAGGGTTGAAAACCTGTTGGGTACTGTGCTCACTACCTGGGTGACAGGATCAGTTGTACCCCATATCTGAGCATCACGAAGTATACCTATGTAACCTGCACCTGTACCCCCTGAATCTAAAATAAAAGTTGAAATTGTATAAAAAATCAGTCTGGGCACGGTGGCTCATGCCTGTAATCCCAGCACTTTGGGAGGCTGAGGCAGGTGGATCACGAGGTCAAGAGATTGAGACCATCCTGGCCAACCTGGTGAAACCCCATCTCTACTAAAAATACAAAAATGAGCCGGGTGTGGTGGCGCGTACCTGTAATCCCAGCTACTCGGGAGGCTGAGGCATGAGAATCGCTTGAACCAGGGAGTCAGAAGTTGCAGTGAGCCGAGATCGCGCCACTGCACTCCAGCCTGGGTGACAGAATGAGACTCCTTCTCAAAAAAAAAAAAAAAAAATCAACTCACGTGATTTTGAAGGGACAGATCCTCAAGTCCCAGGATCTGCAGTGGGCAAGCTGGAGACCCTGAAGAGTCGATGCTGTAAGTTCCAGTCCAAAAGGAGGCTGGAGACCTGAGAAAGGCTGATGCATCAGTTTGCGTCCAAAGGCAAGAAAACCCTGGTGTCCAGGCTGAGTGCAGGCAGACAGCAGGACTTCTCTTACTGAGACAGTTTGCTCTGTTCAGGCCTCCGGCTGGTTGGATGAGACCCTCATTCACTGGTGAGGGCCACCTGCTTTACTCAGGCCACTAATTCAGATGTGAGTCTCATCCAGAAACATCCTCACAGACACACCAAAGTAATGCTTGCCCAGATGTCTGTGTACCCCATGGTCCAGTCCAGTTGACACAGTGACTATCACACAGCTCTTGGGGAAGACAGACATGGGAAGAACCAGCAGCCCAGGTCACCCATGGCCCCTTAATATGGGTGCAGACAGCAGTGACTTCCAGCCAGTGGAGGGTTGGGCGACGACCTGGGGAGCAGGTGACCATAGTCGTTGAGGGACAGGAGTGGGGGGCTTTGCCTGGTGCTGCCGGACTGCAGTGTCGACCCAGAATTTTCTCATTTTTCGGGCAGTGAAGGAAAAAAGAGATAATTGTCTTGATGTCATCTGACACCGAACTCAGGTAGCTGTGGAGGGAAGGGGGCGTCTCTGCAGAGCCAAGACAACTGAAGATCAGCAGGAAATGGAAAAATGGATCCAGCCTTGGGTCCCGTGGCTTGTGGAGGCCTCAGCGTCCAGGGGTTTCCTGGGATGGTTGTCTTTTCAGGCGGATGTTTACTTAGCATCTACTGGGTGCCAGGCCTTGTGTGAAGCATTTCGTGTGCAGTGAGGAATGCTCAGGTTTCAGCCATTAGAGAGGGTTGCAGGACTAGAGACACGTCCGGTGCTGAGGTCACACAGCGGAGGGCCCGCTCTCTGGGGTGGAGACTGGCCCTGCTCAGAGCGCTTCCTGGAGGCGCTGCCCTGACTTCTCACAAGCTGGCCAGGCTTACTTTTGCTGCCTCACGTTTGGCTCAGCCCCTGCCCTTGCTGTTGCTCTGGTTGGGTCCTGTGCTTGCATCTCCTGAACTCCTGGGCTTCTTTCATAACTCTGGTCTCAACTGAAGCCATTTCATCTCCTGGGATATCTTCCCTCCTGTTCCCCTGGTGGTCATCTCTTTACTGTTTTCAGTGATCAGCTCCTCCATGAAGACTTTTCCCGTGGGTAGCACTGGCTCCCTCTCATTGATGCTTCTGCTGTGCCCAGCTCAGACATCCTCTGCAGCACCGGGACCACCTGGGTGCATCTTGAATGACCTGCCAGTCTTCCCCATCACTGGCTTCCTCTCCGTGGTAGGAGCAG